>NC_000023.11:29637488-30887488 GCF_000001405.40 Homo sapiens
ACAGATTTTAAAGTTGATATATATGAATTGGAGAAGGTATATATGTATGTTTTAAATTTTTTTGTATAGTGATTTTTTTTCTCAAAGTAAAAACAAAATAAATCCTCTTTCACAAAGCTTTCCTTGATCTCTTTAAGCCAAACATCTCTGTGTGTCCTCTGTATGCCTCTAACACTATAGCTCTCATAAGAATTAAGCTTTCTGCCTATGGAGTTTATCTCTCCCATTACATTGGAAAAGCTTAATTGAAAAAGCAGTATCTCATCCCCTTTTGTATCTCTCCACAGCACCTGATCAGATATCTGTTGCATAGTAAATACCCAATAAGATTTTATTAAACACAATAGCAAAGGAATAGAATGGTGTACATAGAAACACTTGCTCTTTTTAGGCAACTCTAGAAAAATGTTAAATTTTTCATTTTTTCATGCTTTTCTTCACACAGCGGACCTATGTTTGTTTTACACCTATGTTATGTTTCTATTGACATACTTTTAGAATGAATACTTAGAAAATATAGTGCTTTGTAATAATATACATGGTCCTAGCATATTGGAGATACACCAGACAATCTAATTGCTGAACCAAATGTAGGCTAGCTTGGTGATCAAAGGGAATTGTTTTGATTTCTCCTGTCTCATATATATCTGTTATTTGTCCTAATGCTGAGCTCTAGACTGCTGAATGAACGGTGACATTTTTCTTGGTTACTCCATTGTGCCACCTCACCTCCATTTGTCACTCTAGTAATGTTAACATCTGCTGTCAACACCAATTAACTTTTTTTTTTTTTTTTTTTTGAGATGGAGTTTCACTCCATCGCGTAGGCTGGAGTGCAGTGGCACAATCTCGGCTCACTGCAACCCCCGCCTCCCGGGTTCAAGCGATTCTCCTGCCTCAGCAATTAACATTTAGTAAACACCTTCTGGGTCCATAGTAGAATGTCAGTTACTTGCTGCTCATTTAAAGACTAGTTGTTAAGCAAAACTTGAATACAGTATGGCATTTGCTTTGAGTTTATTTTTTTTAATTTCAAGTTTCATGGCTTTTGTTTTTCCATTCTCATAAATAAAACATATGCTTTTATTCCTTGACAGTTATCAGAGTTTGTTCAGTTGAACAATGCCCAACTTGCAAATGAATACTTTTGCAAATACATATGGTGGATATACAAATACATATGTGAATTCATTTGGCTCTAATGTGAACTTATTGAATGTGCTATGT
The DNA here is from genome assembly GCF_000001405.40 of Homo sapiens. NCBI lineage: Eukaryota > Metazoa > Chordata > Mammalia > Primates > Hominidae > Homo > Homo sapiens. The sequence continues at coordinate 29,638,716 of NC_000023.11, forward strand.
CGAGTTATCTTTTATCAAAAGAACTGTTAGTAACTGAGGACATCAAAAAATTATGCTTGCTCATACATACATAAATGCTATATTTAGGTTTTAATGCTAGCTTTTAAAATGTCTTCTTTGCCCGCTACTTACACTAACAGGATTTCCTTGTTCTTGAAAGTGAAATATATTTTTAAGAACAGGTTTTAAGGCCAGGCGCGGTGGCTCACGCCTGTAATCCCAGCACTTTGGGAGGCTGAGACGGGTAGATCACAAGGTCAGGAGATCGAGACCATCCTGGCTAACAGGGTGAAACCCCGTCTCTACTAAAAATACGAAACATTAGCTGGGCGTGGTGGTGGGCGCCTGTAGTCCCAGCTACTCGGTAGGCTGAGGCAGGAGAATGGCGTGAACCCAGGAGGCGGAGCTTGCAGTGAGCCGAGATCGGGCCATTGCACTCCAGCATGGGCGACAAAGCGAGACTCCGTCTCAAAAAAAAAAAAAAAACAGGTTTTAAAAAAATTTTTAGATTTGTTTTTTTTGTTTGTTTGTTTCCAGTTTTCTCTGCTGTTTCAGACTTAGGACTAGACATGCCTGGCTCTAATTGTCCTCTTAGATTGTTATCCAGCTTTCCTTTGAGACAATATTTTGCACAAAGTGTGTTCTCTTAGCTGGTTGATTCCAGTGATGGCTGGAATCTATGCATAGTGTGGTGTTTCACAGTTAGACCTGACTAGTTATCCTGGCACTTTGAAACAGTTGGTTTCAGGTACCCTTCCACACATACATACAAAAGATGTGCTGATGATAGCACTGACTTTTCAGAGTGGTCTTTTCATCATAATTAAAAGTTTTTTTTTTTTTTTTTTTTTTAAAGCCTGAATACACAATCTGTGCATGGCTTTGATGATTCTGTAGTTAAGAAGGGCAGGAACAGCCTTGGGGAACACTTACTAACTTGGAATCATGAAGAAAGTCACAAGCACCTACAGATGAGCAGAAAAGCAAGATTATTTCATTCATTTTACGTCCACAATACCACAGGGACTGGCTGGTCAGTTACTTGCGCATGTTGTCAAAGCTAACCTTTAAAGACAGTTCATCTGGCTAAAAATCAAATACCTTATACCCAGAGTATTAGATATGCATCAGCGGGTGGCCAGGGTCTTAAGGCAGGAAGTATATTATAGGTGGCCTGGTATTTTGCAGGCTCTTCTGAGCCAGAAGCATTTTTTATCAGAAAGGTTTTGGAAATTATGCTCAGCCCCTGGCATCTTTTTGGTCCTCTCTTGATCGCTAGTCCAGCTGTTGAATGAAAAGAAATGAAGCTGAAGAGACATCACTGTGGCTACAGCTGGTGTTACGGAGGTTGGTGTCATGCTACAAGATAACACACACATCATTTTTACTCATGTGGAAGGCTGCCTTGCTGTGCATTTCCACGGCTGTCAGAAAGATTGATTCCTGAAATACTTTGAAAAAATGCTAAGTACTAGCTACTTTGGGTGTTTACCCAGGGGCACCACAGCTGCCTGGCATTGTAGTATGGCAGCTGAACAGTAATCACTGCTATTTCTCTGATTTGTTTGTGTCTTTGTCAGCATCTGAGAGGAGGGAGGTTCAATCCCAGAGTGGGGCCCTCACTCCACAGTGATCTCATTCAGCCCATGGCTTTAAATACTCTCTGCAATGCTAATGACTCCCAAATTTATGTCTGTGGCCCTGATGTCATCCCTGCATCCCAGACTCATAGATCCGGCTGCCTATTAAATAGCACTGCTTTGATGTCTATGAGGTATCTGAAATTTAACATAAGCAAAACCAAATTTCTGATCTGTCCACCCATATATGACCCAACTTATCATCCCACCATCTTCCCACAGGAGTAAATGGCAACTCCATTCTTGTGGTTGCTCCAGCCAAAGCCTTGTGATCATCCTTGACCCCTCCCTTACTTTGTATCCCACATCCCAAGGTATCCACCTTGAAAGTGGATTCAGTACATGAACACCTCTCTACTGCTGCTGTCTTAATCCAAACCAATGACAAATCTCATCTGGACGATTGTAATTGCCTCCTAACATGTCAACCTGCTTCCTTTTCCCAATAGTGTACTTTCTCATGGCAGTAAAAGGGAATCCTTAAACACAAATTACATTACATTATCTTCTGCTTAGAAATCACCAGCGGCCAGATGCAGTGGCTCACACCTGTAATTCCAGCACTTTGGGAGGCCAAGGCAGGAGGATTGCTTGAGCACAGGATTTTGAGATGAGCCTGGGTCACAAAGTGAGAACCCCATCTCTTAAAAAAAAAAAAATTAAAAATTAGCTAGGCATGGTGGTACGCATCTGTAGTCCCAGCTAATTTGGAGGCTGAGGTGGAAGCATCAGCTGAACCCAGGAGATCAAGGCTACAGTGAGTCACGATCGCGCCACTGCGCTCCAGCCTGGGCAACAGAGTGAGACCCTGTCTCAAAATAAACAAACAAACAAACAAACAAACAAACAAACAAAGGAAATCACTAGTGAATTTCAATCCCAAGGTTCAAACCACATCTGTAAAACCATAAGCGATCAGACTGTCTCATACTTGTTTGCTTATCCTTCTGTTATTTCCTTAGCCGATTTCCTTAACTCATTCACCTGCGTATTCAATGGCCTTTTCATTTCTCTTCGAATAGTTTCCACCTAAGTGCCTTTGAACTTGATCATCTCTATGACTGGAATGCTCTTCTCCCAGGTGTTTACATGGCCTGGTTCCTCTTTTCATTTAAAGCCCATGCCCACTCAAAGGCCATATCTCCTTGTCAGTAAGATCTTTCCTCACCAGCCTTTATAAAATATAGCACTGCTCCCAATGGTCTCTTATTCTGCTATATTTTCTTAATGGACTTTATAATCCTGATGTCTTTTCCCACTGAGTGAAGGCTTTGTTTCGTTCACTGCCAGTTCTCCAGCACCAAGAACAGTGCCTAGTGCACAAAGGGCTTTGATAAGCATCTGTGGAAAGTGCAAACATTCACCTGACTCTTCTTTCTATCTCTATCTCCACCAGCTGTAAAACTGTGCTTAGAATCCCTGAACATTTTATTTTAATGAAATTACCTCTGCAATATCTTTAGCTCTTCAGTGGAAAAATCTTTCAAAATCCAGGGTCTCATGGAGCTCATGTCTCCATCTCTGACTTAAATAGTCCATGAAACACATGATTCTGGAAACTGAGATTGTGAAAAGCACATCTTGCTGCACCCTCCAGTCTTTGTGTGGTCTCTAGCACTTGGTGCCATAGTGACAGTGTCTGGGTAGAACAGATGTTTTTAGTGATCTGAAAATCACTATAAAGAAAAGGCATTTCCTACATCTTGGAGAGAAACTTGAAAGTTCACAAACATGTTAAGTCTAACAATTTCTTAGACTTGCCATTTGCTTTTATCCACTTTCAGGATAACCGTAATGTTTGCAACTCATCTTCTGTGTCTCCCCCAAATAATTCATGTTTCCTTTTCCTCCTTGTCTTATATTTCAATGAGTGAGAAGTGAGGCATCTTACTCTTATTTTGTATTAAAGCCCTGCGCTAATATTTCTAACGTTCTCTTTTACGATTTAGTGAGATTTCAGAAGTGAGAGGGATAGTTTTGTTCTGTTTTCCATGAGTTTTCTAGTTCTTTGAGAGGAAGAGGGACCACGAAATTCAATATTAGTGTTTGTCATAATACTCAGCAAAAGCCTTGCCTGTGGTATACACTCAATAATGTCTGTTCATTTGGGTTTTAACTTTTTTCAAATCTCCTCAGTGTTATAATTACCTGTCCTTTTCATTAGAAATCCAAACCTGATTAGCAATTGTTTTTCCAGAGAATAAGCCACTTGCCTTCTCTAATAGTATTGGATTGGATATCAACTAAGGCATAGCTTCCCAACGGATGTGCAGTGGCACATGACTGTACTCCACATGGATTTCAAATGTGCTCAGACAATGATTCCTGTAAGCTCTCAGGGGCAGCTGGAGGCTCTAGACCAATCATTTCTAACCACAAGATTGTGTATTCCAGGGTGCTCTACAAAAATTATAATTTCCATTATGTGCTACGGCATGAGAAATGTTGAGAGTTAGTCTAGTCCAGTACTGCCTAACTAAACTATCTGTGCAGTCATGGAAATGTTCTAGATCTTCCTTCCAATAAGGTAACCACAGTGCAGCTGGAATTTAAACTCTAAACTATATAAACTATTAGGAACCAAAGATGAAAAATAAGCACAATTCAGCAATTTATCAGACTCGACAAATATTAATTTGAGGTGTTAACAACCCACAGTGGTACCAGCAGGCAGAAATTAAATTAATATATCACTAACTTGAGAATAAAGGCATCAAAGGAAACCTCATTTTTTAATGTGGCTAACATTGTTGGATATTAGCTGGCTGATGCTAGCTATGTACGCTTTTTCTCTTGTTGTCTTCTTTTTGTTTGACGATGTGGCAAATGACAGTGCTGTTGCCTGAAAATGGCTTCAAAGTCACACTTGTATGTCTTACTGTATTGGGTTTAGGTGAATTCTGGTGTCTGTGTTGTTCTTCTAATGGGGCCTGGAGCAATCTAATAATTTGCATTTGGGTCCTATAGACCATATGGTGTTTATCACCCACTTCTCCATCTTAGATGATCTGCCAGTCATTGATGAGGTGAAAGCTGTGTTTGGCAGTGCTTTCATGCTAGGTTAATCATTGTGGAATTAGCTATTGTTTATAGCACTTTTTAATCCAAGCAAGAGTATTCTGGAGTCTGTACATCTGTAAGTCAAAATTTACAACCTAACGTCGATTTACAATGAGGAAAAGCAAGTTAGATAACATATTGCATATTCATAAATTACTCCTAAGAGATAATTAGTACCTGGCCTCCACTTCATGATTCCTCTGTTTGTTAGTTCTTATGATACAATGGTTGTGGAGATGCCTATTTGATCGTATTTCTCAAGGAGACTCTGATCCAGTGTGTTCCACTGCCTCATTAACCTCTGCCCTCAAAATACACCAAGTCAACCTCTGTTTCTTTATTCATGCTGCTCCCTCTTTCTGGAATGGCCCATCCCACCTTTCTTCTCAGGTACATTTTAGCCTTACTTATGGAGGCATTGAAATCTTTAATATTAGTATTAATGTACACTAGCATTTATGGAACACATTTTTTTGTGTGTGTCAGGCGTAATACCCGCCACCTTAACTAGGTATTTCACTTAAACGTCACAACAGGACTTCAAGATATATTTTTTCAAGATATATATGTTTAATACCTATCTCATAAATGAGGAATCTGAGCTTCAAATATGTGAAGCAATTTTCATAAAACAATTTTGTAATGAAGTAGAGTAAGGTTTTAAGCTAGGACTTCCTGACTCTAAAGTCTTTGTTCTTTCCATTGCAAATAAAGAAGACAAAGAAGTCTATTAAAGGTATCTAATGAAGGAATCTGTTCTCCATTAACCTTGTACTCACTTGAGACACAGTTGAAACACAGTAAAACAGCTTTGTAGATTGCTTGCTTGGCTTATTGATTTCCAAATCCTGTTTTCTTTTTGCTACCATCTTACTTCCTGTGTCATAGTGGAAACCAACAAAAGAATTAATTCTTTGTCAAGTGTGTGAGGAAGAGCATGGTGGACCAGAAGTCTTGGTCCTTCCTGGGCAAACAGATACATTGTCTTCTGCACCTATACATGTCCCTCATTCGTGAATTTCGCCCTCTGATTTATATCCTATCTGTTCTATCTTTTAACTAAGAACTGTGAAATCACCCATATCCAGGACTACATGGCTAATCTTTTTATTAAACATTGTCTATCATGTGTTTTTTTTTTTGTTTTGTTTTCTTTTGTTTTTGTTTTTGAGACACGTGCTCACTCTGTCAACCAGGCTGGAGTGCCGTGGCATGATCTCGGTTCACTGCAACCTCCGCCTCCCATGTTCAAGTGATTCTCCTGCCTCAGCCTCCTGAGTAGCTGGGACTACAGGCATGCGCCACCTTGCCTGGCTAATTTTTGTATTTTTAGTAGAGATGGGATTTCACCATGGCAGCCAGGCTGGTCTCAAACTGCTGACCTCAAGCAATCCTTCTGCCTTGGCTTCCATAAATGCAGTGATTACAGGCAAGAGCCACCACGCCCAGCCTCTGTCGTATGTTGTTGAATTCTTGGTCATGCCTATTCAATCAGAGTGTAAATTGCTTGTGTGTAGTATCTTATTTGGTCTTGCCCTATGGCACCAGCTCAAATGCTAGGCTAATCACTGGCAGTTTTTACATATTGTTGATTATGTGAATGATTATCTTCACATTATAACTAGACAAAAAGAGAAGTAAAACAATTAGATATTTTCCCCAGAGATGAGTGAAATAACTGAATAAACTAACTCTTGTTCATAAATTTCTTAAAGAAGGATGACAAATTTATCTTGTAAACATACAAATAACTGGTACCTAATATTTTTCAGTGGGGTGGAGGGTGGAGTAGGATATCAGAATAGGACTCTCCAGCCATTGTCTCCCTGAAGAAACTTTAATTTGAACAACTATCCATGCATGAAAACATCTTCACCAGGGCTAAGGAAATCAGGTGAGCAATCAAAGCACTAGGTTATAGTGTAATGCTAAGAAAAGACGCATCAAAGAGGGCAAGAAAAACAGTTTTATTACCTCTGTCACCCCTCCACAAACCCAGTAAGCATAGCATGGAAAGAGATTCTGTCTGCTTGGGGGAAAGAGAGGGAAGTAAGCATAAGACTTTGCCTGCTACAATGAAATCTAGCATCAGTCAGAATTCCATGACCACTGACTCCAGGCTAAAACCTATGTACGGAGCCTTTAGAACCAACTTGGCACCCGAGAGGAGCCTGTAGCCCCTATGAAATGGAATCAAGTTTTGGTCTGCATTGTGGCCAGCTGACTACAGTGGCCTTGAGCTGTGAATAACCCACAGTGATAGGCAGGCCTTAGTGGCTGTGGGTTTCAGGCATGCCCCAGGGCTGTGCTAGCCTCAGTGGCCACGGGCTTTAGGCACACTCCAATGCTGCACCAACATTGGTGACCATAGGATTCTAGCCCTATGCCAAGCTCAGCAGCCGCAAATCCAATCTTAGTACAGCATAATTTGCAGTGGTCTAGGGCTTAGGGAATTCCCTAGCACTGCAATGACTGTAGTGCTCAAGGGCATAGGAACCATACCGGACAACCTTTTCAAAATGTCTGGACAGGCTTACTGCTGAAAGATGTTTTCAGACAAAACCAGATTGTGAAGGGCCTACTTGTTCAGTGCACAGACATTGATTCATGACTACAAGGACCAAAAATAATTAGGAAAACATGACATCATAAAATAGACAAAATAAGGTGCCATTGACTGACCTTAAAGAGATGGAGATATATGAACTACATAACAGAAAATTCAAAATACCTCCTTTAAGGGAGATCTACAAATGTCAAGAAAATAAAGAGAAATAATAAATTTCAAGGAGTAAAACAATAAGTGACCAGTACAATAAATTTAACAGCAAAATTGAAATGATAATAATAAAATATTCAACAGAAACCCTGGAACTGAAAGATATAAGGAATGAAATAATAAATGCAACAGAGAGAATCAACAAAAGTATTCATCAAGAAGAAGAATCTGTCACTTGAGAACAACTTATTTGAAAATATACGGTAAGATGAGAAAAAGAAAAAAGAATAAAATGGAATGAAGAAAGCTTACTTTGGGGATAGTATCAAAAAGAAAAAGCAAATTATGAGTCACTGACATTTAAGAGGAAACAAAGGAATATAAAGCTATAGAAAGCTTATTTAAAGAAAGAAAAGCAGAAAACTGTCAAATCTGCAGAAAGATATAAATATCCAGTTACAGGAAGGTCAAAGGTCTCCAATCAGATTCAGTCTAATCAGATTTAAATAAAAGCCAAGTCATATTATAATTAACTGTTAAAGATCAAAGACAAAGAGAAGATTATATACACAGCAAGAAAAAAAAAAAGAAAATAAAGGGAGTTTCAGTACACTTAGCAGTAGCAGCACATTTCTCAGCAGAAACCTTACAGACCAGAAGAGAGTGGGATATTTTCAAAGTGATTAAGGAAAAACATGCCCACCAAAAATACCGTACCAAGAAAAGCTGTCCTTCAGAAATGAAGGAGAGATAAAGACTTCCCAGGCAAACAAAAGTCAAGGGAGTTCTTCACCACCAGACCTGTCTTACAAGAAATGCCAAAGGAACTTCTTCAAGCTGAAAGAAAAGAATGCTAGTGAGTAACACAAAAACATTTGAAGGTATAAAACTCACTGGTACAAGTAAGTACAAAGTCAAATTAAGAATACTCTAGGCCGAGCGTGGTGGCTCACACCTGTAATCCCAGCACTTTGGGAGGCTGAGGTGGGTGGATCACCTGAGGTCAGGAGTTCAAGACCAGCCAGGCCAACATGGCGAAACCTCGTCTCTACCGAAAATACAAAAAGTAGCTGGGCGTGGTGGCACGCGACTGTAGTCCCAGCTACTTGGGAGGCTGAGGCAGGAGAATTGCTTGAACATGGGAAGCGGAGGTTGCAGTGAGCGAGATCATGCCACTGCACTCCAGCCTGGTGACAGAGTGAGACTCTGCCTCAAAAAAAAAAAAAAAAAAATACTCTAATACGGTAATGATGGCGTGTAAATTCCTTATATCTTTAGTAAGAAGGTTAAAATATAAAAATACTAAAAATAATAACTACACTAACTTATTATGGTACATGTAATATAAAAAGATGTAAATTGTGACATCAAAAATTCAAAATATGAGTGTGTGTGGAGTTAAAGTGAACAATTTTTTTGTGTGTGGTCGAAGTTAAATTGTTATCAATTTAAAATAACTTATAAAATGTTTTTGTAAGCCTCATGGTAACCACAAAGCAAAAAACTTATAATAGATACACTAAATGTAAAAAGCAAGGAATCAAACCATAGTACTAAAGCAAATCACTTAACCACAAAGGTAGACAGTAAAAGAGAAATAAATTTTAAAAGCATTTACAAAACAGCTCGAAAACAGTGAAAATAATGGCAGTAGTAAGTCCTTACCTATCAGTAACTACTGTGAATTAAATTGATTAAATTATCCAGTCAAAGATATAGAGTGGCTGAATGGATTAAAAAACAAGACTCTTCTATATGGTACCTATAAAAAAATTCACTTTACTGGTAAGGACACACAGAGACTGAAAGTGAAAGTATGAAAAAGATATTGCATGTAAATAGAAATAAAAAACAATAGGAGTAGCTATACTTAAATCAGATAAAATAGACTTTAAGTCAAAAGCTATGAAAAGAGACAAAGTCATTATATAATGATAAAGGGGCCAATTCAGCAAGAGGATGTAATGATTATAGACATATATGTACATCACATTGGAGCACCTAAATATACAAAGAAAATAGTAATAGATCTGAAAGGAGAGAAAGACTGCAATACAGTAACAGTAGGGGCATTCAACAACCCACTTTCAGCAATGGAAAGATTATCCAAACAGAAAAATCATTGAATTGAAACTGTACTCTAGACCAAGTGGACCTAACAGACATATACAGAACATTCCATCCAACGGATGCAGAATACAGATCCTTCTCAACTGCCCATGGAGCATGATTCAGGATGGGTCCCATGTTAGACCACAAAACAGGTGTTATCCAGCTTTAGAAGACTGAAGTAATATCAAGTATCTTTTCAGACCATGATGGTATAAAACTAGGAATAAATAACAGGAGGAACTTTGGAAAATTCACAAATGCATGAAAATTAAACAACATGCCCCTGAACAAGCAATTGATCAATAAAGAAGTTAAAAGGAAAATTTAAATTTTTTAAGACAAATAAAAATGGAAATACAACATACCAAAAGCTATGAGATATAGCAAAAGGAGTTCTAATAGGAAAGTTTATAACAATAAATGCCTATATCAAAAAAGAGAAAAATCTTAAATAGCCTAAGGTTGCACTGCAAGGAACTAGAAAAACAAGTAGAAACTCAACCCAAAATTAGTAGAAGGAAGGGAATAATAAAGATCAGAGCAGAAAAGAGTAAAATGGAGATCAGAAAAACAATACAAGAGATGAATGAAGCAAAGGCTTTTTGAAGACAAAATCAACAAACCTTTAACTAGATTAAGAAGAGAGAATATTCAAATAAATAAAATCAGAGATGAAGAAAGAGACATTACAACCTAGACTGAAGAAATGCAAAGGATCATAAGAGAGTATTATGAACAATTATATGCCAACAAATTAGATAATCTAGGAGAAATGAATATATTCCTGGACAAATACAACCTACCAACATTGAATTATGAAGAAATAGAAAACCTGAACAGACCAATAACAAGAAAATTGAATCAGTAATAGAAAGTCTCCCATCAAATAGAAGCCCAGGCTTTACTGCTGAATTCTACCAAATATTTAAGGAAGTAATACCAATTCTTCTCAAGCTATTACAAAAAATTGGAGAGGAGGGAATACCTCCTAAATCATTCTGTGAGGCCAGCATTACACTGATACCAAAAACAGATAAGGACACAACAACAACAGAAAACTACAGGCCAATTTCCTTGATGTTTACACATGCAAAAATTCTCAACAAAATAGGAGAAAACCAAATTCAACAACACATAAAGATATTATTTACATGATCAATTGAGATTCATCAAATGGATACAAGGATAGTTCGCATACACAAATCAATAAACATGATACATCACATTAACAGAAGGAAGGATAAAGACCACATAATCATTTCAATAGTTGCAGAAAAAGCATTTAATAAAATTCAGTATCCTTTCAAGATAAAAACTCTCAACAAATTAGGTATAGAAATTAGGTATAGAAACAGTGCACCTCATGACCATAAAGACCATATGTGACAAACCTACAGCTAACATCATGCTGAATGGGGAAAAGTTGTAAGCTTTTCCTCAAAGATCTGGAACAAGATATGGATGTCCACTTTCACTACTTCTATTCAACATAGTACTAGAAATCCTAGCCAGAGCAATTAGGCAAGGGAAAGAAATAAAGGGTATCCAAATGGAAAAGGAAGATACTAAACTTTTCATGTTTGCAGAGACATGATCTTATATATATAGAAAACCCTGAAGAGTCCACCAAAAAACTTTAGAACTAATAAACAAGTTCAGTAAAGTGGCAAGATATAAAATCAGCATATAATAATTAGTAACATTTCTATACACTAACAGCAAACTATCTGAAAAAGAAATATTATTTTAAAATCTTTATTTCTAGTAGCTACAAAAATGTAAAATACCTATGAATACATTTAACCAAGAGGGAAAACCATCTCTACACTGAAAACTGTAGCCGTTTTACATTTTACAGAATCTTGATGAAATAAACTGAAGAAGACACAGATAAATGAAGAATATTTGTATTCACAAACTGGAAGAATAAATACTGTTACAATGTCCATACTACTCAAAGTGATCTACAGAGTCAATGCAATCTCTATCAAAATACCCATGACACTTTCCACAGAAATAGAACAAAGAATCCAATAGGTTTTATAAACTGCAAAAGACACAAAAGAGCCAATGCAATCTTGAGCAAAAAGAACAATGCTGGAGGCATCACACTACCTGACTTCAAAATGTACTGTGATGCAATAGTAACCAAAATAGCATGATACTGGCATAAAAACATAGACCAATGAAGCAGAATGAAGAGCCCAGAAATAAATCTACACATTTACAGCTAACTCATTTTTTTTTTTTCAAAAACTGCCAAGAATACACAATGGGGAAAAAGCAGTCTCTTCAATAAATGGTTTTGGGAAAACTGGATAGCCACATGCAGAAAAATGAAATTAGACTATTATATCTCACTCTATACAAAAATCAATTCAAAATGGATTAAAGACAAAGGTAAGACCCACAAGTGTAAAACTATTAGAAGAGAACATAGGGGGAAAACTCCATGACACTGTTTTGGGCAATGATTTTTTGGATGTGACTTCAAAAACAGAGGCAACAAGAGCAAAAAAAATAGACAAATGGAATTTTATCAAACTAAGAAGCTTCTGCACAGCAAAAGAAAAAATCAATAGAATAAAAGCAGCCTATAGAATGAAAGAAAATATTTGCAAACTATACATCTGATAAGGGATTAATATACAAAATATATAAGGAATTCAAACAACTCAATAGAAAAAAGTCAAATAACCCATTAAAAATGGGCAATAGACAGGTATAGACATTTCTCAAAAGAAAACATACAAATAGCCAACAGGTACGTCAAAAAATGTTCACCATCACTAATCATCAGGGAAATGCAAATCATGACCACAGTGAGCTATCACCTCACTCCTATTAGAATGGCTATTGTCAAAAAAAAAAAAAGATAAGTTTTGGTTAGATTGTGGAGAAAAGGAAACCCTTGTGCACTATTGGTGAGAATGTGAATTAGTGCAGCCATTATGGAGACAGTATGGAGGTTCTTAAACAAATTAAAAATAGAGCCATAATATGATCCAGTAATTCCACTCCTCGGTATATATCCAAAGAAAACGAAGTGAGTATGTCAGAAACATATGCACTTCTATGTATATTGCAGCATTATTCACCATAGCCAAAGTATGGAATCAACCTAAGCATCCATCAATGGATAAATGGATAAATAAAATGTATATAGATACACAATGAAATACTGTTTAGCCAAAAAAAAATAAGAAATCTTGTCATTTGCAACAACATAGATGAATCTGGAAGGCATAAGTTTAAGTGAAAGATCCCAGGCACAATATGACAAGTACTACATGATCACACTGACGTATGGAATCTAAAAAACTCATCTCAAAAAGGTAGAACTTTGAGTGATGGATACCAGAGGCTGGGGTGGCTGGGATGGGAGTGTTGGGGAAATGTTAGGCAAAGGATATATAATTATAGTTAGATAGAAGGAATAGGTTCAAGTGATCTATTGTGCAGCATGATGACTATCATTGATGACAGTACATTGTATTCTTGACAAATGCAGAGACTGGATGTTAGGTGCTTTCACCACAAAAATGACAACTACGTGAGGTAATGCACTTGTTGATTAGTTAGATTTAACCATTCTACAATGGATATATACTTCAAAATATCATGTTGTACATGATAGATACATACAATGTTATCTGTCAATTTAATTTGAAAAAGAAAGAATGAGAAAAGATACTTTTCAAAGAGTATTAATAGTCATTTTTCTGAATTCCTGTAGTGTATTTTCAAGATGAATAAGTTTTCTAAAGTAACTGAAGCATATCTCATTAGCCATCAAAAATTATTTTTAATGGCAGTTTTTAATGTAGATCTTCAGAAAAAAAGCACACAATTACTGCCTTTTAAAATAGAATGCATGAAATACAATTAAATCTTTCCTTGACTAGTCAAATCAAAAAATTTTTTTGGAATATCTTCTGTTTTACCTGTTATGAAAAACACTAAAATCCAGGGAAATAAAAGTTTAGAAATTTATTCTTAGTGCGTTTACAATCTCAATGGAAAGTTAAATGTGTAGAAGGAAAAGTTACAATCTGGCCTCTTAAAGGCGGGACAGAGGTAAACAGATTGTGTTTAAGAGTCCCAGAATTAGTAAAGTTTAACCTACAAGTTGACATCTGTGGTAGTCATGGAAGGATGGGTTAGGATTTAAGAAGGAGGGATACGGAAGGATGGGTTAGGATTTAAGGAGGGATACAGCATTCTAGAAGAAAAGGAGGGGCATTCTAAATGATTCCAAGAAAGTGGTAAATTGGGGAAATGGTAAAATGTTCAGTGTGCTTGATTAGTAGCAGCTTGAGAATAGTTCCAGACTTTACAGGAGCATGAAAAAAATTCAATTCGGATCACATTACTTTCTTGCTTACAAACCATTGTTCTGCTGTTACTGAGTAAAAGTCTTAGCTTGTTAAAATGCAAAAAATGTGAGCAAGCCCAGCCAAGATGAGCAAAGCCACATGCTTGACCTGCAGTTAACCACAGATACATAAGGGAGTAAAACAAAGATCATTCAAGCCTGGCCCTGATCAGTTATCTTGGAGACCTATGACCAATAATAAGTGACCATTATTTTAAGCTACTAAGATTTGGGATATTTTGTAACTCAGTAGTATTTCACTGATGAATTGTATTAGTGCTTTTCTATTCTTCTACCCTAAAGTAAAAATGTCTTTGCTACTTATCACATTCAAAGAAATGTGGAGCTGTAATAGAAACAAATTTTGCCAGGCAAATAGGACCATGGTATTGCTTTGGGCTGGCATAGATGCAATTCCATGTAATTCCATTTCTTGTTATAAACTTGGCTCTAACTGTACAATGTATACTTCAGTATATGGACAGATGTAGATGTAGATACTGTGTATAGGTATGCACTATTTATACCTCTCAAAAATTTACCAAAGTCTTCATATCCATAGCACTGATATTTTTTAAATTAACTCTTGTTAGTATGGACAATTTTAGCTATAATATTCACAAACGTAGAGAGAATAACATAATGAAACCCTATGTACTTATCACCAAGCTTTAGTAATTTCTAACATTTTGCATGTGTTGTTGTTTGTAACAGGCTTTTGTTTTGTTTTATTTTTGTTTTTGTTTTCCTTTCTTTTGACAACATGAGTGGTGTTCAATGCTACTAAGAACAAATTTGCAGATTTTTCCTGCAATGCTTGAAATGATTAACCTCTGTTTGTTGCCAAGTAACTCTTGGGTACGTACTGATAGCAAAAGTAATATAAGAATATTCACAGCATAGTTAAATTTGGATAGCAAGTATTATTTAAAGGGTGCCTGATATTATTGCTTATAGGCATGTTTTTCTTTCTTGTACCTCTTATTTTTGGTAGTAATCATGTTTTTAATGACTTGTGATAGACTTGTTTTATGAAACAATAGAAAATCACCATAGGACCTCTTTAGTAAGCTTTTAGAGTGTTGAAGCTACTTGAAATCTTCTCTGGTGGGAGATTATTATTTGCTAAATAATTGTTTGCATAAACTGACTCCTCCAACAGTGTTAGTTAAATGAATCATAACAATTAGTATAAACAGAGAAAAGTAATGATGATCTAGGCAAGTAACTTATAGGTGTTCTGTTTGTTGAACAAAAGAATGAATGGAAAATTAGGGCTCTTATTTATTTATTTATTTATTTATTTATTTATTTATTTATTTTTTGGCTGTATCCAGGATAGAATAAATAAAATGTTTGTTTTCAGTCTGCCTTCACCTATACTTCTTGGTAAGAAAGGAAGGATGAAAGGAAATGGTGGATTGAGGGAGGATGAGAGGAAGAAGGAAAAAAGAAAGGAAGTGAGAGAGGCTAATTATCTGGAGGTTTTTTTTAAAAGCAGTAATGCCACCAAATTAAAGTAGCTTTTCAATTTAATGCACAATATTTATATTACTATTATATTGGCATTTCAGGGTGCCAAGTGTAAAGAGGTTATCTTAGATGCACAGAATATCAAAAAAAACCTGTGCTATCATCTCCCAGTGCAGCCTAATCATTGACAGAGGTCAAGAAAGTTAAAGCAAGTGCTGAAGTTGAATATATTAATATACAAAAATATAGTATTTGTATTAGTCTGTTCTCATGCTGCTAATAAAGACACACCCAAGACTGGGTAATTTATAAAGAAAAAGAGATTTAATGGACTCACAATTCCAAATGGCTCAGGAGGCCTCACAATCATGGCAGAAGGCAAAGGAGAAGCAAAGTAACATCTTACATGGTAGCAGGCAAGAAAGCTTGTGTAGAGGAACTCCCATTTATAAAACCAGTAGATGTCGTGAGACTTATTCACCATCACAAGAACAGCATGGGAAAGACCTGCCCCCATGATTCAATTGCCTCCCACTGGGTCCCTCCTCCCACGACATGTGGGAATTATGGGAGCTACAATTCAAGATGAGATTTGGTGGGGGACACAGCCAAACCATATCAGTATCATTACCCATAAAGACACAGATCACCAATGAAATTTAATTCATCTAGAGAAATGCATTGTAGTAGTACTAAAGTTATTTGGTTAACTTTATGTTCCTATATTTTATGCAAATACGAATTTTTTTATAAGATTTGGGCTGTTATAAAATGTCATTCTAAAGAACATCTCTAATATTTTATGTAATTACTACAAAAATTAAAAATAGTTTTATATTTATAAACCTTGAATTTCAGTGGAGGCCATGCTTATTAAAATTCACTTTCTTTTTGGTTACAGCATTAAAGGGGCTTCTAGAATGCTTACCTTTTTTCAGTCCACTATCATAATGAGAGCCTCAAATTGTATGTCATCATTGGGTCATGTAATCATTAAAGAGTTCTACTTATGAGAGCCAATAACAGACATGACCCTTTCTTCTAGTCTGTTCAGGCAAGCAGATCAAACCTCTTCAAATCCTACAGTAAAAGTTTCACTATTGTCAAATATAGCTTAGTCCTAATGAAGTACATTAAATTTACACAAAACTTTCTGTCCTTGTTTCCAAACTTCATCTAAATAAGTTTCTCCCACCTCCCTCCCACAGCATTGCTCATAATCAGGAAAAATATGGTGTCTAGTAGAAACCATGTTGGAAAACACAAATGTGAAAAAGCAATCTACAGGCTGGGCCTGGTGACTCTTGCCTGTAATCCCAGCACTTTTGGAGGCCGAGGTGGGTGGATCACCTGAGGACAGGAGTTCGAGACCAGCCTGGCCAACATGGCGAAACCAGGTCTCTACTAAAAATGCAAAAGTTATCCAGGCGTGGTGGTGGGCGCCTGTAGTCCCAGCTACTCAGGAGGCTGAGGCAGGAGAATTGCTTGAACCCGGGAGACGGAGGTTGCAGTTAGCTGAGATCATGCCACTGCACTCCAGCGTGGGTGACAGTCTCCAAAAAAAAAAAAAAAAAAAAAAAAGCAAACTACCGAAATAGAAAATATTTGAAGTATGTGACCATTAAAATTAGAAGAGGTAGGTTTGAATTCTGGCTTCTGTCCTCACTGGACATTTGTTTTTGAAGTTTCTATGTCTGTTCCTTTGTAGCAAACTGACAGTTTTAAATAAAGTAACGTAACCGCACACCCCAAAACATAAGTGTTAATTTTCCCTACTGCACACCCCAAACCACACACCCCAAAACATGTTAATTTTCCCTATGCATATGCTTACTTGTGATCTTATATTTATGTTCTTGTATCTTATAAGCCTTAAATTTATGCTGAGAGTTCTAGCCAACAACACATCTACTTAATGTTTTGTCAGTGAAATTAAGCAGAGGGTGTTATGTCAATATTTAATGATAGATTGATATATTGCATGGGCTACTTTGTTTTTAATCCTTGGCCAGGGCCGTTAAATATTTATTGACAGTTACCAAAAAAAATGGTTTTTAGGCTAACTTCTTTTTGTAAATATATGTTCAGTAATTGCCAATAACTTCCATACTAACTGAAGTATATTAGTATATAGGAAGCTGTTGCTATGAAATAACTGTAATATTTCAAAAACTAAATGTTTTTTATTTCAATAGTTTTGGGGGAACAGGTGGTGTTTGGTTACATGGGTATGGTCTTTAGTGGTGATTTCTGAGATTTTGGTGCACCCATCACCCGAGCAGTGTATACTGAACCCAATGTGTAGTCTTTAATCCCGCACTCCCCTCCCATCCTTCCCCCAACTCCCCAGAGTCCATTATGTCATTCTTATGCATTTGTGTCCTCATATCTTAGCTCCCACTTATAAGTGAGAACGTACAATGTTTGGTTTTCTATTACTGAGTTACTTCACTTGGAATAATGGTCTTCAACTCCATCCAGGGTGCTGTGAATGCCATTATTTCATTCCTTTTTATGGCTGAGTAGGTATTTCATTTTATATATATATATATATTTATACACCACATTTTCTTTATCCACTCATTGGTTGATAGGTATGTAGGCTAGTTCCATATTTTTGCAGTTGTGAATTGTGTCATAAGCTAAATGTTTGGAAATACATTGGAATTATTTCTGAAGTTCCGGAATGGCTTTGCTATTCTACATTAGGTGGTTTATTGAATATTTTTAGAGAAGAACCTCTTGATTTTCAGTTGTTTGTGTGGGGAGAAGAGATGGTGGTGGTGGTCATTCTTCATATGGGGATTTGGAAGATGAAAGAGTAGGTTACTCATTCTTTATATGGATTTTCATCAGTCCTTCTCATTTTGGCCTTGCATCTCTTCCCCGTACCCTATCATACCTGATCTTTCTGGGTACTAAGCCTGTACAAGGTTTCTAAACCCTTCATGGCTTCCTTCATGGCTGTGGTCCACTCTATGACAGCCCAGGCTGCAGTTTCCACCACTATGTATCAACAGCTCCATGTTAACAATAGCTTTCTGTCTACCAGAAAATTGAACTTTCCTGACCATTTCTGTTTGAAATATAGGTAATAAAACCACTTTTAATATGTGGTTATCATAGGGCAGAATTTTTCAACCTCGGAATTATTGAGCACTATTAACATCTAGGGCCAGATAATTCTTGCGTTTGTCTTTCCTGTGCATCGTAAGATCTTTAGCAGCGTCCATTGTCAAGTAACACCCCCTACCAATTGTGACGATCTCAGTTGAGAACCACTGTCATAAAACCATGCCAATGAGTAATCATGCAGGACTGTGTATCACAAACAGAATACCAAGAAATGTAAATACCTTCTGCAGAAGCGCAAGCATATGTAAACCAACTCAATATAATCTGGAAGGTCATTAAATTACATTATACTATACTTTAGAAATATAATGTCTTTGTGATATCCTGAGACAAGCAGATTATTTAAAATGTTCTGACTTTCGCAGTGACATTGTGCCTTTTTTGTGTTCCAAAATTTTCTTTTGATAAGCATTTCTAAATAACTTGGGATTTATCCTTTTTCATTTATGAAGGCCTTTTATCTGCTAATAGAAAGAAGAAAAAAAGATATGCTATGATCATTTTGCATACTGCCTCATTGCTAGAGATGCTTTCCCTCACAGGATACATAATTTCTTGGAATAGACTATTGTTCCTAGAAGATAATTAGTGACTGTTTTTTTTTTTTTTTTTTGGTTTTTTGCCTGTCAATAGAAGTGAAAACAGTAGTTGGCATGCTCACCTACTTGATTATAGCTATTACATCAATCAGCATCCTTTTCCTATGCTTCATCATCATTTATCTCAATAATTATATATTGTTTCATTTTTCTCACCATTTTTTCTTTAGCATTAACTATACACAAATTTATTTAAAATGGCTGAAATTAGTCATGCAATCAGTTGGAATTCATCCTCACAACATTTATGCAAAATCTACTGCAGTAATTGTTTTAAAAGTGAAATTTAAAAATATTGAACCACCTTTATTTATTCTACATCTAGTCGTACTCTCTTTTGTTTACCCTCCATGTTTTTCTCCACTCATTTGGTCAGAATCAGGGTTTAGTGGGTGGTTAAATGTGTTCTGGGATCTGCCGTGAGTCTTGGTGCATCAAACAGGGCTGAAGACAATGAAAGCTGTGGCATAAAGGACAAATGTAGAAGGTGAAAAACGAATAGAGACCCTGAACCTTAACATTATCTCCATGTTGACCACGGTTTCCTTTGGTATTCTTGAGTAATTCTATGACGAAAATAATGAATAGAGTATTTTCATTGTTTCTTTTACCTTGGAGGTTTATCAAGATGTTGGACAGCAACGAAATGTAAATTCCGTAACTCATGTGTTAGGACACTACTTCATAATAAATATTTTTTAATGAGAAAAAACTAAATCATGATTATATCCAATTTGCCAGTTAAATATGTTCCACACATCAGTGAACTAAGGAAGTGCTGGAGAATTGTTCTTAGTAACTTGGATAAGCAGGACCCCGATTGTATTAGTCAAAAAATAAATTTGGGTGTATACTTTTTATTGATGTGTCATAGTTATACACATTTTGGGGTGTATGTGATATTTTGATGAATGTAGGCAATGTGTAATGATCAAATCAGGGTAATGGGGATAGCCCTCATCTCAAATATTTACCAATTCTTTATGTTGGTGGGAACATTACAATTCTTCTCTTCTAGCTATTATGATATATGCAATAAAGTATTCCTAATTATAATTTTCCTGCTGTACAATAGAGTACTAGAATTTATTCCTTCTATCTAACTATATTTTTGTACATGTTAATCAACTTCTCTTCAACTGCCCAAAGCAATTGACACATTCATTGCAATCCCTATCAAAGTACTAATGTCATTTTTCACAGAAGTAGAAAAAAAATCCTAAAATTCATATGGAACGAAATGGAGCCCAAGGAGCCAAAGCAATCCTAATCAGAAAGAACAAAGTTGGAGGCATCACACTACTTGAGTTCAAATTGTACTACACAGCAACAGTAACCAATACAGAATGGAACTGGCACAAAAACAAACACATACACCAATGGAACGAAATAGAGTTGTTATGACCAACCATTCTATTCTCTACCTTCATAAGATTGACTTGTTTTGCTCTCACATATGAGTGAGAAAATGTGATATTTTTCTTTCCGTGCCTGGCTTATTTCACGTAATATAATGACTTTCCATCTATCTTGCTGCAAATGACAGATTTTCATACTATTTTATTGCTGAATAGTATTCCAATGTGTACATATGCCACATTTTCTTTTTATTATTTTGAGGAAACTCCATAGAGTTTTCCACAATGGCAGTACTACTTTACGTTTCCACCAACAGTGTACAGGCATTCACTTTTCTCTGCAGCCTCTCCAACATTTGTTATTTTTTGTCTTTTTGATAATAAATAGCATTTCTAGCTGGGCTGAAATTTCTCTTCGTGGTTTTTGTTTGTGTTTTTGTTTTTGGTTTGTTTTTGAAACGGAGTTTTGCTCTTGTTGCCCAGGCTAGAGTGCAATGGCGCGATCTCAGCTCACTGCAACCTCCGCCTTCCGGGTTCAAGCGATTCTCCTACCTCAGCCTCCCAAGTAGCTGGTATTACAGCTATTTGTGGTTTTAATTTGCATTTCTCTGATGAAGATTTTTGCTGTTGAGTTGTTTGAGCTCTTTATATATTCTACTTACTAATCCCGTGTGTATTAGTTCATTCTTGAATTCATATAAGGAACTACCTGAGACTAGGTAATTTATGAAGAAAAGAGGTTTAATTGACTCACAGTTCTGCAGGCTGTGCAGGAAGCATGGCTAGGGAGGCCTCAGGGAATTCACAATCAGGCAGAAGTGAAGAAGAAGCAGGCACATCTTCATATGGCAGAGCAGGAGAGAGACAGCGAAGGGGGAAGTGCTACACACTTTTAAACAACCAGATCTCCTGCGAACTCACTCACTATCATGAGAACAGCAAGAGGGAAGTCCGCCCCCATGATCCAGTCACCTCCCACAAGGCCCCTCCTCCAACATTGAGGATTACAATTCGACATGAGATTTGGATGGGGATGCAGAGCCAAACCATATCACCTTGTCAGGTAGATCATTTGCAGATAATTTCTTCCATTTTGTAGGTTGTCTCTTCACTTTGTTAACTGTTTCCTTTGCTGTGCAAAAGCTTTGTAGCCTAATGTAATCTCAATTATCTGTTTTTGCATTGGTTGCCTGTGCTTTTGAGGTCTTAACCAAAAAATCTTTGCTCAGAGCAATGTCCCCTAGCATATCCCCAATGTTTTTGTCTAGTAGTTTTATACTTTCAAGTCTTATATTTAAGTCTTTAATCCATTTTGAGTTTATTTTTGTATATGGTAAAAGATGGGTATCTACTTTTCTGAATATGAATATCCATGTTTCCCACACCATTTATTAAAGAGACTATCCTTTCCCCAATGTATGTTCCTGGTGCCTTTGTAAAAAATGAGTTGGCTGTAAGTGCATGGGTTTGCTTCTGGGCTCTCTATTCTGTTCCATTGGTGTATGTGTTTGTTTTTGTGCCAGTACCATTCTGTATTGGTTACTATTGCTTTGTAGTACAATTTGAACTCAAGTAGTGTGATGCCTCCAACTTTGTTCTTTCTGATTAGGATTGCTTTGGCTCCTTGGGCTCTATTTCGTTCCATATGAATTTTAGGATCTTTTTTCTACTTCTGTGAAAAATGACATTAGTACTTTGATAGGGATTGCAATGAATCTGTCAATTGCTTTGGGCAGTATGGTCATTTTAATGATATTAATTCTTCCAATGTATGATATGAGTGTGGGATGTCTTTTCATTTGTGTACATCCTCTTCAACTTTCTTCATCAGTGTTTTATAGTTTTCCTTGTAGAGATCTTTCATCTCCTTGGTTAAACTTATTCATAGGTATTCTATTTTTTGTGCTATTGTAAAGGGGATTTCTTTCTGAGCTAGTTAATTATTTGTGTATAGAAATGCTACTAATTTTTGTATGTTGATTATTATCCTGCAACTTCACTGAATTCATTTATCAAATCTAAGAGTTTTTTGGTGGAGTTTTTAGATTTTTCTATGTATAAGATCGTGTCATCAGCAAGTAAGGATAATTTGACTTCTTTCTTTCAAATTTGAATGCCATGTATTTCTTTCTATTGCCTAATTGTTTTTACAAAGACTTGCAGTACTATGTTGAATACAAGTGGTAAAAGTGGACATCTTTGTCTTGTTCCAGATCTGAGTGGAAAGGCTTTCAGTGTTTCCCTATTCAGTAAGTGAAGGATAGTAGAGATTAGCCAGAGCTTATCTCATAATAAATGACTATGACATTAGCCTAAAATATGAAACTTTCCAAGACCACTTCCCTTTGGGGGATCACAAGGAGATGAGTCATCAGTCACTGCCTTACATTTTTGAAATATAAATCAACATTGAATAGTAAAATTAGCCTTATGGATAAAAAGAGGTGACTAAACTGATTTATAAAAACTTGTCTCTGGATAATTAATCCACCCTAAACTTGCTTCTCTTATGTTGTCTCCACATATGGTTAAATGGTACCACCATTCATGTGTTTGCTCAAGCTCATAACTAGGGATCATGCCCCTTAACTCATGAACATTCGTTTATAATTCACATCTAGTCAGTCAGTAAATTTTGTTAGTTCTACTTACCAAATAGATACTTAAGGGAAAAAAATTCTACCACTTCCACCACCAACACTGTGCCGTCGCCTTTCAGTGGACTGCCTCAACATCTTCCTCCCTGCCTTCCTGCCTCCATTCTGCCTCTCTGCCTCCACACCACTTCATTCTCCCAGACTTGAACACCAAAATGCCAGAGTGATACCTCTGGTACAAATGCTACTTGGGGCTCTCTTATTTTTAAAACTCTCCAAAGCATTCCTCTTATACTTAAAATAAAACCCAAGTCCTTTCCATGTTCTACAAGGCCCTTCCTGCATTGGCCAGTGGCTATCTTTGAATTCATTGTCACTCTTTTTTTACATCATTATAGATACAGTGGCATTCTTTGCCCTCTCTTAAGCATGCCAAGTATACTCCATCTCAGCACCTTTGAACTTGCTCTTCCCTCTGCCTGGCATAAACATCCTCCAGGTTTTGCTATGACTCACTTCCTCCCTTCTCACAGATATGTTCCAAATGATCATCAGAGCAAGCTTTCCTGACAGTTTTTTCTAAAATAGCATTTACATTAGTCTCTATCTCTTTAGCTGCTTTAATTTTCATAGTACTTATAATCACCTGGCATTATATTGTGTGTGTATCAATTTATATGATTATTTTGCATCTCCTTCTCTGGAATGCAGGCTTCATGAAAGCAGAAGTTTTGTCTGTCTTGTTCACTATTATAGCCCCTAGTACCTGGTAGAGAGGAAATATTTTAAAAATATTTTTTGAATGAATAAATGAATATTTTTATAGTTTAATTACAAACCACACTTATCAAATTAAATGAACAAAATACTAAGTATCAAAGCTAGCCAAATGAATTCCTTGGCTTTCCTAAATACATGTCTTTTGATGGATATATTATGAGTTACTTCCTTGGAAGTATTTGTTCTGTCTCCTTGGCATGACTCTTAAGTTACCTTGTATATGTTGTTAGTTTAGTCATCAACTGACCTCCCCGCACCTTTCTGTTCAGTTGCTTAGTCACTCCTCACTCTTTGAGGCTCCTGAGGCTCCATGACTCCGTGGTTAGTCACCACAATTATTTGCAACAGAAAGGAGAAATGTTGCCAACCCCAAAGCATTAGAGATAAGTGAAAAATAGAGCACCCCTTTCACCCCAAGTGGATTC
This sequence comes from Homo sapiens, assembly GCF_000001405.40. Classification (NCBI taxonomy): domain Eukaryota; kingdom Metazoa; phylum Chordata; class Mammalia; order Primates; family Hominidae; genus Homo; species Homo sapiens. The sequence goes on from NC_000023.11 coordinate 29,662,989, forward strand.
ACCTAGTAAATGTTGATGTTTTCTTCTGTCCATTTCCTTCTTCTGCAAGGACCATGAGATTGTGTTTACATTCTACAGCTCTCACAAGATGTATGCTCCAATATTAGAAACTAATGTTTAAACATTCCAGGCCAAAGAAAGCAAAACTGAAATTCCACTCTTGAGTCATTCAGAGGTTGAAGCATTATGGGTGATCCAAGTTCCCCTGACTATCTGTGAACACAGGCAGTTGTTTGTCAATTCTTTTAAGTTAAAAAAAAATGCACAAACAACCTATTGTAAAATGGAGTGAGTCAGTGCAATTGCACAAAGCATGTTTTATTGTCAGCTGTATAAATCTGTGAATATTTTTCGTGACCAGTTTTAGTTGGTGGATTTAAATGAGGTCACCAAAAAGTTATCTCTGAGTATAGCACTCGCCACAGTGCATCATAAATATGCTCTCATCTATGAACATCCTTATGAATGACTCTATGTCTTACTCATTCTTTTATCTCTAAATTAGTACTGACTATTTTAGGTCCTTCATAAATGCTTTTGAAATTGGATTATGGAGGTATTTATAATTATCTAGATTATAAGCTCTTTCAGGACTAAATGCTATGTTTTGTTTACATTTGATCCCCTTATAGTCCTGTACATTGCCTTGCATATTTAAAAGTCTTTAGAATATTTTTGTTGAATTGATTTGTTAAGTATAGATCAATCCCCCTGCTATGGAAACTAATGTGGAAAGTGTTAATGATTCTTAAATCAGGGTCTAAACCCCTTTTGATCCTTTGGTTGGATGTCCAGTTCATTATTTCACAAATAGTAATATTTTTCTTGTCAGGCTATATAGGCTGCTAAATGCTATTATCCCAAACTTTGATGGATATAATTAGAACAGATTTATTTTCCGTCTACTATATGCAGGAACTTAATCTGTTTTCCTATTAAATCCTCACGACAATTCATGCAGGAAGACTATGTCACATTCTCCATATAAAAAGACTGAGACTAAGAGATGTTAAGTAATTTATCCAACTTGCCAAACAAATAAGGCAGAATCAGGAACTGTTAGACCTGTTTCCTTGAACACTAACTGTGTGAAATCTTTCCTACTCTACCACAATGCTTCTAAGAAACAAAGTGGGCCGGGCGCGGTGGCTCACGCCTGTAATCCCAGCACTTTGGGAGGCCGAGGCAGGCGGATCACGAGGTCAGGAGATCGAGACCAGCCTGACTAACGCGGTGAAACCCCGTCTCTACTAAAAATACAAAAAATTAGCCAGGCATGGTGGCGGGTACCTGTATTCCCAGCTACTCGGGAGGCTGAGGTAGGAGAATGGCATGAACCCAGGAGGCAGAGCTTGCAGTGAGCGGAGATCGCGCCACTGCACTCCGGCCTGGGCAACAGAGCGAGACTCCGTCTCAAAAAAAAAAAAAAAAAAAAGTGAAGGGAACTAGTTAAAATACATTATGAAAATTATATATGACTTTGAAAGAAACATTTTATGGTAGGATAAGTATAGATATCCAAAATGTATCGAATATTCTCAATAGTATTTGAGGGATTAGTATGTGAAGGATTAAAATTAACTTTTAAAGGCGTGATTGTTCAACAGAGAAAGATACATGTATTATAGACACCTCACATTTCTCTCCACGTTAAGAACTTTAAAAAGACTCAAGAATCTTGGCCTCTTTACCCTGGTGTTGTCATATTTGTTTTAGGAAGATAGTGTTTTACTTTTTACCGTTCCATAGCTCAAGTGTAAAAGGGATGGGGAAAAGAGGGAGAGGCTGTATCCCTTTATGAATACTCAGGAAAAGTTAATATAGATAGGGAATCAATCCTGTACACATCTTCATGTGTTCTGACTTCTAGATGTTTCTCTAACTGGTAGCTAGTAAGAAAAATTAGTGTCCTTAAAATGTTCCTTCTATTATGCAGAAGCTTTGTCAACTGAGACATTAATAACTCTGTAAGAGAGGTCTGTTATTATTTAAATGTCTATAGAGCTTTACCGTTGTTAATAGGATGTTCTGAAGAATAAAATGAGGTCTTGAAAATACTTTTGTTGGTGAATACAAAGCTATGTTTAATGCAAAATTAGTGAGAGAAAAATCTCTACTATAATTGCTGTGGGTTTTTGTGGACAAAATATGATTAGGATTTAAAATTACCCTGTGCTTCATATCATTACTGTTACACTTTGTTTAGTTTTCAAAGTGATTTCCATTTGTGAGTGAGTGTGCATATGTGTGTATAGGTGTTTTCAAGGAAGAGAGAAATGTCTTCGTAACACAAGTTGTTTTCTTAACTATAAAAAGCCAGTTGGCTTAGTCATGGTCTAATGCTAAGAACGTTTCTTTTAAAATTGTAATTTGTTTGAATTTCCTTCTAGTTTCACCTTTGCCAGTGCAGAAAATAAAGAGGGTTTTTGTGGTTGTGTGTATGTTCATCTTGATTGGCCATTACCATAGCTGCATTTGTTTTCCAGTTCTGTGTTCTGTCAATTTAATCCAACTAATATTTATGAAATACCATAATGTTCCAGAAACATTCAAATAATGGAAAATTCAGCTCATATTCTTCCTTTGTGACTTTGTGACAGCAAAATTGGTCACCCTCAAGTGACTGTAGAACTGAGCTACATCTTAGCTTTAGCAGTCACCTCCTTTTCACAGTCATTTTGCCAATGTGTCAAATCAGTGGCTCAGCCATTGTGGTCTCTGGAAGTTTCCCTTCACTTCTATCAAAGACAGGCAAATCACATGAGAAATGTATCCAACTGATACCCATGATAATACCAAAACATGACACTTACAGATGATGACAGATTGCATGGCAAGAGCTCTCTGCCGTAGGTTATGATTATTTAGTTGCATGTTTCCAGTCTTGTAACAGATTGCACACACCTTGAGGGGAGACTGCACAGACCCATGCAATATTTGCTTGACAGAATTTTCCAAGGAGCACATAACAAAGAATGGGGAGGAAAAGATCTAGGAAGGATTCTAGTTTGAATTTGCTCTGTTATTTTTGGCAAGCCTTTTGATCTTTTTGTACCTCAGATCCTTGATCTCTAAAATAATAGAGTTGAATCAGTCCAGTTTTTTTTTAAGTTATTAATATTTTTTATTAAATTAAAATTTATTTTTAAATTTTTATTAAAGTTTTTTAACTACAAAGCACCGTAAGGTATAAGGACAGAAACTAAAGATATTCCAAACCCTGTATCATAATATCTGGCACATTATTCTGTTTAATATATATCAGTTGAATTGAATTGGATTTGTTTGGTCAACATCTTGGGTGAAATACTGATGTATAAGGTAAAATAAAAGCAGAACTAATTTTGTCAAAGAGGAATGGGTGGCACAACAAGGCAGGGAACTGAGCCCAGTGGGCACCCCCAAACTCCACCTACTCAGAGGGGCATGGTGAAAATCATACCATGTTAGAGAACACAGTTTCCAAATCAAAGAACTTAATAACCGTGTAATTCTTCCTGGCTTCAACATTCTATAATTCCATGACTGAGCTTTAAAGAATTCCTTTACTAACATCTAGTTTGCCACATGAAAGTAATATGAAAGATGTTAAGGATGTTGTAACATTATGCCGTCAAGTGGGTGGTGGGTTATGATGGAGAACCACAAAACCGTTTTGTATTTCTGAACAAATGTACTGCATACGGGTTTTATTATCTTTCTCTGTAGATCTTTATTTTTTGCCTTACTGCAAACTAATGTGGTATGCGTTTGAACAGGGAACAGTTCTCTCAGGTGCTTTCTGTAAAAAACTGTCAAGTCGTCTACTTGTAACTACATAGTCACAAGATTATATAAACTGACATAATTTACTGAATACAACACTTATTTAGATACCATAGTTGCTTTTGAAATTCACTGAAACCATTTGATAACCAGAGTCTAAGAAATGTAGATTTCCAACCTATTAATGGCAAACTATTTTGCCAATATTTAGTGAATATAAGCTGATTATTTAGGCAGTAGAAAAATAAAATCCATTAAGATCACTTTAGGCAGGAAATAAGAGTATTAAAGATTAATCAGAGTGATATCATATCTTTGAGAAGAATTTCAAAGCGATTGATCTCATCCTATTACCCAAACTTTCCTTTGCCCTTTATTTCTGTCCTCTTGTTAAATAGTAATAAAGATGAATGGATAATTATTCCATGAGCTATGAACAAAAGCTATCAATCATATATGAGGTTGTTCTTCCAAACTAAAACTCAAAACTCATTCCTTTTATTCTCTGACTTGGGGCATGTCATTCCTTTGTACTTAATGTGTTTTCCTTTAAAAAGAAGAGGAGGCAAGCTGCTAAAGCTTGAATTCTTGAACCCTCTGGTGATAAGTATATGTGGCCAACTCTTGGCAATTCTGCCTAGATTAGCCTTCCAGTTATCAACCAAGCTGGCATGTCCTCTTGGCAAGGAAGAAAGAAAGCCCTCAAAGCAAAAACATTTAGTTTAGCAATCCTTAAATGATAATTTATATACTTGATACAGAGTAGAAATTTCGGTGACAGGTTTCAAGGGACCTAGGCAATTCGATGAGAGAGGGCAGGGCAGAGTGAGGAGGCTAGATGAAGGAGAGCTGACTAACTAAAGTCCAGATATAGTCTAGTTTAGCTAGGAATGAAGTATGCAATGGAAAACCTATCTTCAAGATTTCTAATGGCAAACTCTTAGATTTGTGGGCTGATAATTGAAGTTGACGAGAGCACAGAGCAGAAATGTGTAGAAGCTTAAAATCGAAGAGAGTATATCATGCAAATTAGCAATAAACACTATAAAATGTAACGGATAATAGAAAGAGTTTAGACTAAATGGAAAATATCATTTAAAATATTCCCTTGGTGTGGGTGTGCATGCTTGTACTAATTTAATGCCATATCTACCTCACTTAGATTATGTATGTAGGAAATACTTAATGTAATAACTAAATGGCAGATTTTGAAATGATGTGATCTAGGATATGGAAACTAGGAATGGAATTAAGAATAATGAGATAAATTTATGCCAAAAAAAATCATTGTAATACATGCCACATATATCATGTGTAGCTTTAATTAACACAGAAAAAAATGCAGGACATCCCATTAAAAGTAAAACAAAGAACAAATTGAAAATGCTTTCTGAAACACAGTTATATGTTCACAAGGACTGACCAATCCTGATGGTCTAATTCATTAGTGTCATGTGACTGTCAGTCTGGAAGTGTTATATTTTACTCACGTACAATCTAATAGCTTTTCAGCTTGCCTGAAGGTGTTATCTGCAGTATGTTCATCGTTACTTGGTAGAGCACTTTAACACTACTTTGAAAGTGAAAAATATTTGGGAAAATAGACTGTATTCTATCTTTTAGTTTTATGCAGCATAACTATAAGTCTCTGTATTATTATTGTTGTTGTTTTTCAGCCCCTCTGACTGATAAGCCACCCAAGCTTTTGTATCCTATGGAAAGTAAACTGACAATTCAGGAGACCCAGCTGGGTGAGTAATTCCTTAATTCTAGTTAATATGCTGCTCTCGTTACATTGTGACAGTTAATAAGCCTAGATTGTAACCCGATGTAATACTCGCAGCTAAATCCATTTGTATTCATAGGGAACAGAATTAGAAAATGCTAGCATACCTAGCCATTTCATTCCTTACAGTGCGTGCCTTAGGACCCAGTTGGACATATGGATGTAAAAACTCACATGCTATTTAGATGGTTATTGGAAAATGAGATAGGCTGATGATTTTAGTGATGGTATTACAGCACTGTCTTACAAGGTTTGAATTGGTTTTCAAACAGACACTATGGAACAATTTGATTTATAATATCTATTAATAGGTTAAGATGCAATTTCTGAAATTTAGGGGAAAGGGTTCAAATTTATTAAAATAAATGTCACCATTATGGTTAAAAAACATTTTAAGTGTAATCAAATATAATATAAATTTTGCTAGTTATATTTTGGATAATCTATTAATAAAATATGACCAAGTGACTTTTGGTTAAGGGACTAGCAGATTTGGGACATAAGGCTATAGACAAAATATGTATTGAAAAAATGTACAATTATATACGAATCAGAATTCTGACTTATCTTAGAGGTTCATCTAGAAATTTTGAGTTTGATTTAGCTATATTCAGTTATACTAAATTATGAAAAATTTCCCTCTTAATTATAAATATATACATAGCAATTCTGTTATATTCTCTTAGGTCTTATTTTATTTGAAATGTAGTATGCAGGCATATGCCATAAACTTTGGCAGAAGAGTTTTTGTTTGTAGTGGTGCATTATAAAAGGTTATCAAAAATATGAATTTAAATGAATATCCATGTTTGTTAAGGAATTTCTTCTTAGATTAATCATACAAGAGTGAAAATGCATGTACTGTATATAACTAAAAAGAATCAGTATACCATCCCTTAAGTTATTAATGTTATTCTTATTCCTGGAGTGAGAATTTGCATCAAAATTGTAAATTCATTTTCCAAATGAAGATTACAGATGTGATAATCTTTACTAATAACATACCCAAAGTTATAGTACACAAAGATATGATGATGGTTTTAGCACCTATAAAATTATTGTGGTCAATGGCTTTCTAGCACTTGAAATGCTTATATTTGCTAAGTTTAAAGCATGAACATACAGGATTTATACAAGTCAGGGTGTTAATATCTTTCTTTGATTCAAGCCTTTTGAATTAATGTCATATAAATGCAAGTAGTATTATAATTGCTGTTATTTTGAGATGGAAGGTTACAGATAGCATTGAAACAGTGCCACATATGAAGCAAATAGGTGTACTCAAATTTTATCATGCACTTTATGCATGCCATGGCATCCTTAATTACACTAGAACTTATTGCTACATTATGAATACATTTTTATTTATAAATTCCCATAAGTAGCCATGCTCATACTGATCTTTCAATAATTCATAGGAAGATGTATTTCTAAGGAGTTATATAAAACTATTAAACATTTTGGGCCGAGAATGGAGGGTTTTATGGTACCAGTTACTATAATGAACATAGTAAAAATGAAATTAATTGTACGCCTTTGCTTGACAATATAATGAAAAGAATTTTATGGTTGATTGTTGCCCATTGGGTTTCTTTTTACTGTCCTTGAATTTGTAATAAGTCAGATTGTTCTCTACCTCTTACTACACTGTTTTACAAAATAGAATAATTGGTAAAGCTGTATTTAAAGCTTTACCTTCTCTTGAACAAAGTCACAAAGACTAACCACAGCAAATTAAAAATATGGAAATTTCTTAAGCAAATTGGAAGTGACTATACATTCATTTGAAGAAATATGGGCATGTCTGTTACTAAAATGCTTCAAAAAATACTCTTAAATCCTTTATTGTCACTCAAAAAGGAGCATGAGGTCTCTTTAACCACTGACTAAACTAGTGGATTATTTTAAGCAACTTTTATTTTGTTGTGTTTTATGATTTTGGTTCATAGTGTACAGATAAGTCGTTTACTAGTTAGAGAAATTCAACCTTAATCTTTGGATTTGTGAGCAACAGTTGATTTGAAGTAACTACCTTAATAGTATTCTTGCTACTTTGCTAGCATTGCTAGTAAGTAGGTGAATCAAAAAGGGTAAGTGAAAATAGGAAAGAATATTAAAGACAAAAAAGGCTTGAGATGAGGTGTCTAAAATATACGTTTTTTCCAAAATATGTATTTGGACTTTTCATTTTCTTAAGGATTTAATTTTTGCCCTTTCCATATTTGACAAAACTGCCTATTCAACAGGTTCAAAATATGATATAAATCCTAAGAGGGACTGAGTGAAGAGTCACGGGTTGGGAGTAAAGAGGGTGGCCTGCGCCCATGATGGGGAACTTATAACCTACTCTGTTGAAAACCTTCAACAGAATTTTACGGTCCAAGTATTCAGAGGTTTGCCTCCACTTGTTCCCAAATTGAGAGTTGACCTCAGAGGGATAACCAAACTCTTGTAAGAGTTACGTTATAAGAAAAATCATCAGGAATTACACAAAGCTAAGCTTGTACATGTCTGGTGACCTAACTTGAGCATCCTAGTTAAGTTACACACGTATCCAATCAACCCTAGTAACTGTGTGTCCATAGATTCTCTAGTTTGCTCACAAATATATGTAATTCATTAATAATGAACTTTGATATAATCAGGAAGTGCATGGATTTGCTCTTCATCTTCAAATTCATTTTCTCTGCCATTTGCTAGCCGTGCCTACCTTTCCCATTTTCTATATTTCTGTATTTTCTTGTGTCCTGTTCTTCTAATTCCTCCATCTTTTCAAACTGGAAAGGGTTTGATAGTGGTCATTTAAATTCTTTTATTGTAGAAAGAAAGCAAAAAGCACTAAAAGCAAAGTACTTAGGAAAAAATCATATAATGGAAACTAAATTCATATAAAATATGTAAATTGTCGGCTTTGAATTTGAATCAATACGTGGTCACAACCTGGCATTTCCATTTTAAGTGGCAACTGTATGTTATTTCTAAATGTAAAAAAAAGAACACTGTCCATTTACATAACTTTCAGGCATCAGCAAATATGTGAATAGCACTTTTTTGGGCAAAAGGCCCAGAAATTTCACTGTACAGTTCTGGAAGTCAATCTGGGAGGTGAGCCTGAGTATTTTTTCAGGCTACTATAGTCAAGAGAATCAAAAGACAGCCACAATTGTCTTGCTAAACCTGAGCCCTGAGGATGTCATTCAGAGATGTGGCCTGCCTGTTACGGCCAGGAGCCCACTTTCAGAACCGTCCAGGACAGAGAGCATATTCTATCGCTACCAGACTTTCAAAGAGTAGAAATCCACCCTACCCTTGACCTAATGGTACAAATTATATTTTACAACTCAGAATTCACTGAAAATTATCATTAATTACTTACCTAGATATGTGTATCACTTTATTTAAATGTCAGTGTTGTCTTTAAAATAATTATAAAGGTTAATGGTAGAAATTTTGGGGAAATAGAGAGAAGAATCTTTTTCTTACACTCTACATTATAAACGCATTCTGCTCCTATTAAATATTCTCACAAAATATCCTTTTAATGGCCGATGTGAATGTCATATAATTTCATATATATTGCTGGAAATTTGAATTCTTCACATTTTTGTTATTATAAATAATGTGATGGTCTTTACCTATACACTTTCCCTCTGACTCTATAGTTATCTCAACAGAACAAATTCCTAAAAGTAAAAATACTGGGTAAAAAGAAATAATTTTGTTAAAGGTTCTTAGTACATATTTTCAGAATTCTTACCAGAGAAGTTGTATAAACTCCCACCAGAAGTATGTAATAAGTATAAATACTACTTAATCTTTAACAAAATTAATAAAAGTATATCTTTATAACATAAAACTCTTAAAGATCTCTTTGATACTAAAATCACCTCTCTCTCCTCTCTTTTACCTCTTTTTCTCTCTTCACTCATTAAGTACAAGTGGATGCTCTTTGAGTTTATCCGTATTTGAAAGATCTAGCCCATTTAGGTAAATGTCTACCCTTGAGAAAATATACAAACCTAATCGAATGTCTATAATCTCTATCCATTTTCTTCTCTTGCTCATCCTAATGCTCAGCTAGGACCTTCCTCCAGATTCTATGTTTCTTAATAAAGTGCCCAGTAATTTCGTGATGTACTGTGGGCACATGGAATGTCAATAAATACTAACTGACAATAAGTTCTTCACAGCACAAAGGACACACACCTCTAAATTTTCTGCAAGAGAATATAATGTGTAGACTGAACTGTGTAAGCTGCCCAACCGTGCTCTTATTTTTCTTTACTAATTTATTCTCATTGTTAAGCTTGTTAAAAAGCAAGCACTTTTTGTATCTGAGTGGGTAATAAGGATTCACCAGATATTCACATCTGGAGGAAAATGGTTGGGGACATAAAGAAACTTCAGATTTTTAAACATAGATCTTAGTAAAAGGATACACATTTTATCCAATATATGCAATTTTATCCAGTTTAACTATAGGCTACTTAAAATAAAATGTCACACTAGAAATTAATTAGCACTCCTTGGCTTGTTCCACCATACTGTAGTTGCAGAATTTTAGATTTGGAATAGACCAAAGGAAAATGTCCATACATTTTATTACAGATCATAATTGACCACACCTTTTCTGAATAGTTACTACTCTGTGTTAGTAAACTTGGGAAATCTTTTTGTTTCCTCTCTAGGGTGAGAAAATACTTAATATAAATATCCTAGAAACAACATTATTTAGGTGTTGAATTTGATACCGAATTCTGAAAGTGTCATGTAATACTGTTGAGTCTAAACATTATTGTTTTGCTGAGTTGTACAAGTGATGTAAATATGACAGTTCCCAGAGATAGGAAAGTCAGTATCGGCCAGATTTTCTCATCTACATTCACGCTACTGGTTGTCATAAGCAAATGTAAGGCCATTGATTTGATTTTACCGGATCATAGAGCATATAAAGGACATATTTTCACCAACAAACTCAAATTAAAAAACCGTAAAACTTCCCTTTCTACTACGAGAAAAACAATAATATCCCAAGTCCAAGCTTTTTATGGAAAATGTGGTTCTTTTTGCCCATTTAAGAAAGACATACCAATCAGCATATTTCTAGTGCCTGAAATAAACCTGTTAGACATAAATTAAACCTTTTGGACAAATAGACATCGTAATTAAACCATGGAAAGATAAATAAAGACTGGTATTATAATTATTTAAACTATGGCATTCAATTCTACTCAATCCAAATTTATCATCCCAAGGTAAATGAAAGTGGTAACTCTTAACAGCTCTCTTAGTCTGTCTTGCTTTTGAAACCAAAAAGCACCCTAAAAATTGTGACTGACCTAAAAAGGAATACTTGTCATACCACTATTTCAGTTATTATCGTATATCATTAAACAGATGATAAATCAATAAATGGAAACTAGTATTCGTATTTTGAGGTCATTGTATGACCTAACTTACATGATTCTCTCAGATTCTCAAATTCAGTCACTTTTTGGTGACAGAGAGGAGAAATAGGTTTGGAAAAAAATACAACTGCATGTTTGCTTTAAAAACTGCTATCTACGTAGAAGTTGAAATTCCTTTTTATGTTTTAAGTGGTCAGGGCCAGTCACGGTAGCTCACTCCTGGTATCCCAGCACTTTGGGAGGCTGAGGCAGGCAAATCCCTTGAGCTCAGGAATTTGAGATCAGCCTGGTCAATATAGTGAGACCTCATCTCTACAAATATACAAAAATTAGCTTGGTGTGTTGGCATGCGCCTGTAGTCCCAGCTACTTGGGAGGCTGAGGTAGGAGGATCACTTGGGCCGAGGTGATTGAAGCTGCAGTGAGCCATGATTGTGCCACTGCGCTCCAGCCTCGGTGACAGAGCGAGACCTTGTCTCCAAAAATAAAAAAAAGTTTTAAGTGGTCAAGCCCTAGTTCTAGGACAGGTTTGCAATCCCATAAAAAAGATGGACGTGAAGGTAAGAACAGTTCCAGTGGGCCAATGATATCCAAAAGTTTGGAAGTCAGTTAAAGCACTTTTTTAAAAAAACTTTTATTTTAGGTTCAGGGGCACATTTGTAGGTTTGTTATATAAGTAAACTTGTGTCACAGGAGTTTGTTGTATAGATTATTTTGTGACCCAGCTGCTAGTACCCAATAGTTATTTTTTTCTTCTCTCTCTCTCTCCTCCCACCTTCCACCCTCAGGTAGGCCCCAGTGTGTGTTGTTCCTCTCTTTGTGTCCATGTGTTCTCATCATTTAGTTCCCACTTATAAGTGAGAACATGCAGTATTTGGTTTTCTGTTCCTGCATTAGTTTGCTAAAGATAATGGACTCCAGCTCCATCCATGTTCCTGCAAAGGACATGATCTCATTCTTTTTATGGCCGCATGGCATTCTGTAGTGTATATGTACCACTTTTTAAAAAAATCGAATCTGCTATTGATGGACATTTAGACTGATTCTATGTCTTTGTTCTTGTGAACAGTGCTGCAATGAACATATGCATTCATGTGTCTTTATGATAGAAGGATTTATATTCCTTTGGGTATATATCCAGTAATGGGATTGCTGGGTCAAATGGTAGTTCTGTTTTTAGCTCTTTGTAAACAGACAACCTACAGAATGGGAGAAAGTATTTGCAAACTATGTATCTGACAAAAAAGGTCTCATATCCAGCATCTATAACGAATTTAAACAAATTTACAATGAAGCACTTGTTAAAGTCTTTAAAAACTGGGACAGAGACAAGTGAGTTTTCTTGTTCACTTACTTTCCAAAAGGGCCAGAAGGGAAAGAAGAAGAAAGAAAAGGCCCAAGAAAGAGTGCTGTCACAGAGCAATGCAGAGAGTCCATTTAAGCTTCCAACTCCTGGTCTAGTCCCCACGCTGGACACTGACACATATTATGCAGATTACTCTTTTGCTGCAGCACTAAGAGTACTATTTTATTTGTTATCAGTCAGTTAAGAAGCTATATAGGTATAAATCTTTGCAATTCTAAATGAAGAACTTTAGGAGGTGGAGGGGGTCTGGAAGTTATCAGGTCAAACCTTTTTCTTTCTTTTTTTTCCTTTTTTTGAGACAGAGTCTTGCTCTGTCTGCCCAGGCTGGAGTGCAGTGGCGCCATCTCGGCTCACTGCAGCCTCCGCCTCCTGGGTTCAAGGGATTCTCCTGCCTCAGCCTCCCGAGTAGCTGGGATTACAGGCATCCGCCACCATGCCCAGCTAAAGTTTGTATTTTTAGTAGAGACGGGGTTTCACCATGTTGGCCAGGCTGGTCTTGAACTCCTGATCTCGTGATCTACCCACCTTGGCCTCCCAAAGTGCTGGGATTACAGGCGTGAGCCACCACACCCGGTTAAACCTTTTTCATTTATTGATGAGAAAATGGAGACTCAAAATGGCTACATGTTTTTTACATAAAAAATTTACAAAAGCTTGTTATTGCCATTATCATCATCCTCATGATCATCATATTATCACTGTTAGTGTTTTTGTTGTTATAATTAAGAGGCAGTGTACAGTAGTGGCTCCCAGTTGAAATCTCACACAGGCCTATGTGACAGTTTAGCTCCACCATTTACTTCTAGTGTGACCTTGAACAACCAGCTTTCAGTTTCCTAATCAATAAAAAAGGTACCAAGATAGTACTGCTTCTATGGAGGTAATGTGAGTATTTGATCGGATAATGCATGTAAAAATTAATAGATTACTTGGCATATATTAAGTAGTCAATACATGTTTGCTGTTAGTATTTGAGACATTTGAATGCTGTAAAAGAGTACTGTATATAGAAGATTCTTGAAATGCATTTTGAATGTCAATGCTTATTTGATCATGCTTATATTCTTACTACAGTATCATACTATGGCAGCAGATACAGCCTTCATTACAGGATAAATAAGATTTTAGAAAATTTATTTCCATCTCCCCTTTAAGGATTCAATATGCATACTAAATTTTTGTATTTCAATGAAACTTTTTAATTATAGAAATTATTGATTTTAGATTACTTAATTCATCAAGTCTAGCCAAATGCATATAGTAAGTACATAGTTATAACAGAAGAAAACTATCTCTATTCTTATTTAAAGAAAATGATAATTTAAAGGACACTATGCCACATGAATTTATAAATGACCATCAAGACAAAAATAAGAGTAAAAAAATTTCTCTTTTGTAAACAGAGGAAATTCAGGTATAATATTTTTAAAAACAAGAGACCTGGAAAATAATTTTCCACCATTATGCCTGTCAAGTTCTTCATGAAGGTTTTGATGATAGTCATATCATTTTATACAAAAAAATGCTGCTTTTCCCCTGACAAACACTGTTATCACAAAGCTTTCTAAGTCATTCTTAATGATTGAAGTTTACTAGCATATAAAAATACAGTCAGTATTGTATGTTAACAAGAACTACTCCTGAATTTGCAAAGTAAATGCCAATTTATCAGAAATAAACCTATCAAAGAACATTACGTTGTAGAATATTGAAAGAGGTTTTAGAATAAGAGTATGCACTGCATGACTGATGTCCATTAAAATAGAAACTATAAAAAGACCCACATCATTTAAAGTTTGAATATAAAGAGATACATTCACCCATAAATTTCCTCTCAAATTTCAGCTAAATAACTAAGGATTTCTAAATTATATGCAGACTCTCCATGAAAAATAACTAGTGCTTCAATAAGATTATGAAAATAGGTTACCAGTATTTTATGCTTTCATGTTAAAACACTTAGCATTCCTGTCAAACCTTACTTTATCAACTTAGTATATTCCCACAGATTTGTGGGTAAATTGAATCATCATCATTTCAGAGAAGTGTTCCCTTCATTTTTGATTGATTTTCGATTAGCAGTGGCTTAACATGTCAGGTTTAAGAGGCTCTGTCCCCCATTCTCTTTTAAGCAGCTAATGATCAATGAAAGATTTATATGCATAAAGGAAATATGCTATTTAAAGAAACTCTGTGGTGAATAATTTTATATAAGAACCCTTTTGTAACTGAATGATCACCCCCATAAGTTTTCCCTGTGGTAATGCAGATTTTTACATTTTTGTAAGATGAGGTTCATCGATATGAAACTGCAAGTTGCATCTCCAACTGATCCAGAAAAAGGATCATCCACCCATTACCATGTGTGACCTCCCGTTGTTTATTAATGGAAACAAATGTCCTCATTGTGACTTTCTGCCTCCTCTGAGGAAATATTACATTTTACTCACCAGCTTCAGAATCAACAGTATTTGGTTTTAATCTAATTCTTTGAAAATATATTTTGTAGGGTAGAATAGTTAAGTAACCAGAATATCTCATGTCCAATTATGACAAAATAGTTTATTTTCATAAGGGATATGCTTTGAACGCCATCCTACTACCTTATCTGCCTTGGTTTTGTTGAAATATACCCTAGTAGGATAACTGCCCATGGTGTCACTTGTTTTTCTATAACTGTGATGAGAGTTCTTATTTCCAGGTTTAAAAGGAACATCTTGTATTTTGATTCTTCTAAAATTTGTATGACTCTCATTTTATCATTCTGGCAGTCACTTCTTTTTATCTTAATGTATTCATATATGTTTAATAATTTCTTTTAAATATAAAAGTATGTACAATGCCACTTGATTTGCAGCTTTATGAATGAGGCTATTACCAAAATGTACTTAAACATGTGCTCCGAAACATGCCAGATATTTACATGAGTCCAATACATAGAGTGTCCATAAGGCTTTAAAACCTAAGCCCCATAGCAAAACTTCATGAAGAGGCTTCCTTCCAATTCACCACACACAAGTTCAACACTACTTTTTTTTTTTTTTTTTTTTTTTTTTTTTTTGAGAAGGAGTCTCGCTGTGTCGCCCAGGCTGGATGCAGTGGCGCGATCTCGGCTCACCACAAGCTCCGCCTCCCGGGTTCACGCCATTCTCCTGCCTCAGCTTCCCGAGTAGCTGGGACTAGAGGCACCCGCCACCACGCCTGGCTAATTTTGTGTGTGTGTGTGTGTGTGTTTTTAGTAGACACGGGGTCCCACCATGTTAGCCAGGATGGTCTCGATCTCCTGACCTCGTGATCTGCCCGCCTCTGCCTCCCAAAGTCCTGGGATTACAGGCGTGAGCCACCGCGCCCGGCCAACACTATTTTTTTAGAAATGCCAAGGATCTTTATTTAATTTTGTAATAAAAATTTATAAAATCTCATTATAACATATACTAATTGAATTATGAAAGGAAAACAATCTTGATTTAAAAATTTTTGTTTTCCAAAATTAATCTGTTTTAAAATAAGTCTTGGCTTCATGGTCTTGTGAGAAGATACCTCCCACCGCTAGATCTGGTCTACAACAAGCATGACAAAAAGCCAGGAAGTTGCTTAAGAGTCCAAGAGAGTGAATAATTTTCTCTCCCTTCCACTTCTCCCCAGTGAGGCTACCGACTTTCTCACTCTCTGAGTGTTTGTTTCTAGTTTAGTAAAAGCAGAGTACCCACCTTGGACTTGCCTGTTGAAGAACTTTTATAGAATGGCGGCTCTTTGAGTAGGAAAAAAGCAAAGCAGAATGCATTGCTTTTCTGGAAAAATAAAACTGAGTGCATCCTGTCACATCAAGCCATCACTAGGAACAGGATACTTAACAATACGGCAGGTCCTAGGAAAATTTGAGATTATTACCACGAATATTCAGTAAGAAGCCATTACCATTATGTGAAATAGCTTAGGGAAAGTTCAGAAAACAAAATATTTTTTATTTTCTCTTCTTAAAAGAAAAAAATGTAATGTTTCCGATGAACCTGTATTTCTGATGATGATCATGTCAATTATCTTGGCAACTTTAAGACTTCTTAATTAAATGATTAAAAGTTGTTACTACTTTCTGTAAATGTACCTGTTTTTGACTGAAATATTTGGGGTGCAATTAGACTAGTTTTATGCACTCTGCTTATTGTATAGCCTATTTATAAGTAGTATGAATATTTCTTTCAGAATTACATATCACATACAATATTGATTAAAAGACTTAAACAAGATATTGTTCTTAGGCATAAATATAATTTGTTTTTTAAATCAGGTTCACCATATTCAACATGAATGTAATTTGTAATGATTATTATTTTAAAAAAAACCCTGTCTCTATTTACCATAAATAATATGTTGTCACTCCAATGCTCTTTATTAGGACTTGCTACTAATTACAGAGTGAGAATAAGGTTTTTATGTAATGGGAGCTAAATAAAATGAGTGAATCTTATATTAGATGAATACATGAGATTTCAGCCTCAGGAGAAATTGTGTGTCACAGAGAACATCGGTGACTATTATGAAAGACATGTTCAGTCAAGAGGGAATCGTACTGTTGACTATCAACAGGGCAGAAAGTACTGGATTGTATTTTCTTTCAGTCACTATGTGCATGACCTAAAATAGAGAACTGAGGCAATATATACATAATTTAGAAGGGAAATAATCCAGAAATTTTATTTTTGTCTCAAATAGATGGCTCTTTCAAGCAAAGGTTAATTTGGGGATTTTTTTTTGAGGGGTCAACTTCCTATGTCTAAGCAATTTAAACTTGAAGAATCACAGGATTTAATACTTCATAGTTAGAGCTCTGGTCATAAGTGACAAATCACTTAAAAGACAGGAGTGGTGCTGGCCTTAAGAAGGATTGGAATAATGCTCGACTGTTCTCTGTCTTTCTTCTCTACTCTTTCTGCATGTCATCATTTTGTATAGGGGTGGAGAGTGGTGGGTCTGGGTGAGTAGAGGAGGGCATACAGGGTGAAGGAATACGTTGCTCAGTTCTTCTAACCAGGAGGAAATGTGGGTTTGGAACTTTAGTGAGAACTTGAAGTTCCCTAAGGAGAAATCCTAATTGGCCTAGAATGAGATACAGATCTAAATTTTGGACGGATCACTATGGCATTAGAGGTGAGGGGCATTGGCTCAGTGGCTGTTGTGTGTCTCTCTCTCCTGTGATGAAGCCTGTATTTTTGTGTGAGTACGTAGATGTGGCAGTTGGTGGGTGGGTGGGGAGGCTGGTAATGGGGCTTTTAACAGACAAAGATAGGGGAAAAAGCAATGGTTATTATGGAGTCCATCTTTTCATATTCCATATTCAATATTTGTTTAACATCCCTGGTTAATCCATCTCATTAATTTAGCTGTCATCTTTATTATGCCTCTTCATTAACTTAGTGAGGGTAGAATGACCCATCCTGATTGATGCATTTGAATGCAGTCTCTCTTGGGCTGAAAACTCTTCCATTGCTCTTCTCCCAACTAATACTGACATCCTTTCCTGTGTATCTGTAGTGCATACGTCTCAACTCTAGACCTGCATTCATCTCTCTGCTGTCTCTAAGCCTGCAGAGTATGTTCTCTTCCAGCCTTAAACCTAAACCAAATGGCAGATTCTTAGCTGTTAAATACATTTTTAGGAAAAAATTAATATGCTTTCTAGAGCTAGAGAATGGATTATAAAATCAACTTCACGTAATATGAATAAGTAAAGTGAGGCCAGATGTAATGCTATAAAGGAGAATGGAGACCATGCTGAAGTGGGGAAAACATTTTCTACCTATAAAATTTTAAATTTATTGTTAATACCATCTTGGCCAAATAAAACTTGTCTAGTGGGTAGTTTTAGTCCAGTGGCCTGAGTGTCTGATGTCTTGATTGGTAAATCGAGAGTTTATACTACGAAATACTGCTGCACTGTGGAGCCGGTAGGCTCTGGATTCAGAATGGCTATCACGAAATATGAATCTGTTCCATCATATTATAGATTGGAACATGACATAATATGATTTGTAATGTGTTTGGAGTAACTAATAAAATCTCTTACCCAAGAAGCAAGGAGTTTAGAGCAGCATAGTTAATTATGAAAGGAGAATCTCCCCATCAGGCGATACAAAAATCATAGAGTTAGAATGAAATGGGCAAATTCTCTTTAGCAATCTGGCCCCACAAAAAAGTAGCTATGTCTATTTTGTCATTACAGACTTGTTAAGTTAACAAAAGTAGAAATGTCTGTTAACTCTCCCAGCAGACATTTTCATTTACTCTTCTCTGCACATTTCCACTGGATATATGTTTGTTCCTAAGGTCCTTTACTCAAGGCTAGGCATTACCTAATTTACTTGTGAAAATGTGCCAAGAAAAGGATCAGTGATTATTCTTGCTTCATTATTTAAAGCCTACTTTCATGAATGTAATGCAGTCATCATTCCTATGTATTGTCATCAGAGTCGAGAGTTGGGACGACAGAGAGTAGAAATCCTATAACAGGCATTAGAATTTTTAGTAGATAATACCAAAAATTGAAGCAGAGTCAGTATGTCAGACTCTAAGTTTGGCTTGGTAAAAAATCCTCTTTGTAAATTAAAAAAAAAAATTACCAGACTGCCAGCTTAAAAATATTATGTGTTTCCAAATAGATGAGAAATGTTTGAGGTGATAAATATTCCAATTACTCTGATTTGATCATTACACATTATATGCATATATCAAAATATCACACATACCCCTATTAGTATGTACAATTATTGCGTATTAATAAAAAGGAAAAACATTTGATGCAAATATAATTCTTGTGTATGTGTGGTCTTAATTGATATTCTTTTAACCAAGCTTACTGAGATATTTATATTGAGTAAACTATATCGTGTTCAGGGTAAAAATGTATATGTTATGTGTCTGCCTGTTATCTAGAAGATAAAGGCCACTTTCTTCACAGTCTGACCCCATTTTGTCTTTATAGTCTCATGCACTCTCCTCTTAAGCCCACGCCACTGACCAGGCACCCTTGACCATACCATGGACCTACATAACTCTATCATTTGTACATGCTATGCCCACCACCTGAAATTTCCTCTCCTGCCTTTTTCCCTTGTGCCTATCTACTCAAATTTTAAGACCAACCTCAATGTCACCCCAATGAACTCTTCCCTGACTCTACTCCCACTAGGCAGAATTAAATACCACCTCTCAATTGCTAGCAAATCTCTTTTTCACACCTTTATTAGAACATTTCTCTCATCATTTTTGTACATATTTTTGTGTGTCTATTTCTCTTGTTGCATTTCGGACTCTTAGAGCATGTACTATAATGTTTTCATCTTTACATCCCTGATATGTAGGACAGTATCTGATGCACAGAAATAAATAATTCATTTAGCATTCACTCAGCTTTAATAGTCATAAATAAAAACCAACATACATATGTCACTCTTCTTTTAGTAGCATATACTGCAGAGTAATGGAGTAAACCACGCTAAAACTGTTGGTTTTGATTTAATTGCCTGGTGTGATTGAAGATTCCCCTTCATGGATGAGAGAGACAGATAGAGAAAGGCCTAGGAGTCTGGCTAGGGAAGTCTAGCAATAAGTCAAATCCCGATTAGACAGAGGAGGAAAGATCAGATGGATATTGAAGGTCACAACAGAGCAGTAGGTTGAGTTTGGATAAATAAATAGGGGTTGAAAGAACAGTTATATATCAGTTCAGCTAGAAGACTGGTCAAGGGTAGAGACTTTTCACTGGCGTCTTGAGTTTCAGGCAGATCTCTAAATTTAGTAAAGTAGACTCCACAATCTTAGGGCCCTGAATGAGAAATTGGTTCGCTAGTTCCATTTATGACTTTATTACTGGGCACAAGGTCTGGTCAAATCCACATAGGTGGCTAGGTAGGTAGATAGGTAGATGAATAGATAGATAGATAGCTTAACAAACAGACGACTGTCTACAAGGAGTTTATGTTATAATCTCGGTTAACCTCTGGATGTTCCTTGTTCCCCAAGACGCCAAGACTTCCTGTCTTTCCTCACAGTTTCAGTCATGAATGTCAGCTCTCGTTCTAATGAGCTTTTTAATCACACAGTCGTGATCCAGTAGGTACAGCTTTCCTTGATTAGTGATCTTAATTTATCTTTGCTTTGAGAGTACCTTACATCTGCAAGACATTTAAGTATGTTGTCTCATTTCATCTTTTCAACAGCCTGTGATGTCTATTTTGCCTCCATTTTACAGATAATGATCAAAGCTTATGTGTGGCACTTGTTGTGACACTTCTATACATTAGTGTATTGAATGTGATTACCTGTTTTGCTCCTTTGTTGAGTTCTAATTGTGCACAACATGCAATACTCCCTTAAATCCATAACCTTCCTGTAATATTTAAAATGGTCTATTCTTACAGACTACTTGAGTTCTGTTTTCTTCCACTGTTAAGAGAGTCTATGTCTCATCAAGTAGAACATCTAGTAATAATTCCATTGAATATAAACTTGTCTTTGAAATGTTTCTGTATTATCCAGTTCAGGTTGCTAAAACAAAATGCCTTTATACTATTGCTTCCAAATCTTAACTATTGGAAACAGTGCCGCAACAAACATAGGAGTGTAGATATCTATTACAGCATAACTGGGTTATTATTGTTAATAAAAACATTTTAAAATAACTTAAAGAGTGTAATTGGATTGTTTGTAACTCAAAGGATAAATGCTTGAGGGGATGGATACCCTATTCTCCATGATGTGCATATTTCACAGTGCATGCTGTATCAAAACATCTCATGTATCCTATAAATACATACACCTACTATGTACCCACAAAAATTTTAAAAAACTGAAAAATGCCTTATCCTGATTGATTTATAAACCACAGAAATTAATTTCTCACAGTTCTGGAGGATGGAAGTTCCAAGATCAAGGCGCCAGCAGATTTGGTGCCTGGCCAGGGTTCTCTGCTTCATGGATGATGCCTTCTAGCTGAGTCTTCCCATAGTGGAGGAAGCAAAGCAGCTCTCTAACCCCTCTTTTATAAGGGCATTAATCCCATTCACAAAAGCAGAGCCCTCATCACCTCCGAAAGGCTTCTAATACCTTCGTCACCTGCTGATACCATCAGCTTGGTGATTAGGTTTCAATATGTGAATTGGGTGGGGGGATGAAAATATTCAGATTACAGCGGTTTCTCAGGTTTTTGGTTTTGGGTTTTGTTTTTTGTTTTTCTATTCAGTTGCATGTCTCTTGAATCTGCTTCTGTTCATCTTTGCCTCCTATTTTCTCATTCCCATTTTTTTTGTACTTCTGCTCTTTCAAGTACATTTTAAGAGACACTTTTCTTCTTTCACTGATCTTCGAGCATGAAGTTCTTTTCAAGGCACTTAGGAAAATGGAAGTACTTAGGACATTCATGAACAGAATGTCTCGAGAGCTGCAAAAGTTAACGTGAGAAAAGCTGATAGAAAAGTTGCCTAGTTCATCAGAGTTTTACTCTTTAAAAAGCAGCAAGTTATAATCCCTTCTTAAATAGCAAGCAAAAGCAAGTGGTCTCATTTCACTTCTTGAAATAGACAAAGTGAAACTAATAATTGACTTGTCAATTTACTACGACTATTAATTCCCTGCACGCAAAGTTGGACTTCGTTAATTTAGGATTCACGTTTTCTTTCTGAATATAATTATCTGACTATATACAGAAAGGTAGTTTGAAGCCAGCTAGTTATTGTTTGAGCATTTAAAGTTAAAAACTATGTAGACATTAGTAAATATCCATTTAGAAAACCTGTAACAACTGGATCAAAATTAATCTTAACTGAGAAGTTAAATTTGACTTACGATATTTTTATGACATTTACAGTGCATCTTGCTCATGGCTTGTAAATATATGTTAACTTTAAAGAACTTGCCAGGAGTGGTGGCTCACGCCTGTAATGCCAGCACTTTGGGAGGCCGAGGTGGGCAGATCACCTGAGGTCAGGAGTTTGAGAGCAGCCTGGCCAACATGGTGAAACCCCATCTTGACTAAAAATACAAAAATTAGGCACGCATGGTGGTGGGCACCTGTAATCCCAGCTACTCGGGAGGCTGAGACAGGACAATCACTTGATACCGGGATGCAGAGGCTGCAGTGAGCCGAGATCGTGCCACTCCACTCCAGCCTGGGTGACAGAGCAAGCCTCCATATCAAAAAATAAATAAATCATGAACTTGGTAAGGTTTATGTAGAAATAGAGGTGCTTTTATTATGTAAATGTTTGCTGTATTAACTTAGGAACATAATTTGCAATTTTTCCTAAAGGCTGACATTTACCAGGTGTGAGGTTTCATAAACACTAGTATCAGAAAAACATTTCCAGTTGTGAAAATGATTATAAGAACAGAAGTATTGGCCAGGTGCGGTGGCTCACACCTGTAATCCCAGCACTTTGGGAGGCCGAGGTGGGTGGATCATGAGGTCAGGAGTTCGAGACCGGCCTGGCCAACATACTGAAACCCCGTCTCTACTAAAAATACAAAAATTAGTCAGGCATGGTGGTGGGTGCCTGTAATCCCAGCTACTCAGGAGGCTGAGGCAGGAGAATCACTTGAACCTGGGAGGCGGAGGTTGCAGTGAGCCAAGATCATGCCATTGCACCCCAGCCTGGGCAATAGAGTGAGACTCCGTCTCAAAAAAAAAAAAGAAAGAAAGAAAAGAAAAGAAGTATAGTCACAAGGTGAGCATGTTATTTTAAACTTCAATGACTTAAAAAATATAAGTATTGATTTTAATTGCACGATAGCATAATATTGAAAATAAGAGAGAAACTGACTTTATTCTAGTCTGTGAGAACAGGTTCTCAGTGGGGAGATAAGACTAAGATTCTCATAGTTTATTGAAATAATGATCAATTCAATTATCAAATGCAGGATAGCATTTTGTATTCAGTTTAATAATCCATCAGCTTTTCAAATAACATGTTTTAATTGTTTTAATATTATAGATTATTTTCACTCTTAAAGTATCATTTTCCAAATAAAGAAGTATCATGATATAAGCCATTGGGTAGTGGTCTTGCCACTGACTAATTGAGAATCTCAGTGGTCTGAGGATTTTAATTTCCAACTGTCTATGGCAATGATTCTTCACTAGGAATGGACATGATAAATACCTGTAGAGCTTTTACAAAACATATGCACCTAGTTTCCTTGATCCCCTGCCTCCCCCCACCCCCCTAAAGATTTATTTATTTATTTATTTATTTATTTATTTATTTATTTAGAGACTGAGTCTCGCTCTGTCGCCCAGGCTGCAGTGCAGTGGTGCGATCTCAGCTCACTGCAAGCTCCGCCTCCCGGGTTCACGCCAGTCTCCTGCCTCAGCCTCCCGAGTAGCTGGGACTACAGGCGCCCGCCACCACGCCCAGCTAATTTTTTGTATTTTTAGTACAGACGGGGTTTCACCATGTTAGCCAGGATGGTCTCGATTCTCCTGACCTCGTGATCCGTCCACCTCGGCCTCCCAAAGTGCTGGGATCACAGGCATGAGCCACCGTGCCCAGCCTAAAGTTTAATTTATTACATCTGGAAGGGAAGCTGAGCAAGGTCTGCAAATTTTGAAAATTCAGAGAAATACACATCAAATCTACAGTGAGATATCACCTCACTCTAATTAGAATGGCTACTATAAAAAAAAAAAACAAAAGATAACAAATGTTGGTGAGGATATGGAGAATAAACCCTTCCATACTGCTGGTGGCAATGTAAATTCATACGGTCATTAGGAAAAACAGTATGGAAGTTCCTCCAAAAATAAAAAATAGAACTATGATATGTTCCAAGAATCCTACTACTGGATAGCTATCCAAAAGAAATTGAATCAGTAATTTGAAGAGATATCTGCACCCCCATGTTTATTGCAGCGCTATCCACAATAGCCTGGATATGGAATCAACTTAAATGTTCATCAGTGGATGATTGGGTAATGAAAATATGTTGTATATACACAATGAAATACTATTCCATCATGAAAAGAATGAAATTCTGTCATTTGCAGCAACATAAATGAACATTGGGGACATTGTGTTAAGTGAAATAAGCCAGGCACAGAACAACAAACACCGCATGATCTCACTCACACGTGAAATCTAAAAGGTTGTTCTCATGGAAGTAGGGAGTAGAATAGTGTTTACCAGAGGATGGAGAGGGTAGGAAGATGGGGAGGGGTGGCGAGAGATTGGTCAATTGGGTACAAAGCTATAGTTAGATTGAAGGAATAAGTTCTGGTGGTCTGTTGCATAGTAGAATGACTAGCATTAAAAAGAATGTATATTTCAAAATAGCTCGAAGAGAGGTTTTTGAGTGTTCTCATAAAAAAGAAATGATATTTAAAGTGATAGATATGCTAATTACCCTGATTTGATTATTACACAATTTACACATATATGGAAACATCATGTTGTGTCCCATAAGTATGTCTAATCATGTGTGAACCACTATAGGAAAAAAAACCTCTGACCTGGTGGGTTTGATGTTTTCTTAGTCATTATCATGATCTCTCTATATTCTAGAGCTCTTTGCTCTCCATGTGAGGGAGCTAACAGACCTTTCTGGGTGATCTCATCAGAAAGGCTGTTAGTGCCAAGAAAGGAAGACTTTATAACTCAGGCACAGAGAGTCCCAGTGAGGCTCTGAAGATCTTTTCAAGTGGAAGCTTGTATGACAGGACACTACACTGGGGAATGAGGGTGGGAGTGAGGTGGAGAAAGAAGGCACTTCTCAGAGCATAGTAAAAATTTAGCAACAATTTGAGTCACTTACCTTACTAAAAAGTTATCTTTATATCTATGTTAGTTTTCTGTGGCTGGTGTAATAAATTACTTGATGGCTTAAAACAACAGAAATTTATTCTCACAGTTCTGGTGGCCAGAAGTCTGAAATTAAGGGCTGAAACCCCTCAGGAGGTTCTAGGAGAGAATCTTTGCCTCTTCCAAGGTCTATGGCTGTCTACATTATTTGTCTTGCGGCCGCACCAGTCCAACCTCTGCCTGTGATCAACATTGCCTCCTCATCTTCTCTGTTTTTCTTTCCCTTCCATCTGTCTCAGCTCTTCCTCTGCCTTTTCTTTAAGGTCGCTTGTCATTGAATTTAGAGCCCACTTGGATAATTGAAATTGATCTCTTTATTTCAAGAAGCTTAACTTAATTATATCTGCCAAGACCCTTTTTCCAAATAAGGTAAAAAATTTTACAGTTTCTGGAGTTGTAAAACATGGTTATATCTTTTGTGGGGGTGAGGCGGGCACGATTGAACCCACTATAGTATCTGTCACATGCTCTGCTACATTCACAAAAACTGATACTTAGTAAAAGTTCATGAGATTATAAACAGTGAAGTATCAACAAGACCCCTCATTCAATAATTATCAGGGTTGCTTCTCTCTCTCTCTCTCTCTCTCTCTCTGTGTGTGTCTGTGTGTGTGTGTTTGTGTGTTCTGTGTTCATGTGTGTTGTGCTTTGTGGTCTTTTTTTTTTTTCACTTGAAGAGTATTCCCATTTAGCCCTTGAAGTTACCAAATGGGGAAGACATTACCAAAAACTATCCATTAACATAAGAGTTTTGTGGAGCACAATAAGTAAAGCAAAGGGAAACATCCCTCTAACCCTTTCCCAGCAAGAAAAAACAAGATAATCCTGGTAGTTCCGAGAAAGCAAAGAAAGTTAGCTCTAACTCTTTGTAGTGAATTTTACAGTATTCAGTTGTTCTCGTACATTTGTCAAGAGTTGATTCACCTGCAATAGAAAAGGATGTCTGTTTACAAGTGGATCAATGATTATATCTACTAATGGAAAATGGTAGATTGTTCCCAAAGTCTTCACAAATAAAATCTCGGAGATAATATATCTTTCTCCGTTAGTAGACACATCGTAGTATCTAACCATAATGATTACAGGCATACCTTTTTTAAACTATGGGGGCAGTCACAGTGCTCAGCATTGCAGGTTTTAACCTTCATCAGCAGAGTCAGATATTAAAAAGCTTATTTCACGTTGTATGCCTGTATCAAAACATCTCAGGTAGCCTATAAATATAACACCTACTGTGTGTTCACAAAAATAAAAAATAAAAGTTCTCAATGTATTAATAAGAAATCATGCATTTATCAAGCACTTGTTCAATGTTTGTTTGAAAGTGGTAGGTAAATACCAAAATGAATGCACTGTATGAGTTTAGGGATGAAGAGCTTATTTCAAAAGCTCGGTCAAGCAAGGCCTAATGGTGAAAATGTTATGTGAACTCTACCTTAATTAAGGTGTAGGATTTAAGCAGACATTGATGAAGTATTAATAGAAAGACATTGCTGAAAGACCAGCATTAGGAGAGGCAGAGATGACAGAACATATGTTGGCTTTTGGAGTGGGCAACTGTTGTAGCCAACTGAAGAAATTCAGCCAACTGAACTGATGAAAAATAGTGCTGGAAAAAATAGTGTAGACACATTACGAATTTAGATACACTTTCAATGGAATATATCACAATGGAATGTGTGTATGTATATACATATATATTCTGTTGAAAGTTTCAATTTCTTATACAATTAGGAAAGAAAGAGAGCCCAATTAATAAGGTAGTCTCATAATACATTGTAGAATGAATAAGAGGAAGTAGGAGCCAGAGGTCAGAGAGCCAACTGGGAAACTAATTGTCTAGGCAAAAAGTAATAGAGTAGGATTTGCAAAAGGTCAGAGTTGAGGGAAATTGACTTTCAGAGAAGTATAAATCTTATTGTTGTGTAGACTAATGCTAAGTAAAGTTGACAGATAGGAGTCAAAGAAAGTAGATTTTAATTATGGTTGAGTGGGAGGAAGGTGATATCAATAATAAGAAAAAGAATGTTGTAAAGAGGAGCAACATTTGTGGGAAATATGTTGAGTCAAACTGTGGTTACACGACGATAGTACATTCTGACAAGTCTCTCCCACAACTGGAAATATGTACAGAGCTTTAGTGAGGTATTCGGGCTGGACTTGTATTTGAGAGATTCTCTTAAAGAAGTAACAAAGGAAGTCAGATATTTATTGATGGGAAGGATAACTTACTTTCTCATTTGATCTCAGTATTATTGGAATAATTAAGCATACTAATTCCTGAATTTCTTATTTTCCTCTTGAGGACAGGAAATGTGTTTTATTTACCTCTGAGTAATCAGCTGATAGATTGTCTTCAAAAAGTTCCTCTTGAATTACTAGAGTTTAGGTTGCCGTGTTTCTGAGATTATCTTACTTTTTCAAGTTTAATGGAATTTAAAAAAAAATTTACTATATTTACTGTTGTATCCTGAAAACAAAAGTATTTCTATGAGTTTTACTGTAATCCTATTATCATCTCACTGCTTAATCTTTCAGGTTTCCAAATACTTTTAAAATTTACTTTAATTGTTTTTAAATGTAATGAGATGTTATTTTAAAAACTGTTGATTATTTCTACAAATGTGTCATGTCCATTAAAAGTCACTCATTCATAAGTATATATTATCAAGTTAATGTACTAGCGAGACATCATAAATTATGCTTCATCTTTCTGCTGTTAATTCACATTATTCTCCTTCTATCCAGGGAAAGAAGGTACTATATATACATGTTATTAAAATATTTAGAATCTTTGAATAATTTAAACAACATTTTAAATAACAGAATATGGAAGAAAATAGAAAAAAAGTTAATTGATTCAATATTTTTTTTCAACAATTTCTTTTAAATATATAGACAAACCCATACTTGGCATTTATTTGGAACTGTGTCTGTTTGCATTTAAATTTTTGTGACCTGCTTACCAATTTTAGGTTTTGTATTGTTTTCTTCTTCCTTTATTTATCTTTCCATGCTATATTGATTCCTGAGTGTTTGAGGGACTTCCATTTTCCAGCTCATTTAAGTGCATTTCATCCTGCTGTGTTGGTCATCAGCAAGACACGAAAATGGTACTGAAATGGCCACATAATGCAATGTGATTTGAAACGAAGGGGAATTGCACTTGTCTGTTGGGCAAGGAATATTTATCCTGGGTTGCTCGATGTATTTAGAAAGTCAAGAGTTATCAGGTATTTATTTGTAAGAGTACAGAGAATCTTGAATGCTAGTGATTCCAAGACATTTAGATTTCAGGAACCAGTTGAATTATTTAAACAAACAAACAAAAAATAAGTAACGGGACCATAATAAAGGTGCCAAATGATGTTATTAAATGATAAAGAATTAAGATCTGCTATTAATGTAATATGGAATTTCTAAAAGGAGCAGTTTAAAATCCAAAACTTGGAAGGTTTCTCAGAGGAAGTGCTGATCATTTGAATTCAATACATTCAATTTTATATTTGTCTTAAAAGCTCACTATAGAGCCGAGATTGCGCCACTGCAGTCCGCAGTCCGGCCTGGGCGACAGAGCGAGACTCCGTCTCAAAAAAAAAAAAAAAAAAAAAACTCACTATACTGTTTTCTGCTGCTACCAAATTTTGCATCTAAGAGCATCTGAGACATAGCATGATTGTTAATGATCGTGTCCTGCCTCTAAGAAACACTACAATCATAATACGTTTTGTTTTCTCTACCCTAAAATAAAATACTTGAGAGTGAAAACCAATGCAAATGTGCAATATATTTTCCCCATATTTGGGAATGGAATGTCCTCACTGATATGTGTGTGTTTTGTATTTCATTTACAATGAAGGTGACACAAAGAATTTATTCTCATTACAGTTGTATGTGTATACACTGTAGAATCATGTTGTGAAAGCCATCTTATATAAAATATAAGTTTCCCCTCTCTTTTTGCCCACAGCCTTACCCCACTACCCAGAGGTAAACACCTGCAACTATAGCTGATGTTTGGTATTTAGTTCCATGCCTCAAAATCACATGCTGTACTAAGAACGCATTTTTCTATTTTTTAAAATTGATTTATTGATTTAATATGTTGACTTCTCAGTACTGTAGATTAAGATATAGTTCTCTATCAAATTCTTACCCTTCCTACACAAATATGCATTTCCTGCCTTCTCATTCTCCCATGTAGTAATTTTGGCTCCCGTGCTATCTGCCAGTTGTTTGCAATTATGAAAACTCTAGCAAAAGCTGAGCCACTTATAGTAAATTTCCATCTCTTTCTCTCTTTGATTTGCTTTTTGGGACCTTTCCTACACTTTGTCTTCCTGTCTTCTTACTGAATAATTTTTCTAATACGTATTTGTAATTATTAAGAGTTTTCATTTTTCTGCATATCTCTTTTTCTATAGCAGCCTATTCTTGTCACATGGAGTCAAGAGCATCTCTTCTCATTCTGAAAACATTGAAGTTAGTTATTTTGTCTGATTTTGTTTTGTGGGGTTATTTTTCTCTCTACATAATCTTTATTTTTCCCAAGTTCCTATTGTCTGTTTGGTTGCATGTTTGAGTCTCCCTCATGTTCAAGGCTTCCTTTGATTTTTTGATGGTCCTTGGTTGTCTACTCATTAAGTAGAGGTCACTAAAAAAAGTGCTTGGTAATTCTTAGCAGAATGTTGATTGTGGATCTTCTGGTTTGGTTTTCTGCTGAGTTGAGAAATTTCTGCTGTTGGTATCTTTAGGTCTTTTGTTTTGCACTGGTCAGATTCACAGAGAATAGTCCTCCAATATCCAGCCTGTCTTTCTGCATTTGAGAGATGAGCGGGAAAAGGTTTCACATTTGGCATAAAAGTGCGTTTCAGCTGCATGTTTATGGGTCTGGTGTCCTGCAGTGCAGAGACTCTCTTTCAACCTCTCAAGAGAATAAACATATTGTCCCTGTGATGACAAAGAAGGGAAATCAATAGCTACCTTATTCATAAACAGACATTTGACAGACCCTCTTATTTCCTCCCAATTCTTACTCTACCTTCCATAGGCAGCTGGTGTCATCATTCACTGAGCCCTTCTGGAGGTTCTGCATTGGCAATCAAGTTGATTCTTAGCTTCAACCGCTGTTGGATTAGGATTCAGCTTTTTCAGGCTTCTAAGTGTGTTACTACTTATTCATTAACTTTCCAGCTTCTAAAATTCTGCTGCCGTGGTGTCCTTCCTTGTTTTCTTTGTCATTATGGGTTTGTGCTTAATTTAAAATCCCTTCATTTATATTTCCATGTGATTTTAGAAGGGAAAAAAACTCTACTTCTGTGTTGAATTCACTACCATTACCTGATAGCCTGCATGTGACTTTAGGAAATTGGTTCCTGACATTTTATCAGACAACAGCATAAAAACTAAACTGTCAACAAGTCTTCATAGAGGATTTATGAGCTTGAGCAATAATTGCAATACTCTCTATAAGCTAAACTGACATAACTCTAAATGAAAGTGAGCAGTGTCATGTTTGCTATTGTTGATGTGCTGTGGACAACGTGAATGACAGTCAGTTTTAATTAGCCCACGGATAATTGCAGTCATGTACCTAAGTCCCATTAATGGTCACTTTTTAACACCTATAACATGGAAGTAGTGAAATGATTCATTTCTTTTTTTTTTTTTGAATATGGTAGAGAAGGTCAACTATGCTTTTGAGGTAGGAATTATTGATAGGATACTTCTAGTTGGCTTAGCATTTTCATATCTTTTTAGCTTAACTATCCATTGTGAGACTAAGCTTATTACTGTCATGTAAGATTCGGTTAAGTAGCACTATTCATATCTACAATCTACCATGTGGAGTGATTTGTCATCATTTAAGGAAAACCCGTACATCAGATATAATAAGCAGCTATTCTTCTGGTTAACCTTTTAATACATATTATTGGGCAGCAAAATCAAAACAGAATCTGTTGTGTCATCTCTTTGGTACCCAGGCAT
This sequence comes from Homo sapiens, assembly GCF_000001405.40. Lineage (NCBI taxonomy): Eukaryota > Metazoa > Chordata > Mammalia > Primates > Hominidae > Homo > Homo sapiens. The sequence goes on from NC_000023.11 coordinate 29,694,149, forward strand.
TTTCTACACAATTGTAACAAGACTGCTCTGGAAATAGCTATAAATGGATCCTGCTGAGATCTGCTTTTTCTCAATTATCTTATCCTGTCAAACAAGGGATTTTTCTCCTCTTCACTTTCTCCTCCATTTATAAGGATGTAATTTCAGCTTGCAAATTCGATTTTATCCTTTATTGTTAGAGCAAGAGATTTCCCAGTTTTGATCCAGTCTCCACACTTATGGAGGGCCCAGTGTGAATGCAGTATGCATATAGATATCAATCAGGGATAGCAGGTCATTCCAGCCAGAAAAACTGATGTTTTTGCGTATATGTATATATGAATGATAATATAGGGTGATGGTGCCTCAGTCTACTTGTGCTGCTATAATAAAATACCATAGACTGGGTGGCTTATGAACCTTGAAATTTTATTTCCCACAGTCCTGGATGCTAGGAAGTCCAAGATCAAGGCACTGGTGGATTCAGTGTCTGTTGAGAGCCTGCTTTCTGGCTCATAAACAGTGCCTTCTTGCTGTGTTCTTATAAGGTAGAAGGAATGAGGGATCTCTCTCAGGGCTTTATTTTTTATAAGGGAATTAATTGCATTCATCAGAGTTCTAGCCCCGTGACCTAATCACCTTCCCAAGGCTCCACCTCCTAATGCCATTAGCTTTGGGTTAAGATTTTGACGTAATAATTTTGGGGGAACAAACAGTCAGACCATAACAGATGGATATGGAAAGAGATCTTTAGGGACACCGTAGTTGGGATGGTTATATCTACTTAGAGGGGCTGGACAAGGCTCCTTCAGGGAGACAGTGTTGACTTTGAGATTCAAAGGATGAATATAACTTCTCCAGGTGGAGAAATGTACAATGACCAAAAACAATATCTGCAAAACTCATGAGCAGGGAAAAATCTTAAGTGGTTACAATGAAGAAATGCCTTGAAATAGAATTAATGAAATTTCACCTTTAGGTCTAACTATGACAGTATCTAACATTTACTGAGGACTACTCATGTGCTAAACACAATGCTAAGATAATTATTTCATTTAAAACACCAACTAGATTATAAATCACATTTTACAAATAAGGAGCTTGAGGTACAGAGAGGTTTCCCAAGGTCACTAATTATTGGAGAAAATGAGACTTGAACCCAAGAAGTATGATGGTAAGACTCATAGTATTCAGTGATATGCTAACAACAACTGACACAAATAGTTCTTTCTGTCAGCTATAGTTGTACTTTGGTCTCCAGTTATATAATTTGAAGATACTTGCAGTCATAGTTCAGGCTGCTATAGCAAGGTACCATAGGCTAGGTAGCTTAAACAACAAACATCTATTTCTCATGGTTCTGGGGGCTAGATGTCTGAGATCAAGATGTCAGCATGATCTGTTTCTTGGAGAGGGCCCTCGTCCTGGTTATGTTCTCATTTAGACTTTCCTTGGTGCTTGCAAGGTGGCGAGAGAGAGAGAGAGAGAGAGAGAGAGAGAAACAGAGAGAATCTTTTATCTGCTCCTCTTTTTAAAAGGAGAATAACTCTATTATGAAAGATTCATCCTTACGTCATAATTACCTGCCAAAGGCCCCAACTCCAAATGCCACCACACTGAGGATTAGCGTTACAACATATGAATTCTGCTGGTACACAAACATTCACTCCTCAGCAATGGGGTACCGAGAGCAGCATCACATGTGGGACTGTGGTTGATGATGGTGATAAAGATACTGAAACTTATGCTATTCTTATTGCTAAATCATGACCACACTTTACATTTTAATGGAAAACTTCAGAATAGATGGCAATGTATATTTTCATAATAAAAATAAAATCTCTTCTGGTAAATTTAAGTACGTATTGGTCAGTTGAGTAGTTTATGAGATGTCTTTCCCTATAGATCATAGAATTTTAGTGAGGCCTTAGAACAGGGTTTCTCATCCTCGGCACTACTGACATTTTGTGCTTAATGATTCTTTGTTGGGAGGGGTTATATACTATAGGATATTTATCAGCATCCCTGGCCTCTACCCACTAGATGCCAGTACCAGTCCCCCAGTTGAGCCAACCAAATATTTCTCCAGACATTGCCAAATATCCCCTGTAGGGCAAAAGTCATCCCAAAACCCAGGTTGGGAAACCACAGATTTAGAGAAGTCTAGTATAATCCCCTCAACTTTACCCAAAAAGAGAATTGACGTGCTGTAAGCAAGGTCATACAGCTAAACTGTGGCAGAATTTTGATTAGATCTCAGGTCTCCTGAGCCCAAAATCATATTTCACATATAACAAACTGTGGTGTCTTCCACTTAAAGCAGTGCCTTCAGAACATATGATTTAAAAAGTACACATATATCATCCATAACAGCTCGGCAGACAGGTAGAATAAATGCAATTTGATCAGTGGAAATGCATGGTGCGAAAAGTTATGATTTGTCCCAGGTTGCCTACCTAGCATGGAAGACATCCTGAACACAAGACTTCAGATGACAGCTCTGATGCTCTTTCCAATATCGTTGCTTACCGCAGTTGGTCAACATGAGCTTGGTTTGAGAAAGGAGCAACAGAAAAGTTTTTGGGGAACATTTCTAAATCATTGCTTTCATTTCCAGCACTCTGACCCTATATCTTTTGTAGGCAAAATAATAACAATCGCCTTTTTTTTTTTAAATTGGTAGAGAGAAGGAAGTCATAATATTCACATAGATATTAGCTATTTACTAACTTGTGCCTCGGCATAATTTTTCTTATACTTGAATGATTAGAGAATAACTGTCCTCAAAAACATAAAATGGAAAGTTACATTACTTTATGTTATGGATGCCTCATCTATAAAGACGTGACTACCAGTGATTCCTAAAGACTTATAGAGAGTTATAAGTGAAGTCATATTCCAAAGCCTCTGCTGTTTGGGATTTTTTTATAGGTCACTGTCATGTAGTGATATGAAATAAAAATATTTAACTATCCGCCTCTTTCCATTCATCACTGCACTGCCGCAAGTGAGGGCTTTATGGAGATAAACGATCTGGCTTTGAACACACACCTGGCAAGTCACAATGGTAAAATGTCGACCCTTTCTGAGAAGTGAAGTGTAAGCAGTTCTGAGCAGACCCACCAGCTACGATGCTGCACATTTGGTTGTTTCTCTTTTAAAAATAAACTCAGTCTGAAAGTTTAAATTATGTATAGTTTGTATAGTGGCTTACATACAACTGTAAGAATGATCAAAGGAAAAAAGGACAAGGTTTGTATATCTGCATATTAATGTTTTAATTTTAAAAACAGGTAGCCCTAAATTAACATAAGATGTTTCCACAATGTTTTTAACTGACTGAATTCTGTGGGCAAAATGTATGTGTGTGTCTGTGTGTGTGTGTTTGTGTTTGTGTGCTTGTGGTGTGTACTACCTGAAACGAAAGTTGGTCCAATAAAATGAAGTTAATATCTTTAAAAATTTGGAATAAATTCAGAAATGTTCTATATATACTCCAGACATTTAAGTAAAGTGGTATTTAAAGTCCTCCTTACAGTTATCAAGTCTGGAACTGGTGGAGCAGTATGCATCTCTGACCATTACATCTAATGAATCACCAAGTTCTATTGACAATACATCCAAAATATATTCCAAATCTGCTCACTGCTCTCCTTCACAGCCGACATGAGCGCATTAGCCACTGTCAGCATCTCATTAGGAGTACCGAAGTTGCTTCTTAATTGTTCTTTCACATCTACACTTGCTCCCTTCTGATTAATTTGGCCCAAAGCAACCAGAATGACCTTTCTAAAGCGTAATATGGACCATGGCACCATGCTTTTTAAAATCCTTCCCATGTCTTTCCATTGTACTTGGAATAAAATTTCAAATTCTAAACACGAAACATAAGGTCCAGTGTGACTTGCCCTCTCCTCCCCTCATCTTTACTTTCACCACCTTCTCTCATCCCATCTTTTCTAAGCTCCAAGAACACCCCTCCATGCATCAAACTTTTCCCAACTAAAGCTTTCACACATGGTCTTTACTATTTCTGGAATGTTCTTTTTTTTTTTTTTTTTGAGATGAAGTCTTGCTCTGTTGCCCAGGCTGGAGTGCAGTGGTGCGGTCTCGGCTCACTGCAACCTCCACCTCCAGGGTTTAAGCGATTCTCCTGCCTCAGCCTCCCGAGTAGCTGGGATTTTCCCATACCTTCATATGGCAATTTTTTATTCAGTATGCAGTTCTAAGCTTAAATATCAAATCCTCAATGAGTCTTTCCATGATTTCCCCAAAGTATCCTGGTTATTCGCTGTCTTAGCATTCTGTTTCTTTTCACTGTAACCACAGTCATATATGTAACTCTGGAATAACTTTGTGCATGGTTTTGTGCATGGTATATACCCAGTGGCTAGTTCAGTGCTGAGGACAAAAGGAGGGAAGGAGTGAAGGAAGGAAGAACAGAAGGATAGAAGGATAGAAGGAAGGGAGGGAGGGAGGGAGGAAGGAAGGAAGGAAAGACAGAAGGAAGGAAGTTGCCAGTTCTTCTTCCCAAAGGCAACCAGGATTGCAATTGCATGCCAAAATTTAATTGTTCTAATGATTTCTGAACTGGTTTTGCAGTGTTTGTTTGTTTCGCTTTGTTATTCTAAACCTTGGCTTTCGTCAACATTAGAAGGAAGGAATTAAGAAAGGAAGAATAGAAGTTAGAAGTGGGAAGTTCCTGCATTTAGGATTCTAATTCTAAACTTATTTCTTTTATTTTTATTAGTTCTCCATACAGAGAGTAGCCCTGTATACAACAATCATTCCTAACTTGATAACTGAACATAGGCCAATAGTTTTCAGTCTTCCATATAAAGTTAAGGCAAATATTACGTGTACATAACAGAACCTATTAAAATAGTCAAATCTATTATGTAGCATAAGATTATGTATCTGTTTATTTGATTTGACTTTTTAAAAATTAATTCATCTTTTTTAACAGGTAATGCTCTTGCATGGAACATAATTCAAAAATTATGAAAGGATTTACAATGAAAAGTCTATGTGCCAACCCCAGCTACTCAGTTTTTCTCCACAAAAGCAACCAGGATTTACAATTGCATGCCAAATTTTAATTTTGTTTTAATGATTTCTGAACTGGTTTAGTAGTTTGTTTGTTTTTGTTTATTTTGCTTTGTTATTTTAATCATTGGCTTTTGTCAACATTGGAATAGTTGCCTTAATGGTAACTACTATTACATAACTCATGTGAGTGGAACACGTGTGGTTATAAGAATTGTCCAGCATGCTGGATTCTATTACACAGTTATTTCATTTCCAAATATTTGTCTTTCTTGTAAAACAGTCATTATCAAATGACTTTGCTTTTACAGCCAAATGAGGAGACAGTTCTTGGATTTAAAGAACTTTGTTACAATGATTACTCAAGTACTTAGCAGAAAATTTTTCAAGCTTTTATTCCAAAGACTCTCTTTTAGAAACCCCAGCCAGAAATTCCAAATTTTCCCAGTGCATAAGTCACATCATGGCAAATTAGGTCTTCACTTTCTCTTTTCTGTAAAAAGTTACTAACTCCCTAATCAAGACTTTGTTCTGACGTTTTGATTGGTCTGGCCTTTTCAAGTAGATTAAATGTTATTGATTTTAAAAATAGTTTTCAACAGATTCTTTGTGAGTGGCTACTTCTAGACTGGCCTAAAGAGAAAGGATGACTTCACTCAAAAGTTCATAAAAGGAGAATACTGACAGTCAGCCTTTTTGTTCATAAGTTGATTTTTAAAAATAGAAATATGGTAGGACAAATTGTTGAATTATTTCTTTTTACTGGAGGCTGTGGGTATAGTGATGAATCTTCAAGTTGGAAGAATCAAGAAACAAGCATTCTGTTGTCCATACTTGGTATCTCTTTTTGTGATCTTGTGTTATTCAGTTGACCCATTGGTGCCTCTGTTTTCTCTTCTTTAAAACAAGAGGCATGAACCAGATTATCTCTTAGAAACTCCCAGGTTTAAAATCCTATTGAATGAAAAAAAAAGAAAGAATGAACTAAAGCCAAAAATTTTTAATAAGTTTGAGGCAAAAGACTGGTTTGCTTTTCCCTTATTTGATATGAAATGCACATCATACAATTAATATTTTGATCTCACTAGAGTCTAATAGAAATTACAGTATCACATCTTGTCAAACACAGAATCTTGGCTTCACAGTAATTCAGAGGTCAATTATTTATACAAATGGAGTTCAAGTTATAGATTTAATTTTCAGACCAAAAGTTTCTCACATTAAAACCCACTTGCTTCAGTTCATTTTGCAGATACGAAATATGTTTTCTTGGTATTATGAATCTCTTGTTTTACCCTCTGTTTCATTATGTAATCAATGGATGTGAAAAATGAAGGTGTCATGAAATGTCAGAATCTTTAAAAAAATCTTCAAAATTATTTAACTGCTATTTAATTGAAGAAGTTTTTCATAGGTATTGTATTAAATTATATTTATTTATATCTCATCAGAGTAACAGTATTACAGCTCTGCCGGAAGCTTATATTGAAAGAGAAATCACATAAATTCTCATGTAGCATATTTGTAAAGAAAGAATATGTTGACAACTTTCTTTTTGGTGACACGTCAGGAGTTGTGAGGGATTGAACTGCCTGCAATTATTGTTTAACTACATGAAATTACCATTTAAAAACTGTCCACTAAAAAAATACCAAATAAATTTGTAGACTCATAGCAGGAGACATTATACTTTATTTTTTAAAATAGCTGAACTTTTGGTAAGACGGAAAATTCCATGATTTGCCATAAATGTATAATTTATCTATAGAGAATAATTGTATTTGGATATAGTAATAAACTCTTTATGGAGTGTGCTGAATCTACAAACTTTCAGGAACTTTGATTACAAGGACCATCAGAGAAAGGAGAACTGAAATTTTACGTTACAAAATTGCTCTACCCAAATTTTCAATCAATTGTTAGAATAAGTTCAATGTTGGGTCATTTTTGTATTTTATGCTTCAAAGAAAATGACCATTCAGTGATTCATCTGGGGGCAGAATATCAGAGTGGTTAAGAAGATGGGGTCTGGAGCCAGACCACTTGGTTTCAAAATGTGGCAGTGTGTTTTAAGAAAATTACTTTAATACCTTGATGTTCAATGCATCCATCTTGAAAATGTTGGTAGCCTTCATATTTAACTTATGGGATTGTTGAGAAGATAAAATAGGCGAATATGAATAAAGATGGAAGACCTACAACAGTGTCAACATCTCAAGAAATGTTAGTTGTTGCTGTTGTTGTTTTTATTAGTATTATTCAAGAGGATGTGAAAATTGAAGTTTTGTCTGATGTGCCAATACCGTATATGATAATTGTCATATATTCAAGAGAGTATGAGACTGAATAGCTGGGAGGAAGCTTCAAAGTGGATAACTCAAAAGAATCTTCATGTCTTTGAAGACTTCACCCACTTTGAGAATATAAACGAATCTAGAATGGAGAGGCAGAGGGGGCTGGCCAAATTTGTTGAGAAAGAGCTGCTGCAGTGTATCCCATATCCTTCAGGTGGGGTGAGGCAGACCTTTTACACCTGACCTCCAAAGGGTGGAGAAGTCAGTGGGACCACTCAGAGAGGTTAATGAGCAGTGTACTGATGCCTCATTTATACCTGTGAGAGTTAAAGCATGTATGAACAAGGGGAAGAGAGAGAAAGAGTGAGAATAAAGGGCCACAAAATGATATCCCTGAGGGCTAGAGGAAGGCAAGAGGAGTAAAAGAAAGCATGAGTGTTTCTCACAGAGTAAATGTGAGCCACAGGGAAAAAAAGACCATCTGGAGACATTTTAAGACCTTCCTGGCCAGGCGCGGTGGCTCATGCCTGTAATCCCAGCACTTTGGGAGGCCGAGGTAGGCGGATCACCTGTGGTCAGGAGTTCGAGACCAGCCTGGCCAGCATGGCGAAACCCCAGTGCTACTAAAAATACAAAACCTAGCTGGGCGTGGTGGTGTACACCTGTAATCCCAGCTACTCTGGAGGCTGAGGCAAGAGAATCACTTGAACCCGGGGACGGAGGTTGCAGTGAGCCGAGATTGCGCCACTGCACTCCAGCCTCGGCAACAGGGCGAGACTCTGTCAAAAAAAAAAAAAAAAACCTTCCTAGGAATAGACTCTCCAGGTAATGTGGGTCCTTAGAGATGCTAGTTCTAAGGAGACAGTGACCATCCAAATGGGAGGCTCACACAATCACAGGAGTTGGGTGCAAGCTGGGGACCAATGACAAACCCACAGAAGTACCCAGCAGTGAAAGATTTATTTGTAGACATTTGCCGTTCACCAACCAAATAAGAATAGTTTTGCCATTATGTCTCTTTCTTTACTCCTCCCTGCCTCTGTGTTCCTAAGTGTGGATATGACAGGGCGGGGAAGCTGGTGGTCTAGGTGACCCATTATAAGGTGTATCAAGGACAAAGGGAGATCTCTGAGCTTTGACTGACAATTGAAATGTTCATTTGCGTGATCTTAGACTGGACACTACAGTGCTACTTATACCTTAAAGTCTGGCTGGCTATAGAGCATGGAATCATGGGAATTTCTGAGTTTTCTTCAAGTGACATGGGCAGTTTATCCCCATTGACTAAAACTAATCCTTAAAAGGAAAGAAGCCCAAAGTTCCCATAAGTTTGAAATGCTTATGCTGTTCTGCTGGTTTGTTACAACAAAAGAAAAAGCAATCATAAACTGCATATACAGAGCACATGAATAAATGGGAAGGATCCTGGCCTAATACAGCATTACTAAACTAAATGCTCATATGATTCAGTGCCTAGGCTACCACATGAATTAAAAATGACCTTATGTAATGAATTAATTTCCAAAATAAATAGAACAAAGAGAAAATCATCTTAGCATCTTCTTACCTTAAATGAGTATCGGAGAGGTCAATAATAAGACATGACATTGTTTCCAAATTATTAAAATGATTTGAAAATATATTTCATAAATTGTAATTATAAGTAATAATAATGTGCAAACTCTCTACTGGATTTTATATATACGCACTGTGTTCAACATTTTAACTATTATTTTCTGTCCTGTTTTTGAAAGTTAGATCCAAAAATGCAGTATTGATTCAGATAGAACATACCGAAAAATATTTATTGGTTGATGATAGCACTGGTTCTTGCACATGGAATATATATTTTATTTTATTAATTATTTTCATTTGTTTATTTATTTATTTTTTGAGACAGAGTCTCACTCTGTCTCCCAGGCCAGAGTGCGGTGGCGTGATCTCCGCTCACTGCAAGCTCCGCCTCCCGGGTTCACACCATTCTCCTGCCTTAGCCTCCCAAGTAGCTGGGACTACAGGCGCCCGCCACCACGCCCTGCTAATTTTTTGTATTTTTTAGTAGAGACGGGGTTTCACCTTGTTTGCCAGGATGGTCTCGATCTCCTGACCTCATGATCTGCCTGCCTTGGCCTCCCAAAGTGCTGGGATTACAGGCGTGAGCCACCGCGCCCAGAATATATATTTTAATACTAAGTTTTGATTTATTTTTGCTTGATTTTAAATGAGGCAGAAATATGGAATTCATATACTTGCTTGTAGATAAAACATGTTCCACTTTAAAACCATGAAACGAAGTTTACTTTCTTTGGGGATATTTTAAGTGTTGAACCTAGAACTCTAAATCTTGAGGGTCATAAATATCAGTCAAAAATATTTTCATTATAAATAATTATCTTCAGAAATACTCTTAATATCAGACTTTTTAAAAACTAACAATGCTAGTTTTATGGTGTCAAATTTTGTATTTTTAATTTTTTTTAAGGGACAGGGTCTTGCTCAGGTTAGAGTGCAGTGGCATAATCATAGCTTACTGCGACTTCAAACTCCTAGGCTCAAGCGATCCTCCCACCTCAGCCTTCCAAGTAGCTATTACTACAGGCACGCACTATAATACCTGGCTAATTTTTATTTTATTTTTTTTTGGTGGAGAGGGAGTCTTGCTATATTGCCCAGGCTGGTCTCAATTTCCTGTCCTCAAGGAATCCTCCTGCCTCGGCCTCCCAATGTGCTGGAATTACAGATGTGACCCACAGTGCCTAGCCTGTCTTTTTAATGTCAATTATAGATATCTTAAAAGAAGTTTCCTATTACATTTTAATAAAATGCATTATTTATTAATTAGTGCTTGAGGGATACAATATTGATATTGTCTGTTGGAAGGCCGACTAACATGTTAAAAGATAGTAATAGAAAACCTATGGCAGGGTGCGGTGGCTCACGCCTGTAATCCCAGCACTTTGGGAGGCTGAGTCAGGCAGATCTCTTGAGGTCAGGAGTTTGAGACCAGCCTAGCCAACGTGACAAAACCCTGTCTTTACTAAAAATACAAGAATTAGCTGGGCATGGTGGCGCGTGACTGTAATCCCAGATACTCAGGAGACTGAGGCAGGAGAATTGCTTGAACCCGGGAGACAGAGGTTGCAGTGAGCCGAGATGGCGCCACTGCACTCCAGCCTGGGTGACAGAGTGAGACTCCATCTCAAAAGGAAAAGAAAAAAAAGAAATAGAAAACCTATTTTAGAACTACAGAAATTTCACCCAGGTTGAACTAAATCTAGCTTACTTTTCCTTAATGTACTATAAGAGAAATTTTGTTCAAAAAATAATAGGTTCTCTTTTATTATATATTACATTGTCTTATCTTCTTTGATCCAACTTTTCATATAACTTAATTGCAGTTAAACCTTATTGCGGTTCCATGACCATAGAATTCTACCTTTCAATTTTTTTAATTTTTTTATTTTTATAAATTTAGGGGATAGAAGTACAGTTTTATTACATGGATATATTGCATAGTGGTAAAGTCTGGGCTTCTGGTATAGCCTTCAGCCAAATAGTGAGCATTGTACCCTATATAGCCTCCACATATTAAATTCATCGTTCAATATTAATAAATTTACTATGAACTTGTTAATCACTTTTAGAAGAACCAATATTTAAAAACCCAACTGTAAAGAATGATAGAACTGTAAAGTAATAATAATGAGCAACTGTGCTTTATACACTATTTCGTGTCTATTACTTCTTTTTTTGTTTGTTTGTTTTGAGACAGAGTCTTGCTGTGTCGCCCAGGCTGGAGTACAGTGGCACAATCTTGGCTCACTGAAACCTCTGCCTCCTGGGTTTGAGTGATTCTCGTTCCTCAGCCTCCCAAGTAGCCGGGATTACAGGCGCCCACCACCACACCCAACTAATTTTTGTATTTTTAGTAGAGATGGGGCTTCACCATGTTGGCCAGGCTGGCCTTAAACTCCTGAGCGCAAGTGTTCAGCCTGCCTTGGCCTCCCAAAGTGTTGGGATTACAGGCATGAGCCACCATGCCTATTGTCTATTACTTCATTTGACCAACTTTGGCCCTCCTCCTAGCCCCATATGGCAGGCATTTTCATAATCCCATTTTACAAATGAGCAGACTAACATTCACAGTCATTACGATACTTTCCCAAAGCCATGTAGCTAGTGGACGGTGGAGCATACACTGAGACTCTGTTCTGCGGAAACCTGTCCATAACATCCCTTCCTTGCTAGCAATATATTTATAGTGAGAAAACATGGACTTGAGCTTCAGATTTAGTACTTGATACCTATGTGGAATTAGAGCCACGTTTTTAACATTAGGTCCTCCCCTTGTAATATGGAGATGAAATAAGAATTTCTTTGGGTTCTTGTTAACGAATAAACAAGTTAATGTATTTTTTAAAGCACTTTGTATTAGTCCATTTTCATGCTGCTGACAAAGACGTACCCTAAACTGGACAATTTACAAAAGCAAAAGATTTAAAGGACTTAAAGTTCCACATGGCTGGTGAGGCCTCACAATCATGGCAGAAGGCAAGGAGGAGCAAGTCACATCTTACGTGGATGGCAGCAGGCAAGGAGAGAGCTGGTGCAGAGAAACTCCCGTTTTTAAAACCATCGGATCTTGTGAGACCCATTCAGTATCACGAGAACAGCATGGGAAAGACCCGCCCACATGATTCAGTCATCTCCCACCGGGTCCCTCCCACAACATGTGGGAATTATGGGAGCTACAAGATGAGATTTGGCTGGGGACATTGAACCAAATCATATCATTCTGCCCCTGGCCCCTCCTAAATCTCATATATTCACATTTTAAAAGCAATCATGCCTTCCTAACAGTCCCCCAAAGTCTTAACTCATTCCAACTTTAACTCAGAAGTCCACAGTCCAATGTCTCATCTGAGACAAGGCAAGTCTCTTCCACCTATGAGCCTGTAAAATCAAAAGCAAGTTAGTTACTTCCTGGATACAGTGGGGGTACAGGCATTGGGTAAATTCAGCCATTCCAAATGGGGGAAATTGACCAAAACAAAGGGGCTACAGGCCTCATGCAAGTCTGAAATACAGCACGGCAGTCAAATCTTAAAGCCCCAAAATGATCTCCTTTGACTCCATATCTCACATCCAGGTCATGCTGATGCAAAAGATGGGCCAAATACTTAGAGCCAACTGATTGTTTGACAAACCCAACAAAAATATCAAGTGGGGAAAGGACACCCTATTTAACAAATGGTGCTGGGATAATTGGAAGCCACATGTAGAAGAATGAAACTGGATCCTCATCTCTCACTTTATACAAAAATCAACTCAAGATGGATCAAAGACTTAAGACCTGAAACCATAAAGATTCTAGAAGATAACACCAGAAAAACCCTTCTAGACATTGGCTTAGGAAAAGACTTCATGACCATGAACCCAAAAGCAAATGTAAAAAAAACAAAGATAAACAGATGGACTTACATAAATGAAAAAGCTTCTGCACAGCAAAAGAAAAAATCAGCAGAGTTAACAGACAACCCGCAGAGTGGGAGAAAATCTTCACAATCTATATATGCAACAAAGGACTGATATCCAGAATCTGCAAAGAACTCAAACAAATCAGCGAGAAAAAAATAATCCCATCAAAAAGTGGGCTAAGGACATGAGTAGACAATTCTCAAAGGAAGATACACAAATGGCCAACAAGCATATGGAAAAATGCTCAACATCACTAGTTCTCAGGGAAATGCAAATTAAAACCACAATGCAGTACCATCTCACTCCTGCAGGAATGTTCATAAACAAAAAAATAAAAAAAAAATAGTTGTTGGCATTGATATGGTGAAAGGGAACACTTTTATGCTATTGGTGGGAATGTAAACTAGTACAACCGCTATGGAAAACAGTGTAGAGATTTCTTAAAGAACCAAAAGTAGATCTTTTGATCCAGCATTCTCACTACTAGGTATGTACCCAGAGGAAAATAAGTAATTATATGAAAAAAAGATACCTGCACATGCATGTTTATAGCAGCACAATTTGCAGTTGCAAAAATATGGAACCAGCCCAAATGCCCATCAATCAACAAGTGGATAAAGAAAATGTGGTATATGTATGCTATAGAATACTACTCAGCTCTAAAAAGGAATGAAACAGTGGCATTTGTAGCAACCTGGATGGAATTGGAAACTATTATTCTAAGTGAAGTAACTCAGGAATGGAAAACCATACATCCTATGTTCTCATTCGTATGTGGGAACTAAGCTATGAGGACGCAAAGGCATAAGAATGATACATTGGACTTTGGGGACTCGGAGAAAGGGTGGGGGTTGGTGAGGAATAAAATACTACACACTGGGTACAGGATACATTGCTTCAGTGATGGGTCCACCAAAGTGATGGGTGACTCAGAAGTCACCTCTATAGGATTTATGTAACCAAACACTACCTGTTCCCCAGAAACCTATTGAAATAATAAAATAAAATAAAATAAAATAAAATAAATATATAACAGGAAAAAAAATTGCTTTTTTTCCCAGTTACAAATATACTCACATATATTTTAAATTTTCTAAATTCTTCTTTTCACTCTGAGCTTTTCTATGTAAGATTTATTTTTGTGTCTAGTGTAGAAATATACTTTTTATTGATTTTAAGTGACAAATAATAATTGTGTATATTTTTGAACTATAATGGGATGTTTTGATCTATGTATACATTGTACAAAGAGTCACTCAAGCTAATAAACATATCCATCTTTTCATCAATTTACCATACTATTGTGGCAAGAACATTAAAAATCTATTCCGTCTGCCAGTTTCCAGTTTGAAATACACACTACATTATTAACTGTGGTCACCGTAGAGTGCAATAAATAACTAAAACTTTTCCTCCAATTTAACAGAAATTTTATTACCTCCTGCCCCCCTCTGCAGCCTCTGGCAACCACCTTTCTACTCTGTTTCTATAAAATCAACTGTTTTAGATTCTGTGTGTGAGGTCGTATAGTATTTGTCTTTCTGTGAATGGCTTACTTCACTTAGCATAATGTCTTCCAGTTCAATCTATATAGTTGCAAATGGTAGATTTTTTAAAGGCCGTATAATATTCCATTGTGTATATATACCACATTATCTTTATCCATTCATCTGTTGATGGACACTTAGTTTGGTTCCATATGTTGGCTACTGTGAGTAATGCTGAAATAAACATGGGAGTGCAGATAGCTCTTCAACATGCCAATTTCAATTCCTTGGGAAATATACCCAGAAGTGGGATTGTTAGATTATATGGTAATTATATTTTTAGTTTTTTGATAAACCTCTATACTATTTCCAAAATTACTGCACTAGTTTACATTCCTGCCAACGGTGTACAAGGGTTGTCTTTTATCCACACACTTGCCAACACTTGTTATCATTCCTCTTTTGATAATACTCATTCTAACAGGTGTGAGGTGTTATTCCATTGTGGTTTCAATTTGCATTTTACTAGTGATTAGAGATGTTGAGCATTTATTTCATGTATCTGTTGGCCATTTGTATCTCTTCTTTTGATAAATATTTGTTCAGATCCTTTGTCCATATTTTAATTGGGTTATTTGTTTTCCTGCTGTTGAGTTGTTTGAGTTCCTTATATATTTGGGATATTAGCCTGTTATTAGATGTATGGTTTGATGCAATCCTATCTGTCTTGTTTTTGCTTTCGTTACCTGTGCTTTTGTAGTCCTATCCAAGAAATCATTGCCCAGACTGATGTTGTGGTGTTTTTCCCCTATGTTTTCTGCAAGTAGCTTTAGAGTTTCAGGTCTTACATTTAAGCCTTTTGTTCATTTTGAGTTGAGTTATGTATATGGTGTGACATATACGGTGTTCAGTTTCATTCTTCTACATGTGGATATCCAGTTTTTCCAACACTATTTTTTTTGGAGAAATCGCCATTTCCCCATTGTGTTTTCTTAGCACCTTTTTGAAAATCAATTGTTCATAAATATATGGGTTTGTTTCTGGGCTTTCTATCCTGTTCCATTGGTCGATGTGTCTCTTTTTTTGTTTTGTTTTGTTTTGTTTTGTCGGGACCATACTGTTTTGATTACAATAGCTCTGTAAGATATTTTGAAATCAGGGAGTGTGATGCCTCCAGTGTTGGTCTTTTTGCTCATGTTTGCTTTTGCTTTTTGGAGTCTTTGCTGGTTCCATATGAATTTTAGGATTGCTTTTTCTATTTCTGTGAAAAATAACATTGGAATTTCGATAAGTACACCAAGGAATCTGTAGATCACTTTGGGTAGTATGGACATTTTAACAATATTAAATCTTCCAATCTATGAACATGTGATATCTTTCCATTTATTTGTGTATTCTTCAATTTCTTTCATTCATGTTTTACAGTTTTCAGTGTACAGATCTTTCACCTCTTTGGTGAATTTACTTCTAAGTATTTTACTGTTTTTATTGCTATTAAATGAAATTATTAATTTCTTTTTCAGATAGCTCATTGTTACTGCATAGCAATGCAACAGATTTTTGTATGTTGACTTTATAACCCACAACTTTACTGAATTTAAGTATCTCGATTCTAATAGATTTTGGTGGAATATTTCTTTAAGGTTTTCCATATATAAGATCATGTCATCAGCAAACAGACTATTTCACTTCTTCTGTTCTCATATTGATGCCTTTTATTTATCTCTCTTGGCTAATTGCCCCAGGTAGGATTTTCAGCATCATGTTACATACAAGTAGCAAGAGTTGGCATCCTTGTCTTGTTCTTGATCTTTGAGAATAAGCTTTCAATTTTTTATCATTAGGATAATGTTAGCCGTGGGTGTGTCATATATGGCCTTTATTGTGTTGAGATTCATTTCTTCTATATCTACTTTGTTGAGTTTTTTTTTTTAACCATGAAAGGATGTTGAATTTTCTCAAATGTTTTTTCTACATCTATTGAGATGATTATATGATTTTTTTGTTGTTCGTTTTGTTAATATGATATATCACATTTATTGATTTACATGATTTTTAATTTACATATGTTGAACCATCCTTTCATCCCTGGGAAAATTCCCACTTGATCATGGTGAAGTAGTAATACGTCTTTGTATTTTATATATATACACACATACATATATGTGTGTGTGTATATATATATATATAATATATATATAATGTTTTGTTCTAGAAACTTTTATTGAATAGTTTATCTTTTCTTCCCTTATTTTTGTGACATTTTTAACACTTAAGTTTCCATGTGTGGATCTGATCTTAGATTACTAAATTTATTTTATTGGTCTATTTGTTCCTGTATGTATACCTTACTATATTTACTAACAAACAGTTTTATAAAAGAAATTTATGGAAATCTTGTTATCTGCTAGATAACCTCTTGTTTGTTATCTTAAATTTATGTTCTATTCTTGACTTTGCTATTAAGTGTGAATCTTCGGATCTGTTTATCAAAATCTGTGAAAATTCCTACTGAAATTTATTTTTTAAAAATTGATTCCAATTTATAGATAAGTTTAGAGAATCATCACCTTTATCTTTATAATTCTGAGTCTTTTTATCCATGAGCATGGTGTGTGTGTGTGTGTGTGTGTGTATACACACACACACACACACACAGATATATATTTTCCCATTATTTAGGCCTCTTTACATCTTTTAATATTTTTTAGGTTTAAACTTCTCATTCAGTTAATCAGGTCCTTTTTTTTTCTTTTCTTTTTTTTTTTGAGATGGAGTTTCATTCTTGTTGCCCAGGCTGGAGTGCAATGGCGTGATCTCAGCTCACCATAACTTCTGCCTCCCGGGTTCAAGTGATTCTCCTGTCCCAGCCTCCTGAGTAGCTGGGATTACCGCCATGCGCCACCAGTCCCGGCTAATTTTGTATTTTTAGTAGAGACAGGGTTTCTCTATGTTGGTCAGGCTGGTCTTGAACTCCCGACCTCAAGTGATCTGCCTGCCTGGGCCTTCCAAAGTGCTGGGATTACAGGTGTGAGCCACCGCGCCTAGCCAGGTCCTCATTTCTTCATGTGTGAATTGAAAATAATTATTTTTTCTCTGTATATTTACAGATATAAATTTGAAGATAAAATTAAATGATGCTTATGAACCAATTACATAAATAATAAGGTTTTGTGTTTATTATTTTTTAAACAGAGGTATGGGTGTATTTTATGCTTAATAGTACATCATGATTATCTAGATTCTATTTAATTATTCTCTTTCCCCCCAGTGTAAAAGTTAGGATCTTATAATTATTTAAGGTAATTGTTATTCTTCAACATTAAGAAAATCATTGTTGTGTTTAATGATGTCTGGAATGCTCAGTAAACCATGATTTTTTATTAATCTTATGCAGTCTTTGATTAATGAGAAATATAAACGATCATTTAGTCAATTATTTATTATATCACCTACTAGGTTGCTAAGCACTGAATCAGTTTTAAGATAGTTGTCTTCATTCAGGGAACAAAATAAAAGATGGTAAGAAGTTTTGAGGGCCCAGTACTGATCAATGTTCTTTTAAGTTTAGCAGTCTACAGACTTTACTAAATGTGGAAGTTTTAAACATTATTTTATTATTGCTGTTTTTTTGGAGAAAAAAATGATTCCAAATTTTCTTCTTTTTTTTTTTTGTGGTTGTAAGTGACGTGAAACTATAGGATTTATTTTTCCATTGGCTTCTTTTAATTAAACATTTTAATAACATGTATTATCCAAAACTTGCTATACCAACTATGTAATCACCTCTTCCTTCTATTTTTATGAATATACTATCTGACGACTAAGGTGATATCAGAAAATTTTCACTCAAATGAATAAAAAAAAGAATGACAATGAATTGAATGTATATGCTTCAGTAGATAATTTATAAAGAAAATTTAATACTCTAGGAATGATGCTATACAAGCTGGCGTGTCAAATAATAAATAATTTTAAAATAGGACAAGGACCTTCATACACTGAGGAATGATATAAAAATACAAAAATATTTTAATTGTTTAAAATAAGAACTTAAATCTAAAGGAGATACTTATGATGTCTAAATATGAAATTCTATACTCAGGTTGAAAAATTATATTCTATAAAGGCAGACTGAAGTATATTAATATTGTTAGCAGTTAGTTGATGGTGACCGTATGTAAGTTACTGTGTTGAGTTAAATATTTTATGACTATGTAGCCCATATGAATGGAAGACATTTGAGTAAAAAGAGTATATTTCTTGTGGAGTCTACATTGGTGCATTGTGGTAAAATATAAGAACTACTTTTTAAGAGGGGCATTGATTAATCAAACTGCATTCTGACATAAGTAACTGGGTTGATAAAAACAATCTGAAAACTCTCACATGAAAATGGATTGAAGGGCTAGAAGATATTACACTGAAAAGATAAATCTGGTGCAATGGACAAATCAGTTTGAATACTTGAGTAGTTGTTATATATGGGACCAAATTAAGTTTTATTTACTCCAGAAGAACCACTAAACTGTTAAAGGGCAGGTTTCATTTCAAACAAATTTTTTTAGCCAATTAAATTATCTAAATTTGGTAAAGTCTCATTTGTAATTAGTAGAGGAGCTTCCTAATTTGAGTAGAAGACTGAACTAGGTAACTGTCAGCCATTATTTAACAAATATTTATGAAGTACATACAATATACAAGGTGTTAAAAAATTATAAAGAAAGATCACTGATCCTTAATGGTATGTGATTATAGATTTTAATCTATAAAGGAAATGTTTCTTGTAGCTATTTGATACATATAAAGTTTAGAGTAACTTCGTAATAATTAATACATTGCATATATCAAATAGTGATCAGTGTATACTAATTATACAGTTCTCCACCAAGTAGGGTAGGTACAGACATGAGAAGACAAGACTTGATTAAATTTTAAAAATGGATTCAGTAATTGGATTAATTTGTTTAGAGCAAAGGATTTTCTTAGGTGGAAAATGAGAAAAATGATCTAATGAAGTTGTGCTTCAAGAGAAACAAAGTGAAAGAGAGCTGGAGTCCCAGTGTGACCCCTAGACCAGAAGCATCACCTGGGAATTTGTTAAAAATGCAAATTCCTGGGTCCCACTCCAGACCTACTGAATCAAAAACTCAGTGTTGGCGGGGTGGAGTAGCAAGGTGTGGTTTAACAAGCCCTTCAGGTGACTGTGATTCATACTAAATTTGAACAGCAGTGTAGACTGCTGTTGTTGTGAAGAGGAGTTTACATATGATTTGTTTAGATATAATTTGGAAGGCAATTCATGGTCACTGCACATCAGTGGAAATAAAGGATGCAGATGCTATGGCTTCAAGTAGTAATATATTGACTAACTTATGTAATGCATAACTCTAGAGAACATTTTAAATAGCACAGTGTTGAAACATTTGAAACAAATTTATTGATATAGTTTTTTTTAAGTTAAGTTTTACATCTAACATTTAAAATGATAGAACTAGGTATAGCTGGAAACAATGCCTGTTTATTTTCTTACACAGAGAATGAATTCTTTCTTCCCTTAAAACAGTGTTGGGTAATGTTCCAGAAAAGTAATTACAGGCCAGTTAGTAAATATACGCTGAGATAGTAGAATGCCAGATAGCAACAGCTATATGTCTGCCACTACTGGTTAATCAGCTACAGAACAGACTGATTTTTTGACTTAATATGGCATAGGGACTCCATTAAGGACAGAATCTGCATCTTAATTACTGAACATATCCCCCCCACTGTTTTCATCTGTATTTACGTATGTTTTCTTTTTTTGTTGTCTAATAGAAGACAATCAGGGTTGTGCACGATTTACAAATTGCTTCTTCACCTCCTGTCTTCCTCTTCTATTCAATAGGCTTGTCAAGCTATAAGAGATTATGAAATTTGGGGTAGTTAGAAATCACAGCCAATTCAATCTCATTTCCACACAAACCAAAGAGTAATAAATTACTTTATTGTAGCAGCTTATTGCTTTGAACCTAAATTACAGAAAAATAGCTTGGAAATTCCGTAACAAAGATGAAATAGTCTATTTGTGTAGGCATACTTCTTACAGTTTGTGTTAACTCTCAGCTCTAGCACATTTTATATGATATTTGGATATATTGGTTTGGAAGGAGACAGTCATGATCTGATGGTCTTTCTGATTTTGTTTCTCTCTAACCTTAATTGCTGAACCTATTAAAAACCCCATTTTAGGTTTAGCTGCCTTAGATTCTAGGATTATTCATGTGCTAGGTCAGGAAAATACAGAAGCTCTATGTCTGGAAATGGAAGAGTTGCCATTGACTCAACCTTGCTGCTTATCCTCTTCTTACCTTGTATTTCTGTTCTGATAATTCAATTCTTGCCTTGTCACTGATGATCAGGACTTTCCCTCATACTCAACAATTGCTCTAGAGCTCTGCTTTGATTCTCAGCCTTCTCCTCTGTTCATTTCAAAAACAGGGAATTATTTTCATAATCTTCAATCTTTCTGTCTCCCCAGACACACTGACCACATGTCTATCCAAACAGGTATCAGATCATCCTCTTTCCAGGTAATCTGATTTGATTTTCCTCATATACCTCGGGGCATCCTGCTTTGGGATGTGAAGGATTTGTGTAAACATCTTTTGTTGACTGTTTGTTAGAAAATTTCTTCATTGCCAGCTATTGGTACCCTGCTCAGATGTTCTTAACCTTCAAGCACGCCTATTTTTCCAGCTGCTAGGAGTTTTGGGTTATAACTCACAGCTACCACCATCACAACCCCTTTCTCTGGAGTATTATCTTAGGCCAGTGGTCCTAAAACATTAGCTTTCATCTGAATCACCTAGGGGGCTTATTAAAACAAAAGACTGGACTCAGAGTTTCTGATTTAGTAAGTCTAGGGTGGGGCAAGAGAAGTTGTATTCCTAACAACTTCCAAAGTGATGCTAATGCTGTTGCTCTAGATAACACATTTCAAGGGCCATTCCTCTAATCTAAATAGGAGCTTATTATTCCCTGAAGGCTCTTTGTCCTGTCTCTCCTCAGGGTAGACCACAGTGAGTGACTGATTGCCACAAGCTTATACAAGTTGGACCTCTTACCTCAAAGTGTAACTATCTACATTGTTTCATTTGTGTTTGAAAGCTGCCTAGTGGGATCAGAATTAAAGGGTCACCATCAGTAATGATATTCTGGCTAAGCATTCTTTTCTACCCTATCCTGCTTCTTCCACTCTCCTTCTCCTGAAAGTACTCTCCCAATAAATTACTTAAATAAAATCTCCATCTCAGACCATACTTCTAGGAGACGTGATATGAGACTTATACCTGTGGATCTATGGTTTCTGGTCTCTTTAATTCAATCTATCTATTCAATAAACTTGCATTGAATGTCTTTGAATGTCCCAGAAAGCATATGGTATATGGAAGATAATTAAGATCCAGTTTCTTTACCAAGCAACCCACCATTTGGTTCAAGGGTAGATAAGCAAATGTACAATTATAGCAGCATGATTGATACTATGCTACCTCAGTGCTGATAATTTGAGGTCCTGACTGCTTTCATCTGAGCTTTGGAGAGTGTCACATGCTTGATTCTCTGGGACAGAGTCTCTGAGATGGAGATTTGTGGATAGAAGGTTTATGGGGAATATTCTTAGAGATACCAGTGAGGAAGTGAGGGAAACATAATTGTGCAAATGGAGAGGCTGGGTGAGAGCTCAGGTGAAACTGGGAGGGGCTCTGGAGATGGAATGTCCCTTCAAATTTGTCCAGAATTAAGGAAAGAGATCGATCACTAGATGCAGGCTGCCCAGTAAGAGGAGCATAACATTGGAAGAAATAACTCTCTTTGGCTGAGAGATGCTTGAAGAGGATACATACAATACACACAATAAAAGTTGGTCCCTGGAGAGCCTTGCTTGTGATCATCTCAGTAATATATACTGGCTTCCCACCAGAAAACCATTTATCCTATTCCTCCCAACAGGAATTTTAATTGAGTTTGCTCTTAAGCACTAAATTTCTCAGATATCCCAAATGCTAAATGCAAGCCAAACCTGAGATTTCCTGAAAATATATCCTGTAGACAGATGTGAGAGTGTTTCAAACCTTATTGAAATTACTCTGAGGAGCAATGCAGCAGGTAACAAATCTGACACACAGCAATCTTTAGAATAAACATATGCAGGCCCAGAGTTCAGAGGCTAAAGTCAATTTAATGAGAAAGCTGTCACTATTCTTTTTTACATGAATTAAACGTATTCCAAGTTGCCCAAGTCACGGCCTAACAGTAAAGAGTCTGGCTGCAGAGCTGAGCATTTGTTTTATGTTGTTCTCAGGGTCACTTAAAAATGAATGTGAGTTACCTGGATTGAACAGAATTCTATTTAGTGTATTCTAATATGTGGTGATAAAACTTGGGAACCTCAGTAAAGGGAACTGATTTGAATGTAAAATTGTTTATTTTGAAGTACATGTATGCCAAACACTGAAATTTTCTATTGATATTGAATATCTATCAATATTCAATATTTTCCATTAATTCTGTTGATTCTATTTGCTATTGAATATTGATATAACACCATTTAGTTTGTAAAGAGAAATATAAAATCTTAATGAATAAAGGGAAAACTATTGATAAGTCTTCATAGAGTTAATTATACACTCTTAAGACATTAGACTCAAGTAACTTCATACCTACTGAGAATAAATGCTGGAAAAATTTACAAGTTTTATTTTCCATATTTAGTGCCAGAGAGCCAGATTACACACACACACACACACACACACACACACACACGAACAAGAATAAATAGGTTCACATGTTTCCTTGCAGTAAAGTCTGTCCTGATGGGATGGACTCTGACAATATTATGAATGAGTATGAAATAATAGCAAACTTGGCCTCTAGAAACAATCTTCCCTCTGAAATGCGTGTTTTAAATTACCTCATGGCAAGGCCAGTGACATTCAAGGATTGGGAATGAGGTTAGAAAAATGGAAATGATTCTCCACTTCTGGGAAGGTCTTTTGCCTGATTAACGTTATGTAAACATTTTGCTGAAGAAAGAATAATTCTGCACTTTAGCCACCAAATCATTATAGAAAAACAATCCAGTTTTATGCCTCCTGTGCTCCAGTCCAAGGGTCAGCAAACTATGGCCCTTGAGCCAAATCCTGCTTACCACTTATTTTTGTAAATACGTTTCTATTGGAACACAGCTCTGCTAATTTGTTTACATATTGTCTATGGCTATTTTTGAGCTGCCATGGCATGGTTGAGAAGTGCAACCAAAACCATATGGCCCACAAAACCTAAAATATTTACTATCTAGCCATTTACAGAAAAATTTTGCTGATCCTTGCTCTATTGTGTTTTAGTTCTGTGTATCCCAGGTTTACTGATAAGAATTACCTGGAGTGCCTTTCAACCAACAGCTTCTTGATCTCCTCCTTTGGAGATTCTGATTCGGTGAATCTGAATGAGACCCAGAAATTTCTACCTTTAGCAAGTACTGGAACTTTGGGAAATACCAAGCTAGTTATTTGACTCTCCAATATTCTAGCATACCATTTTTTATGTTCAAAAAGTCCACATTCTTTTCTTCAAATTCTTCCTCATCTCCCCACATAAATGCAAGGTATGGACGAATGTATTGTACAGGATTGTCACGGATAAGGTCGGCTAGAAGCAGTTTGTGATAATGATTAGGGTGTATGTTGTTTGTTGAGGGAGTACTCTCAGGAGTAAGGAAGTTATAGAAGCAGTATAGGAAAGGGCGATAAAGCTACAGAATGTGCTCTCATTACACATACACCATGGAATACTATGCAGCTATAAAAAAGGATGGGTTCATGTCCTTCGCAGGGACATGGATGAAGCTGGAAACCATCATTCTCAGCAAACTATCACAAGATCAGAAACCCAAACACCACATGTTCTCACTCATAAGTGGGAGTTAAACAGTGAGAACACATGGTCACAGGGAGGGGAACATCACACACCGGGGCCTGTTTGGGGGGTGGGGGACTAGGGGAGGGATAACATTAGGAGAAATACCTAATGTAGGTGACGGGTTGATGGGTGCAGCTAACCACCAGGGTACATGTATACCTATGTAACAAAACTGCATGTTCCGCACATGTAACCCAGAAGCTAAAGTATTAAAAAAAAAAAAAAAAAAAGAATGTGCTCTCAGCTGGAGACATGCTTCAGTCTGATCCCATGGGGACCTCTGCAGCATAAATTGAACCACAGAGTTGATCCTGCCTTCAGGCAAGAGGGCTGGCCTTTTGAGCACTCTCTTCCCATTGCCATCAGTTAGTTATTTGGATGCAGGGAGTCCTTGAACAGGGGACAGACATTAGCAGCAATCATTGAGGCACAAGTACACCTGTGGTAAAGGCAGAGGAGGGGAGAAGTATAGCATCTGGTGCAGAAGTTATACCCCCAAATGAATGAAATTTAGACTTGGAATGTGCCCTGAAGAAAGACCTATCTACAAGAGTCTTTAAAAGATAATTTTGAAATATGTTTTCAAGTTAGTAACCCTTCGGAAGTCACAAATATATTTGCTAGAACTGATACCTATCATCTTTGAAAAGTAAGAGGAAAATATGTATCAGAGAGAAGTGACTTTTCCGGTTAATAATCATTGCTTGTTGATACGTGCTTTTGACTAGGTATTTAGTAAGATCTTTTGGTTATGTTTACCTCCATTAGGATGATATGAGTTCCTTATGAATTTAAATGCATGTGAACATTTCAGAGTCCCACCTGGAATGCGACTACTGTCAGACAATGTATTCTCTCTAGCCCCTAACATTTCATGATAGATTCACTACAGTTGTAGAAGAATCCTTCAATAAAAGTTATGTTATGGGAATGTAAAACAAAGTTTAACCTTCCATAATTATGATTTACTTTCCAAGGAATAATCATACCTACCACTACTTGCTTATCCTCCCAACCTGCAAGGTAGGCATCAATTACCCAATCCTTACCCAAAGTCACATGTCTAGCCAATGGTGGTGTCGAATATTCTGATGAAAGAGTTCTATTGGCCCCGCTAAAGAGTTGTGGGGTTTTTTAAATCTTTAACTCAAGTTGTTTCAGTGAACCTAGAACTAAGACTTTTTCAACCACTCCCAAATTATTGATGCTTGGGTTTTGCAACAAATGCCCTCTAAGCTCTCAGGATAAGTTGGGGGAGGAAAATGAAAACATAATAGGGTAAGGGTTGTTCTCTAACTATTCCCAGACCAGTTCTCACCTTCAAACTGCTCTCTCTCTCTGAAAGATGAGCAAAAAAAAAAAAAAAAAAAAAAAAATGTGACCTCACAAAAGGTTGTGTGACCTCAAAACCTGCCAAGAGTCCTCAGTGCAGCCCACTCTGAAGACAGTGGAACAACTCAGGAAAGAAGGTAGAGTATTTTATAGACCCTAGAGTCTTATCTCATCCCATTCTGCTTTCTGTCTTCTTGAGGCACAGTTGGCTTAACCTTTTCTTGAAGTGAAAACTATGTGAATAAGAATATTAACCCCCAAACAACTTAAAAGCACAGTCAACCGCTTCATCACTGGTCATTAGAGAAATGCAAATCAAAACCATGAGATACCATCTCACGCCAGTTAGAATGGCAATCATTAAAAAGTCAGGAAACAACAGATGCTGGAGAGGATGTGGAGAAATAGGAATGCTTTTACACTGTTGGTGGGAGTGTAAATTAGTTCAACCATTGTGGAAGACAGTGTGGCGATTCCTCAAGGATCTAGAACCAGAAATACCATTTGACCCAGCAATCCCATTACTGGGTATATACCCAAAGGATTATAAATTATTCTACTATAAAGACACATGCACATGTATGTTTACTGCAGCACTATTCACAATAGCAAAGACTTGGAACCAACCCAAATGTCCATCAATGATAGACTGGATTAAGAAAATGTGGCACATATACACCATGAAATACTATGCAGCCATAAAAAAGGATGAGTTCATGTCCTTTGCAGGAACATGGATGAAGCTGGAAACCATCATTCTCAGCAAACTAACACAGGAACAGAAACCCAAACACCGCATGTTCTCACTCATAAGTGGGAGTTGAACAATGAGAACACATGGACACAGGGAGGGGAACATCACACACTGGGGCCTGTTATGGGGTGGGGGTCTAGGGGAGGCATAGCACTAGGAGAAATACCTAATGTAGATAACGGGTTGATGGGTGCAGCAAACTACCATGGCACATGTATACCTATGTAACAAACCTGCACGTTCTGCACATGTATCCTAGAGCTTAAAGAAGTATAATAAAAAATAAATTAAAAAAACAAACAAACAGAAAAACAGCTGACAAAACAGAATTGCCCAGCGTAACTGTATTTTTAAGTTAGCAGCAAAAATAGAATTTTGATTTTATGTCATGTATATTGGGAAAAAGGAGCAAATGATATGATGTCAGTTAAAAGAAAACTAGCATAGTTCAAGATTTTCCCATGATTCTCCTATGAACTTGAAATTCCAAACCAAACCCAGCTGAGTCCAAAGCCAGTAGTGCTCTTATCAACTTTCCATGGCAATGTCTTACAATTCTCTTTAGGCTAGGGCCAGGGGAAGAATCCATGGAATTGACCACTTGGCAGGACATTACCAAGGTAGGGGTGGCTATAGAGATTTCAGCCGAACCACCCTAGGGGATGAAGCAAGAACACAATGACCGGGGCAGCTCCAGGCTCACCTCCTCCATGAAGCTTTTCCTTCTCTCTCTAGGTAGATTAGGTGACTGCCTTCTTGGGGAAACATTAACATGGGTTAGATAATATGAGCTATTCCTATATGGCAACAAGCTAGGTGAGGAAAATGAAGATACGATGCATCTATCCCATCTCTCCAGCACCCAGGACAGAGCCACTATATCCTGGCATGCTGTAGCACAGAGTAGAGAGCCCTGCAGCATTTAGGCACATTGAACATACTTGTTGATGATATTCTGAGCCCTCTTTCCTTTAAATCATTGTTGAGTATTTTCTGGGTCAACTCACAATATAAAACCCCTGTCATAAACATTCAAAAAACTTGATAAGCTACCAGAAATGTTCAATTAAGGAACAAAAAGAAACTGAAGAGCAACAATGGACACCTCCCCTCCTGAACTCCACCAGAGAACTTCAGTCCATTTAAAAGATGAAGCCAGTTTTAATCTATAATTTATGTCAAATTTCACTCTTAAGTCACAAGGTTAATATTTTTAGTAGAAAATGTTGATTATAACAGAAACTCAGGTATCTCATATGCACATACTCACGGTATGATTAAAGATAATCAGGTACAATTTTACTATGAGATTGGACAATGTTTGAAGAATATCAATACTGTTTTAGTGAAAAGCAGATCAAAGTATGAAATTAAAAATATCTTTAGAATAGTAATACTTAAAAGAATTCAGTAATTGGAATGCTTATCCATGTTTTTTAATCACTCTGTTTTAAATCTGACTTTCAGTTGTTTCAAAATGACAGGTTATGTTGATTAGGTAAATTATATTAGCATTTATTTGTATTTAATTTCTACATTTCCTGTTACCATCTTTTTGCCCACTTTTCTATTGGTATGCACCTTCTTTTTTATTGTATTTATTTAAGGTATGCAACATGGTGTTTTGATATACATGTACATAGTGAAATGATCACTATAGTCAACCAAATTAACATTTACCTTCCCACATAGTTACCTTTTTTGTGGTAAAAAGGGCATGCTCATTCTTATCTTTTTGATTCATATAAATGTCTTATATGTCACTTATATTAGCACTGCAATACAAATGGTTGTTTTAAATTGATCTTCTGCCTTAAAACTTTACTTGAAAAATTAATTAAAATACTTTTTTCAGATAAATTCTGTCTTTGAATGTCTGTTTCAGAAAGGTCATATTTATCCAAGAGGAGACAAATAGCCACCTACATTTTCTCCCAGTGCTCTTAAAATTAACTGCAATATATCTGAATCTTTTGTGGCAAGATTATCTTTTTCCTTCTGTTTTTCTCAAATGAGTAACACATTTTTAACCCAATTTTGAGTGATAAATCTTTTTTGCATTGTTTTGAGATGCTATTTATAGTATGTAACAAATTCTTACGTATGCTTGATATGCTTCTAGACTTTCTCCTATTTTGACATCTCTGTTCTTTTTTCAACACCACATCAGGACCATTCTTTTCGTGATTATTACCTCGATTTACATTGTGATATCTGCTGCTTCAGGCCTATTCAAACTTTCTTGACGATCCTTGCACATTTAATTCCTCTAGACTATTTTGGCATGAGTCTAATAATGTCATTGGGATCTTTATTGAGATTACATTAAAATATTTTGATTAATTTAGGAACAGCTGGCAGTTTTACAATATTAATTTTCCATTCAGAACATATGCTTTCTCTATTTTTCGAGGCTTTTAAAACATTTCTCACTGTAAATTGTTATAGTTTTCTTAATGCAGATCTTGCACATTTCTTATAAAGTTTATTCTTATGCATTTTATAATTTTGTTACTGTTGTAAGTAAGTTTTTTGGATCATATTTCTAATTTTTATTCCTGGGCATATAAGAAAGCTATAGCTTTATGTATACAGTGTCTATTTTCAGACTTTTTATCAGACCGGATAGAATGAGGATCTTACCAATTTCAGTGTGGGTATAAATAGAATATTAGCACACTTGTACATTCCCTATGATTTTTTAAAACAGTATTTCCTTTGATAATGAGTTATTCCTGAGAACTTTACATATAACTCTGCATGTTTGTTTTGTTTTGTTTTGTTTTTTGAGAAAGGGTCTTGCTCTATGGCCCAGGCTGGTGTGCAGTGGTGCGATCTCGGCTCACTGCAACCTGTGCCTCCCGGGCTCAAGTGATTCTCGTGCCTCAGCCTCCCAAGTAGCTGGGATTACAGGCACTCGCCACCACGCCTGGCTTATTTTTGTATTTTTAGTAGAGACGGGGTTTCGCCATGTTGGCCAGGCTGGTCTCGAACTCCTGGCCTCAGGTGATCTGGCCACCTTGGCCTCCCAAAGTGCAGGGATTACAGGTGTGAGCCACTGTGCCCGGCGTCTGCATGTCTTTTTGTGAATGATTTACTTTACTTCCCATCTGTGGCTGATGGGACAAAAGAAAAATTAAGAGCAATGTGATTAATGCTAAGATTGACCAACAGTTTTTAGAAAATTAAACTGCTTCCACATGAGATAATTCATGTTTTCTAGATACTTTATCTTCCAACAAGTGGTAAGTAATGAAGTAGATAAACTTCGTTGTCACTATGTTTATATTTCAAGTTTTCTGAATGAGGCAGGCGGTGTAATGTGTATATATTATTATTATTGTTTTTATTTTTGAGACACAGTCTCGCTGTGTTGCCCAGGCTGGAGTACAGTGGTGTGATCTGAGCTCACTGCAACCTCCAGCTCCTGGGTTCAAATGATTCCCCTGCCTCAGTCTCCCAAGTAGCTGGGATTACAGATGTGCACCACCATGCCCAGCTAAGTTTTGTATTTTTAGTAGAGATGGGGTTTCACCATGTTGGCCAGGCTGGTCTCGAACTCCTAACCTCAGGTGATCTGCCTGCCTGGGGCTCCCAACGTGCTGGGATTACAGGCGTGAGCCACCATGCCTGGCCAATATGTATATACTATTAATTAATATGAAGATATTGTTATGCTTGGATGACACCCTTCCTGTTGCTGAGGCAGGAGTTACAAATAAAACATAGCTCTTCGGTCTGCTCCCAGATCCTCCTCACTGTACTCTTGCTCACATTTTGTCCCTGACAGATGCCTAAGGGCCACTGACCACTCCCTCAGGAAATCTCTGTAGCTATACAAGCAGCAGGCATAGAAAGAAATGAATTGTAAGCTATTCTTCTAGCACTCTAATTAGACTTTTCAGTCTAATTGCAGGAGATGAAATTGAGGCAGATCAAATTCTCAGGATGACTAGATT
The DNA here is from genome assembly GCF_000001405.40 of Homo sapiens. Taxonomy (NCBI): domain Eukaryota; kingdom Metazoa; phylum Chordata; class Mammalia; order Primates; family Hominidae; genus Homo; species Homo sapiens. The sequence goes on from NC_000023.11 coordinate 29,724,438, forward strand.
TGAGAATCATTACAAAGTAATACATTGACAATTACAAAGCTAGCATGCTCCTGAGAGTAGAACTGAACCTTCCTCAGCCTCAGAGTATCAGATGTGAATAAGAATATCTCATCAACTTGTTTCACATGCTTGTCCACTTGTTTTAAAGGAGAAAATGCAAATAAATATGCTGCAAGGCAGTCTAGGTAATAATTATTTACACTCTAGAGACAGACCTGGCTTCAAATCTTGACATGTACCACTTATTAACAGCACGTTGAAAAACACATTTCTTTAATACCTAGAGCCTCCACTTCTAGCCAGAAAAGTTAAGATAATTATAGAACCTACTGAATATGGTTGTTTTGATGATAAATGAAATTATGTATGTATGAGGTCTATCCTGACGCCTTATATATAGTAAGCATGACATAATATTATGTACTGCTACTATTGTATTTGCTAAATCTCCAATTGTTTTAAAGTATAAAAGAGTATTATTATTTTATTAAGGACACAGAGTGGTATTCTGAGAGGAGTGGGAATCCTCAAGAGCTTTTTTCCTGGAAATTAATTTTGAAAAGAAGCTTGATGAAAATCTTGCATTTAGAGTGAGGAAGACAGTCAACTCTGAATTACATAATTATATATATGTACTGGAGACACAGTTCGTTCCTATGATATAAGAAGGGCTGAAAAAAAAAGTTACTCCTTTATTTAATCTTAAACTGATCTGGTCTTCTTCATGAGTCCTCATCCATAAGGAAATTATATATATATTCCTTATCCAACAGAGGAAAAATAAATTCTCATTCTGGCTTAATCTGATCATTTAGGGCACAATCTCTCATAAAAAAGACAGCTTAGTCTCTCTTTCACCCTCCTTCTACTGTTACTTGTTGCAAATAAGATGATGTTCCTCCATTATATGAGGTAAAGGGGATGCTTCCTAAGCCCTCATGGTTGCAAGGAAAAATAAGTGCCCTTGGGTATCATGTCCCTTGTTTTCTGAGATAATATCCCTTGTTCTCTAGTCACTGATAAGCTTGTCAGCTGGTAGAACACACGATCGGCCTCCTAACTAGATCAGTGCCCAATATCATTCTCTGGTTCAGTTAGATTCTTCTTAAATTGGAATGTCTCCAGACTCCCAAGTCTCTGCTGTTTCCCATTCAGCCCTCTGGCCCATGGTCCATCTCTGGCATCCTCCACTGGGGCAACTAGTTTTGCCACTGCAGGTCCACCACAAACCCCTTAGCAGTATCTAGCTAGAACTCAACATTCCTAAAGATGTGTGTGTGTATGAGTGTGTATATCCATCTATATCCATATCTGTGTCTATATACTAGACTGTCAAAAAATTTATATGGTAACTTTTGTTCTACGACAGCTAGGGTACATTGTGAAAGTTTCAAAGCAGAGATTATGTCTCATTTATTTTTAGCTTTCCAGCACCTCACCTGATCTCTGATATAAGCAATCAATCTGTATTCTCTTCATGATGAGAAATATTCTCCATTCTCACTGATAGCAGATTTGTGACCACTAAACACACACGCAGTACTGGTGTGAACGCACAAACTATTGAAACAACAAGCACGCAACAAGCAAGGAAATTGTCACTGCTCTATAATTTGGTGATGAGATATCTGGTTACTTTCAGACAAAAGAAAATGTCTCATAATAATAGGGTTTTGTATGATTCTTCTCTTTCTTCCAGAAATAAAAAATTTAGAAACAAAACATTGAGGGACATTTTAGGTTAATTATGCATTTTAGAAGAGTTCCCCAGATATCATTTTTGTCTAATTTATTTTTCAAATTGGCATATAAAATTATATGTATTTATCTTGTACAACATAATGATTTAAAGCATATATACATTTTAGAATGGTTAAATCCAGCTAATTAACAAATGCATTATACCTCACATAGTTATCATTTTGTGGTGATAACCCTTAACACCCTGGATAACTTTTGATTCAGTTTCTGAACTTGCCATGTAAAATTAGTATTTGTACTCAATCAGTTTCTTCAGTTTGGAGTATCCTTATAGTGATCCTGGGCCCAAACTAAAAGTGCATAGGGAAAGTAGCATAGTCTCTTTCCATTTGCCTCTAGTCATTTTTATGTACTGATGAACATGTAAATGCTGCTGTACAAAGTACAAGACAGGGATGAAGACCCTGTTCTCAAATATTTCCAGGATAGGGAGAGGCTTTAATTATATTTTTTAAAGATTTTCTAAACAGAAGAAAGAAAAATCCCCATTGAGAGGGGAGGCAGTGGCTCATGCCTGTACTCCCAGCACTTTGGGAGACTGAGGCAGGAGGATATCTTGAGTCCAGGAGTTTAGGAGTTCAAGACCACCTTGGGCAACAGAGTGAGATCTGATCTCTATAGAAAATAAAAATAAAAAAAGAGAAGGGAGTGCATGGGGAAAAAGAAAACAATAACAACAACAAGAAATTCAGAAGTGGTTTGATGTGTTGAGGTTAAACTGAAACAATGCCTTCATTGCAATGAGTGCCTTTGACGTCTGTCAAAGGTGGTACAGTCAGTGACAATGACTGCATTCTTTCTGGCTTTGGGTTCACAGTGCTTTGCAGTGCTGTGCTATTCAGAACTAAATAACTGTTGTCACTGCTCTATAATTTGGCGATGATATCTGGTTACTTTCAGACAAAAGAAAATGTCTCATAACAATGGGGTTTTGTATGATTCTGCTCTTTCTTCCAGAAATACAAAAAAAAGACACATTTAAGAATTTATCTCTGTTCACATTGAGGAAGAAAATAAGCTTTAAAAAGTTTTACTCCTCCCTCCCTATAGCAATGCTTGCCTGACTTTCCATCGGGGGAAATGTTACTTTCAGCATATTCTGTGTGTGAAATAGACAGTGCCAGATGCTTCAAATGGTCATAATTGTGAAGGATATGAAAAAAGAGGCATCTTCCTACTGCGCTTTATTAAATGTGGAGGGAAAAAAACCCTTTGGGTAAATTAGCACTTGGAGGATTTAGCAAAAGTGAATTAACTATGACAGGGTCCCCTAACACATCTATTTGATGATCTTGCAAGTCTTATTCCCGGTTACCTGGGATACTACTTTGCTTTGGGATGCCATGGGGTCATTAAAATGTGAGACAGGTTCTCTGGAAGAGAAAAATCAGATGAATCTTGACTTACAGACAGTATGTCTTCCTAAATAGTATTTCTTTTGACTGACCATACCTTTCCCTTGATGCTATATTTCTCCCTCATGCGCTCATCTGAACAAAGAACTGACTGCGAATTTCAGCTGCCAAAACCAAAGGACAGTTGGAAAGGCTTTTTACAAGCAATTGGCAAGTGTGCTCTCAAAAACTGAATATATAGGTGCTGTTTTTCTCTTATAAATTAGTATTGAAATCTAGCCTCTATTATGCCATGGGAATATAAAAAGGAGAAATGAAGGCAGAAGTATGTGGTGACTACATTAAAAAAATGAGTCCACTATTCTTATTCTTCTTCTTGTTATTTATTTATTTATTTACTTTGAGATGGAGTCTCGCTCTGTTGCCCAGGCTGGAGTGCAGTGGCGCGATCTCGGCTCACTGCAAGCTCCGCCTCCCGGGTTCACGCCATTCTCCTACCTCAGCCTCCCGAGTAGCTGGGACTACAGGCGCCTGCCACCACGCCCAGCTAATTTTTGTATTTTTAGTAGAGATGGGGTTTCACCGTGTTAACCAGGATGGTCTTGATCTCCTGACCTCATGATCCACCTGCCTTGGCCACCCAAAGTGCTGGGATTACAGACGTGAGCCACCGCACCCAGCCGAGTCCACTATTCTTTCTTTTCTTTACACATAATTCCAAAATCAAAAATAGCTCCGAGATACCAGATGTCTTTGTGGTAACTCATTCAACCCAACTTGAATGTATTTGGTGCCTGAAACTTATCTAACCTACCGTGAGATTATCTTTATCTCTCTCAATGTGACTGTTCATATGCTTCACTGCAAAAATATTAGTGTGTTTGATGACAGGGGTGTTGTAGACCCCACTGGGGGTGCTATAGAATCTGTGTAGTGTTACTTCTATAAATCTGACAAATTCTGGATTTTAGAACAGAAAATATTTTGTTACAAGTGAGGCACTGTGCTGCTTTACAGACTTTATCTCACTGAAGCCTCACAACCTCCCCCAGACGTGGACATTGCTCTGATCTCTAGTTTATAGATGAAAAATTTAAGGATTCAAAGGTGAAATAAGTTGCTCAGAGTCACTCTTCTATTATAGTTACGCACTATTGCATAATAAACATCCCGGAAATATAGTGACTTGAAACAACATGTTATTGTTAACACACACTTCTGTGGATTGACTCAGCTCAGCTGAGTGGTTCTGATATGTGGCTGCTGTCAGATAGGAGCTGGGGTTGGAATCATCTGTAGGATTATTGGCTCACATGCCTATACCTCAGCTGGAATACCTTGAGGCTGGTCAAGCATGTCTCTCTGCATGTGGCCTCTCTGCATGGCTATATTATTCCTCCCAACATGGCTGCCTCAGCATAGTCAGAAGCAGCTCCTAGACTAGAACAAGTGTTCCAGGAAGTGGAACCTGTCAGTCTATTAAATCCTGGGCTCAGAAACTGGCATGGTGTCATGTCTACGTTTTTCGATGGGTAGAAATAGTCAGAGACATCATATAGTCAGTTATATCCCCTCTGATATCTCACAGGGGATATAACTCCAAGTATTCATGTAGGAATGGAGGCTGCTCAGCTTGTAAGTGAACATCTGGGACTTAAATTTACATCTACCTAGTGCCAACGTCCATTGACAATGAAGTAAAACCTACCTGTCACCCATTTTTCCCTCTGCATGCCACCCCGACCTGGTGGCTTAATATTCCATTTTTTTTCAGTCACTTTCCTATAATCTTCTACCTCCACCAGACTGTTCTGTAAAAAGGCTATTCTGATGATGCCAAAACGTAGACCTGTGCTTTATGTATTTGAAGGAATGGGCAGGGAGTATTCTTCTTTCCCCTCTCCTCTACTTACATGACTTCAGTGATCCTGATTTCACCCTCATTTTTAAAATTTTCATCTTGATAAGAAATACCTAGGAAATAACAAACAAGGAGATTCAGGTAAGAATTGATGTGAGGAAGAGAACTGGGGAGAGCATTCTGGAACATTCCAACTACAGTGAGCAGCTTTACTCCTTTCTCCACCTTCCCATTACCTCCAAACTCTAACACATTCCTCCTACTAAAATGTAGTATATTTAATGTTTCCTTTTTTTTAAACATTTGCCCCAGCTCCTAACACAGTGACTGTATTAATTCCCATTTCTGTCTCAGAAATGCACGTGTGAAACTCCATAGGCTGGCAGATATGCTCCCCAGACATGTCACCTATGACCTGTCTCTAGATCTGCCCTCTATCCAAACGGAAAGTGGAAAAAAATAGCTTGGTCATGCTTGTTAGCTGATAAGGTTTTAGCTTTGGCTATATTGAGACCTTGAGCTGTTTTTGCTTTTGTTACTTAAGCTGTGGGATCTGGTCAACTTGGAGACAAATAGAGAAGGCCTTGAGAATTGAGGTTCTATACTGATTTGTGGGGGAATAATCACAATGCTGTTCAGAAGGAGAGTTGTTGCACTTGCTGTCTTTTTAGGAAGAATCAAAGCTTCACTGGGATTTGGCTAGCTGGCAGTCATAATTTTGAACCCTATCCCCATTGGGCCAAACCTATCACATGTGTCAAAATGACATGGTTCTTTCAGGGGACTTTTGGGAGTGAGATCCACAGCAGGCAACTCTGCTAATAAAATCCAGCTCAACAGTAACATTGCATTATTTAGCCTTCCTCAGAGACATCTGGCATTTGTCTTCCATTTCCTTTCTGTTACAACTTTACCCCCTGGATGCTGGAGATACAAGTAACCCTTCTTGCTGTGTCTTCTCTTATTCTCCCAATAACTAAGCAACTTATTTCTATTTCTTAAATAAATCTCATGGTTTTCTGACTTCTCCAAGGTCCTCTTGTCAAGTCAAATGAAAACTACTGATGGCCCCTTCCAAAAAAAATAAGTATCATTACCTAGAATGTTCCTGAATTCTGGTTCATTAGCACAAGGTGAAGACATGATGTGTCACTTTTTAGGGCCTTATCCTCTTGTTTCAGTGATGATGCTGTAGTAGACAAGAACATTTTCTAAAAGAGAATTATAGTCTTCAGGGCCAAGAAAGTAGTTAGGCCAGCAGTCATGAACACTATGCTACAAACACCAGATAAGAACTTGTTGCCTTGCCAGTGGTAGAATTGTTACAAATCTATGTGGGAGGGCCTTTGGGATCTTCTCATCTAATTGCCTCATTTTTCTATTAGGAGATTGGTACCCAGGTAGGTAAATCCATCTTCCCACAGATATGAGATGACACAGTAAGGCTATAACCCAGCCCTCCTGATTTCTCCTAGCTCAGTGACTGTTCTGCAATAATGTATTTAGATCAGAATTCCTTTCTTTGTCCATCAGCATATCCTGAGTGTTTTACTCTATCCCCAAATTACATACCCCTGTGATTTATACTTATGTCACATCAAAGCTATTTTTAATTTTCTAGGTCTCTTTTAAATTTTGGTACGTTGGTCAAGAGACCTTTCCTTGATCTTTCTCACTTGCTACCAACGTTTTCATTCCTACCCTCTGTCTTTATTGAACTGTTAAGCCCATGTTGTCAGGAAAATTGGCACACCTTTTTGGCCAACGAATTAAAGGCAAAGGGATAAAGTGGGTTCTGCTGATCATCATATAGCTTTCCATCTAGTCTCACCAGGCCTGGCTGATGGAGGAGATTTCCACCTCAGCAAAGACTGTAACTACAGCAACTAGTGAGTTGTATTGTCCACTTTATGCTAGCTGGTGAGGAGATCCAGCCAATGTGGAAGGGTTTGTAAGTACATACATGTAGTCCCCTGCAGAATCTATGCCAGAATCCCATAGTTTGGGCATGCGTCAAAGACATCTGATGTGGAGGCCCCCTCCTCACCTGCTCAGGGTCTGAGAGACTGTGACTCTGATCTAGGTGTCTATCTGGCAGTCTTAATGAGGGATCCTCCAGGAAGCAAAAATAGTGCAAAGTAAAAGGGTTGATACCCCTGCCTTTGACCTTTATTTTCAATCTAATAAACTTACCTTTCTCAGGAAAAGAGGTGAGAGCTGGTATTTTGGTTTTGGTAACTAGGGTCTGGGGACAAGGAGCTGGTCACGTGCTCTGACAGAAAAACTAGGATTTCAACCCCCAGCTGGGAGCTGGAGGGGAGTTCTGTCTTCCTCACTTACTAAGCATGCTTGAAAAACATTAAGCTGAATATCAGAGCTTGATTGTCCTGCAGATGCCACCCATTAAGACAGCAAGGGCTGAGGAAGGAGCCTGAGCAAGTATAGAAAAGAACTTACCTAAGAGATCTTAAAGCAGAACCTGGAAACACTGGAAGCAGGACATAAATTCCTTTTGCACAGCAAAGCGATCTTGTGTTCCTGGTCAGTAGAGGCTCCTTTACTTTCCTTCAGCTAATGAACCACAAAAAGAAGATATATATAGTATTGACTTCTGAGGCCAGGGAATTTTGTTTTCTTTATTTTTCTAAATTTGAGTAGCATATGCTTCAAAACATCAGATATTTACTATCCTCAAAATGACTGGAAAACTTAGAAGGATAAGGCACAAGGAATGGCCTAAATAGGCTTAAATAACAAATCCCACTAATGGAGTGATGGTATATAATGGAAAGACAGTGAGACATTAGTCTTCTTTGGAAATAACGTGTAAGAGGATTTTGTTAATTCTCATTACTTTTCCTTCACTTGGCACTGTACCCCACCCCCGCACTTCTAACTGTTACGATAGCTAGAACTAGGCAAAATGGGACAAAGTAATTCATCTGATCATATCTTTACTCATTTTCAGTCCTTATCTCAAAATTTGTGAGTGATATAAAAGTCACGATCCATTAGTGGCTCCATACCCTTCATAATGTGATCTCCATTTTCCTCGCAATCATCAACTCATGGCACCTCCCTTTGATCTATCCTTTCTATGCCCTAACTACGAAATTAGCTAAAAAATGGTGTAGACTTTCAACACACAGCATGTGCTCTTTCCTTCCACATAATGAACATCCTTGCTCTTACCTGGTAACTCATTACTTGTCCTATACATTCCACTTGACTTGTTTCTCCTTCTGCAAGGATTTTGTCAGTGATGTTATCATATTTTTCTGATGCATCTTCTTTATGAATACTTTTTGGAGAATGTCTCTGTTGCTGGTCTCAGGCCCAGGGCAGTTTTACTTCTCTCTTAGGATTGGTTCGTATTTATCTTATCAACGCTTAGTAGTGACATCTACCAGCTTTTCCCTTTTGCAATGGTTGCCAGAACTCTCAGAGGCAAATTTGTCGCACATTTGTAATCAAGAGTATGAATTTTCCCAAATACATTTCTGGCTATATTTTTACAAGCTGAACTGTTCTTTTTCTCCCCTTTACTTTAAAATGTGATATCTTATATTTTATGGAACCTCTTTCTGGAGCAAGGTGGCCAAGGAAGGAAGGAAGAGAAAGGGAGGGAGGCAGAGGAAGAGGATGAGAGGGGAGGGAAAGGGAAGGGAGCAATGAGAAGGGAAAGGAAGAGAAGAAAATCCAAATTCAAAGCCTACTTTCTTCATGAGTCTGTCACCTGAAAAAATTAATCACTTTCCCTCTGAGCTCCCCCAGTACTTGGAAGAAGCCTCTGTTATGGCTGTTATAGCACTTACATCTCTGCATGTCAATTCTTTGTCTTCTTGGACTTTTTTCCCTCCTATCTGACTGCAAATTCTTTAAAACAAGGACGACTTCTTCCTTTTTTTAGTATTCCCAGCTTCTGGCTCAGTTCCTAGTTCAAGTAACTGCTCAATATATGTTTATTGAGTGAACAGTAGCTGAAAAGTAGCTCCAGGGGTTTAAACCAATCACACAAGTTGATTTACTTAATTGGAGTTCTGTTCAAGATTTAGCCTCATTCTCTGAATCAGACTTGTGACCTTCAGAACTTTATGTGTGACTAGTCACAGTCATATTTCTCATTGTACATGTCTCCAACTGACTTTCAGCAAATAACCTGCAGCTTTATTTAATACAAATCAGATCATATTAAATATAATTAAAAATCTCTCCATGAAATAGGATAAGATCCCATTGGGGCATCACAAAACACAATTATACCTTCATGGCATATGCTCTTTTTTAGCAAATCTACTTGTGAGTATTAAAGTCTGACAATCCTTTCTCAAAGTTAGTATCATCTTTTAAATAATACCATATACCAAATAAGAATTAAGAAGTCACTGTATTATTTCTATCCTGGATTATTTCTCTAAGCAGAATCATCAACATTGATACATAACAGGGATTTATTTGAGTTCAATGGCAAATCAGTTACATCAGTATAACAGTTAATTATATTCATTCTCTTTAATAGATGATGAAATTCTACAATATGAACTTAATTAAAAGTATCCCAGTGAGCACAGGTATGCTCAAAGTTTCTTTCTGCGCAAGTTGAAACAGATGCGACCACTGGAAGATTTGCTCACTTAGGTCTTCCAGGTCATTGCTAGGGCAATTACCTAAAATGTCATTTGAAGCATTAAACTAAAAATATAATCATCTGAAGAAATTATTATTGATTCCGATTTTCTCTCTGTTATTTGGAGAAGTAATAGGCACAGGAAAAAAGAAGACAGTATTGTGAGTAGGAAAATAGATTATCATACAGTGTTTTTCAAGTTGCAAGAAAAGAAGCATTTAATAATTTCTTCAGACAGGAACAAATCATCATTTAAATAAAGGGACAAACAAACATGATTTAACCTTCAACACAGATATGTGTTACATACACATGCATTCACACACATAAACACAGGCACTTGTGGGTTAGAGCTCTCTCTGGTTAAATTATAATGTCACCGTAGTCACTAATCATGACCAGACACCAGGACAGGACGCGGTACAGAGCAATCCACACTCCAGCTCCCCAACTTGCCAGCAGGCTGCTTTGCAGTGTTTCAGGAAAGAAGAAGAAAATGAGTTGACATCTGCAAGAGATAATGTCTGGAAATTCACTTCTACATCTAGTAAATAACTGCCATTCTTTCCAAAGATGCAGAATTTCGTTGATAAGCTATCTCATCAGTGACTTAACCATTTGGAAACATCTCCCTTCAACTTACTGTTCCGTGTTCTCAAAATAATAGTTTCAGCAAGATCAGGGGAAGCTACCCCTCTCCTTTTTTTCCCCCTTCCCTTGCTTTCAGCACCATCAAAATCTGGAGAGCTGAATAGAGATTACAATTTGTGAAGGGGAAACCTAAGGTTGTATGAGAGATATGAACCCCACCCCCCAATTCCCAGGGGAAAGCACCTGTCTTGAACTTTGCACAAGGATCTGCCACTGAGTTTCATCCTTATTTTCTCTTCTTGCTCTGTATTCCTCATAGTTGAATCATTTGTAGTGAATATTTTTTCTAAGGCATCTGTATTTGTTTTCTATTGCCATTATAGTAACTTACCACAAACTTCACAACTTAAAATATTCCAATTTATTATTTTATAATTCTGAAGGTCAAAAGTCTGGAATCGAACTCCCTAAGCTAAAATCAAGGTATTGGCAGGGCTGCATCCCTTTCTGGAGGCTCCAGGGGAGAATTGGTTTCTTTGCCTTTTCCAGCTTCTAGAGGCTGCCTACATTCCTTGGCTCATGGTCTCTTCCTCCATCTTCAAAGCTGGCAATGTCTACTTGTGTGTTTCTCATGCTGCATCTCTCTGACACTGACTCTCCTGTCTGTTTTTCTTACATGGACCTCTACAACTATATTGAGCCCACCTAGATAATTCAGGATAATCTCTTTATTTTAGGGTCAGCTGATAGCAATCTCAATTCCATCTGCTATCTTAATTACCCCTTGCCATCTAATTTAACATATTCAGATTCTGGGGATGTGGATATCTTTGGGGGACCATTATTCTACCTACCATAACATCTTTCTGGAAGCCTCAGCTTCTACTCAAACAAGCTGACCCCAAGCTAGGGGCCACATCTCTTCTTTGTACTCATGCATTTTTTTCAGTTGAAGTTTTTTCAATTGGAATAAGTTCCAGACTCATTCTGTCCGGTGTGAGAGTAGGTAGCAGCATTTCAAGAGGCTAAGATGCTTCTGTCATCCCAAGCTTTGCAGAGAAAGGGTTGATGGGGCACAGTATGTTTGAGATTTTTTTTTTCCTAGCCTAAGAACCAAATTGGAGATCTTATTTATAGATATTCCACCAATATGTCTTTATTTTCTTCACATATTTTTGGCTAGTAAGTGTTGGAATCATCATCATTTACATATTTCCCCCAATGGAAAATCAGTTACTGGAAACAGAGACAACAAACAGATGGCCATTAGGCCAGCTGTGTTGTGAATAAAAACAGAGTAGAACTAAGTTACAAAGACATGGAAGACAGAATAGACTTGGTTCTGGCCGTTAGCCAGGTTAAATTGGTATGTATGTGGCAACTGTGCTGCAAAACCAATGAAACCATTATGATCAGCTAGACCACAAAGAGAAAGAAAACCTATGAGAACACTGAAGTTGTCCACAAAGAAGCAGATTCTAATATGAAGATTGTGCATCCTAAAGGTTATGCAAGATAACCCATTGGGGTGTGAAACAAACTGTAAGCATTTTTATACCCATATCTCTATTTAAAATAAGAACTTCAACTTTACCAATATTTAAAATACAAGCCAGGCTTGTTGTCACATGTCTGTAATGCCAGCTACTCAGGAAGCTGAGGCAGGAGGATGTCTTGAGCCCAGGATTTCAAGACCAGCCTGGGCAACATAGCAAGAACCCTGTCTCAAAAAAATACAGTTTGACACTGCCACACTCATTGGCTTTGTACTTCAGCCATTCACATATCACACATGTGTATTAAAGAATTTGGGCTGGGCGCAGTGGCTCACACCTGTAATCCCGGAACTCTGGGAGGCCGAAGCGGGCAGATCACCTGAGGTCAGGAGTTTCAGACCAGCCTGGCCAACATGGTGAAACCCCATGTCTACTAAGAATACAAAAATTAGCCGGGCGTTGTGGTGCATGCCTGTAGTCCCAGCTACTTGGGAGGCTGAGGGAGGAGAATGGCTTGAACCCGGGAGGCAGAGGTTACAGTGAGCCGAGATCGTGCCAGTGCACTCCAGCCTGGGCAACAGAGACTCCGTCTCAAGAAAAAAAGAACTTGTTTGTGACTGGGGTATCTTTGGTTCATATGCAGTCACCTTAATGTGGCTAATTGCAATACTCATGAAATTGCTAAGTAGACTGATTATTATATTATCTAGTTTTAACTAAATTGACCCTTACAAAATGGACAAGTGCTTAAAAAATATGCACGTATCTTAAAGATTCTATAAGAAACTGCATAAGAAGATAAAACTAAGATGGGCCCGGGTAAGCATGAAGCAAAAGGAAGAAACAGTATTCCCCCAACCACCAGTGTAATCTCTTCAGTCACAGAAAAATGCCCAGTGTGATCAAATCGGACACATTCAATTTTGAGCACAAAAATATTTTTGTATTTTAAATGCATACAGTAAAAATAAAAATCATGTTATATTAATACTTGTTTCATCTTCCGCTCTGTTTAAATTTTTATTTAGTGCATATTTTAAGATGTTTGTAATAGATTAGTACAATAGTCCATGCTTGTACTTTATATTCTGAGGGTGTATACACATATTTTGAGGGTAGGTATTCAAATTTCTTTTATGGATAAGGGTACACAATCAAGATGGTTTGTAGACCATTGCTCTAGAGGATAGAGCTTTTGGAGGGAGGCAACAAATTCCAAAGGAAAGGTTTGGCATGGAAAAACACTTAAAAGCTCACTGAGAGAAGGGTGTATCAGGGAACTCTAGTGTAGGTCATAGGACTTGCTACACTAAGTTGCAAATTTGTCCAAATCTGACATTGCCAGGAAGCTAAGTCTTGCACTAATCTTTGTGTAGTACTTTTATCCTATAATAGGGTCCATGACATATTAGATAAAGAAAAGAAAATAAACCATAAGGGTCTCAGTGAGATCTTCAAAATTTTACACTTCTACTTTGTTTTTAATGCTTAGTAAAAGAACTGCTGAAAAAGTCATTAAAAAATGAGTATTTTGTCTTTAACCAAGAGCCGGGAAGTATCTCAGAAACATATTTCAACATTAAAATATCAAATAATCAATTTTTATAAGAAGTGCATTTAATTAGCAACTTGGCTATAGCTAGCACACAGTGAGTTAATCTAATAATCAGTGACTCTCTGGACAGAGTCATCTTAAATTCAGCTATTCTTTTATCGATTTAAGAAATGTAATAATATGCATTTTATAGCAAATGGCTAGAAAATTTCAGCTACAGAATACTTCATTCTATGAAGCCTGATTATTTTATGGCTTAGAAGATGTTCATAACTTCTGTTCCAACATGATACAGAAGCATCCTTCAGAATGTTATCTTTAAGATCACAGAAGTTAAGAGATTTAAATTTCAAAGTGAATATTATCCATTTTCTGTTCTTTTTTAGCCTACTTCTAGGCAAGCCCTCTGATGCCCTCATCGTTTGTTTAAAGTTTCTCTTTCTTCCAGGCTACTTTGCGAATCAATTCCAGATCACAGAGGAGAGAAAACCTTATTCCTTTTTTCCACCCCAAGCTCACCTTCCTAGACAAGATTTTTATCTACATTAAATACATTCGCTAACCCAGGATAGTGACCTACCCATAGCAGTGGCTTCTGTGGAGCTCAGCAGAACATAGAGAAGTCCCACAATGCTTGATTAAAGCCATCAGGAAAGCCTGAGGTAATTCTAAAAGATCCCACTCTGTGGTACAAAATGGCCCTAGAAGCCAATCTTCTGACTACTTGTCATTTTATTTCATTTCATTTCATTTTTTCTTTTCTTTTCTTTTTTTTTTTTTTTTTTGATTCAGGGTCTCACTCTGTCAGGCTGGAGTGTATGGTGTGATCTCGGCTCACTGCAGCCTCGATTTCCTGGGCACAAGCAATCTTCCCACCTCAGCCTACTGAGTAGCTGGGCTACAGGCGAGTGCCACCAGCTAATTTTTTGTATTTTTTGTAGAAATGGGGTTTCACTGTGTTGCCCAGGCTGGTCTCGAACTCCTGGGCTTAAGTGATCTGCCTGCTTCGGCCTCCCGAGGTGCTGAGATTACAAGTGTGAGCCACCACCTGGCCTTGTCATTTTGTTACCGTTAACACTTTCCTCTAGGTCTGGTTCCCAATGCGCAGAATCCGGGGAATTTGAACAGGGCTCTCTTGGAGAGTTGTTTCATTCTATGTGCTGGGATAAAAACAAATTATTTTTCCTGCTAGGAATGCACTAAAGATCCCTCCACTGTATCTTCCAGGAGGTTCATATTAGTATTTGCTTTAGGGATAATGTTTTGGATTGCACCACAGAGCAAAGTTTTTGGTCAGACAATCTAATGGGACTAATAACAGCCGACCTGAACATTGACAATTCTTGCACATTATCCCATTCCATCCTCACAGATCAGAGAAACCCAATTAGGTAACATTTCCCCACTTCATAGACCAGGGAAGGAAATTTCTGAGAGGTTAATTGATGTGCTGAAAGGCACATAAAGTGCCCGGCTCAGTCCCACGTCTGGCTCTAGATTCCTTTTTAGTTCTTCTGTATTATGCTGTCTCTTCTAAATGGATTATTAGGTTGGTAATGTTATTCTTAGTCATTCTGCCCAAATAATGAATAACAGATTATACATTTAAGATGTTAAAATGTATCATAATTTTATTATAACTGAAAATGTTCAGAATTTTTTTAAATAATAATTTTGGGGAAAAGAAAACTTCCTTATACATTGTTTCCTCAGTATTTTTTTCATTAGGTATTTTTTCCATTTGGCTGTGGCAATCCTTGAGATTGATTCTCACTGTCAGGGTCATAACTCTCTCTCTTTCACCCAGCGGTAACCATGGAAACATATGTATAACACGTCCTGCTTCTTTTAATATGATTATTCATGAGTTGCCATAAAAATATAAAGTGTATTTGTTTGCATATTTAATTGTTAAAATAACACAAGTATTTGCTTTTAAAATACCTACTCATAGCTCTGTGGTCATGTATACATAAAGTACCAACCATTCTTAAATCCTAGGATTAAGAAGTGACATGTTGCAAATTTAGAGTACCTTGCTCTTCACCAGTTGTATAGCAAAAGAGTTTTAGTCAGTTTAGAAGTACCATGGGTCCACCGCGTGGTGGCTCGCACGTGTAATCCCAGCACTTTGGGAGGCTGAGGCAGGTGGATTGCCTGAGGTCAGGAGTTTGAGAGCAGCCTGGTCAACACAGTGAAACCCTATCTCTACTAAAAATACAAAAAATTAGCTGGGCATGGTGGTAGGCGCCTGTAATCCCAGCTACTAGGGAGGCTGAGGCAGGAGAATCGCTTGAACCTGGGAGGTGGAGGTTGCAGCAAGCCGAGATCGCGCCATTACACTCCAGGTTGCAGTGAGCCAAGATTGCACCATTGCACTCCAGCCTAGGCAACAAGAGTGAAACTCCATCTCAAAACAACAAAAAAACAAAAAAACAGAAAAAAAAAAAAAAAAAAAGAAGCAGCAGCAGCAGCAGCAGTACCATTGGTCGAATTAGGGTTCCTGTCCCATTTTTCTGCATACATTTAAAGTCTAATGTGATATAGTAAGTACTTTCTCCTTTGAAGATCAGCTATAATCTCAGAACTTAATATTTCACTTGTATAGAAGTTACTCTTAAATCAGATTCTATGACCCAGACAGCCATCCAGAATTTTAGTTCGTCATCTCTAGCTTCCTAATAAAAATATCCAAGTGGATGTCCCACTACCCCTTCCAATTCAATTTGCCTAAAACCAAACTTGTTATCTTTCCTTCAGGGTTCAAGTCCTTTCAGAAATTTCTTAATTCAATCTCCAATCCCATCATTCTCTTAGTTACTCAGGCTTAAACTTTTGTTATCCTACGGCATTTTCTTTCTCTCTTCTTTCACGTCCTATATCCTATAAATTATTCTTAGCTTCTACTAGCCTTTCTATTTCCACTGCCACACTTGTTACATTGTGCTGAGACTACCCTACAGTGCTTTAACAAGTCTTCTCCCCCAGCTCTCATCTCTTTGTATCTGCCTTCCAGTCTACTCCAAGGTCGAACTGTCTAACTCAACATTTTGCATATGACCCTCACCCCCTCACGACAACCATTTCTTCTAAATTAAATTGATGTATAACACCATTCAAAAGTTATTTCTTTCAGCTTCAAAACAATCACTCCAGTATATACATTACTTGCCAACATGATGTGAGGTGAACCACATTTCTTGCCCACACGCTGTTCTCATTTCTGTTCTAGTTCCTCACTTATGACTTGTAAATTGAAAGCACCTAGATTTCTGTTGTTATTCTGGATGAGTAATGGCAGGACAACCCTAAATCCCAAGTATTTCTGTGGCTCTTTTAAGGAAAAGAAATATACAAAAATAGTCTAAAGGAAGAAAAATATAAATATTCTAAACATTAGTCTTATATCTGTGTTACATTGCCATTATATCAGTTTTGCTTGAAATAAGACTGTGGAGATTAGATATTAGTTTTAATTTATGACATTTGGCAATTGTAAACAATTTGTGTTACTTTATTCTTTTAGAATCTGTGTAGTTTTCCAAAATTAAAATTAAAATTCCATTTCTAGCCATAGAGGAGTCTTCTTAGTTCTATTTGAGTCAACAATCATTTTTAAAGTTTTAATTTGAAAATTAAGGACAGATCCAACTAGGATTGTGAGTCCAGCAGACATACTGTGTGAGCACACAGCTGTGGCATATCTGTGGAACGGATAAGGGTGGCATATTTTGGCACTTGTGGAACTTATTCCCATCATTTTAAACAATGCTTGGTAGGTTTATATCAACAGATTTATTTTCCCTTCAGCTATTACGAGAGTAAAGCAGAGACCTAAGGTCTGGCATATGAATCTTACAAATGAGGGATTTTTAACTAGGAGCGACTCTGAAAGCTTCTTACATTCTTGGGACAGTCTGCAGTCATAGATTGAATGAGAAAAGCCTCATATTTTGGCTGGGTGCGGTGGCTCACACCTGTAATCCCAGCACTTTGGGAGGTCGAGGTGGGCGGATCATCTCAGGTCAGGAGTTCTAGACCATCCTGGCCAACGTGGCGAAATCTCGTCTCTACTAAAAATACAAAAATTAGCCGGGCATGGTGGTATGTGCCTGTAAGTAATCCCAGCTACTTGGGAGGCTGAGGCAGGAGAATCGCCTGAACCTGGGAGATGAAGGTTGCAGTAGGCTGAGATCACTCCACTGCACTCCAGCCTGGGCAATAGAGCGAGACTCCGTCAAAAAAAAAAAAGAAAAAAAAAAAAAAAAAAAAGAAAAGCCCCATGTCTTTTCATTGACCATATACGATCTCTTAACCAGCACAGCATTGATGCATTTCAGCCATCTCACAAAACTTCCCTTTTATCATTCTGAAATGATTTTATCTTTCCCAAGAGACTGATAGACAAAGCAGCTTTGTATACTCACGTCCTGGTTATTGTGCATTATTAGGAAACAGATAGGAAAGCTACCCTCATACAGAGGCTATGTAAATATTATTTGGGGAAGAGGAAAAACACATATGGGTGCTAAGAAGATAAGACAGTGCCTCTGACCGTTCTATTTGATGTTTCTTAAACCTGCATTGTTATGAAAACTCAGGTAAATGAATTTGTAATGACTACTGAAAATGAAACAGGAGTATACTTGAATAAGTATTGACATTTTTTTTTCAGGTCATTTACTTTAAGACTCACAAAGAACATATTAGCTAATAGAATTCATGGCCAAACCATGATGTAAATGGAGCTAAGGTCAGAATTAGATTCCTTAGGGAGCTGAAGAAAAAACACGGCTATGACCCTAAAACCAATCTGCTGACTGTTTTCTGCTGACTCTTTTCTGATGCAAAGTAAATGGTGGGAAAAAAAAAACTGATACTAAAAACAAACAAATAAACAAAAAAACCTCTAACTATCCAACCACCTGTGCAATACAATAGCTTTCTATAAAATAAAACAGAATGGAAAAAAAATCTCAAAATCATGAGTTGAACCAATGAAACATACGGGTTGGTTCAGCATTGCAACCAGATGTCATCTTAATAAAAACCAACACTATTAGCTCTTTGATGATTAATAATAGTAAATACCATTATCACACTCAAATATGACTCTTTAGGCTGGGTTACTAATATATACAATCAACCTGCATTTTTCCCGTCTTTCCGGATTTGACAGGAAGAGTGGCTGTGGCATGGAGGAAGATTAAAAGTCTAAGAGAACCTCGGATTTAGATTCTAGTTGCGGCCCTGCCCTTTCTTAGTTGTGTGACCTTGAGAAAATCAGCTAACCTCTCTGAATCCTATCCCTTCACTTGAAAGTGTGTTAAAATGGCACTTATACATGATAATTGTATAAATACGTTTATATATGGCATATATAAGTAATACATATGTAATATGACAGTATTGAAGTTAATATAAACTAATATGATATAATGTGTTTATATACTATTTACAAATTATATATTAATATAATGTATTTATATTAACATAAATACATGTATATTAGTTTAAATTATATATGAAAATCTTATAATTAAAATTTTTACATATAATTATTAATATATCATAAATTTCTATATTATATATAATAAATTTATATATAAATCATATCTATACACACAATGCTTTGTCATGTGGGGTCATAAAAGAGTACTGCAATCATTATTATGTCTTCGGTTAACTTTACAATGAAAAGCTTCTTAATCAATATTAAACTACGGGCAAATATAATGCTGCTGCCTTCTAATGTAATTTACTTTAGGAAAAGCAATTGATGAGATAAAAGGTCTTTCTCTTTTTTCATTTTTATTTTTTTGAGACAGAGCCTCGCTCTGTTGCCAGGCTGGAGTGCAGTGGCACGATCTCAGCTCACTGCAACCTCCAGTTCTCTAGTTCAAGCGATTCTCCTCCTCAGCCTCCCGAGTAGCTGGGATTACAGGCACACACCACCATGCCCAGCTAACTTTTGTATTTTTAGTACAGACGGGGTTTCACCATGTTGGCCAGAATGGTCTCAATCTCCTGACCTCGTGATCTGTCTGCCTTGGCCTCCCAAAGTGCTAGGATTACAGGCGTGAGCCACCGCACCCGGCCAAGGTCTTTCTCTTTTTAACTTTGTTTGCAATACCTAGCTTGCCTTCATGCTGTTATATTAGGTTAGCATTAATTTTCCATTATTGGAGCAGATTGCCTACAAGCACACACATACAAATAGTACACTGAGGAGGAAGGAGCCAGTGCTGAAGTTCTTTTTCTGAAACGTAATAGAGCTTTTCTCATTACTGCAAATACATGAATGAATGAACAACATTGCAAGCACAGACGTTGCATACATTCTCTCATCAAGCAGCGCCATCACTGCCTTAGTACTTTTTGTTGTTGTTCAGCATTATTGATTTTTCCAACAATCGAGTTTGTTTGCAATAAACTGAACTGGAGCATAACCTTCACTAATTAGAAAAAATGTATGGGTATTAGCTTAAGGAAGCAATAACACTTCTTGTACGTTTTCTATCGAAACTCAGGGTGATGCTTTGTAGGAGTGCTATTGTTTCTTTTCCCCCTTGTGACAATGTTGTTAAGTATGATGCAAAAAAGTCCAAAGACCTTTTAAATAATTTGCATCCATTCTAGAAGGAAGAAGAACTACAAAGGCCAGGTGTGAATGGATATGAAAATAGCAACTTAGAATAGAAATATCTGCCATTACTCTCTCTGCATACCTCTAAGCCTTTGTCCCTATTTACAATTGTTTTTATATTCTGGTCCACTTTGAAAGTGAACACCTTAAGGATCTTTGTTTTAACTATAAAATTTAGAAAATATTCCTTGATTCATATTTATATTTGCTGGGTAATTATCATTTATAAAATCATAGTTGAACTAAGAAGCTAGAAAAAACTACATGTGTGATTAACTGTTTAGTTTTTCACCATTTCTGGTCAGGCTGTTTGAATTGGCCAATGCAGATTTCTTCATCCCAGCAAAGCTTAATCATAGAAGTAATTTCAATTATATAATAAATAAAAGCTGCTTTGCCTCAGCATATTCAGTGATTAAAAATGAGTCGTTTTTTAAAATTTTCAAATCTGACAGTATTTCTTGAAAGAAATAATTTGTGATGGAAATAAACTGAAAATGAGGAATACAATGGTCATTGAGGTGCAAACCAATGCAACAGAATAAAGTTAACATGAAATTTGAAATTATTGCCCAGAAATCAAAGTAACTATAAAAATATAGCTGTTATTAGGGAAATCTCTAGTAGGAAAAGAAAGCCAGAAATTATCACATTAGCATTACCATGGGATGTCATTCTAGTTCTTAAATAGAACTAAAGACGAGAGCATCGTGACTCTACCATTCATATGAAGGAGACTAAATAGACAATGATCTTGAATCCATTTCCTTTTAAAAATCTTAACAGCATAGGGTAAGTATTTGGTGATGGATTCTTGGCTGCAGAAAATTCCTCATGATAAACAGGGTGCTATCATTAAATAACACACATGCTAAATGCTGGGAATACATTAATTCCTCCAAGTCCAATTCCCTGTAAGTCATCTTATTCTCTAAAAATCATTGTCATAAAGGGAATTCTGTGTGTGACATCTGAGAGTAAGCATGTTTAGAAGTGTCTCAAGAGTACCTGACAGTAATAAAATCAGGAAGGTAAGACAAGAATTATCCAGTCTTTGCAGGGTCAAAAATGACCCTTCTCTTTATTCCTTAAGTTTTTTGTGTTTTTTTTTTTTTTTTTTTTTTTTTTTTTGGTGAGATACAGTTTAGCTCTTCTTGCCCAGGCTGGAGTGCAATGGTGCGGTCTTGGCTCACTGCAACCTCCACCTCCTGGGTTCAAGCAATTCTTCGGTCCCAGCCTCTCAAGTAGCTGGGATTATAGGCGTCCGCCAACATGCCCGGCTCATTTTTGTATTTTTAGTAGAGATGGGGTTTCACCATGTTAGCCAGGCTGGTCTCAAACTCCTGACCGCAGGTGATCCACCCACCTCGGCCTCCCAAAGTACTAGGATTACGGGCATGAGCCAACATGCCCAGCCCTATTCTTTAATTTTTAAGTAGCTTTGGCCTTCACTAGCATTACTACAGTCCTATATGTAAAAGTATACTGCTGATGAGGAAAATATACCTCATTTAAAATGTGTGCTTTAAAGTCGAGTCTCTGCTATCTACCATACCAATGTAGGTTTTGGTCACTATCAAGTTATTTTCGTTCTCAGCAAGTAAAACTGCCATGTTCTTCATGATTTTTTTCTATGCATACACAGTCATTGCTAAGATAAACATTATTTTTAGACATCAAAATTCCTAGCTTATTATTTTACATCATATTAGTGCAATTGTCAAGAGACAATTTTATATTTCTTAATTCACTTTTTCTCTTTGTAATCTGAGTTCCCCAAATAAGAGAAATATTAATAAGGGTGGCATATTTTGGCACTTGTGGAATTAACTAGCAATATGTAAATTCCTAAATAGCATACTGTTAAAATGCTTCTATTCTTCAAACTCTAATAATTTGCTAAGAAATTATGATAATAAATTTTAAGAATTTTTGGCTAAGTGCAGAAAAATCTGTTGAATTATTAATACATTAGCAAAATGTATCATTTAGGGAAATAATTTTATTGTAAGGAAAGAACTTAGAAATTTGATAATAAGCATAATTTAATGAATAATTTTCTGAATGAGTCATTTCTTTGCAATAAAAAGAATTTTTCTCTCTACATATGTGTGGAGCAAGTTTCTGTAAAGGAATCCAAAACTTGTAAGGAAGGGAAGCCAAAGAATTACCAAAAAATATTCCTGGGTGTTTTGAGGTTTCATAAGATATTTGATAACATATTGAATGACTCTCTTTGTGAAACATTTAGTAGCAGACAGTGCAGGAAAAAGCTCATTCTTTTTTTTTTTTCTTCGCGACAAATTCTTACTCTGTCACCCAGACTGGAGTGCAGTGGCGCGATCTCAGCTCACTGCAACCTCTGACTCCTGGGTTCAAGTGATTCTCATGCCTCAGCCTCCCAAGTAGCAGGGATTACAGGCATGTGCCACCATGCCTGGCTAATTTTTGTATTTTTAGTAGAGACAGGGTTTTGCCCTGTTGGCCAGGCTGGTCTTGAACTACTGGCCTCAAGTGATCCACCCGTCTTGGCCTTCCAAAGTGCTGGAATTACAGGCGTGATCCGCTGCACCCAGCTGAAAGCTCATTCTTTACTAATCATGAAACCCTATATTAAAAAAAACAAAACAATAAACTATTAGGCTGGTCTTTTCCAGTGATATAGCCAAAGCACCATGCCAGCAAGTGAAACATAATAGGCCCTCAATAAATAATTGTTGAAATAGCCATATGATCAGACTTCACACACAAAGGCTGAACTGAGTTGAGGTAATTCAGGATAGAACCCACTGGATAATCAAGCACATAATATTGGCTTTAATTATGTAGCTGTTTCAGAATTGAGAGGTGATGAAGGGACTCAAACAGCTTGATGCTCTGGCTACTGGGCTGTTTGGATGGCTATGTGCTCTTTGCTCTTACTCCATTGTGAATTTCTGAAGCCAGGACAGCCTTAATTAGATGTGAGTCTGATATGATAAATATGTTGCTATGGTGAATATGAATGTTTCATACAACAATATTTCATGCCAATTAACAGTAAATTCCAAATACTTTGCCAATAAAATTGAAAATACCATTATTCCATTGGCCTGTCCATGATGGCATAAATAATGCATATTTGTTTATTTATCAAGAGGGCTCTTATTGAACACCCTGAGCTTTCTAACAGTTATCTCCCTTGTGCAGTGTGCCAGCTCATTAGGAAGACTAAAGTCACAGTGGAGTCATCCTGAAATGACTTCAACACAAATTCCATGTAAAAAGATTTTTGGAGAGCCATCTGTCCCGGGGTCTAGGTTATCTTTTGGAAATTGGAACTAAATGGATGAAAAGTATAGAAATGCTTTGGTCTTCCAAATACTTTCTTAATCACCTCTAATTGTAAAAAGAGGAAAAAGTGGCTTTAAGAAAAAATAGCAAATTAAATTAATTCATAAGCTATTTTGTATGATACAGGAGACAGACATTTATAAAAGTAATTGTGCTTAGTTATCTTATTGCAAGCCTTCATCTCCACATTTGACTTCACTGGCAAATGCGGCAACTTACAAAACAAATCAGGCCATTTCAACGCTAGTACTACAGAGCTTGTTTTTCTCCCCCAATCTTAAAGAGACTTCATGGATATTTTAATGTTAGATTTTACAATTTAACATATTAAGATATGATTACTAAAGACTAATTCTTGTCTCTGCTACCTCCATGATTTCATTACTGTCATGTGCCGTTGGGACGCTTATAAAGCCAGAAACAACTGTAGCAGAATGTGTAGATTACATGCCATTAGTTTCACTGTTCATAATGCCGAGCATATTCCAGAGTATGTGCTGAATGCCTCCAACCTTCATGAAGATATCCTTTTTCCTTTTTTCCATAAAAAGACATCATTGATGGCAACTAGTATAATGGACAGATCATTCAAAAAGCACATTTGATCATCAAACATTTTCCAGGTACCAAAAACTTTCTGGAAACACACAATAGAATTTAAACCTAGTAAGAAGGCTGGATGTGAACATATTGAACTCTAAGCCAATAAAATGTACAATAATAGAGGTATGCAATTAGTATATGGAGACACAGTTGATGATGCCATTAATTTTTCTTTGGGAGGTAATAATTATAACATCTAATCTTAACTGAGTAATTACTGTGGGTCACATTCTGCTTTAAGTGCTTTAAATGTACTAACAGAGTGAGAGGGAATGGATATTATTTCCATGTTTTTAGACTCTAAGATATAATGCATCTTATCCAAAGCCATGGGGCTAGTTGGCAGTGGAGCTAACATTTTAACTCGGGAAATATGGGTCCAAAACCTAGGTTTTTGGCCCCCAGGCCATACTGCCTTTCTGTTTTAGAGTCATCTAAGAAAAGTCTGGAGACAAATTGATATTTTTGTTAAAATCTAAAATATGAAGATGACTTCATCATTTAAAGAAAGAGTAGGAAGAGAATTTAAACAAAGGACATATAGTGAGCAAAATTAGGAAGAAATATGGGTCCAAAACCTAGGTTTTTGGCCCCCAGGCCATACTGCCTTTCTGTTTTAGAGTCATCTAAAAAAAAGTCATCTAAGAAAAGTCTGGAGACAGATTGATATTTTTGTTAAAATCTAAAATATGAAGATGACTTCATCATTTAAAGAAAGAATAGAAAGAGAATTTAAACAAAGGACATATAGTGAGCAAAATGAGGAAGAAATGAAAGGGAGAATAAATTGATGGGAAGTTGCCCAAAGTTTGAGTTGCTAAATTGGAGGGCATGCAGGAAGCAGCATGGGAATGAAATTGTAAAGGGAGATGGAGCCCAGACTAGGAGTCACCTTGTAGGCCATGAAATAGGATTTGGGCCTGTTCTGTGGGATCCCTTAGGGGATATTGTTATACTCACTCTTAACATTATACTGACTCCCTAGCCAGGTCAAAGTACAATTTAAGCTGCCAATGAAATATATTGGCTTTAAATTTTTGTCACCATTTTTAAAGTGTAGTGTGGAACTGAAACATTATATAAACATTGTATAGACAAAAGAAACCATCTATTCTAAATATTCTTAAGCTGTTTGAATAATGATTGGTCTAAATGTATTCCTTTCACATAAATTATATAAACTCCCTTTGAAATGATGTATGAGTTAAATAAGCAATTTTTATGTTAAAAAGTTCAGTAATTTTAAAAATGAAAATGCTCTTACTGAAGCCTCCAAATCATGCATACTATATACAATCTTTTATGTTGTAAATGTCCATGATAAAAGAAAACAAACAAAACAAGACATCAGCACCACCACCAATAAAATTTCAATCAGAAGGGATCACTTGGTTTGAAACTTTATGCAGCTCTCAGATAGCCAGACTTTCTTTGTCAAAAACATTCAATACAATGTTTAGGAAGTGTCGTGTTTAACAGAAAACATCATGTGCTAATATTAATTTGGAAAATTCTATGTGGTGGCTGACACCCTACAGTGTTCCAGTCTCTTGGAAGCTATTCGGGAATAGTGAGTGTTCCTTCTAACTGTTTTATGTGGGGGTATGTGGAATCTTCTAATCTCCAAAGCCACTAGGCTTCTATCCTGACTCTTATTTCCTGATATATGGACCCTCTTCTTAACTCTGGAGTGTTGGACTTTCTCTTTTCTGCCCTTCACTGGTGGCTTGGTTTAGTTTTCTGGTAACTGCATTTCTTCCTGAGCACATCCAGAATCTTCTCAGAGGAGGCAATCATTCCATTCTTTCCTTGTGACACCTCAATTCTCCATCTCCTTACCCAAAGAGCCTCCTTTATGTGTCACTTTCCCTTTGAAATTATCTTTTCTTTCTTAGAAAACTTTTCGTTTCTATTTTAAGAAAAGCTGGGTAACGTAAGAACATGAAACATTAAGAGGCAGATGGTAAATTGATTAGACATAAGATGCTTCGTATTTGTATCCTCTGTCCTGTTTTCCACTTTTTCTTCAGAAAGTAGTCCGTGACTTTGTATTCATAGCTGTTTTTCACTTTACATATCAAGAACCAATGTTTGGGAAACAAATAATTGTGAGTAAGTGGTTATATTGAGTTGCATATCAGAAGATATTTAATTTTATAGGTTAAATTTATAATATGAATTGCTATGGTATAATTTTGAGAAAAAAAATCATTTTTAGTCATTACAAATATTTATTAATGGCCACACTAGGAAACAAAGATTATGAGCCTCATATAGGATACATTTTTTGAACTTGCAAAGGAATACACCATATTTCATTAGGTCAGTAGGTCTTTCCCTCCTTAGGTATTGATACGCCTACAAGTGTAATGACGTGGCATTTATAATTTGGTAAAAATAATTAAAGTTCATTTTTGTGAACAACTTAGTTTTTAACCAATTAGAATCTACTTAGATACATTCTATAATTACATCACCCTAAGATATTTACAATCTGATCAATGCTATTTTTCATGAGGAAGAGTGATAGAATTAGAGCCACAGTCTAGCTGATGTAATTATAGCCATGGAACGAAACATATGTGCCTGCCATTTATCTCAGGTATCTCATTGAAAAAAAGGATGAGAAAAGCTGATCCAGAGTAGGTCACTAAGCATCATCCATAAATTGAGAATTGGTTCTCAAACAATAACTTTGAATCAGCAGAAATCCAGTGTTTGCTAAAAGCTATACATGAAGAGTTAAAGTAGTTGATCCCCTCAACTCTAGTCTCTGCTTATTTTTATATTAAAAGTCAAATGCTTGCTTTGTTCTGAAATTAATATACATATACACACATATATACATATATATATACACATATGAAATATAACATGAATATGTGGATTATATCAGAGCAAGTCATCATCTAAAACTAGATTCTAGCTAATATTTCAGCAAATATGGGCTAAAAACCTATGTGGCCACAAAATATTGATACAGCTGTGAATAAATTAGGTATAATTCCTTCTAAAATTTTCAGTCTACAGTGGAGACAGCCATTAAATAAATTATCATGTACTAACCAAAATAAATAACTGCTTATCATTACTGAATTTCTGATGTTCTTGCAAAAACAATTTGAAAAACTATATGTATAAATTTACTACTGAATATGGTAGTCATCCTTTAAAAGACAATTTAATGGCTTCTTGGCCTTTTGGCTAAGATCAAGTATAGTATCTGTTCTTATCCATTTAAAAGACAATCTACCATAATACCTGAGGAAGAACATATATTTTATAATAACATAAATATAATACGTGTTCTCAAATAAAAATTAAGCCTTCTAACAAGTGATTTTACTTTTAGGCACGTAACTTCAAAAATATGGAAAAATGGACGCTGGGTGTGGTGGCCCAAACCTATAATCCCAGTGTTTTGGGAGGCCGAGGTGGGAAGATCACTTGAGGCCAGGAGTTTGAGACCAGCCTGGGTAACATAGTGAGACCCCATCTCTACCAAATTATTTTTTAATTAGCTGGGTGTGGTGGTTCACACCTGTAGTCCTATCTACCTGGGAGGCTAAGGCAGGTGGATCACTTGAACCCAGGAATTTCAGGTTGTAGTGAGCTGTGATCACACAGCTGTGCTCCAGCCTGGACAACAGAGTGAGACCTTGTCTCTCAAAAAAACATGAAAAAATGTAACTACCTATATCTATATATCATATATATGTGTGTGTATATATATACACACACATATATATATGATAATATGTAACTACCTATATCTATCTATTTTATATATATATATGTATATATATGTGTGTATGTATATATATATATATATATATATACACACATATATATATTAGGTCCCACAGATGTACAAATTTTTAATGTACTTTTATTGTAAATAAACACTGCTGGATTTATATATCAAAAATATTGCTGATTAAGACTTGATGGCCCGGGCGCAGGGGCTCACACCTGTAATCCCAGCACTTTGGGAGGCCGAGGCAGGTGGGTCACAAGGTCAGGAGATCGAGAACATCCTGGCCAACATGGTGAAACCCTGTCTCTACTAAAAATACAAAAATTAGTCAGGCGTTGCGGCATGCGCCTGTAGTCCCAGCTACTCAGGAGGCTGAGGCAGGAGAATCGCTTGAACCCAGGAGGCGGAGGTTGCAGTGAGCCGAGATTGCGCCACTGCACTCCAGCCTGGGCGACAAATCGAGACTTTGTCTCAAAAAAAAAAAAAAAAAAAGACTTGATAGACATTAGAAAGTTAACTGAGGGAAGTCATCAAATCCACTTCCTTAAATAGGTAAGATTCTCCTTCGATGGTGCTAATTCCTTTGAGAATACTTGAATGAAAGGAGATGAGCGTTCATGTATTATTTGAATACTGAATCAATGCTTTCCTGAGTAACCTTGGTGATATGGTCCTTCCACATCTGAGAGTTTATTTTGCATCCCCAGATATTCTACCTTCATTGCAATTTTTCCTCCAATTGGTTTAGAAATGGTACAGAGGAAAGTTAGTAAAAGTAATCACTCTAAAAGTGAGTCATTTATTCTTTTATCCTATGTAAGTAAAAGAACTGAAAATCAAGCAGTTAGCTTTACCCTGTGGTCTCAAACATATGAGTTAAAAGACATAATAAAAACTATCAATGTGTCCAATATATTTGTCCTTAGCATCATTAATCTATTCCTTGTAAGGTTGGAGTTTATAAAATGAGACTCCATAAAGAGAGAGATACCTAGTCTAAATCAAAGTGTGTGCGTTATGACATAGTAGAATATATTGATAAGTTAACTGAAATCAGGTAATTGCGGGTAGATTGGCTTAACATGTCCAAAACATTCTGTGTAAGTTAAATGACTGGTAAGTAAAATGGTGGGACTCATGAAAGTTAATTTAATTATATCAGTCAAAAATACATAAAATAATTTCAATACTGTTACAACCTCACTCTAGTAGGTGTTTCTCAGAGGCACTTGCTTCATTGTTTATTTGTCATCATTCCTAATAAACATATATTTGAGTTCATGTCATCTAAAAATAAATGGCCTACCCTACAGAGACATGGAAAACTGATGTAGGCATACACTCACCCAACATTTAATGACCTGAATCCATCTCAATGACTTCCTTTTCTATTCAAATAACCAGTTTGGAATTTGATTTACTAAAATTAACTTTTGTGGTATTGTTTCAACAAAGGACAGCCTTTTGTGTGACAACCTATAATATTTAGCTACTAAAAGACCTACCATATTTCTCTCCCACTGAGAATTATTTGTTATCTAATATCACTTATAGACTTCATGTAAATCAAATAATTATTTCTGGCTCTGCATGGTGTAAGGATGATTAAAAACTTGTCAAGCTATCAGAAGAATAAGGCCACTTCCCAGCATGGAATGACATTATTTATTCTAGGTCCAATGATTGGTACCAGAACTGACCCTTAATAATAATATTTATGACATGGGGGTGGGAGGGGAGAAACCATTTAGAATGATTAGTCTTATCACAATCCTAAGGCATTAGAATTTTCAAAAGTGCTGAAATAATTGTGCAACTTTAAGGAAATGTATAAGAAGGTAGCTAAATTATCACTGAAGTTAGTGAACACTATGCAGTGCTAATCATGTATGGCTTCTCAAAAGCATTTAACACTCTTGACAACTGTCCTCTTGAGATGCTGTACCTACTTCCCTCTCTGTTCTTCAACTTTTTCTCTATTCATTTGCTGTCTCTTTGGCTGTTTCTCTGTATTTTGTTCCTCCATTACATATTTGAATCCTGTGATTTGTCATGCATTATCTTTGCTTTTCATTTTATGTGCTGTTCTGGAAAATTCTACTCCTTCAAGTGCGTTTACTGCTTTTCATATATTCTTTAGGCAAGATCTTTTTCTTGACCTTCAGGCCCATATCAGCACACCAGGAGAAATCTCCCACTGATAACTCAGATTCATCCTGGATAAATTGATCTCATTATCTGTCATTCAAAACTGGCTTTTCATAATATATGGCTCCAAAATTCTTATAGTCATGTAGCAAAATTCCTGGGAGTTATTCTCCCTCACAGTCCCATCCATTAAAATCTGATAAGTGAACTGAAATGCTACTCAAAACTCTATTCTGGGTCTTCTTTCCCCACTACCCTGACTCATGTTCCCATTACCTGTCCATTATCACCATTCCAAAAGACTCTCTGCCTGAATTCTTGCACATCTATAATCCAGCTTCCCAAGTGTGTTTTTTTAATACACAGAAACGATTAGCCGCAACAGCCTTTAACAATACAAGACTGCCTGAAGTCCAAACATACTAACTTGACATAAGTATCCTTTGTGGTCATATGTTGAGCCTCCTTTCCAGCCTCCTTTAGCTTGGTCACCTTTGTGCTCTAAGTTTCAGCTATACTATGCTACCAAGGCATAGCAGGATGTTTCACACCTATATGCATGAGCATGATGTGTATGTGCATGGACACATATGTTTTACACAATTCTCACTGCTTATAAAACACACTGCATCAGCTGTCTATTGTTACGTAACAAATTAGCACACATTTAATGGCTTAAAACAATACACATTTATTATTTCACAATTTCTGTAGGTTAGAAACCTGGGCATGGCCATGCTGGGTCCTTTGCTTCACAGTGTCTCATAGATGGCAATAAAGGTGTCAGTCAGGACTACAGTCTCATCTGAGGGCTCAACCGGGGAAGGATCTGCTTCTATATTCACTCAGTGGTTGTTGGCAGAATTTAGTTTCTCAAGGCCTTAATTCCTAACTAGGTGTTGGCCAGAGGCCTTTTTCAGTTCCTTACTACAAGGGCTTCTCTATAGGCAGCTGCCTCATAAGTATGGCAGCTGCTTCACCAAAGCCAACAGTGAAGAGAGTCTTTTAGCAAGATGAAGTTCACAATCTTACATAACCTAATCACTACAGTGATATTCCATCATCTTTGACATTTTCTATTTTGTAGGCAACTAGGTTTAGCCCACTCTGAACAAGTTGGAATTACACAAAGATGCAACTATTAGGAGGCTGGGATTATGAGGAGCCATTTCAGAATCGACCACACCCACCAACCCCACCTTCCTTTACCCCCATCAACCTGACAACACCTGCTCAAATTATTGAAGACTCATGTGACTTACCAAGACCTCAGTTTTTCAATATTTCCCAACAAACCCACCATGAAGTTGGTTACTCCTTTCTTCATACTCCCAGTACACCTCCAATATTATTTTTCAATTATTGTTTACATAGTTTTCTCTCCCGTCAATACTTTGAGAACAAAAAATGTAGTGTGTTATTTTCTACTCTCTGGTAAGATCAGTCCAAAGAAAGTGCTCATTAAATGTTGAATAATAATTGTTTAAAGTAAATAAAACCACAGATATTAAATACATAAAATTATCTGGAAACAGGTAATTACCCCAGGGATAATTGACAGCTAACGATGTGCTTAACATCTGAATGTATCATTTACTTTAGTTAGAGTACACATGGTAATCTTTTGTGAGTGACATCACAAAGTGACAGATTCGGATGTCTCTATTATTTTTAAATTCTTTCAAATGAGAAACAACTATAAAATGAAATGCGATGTGGATAATATAGTATAGTGGTTAAGATCACTGGCTTTAGCATCAGTCAATGGGATCAAATCCCACTTCTACCACTTATTAACTGTATGGTTTTGGACAAGTTACTTTAACCTCTCTGTTCCTTTCTTTACTGGTCTGTGAAATGGGGTCTGAAATTGCACCTACCTCATAGGGCTGTTATAAAGATTAAATACAATTATTTATGGAAAGCAGTTAATAAAGACCTAGTGTGTATTTGACTCTCAGTAAATGTCAATCATTATTATCTCCTAGTATACTGAAATAGAAAGATGTCCATAATATGAAACTTGGAGAGATGTATGTAAGTTGTTAATTATCTTTAATATATACATAGATATATACAGTTAATTCATCTATATGTTTGTATATGGGAAAATTGGGAAGTATACACAGATTTTTAATAATGATTATTTCCAGGAATTAGGGAAGAGGTGAGGGTGGATAACTTTATTTTTTTATTTTGCAGATTATTGTATTATTTGAATTATTCTAAATAAGCATATATCACCTTTCTCTTTTTTTTGAGACGGAGTTTCACTCTTGTCTCCCATACTGGGGTGCAGTGGTACTATCTTGGCTCACTGGAACCTCTGCCTCCCAGGTTCAAGCGATTCTCCTGTCTCAGCCTCCCGAGTAGCTGGGATTACAGGCGCCCACCACCATGCCAGACTTATTTTTGTAGTTTTAATAGAGACGGGGTTTCACCATGTTGGCCAGGCTGGTCTCGAACTCCCGACCTCAGGTGATCCACCCATCTCGGCCTCCCAAAGTGCCGGGATTACAGGCATGAGCCACCATGCCCGGTCGCATATATCACTTTTATAATCTGTTATGGATTGGATATATTCGTCCAAAAAGATATGTTGAAATCCTAACCCCAGAATGTTACTTTCTTTGGAAATAAGGACATTAGAGACATAATTAGTTAAGGTGAGGTTATGCTGGTGTAGGGTGGGCCCTAATTCAGTATGATTAGTGTCCTTATAAGAAGAGACATCTAGACACATAGGAGAGAACACCACTGGGTAATGAAGCCAGTGATTGAGTGCTGCAGCTGCAAGCCAAGGAATGCCAAGGATTGCTGACAGAGCACCAGAAGCTAAGAAGAGGCAAGGAAGGATTCCCCTACATGTTTCAAAGGGATCGTGGTTCCGCCAACACCTTGATTTGGACTCCTAACCTCCAGAACTATGAGCCAATACATGTCTGTTGTTTTAAGCCACTTAGTTTGTGGTTCTTTGCTACTGCAGGCCCAGAAAACTAACAGATAGCCAAAATAAATTAATTAATATTTTTAAGTATATACAAAAAAGAAGAGAAAAGACAGGCAGTTGCATAGCTCATAAAATTATAATCTCTTGAAGTTGAAGCTTCAGGTTCATTTTGACTCTTACCTCTCCGGCCATGCCAATAGAATTATTAGTTTTTGACATCCCAGCCAAATATTTGACAAGCAGTTCATAAACTAATGGGAAGTGCTAAGAAATATAATATGGAGCTATTTCTTTCTATTCTGTTCCTCCATGAAATTTCTTCTATCCAATTTCCAATCATGCAAATCGTATCAAGAAGGCAAGTGATCCAAGGGTTAAGCAACATTTGATTGGCTGCTGTGACTGCATGTATCTAAAGAGAAATAGAAAGCAATTTGACTACGGTATGTGACTCAAGTGATATGTGTTTTAGATAAGTAATTAGAAACAAAACAAAAAGTCAATTAGTTTCTAGCCTGTCCTTCAACTGTTTAAAATATTATAGCAATAAAACTAATGGAGAGTTTTTTCCTAACTACATCAAAGTTATTAAAATGTAGAGTCAATTAGAAAAAAAATATAAGAATGTACATTCATAATTGTTGAATACTAACAACTCATATCAAATGGACAAACTGTTTGACACCAATATATGTGGGAAAGGTCAGGGCTTCTAAAGAAATGTTTCTTTAATGATGAAACTTTCCAATTTTAATTTTTTTTAATTAGCATCTTATAGACGGAGGAAGAAGAGGGTCAAAAACAAAGAACTTTTTCTTGTCTTAATATGTATAGCCATGGAAGATGGCAGAAGGGAGTGAAAAAATTCAATCAATCATTTTTATAAATAAAACAAATGGAGAAAGCAGTGGAACCAGTAACCCCAATAATGGATCCTATATTATTATTTATTTTATTTGCCTATCTCTTTCACAGATATCTAGCTATTCATCAAGTAGACATTCCCTCCAAGGCACAAAGAAACACTGAAGTTTTAATCTACCATTGTTTAATTCTTTCTTCTGGCAGAAATACTTGTGTTCATAAGAAACTTTCCAAATTAATTAAACTTGTTTAAGGTTGATACTGGCCAGAGACTTTCCTGTCTTCCAATTTAAGAGATTTTGATGAACATATGAGAATTACATTACAAAATATGGCAAGACGGGGAAAGAAAATAGAAGAGGTGAAAGAAAGGAGAGGGAATGAAAGGAGGAAGAAAGAAGAAAGAAAACTGAAAATGGAAATACAGGCCAGACGCAGTGGCTCACGCCTGTAATCCCAGCACTTTGGGAAGCTGAGGCAGGTGGATCACCTGCGGTCAGGAATTTGAGACCAGCCTGACCAACATGGTGAAACCCCCGTCTCTACTAAAAAATTACAAAAATTATGCGAGTATGGTGGTATGTGCCCATAATCCGAGCTACTTGGGAGGCTGAGGCAGGAGAATTGCTTGAGCCCTGGAGGCGGAGGTTGCAGTGAGCCGAGATCACGCCATTGCACTCCAGCCTGTGCAACAAGAGCAAAACTCTTCTCAAAAAAAAAAAAATAATAATAATAATACAAATTTTCTCTCATTCATTTCACAAATGTCAAGTATTGGCCATTATTCCTAATGTAAAAAACAAAACAAAACAAAAAAACAAAACAAACAAACAAAAAATACCCACCGTGTTTCACATTGTTCTGAAGTAGTTACTGTTGGTTATTATTGAGAGTGCAAACCACCCATGCTTCCTCTTGGGCTAATGCAGAGGTTAAACAGCCTGAGAATTACCTGCACCATGGAAATGTATTCTGGGGTTAATAAGAACAAAGTGTCCATCTTTGAGTTATTTTAACAACTAAACCCTAGAGACCAGAGATAAACTAAAGGAGAATAAAGAAATATAATTACATTGGACAGTAATGTCATGAAGAGTTAATTAATTAGGATTCAATGAGTCATAACTTATTTTGAAGATGTGGCATTTTAGAAAACCACCTAGCTTCATTCATATTACCCTCAGACATTAAAGGTGTAATTGTTGTCATTAGCATTTTAATTGGTCCTGTAATTTAATGGTTATACACGTGGTTGTTGTAAGGTCTTTTAAGCTGTTGGGATTTTAATATTTGACATGTAGCTTGAAAAAATAATTATGACATTTCCCAGATCTGAGGTTGGCCTTTGCAGTTAATGACAACACTGCGTTTTCAAAATGGTTATTATTGATAGTACAAATACTCAAATGGCCTACAGAGCTACCTTCATCTGTACCATAGTTCTTTTTTTTGGAGATCACTGGGATTATCTAATCAGACCAACACTGCCACCATATTTAAGCAGTATGTAATGTATGGTAGATATATTGCAAAATGCCAAAAGAAAAGCACTTGTAGTAGTTTCTACTTGGAAAACAGTATTGTTACTAAAAGTTATGGCAGAAATAATATTTTATTAACTGTA
The DNA here is from genome assembly GCF_000001405.40 of Homo sapiens. NCBI lineage: Eukaryota > Metazoa > Chordata > Mammalia > Primates > Hominidae > Homo > Homo sapiens. Next base: position 29,759,609 of record NC_000023.11, read on the forward strand.
GGCCTTGATTGTCTTGATTGCAAATGCTAGGTACTATATTATGCACACAGCTTGAAATGTATGTGGCACAATGAATAAAAGCTTACTTTCCTAAAATATAAAATGATTGAGGAATTTGATGATCACATTTAAATATTTTCAAAAAGGGTTATTTTCTACCCAGCAGTAGAATAATTGATAGATAATTACAAAAGAGGCTATGCCAAAATTATTGCTAGGCCCTTTATATTGAGACAATGGTCTTTATATAGTGTTTGATGAGAAATCTATCATTTCCCTTGGGGTAATGGCCAGTTATTTACCACCGTAACAACTTAAATGACTCTGTTTCTAGACTTCTAGTTAGGGGCACTTCTTAAATCTTGAAAATGGGGCAAAGCATAAATTTCTAAGATTTACTTGGTTGTCTTCACCCTTAGTACATGGGGTGAGTTTCAGCTTACAAACCTGGCCTCTCCTCTGAAACTAGCAAGGAAGAACCAAGTGTCACAATATAGCAGGAGCTCTTAATCCGTCTGCACAATCATTGCGAGATGGGGAGTGGATAGGCTTCCCAGTCAGTGCCTCTGATTTGATTGGTCCAGATCTGGGGTGTGGACAATTTCTTATAAAGCTCTCAAGGTGATTCTAATATGCATCCAGGGCTGAGAACCACTTCATTAGTGATTATTAGATCGGTTCTCAAAATACAGCCTAACATTGATGGACTCTGTCGATGGCAATATCCTGGTTGTGATATCGTAGTATGGTTTTGCAAGAGGTTACCACCAGAAACAATTGGGTAAAGGGTACGTGGAATAGACTCTGTCTGTATTATCTCCTAGAACTGCATGCAATTCTACAGTTATTTCAAAATAAAAAAGTTTAACTTATTTGTTAATAGTCTGCCAGTGAACTCCATTAAACTTACTTGTGACTCTTAAAAGATGCAGACTTTTGGGCCCCATCACAGGTCTAGCAAATCGGAATACCTGTGGGTATGTCCTGGAATCTACATTTTTAAACAAGCTCACCAGGTGATTTTGCTGAAACACTGATTTAGCTACTTACATGTTTAGGTTTTGAGTAATACTGGGCACCTGGACAGTCCTAGGTAAGTGAGAATTAGGCAAACTGGCACACTAAGTTCCCTGCCCTATTCAGTATTCTGCTATTCCTGCTACACTTGTCTTAAAAAAATAGGATTTCATATACCAAGGTGTTATGATGATACTAAGGCACACTAATGCATAAAAATAATATATAATGAATTATTCAGTCATTCAACAATTTTTTTATTGAGTACCTATTATGTGCCAGGTACAGTTCTAAGCATTGCTTTTAAGAATGAGTATAAGAATAACATTTGTAAGCCTATCACCTCAGGCATTCTGATAGTACGTGGATTTCTTATTTAAGCTTCACAACCACCCTGATGTAGGTTCTTTTATTCTCCCCTCTTTGCACAAGAAAACACTGAAACAAGCTGTTTTATGTACATTGCTAAGGATCTAGAAGTAAAAACTTTGAATCTGAAATCAGATTTCGACTGTTTCTTTATGGTAAAATATACATAACATAAAGTTTACCTTTTTAACTATTTGAAGTGTACAGTTCAGTGACATTAAATACCTTCACACACTGTGCAACCATCACCACCATCAATCTCTAAAACTTCTCCATCTTTCCAAACAGAAATCCAGTACCTATTATACAATATCAGGGGCTGTTTTTATTATACAGTATATGACACCCCCCCACCAAAGAAACCTTTAATTGTAGAACTTTATACAAAAGGTAAAGAAAACAATTTGGGAGAAAAGCCTCTCGCCAGCATTTCTTCAATCACACAACATATTATAGAAAAGCTGCTGTGTGTAAGATCAGCCTTGATCTGGCTGTATTTTTATTGAATCTAAAAAAAAGTAATTATCAGAACTATTGTTATAACTTAACCCATTTGTGCTGCAATTGCTTCTCATTTGTGAAATAGACACTAATAAGGCATACTAATGGAATCTTTAGTGTGAGTATTTATTAAATCACTAATGTATGTGAAACACTTAGAACATTGCCTGGCATTTCCTCAGTCCACCCACCCAATCCCACCCACACACAGTCAAAAGTTAGTTCTTATTTCCCCGATTGTCAATTTTGTATATATCACTTGATGCACATCATTTTCCCACATCTTTGTCACTGATTGTTAGTTTTATCTAGTTCAGTAGCAAGCACAATATCTAACAACCTGAATTTATTTTTATTGTAATCATTTCAAAGAAATTAGAGTCAAATGTCCTCAACTGTATGTCTCCAGTAATTTCACTTAGAAAGTTTTTCAGGCACTGAATTCGTTCTTGAGAATAGAGTAGCATTCCCCTGTCTGTAATATTTGAGCAGAAAGGACATTGCTTCCATGAAGCCTTGTTTCTGTTCTTCTTCTGTTTGTTAGAAAATACTCTGTTGATGGCAAATTCGTGAGCAATCTAAATATATAATTAATTAGAAGAACAAATTGAAATTGACCAAATCTCTCAGAGCTTTGAACAAAAGGACTCTTCAAATGGTCAAAACAATTACTTAGAATTTAAGCGTTCATTGAAATGCGAGACAGTGTGCGGTAGAGATACAAAAGAGAAACCAGGCTCCCATGATATTGTAAATGCTAACCCTGCTCCTTAAGCAAACAAAAGTCTCTTTCTATTGTCAGTAGCTGTCTTCTAGGACAAATAGTTTGGTATTTTATAAAAGGGAGAAAAACTTATCAAAAACATTCCATGAAATGTACCTCTTTTGAAAAATTACTCCTTGAATTTGAGTTAAAGAATTCTTTAGAAGCCAAACTGCTGAGATGATTTATCTGCACAAAAGAAAACTACTGTTCAAGAAGCATATTTGAAGAATATGTCATTGCAAATCAAAGATTCTTTTAAAAATAAGTCTCAAAAGGAAGAGAGGGAGAGAGGGAGAAAGAGAAAGAGAGAGAAATATATAATTAAAGTCATAGGTAATTTAAGTTTGGAAATGAACATTCATTCACTACTTTGTTATATTGTCATATGGTGGTAAACAAAACAAAGCAATAATTTTGTCTGATTTTCTTCGCTAAGAAATGGAACCATTTATGAAGCTTAGCAACTGATGCGAATTTTGCTTTGATGGTAATTATGTAACAGAGTGGCAGGGGTTTCACTTCCAGATAAAGATGGACAATGAAGGTCAATTTCTATCCTGTCGTTTTGAATATTCAGTGCCAGCACAATTTAATTGGGATCAGGTAATTGCTCAGAAGGCTACACTGAGCCCACTATCATCCCTCAGTGTCGCTCCTGCACACCTACTTATCCTGATGTTGTTTGTCAAAAACTGTCACAAGGAATGTGTCTCACTGAGAAAAATAACCTGTTTGTCATTGCTCAGAGCTTCAAGACCATACTCTAAAGTGATAAGAAAAAGTTTTTTGTTTTTTTTTTTTTTGAGCAAAACTGTCTTGTCTCTGAACTGATTAAATTGGTCCATCATGGTAATATAAGGGAACATTTTAATGAAATAAATTATTTATGGGAGTTCAGTGATATTTGCTCTCCTAGCTCTTGTGCGATAGTATCAAGTGTACCTCTTACTCTCTTTTGGCATTGAAGGATATTATATTAGTCTTGAATATCTTTTGCAAAATATTATAAATTATGCAAGTAATAAATGTAAACATTGTTTTAAGAACTAGAGTATTGTGAATAAATTGCTAAAAATTTATCTTGTGATTTTTCTCATTGGCATTAGAGAGAAGCAGAAATTTAGAAACTAATTCGTATATAATGTGTGTTTGTATAATAAAAGGAAACTATGTGCTCAGGAACAGTCTGATGTCCTCAGAATGAAAATACTCATAGTAACAGTAACATACATATATGTAATGTGATTTATAAGGATTGCAACATTAAATGTTTGTTTGAATTGGCACTAGTAAATTTTAATTACCACCTATGACTTCTGACTTCTGTCTATTGATACGAGGACTAAAAGGATAGTTAATGTTATTATTAGTATTAATAAAAGTAATGTAAGTTTAGTATAAGATTTCTAATCTGTTCACCATAGACAATGAACCAAAGAGGAACTACTTTGTGCTACATTTTTATCTGTCTCAGGGCATAGGTTCAAGACAAGACAATTTCTAGTTTTGTAAAATGAAAGCAGTGATACAGAAGACACCTATTTCATTCCCTCAGATTAATAGTATATAATACTATATATTATATACTTTACACAAATGTTAGAATAAAAATGAAGAAATATTTAAAATGATAGGCTCACTACTATATTTAATAGCATTAATCCTCAAAGGCAGTATTTAATACATTAATTTCTTAATATGCGTGCATTGTGAATACATGAGAAAAAGGAAAAAAATTCTTTAAATGAGTTCCTGCAATTAATATCATCAAATGATGTAAATTACAGTTTTAAAACAAAAAAGCCCTTAAAGCGTGCTATGAATAAAGTAGGAAACAAATTAAATTTTAATCTTTATTATTATTAAAATAATCTTTGCATTGTTCTTTTTCTACTTGAAGTTTCAGTGGTTTTCATTGATAGTCATAAACTGGAGAGAAACTTGTGCCCACCTATGATACTCCAGAGGCACAAGACGCCAAGGCTTACTGTCTTCCAGCATTGCTTCCATTTTATGTCTGGAGGAGATAAGATATGGGTGTAGCTGTGAAGGAGAATTGGATATGCAGACGATTGCTTTATCTTTATCTCTGAATGATGGACACCCAAGCAGTTTTAAGGGAGGGCCTTTACTGGCTCTCATTTGCCTTGTTTTTATTAGGAGACAGCCTCTCTGGGTTGCAATAGGTTGCAAGTTATAAAATTCAAATGACTCTGGATGAGATGCTACCTTTCTTAACTTAATTTGAATTGTTCATATCAGGAGTCCTTTTTAAGGATCAGTCAATAGGGGAACAATAAGACAGTCTATGAATCTTCAGCATGGGTTACAGCTGGAGGACATAAAAAAGGAGGTTGGAAGCACTGGACACACTTTAAAAAAATCTTGTCTGGGTTGAAAAATGCATTTTCTTTGTCTAAGTCACATGTTGTATTCCATATTTAGCTGTAGTGTTGAAATAATAGGAAAAACACTGTGTCTTGGCAGGTAGGCCCCTGCTCTGAGCTGGACCCAATGGTCAGAGCACATTTTTGTTTAACATTCAGAGGGCTGTCAAGATGAGGAAGTCCATTTTATGGGTTTTCTACCATGAATTTGCTCTTCCTGGCCAACTCCGCTCATGCCTGTGAAAAGAACTCACCAGCGTACTGGAGAATGAGATACTAAACTAGGACAAGAGCCGCTGCTGAAAAGCTCATGGCTGATATCAACTGGAAACTAATTCAAATGACTCTTACAATAAACCAGTTCTCCACTCACTCAAAGTGACAGTGAAGTGAAGGAAATCATCCTTTGTGTTTCCTTTGTTTCATGCAATAGTTTGTGTGGTTAATTCATTATAGTCTTTGTTCTCAAGCGAAATAAAACAGTCAGGTGAAAGAAGAGTTTTCTTCCTTGACTTTAAAGTGGATTTCCTTTTATAACAGGTAAAACTCAGCTTTCAATTGTTTTTAGTTCTGAAGTTAATAGCAGTAGTTCTAGGCTTTTTTTTTTTTTTTTTTTAAATCAATGGCTTGTTAATTGTCATCCCAGTTATTTACATGTGACTATAGAGACTGCATTCTCCCAGCTGCCAGGCCGCCAGGGCTTTGCCACTGGTATAATTTATAACACGACTAATTAAAATGAATTTGCTTGCAATAAGGTTCTGTGTGCTATTTGTGGGAGAGGAGTTATTAAAATTTTCAGTACAGTAATAGTAAACTTGAATGCAAAGTAATAATAATCATACATTTTTAATTACATGTTTAATACCCATTTGGCTAATGTAGAACTATTCTGAAAATTACTTGGGATCAGCACAATGTCTTTTTGTGCTTAGTAGTATCCAAAGACATCCTTCTGAATGGGCTTAGCAATATGCACTGTCATCAAGATACAGCTGTTTGATGACAGACACACAGTGTGTTCCTATGATACTTTGCACAAGATCAGCTATGACAAATACAAGTTCATTTTGCTTATTGCAGGCAAATAATGTCCTTTGCAGGAACTTGGATGGAGCCAGAGGCCATTATTCTAAGTGAAATACCTCAGGAGTGGAAAACCAAATACCATATGTTCTCACTTACAAGTGGGAACTAAGCTATGGGTACACAAACGCATATAGAGTAATGGACTCTGGCGACTCATACTACATATTGAGTACAATGTACACTACTTGGGTGATGGGTGCACTAAAATCTCAGAATTTGCCACTGTGTCATTCATCCATGTGAAACCAGAAACCACCTGTACCTCAAAAGCTGTCGAACTAAAAAAATATAAATTTTTAAAAATGATTCCCGGCTGGGCGCGGTGGCTCACGACTGTAATCCCAGCACTTTGGGAGGCCGAGGTGGACGGATCATGGGGTCAAGAGATTGAGACCATCCTGGCCAACATGGTGAAACCCCGTCTCTACTAAAATACAAAAATTAGCCGGGCATGGTGGCACACACCTGTAATCCCAGCTACTCGGGAGGCTGAGGCAGGAGAATTGCTTGAACCCAGGAGGCGGAGGTTGCAGTGAGCCAATATCATGCCTTTGCACTCCAGCCTGGGAGACAGAGTGAGACTCCGTCTCAAAAAAAAAAAAAAAATATATATATATATATATATAGATAGATAGATAGATAGATAGATATTTTTATATATATATCCAAATATATATATATTTATATATCCAAATATATATATATTTATATGTCCAAATATATATATATTTATATATCCAAATATATATATATATTTATATATATATGAGATTTCCATTTTCCACCAACTTTCTTTTGAAAAATTTCAAGCAAGACTAGTACAAAGAACATCCATATGTCCTCCACCCAAATTTATCAATTTCTTACATTTGCTCACTTGCTCACTCTCCCTCCATCCCCTTTCTCATTATATATATTATATATTAATATATAATATATAAATATAAAGTATATATTAATATATAATATATAATATATGATATAAACAAATTACATAATATATAATTATAATGTATAAATTATATAATGTATTATAATTATATAAATATAAATTATATAATGTGTTATATATAATTTTTATATATCTGGCTGAATCACTTGAAAGTTATTTGCAAGATGTCATGATACTTTACTTCTAAATGCTTCATCATATATCTTCTAAGGGCAAAATATTCTCTTACATAGTCACAACATAATTATCCCATCCAGGAAATTTATGGTACTGTTATCTAATACACAGTCCGTATTCACATTCTTTACAGTTGTTCCTCACTCTCCACTTTGCTCCAGGATTTAATCAAGAGCCATACAATACATTCCGATGACATGTCCATTTGATCTTTAATCTAAAAAAGAGTTTTCAGCCTTTGTTGATATTTATATTCTTTATGTTCTTCAAGGATTGCTCCCAGTTGTAAATAGTTTCTGATGTTTGTTTGTTTGCTTGTTTTCTAAGTCAACTCCTGAAGAAGCATGTATTTATACACAACTAATCTTGAATGAAGAATGGTCGTTGTTAAGGACTTGATATTAGCAAACTGTATTCCCAAGCTCTTTGCTATTTTACCCATAATACTGCAAGACATTTTCTCCGACTCATTTGGAAGGTGTTTCCATTTGTATCTGGCAAGCTATTCTCTTAGTTCTTAATAATACCGTCATTGAAGATCTTCTAGTATGTAGAAAAGTATAAAGTGCTATTAGTATTCCAAAGGAAAGTATAATCTAAATGGTGAAAGGAAATAGAAACATGGGCAAAATCAATACAGCTGAATAAAGTTTAAAGATGCAGAATATGTTACAAGGCAGGTTAGCATTAATTGCTAACCAAGTGATATAGAACATAAGTCTATATTATCTGTAATTTACATAGCTATTGATTTTCATAAGGATAAGGCAATACCACTTGTCTAAAATGGAAAAGAATTATGTTGATGTTAGAAATAATCATTTACATAAGCGTACATGTGATTTCAAGGACAATAAGCTAATGATGGCTCATAAATATGCATATTTTTCATTGATCAAAACTGCGCAGTAAACTTCTGGTATCTGATCTTGTAAATTGTTACACAACATTAAGGTAATTAAGAAGAGAATTAAGGCAAATAAGACTGCCTTTAAAACATACCTTTGCATGGTTCTTCATCTTGAATTCGATAATCACAAATGTGACAAATCTCTGTGCTAAGTTTATTCAGTTTAACAGTTGTAAATTAAAAAAAAAATCCTCCATTATGTTTATCAAGTCTTCCAAGCTTTTATTCACCATTTTTAAATTATGTATTTATTTGTACACCATTTAAAAAAATTATATTTTTCTACTTCATGACCCCAGCCAAATAGCATACAATGTTTAACTCCTTACAAATCATACTTATTTCTTTATAGTATATTGACAAGTTTTGTGATAGATCTTCTTTTAGAATTCAATAACCTAAGAATTAAAAACTATTTTAGAGTTAGTGATTCTAACTTCATGAATCTTCTGATTAATAAGCTTCCTCAAATGCATTTTAAGCAGAAAGAAAATTGCTGAATATAAACTAAAACTGCTCAGAGAAATGCTTTTTATTATGCACTTTCAAATGAAAGTGAATGCACAATGAGCCCAGTCCTCTCTTTAGTGTTCAGTACACAGCTCAGGGCTGTGTATTAACCCAGTGCCCTCTCCTTTCTAGCTATGCAATTAGTATTGATTGACTGATAGATAGCACACTTGATGTTGGTGGTCACTGAGGTACGTACACCTCTGTACAATGCCCGCCAGGCCATTGTGTGTGCCTGGTACGTTACTGAGGAATAACAAAACAACTGGTGAGTTTTTAATCAACTGTACATGGAATACAAAATGTGGTCTGTCTTCCTGTGTCTAGCTACTTTTACTTCGCGGTTTTATTTTCCCAGTGATGTGTACACTTTAGATTTTTTTCCCAGACATAAGAGAAAATGTATATTGTATTCTACTTGCTGTTTTAAGCTTTCTCTTAAAAAGTCTATACATTATATTTGTGTTATTTAACAGGCCCCCATACATAGCACTTGGTATGTTTAAAACACCTCATTTGATGCTTTATAAATATGAGTTAATTTGAAGGAAATCATGAGCAAAATCTCATGCACATTTCTTTTGTGTATGAAATTTAGTGGAGGATGTTTTTGTCTACATATCAGCTTGCAGGACTTCTGCTCAGGCCGCATCATCTTTTATAATACACATGAGGTCCAATATGGCCTCCTTCCAATCTATCTGCTGGGACAGGAAAAGGAAGCTCTAAATATCTCAGCAGTAACTCCCCCATTCCCTCATTGCCCCAGCCCCTAGAAACCACTAATCTGTTTTCTGTCTATAACTTTGCCCATTCCATATATTTCATAGAAATGCAGTCATACCATATGTGACCTTTTGTGCCTGACTTCTTTCACATTGATGTTTTCAAGATTCAGCCACATTGTAGGAATTATTTTATTTCTTTTTATTACTGTATAATATTCCATTATATTCCACATTTTATTTATCCATTTACCAATTGATAAACATGTGGGGTTGTTTCTGCTTTGGTGCTATTATGAATAATGCTGCTATGAAAATTCATGTACATGTTTTTGTATGGATATGTTTTCAATGTTCTTGGTTATATACCTACAAGTGGAATTGATGAGTCATATTTTTGAGGGACTGCCAAACAGTTTTTTTTTTTTTTTTTTTTTTTTTTTTTTTTTTGTGATGGAGTCTCACTCTGTTGCCCAGGCTGGAGTGTAGTGGTGCAATCTCGACTCACTGCAACTTCTGCCTCCCGGGTTCCAGCGATTCTCCTGCCTCAGCCTCCCGAGTAGCTGGAATTATAGGCGCCCGCCACCATGCCTGGCTAATTTTTTTTTTTTTTTTTTTTTTTTGAGATGGAGCCTTGCTCTGTCATCCAGGCTGGAGTGCAGTGGCGTGATCTCGGCTCACTGCAACCTGCACCTCCCGGGTTCAACCAATTCTCCTTCCTCAGCCTCCTGAGTAACTGGGATTAGAGGCACGGGCCACCATGCCCAGCTAATTTTTGTATTTTTAGTAGAGTCGGCGTTTCACCATGTTGATCAGGCTGGTCTCGAACTCCTGACCTCGTGATCCGCCTGTCTTGGCCTCCCAAAGTGCTGGGATTACAGGCGTGAGACACCATGCCTGGCCGCCAAACAGTTTTTCAAAGTGGCTGGACATTTTACCTTCCCAATAAATATGCTTTCATATTTGAACTGACTGATAAAATTTCAACATACAAAGCATATAGGAATTTTTACTTCAAGTTACATCTGAAATGGTTGGCTATATTTAAAAGTAGATATTCTGTTTTTAACAATAAAACATAATATCTTGCTTTTCTATATGACTGACATTATTATGCTAGATGACAACTACATAATTATTGGCAAAGCACAATTTGTAGAATTACAGGAATAAAACTGATGGAAGCATGTAGCATTTCATTCTTCCAAAGCCCAGAATGGAACCAAATAGCAGATTAGTTGCAATATTGAGGTTGAAACTCAAGTTCGGTGCATGTCTATTTCCTCCTCCTTTCTTCCATTCCCATATCAAAATAAAAGAAAACAAACAAAATGCTTTTTTTTTAATAACTTGTTTTTCAGTGTAAGGAAAAAATGGTACAGTGTGAAAGCTAAAGTACATACTAGCTGAGAAAACCTGACATGAGACTCATTTTTTAAAGTATAAACCTGTATAGTAGATAACATTTCTTGAATGCTCGCTATGTGCCAGACACAATCATAAGCTCTTTCAAGGATTAACAACACAAGGCTATGAGGTTGGTATTATTGTTCTCCATATTGTACAGATGAGGAAATAAAGGCACATAGAGGCTTAGTGTCAGAGCTAATAAATGACAGAGGTGGAGTTCAAACCTAGGCAGGTTAGCTCCAGAATCTGTGTTTTAGCTGCCATTCTGTGCTGCTAAAGAGCGTCTGTTACCACCATTATCCTACTAGCAACTTTAAATGCATTCATGTAATCATTGGAAACTTCACATGCTATAGTAATTTTTATGCAGAATTTCAGTAAAATATCTCTAACATACAACTTCCAGATTCAAATTTGCAGATCTACCATTGTTATCTAAAGGGTGTTTTGATTGATTTGTATCTTATTTTGTGGGACAGCAGGATTCAGTGAGAATTTCCACAGGGTGGAATCAGTATTGAGTGCCCTATGGAAGTGTTAACTCCATTCCAATATCCATAGTTCAAGCAAATTGTTGTTTCCTGTGAATGTTCTTCAGGCTGTTACTATATGTGCCTGTCATGTCATTCCATGAAAAAATAATGCTGGCCTTGTAGTTTCTACAAACTTTACTACTATGAGTGTCACCTCTGAGTTTGAAATATTTGAAGCAGGAGACTCTATAAGTTTTCAGAGATAAAATTGTGTCCAGAAAAATATGTCCCCCTTTGATTGACGTGGGTGAGCATGACTGTGTATCATAGATTATAGTATTCCGTTCACTCAGTTTCCTTTCAACAATGTCTCATATATTTCAAAGGAAAATGTTGCCATGTCACTTTAGATTTAAAAGGTTGCAGTGAATGATGTTTTCTTAAATAAAAGGGAGGAAAAAGTAATTGTCATGTTTTGTAGATTTAAGCCCTGTCATTGCCAAAATATCTGCACGTGAAATCAGTAGATAGAATTTTTGGTAGGGCTTCTCTGTTGTCTGAATTCCCATTACTGGAAGGAAAGTATGAGAAAAATAAAATGAATGTCTCATTTTTCACATGTTCTTCAGTAGTTTGGGGTCACTGTTTGGAAAATCTTAAGAAACTGTGATGGCTTGAATAAGTAGTAGAGAGTCAATCACTTTAACCTGTGCTATTTATCTATTTTCTTCTACCATCAATTCCCACTATATCTTTAAGAGAAAAATGCAGCACAGAATTTCTGACATAGACCATGTTGAAGTACCATTTTTCCCCATCCTTGAAATCTCAACTCTTCCTTAAAAAGTGTCAAGAACCAGGTATGGTGGCTGTGTTAGTTTGTTCTCACACTGCTAATAAAGACATACCCAAGACTGGGTAATTTATAATGGAAAGAGCTTTAATTGACTCACAGTTCCACGTGCCTGGGGAGGCCTCACAATCGTGGCTGAAGGCAAGGAGGAGCAAGAGGACGTCTTACATGGCAGCAGGCAAGAGAGAGTATGTGCAGGGGAACTCCCCTTTATAAAACCATCAGATCTCATGAGACTTACTCACTATCACAAGAACAGCATGGGAGAGACCCGCCTCCATGATTCAGTTGCCTCCCACCAGGTCCCTCCCACAACACAGGGGAATTATGGGAGCTACGATTCGAGATTTGGGTGGAGACACACCCAAACCGTATTAGTGGCGCACACCTGTACTCGGGAGACTGAGGCAGGAGGATCCATTGAGTCCAGGAGCTCGAGGCTGTAGTGAGCCCTGATTGCACCACTGCACTCTAGCCTGGGTGACATTGTGAGACCCTGTTTCTTAAAAAAAAAAAAAAAAGTCAAATAGATTCATTCTCAATTTTATTATGTAAGTATTAGGATGAGATATTTATAGTATGATAGAATCTGACCAAAGAGTATCTGTTCAGCCATAAAGGGAGTATGTAATAATATTGTACGTTAGTGATAATATCACCATCAAAAATTATTTCTCAGTTTTCCTTTGAGTGTACATCTGTAAATGTGTATGTTTGTGTGCGTGGCAAGATTTGCAGATGCCAAAGTCCTATAAGTGTCCTTCTTCCCATCTTTTTATTTGAACTTCTGAGGGTCTGCGGTGAAAGGCAATAAAAGCCCTTAACTTCATTACTGTACTTTATACTAAATTCAAACAATATTGCTTTATTTATTTTAATTCACGTTTAGATTTGCATTATATTTTGTACAAGACAATGGGTAGAACCTAATTTCCAGTTTTCACTGGAGCAGAGGGTGGAAAGGAATCAGCAGTAAAAGTGAGTCCTGATTAGTTTCCCCTCCTCTTGCTTTAGCCTTTGATAAGTAAGCGCCTTCTACTTTCATTTCCAACAGCGTTTACCATAGAAATAATACAGTGCTCTTCTCCATTTGCTGTGGAGCCCTGTGGTTCATTGTTATTATTTCCTCAGGAATCCCTTTAAAGGTATCCTGCAATAATGCTATAATCTCAGAGTAGCTTTACCCCTTGCCACCTATATAATGATCATTTCTAGTTAAAAAAAAATCATGTGGAAGAGAGTTGATAATATTACAAGGAGAAGACAATTTTCCTGCTCAAAATGTGAGAATTTGAAATAATAGATGTGGAGAGAAATTTAAGTAAATATACAATTAACTCTTAACCTACAACTTCACTGAAATTCTGAGGAAATATTCCAAGGCTGCATAAAGTGAATGAAGAGTTTCCTACCAAATATTTCTCCCTCAGTACCTAAGTAATTGTTTCTTTTCTGAATCAGTTGCATACACAGAAGTAGAGGTGGCACTAAAGATAAAGATGCTTCGACCTTGTTCTCACCACTTTTTTTCCTGTTGGTTTCCAGCAGTGTCATGGGCTTTCATTACTTATTCAAGAACTGGCTGTGCTGAACTTCCATTGCTACTCTGCCTGTACCCACATATTTCTGTAGCTTGGAAATTTGTCTTTGAGTTTATATAGTGAGGATCTTTTATCTGTCACTGTGCGGTAGCTTTAGCATAACTGCATTTAGATTTAGAGATTAAGGCTTATAACTTAATTATGAATCCAACTACATACGAAAGAGTTTAATTTAAATTTAATATTTTGATTCAGCACAGCTCAACTCATGTGTTCTTGTTAAATTGTCTCTCATTGAATTTTTCCTTGTCATTACCTTGGACATCAGTGCTTTTCCAGAATTGCAGGCTGTAGCAAAATAACAACGCAGACTTGACTTCTGTCTGAGCTAATCTTCAGAAAGGGCACAGGCTAATGGTGACGTAGACATCTTTACAGTTTGTCTGTAAATGTGTTGGGTGGGTGTGTATGTGTGTGTGTGTGTGTTCATGTGCATACACAGACATATACACATGAATGTGTCTTGCTATGCTAAGGCCTGAACAAATAAAAATAATGTCAAATAAATATATTTACAAAGCCTAATCTGAAATGATAAAGTAGATGAAATTTGAGAAGGAACATTTGTGGTCTCCCAATTTTATGCCTCATGCACATGTAACTCTATATACATATATAGAGGGAACACTATTCACACAACACATACAAATATACATGTAACACTTATAACAGTGTAGTTATGTAAGTGTTTAGATATGAGAAACTACTATTTATAGGAATCCTTCAGCAGTATCTTTCTTGCCTCCTCTTCCTGCTCTTCCTCCTACTTCTCTTCCTCCTTCCTCTCCGCCACCCCCCTCCCCACCCCCGCATAAAAAGGGAATGGTTTAGTCAGGTAAATAACTAAAAATTGTTATTTTTTTAAATAGGCTTTATAAAGGTGATTTTATCCCAGAAAGAAGTGTACTTACACGGCTATGGGGGACTGATCTATGCATATAAAGCTTTTCATTATCAGTGGGAAATTTCCATTTGTAATTATGTCCATCACAACATCAGCAGCAAGAGCATATATAATGTTTCAAAGGTTAGTTAAGGAGTGTTTGTGCATTTTGTATATAATTAGACAAAGAAGTAATTAATATAGACTTGGATAACTTGCTTGCATAAACAACATTAAAGCAACAATAATGAACACTTTAAAATATACACGAATATCATGTTAACGTATCAATTGCCCTACTTCTACCTTTCCCTAGTTCAAATCCTAATTTAAATAATATTTCAGTGAATATAATTTTTATACGTAAAATTTCTTCAATATACAAAGAATTGTTTGTTATAAATTTCAGTGTCAGAAACTTTAAACTAGAAATGCATTCCCATCGAAATAGCGTAGTTAAACCTTCTCTACCAAGTACTAGTGAGATGTTTGTGTCGAGAAGACACAGAGGCTGTGTTGGGGTCTGTCTGCAAACTAACATTACACAGGGTAGCTTCATTTGGATGTATTTTTAAATTAGATCCCCACTGATGGTTTCCTTTGAAATAAAATGTTTCTCTTATTTTAAAATGCTTGAAAATCAACATTATAATTGATGGTTAAATTTCCAGTTTAAGCATACTTTTCCTTGTTGTACTACACATGAAGTACTGTGCTTTGGCAATGAAAATAATAGAAAATGTGCCATAAAAGTAATTGAAACCTAAACAGAATTGCTGAGTGGGATTTTTGTTTCATGTCTTGAGCATGTTGCTTAAGGAAAGCAGATCTAATTAGGGAAAGACAGGAGGCAGATACAAAGACTTTGGTGGGAATTGTGAGCAGAGAATTGGGGCATTTTCAAGGGCTATGAGCTTGAGAGAGTCGTTATATCCGATTTCACTTTCCATTTCCTAGTTGTTACTTTTGCTACACCTACACTTATTAATCATCATTGGGGTTGTTTGGGAGCTTACAAGTGAGTTGAAGAGCTGGGTAAAGAATAGAAATTTCCTCTGAGTTATTAGAGGAGCAAAGAAGGAAAAAAACAAAAGATGGGAGATGGGAGAATGGTGTGCTTTTGTGTGTTAATGTGCCTGGGGTTGAAGTAGTTACTTGTGAGAAGCAAAAGGGGACAATAGATCATATGCTATTGCTCATCCTTTTGTGGAAGAAACCCATCAGGTATCCATTCACTCACTATTTACTGAACAGAACACATTGTAAGAGCACAGTGTATTAGGCGAAGGGAGGTCACTGGTGAACAAGAGCTTCCTGGAGCTTTCAGTCTACTGGTATCACAAGCATAGACCAAAGAAGCACATATCATAAGTGCTAAAAGAGGTAGAGCACAGAATGAGACCTCATGATAAGGGCACTTATTATAATAGTCCTAGATCTGAGGGAACACTTCTCTGAGAAAATAATGTTTGAGCTGACACCTGAATGCTGAATGGGAGTTAATTTATGTGCCGAGAGATGGGAATAGTTCCTGACAGAGGAATTAGCAAATATTAAGCTGAGGAGTTTGTGTTGTATTTTATAAATATAAATTAGGACCTACTCTTCCTTTTGTCTTTCCTTATTAGTGTGATAAAATCATCCTCCTAGTTACAAAGCCAAGGACTCTGACAGTAATTTTTGACCCTACTTTCTCTGCCACCTTGCACCCCCGTTACCTTTACTCTAATAACATCCTTTTGCTCAATAATTTTTTTCTCTTTCTATCTCTAAATCTCTTCTCCTACACTCAACCCTCAATTTAATTCAGGTCTGAGCCACGTATTGCTGAACTCACAGCTTTCTCACTTCCGCTAGAATTGACTTTCAGAAGCATTTGATCATGACATTTTCAGTGTAAACCTATTCAGTGACACAGCCCTGCCTGTAGAATAAGACGCGTCAGCTTTACATGTTCTCTTGATATGATCTGGACCCCTCATCTCCTACCACTTTCCCTGTATTCTTGCCACATGCACCTCCTTGTTCTCTTGAATATAGCAGGCACTTAGGGCCCTGAGTCTCTAAACATGCCAGCGTGCCCTCCCTTCCCTAATCATCAGTCACAATTTGTATCCTCTAGCCTGTTGCTTTCCAGTTATCATACTCAGAATTAATTTTGCCTCCTTCCTTGTAATCGTATTACTTTTACCTGCCTCTCCCCCTTTTCAGCATTTACTTTATAACTCTGTCCTATATTGTAGTGTCATAAATCATTGCTCTAACTAGAGTTTAAGTTCAGTGAGGTCCAAGAATTTGTCTTATTTATTTTTATATTTTATGCTTTTATCATTTTCCACAGTTGGAAATAAAAATTTATAGTCAGACTTTTAGCAGCTTCCTGGAACTGAGGCAATGCAGGCTGGGGCAGAGAAGAAAGTTAAAGGATACTTGGAGAAACCTGAAGAAAGTAATTTAGACTATTTTATGGTTTATAGTCTCTTTTTGATCAGCTGTGGGTGCCCTCACAATATTGGTTGTTGAGAATGATTTGACAGAAGTTATCAAAATAAGGAGATTCAAACTTAGTCTATATGAGACCAAATACTCACATTTTAAACAATAGACATTTTTAGTAATGACATTTAAGCTCCTAGATAGCTGGATACAGAGCCAATGTTATTGCATATAATTCACCAATTCAACAAATATCAGTTGATGACTCACCGGGATCAGGTACAGTTAAAACTTGCTCTCCACTTTGGTCATACTTGCTTTAATTCATTGCTAATTGAGTCTTAAGGCTCAAGCAGTGGGTCTTATAAATTCACTGGTCTTTATTGTTGAATCCTTCTCTAATTTTGGCAGTAATCACGCATGTCAATCTTGCAATGAGGAGCTATCGGATTTTCAACCTTTACATTCAAGCTCTTGTTTTTTCCTGAACTGGCTCTTTGTACAAATAAAAACACACTGGCAAAATAATAAATGAGAATCCTTTTGGACTTTTCAGCCAACAATAAAATATTTTTTATAAAAATGGAAGTGCACAAAATGGCAGCCATCTGTTGTTTAAAAACAACAGAACTGTATTTAAGTCAATTATTGTGTAAGGTCTGTGCCTTGAAAGCAAGGGCAAAATGGTTTATGTTCATCTCAATGGGAGAAGATTTTGTGTGCTTCTTTGTCATTGTCTATGTTGATGTGAGACTGGATAACTATTACTAACTGAAAATAGTTAATCATATTTAATCATGGATGAGGTTGATTGAAAAAATGTCATTTTTATTTATGAACTCACATGGACATGTCTAATTGGACAATTCTGATTTTCTCTCTTTATTTTGAGTAGCTTTAAATCCAGACATACTAGCCTAGCAAATCCATAAAGAATCTGTCATCATGGAAATTGCTAACAGAGCCTGAACTTTTTCCTCTTTCCCCCCACTCAAAGTTTGAAACATAGGCAGATTAATAGAGATAACAATTAGAATAATGGTAAGAAGTTTTTTTTTCAAATGAAGTACATCCTAATGAGAGTTAGGTTTTTGCTAAAAAGTGTTTTTCTTGATATTCAATAAAATTGATATAAATAAATTGTATTGTTAATTTTAATCTTTTTTTACTTGGTAAAAATGCTTTCTATGTCAGTCATCTATATTATGCCAATTCTTGCTTCATTTTCAATGTTTATTAGAGGGATTTTATAAATTAATCTTGTTTTCATTTATACTATTGTATAAATAGTTTTCATTTATACTATTGTATAAATAATAGTATTCATTTATACGATATATATTGTATAAATAGTTTTCTTTTATACTATTGCATTTTATGAGTGAAATATACAATATATATTCTTTGGAAGACATATCAATATCACTATTGCAACAGATATTTTTCCAGAGGTTAACAAGCTATGGCTCACTTACACATTTCGCTTAATCTACATTGTAGTTTGAAAACACACAGATGTGAACATATTACCAATATTTTGCCAATATAAGAGTCCACATTTCTGTCTTCTTTTATAAAGTATATGAGGCAAACACAACATATCCAGACTAGGATGTAGACTGTAATTTCAAAATATCTAAAATAGGGGAGTGCCGGGGGAAAATACGTCATTTTGAAAAGATGGCTGTGTTCTCTGTGTTTATAGTTGAAACTATAAACCTATTTCTACCTGGATGAGGGGTTTATAAGGGCAACATTACTAATTTTGAGTCTCCACCTCTACAATGTTAGCTCCATGAGCGCAGGTATTGGGTACAGCTGAATCCTCCAATCTACCGCAGTCCCTGCCTGGCACATAAGTGATCAACAAATATTTTGTTAAATGAATAAATGAACACCCTGTCTCTTTTTCTTTCACCT
Organism: Homo sapiens; assembly: GCF_000001405.40. NCBI lineage: Eukaryota > Metazoa > Chordata > Mammalia > Primates > Hominidae > Homo > Homo sapiens. The sequence goes on from NC_000023.11 coordinate 29,778,588, forward strand.
AATCCTGGTATGTCTTTGCTCCAATCCTCTGCCACCCAGGGCTACTATTTTATTAGTTGATGCCAGAAAACTCTCCAATGAGAATGTCCCATGTTCTTCACTGTCATACCTTTTTTAGACTCTTTGCTATCATGCCTTAACTACCAACAGCAAAGAAGCCAAAAATTCAGACACTGAGATGTGGTTCAGCCAGAAATATTTACAAATGTAGAAGTGAGAATACTAAGCCAAATAACATTTCTCATAATAAAATGTAGACTGTAGGATAATATTAAAACTTCAAATTGTACAGGAGAGATAATTTGGGGGAAAGAGTGTAGCACTAAGCCAGTGCTTCTCAAACTTAAAGGTTCACATGAATCACTTGGGGGTCTTTTTAAAATGCAAATTTGTATTTGGTAGATCTAGAATGGATCCTGAGAATTTGCATTTATAAGCTCTCAGATGATGCTGATGCTGCTGATATATGGACCACACTTTGAGTACCTCGATATTAAGCAACTGTAAACTATTTGTTTGAAAACAGCCATGATTTGAAGCTATACATGATAAAATCGATGGGCATTTATCAACCTGCTGAAAAAACTTAGATGTCTACAAATGTCCAAATGGGAGAGATACTTGGAGTAAGAACTTTGTAGTGGTAGAATGGCAGGGACCTGAGATATCTGTTGCTTCAATTTACAAACTGGGATTCTGGACCCCAAAGATACTCAATGACTTACATAAGAACCCACAGCTATGTTGATGCTGCACCCAATTGGAACCAACGTTTATTTATTCCCAGACCCATGCTCTTTAAAAGAGATCATGCACATGGACATAAAGAAGGAAACAATAAACATCAGGACCTATTTGAGAGGGGAGGGAGGGAGGAGAATGAGGATCAATAAACTGCCTATAGGCTACTATACATATTACCTAGGTGATGAAATAACCTGTACACCCAACTCCCGTGACACGCAATTTAACCATATAACAAACCTGCCCATGTACGCCCTGAACCTAAAATAAAAGTTGGAGTGAAAAAATAATAAAAAAATAAAACAGATCATGCTGCCTCTTGGCTATTGAAGTTATAGTAGAATTCCTTCAATAAAACACTTAGGAAGTTGTTGTACTATAAAATATACTTAATTTCACTTAATATTGAGTGCTTCACTAAAGTCAGTCAAAATGAAAGGAAGTAATGCATTCGCTTCTCATGAGTTGCATTTCTTGTGGGTAACATATATTAATTTTATTATAATTTATCTTCATTAGCTATTGAAAATAATGCTAAAGACATTTAGAATGCCTTTTAGCGGGCATTACTGAATATTAGATGATGAACAGCTTTGTTGGAATAGTTTGTTTAGTTCCTAGGAGAAAGTTTGATTTGACGACTAAGTAAAAAATTTAGGGGAAAAAAGCAACAAAAAAGTACCCAAAATCAATATCACTACGTTTGCTGACGAAGGGTGTATTTTTAGCTACACTGATTTTTTAATTTAAAAAAAATCTACACGGATCCCCCTCAACTCCAATGTCAAGTAAGCTCAACTGACATTATCGAAACCATCTTCCTTTTTATTATCAAAACCATCTTCCTTTTTACTGTGCATGTGTGTATGTAAGTGCAAGTGTTACAAATTCTTAAAAGAAGATAAAAGAATGATTTTTCCTCATTATGGTGTAAAACAAAATTAAAAATTGAAATTATCTAATCTGCATAAATTAGACACTTTATATTACATTGGCAGTTTTATCATATTTGAAACATTTTGTTGGTCTCAAGATTTAATTAGATTATGTCACCAAATCAGAGACCACAAATATCCATGGGAGCTTAATAGAACTTTTTGGATTTTCATGGGATGAAAACAGTATTTTCATGAGGCGCAGAATTCATCATCAGCTTCTCACCTCCATTCTACCCTCAGCCTTCTATTTCCCTGACCCACATTAGTGTTATGAGAGCAACAAATGGACGTTTCTTCCAACACAGGTTGTAAGAAAGTGCTGCTATCATGTGAGGAGTATAAAGGGAAAATCAGGCAGCATAATAGCTGAGCTAATTAGGCTCAGACCATTAAAGATCTTATAACGGTTATATTATTGTTGTTGTTAATATCACCTGAGTATTGCCTCACAGATTACAGAATGCCTCCTCATACATTATTTTATATCACAGATTATAAAAGGCTAGCATTATAAATAATAATCATATTAAAGAGTGTTATTTTAATATTACATGAGACATTGATTTTCAGTGATGCCATGTGTTTCCATAGTGACTATGATAATTAATTGCTATAAAATCACAAACAGTATTTCCTTTTGAGAGTTGACAACAGATGCTGGCATTTTAACAAAGAGTATATTAAATAATCCACAGCATGCCCAGAAAATTGAAATGATTACCATGAATTAAAAAAACCCACAAAACTCATAACAATGCTTGGTGATACCTAGAATATTCTGGTTATCTGTAAGTTTTCAAGAAGGCCAAGCAGGCCTCTGTCACTGTTCTTTACCTGCCAATCACACCGATAACTTCTATGAGACATTTCTGTCTTTGAGCTAATCATCCTCTTTTTAACAGCATACGCATTCCAACAGGCATGGAAACTATAATGTATTAAGCCATTTTATCTGCAATTCTCACTTGTTGTGATTTAGTTTAATCTGTTTTCTTTGGTTCCAAGTATAAGCCAAAATCAGGACACAGAGAAGGGGCATCTTGTTAATAAGGAAAGAGGATGAAATGGCAGAAAAGTAGTGACTCCCCAGGTGCAAATAGGGGAATATCAAGATGTGTCAAGAAATGAATAGGCAGCCCAAAAGCCAGATTTGTATGGAACCTTTTCTGCCTTTGTGCCTGAATAATAACCATAATTCCTAAATAAATCATATGACTACAGTTGAACAGTGGTAACTTTTGTGTGTAGAATGCTGAACTTCTAAATTATTTTTATACTCTTCGTCAAATGCACTTTAAAATTAAATAGTTGTTATAATATAGTATGCCAGCAAATCCCAGATTGTCTTGCAGAGTGACTCAGAACTCTTGAAAGGTCACTACTTTCGAACTTCAACATCCTTAAAATCACTTGAAAACTGACTGCTGCTGGTGTATGTGACTTGAAAATATATTTTGTTGAGAATATACAATGTTTCTTGTTCTGTGTCAATTGGCTACCCACATTCAAACATTTGGAGACCTCCCATAAGCATCCATTTTTCTTTTAAAAAACTGAAGATCTAGCAGTATTGGGTCCACGTTCTGTTCCAGCTAAGTATCACTACCTCCTTTGGAAGGGATTTTTCCTTTCCAGTCTCCCAGGTCTTGGTAAACCTCTATCTTCCTTGAATACAATAGATCTGGCACCTATTGGCATTCAGTGTAGAAGAAATGGCATTCCTATAATTTGATCAATGCACTGATTGATTGGTTGTTTTAGAAAGAGCTGAATGAAACATTTCAGTTTCGTTGTTGATCCATATCTATCTGTCTGTCTGTCTGTCTGTCTGTCTATCTATCTATCTATCTATCTATCTATCTATCTATCTATCTATGTACCTACCTACCTACCTACCTATATAGGTAGGGGAGGAGAGAGAGAGAGGCGGAACATAAATCATGGTGTAAGTTACACTTTTAAAAAATGGACCAATTTACCATTGTACAATTGTAAAGACTGCGTTGAAGCAATTTTAAGGATAATTCAGAACATATTTTTCTAAGTAAAGTTCTATGTCTTATGAGAGTAGAAAGCAATGAAGAAATATACATACATTTTGCGTAACCTAGTGGCCCTTAATGTATAAATATTGCATGTTTAAGTGAAGAGTCATCCATCAAGAATCTAATCTATACCAGAAGTATACACTTCCTCTTTTATACTTTGTACTAAAGATATAAATATGACGTGTTCCCTAGTTCTCTATCCATTACAGAGTCTGGTGGATAAAAATTAAAAATATAATCTTAATTAAAATGGAAGGGGATGAAGGCTATAAGACAGTCAGGTACACACATACTATATGGAAAAACTGGGCAGAAGTAATTCTGTCTCATATAGTCTGGGAAGGTCCCATAGAAGTGGTCATTTAGCTGATTCTTGGAAAAATAAGTAGTAATTTATCTAGCAAAGGATATAGGAAAAAGCATTATAATGAGAGGAAATGGCATAAGCAAAGACCTTGACATGTGAAAGTTGATTTTATATCTATAAAGATCTCTGACTGAGGAATATTGTTGGAAATGGGGGATAGTGAAGGCAGATATATGTGGAAGATAAAATGGGTTGATCGTGACATTTTTTTTTTTTTTTTTTTTTTTTTTTTTTTTTTGAGACGGAGTCTCACTCTGTCGCCCAGGCTGGAGTGCAGTGGCGGGATCTCGGCTCACTGCAAGCTCCGCCTCCCGGGTTCACGCCATTCTCCTGCCTCAGCCTCCCAAGTAGCTGGGACTACAGGCGCCTGCCACTACGCCCGGCTAATTTTTTGTATTTTTAGTAGAGATGGGGTTTCACCGTTTTAGCCGGGATGGTCTCGATCTCCTGACCTCGTGATCCGCCCGCCTCGGCCTCCCAAAGTGCTGGGATTACAGGCGTGAGCCACCGCGCCCGGCCGATCGTGACATTTTAAAGAGCTTTCTTTTCCTTTTCAAAGAGCTTGGGCATTTTATTATAGACAATAGGAAGTAGAAAGTGGTTTTACGGGAGGCTATGAAATGATCCAAAAGGCAACTCTGGCTGTAGAGCAGAGTCCTGATTAGAGGAGGGAACAAATGAAGTCAGGGAGTTTATTAGGAGGCTTTAGGAATTGGCCAGCGGGAGAGGCTGTGAGTAAGAACGAAAGTGATTGGCAATGGGAAGGAATCAGAAGATAAATAACTGAAAGATATTACTGATGAAGAAACTTTCCGGATTGGATGTGGGCACTCAGAGGATGAGATGAGTTGGAGGTCGGTAGTCTGGGAAAAAGTGAAGAAATCATGCCAAAATCAAAATCATAATGTCTAGAAAGGGAAGTATTTTCCGCAGCATGGATAACAGTCCCTGGGTAATGTATAAATTCTCTGTCATAAAATACTATCTCCCACAAATGTTAATTAAGTATTTGAACCAAAAGTTATTTGGCATTAATTGTGATCACTGCTATTATTGTTATTGTTGATATTATGAGAAGTAGTATTTAGAAAATGTGAGCAATCTCATGCTGTATATGCACACTAGGAATAATGCTAAAATAGAAACCAAACTAAACAAAAATAAGTAAGAACAAAACTCCGATTTAATTCAAGAAACATGCAGATTCATTTTTGCTTGGATTTTCTTTGTTATTCTAAAGAATCATGAACCAATTTTTTTTTAAGTCCTAACTATTGCTATCCTGGAGAACACTTCAACTACATAGAGTAACCATTTACAGAATACAGTTGAAGTCTACAGCTGCTCTGGAGGATAAATGCCTATTTCTTTTAAACGTTGGCTGAGGCCCTCTCGAATTATATACCTCACATGTGCTGTATTTACATCAGACCACCCCAAACATGCTTTCCAAATTAGGTTAAAATCTGTGTCACCATTTTCATGTAACATAGAAACTTAATTTTATTTATAGAGATTTTATTCATTTTATCACATAGTTACTATTTGCCTTCCTGGTTTATGATTCCAGTTTCTTTGGAATTCCACTTTTATGTGACTAAGTACCCTATGTGTTTAACTCTACTAGATATCCCATCACTAAAATACAACCATACCTTGGGATTATTCAGTTCTTTGGTACCCCACTATACCTCCCATTAGGTGAGTTTCTAATGCAAGATACTGACCATAGTATGATGCATTCTGAAATTGCCTTGGCTATTCATACACAGGTATATGTCTTATATTTGAAATGTAATAGCATTTTGTATGTTATAAGCATGCTAATTTGGGGGCCTATTTATTGTAGGAGTAGCAAAAAATAAGATTGTACTTTTGAAGACTATATGTGGATACATAGTATCATGAATGGCTGCTCTATTTTGTCAAATTCAGAATTAAAATAAGATTTAAATAAAAATAGAGGCCTTTTCAGTTTATGGATTTTCTTATTATCTTAAAAAAAAAAAACATGATAGTGAGGTTTCCAGCTGAGAGGAATGGTTGGAAAAACATTTTGTTCCAGTTAGTTAATTCTTCCCTACATGTGCTCTATTCATCGTATCCATTTTAAAAGCAAATGAACCATCTCTATCTCCTCTTGCATTTGTGGCAAACTCTTGCTGTGCCAATTTCAGATTACATGCATCTTAGGAAGAATAAGATGTTCTAATCTTGATTATAATTTTAAGTTAAAAGAATAAAATTAGTTCAATACTAAGACATTGATACGTTGCAGTAGTCAGACTGTCATTACCTCTTTTGACAAAATAGAAAAACATGTCTATACACAGGATAATAAGTTCCTGCATTAAAATGCATAATACTATAAATGCTACTAGATTTCAACGCAATCAAGAAATCAGTTTATGGAAGCTGAAATTTGTTAATAAATATGCTGCTACTTGAGAGTTTAACCATTTTGCAAATAATTATAGCAAACTTCCAACGAAATTATTTTCATTATGAATGGAGATACTTTCCAAATGAGGATATAAGAATAGATAATAAACACATGAAAAGATGCTCAGCACCATTCTTCATCAGGGAAATGTAAATTAAAACCACAATGAAAAACTATTATACACATGTTAGAAAGGCTAAAATCTGAAAGACTGGTCATACCAAGTGTTGTAAGGATATGGAGCAAGTAGAACACATAAGCATTGCTGTTGGAAATGAAAAATAGCATAATCACATTAGAAAATGCTTGATAGTTTTTTAATAAAGTTTGATAGTTTTTAAAAATATAGGTCATGGACAAATAGATGTATGCTTTACAGATGCTTTATACATCTATTTACCCATAACCCATAGCCAACATTGTAATCCCAGATGTGTATCCCAGAGAAATAAAAATGTATGTCAACACAAAAGACTTGTTAGTGAATATTCATGGCAGCTATATTCATAATATTCCCCAACTCGAAATGAATAAAACGTGCATCAATAGGTGAATGGATAGTGGTCCAACCATACAACGGAACACAATTTAGCAATAAAAAGCAACAAACTACAGATATACATAAGACTATGGATGAATTTCAAACCATTCTCTTGAACAAAAAGGCCAGACATAGAAGTACATACACATTAATATGAAGACCAAGCTCTGGTGACAGAAAACAGACCAGTCATCGTCTGCTCATGGGGGAATCTTCTGAGATAAGGGGAATATTTTATACCTTGTAGCTTAGAAGAAATGTTATAGAGCCCCAAACCTGAACATGGAGAAGTTTAATTTTGAATTATGAGACAATCTAAGCATTCAGGCTTCAGAGATTTTTTTTAAAAAGGCGGGCGGGGGGGTGGGGGGAGGCCACAGTGTGGGAACATTGGAAAGTTAGGACTAGAAGTCTCTTGTGAAAATAGAAACAGGAATGAATGGAAAAGCATTCATTCATACCGTCAACAACCGAATAGTTGTTAGAGTACAAATGATGAGCCAGACTGTTCCAGGCATTGAGGGTACAGATGAAGTACCTGGCCTCATCGAACGTACACTTACTTAGTTGCTGAGACATACAGTACACAATGTCAAGTAAACATGATGAACACAGATCAGTAATATAAAGGAAATAAGAGCACCCAGACAGGAAGGATGGCACAGATCCATTTTTAGAGAAACCCTGGGGAAGGGTGTACCAGGTAGAAGAAAGAGTGAATGCAAAAGACAGAGGGTGACAGAGGGTGACAGAGAGCTCACTCTGCTTCAGATTTGTATGATAAGTGTGGAAAGCCTACAGAGGCCTGTTTCTGTTGGAGCTTGAAGGCTACCATATGGTGTTTGCATTTTAACCAAAATAAAATGGAAAGCTATTGTGGAGTTTCAAGTTCGAGAGTTGCATTATTTATCTGTGCCTTAAAAAGATCTCTTTTGTTTAATGTGTGGATTGAGGGAGGGAGAGAGGAAGAAGAAGTAGCAAATAAGCTCGTAAAGTCTAATAAAAAGAAAGCAGGGAGGCAAGTTAGGGAGTTATTGCAATGTGCTGGATAGCAAATCAGGGTATCTTGACTCATCGAGGTGGCAGTAGGGATAAAGGGAAGTGGACAGTTTCAAAATACATTTTGGAGGTAGACGTGGAAGGACTTACTAACAAATAAGATGTGGAGGAATGAGTGAAACAGACAAATCGAGGAGATCCATGGGTCTTGCCTGAGATTCTTGCCATTTACAAAGATGGCAAGGTCTGGGTGTATAAGGCAGGGATCGGGTGAAGAGAGACTGTTTACAAAGGTGCAGAAAGTGTATAAGGAGAACAGCAGTGATAGTGATGTACTCCCAGGCAAGTACCAATGAGGGGTCATTACTATCCTTAGAAAATAAGTAGCAAGGAAAATGAACCATTAGGGTACTTGTACGGAGAAGCCTTCTCCTAGGAGATGAGGTCTTCAGTAGAGGAACGCAGCAAGCCCACAGAAACCTGGGAGAGGAGCCTTTGTTCTTATAGCTGGGGAACATTCTCATTGACCAAACCCAACCAGAACCTGGAGAGACAGGGTGAATGAGGGGTGGTGGGAAATGGAGGATGAGGGGGCTGGAGTACTTAGAGCAAATGAGAGTAAAACTATAAGGGCAAAGCAAGAGACCTGGCACAATGCCCATATTCTGAATTCTGTATAATTTAAAAGTTCAGTAAACTTTTCCTAACAATCTAAATTACAGCCAACAACATACAAATTTTGCAACAACATAGAAACTTTTGTTGCCAAGAAGACTAATTTGGAAGGCTTTGCTAGTTCTATATTAGTAATGTGTTATTTTTTGAATACCTAGTAGAGGAAGCCAGTCCCCTGAAAAGTGTCCTTGTAAGTAGTCATTATTTAGTTAAGAAATAACCCACCAGGAAAAAAGGAAAGAGAAATTATGAGATGCACAAAACCTGAAGACAACTTTAGTGTTATAGAAGATCTTGAGAGTACTAGACAGATGGAAGTGGAGAATGCATCCGTTTCTTTACCATTAAGACCTTGCCTAGGTGTTTTTGACATTTTGAGCTGAGATAAGAGAGTCGGGTTTTATTCCATATGCTTAAAGTCTTTACTAGGTTTGTCAGTATAACTTAATGTTTTTAGTTACCACATGTCATTCTGTTACTACATTTTGCTAGAATTGCCTAACATAAACAGTATCCTTATGTTTCATAATACAAGCTATTCAAGGGTCATATTGGCTAATACAAACTGTTTAGAAAGTTTGTTTTGCCAGAAGTCACTATTGTCAAAGCACTGATTTTAATTTTTGGTGATACCCCCATTTAAAACAGATATTTAATGCTTGCCCAGTATTTGTTGCTCAATGATACTTTATTGTCTGTTGCTATGCACTGATTGATTACTGACAGACAGTAAGTGCATTGGAAGAAACCATGATTTAAATTGTGTGTGTGTGTGTGTATGTATGTGAATGTATAAATTATTCAGTGAAGCAATAGAATCTGCATTTATTCAGAAACAAAGAACATTCATTGATTCCACAAAGATTTATTGAGTGACTACTATGTACCAGGCACTCTTTTAGGGACGTGTGCTACGTCAGTGAACAAAAGAGACCTAGATTCTCGTGCTTGTAGATATAATATTCTAGTAAGGAAACACAGACAACAAATAATACATATAATAAAAATAAATCATAGTATGTTAGAAGGTGATATATGCTAAGAAAAAAATACAACATGCACAAAATGAAGCAATATTCATCAAGGTCATGAAGCAACATTATCTGCACTCTAATCTGATCTCCTTGAATTCATAATGGAAGCTGTTGCCGTTTTCATATACATCAATTCTTTTTTCCCTTTCATTTTGTGATAATTGTACATATGTATGGGGTACAGAGTGATATTTTGATACACATATAAAATGTGTAATGACCAAGTCAGTGTCATCCATCACCTTGAGTATTTATCACTTCTTTGTGTTATGAACATTCAAAATATTCTCTTCTAGCTTTTTGAAAATATACATTCAATTATTTGTAATCATATTCATTCTACAGTGCTATAGAACAGTAGAACTTTTTCTTACTATATAGCTATAAATTTGTATTTGTTAATCAACCTCTACCTATCCATACGTCAATACTTAAATGGTCAAACCAAAATCTTTATCAGAAATCACTGGTACTTTCATGGTTGGTATGTTAAAGTTTGGATCACTAAATAAATTTAGAGTAATAGGCTGATCCTAAAATTTCATTGATAAACTTGTCATAATTAACTGTATTTATGACAAAGAAAGCAAAACAGAATAATTTAGATAATTTTATAATAAACTAGTTCAGGATATGTTTATCCTAGCTATATATTGGTGCATCATTTGTCTTACTACATTTGCATATGCTTAAGGCACTGAATCTGGAACACAAAGGAAATAAATGCGCATTGTTCGTTTTTTAAGAAATTCTATTCACATGGGTTTTAATCCACAGAGATGCCTCCTTTTAGTCTTGAATGCAAAAAGAAATTATCTTTTGAGTGCGTGTGTTAGCTTTGAAAAAATACATTCACATGAGATTTAATTCACCTTAAAGTTTCTTTTCTATTAAATCTCATGAGGAATTGCTGAAGGAAAGTTTCATGATGCCAAGTCACTAAGCAAAGTTCTCCAATATGACAGTTGTTAGAAATGTGAACCTAGTGCAGTTGTCCCCTTAAGCTATGGGCAAAATTCCCAGTTTTGAACCCTGAACTCATTCAGCCAAAAAATCTATATTATGCTAGTGTCTATTACATGTGACTTCCTTTTGACCAGCTTTTTCTATGTTTAGACTCTCACTTTTATTCCAAAGTACACTGGAAAATAGAAAAAAATCGGATAATTCTGTTCTGGGTGATCAGTAACTTTGGAAAAATTCAATTTGTTTGTTTTTTTTCTGGCAAGAGTTTGAAGTAAAACAAGTTTCTTTTCAACACATTGAAACAACCTATTTTCTCCAGAGCAATAGAGTTTGCATCTGATATCAGATAAGTGATTCTTGTAATTTGTCTAGGCTTTCAACAAACTGGTGAAAAAAAAATCTCCTTTCATTTACTTTCCATCTTTCTTCATGAGTTTCTTTTTTTTTTTTTTTTTTATCTCAAAGTGTTCTTAGAGATTGGGGGTTGACTATCTAGCTCATAATAAGAATCTAACAGAAAACATACCATTAAGCATTTGAGCTTCTCAGATCAAAATCAATATTTAAGACCAAAATAATATTATGCAAGCTTTTCTGATCATAAAAAGAAAGATCGTTAGTCACTTTGGACAGAATGATGATATCTTTAGTCATTGAATTAAAATTCATAAGTGTAATCCTCCTGATGAATTTTTCTCTGTCTGGTATTTTTCTATCAGGTTTATAACTCATGAGGCTAAAGCAAATTAGTGTCAACGTTTTATCATGACCATTTACTCGGTGCCTTTCTGTTTCTTTACGAAAATAAAGTTGCTTTTTAATGTTTTGGTAAATTTATATAATTTCTTTGGAAACATCACCACTAGGATTTACCATGAATTACAGCAATATACTTAGTGCTGCTTAGAAAATATTTCATCCCTTTCCCTGTTTTTTGTGTAGGTTTATGTCCTTTTAATTTCTGTTTAATTCCCCTTATTTAAAGCCTAAGTCTCAAATATTCATGATTCTTATTGCGAACTATAAAATATGTGCTTAATGCCATTATCCTTTTAAAATCATCTTGAATCTTTATAGTTTAATCACACATCTTGCCTGTAACTAAATTTAAAACTCTCTGGTAAAACAAAATGCCTAAACATCTTGTATAATGATATGCCTTTTTAGCAATGGTTACACTTCTGGCTTTATAAAACTATATTACTTAGCTTTTTAAGTTACATATGTCCATTATATGTATCTAATAAAATTAAACCGGATTTTAGATATTGAACATTTTTAAAGCCAACAACCTTGGTGCTATCCTTGGTTTTTCCTCTCCTACTGCCTCTGATATCTAATCCATCAATTCCTATTAGTTTTATCTCAAAATTGACCCTGTCTCTGTCCATAAGTCTTCTGTCAGCCTCTTTATTGCAAGCTTCCCCACTGGTCTCTCATTCATTCTCCACACAGCAGCGAAAGCCACTACTTTACAGTAAATGGTGTGAATCATTCTTCTGCTTAAAACTGCTCAATGACTTCCTGGAATCAAGTCCAAACTCCTTATCATGGCCGCCTAAGGCCAGTATATATAACTGGACCTTGCTTCTTTCTCTGATCTCATGTCCTGCCACTTCCCTTTCGGGTCGCGTACCAAGCTCATTTTCATCTTGGAACCTTGACTCTTGGTCATCTCTCTCTACTCCAAAGCTCTTTCTCTGCATCATGGTTTCTGCCTTCTCATCTCTAAGGTCTCGGATGCCACCTCCCTAAAGAAACCATCTTGCCCGATGTAGCCCCAAGTCAATCTCTCTTAAATCTCTCTATTCTATTTATTTTATACCAGGGAGCGCCATCTGAATTACTTGTTTATTTATTTGTTTGCTTCTCCACCTCCCCCAACCCCATTACAAGTTTCAAAAGAGCTCCTATCTGACTCAGTGCAATATCCAACATCCTAAGTTGGATCCTGGTGTATAATTCATGCTGTTTACAGATTTACTGAATGATAGTATATTAATATGTCAAGATTCATGGCAGGTATCAAAAAATTAATTTATTGAAGCATTCAGTCTCAAACATTTTCTTTTTTTTCTTTTTATCTTTTTTTTTTTTTCAGATAGAGTTTTGCTCTTGTTGCCCAGGCTGGAGTGCAATGGCGTGATCTCGGCTCACTGCAACCTCTAGCTCAGAGTTCAAGTGATTCTCCTGCCTCAGCCTCCCGAGGAGCTGGGATTACAGGCATGAACCACCATGCCTGGCTAATTTTTTGTATTTTTAGTAGATATGGGGTTTCACCATGTTGGTCAGGCTGGTCTCGACCTCCTGACTTCAGGTGATCCACCCGCCTTGGCCTCCCAAAGTGCTGGGATTACAGGAGTGAGCCACCATGCCCAGCCTTCTTTTTTTTTTTTTTTTTTCTTTTGAGGTGAGTCTCGCTCTGTCTCCCAGGCTGGAGTGCAGTGTTGTGATCTGAGCTCACTGCAACCTCTGCCTCCCAGGTTCAAGCAGTTCTTCTGCCTCAGCCTCCCAAGTAGGTGGGACTACAGGCACGCACCAATACGCTCAGCTAATTTTTGTATTTTTTTGTAGAGATGGGGTTTCACCATGTTGGCCAGGCTTGTCTTGAACTCCTGGCTCAAGTGATTTGCCCTCCTCGGCCTCCCAAAGTGCTGAGATTACAGGTGTGAGCCACCGTGCCCAGCCATGTCTCAAACATTTTCATCTTGTGAAGCTATTTAAGTTTCCTGAAAATCACCTCACTCTTCTTGTACTCCTCTTCCTTAAAACCAACCCAATGGTCTCAGGCTTTTCTGCTCATTCAAGTCACATTTCCTCCCAGTAAACTTAATTTTGGTAAAATATTCAACAGTTCAGGAGAGATACATAAATCATGCTTGAACTGCCTTGCAAATAGCAAAGGAACTGACTGGCCATGTGCTATGATTTCAAGGGTTTTGGGAAGCATCTACCTCCAACTACTGGTCCTCACTGAGTCTTGAAATCCCACATTTAGAGTTTTAATTTCTTTTTTTTAAATTAAACAACAGAAATTTATTTTCTCACAATTATGGTGGTTGGAAGTTCAAGATCACAGTGTTGGCAGGGTTGGCTTCTTCTGACTGCTGTCCTCATTAGAATTTTATTTAAGTTTTGACTCATGTTAAGATAGAAATACTCTCGGAATGATTAATGCTTTAAACTTGTCCAGCCACTTAGATGTAAGGTCTGAGGATCTTAAAAGGTATTTTGGGAAGGAAAAAAGAGCAAACGTCAGAATACCAGGAATCTAAAATACAGGCAGAAGAGCCACCTGGAGGGTGGGGACCATTCGGAAATCCTGATCTGCTTGTAAGGCCGGTGTTAGTCTAACCTATAGCATTCTGGTTCTTTTCTGGCTCGGCTCCTACTGTAAATTTAAACATCCCATTTAATCATTATGCAAAAAAAAATTAAGAGATTTAGCTGGGTGATCTCTAAACAATTCTAGATCAGTGATTCTATACTCCATAATTTTATTCACAATCAACCCTTTCTACTACTCACAGATGCTAGAAAATATTAGAAAGCAGATGTAATTAAATGTTCACACCACAAAAATGAGAACTATGTGAGGTAAGGCATTTGTTAACTAGTTAGATTGACCCTTGCACAATGTATATATACTTCAAAACATCATGTTATAAACAATTAAAACATAATTTTAAAAAGCCAGTATGATTTCTACAAATACAATAACATGGGACCAAACAGCAACAGACCTCGAGTTCACCACATATTTTATATATTTATAATTTCACATATACTCACAGTGTTTCATTCCACATCTATTCCCAAACTTGAATGCATGTGCATGCACAAACAACATATACATCACCTCCTTCACTGAGAAATTACAGCACCATTATTTATTCAAAGGCACTAACTCTGACAAGAGTGAAACAGAAGGTACTTCTCTATTATATAGTGTCTATTTTCTGATTTTCTTTGTTATATTTCATTGTATTTATTAATATTAGGTTAAGCAAGAATGTACAAAGCCATAGCAGGTTGGGAAGGTTATCAAGAGACCACCTATTCTTTTTCTTCAATTCAATCTCTTTTCAGATTAATCATTCTTGGCTATTCTGTTTTTTAAGTAATTTACTTTTTCTTTTCACTTACTCACCTAATTAATCTATTAACAGAGTGTCAACAATTGCTGTTTCACTAAACCAGTAAAAGACAACTGCTTTGGTGATAATGTTTTATTTTCAAGCAGGTCATGATTATACTTATCACATTATTACACTTACTACATTTATTACTTATCATATTTATTGCAATAATCATTATCACAAAAATGATCCATTGATTCTAACTCTCAGGAGGCACTCAATAAATATTTAGTCAATGAGTGAATAAATGCAATATTGGAATTAAAACATACTCTCAACATTTCAACCAAATGCTTTATTACAAAGCATGGGGGAAGGAAGCATAGGGTTGGACTTTGTGCACTGAAACAGTTATATATTTTCCGTAGCACTAAATCTTTTTCTCATTAAAATGCATATAATGTGCAGCTATTGCTCCAGGAGGACCTGCTGTATCCTGTTAAAATTACCGTCACCAATCTGTGGATTAGCTAACAGTAGGGGAGGATATGGCTGATGTTTGTCTGTGTGTGTGTATTTTGATGATTGAAGAAAAGAAGTAATGGGGATTAACATTCTGCTTTTACAAGTATAATTGTAAGTTTAACACAGGGACAACTTTATTTTTAGTGTAATACATCTGTGAATTATGAATTATGATATGTTCAGGTCATGCTTTTTTGCATTCATTTTTTACTTTTATGGAGTTGGAGTAAACTAACCCAATCTATGAATGAAATTCAAAACTGTACTTGAAAATGAAGGAAAACGGCATTATTTTTCAAATATTGAGTATAAATTATCACAACTTCGTTAAAAAAAAAGATACTTTAGAAGTATACTTAACTTAGTCTATTACTTCTCCAAATAGATGTTTTAAATGTTTTAAGCATCTGCTGTAAAAATTAACCTAGGCCAATTTGGATATTCAGCAATTATCACGTTATTAGAGCAAAGTTTGGTAGAATTCTACAATTAGAGACAGGTGGATGATTCATGGCAACCTTTTCTCCATAATCTTGCTACCAGGTGGTATGCTAAAATTAAAGCAAGCCTGAGATTAAATAGACCAAATTCTGTCAAATGTACCAACATTTAGTCGCAAATAGGGCACAAAAGCAGTTATTGAACTTAAGCCTTCAAGTTCTCAGTCTCAATCTGTAGGAACTTCCACAAATACCCTTCCAAGAGAGGTTCATTATGAGGAAGATCAGCCAGCCTTCTGAGTTACATCAGGGACAGAATCTTCCATTAAATCGAATAGAGGGTAGACCAAAGGGAGTTTAGACCTAGACCTAGTGTACTTACCTGATGGTATTAGACTTCTAGCCTTGATGAGTCTTATGCCTCATTCATGATAAGGCTCATAAAATCTATATAGCAACTGAACATTTTGAACACCACTCATTTCATCAACAAGTAATGATTTCAAGCATGCCTTTTGTGAATTAATGAAACCTCTCTGTAGATTTTGATAATGATACTTGAAATTCTTGGGTGGCATTTTTAGAGTACAGATTCTGGATTAGGGAACATAAAATTCTAACCACCTTAGGAGTAGGAATCAAAGTTAATATACAGATACGTAACTTACAGTGAAGTATTTTAAAGTAAATTAGCACATCTGTTGCACAATAGCTTTCCGGATAGGTTTGAACTATAATGTTACATCCACATTACGGAGATATTAATTGAAATAAGTAATACTTCATAGATATCCTATACATGTTATATATCTATATCTAAATCATCTATATCTATCTATTACATATTTATCACCTATTTACCTATCTCTATACACATATCATTGTAGGAGTAGAAATCACAGAAAATGAGATCATTTGAACCAATGGCCTGGTTTGTGTCATTTAAATAATCTTAAATTTCAACCATATAAACTCTCAGATACTCAAATAATGCAAATTCTGCAGGTATCTGGAGTAATCGCTTCCAACATTTTTTGTTTTTGAGACAGGGTCTCACTCTGTCACCCAGGCTGGAGTGTAGTGGCACAATCTCGGCTCACTGTAGACTCAACCTCCTGGGCTCAAGTGATCCTCCCACCTCAGCCTCCTGAGTAACTGAGACTACAGGCACGTGCCTCCACACCCAGCTAATTTTTGTATTTTTAGTAAAGACGGGTTTGTGCTGTGTTGCCCAGGCTGGTCTCGAACTCCTGGACTCAAGCGATCCACCTGCCTCAGCCTCCCAGAGTGCTGGGATTTTAGGCATGAGCCGCTGGGGCTGGCTTCTTTCAACTTTTAACTCTGTTGACTGCATATAACTTTTTCATATTTAAGAAATGTGTTGGTTGTTGAAGAAGACCAAGTCTGAACTCAAACTGGGTTCTTAGAAAGCTTTGAAAGGAAAACAGGGACAAATTAAGTGTCTGCCTCTGCCCAAAGGGGAAGTCCCTAAAAGAGAAAAGTTTAAAGACATCAAGAATAGTTCTGATGCTTGCCTAAAAGTTAAGTCTAGAAGTAGAGTAATAAGTAAAGTTTCTTGGAACCTTTTCAATCCAGCTAGAGAGATACATTATGACCACTGATAATGGTGTGCTTTCTACCTCTCAGTTTACCCTTTGTAAATAACTCAAATGGTTTGCTTTGAACTGGCATATTTATTTATTTTCCCTCTGGGAAACCACCTCTACTCATATTCCCGAATAAACTGTTTTCCTATAATCAGCTATGTATGAAGGCTTTAGATATCAACAGAACTTTCCATAATATCTCTTTTAAGGTGAAAGGTTCAGAATAAATCTACCTAAGATTAAATGCTCCTTAGGTGGAACCACTGAGCCTCATGCTACCTACATGCCTATGACAAACAAATTTTTATTTCATATGCATACTCTGCTGAACAATGACTTATATATCCAAATACCTACTAGAAATCTACTCCTGAAAATCCAGCAGACAATTCAACCACAACATTCAAAGCAAAAATAATGGTTTCTTGCCCAGCCCATTCTTCCCCATCTCAATTAATGTTTGCAACACACCCACTGTGACTCAAGCCAGATACCTAAGAGTCATTCTCTATTTCTCTCCAGCCCTTATACCCAACAGCCAATCTATCATCATTTCTTGTGAGTTCTACCTCTGCAGCTATTCTTCCAGTGCAAGCCTCCATCACCTCTCACCTAGAATGTTGTATTTGTTATATTTTAGGCCTCCTTTCTTTCTACTCTAGCTCTGTTTCTTTGGTCAACACAGCAAATGAATGATAATTAAAAGAAAATGAAAGGATCATATCACTTCCTTATTTAAAACTCTCTTTTAGCTTCTGTCTAAACATGGAAGGATCAAAATCCCTACTAATGCCCTGCAAATCCTGCATCTCCAATCTCAGTTTCTCACATCCCATCAATTTCCTGTTCACTCTGGCCACACAGTCTTTCCTCTTGTTTCAAATGGAAAATTGACATAGCCCAGGCTTAGGAGCTTTGCACTCACTGTTGCCTCTGCCTGGAAAACTCTGGCCTCTGAGAGTCACCTGTGTGGTTCCTTGATATCCAGGTCTCAGCTCAACTTTTACACTACTGTGAGAACATCCTTACCACCTTTTCTTAAGTAGCTCAGCAATGCCCCCAGGCAGGCACTCTCTGCATCCTTACCAACCTTCTATTTTCCAGGGGATTTTTTACTAAGTAAAAGTTTCTTGTTTATTTAGTTGTTTGGTTACTGTCCTTCTACTCTAATTATAATGTAAATTCCCTAAAGTCAAAGATTTTGCTTCTCTTCCGTTGTACTCTACTTGCCTTGGCACATGGCAGGAGCCCAATGTGTTTCATAAGGAAATTAAGATTCCTACCTGGTAAGGTTATTCTTTCAAGAAAAGGAGAATCCAAGTGACCTTTTTCCAAAGTGGTTGAGGTCCTTGGTATCTTGCTGACTTGGCAGAACTGTTCTGAGAGCCTCAGAAATTGAACCACGTTATTTAAATTCAACTCTGAATGTAAAGAGTCACCAAGGGGCCACTAGGATGAATCCCAGCATCTCTCATTTCCTCAGGCCCCCTCATCCTTCTGTTTGTTAAATCAATGCTGGAGGAAGATGGGTGGCATCACATTCAATGACAAGGATGCCCTGTGATAATTTGCATCATCTCCAAAGAGGATTAAAAGGGGCTGGGTGCGGTGGCTCACACCTGTAATCCCAGCACTTTGGGAGGCCAAGGTGGGCAGATCACTTGAGGTCAGGAGTTCGAGACTAGCCTGGCCAACATGGTGAAACCCTGTCTCTACCAAAAACCCAAAAATTAGCCAGTCGCGGTGGCACACACCTGTAATCCCAGCTTCTTGGGAGGCTGAGGCAGGAGAATCACTTGAACCTGGGAAGCGGAGGTTGTGGGGAGCTGAAATCGTGCCACTGCACTCCAGCCTGGGCAACACAGCGAGACTCCATCTCAAAAACAAAACAAAACAAAACAAAAACCAAAGAGGACTGAAAGGGATTTATTAAATCTCAGCGCCCCAAGCCAGTGGTTCTCAAAGTGTGGTCCCTGGGCCAGGAGCATCAACACAACTAAAGAACTTTGTTAGAGACACAGATTATCGGGGGGCTCAGCCCTGACTTGGAGTATCAGAAACTTTAAACCTGTTTGAACAAGCTCTTGCTAAAATATGAGAACTACCATGCTAAGACAACAGTGCCAACCTTGATTGCACCTTATGATTACCTGCCAAGCTTTTAAAATTTATCAGGCCTGAGCCCCTCTGCTACAAGTTCTTAGTCGGTCTGCCGTGAGTGAGATCTCTGTATTATTTAATTTCTACTAAGTGATGCTGATGGAGCTCCAAAGTTTAGAGTCATTGCCCCAGTGTGGGAGCAGGGTAACTTCAGGTTTATCCAGGTACTTTGTAGATTTTCATCCTGAAAAGAAATATAATTTGGAATTCAAACATGGCTTGCCTCTCGGTTTTATAGTAGGAGAGAAGGGAAATGACTTGGCCTAAAACACAGCATATGGTTCTAAATGCTAGTGTTGTATAGCCTCATCCAAAGCATCAACTCATAGAGAAGTACATTAAAGCAGTGTAATGTTCAAAACCAAGTTCCATAGTAAGCATCTGCTATAATAGAATGACTTATTCCAGAAGGGAAGTTTCATTTCAGGAGAGCTTATCATGACATCAAATATGTTTTGAGTTAATGAAAATGCAGGAAGCACCAAGTTAATAGGGCAATTTTAAACCATAAAGCCTAATTTAACTGCGCTAAGAATGACAATATAATGCTCTGCACAAAAGGAAGTTTCACAACCTGATTGATCAAATGGAGAATTACTAGGATGCTGGATCGCATCTTCCTTGAAGAAGCTAAGTTGACTAGGAGAGGCAGACTTCCTTAGAATGCAGTTATGTACTTCTTAATTAAACAAAGAATGATTAAAAAGAGATTTTGCTTTATAAGGCCACAGAACAGCTTGTTTGATAAAATTGTTATAAGCCTCCAGACTTTCATTTCTACTTTAATATTGATTCCATTTTCAGAAATAGTTAAGTAGAAGTTATTCAGGTTCTTCTTTATATATTTGCTTTTTTAGTTGTTGTTAGACGTAAGATAAATTTGAAATGTCAGGAAGGAGAATGTTTATTTTCACAATAA
This sequence comes from Homo sapiens, assembly GCF_000001405.40. Taxonomy (NCBI): domain Eukaryota; kingdom Metazoa; phylum Chordata; class Mammalia; order Primates; family Hominidae; genus Homo; species Homo sapiens. The sequence continues at coordinate 29,799,073 of NC_000023.11, forward strand.
AAAGCTTACTCTGTGTAATATTGAAACTATCCATTCTGATATAAGATAATGTTTTATTTTGGCTGCTTAATTTCAAATTGAATTATTTAATAGAACAATTAAAAGTCAATACAAATGAAACAGCTACTTGTTTTTCTCAGTTTATGGATGTTTTATAAAGTGTAAAAGCAGCTGTTTCGTTATACTTTTCTTGAATTGAATAGCCATAAGAGCTTTCTTAAAATCATATTTGATCCATAGCTCTTTCTTTTATAGCTTCTTCTATATAATTTACTTCTAAGTAACATTTCCTTTACATATAAAAATTGATTATTACTGTCTTGTGTTAAGAACTTTTCCTGGGTCTCCTTAATTCATCAGAATGCCAATATTACGATTAGCAAAACCAATTAGGCCATTTATCGCAGAGAATATTGGAAATGTGCTATATGCAAAGCATTGTTTTACAAGTAGTTCAACATTCTAATTTTGAAATTAGACTAAGAGCATAATACATTTAGAAAATGTGGATAGTTAAGTTTAAATTTAAAATAATAAAAAGTCAAGAATATTACAATTTTACTTCCTCAGTCACACTAGGCACATTTCCTAGACTCAATAGGTGCACGTGGCTAGTGGCTACCATAGTGGACAGTGAAGATACAGAACATGACTATCATCACAGAAAGTTTTGTTGGGCAGGCAGTGCTGTATAGGCTAGTTAGTGAGGAAATACATTTTTAAAAAGCATTGTTCCCTGGGGCATTACAGGATAAATTTAAGAATTCTGTTTCATAAGGAAATATTATGCCACACATGGAGTCTTTCTTAAAATAACTGACCCTCTAGAAGAGGAGGCCTAAGTGTACAACCTGTTCATTTCCTATCGGAGTTGGTTGCCTGGAAATGTTGTACATCTCAGTTTCATAGCAAGGTCATAAATGTTTTGTAGGCCGTATCCTCTGTTCTATCTACTATCCCCACAGCACAAAGAAATAATTATGTGCATAGAGTGGACACCCAATGAATCTTTACTAAAAGCACCAAAGTAATATGAGGCAAGGAGATACTACACAGATTTCAACCTTTGAACTTGAACAGTAGTTTGTAACTCCTGGCCCAGTCTAGTACTAGATTGTAGGGTCCTGATGAACAACTGTAGGCCAGGATCTCCCTCTGTTTCAGGTGCCTTGTGGTAAAATCACATGACCACTGAACCCTCAACCACTCCCTGAACTAGATGCTACCAACACCAACACAGAACCCCTTTCCCCATAATTCCTTCCTTATCCCTGGTCCAGGACCAGCCAACCTGAACATAGACTGACAAGCTTCTCATGATTCAATTATCTAACTTAAGTTACCATATGACTTCCTTCAACAAAAGTTACCCATTTTAAAATCTCTGTTTCTTTCTGTATTATAGGAGACTCATATCCCAAATACACACACACACACACACACATGCAGACACACACACAAACACACACATTTATATATATGCAGAAAAGCAATGATAAAATCTCTCCTGCCAAATTAGCAATATAGTTTTGTTTCAAAATATTTATGCATAAATTTCATAAGGTATTCTGACTTTTAATTTGAAATTTAATTCAATAAAGATTACATTAGTCAGAAAAAACTCATCTTTGGCCAGGCGCAGTGGCTCACGCCTGTAATCCCAGCACTTTGGGAGACCGAGGTGGGCGGATCACCTGACGTCAGGAGTTCGAGACCAGCCTGACCAACATGGAGAAACCCCGTCTCTACTAAAAATACAAAAAAAAAAAAAAAAAAAATTAGCCAGGCGTGGTGGTGCATGCCTGTAATCCCAGCTACTCGGGAGGCTGAGGCAGGAGAATTGCTTGAACCTGGGAGGCGGAGGTTGTGGTGAGCCAAGATGGCACCGTTGCACTCCAGCCTGGGCAACAAGAGCGAAACTCCGTCTCAAAAAAAAAAAAAAAAAAAAAAAAAAAAAAAAAACTCTCCGTCTCAAAAAAAAAAAAAAAAAAAAAAAAAAAAAAAAAAACTCATCTTTTAATGTTAGTTTATAATTTAAAGACACAAAAACAGCTTCGTTTCTAGATTCAAGCAAGGCATGTATTTCCAAAATATCTCTTCATGATTGCCCCAAATACTGGATCTCCTTTCCTGTTGGACTGTATGTATCTAAAATGTACAGAGATTATTGAAAAATAAGTTAGGATAGGGACTATTAACACAATTTTGTTCTGAAAATCTTCCCTTAATACATCACATGGGTTTTTGAGGCAGATGTTTGGAGGGCATGATTTTTAGGGCAGAACCAGCACAAGTTGCAAGCAATGCCTGGACACCTGTTGAGCCCTTCTGTGCCATCTGCTTAAAGGGAAGTACACATAACCTTAAAATCGTTGCTGCTTTTGGAGGTCATTTTATCAGGATTGAGACTACATCCCCCACAACCCACAGGACTTAAAAAGAGAGAGATTTATCTCAGAAGGGCATTGTCTCTAAGTGTGATCTTCATTTTTATGAGCTGAGCTTGAAGTCCCTGACATTTAGAAATGATAGTGTGTTGATGTGAGGTTCTTTCGAATAATCCTTCTAAGTTTTATCAGCTTTGCAAAATGTTACTAAGTGCTAGCATTTAGTTTGTGAAATGTTTTAACTATTGAGAAGGTGATGTTGGTCAGTCCTTAACTAAGATCGATCAAAGTAAGTTCAGTAGGTGACTGTTTTACAAGTGGCATGGTGGTGGTGTTCCTCAAAGGTTTTGGAGAGATACAAAAGGACTCTCTAGTTGTGGTTTTAAGTTATATACTCAGTTTTATATCCTGTTAAAGTTTTTATACCATATTTTAAAATTGCTGTTTGGAATTACAGGAAATGTTTAATTCACAAATCATTTATAGTTACAGGAAATATAATTCTATTATTGATATAATGAATTGAATGGTTTTTAATACATCGTAGTTTTAAACACTTAAATATTCACGAGTAATATTTGGGAACTTTAAGAATAGCATCCAAAAGGTCTACGTGTTCATGTGTATGTCTGTGTTTGATTTGGTGGGGGCCATTGGCCAAAGTTTGATCCCACTCATTTGAACAGCTTGCTCAGTATGTGCATCATTGGGGAAAAAAATCGGCATGGAGCGTTCGGTAGCTAGCCTCTAGTAGAATTATCAGAGGAAAACTGTGATGGTGAAACTGAGAATTTGAAAAGCCAGATTGATGTTTTCCAAGCTTGATTTTTAGATGAGAAAGTAAAAGAGTATTTTGATTTAACATTTGAAATTATAATATTAGTAGCAATAAAATATACCAGTGCTTCTCAAATTATCTGAGGTGGCAGACCAGGTTTTTAAAAATTTCATTTTGCTTTAATTTTCAATCTCTCAAGGACCAATACTTTGGTAAAATACCATAAATATCAATAACTAGAAACAACGATGTTACCAAAAAAAAGACATACAAAAATACAAGCCAGGGCTTTTAATATTTTTTTTCATTTAACAGATATTATCAAATTGCTGTGAAATTTACTAAATGTTCACTCTCAGTTTCTATACTTTTATTGTAGAACAACAAAAGGAATTTGTTAACTGGCTGTGCTCTGTAGGCTTTTTAAGTAGAATTGCTCTATGTCACTGTGCATTAAATTTTGTGTTTGGATGTATCCTAAGCAAGCTATGAGGTCTCTGAGGAAAAAATTATATATATATATATATATATATATATATATATATGTGTGTGTGTATATATATATATATATATGTGTGTATATATATGTATACATATATGTATACATATATGTGTATATACGTGTACATATGTATACATATATGTATATATGTATACATATATATGTGTATATATGTGTACATATATACATATATGTGTACATATGTATGCATATATGTATACATGTGTACATATATACATACATGTGTACATATATATGTATGCATATATACATATGTGTACATATACATGTATGCATATATACATATATGTGTACATATATATGTATGCATGTATACATATATGTGTATATGTATACATGTATACATATATGTATATATGTGTATACATGTATGCATATATGTATATATGTGTATACATGCATACACATATGCATACATATATGTATATATGTATACATATACACACATGTATATATGTATACATATACACACATGTATATATGTATACATATACACACATGTATATATGTATACATATACACACATGTATATATGTATACATATACACACATGTATATATGTATACATGTATACACATATGTATATATGTATACATGTATACACATATGTATATATGTATACATGTATACACATATGTATATATGTGTATATGTGTATATGTGTATATATGTATACATCTATGTATATATGTGTGTATATATGTATATATGTATACATATATGTATACATCTATGTATACATATGTGTATATATGTATATATGTATATATGTATACATATATGTATATGTGTGTATATATGTATATATGTATACATATATGTATCCATATATGTGTGTGTATATATACACGTGTGTATATATGTATATATGTGTATATATATACACGCGTGTATATATATACACACACACAATTTATGTGCATGAATTGTGTGTTTTTATTTTGATTATAACTTTTAAAAAGTCATACAAGTGTATTCTGCATCACTTGACTGACCAAAATGTACACTTGCATAACATAAGTGCTCAAGTTTGTGTTTATGTTTACAATGAAGTCAACAACAAGTAGCATTACTTTAAATGTCAGGGTCTGATAAATAAAGACCAGAGGAAGCTAAAGAAAGAACATGATACTTTGAACAATCCTCTCTATTAAATGGGAAAATTGGGCTTTAGATCTGAGTGTTTTAATTTCTACTTTAATATGCTTGATTATAGTTTTAAGATGAATGCATACCAGAAATGAATTGATTTATATAAATCTTTCATTTTAAAGCAGATTTTATCATTTTACAATGTGTGAGAAAAGAATAAAATCAGACCCTTGATTGACACTGTTCTTTCAATCAGTTTATGAAACATTTTCCTCTGTGTCTACCACTTTTATTTGCATAATTAAAAATTTTAATGCTAAATCAGAAACCAAAAATGGAATGTGCATAAAATCCCCTTGGACTATGAGTTTGGAGAGTTGGCATTTTTTCTGGCGTGATCTGCTATAGGCTTACTGTTACTTAGGGCCCGGAGAGGTGGGTCAGGGAAAACATTAAATGTATTCAGGGTATGATCCATATTCTATTTTTAAGTTTTATGCTGTTTATTTTGAGGGAAGAGATACTGATATAGTTTGGCTGTGTCCCCACCCAAATCCCACCTTGAATTGTAATAATCCTCACCTGTCAAGGGTGGGGCCAGGTGGAGATAACTGAATCATGGGGGCAGTTTCCTCCATTCTGTTTTTGTGGTAGTGAGTAAGTCTCTTGAAATCTGATGATTTTATAAATGGGAGTTCCCCTGCACAAGTTCTCTTGCTTGCTGCCCTGTAAGACATACCCTTGCTCTTTTTCTGCCTTCCACCATGATTGTGAGGCCTCCTCAGCCATGTGGAAGTGTGAGTCCATTAAACCTCTTTCCTTTATAAATTACCCAGTCTTGTGTATGTCTTTATTAGCAGCATGAGAACAGACTAATACAGATACAAACATGTAAAGTGCAGAATAAGGTCCTATATGTCAATGGGCCAACTTGTGTGTTTTGTAATTAAATATACTAGTTTAGAGAAAAGGAAGCTCAAGCTCAACATGAACTGGATTCATCAGTGGTGGTCTCACCGAGGAACATGACCAAACTTCAGTATAAATTGTGTTTACATCTCTTCTTAAAAAAATAATTAAATACATGTTATTATTGTTTGAAAAGTTATTTAATACTGAGCATCTACACATTAATCATGATGAAAAAATAATATTAAACTTTTGTATGTCCTGCTAGCTTAGGAAGAATGACACTGACAATTATTTCCCTTAACCATTGTGGTAAGCCAAGTATTAGTTCATAGCAAATATTTCATTTGTAGATTTCAGTTTTTTTCACTATTTCTACTTTTCATACAATATCATTCTTCAAATGATAAAATAGTACTTAGTGAAGGATTTGGGAGCATGTTAAAGTTATTTAGCATTAATTGCAGCATTACACTGGGACACATGTACTTCTATTTCTGTAACATATCACTCATCATTTCACTCAGATAAAGGAAATATTAAACATTTTATCAGATGGGGAATTCCTGGGGTCACACTGTAGCAGATGAGTTGGGATTGGTATACCTTCTCCAAGCTTCCTATTAGTTACACACGCACACACACACACACATGCACGCACACACACACACACTCCAGTTTGGAATCTGTCTAGCCAAGACCACAGTGCAAGATGTTAAAAGCACTCCACTTGCTTTGGGCATATGCCAGGCCTGAATGAGTCTCTTACCATTGGGAAAACGATCTATATTTAAATTTTTCTAGATACTATCTATTAAAATTATTCTATATTACCAAAGAATGGAAATATTTTCCGGAAAGTTCAGAGTAGCAACATATTCCTTAAGCATGTTTCCACTTCAAAAGATAAAAAGTTTAGAAGACATCTCCATGTCCTCAAAAAGAAGTAAGAAAACATTATAATTATTGATTAAAAGCTGGGAGCCCTAGAAAGAAACCTTGGAGATGAATGACAAGGATACAAAAGGATTTGTCAAAATGAGAAAAGAAGACAAGGAAACTCAAGTACAGCTAGCGATATAAAAGCTGCATTGAAGTCTATTATAGTCTTATATGACAGAAAAAGGTGAAGAAAATTGTATATAAGTAAGGAAGAAATGTTTATAGATGAAAAATTATATATATATAAAATCTATAGATTATATATAATATATACAGGAAGAGAGAGAGAGAGGGATGGAGGCAGGGAGGGAGGGAGAGAAATAGAGAATGAGAATGTGATGAAGGGCAGAGAATAGGGATCAGAAATACAGCTGATTCAGTTGAAGGAACCAGAAAATGGGAGGGGGCAATATATTTGAATAAAATAATTACAAATATGTAATAAGGATAAAAACATAAGTCTTTTTCTGTTGCTCTTGCTCTATGTACATGTGAGCACACGGGCACACGTGCGTGCACGCGTGCACACACACACACTTAGAAAGTTGAAGGCTTTGTAGTTAAGTAGGGAATTTGTAGTATGTAGGGAATTTCAACCTTGATTCAGAGTGACAGGCAAAGATTTCAAATGGAGGTATATGTGTATTCTTCAATGGGAGGATAAATTGAAAACATAAGTAAGGCATAAAATGTATCTAAAAAATTTTAACCTTACTAAATTCCAATGAAATCCAATTATGATTTTCTTCCTAAACTTGACAAAGTTATTCCTAAGTGCATCTGAAAAATATAGCAAAGAATATGATTATAATTTTAAAGTAATATAGGAGGACTTGCCATACCAGATAATATTGTCATGGGTCAATCATAGTCTTTAAAACAATATAGTACTAACTTCAGGTGAGCAGACAAGCCAAGGGACATAACAGATGGCCCTGAAATTGACTTTATCATATAAAAAGACTAGTATTTAATTTTTTAAAGTATCATTAACCAGTAGGGAAATAACCATCTAAAGAATATATATCTATTAGCCATTTACATATATAACCAATTAAATATATAGGTTTGACTATGTGTCTCCACTCAAATTTCATGAGGAGTCGTAATCTCCAGTGTTGGAGGTGGGGACTGGTGGGAGGTGATTGGATCGTGGGGGTGGAGTTCTCACAAGATCTGGTTGTTTACAAGTGTGTGGCACCTCCTCCTGCACTTACTCTTCCTCCTGCTCTGACCATGTAAGATGTGCCTGCTTCCCCTTTGCCTTCTGCCATGATAGAAAGTTTCCTGAGGCCTCCCCAGAAGCAGTCATGCATACTGTATAGCCTTCAGGACCGTGAGCCAATTAAACCTCTTTACTTTATAAATTACCCAGTCTCCGGTATTTATAGCAGTGCAAGAATGGCCTAATACAATATGTAACTATTTAAATATATACAAAATCATTCAAATATGTATAGAACCATTTAAATACATATATTAAATTATATATATATAATTTTTCAATTTCACGTAATCTAGAGAGTTTATATTAAAATTGAAACATGACAAATGAGAAAGCTATTGGTTAATAAATCTCTAGATAAAGCAGAACTTTTCAAGAATTTTTATTTAAAAATGAAAGGGAAACACTGGGCATGGTGGCTCACGCCTGTAATCCCAGCACTTTGGGAGGCTGAGACGGGCAAATCACCTGAGGTCAGGAGATTGAAACCAGCCTGGTGAACATGGTAAAACCCCGTCTCTCCTAAAAAAGTAAAAATTAGCCGGGCATGGTGGCATGCACCTGTAATCCCAGCTACTTGGAAAGCTGAGGCAGAAGAGCCTCTTGAACCCGGGAGGTGGAGGTTGCAATGAGCCAAGATTGCGCCACTGCACTCCAGCCTGGGCGACAGAGCAAGACTCTGTCTCTCAAGACAAAAAAAAAAAAAAAAAAAAAAAAAAAATGAAAGGGAGGATCCTTACAAAAGGAAAGATGATTTTGATGCATTAAATAGAAAACATTTTTAACAACAGCAAAATAAATAAGATAAAAAGATTATTGGCTAATTAGGTAAAATACCTTCAACAGGTGTGATGCAATTTGATTTCTGATACATGAATTCTTCAAGTCAGTTTTTATAAAGTAGCAAAGCGCATGATTATGCAATTAAATAAATAATAAGAACACATAAAATAGCAAAGAAACATATGAAAACATACTGAACATCATGAGTAATTGGTAATCAAAGAAATGCTAAAGTAATAAGATACAATCTTTCACCTGATAATTTTGTCAAAAATATTAGGTAAAATAGTCACCCTCATACACTGCTAGTCAGAATAAACTGTTTTTGCAGGACAGTTTGGTAATAGCTATAGGGAATCTTAGGTTTAATAATTTGTAATCTTGATCTAACAACTCAAATTCTGGGAGTACATCCTTAAGAAAATAATTAGACTTTTACAAAGATTTATATAACAAGAGGTTTATCACTTTGATATTTATAGTAGCAAAAAAATTAATTTACCAAAATCATAAACAGTAAAGTAGTTATCTATGACCATTCAATGAAAAACTGGCAACCCTTAAAAATATGCTTAATGGTAATTTTTTTTAAGTAAGTGAACTAATCCTGTTTTTTGGATTTGGATTGTCTTTTAAATAAGGTCTTACATATAATCTTAATCTAACACATCTAACCACATTGTATTAAAGTAAATGTTTCCAATAATACCAATGTTTTAAAATTTATAGAGTTGCAATAAGGTTCAGTATGTTTGTTATTAATTTCCATCACCGCTCCATGTGTGCTTGGAAAGGTTTTGTATTCTGAAATTGTTGGGTACATAAGATCAAGTTTCTTCATTGTGTTTCTCAAATCTTATGTATGGTACTTATTAATTTTAATTTTTTGCCTGTTTTATCTATCAGTTTGTAAGAAGAGTGTTGAAAAGCTACAACTAAGGTGGTTTATTTGTATATTTCTCTTCATATTCTGTCAAATATTAATTTATACATTTTAACATATATATTATGTTCTTAAGTGAATGATTACATTTTCTTGGAATATATCTTCAGTACACCTTTCTGGTAAAGTGAAACTCTTACAATTATGTGGTGACTCTCTATCTCCAATACTACTCAGTCTTTAAAGTCTATTTCATGTTTTATTAATATGGTTAAACCAGCTTTGTTTGTATTTTCTATATATAAATATTTTTATATGCCAGCCTGTATAGTTTTAATTGAGGTGTGCCTCTTATAAATCCATTTAACTGGATTTGATATTTGCTTTGTTCCTGTATGACAGTCTTTGCTTTTCAACTGGAACTTTTAGTTAATTTTTAATTGTAATGACTAGTGTCTGTAATCATGCCTACCATATTCTGCTCCTGCTTTTTTTTTTTTCTTTTTTTTTGGGGGGTGGGGGGATACAGTTTCTCTCTTGTCACCCAGGCTGGAGTGCAATGTTGAAATCTCAGCTCACTGCAACCTCTGCCTCCCGGGTTCAAGCGATTCTCCAGCCTTGCCTCCTGAGTAACTGGGATTACAGGCGCTCGCCACCATGCCAAGCTAATTTTTTGCATTTTTTTTTTTTTTTAGTGGAGACGGGGTTTCACCATGTTAGCCAGGATGGTCTCGATCTCCTGACCTCATGATCCGCCCTCAGCCTCCCAAAGTGCTGGGATTACAGGCGTGAGCCACCGTGCCCGGCCGAGTTTGAACGTTTTTATACTTGATCTCTATTCTTTTCATGATCCTGCAGAAAATTTGCACATATGCTTAACTTACGAAATCTACTTTTAGCTATATCTTTACTCGCCTTCAGAACAATGTAAGTACGTAGGAGACTTTATTCCTGTTTCTCTGTATTTTAGTCATCTTTTTTTTTCTAATTCACAAACGGGACGTTATCATCATTTCTTTATGCAGTCAATATTTGTTTAATGTAAGCCCCATGAAGGCAAGAAGTTTTTATTGTGGTGGTTGTTCAATGTTATACTCCAAACACATAAAACAGATCCTACACATAGTTATTATGCCTAGATAATTATTAAATAGGTTGATTAAATATACCCAAGTCGTTAACTTTTTTTTTTTTTTTTGCTCATCATACCTTCCTGCATCCCTCTGTGTTAGTTTTCCTTCTGCCTAAAAAGTAATTGTTTATAATTTCCTTCAGTAAGGGTGTGTTGGTACCAAATACTCTCTGTTTATTTGTTGCCTGAAATGTTCATATTTTGCTTTCATTCTTGAATAATACTTTGATGGTTATTTAGTTCTAAATTTTTTTAAGCAGAGTGTAGTATTATTCCACAGATCTTTACATTCATTGCTGCCTGTAAGAATTTGGTTGTTAGTTTTATTGTTATGCTCTTGAAGGTACTCTGTCTTTTCTCTCTTATTTTAAAAGTTTTCTCTTTGTGTTTAATTACATATGATTTCACTATACATACATAGCAGCACATTTCCTTTTATGTATTATTTATTTATTTATTTTTATTTTATTTTATTTCATTTTGAGACAGTGTCTCCCTCTGTCACCCAGGCTGGAGTGCAGTGGGGAGATCTCAGCTCACTGCACCCTCCACCTCCCAGGTTCAAGCAATTCTCTGCCTCAGCCTCCCGAGTAGCTGGGATTACAGGTGTCCACCACCACGCCTGGTTAATTTTTTGTATTTTTAGTAGAGACGGGGTTTCACCATGTTGGCCAGGCTGGTCTCGAACTCCTGACCTCGTGATCCATCACCTCGGCCTCCCAAAGTGCTGGGATTACAGGGGTGAGCCACCGTACCCAGCCCACATTTCCTTTTATTTATCCTTTTTCAGATTCATTAGTGTTCATGAATCTGGAAATGTCTTTCACTAGTTCTGGAAAATTCTTGCCTATTATTGTTTCCAATATTATGTCAGCCTCATTCTCTTTCTCCTCTTCTCATGGAATTCCACTTAGAAATAAGATATATTTTCTTATTCTATCCTCCATATCTCCAACCCTAGTCTATATTTTCCTTCTCTTTGATTTGTTCCTGCATTGTGGACCATATCTTTAGATCACTGATTGTTTCTTAGGTGTTTCTAATCAGCTGTTAAAATAGCCATTTGTTCTTATATTCAATAATTATATTTTTCTTTCTAAGACTTATAGAGTTTTTTATTTCCAAGTCTGCTTAACAATTTTACATAGTCTTTTGTTTCTTAGTCACATAATAAACCCCTTCTTTTACTTCTTAAAAATAAAAGGTACTTTTAAAACATGCTTACTTTATAATTAATTTCGAATGATTTAAATATCCCAAGACTTTGTTAGAATCTGCTGTCTATATTCTCTACTTGTTCCCACTCCTGCTTGTTTGCTTCCTTCCTTCCCTCCTTTCTCCTTTCTCTCTTTCTTTGTAGTATGCTGCACAGTTAGGAAATACAGTCTAACGTATAGTGACAAAAGAGGGGGGTCAGTGATTCTCCTGTTATATGAGGTATGGGGTAAGAGGAACAGAGAGAAGTAGAAAGAAGGGTGGATATATTAGCAGAGTTCTCTAGAGGGACAGAACTAATAGGATAGATGTAAATATATAAAGGGGAGTTTATTAAGTAATATTAACTCACACAATCACAGGGTCCCACAGTAGGCTATCTGCAAGCTGAGGAACAAGGAAGCCAGTAGAACTTGGAGTTCAATGTTCGAGGGCAGGAAGCATCCAGCACAGGAGAAGGATGTGGGCTGGGAGACTAAGTCAGTCTAGCCTTTTCACGTTTTTTTTTTTTTTCTGCCTGCTTTATATTTGCTGGCAGCTGATTAGATTGTGCCCACCGGTATTAAGAGTGGGTCTGCCTTCCCTAGCCCACTGACTCAAATGTTAATCTCCTTTGACAACACCCTCACAGACACACTCAGGATCAATATCGCATCCTTCAGTCCAATCAAGTTGACACTCAGTATTAACCATCACAATGGGATTACCAAAGAGCACAAGAAAACTTTTGGAGGTGATGTGCATGTTTCTGATCTTGATTATGATGATGGTTTAACAGCTGTATACCTATTTGAAAACTTACCAAATTATACACTTTATGCAGTTAATTGTATGTTAATTATACCTCAATAAACTTGTTTTTCAAACATTGGACACATAGATAACCAAAATCTTTATAATTGTTAGTCTTCTACATGGAAAATTCATTTATAATTTCACTTTCATTTTTTCACTTTTCTGCATGTTGGTAAAAGCACACCCTTTAACACAGGAATTTCATTTTTCAGAATCTATTCTCACCAAGTCACCAGATGAACAATAGATCATCTACACAGTTATAAATGACAATATTGATAAGAAAAATGTGATAAGAAGAAACGCTTAGAAGCAACTTAAATGTTGTACAGTAAAAGTTTGATAGACAGATTGTGAAATATATATGCTAGAATATAAAACAGTCAACATTATCTGGAGAGGACTTTATGATTTAAAATGTTTCAGTCAACAAAATAGCACAAAACTTTTAGTTGTTTACACTGTGGTAATAATTTCATAAAGATTCGAAGAGAATGAAATAAGGTAAGCCAAATGATTAATGACTGTTACTTTGGAAAAGTAGAGTTGTGGATAATTTTTATTTCCTTTTTTATGCTTTTCTTCATACTCCAAATTCTCTACCATGAATATGCATTACTTTTCTCATCACATTTTTTTGAAAATGACTAAAAGGAACTCTCCCAAATAATTTTCCTTTTATCTTTCAACGAAATGGCTTTTAAAAGAATCCTCTCATAGAGGATTTGAAGCACGTCAAGAAAATTGTTCAGAACGGCTGAGAGTCTTATGGTGAATGTGACAAGGTTATAGTCCAAGTTTTGACATGTTCATCATTAACGTTCTGCTGGTCCCTAGCCTGTCTCAGTGGATGGAGATGAATTCATTAGAGATGAGTAAATAAAAAAGTGATTTTCTCTCTAAATTAATATAACGACACACTTTTATGATGAATTTTCTAAATCATTTCAGGTTATACCTTCCTCTCTGTGAGTTCAATTATCTTTGTCATAAAAAGCTTCTTTTCCATAGACAAGCTTTACCCATTTTTCATAGCCTAATTTAACTGTAAAGCTGTTAACATCCTAATTTAAGCTGATGATAAATAGTCTTTTAACCGATTTGAAATTTTTGAAATTAGGTGGTATAATATTCATAGATATAACCTTACCAATTGTGAGGTGAAAAAAAATTCAAAGCATAAATATGGCTTTAACCTTGAAACCTGACAGGCGTTTGAATAGGAAAGAGATGAGCCATTTCCTGTATTTAAATTTCTCTAGACTCCCCGTGCCCTGTGTGCCACCATTTTGATTAATCCTTCTTAAAACTTATCTTCTATTAAATGTGTGAAAAACATATGTTTCTCATTGTTAACATCTCAATGTTTTACTCAAGAATTGGATAATCTGAGGAAGTTTCATTAATAAAGGAAAATATATATCCGGGAAATATTATGTATGTATGTATGTATTTCACACCTTTCTCTTTGTAGGTTATCAAAATAGTGTGAAAAATTAGAATTAGGCTTAGAACAACACTATCTTTTACTCTAAAGCTCTCTAGAAAAGGTCCCTAAAATTAATCAAAAATGGGCACTATGTCTTCTGTTTTAAATAAATACCTTAATACCTTACAATACCTCTTTTACAATGATGTCATCTTCTTACTAGCCAAATGCCAAGATTCTGATGTAAGAGAGTAAATAACTTGTGAAACAAAGTAAGAGAATCTAAAAAAAAATCAGTTTGCTTGGGGCTTTATTTGTATCATTATTTTCTAGCATTTTACCAATTCATTTGTGTTTCAATCATCCATGATGCATTTTCTTAATGCTGGCTGCTTTCATTTTTTATTTTTTAATTTTTAAAATAATTTCAACTTTTATTTTAGATTTGGGGGTACATGTGCAGATGTGTTACATGGGAATACTGCATGATGCTGAGGTTTGGGGTATGATTGAACCCATCACCCAGGTAGTGAGCATAGTACCCAATACGTAGTTTTTCAGACTTTACCCCCCTTCCCCCGCCCTGCATCTGGTAATCTGCAGTGTCTGTTGCTCTCATATTTATATCTATATGTACTCAATTTTTAGCTCCCAATTATAAGTGAGATCATGCAGTATTTGGTTTTCTGTTCCTGTATTAATTTTCTTAGGATAATGGCCTCCAGCTACATGCATGTTGCTTCAAAGAATGATTTTGTTCTTATTTATGGCTGTGTAGTATTCCATGGTGTGTATGCACCACATTTTCTTTATCCAATCCACCCATTGATGGGAAGCTAGGTTGATTCCATGTCTTTACCATTGTTAATAGTCCTGTGATGAACATACAAGTGCAGGAGTCTTTTTGGTAGAATGATTTATTTTCCTTTGGGCATATACCCAGTAATGAGATTTCTGGGTTGAATGGTAGTTCTGTCTTAAGTTATTTGACAAATCACCAAACTGCTTTCCACATTACCTGACCTAATTTACTTTCCCACAAACAGTATATAAGCATTCCCTTGTCTCTGTAGCCTTACCTTTTGTTTTTTGACTTTTTAATAAAGCCAATCTGACTGGTGTGAAGTGGTACCTCCTTGTGGTTTTGATTTGCATTTCTCTGATGACTAGTGTTGTGATGCATTTTTTCCTGTTTCTTGGCTGCACATACGTCTTCTTTTGAGAGTGTCTGTTCTTATCTTTTGCCCGTTTTTAATGGGGTAATATGTTTTGTGTCTATTCAATTGTTTAAGTTCCTTATAGATTCTGGATATTAGGCCTTTGTCAGATGCATAGTTTGCAGATATTTTTTCCCATTCTGTAGGTTGTCTGAGTACTCTGTTGATAGTTTCTTATGCTGTGCAGGAGCTTAGTTTGATTAGATCCCACTTGTCAATTTTTGGTTTTGTTGCAATTGCTTTAGAGGACTTAGCCAAAAATTCTTTGCCAAGGCCAACGTTGAAAAGGGTTATTTCCTAGGTTTTCTTCTGGGACTCTAATGGTTTGAGAACTTACATTTAAATATTTAATCCTTTTTCAGTTAATTTTTCTATATGGTGAAAAGTAGGGATCCAGTTTCATTCTTCTGTGTATGGATGGCCAGTTATTCCAACACCATTTATTGAATAGGGAGGCCTTTCCTCATTGTTTAATTTTGTCGACTTTGTTGAAGATCAGATGGTTGTAGGGTGTGTGGCTTTATTTCTGGGTTATCCATTCTGTTCCATTGGTCTATGTGTCTGTTCTCGTACCAGTACTGTGCCATTTTTGTTATTGTAGCCTTATAGTTTAAAGTTGGGTAATGTGATACCTCCAGCTTTGTTCTTTTTGCTTAGAACCGCTTTGGCTATTTGGGCTCATTTTTGGTTCTGTATAAATTTTAGAATAGTTTTTTTTTCCTAATCCTGTGAAAAATGATGTTGATAGTTTGGCAGGAATAACGCTGAATCTATAAATTGCTTTGGGCAGTACAACCATTTTAACAGTATTGATTCTTCCAATCCATGATCATGAAATGTTTTTCCATGTGTTTGTGTGATTTATGATGTATTTCAGCAGTGTTTTGTAGTTGTCCTTGTAGAGATCTTTCATCCCCTTGGTTAGGTGTATTCCTACATATTTTATTTTTGTATGACTATTGTAAATGGGATTGCATTCTTGATATGGCTCTCAGCTTGAATGCTATTGGTATATAGAAGTGCTATTAATTTTTATATATTGATTTTGTATCCTGAAACTTTAATGAAATCATTTATCAGTTCTAAAAGGTTTTTGATAGAGTCTCTAGGGTTTTCTGGGTATAGAATTGTATTATTGGTGAAGAGAGATAATGTGACTTCTTGTTTTTCTATTTGGATGCCTCTTATTTCTTTCTCTTGCCTGATTGTTCTGGCTGAGAATTCAGTATTATGTTGAATAAGGGTGGTGAGAGTGGGCATTCTTGTCTTGTTCCTGTTCTTAGGATATATGCTTCCAGCTTTTGCCTGTTAAGTATGGTGTTGGCTGTGGGTTTGTCATAGATGGCTCTTATTTTTAGTTATGTTCCCTAGATGCCTAGTTTGTTGAGGCTTTTTATAATTTTATAAAATCCCTTTGTATAAGGGATGTTGGGTTTCAGCAAAAGCCTTTTCTGTGTCTATTGAAATGATCATATAGTTTTTGTTTTTAATTTTGTTTATGTGGCAAATTGCATTGATTGATTTGTGTATGTTGAACCAAGCTTGCATTCCAGAAATAAAGCCTACTAAATACCTATATCAAGAGGTTATACAAATCTCAAATTAATGATCTAACATCACACCTAGAGGGACTAGAAAAACAAAAACAGTCTAACCCCAAAGGTAGCAGAAGAAAAGAAATAATTAAAATCATAGCAGAAGTGAACAAGATAGGGAATCAAAAATTCATACAAAAGATCAACAAAATGAAAGATGATTGTCTGAACGGATAAACAAGATAAATAGACTACTAGTTAGATCAACAAAGAAAAACAGAGAGAAGATCCAAGTAAGCCCAATCAGATATTACAAAGGTGACATTATAACAAATCCCACAGAAATACAAAAGATCCTCAGAGACTATTATGAACACCTCTATGCACAGAAACTAGAAAATCTAGAGGAAATGCATAAATTCCTGGAAACACACAATCTCCCAAGATTGAACCAGGAAGAAATGAAAACCCTAAACAGAGTAATATTGAGTTCTGAATTGAAGCAGTAATAAAAAACCTACCAATGAAAAAAAGCCCTGGGCCAAATGGATTTGCAGCCAAATTCTACCAGAAGTACAAAGAAGAGCTGCTACCATTTCTACTGAAACTATTCCAAAAAAAAAAATTGAGGAGTAGGGACTCTCCCTAACTCATTCTATGAAACCAGCATAATTCTGACACCAGAATCTGGTGAAGACACAACAAAAAAAGAAGACTATAGGCCAATATCTCTGATGAACATAGATGCAAAAATCCAAGAAAATACAAGCAAACTGAATCCAGCAGCACATCAAAAAGTTAATTCTCCATGACCACTCTTTAAAAATGATATTTAATGTGCCTCATTTTCCTTCCTCCCCCCCCACTGAAATTTGCTTCTATTTCATCATTCCTGTTGCATCTAACACTGAGCAAGTATCTTAGGAAACAATACAATTTTGTAAAAGATGTTCTGCAGTAGCCTCTATGTAAATATCGTTTATCCCTCTGTCTTATTACCAAGATAATGGATGTGCTTTTTAGCTCTCTCTGTTATATATATCCTCTACTTTATGTGTGTGTATATATATATATATATATCTCCTCTGCTCTCTCTCCTTTAGCTCTAGGTTTCAATATTCATTCCCAATATAGCAGGCAAACTTTTACTTTGAGAAACTTAAAACTCTAATCAGACATTTCAATTCCTACATGCCATCTCAAGCCTAATTTGGGAACTGTGGGAGCATAATAACGCATTGTCTATTTCTTCCTTTCTACTTTTGTACAATAGCTTTTGACTTGGAGGGAGTTTACTTCTACTTGCTGCACAATTATCCCAACATCCAGCTCAATTTCAAAGGTCCATTTAGCTGCTTTGGTGGTACACTTTGACAGCCTATTGGCCTTGTAGATTTTAATGCATTTTGCATTATTTATCTCAGTTTTCCAAGTATAGTTTTTCTGTTGAATTTCTACTCGTTAACCAATTTTCTGGAAATGTTTCCCAATTGATCTGCATTGCACCTGTAGCTTATTTTTTTTTTGGTTTTGGCAAAACTCAGCTGAAAGGTGTATGAAGTACAATGTGATTTCTTAGCACATTGATGGTACTAAGTTGGCTCTAAATGTGCTGATGCATATAGTACACTTCTGCAATGATGTCTCTCTGGGAAACCCCATTTAACTTGAGTTACAATAAGCAAAGATAACAGCAAAGCTCTCAGTACTCTTTGAGACAAAGGTCTCATACAATTCATTAAAATTAAGATGATTCTGGCTGCAAGTTATAGAAACCCAGATTCCGATTGATTAAAATAAGAAGGGATGAATGGTCTCACTTGACAGGAAGTTCAGATATGGGATGGGCTTCAAGGAATGCTCATTTAGCAATGTCATCAAGGGTCCAGGTGTTTTTCTCTTCCTCTGCTCTGTAATTCTTAGTATCATTCTATGTGTGGTAGAAAGATGGCTTACAGCAGTCCCAGGCATCATATCTATATCCAGGAGACAAAGGTAACCTATTTTTTCTTATGAATATCTCATATGAGCAAGGAGATGTCCCTGTAGTCCAAGATGACTTCTTATTACGCTTTATAGGTCAAAGTAGTGTCACACGCTGGTTCTAGAGTAAACCATGAGCAATATTCCTCTTAAAATGATCAGGCCCTCCATAAAAGTGGGATGAGTTCTGTTTTTACTGGGACATATGGATATCTGGACTTGGGAGGATATCTGATCAAAATTGGAGTTCTAATAGTACAATAAAAGTAAAGAAATGAATGTTGGTTGGGAAACAATGTCCAGGTTGTGTCATCATCATTGAACAGTGGAAAAAAATGCAGAGGGCAGTGAGAGCCCCTGTGGCCCACTGGCTGTGACCAGCATGGGTTTCTAAAGCACTGGTGAAGGATAAAAGAAGAGGACAATAAGAATGCCTATATTTTGGCCCGAGGCGAAAATAATGAATAGAATTCCTTAGTGGGCAGATACTGTAGTTTGGCCCACTCAACACCCCTTTCATCCCTCTTCTATAGAGATTGGAAAGGAAAGTTTTTGATTTCACAGCCTCTCTTGCAGCTTGGCTTAATCAAAAGCAGAATGCTGGCCAATGAGATTTAGGAAAAATTTATCAGGCTGCATTTGCTGAATAAATGTCAAATTTGTATTTGGAAGCACGATATCTTTCTTGAAATAAGGAAGATAAGAAGTCACTTATTAAGGACGTTGGAGTAGGAAGTAAGCTGTGCTCTCAGTGGCATCACTGAGATGCCATTTGAGTCTTGGACTATATACTCTCAAAGGTCTGGTCATGTGAGAAGACGTAAACTATAGCAGTAGCTGAAAGCAATGCTATCAAATATAGAGTGCTCAAGTTAGTTACATAAGTTTACTCATATAATATTCCAATTAACTTAGCCTTTTAATTGTTTCCCAAAGGCCAAATCAGAAAAACTTCTCAAACAGTATATATCACAAATATCTTAACTAGTGCGAACCCAGAATCCACCTAATCACACTCCCAGTGCCTTAGCAGAGACAACCGTGGCTAATTCTTCAAGGCGTCATTTATATGGATAAATGTTACATCCACAACTCATATCTGAACCAAGGCAGGTTTCATAAATCAGAAGTCTAGTTTGAGCCCCCACGTCAGCCTTATTATAACATTCAACGTAACAAAGGACGGTGTGTTATACCTTATGTAAACTGACCTTTAAATTGGCCTGAAAATATTCACATGCATGAATGGGGCTGTATTACAGCAATGACATTGAAAATTATATTAAAGACACTTTATTTAGCAGCAAATTTAATATAACATTTGAACTGCTAAAAGTCAAGTAGGAAGTAGAGAGTACTTTCTTCATTTATTTGATGAAAAAAAAGCACAGACTGCTTTAAAAATATAACTTTTGACTACATACAACCAGATGAAAAAAGACGTTAACTAGAGGGAAATTTGTTTCATACCCATAAATAGAAACTAACTTAAAATGTACCATGGTGGGGGGGAAATTAGTTGAGAATTACAAAATCCTCAACTGCTTTAATACCACAGCTTCATTCCATTTGCCTCTCAACTATTCCTGCTGGGGCTTCTGCTATAGTTTATTAACAAGTATCAGTGTTTCCATTACCTTAGAAAAACAAAACCAACAATCATTTTTCAAAAGACATTCAAATTGTCAGTATGTAATTATTGCTAATATTAAGAATTCAGTATGTTACCACATACAACGCACATACCAACTATCTACTCATTGAGATAAACTTATATTTCCGAAATGAAAAAAAAGCCATTATAATTAAGACTCAAGAAAACTTTTCCAGTATAAATATACTCTTAATTAAAGTTGAGATAAAGATATATCTGTGAGATAGTTTACCAAAATATTTATGTTAAACATCAGGCTCTACTATATTTAAGAGTGGGTTTCCATCAAAATACCTCATAATTATCTAGTTGCCTGCATGTACAACAGAAATACAAGAACTGAACTGGATGAGTACAAAAGGGCTTTCAAATGTGTCCACTAATACAGTTAAAAGAATATAAGCTGCTACATGTATAAATACAATATTATATAAGTATATTATATAAACATTATTTTCATTTTATCTTCTAACAGCTTTATAATCTAAGTGTTATATAAGTATTTTATATTTATATGATATATACTTATAAATATATATCAACACTTATATAAATTTATATATACTTATATAAATATAGTATAAGCTACTACATGTATAATATACTGCATGTATAAATATAATATAAACCATATACATGGTATACAGTTTATTCTCCTAAGTAACACCAACCATTAACTTTGTAGTATATCATATGAAAGAGATGATATGGTTAGGATTCAATAATATACAGAGGTATTTGTCACTAATAGATGTAGTCAAAAATCAAAGACAATAATGCTAACATTTTTTATATTACTGTTTTTAGCAGTGGAATATTTTCTTTAAGCCACAGGTTACAAGGCAGTCCAATGTAGAACAAAGATAAAAACAGCTGCGGGTTGAAGCAGAGCTGACTATTCAGCCATGGGGAGCTTCTCAGAAACATTAGAATCCTTTATAGGGTCTCAAAGAGACTTGGGACCTAAGTGTTTTCTCCTATGTCCTAATAATTATACCTATTTTAGCCCCCCTCTGGGGACATTTTAAGTGACCAAGAATTGTTAAGAGGAAAATGGGAAGGATTCTGAGCTCCAAACTACATTTCATGCTGGCCCTCCCATCCTCCTAGGACATCTGATTATTTGTATAAAGGAGATGTATTAGAAGTCCTTGGAATTTTCTAATTAGAAGTTCCAGCTCTGATTACTTGGAGTTTGAGTAATTTTTCAAGTAAGTATTAGAGTCAAGGCTTGGACCCAGATATGACTATAAAACTCATACTTTTAACTAATTTTTATGTAGTTTTCCACTGATACACTAGTGGCATTCTCAGCCAACTAATTAAGTTTTCTCTGCTGAATGTTTTGAATTCTTTGTCTTGGGTAATCTCTCCCTTTAAAATGTAAGGTTGAACCTGTAGAGCTCCATATTGTCACTTAATTATGACAACATAGATGAGAAAAGTACAAAGCTTTGATGTGTCTTTGGTGGAGATTATATGACATATTGAAGTTTTGTGAGATGGCTCAGAAAGTTCAGTAATAGCTGACGTTGAAAAGAATCAACTCTTATTTATGCAGGTGAATAATAATGTGACTAATCTGGTATTGCCCATTAGTAATTGATCATTTCTCTCTGACTTGGGAACTATCGCCTGTAATCCCAGCATTTTGGGAGGCCGAGGCAGGCGGATCACGAGGTCAGGAGATTGAGACTACCCTGGCTAACATGGTGAAACCCCGTCTCTACTAAAAAATACAAAAAATTAGCCGGGTGTGGTGGTGGGCACCTGTAGTCCCAGCTACTCGGGAGGCTGAGGCAGGAGAATGGCGTGACCCCAGGAGGTGGAGCTTGCAGTGAGCCAAGATCACACCACTGCCCTCCAGCCTGGGTGACAGAGCGAGACTCTGTCTCAAAAATAAAAAATAAAATAAAAATAAAATAAAACAACAACAACAAAAAGGAAACAGATTTTGAAGTTACATCCTTACTGAAAACTTTGTTTTATTTTCTTCAGGTCACTTACAAGAAACCACTTACTCATAATGAATTTCAATTATGGCATGACCTATGTCATTATCCTGGGATTTAAGGGTCTAGATTTAGGCTGTTTTTATTCACATGGCTAGAACTGTATCTATTTAGAAAATTAATTTAACTTTAATGTATCAAGACTATTTTATATAGCATTGATGATTTTCTACTTCAAAAGGGAAAGCTTTAAGATCCAAAGACATTGATTTCCAAACTGGGACAGGCATAATCCTGAACCTTAATCATTTTATTCTTAGTGCTTCAGCTTTCTATTGAATTTTAGTGAAAGATAACATGGCTCTGGACAAACTTTCGTCTCTTGGAGAGAGCAAGTTGACACAGATCTGAAGTATTTTGTACATTTGTTGAATATGCCACCCAGTCTTCCACAATGTGGGAGTGCAACATTTAAGTATCAAAATGAAGCGAAGTTATCTTGGTGACCTTCTGACTTCTAGCTTATAAACCATTCATATGGAAGCCAGAAAATACAGTCAAAGATTTAATTTTCCAATTGATCTTGTATTTAGCATCATTTAGAATAACAATCTGGATACTTAATCTAGTTTTTTTTTTAAATTTCAATCAGTTTGTTTGAAATCATGTAAACAAACAAAGCCTATATTGTGAAGAAAATACATTTAATTATTACCGCCTCTAAATAAATCTAGTTTAAAACACATGTGGTGAATATTTGCAGAAAAGTGCATTTAACAAGTATGTGGCATTGTAATATTAAAGAACTAATGGAACTAACGGTGAAGATTTACTAGGCATAAATTATAGAAGCAGATAATGAGGTTATTAAAATAATATGTATCTGTAATTTTTATATAAAAGACTTTAAACATTTTTTTGAACTTCTTTTTTGTGTGTTTACAGATATACACTTTTTTTTTTTGCATGTTTTGGTCTACATAGGCAGCATTTAGATATGCTGAAGGTAGTCTAGTAAAGTCTTCTGCCTGAGTAGGATATTTTATTAATTTAAATTACAGTATAATGTTTTAAATAAGAATGTATGTTTTTGTAAGTGAGATGGGCCACTCACTCATGGAATCGACATATATTTGTTCAGTACCAACAGGATGCTGACATGGTGCCAGACAGTGAGAAGGCAAGGATTGGGTTTTATTCAACGTGGCAGCCTCTATAGTGTTTAAAACATTGCTTTAAAAGCTGTTGGTATTCTGTAAATACTTGTTGAAATAATGAAAAAAGAAAGGTCCTCGACTTTGGAGAATTAAATATGCAGGTAATAACAATGTGATACTACAGTAGAAGGATGGTTCCTATATTTATATAGCTCAGAAGAACTTATAGTGGAAGGAATGGAAAGTTTCCACAGAGGAGAAAGATGAGGAATTTGATATGATAATAGGAAATGGTGTGGCCAAAGGCACAGCTTCAGAAAAGAATAAAGTAGCCATATGTGAAGAATAAAGTGTAAATCAATTTAATTGGACATAGTCTCCAATGTAAAGGAAATAAACTTGGGAAGATTGTGCATGTTCTTGAATGTGGACTAGGGAAGTTTGATCTTTGTTTGGGAGGCACTGGAGGCTTTTGGGCATATGCATGATAAGATTAAAGGTCCTTCCTGAAGATTAATCTAGCCGCAGTGTGTAAGATGGGTTGTCACAATGGGAGATAAAAATGGGGAAATCCACTATGAGATGAATTTAATTGGTCACATGGAAGGTAATAAATAATAGCCTGAGCAGCCAGATAGTGTTCCTGTATTTGAGACTGACCTCGTTTTTCCAAGATGCTTCAAACTGTGAGATATTTCCAGAAGTCTCAAGTGTGAAATAATCAGTGTTACTCTAAAATAACATTATGCAAAGCTACCTCACTTTTCTGGAAATCAGGCATCCAAAAGTGTTAAAACACTGGAACACAGATACAAATCTGAACTTCTTGTTGAGAAGACTAGACTATTCACTTTGCGGAAACTGAAAGCATGTATATCTTGTTTTTGTTTCATTGCCAGCACCAGTGCCTTGAAGAGTGAAAACTGAAGTTAGGCAATTCATGTATAAGACTTTCTATAAAATAATTAGTTTCTAAAGGGTCAATTCTTAGAAGTACATTTTAGCTTTCTGAAAGACATATTTCCAGGGTAGAACTAATTCTTAAATAATGATGAATATTGAGGTGTCATAATTTCATATTTATGGAAACATTGTCTCTCCTTGTGTATAACTTAACATGTAATTTGAGATTTAAAAATGAAGGAATTTGATTTCATTTGCTGTTATTTAAGCTCCCTATGTCTGTTTAAATTTTGCTCTGAAGAACAGCTGCTCTAAAGTACAGCCAATATTTCTTCCTTTGGGATAGCTAGTTCCACTGAAAATTTTGATATCGTCAAAATGTGCTGTATGTGTGTCTATGTGTAGCCAATCTCCCTTTCTCACATCCCCGGATACCCATGTCCTTATGCCTGCCACTGGTTCTCAAACTTTAAAGTACATAAATATCACCAGAAACAATTATTTAAACTATATGTTCCTAGCCCTACAGTCCCTGGAGATTCAGATTCCATAGGCATGGGGAAGCCTGAGACTGTTTTGATAAGCTCCACTAGGCAATTCTAATGCATGACTTCCAGAGATCATACCTTAAGTGGCTGTAACTTAAGCTCTCTCTGCCTTACTTGCATCAGATGTCATGTTCCTGACTTTAAGTAGCAGTTATTATTTAATTTAATTAATGAATAAAGTCAAACAATGTGGATGTCTAGAAAATCTCCTCTACTGAAAGAGCCTGAAATAGGGTGTGTTGCCTTACTAGAGTCTGATCGGTAGTAGCGTCATCCCACATTGAGAGCTGCAGTTTCATGCTCTCAATCCTGAGATGTTTTACAGCAGGGTAAATGATCTAATTTATAGTATGTGCTGAGATATTTCTAAAGAAAGCTTGTGTCCGAGGGTAGAATGTTTTATGTGTTTAATTACACTTGAGTTCCAATCCAATTCGAAGCCATGTCTACAAAGGCTGGCGTTTAGTCAGCTAAACATTTGAAAGCTTCTTTGTTCCTAAGGGGGAAAGCACAAGACTAATTTTTCTAACAAGTAATTGCAGGTGCAAGTTATGTTTGCAATCTTAAAAAAGGAAGTGTCTCAGTGAAGGGGAAATTAAATGAGAGGGTTAAACGCATGACCTAGAAAGGATGTTTGAATCACTTGTGTTTTTCCATCTTGTACAAAAATCCATCTTTCCTATGAGATAGGGCTAATTTACCAGTTGTGTTCCTTTTAATATGAGGAAGTTGGGGGCTGGAGGGAGAAAAAGGTAGGAAGAAATTAGCCAAACACAATCACCAGAACATGTTTTTTTTTTTTTTAAGCCAGGAGGGAGAAGGTGAAGATCTACACAATAAAGGAGTAAATAAAAACACTTGTAGGGGAAAAAAAATAATGGAGTGTTTTCTCATCCACTAAAACAGTAAAATTCCATCTTTAGGTTTTTCTTTGTTCAGTTCTCTTTGGAAGGAACTTTCTCAGCTGAAATTTTATTTGCTGTTTTTGTGTCATTTTTGTCATCA
Organism: Homo sapiens; assembly: GCF_000001405.40. Classification (NCBI taxonomy): domain Eukaryota; kingdom Metazoa; phylum Chordata; class Mammalia; order Primates; family Hominidae; genus Homo; species Homo sapiens. Next base: position 29,825,120 of record NC_000023.11, read on the forward strand.
GAAAATATTTCCAAGTTAAGCAATCTTACAAAGAAGTATCTCAGGACTATCAACATTAGTGAGCCGGGTACCCTGAAGTGAGGTACTCTTTCCTCACTTCATAGTGTGGCCACCATAGCCATTCTTGCCTTTCTTCAGTTTGCTGTCTATCGGTGTCCATCAGAAATACCTTGTTGGCAAAAATGTCTTCCCTGCCCATCTTATTTGGTCTATTAATGATTTCATAAACTTCAATATGAATCTTTATGAGACCTCCTACTCCAAACTGGAAGCTCTAATCCCTTTTGCCTCTCCTCCTTTGGCAACCAGTTCCTCTCTTTGATGTCCCTAGTTTCCTTTCTCTAGATTTCTTCCAGTTCCATCATGCTTTCCAGATATATCTCCACCAAAACCACCTCCAAAAAGCTAAATTCTTATTGGCTGCCGCAGCTCAACAGCGGATGCTCTGGTGAAATAAGCATAACAACAATAGTTGCTTTGTATGTAGCAGGGATCAGCACAGTTTTCCTGTAAAGAACTGGATAATAAGTAGTTTAGGCTTTGTGGACCATGTGGTTTTGATCACAACTATTCAATGGTACCAGACAATACTTAAGCAAATATATGTGTAACTTATTCAAATAAAACTTTTCTTTGTAGACCTTAGAATCATTTCATATAATTTTCACATGCCATAAACTATTATCCTTCTTAAGATTTTAAAAATCATTTTAAAATCTAAAAATAATTTTTGTCTCACAAGCTGTACAGAAACAAAACAGGCCAGATTTGGACTGCTGAATGTAGTTCGCCGACTCGGGTTGAGAGTTTTTTGTTTTCACGGTGTCCCTACCTATCATCTCATCTAATTCTCCCCCACAGTCTTGTGAGAAAGTTAATACCGCTGCCATTTTATAAATGTGGAAGTTGAGACTTGGAAAATGTGACTGTCTTGCCCAAAGAAAGAGAACTAATAACCTGTGTTTCTGGAACCTAATCCTACATTGTCATGCGTCCAATCCTGTGTTCTTACCTCCATAACACACTTCATGCTAGTGTTATATCTATGCCTGACTGACACAGTTCAAATCTCCAAACCAACCAAATTCCATTGAGGTGGCCATTTCTATAAAAGCTGTCCTTTGGAAAAAAAATTTATCCAAAACATCAGGACTCAAGAGTGTAACAGAAGGAGGGCTTGTTAAACCATCAGCTGCTGGACATAACCCCAAGAATTTCTAATTCAGTGGTTTTGGGGTGGGGGCCAAAAATTTGCTTTTCATTTTTTAAAGTTAGATAAAATTCACACACCATAAAGTTTACTATTTAAAGTGTTCAATTATTTATAGAGTTGTGCAAGCATCATCCATTATTATCTAATTCCAGAACATTTGTATCGCCACACAAGGAAACCCTGTACCTATTTGTGGTCACTTCCTATTCTCCCCTCCCCACCTCCAGCCCCTGGCAACCACTGATTGACTTTTTATGTCTATAGATTTGACTACCCTGAACACTTCATAGAAAAGGTATCGTACATGTGGTTTTTTGTGTCTAGCTTCCTTCACTTAGCATAAGGTTTTCAAGATTATTCTCATTTTAGTATGCATCAGTACCTCATTCCTTTTTATGGATGACTAATGTTCCATTGTATGGATATACTACATTTTGTTTATTCATTCATTAATTGATGAATATTTGTGTTATTTCAGTGGTTTGGTTTTTGTGAATAATGTCTCCATGAACATGTTTTCAATTCCTTTGGCTATCTACCTAGGAGTGAAGTTGCTGAGTCATACGGTATCTCTATGTTCAACTTTTTGAGGAACTGCCAAACTGTTTTCCAAAACCAGCTGCATTATCTTACATTCCCATCAACACTGTATGAGTTCCAATTTTTCCACATTCTCGTCAACACTTGTTATTGTCTGTCTTTTTGACTACTGTCATTCTAGTGGGTATGGAATAGCAACTCACTGTGGTTTTGATTCGCATGTCCTTAATGACTACTGATGTTGAACGTAGTTTTGCGGGTTGGTTGAGAATCTGTATTTGTAACAAGCTCCCAGGAGATGCTGATGCTACTTGTTCCTGGACCACACTTTGAGAACCACTGATCTAAAAATTACCACTTACTCCTAGCAAATAGAATATGCTGTGTATAATTGTTTTTGTAATCATAGTCATTATGGAGCTGTACTTTAGACATTGAATATAAAGGAAGAACTTATTCCACAAGATTTATCGAGAACCTGAAAAGTGCAAGGCACTGTTATAGGCATCAGGAAATAAATTTTTTAACAACAGATACAAAGTGAGAGTTTACATTCAGGTGCGTGAAGATAGACAATAGATGATAAGTGAGCACCTAACCTTTCAAGTGGTGATACATGCTATGAACAAAAATGAGAGAGGGTGTGGCTCTAGAGAGGGGACAGTGGGGAAAGGTAAGGTGACCAGAGAAGGCCTCTCTGATGAGGTGTTGTTTGATCAGGGATTTGGAGGCAGTGAGAAAGCAAGACCTGCAGATTTAATGCACAAGAAGGTAAAAGCACAGTCTTTGGGACCAGGCCAAGCTCAATACTTAGGGCTGGCCCTCCACTCGTCCTTTGACCTAAAACAAATTACTTAACCACTCTGTGTCTCAGATTCCTAATCTATTCAATGGGAATAATAGTATTTCCCTCATAGGATTGTTATGAAGATTAAATGAGGTAGTATATGTAAAGCATTTAGAGAGATGTGTGGCACATAGTGTTACATAAGACGCGGATATATATGAGGCTAAGAAAGCTAAAACTTTAGTCCCTCTCACTTACATGGGCCTCTTCTGTGGCCTTCTATTAAATATTGTATACAAAGTACCATATTCTTTTCTAGAAAGAGAGCCTCCAAGTTGTCTAAGCTGTAGGCCCTACATAGCCTAGACCTGTACCTGATATTAACTGCTATTTATTCATCTCTGGGATAAATGATTCCAGACAAAGGGAGCAGGAGTGTAAAGGCCCAAAGGCTGGGAGAACATCAGGAAGACATTGTAACTGGACAAAAGTCAGGGAGGCACAAAGGGAGAGGATAAGGTGAGACCAAAAGGGACAGTACTTGGGGGATGGGAATCGTAGGCATAGAGCAGGTCTTGGTAAAATACTTTGTAATTGTGAATTAGATTAGGAGACACTGGAGAGTTCTGAGAAGAGAGTCATGAACTGCTTTGCATTTTAATAGGATCATTTTGGCTGACCTTTAGAGACTAGATGATTAAGAAGGCAAAATTAGAAGGTGGAAAACTCATGGAGAAGCAGTAATCTACAGATGAGATAATGGTACCAAGGACTAAGGTAGAGATGGTACGATATTGATAGTTTATGTATATATTTTGATAATGGAACAGACAGAACTTGTTGATGAATCATATGTGGGATTGAGAGAACTGTTAAGGATGATTGAAAGATTTGGTGTCTGAGGAACTGACAAGTGAGGATCAGGACTGGATGTACATGTGCAGTGGAAATTAAGAGTTTGATGTTGAACATGTTAGTTTTGAGATGCCTATTTTATCTGTAAGATTCTATTTTATTTCTATGATATATAGCCCTGATGGACATTTTTTGGAATCTCTACAGTTAGACTATTTTATAGTTATATGCCCATCATAAAATTCTATGCAGAATGTACCATATGGACTTTTGGTGCTATAACACAGATGACTTTTATGGAAAATCAGACAAGGTAGGTCAGAGAATTTCTTTATGGCCAGCTCCAAGACAGGAAGGTGGGGAGAGATTAGAGTCCTGCCGGGGGGAAAAAAAGAGGAGGTGAAAAGAGGGTACGAGAAGGTCAGAAGGAGAGATTTTTTCTGAAGTCTGCTTCTGAGGCCTGCAGCACCCCAACATTATAACCAAAGATGGTCTTTTATCTTTATTGCTCTGAAGCACTTCCAAAGCTGCTTCAGGAACCAAGGGCAAATGGCCAAATATTTTAACAAAAGGTATGCTTATTGTTTTAAACACTTAGGAAATGACAAGAGTTATGAGCCAGGAACCATGGACAAAAACCTACACACACACACACACACACACACACACACACACACACACACACACACACACACACAATGTTATTACACCCTCCATGGAACTATGATGGTTCTGTCCTTTTTATGTTACATGACATGGAAGGTTTCCATTTAAACTGTATTATCTAACTAGTAGATAATGCTAGCAATATTAGTAAAATTATTGTGTTCTCTGACTGTAAGGACTTGAGGACATGTTTCCTCATCTTCATAAACTACTGCCTGCCCCTATGCTTGACTATGGTAGGTGCTAAAGATGTTACATGAATGAAAGTTACAATAATCTGTACAAGAATGAGGTCTTTCTTTTGGGTATTTTATTTTTGTTTAGAAGGGATCTTATACTCATTAGGCACTGACTATCCATAACAGCTTAATACTGGACAGTGTAGTCAAAACACATGACTACAAGTTCCAAGTCCACCAATTTTTGGCTTTATTAATTTGACAAGTCACTAATTATCTGAGCATTACTTATAAAATGGAATTAGTGGTATTTTTTCTATTTTACAGTGTTATACTTAGGATTGGATAAGATAATATACAGAAAAACATGATCTACAAAGTACCAAAAATTATATTAATATTTTGATCTAATCTAGAAAAATTTTGATTGATAGTGTCTACTGCTTAATCTGAGAATAACATACCTTGCTATAGTTTCCAAACACTTTTCATAGAGGATGTAAAATGGATTTTCAAAAATTACATTTCCTCAATATAAATTACAATGGTTTGATCACTTAACATCAACTCTCATTAAAATATGATTCTCTTTGTAGGCTGAATTAGCTCTCTTTTGAGATTCATATGTAGAAAATAACCAAGTATAAAAAGGCTTGCTGCAAATGTCCTCTGATATTTGATTTTGAGTTTGACATTTCAATTCAATTATTCTGAATTTAAGGTGTCTTAAATCATTGAATACATTTTGCGGATAATATGTCCCTGTACCCTTGCATATTTTTCATAACCTCTTATACATTAGCCAAAATTAGAAAAAGAAATAATCCTCTTCCCTGCCTTAAGCTAAACTAGAATAGTTGGCACATTTAAACAACAAATGATGAGAAAAAAATGACATTGATAAAAGTTTCACTGAGTCATCATGAATCTCATTGGGTGAGCAATTCTATTGAGGGAGCATATATGAATTTTCATATACTTTAACACTTTAATTGTGCTAATATTTTAAGTAATATTTGTTCTTTAAATATATTTTCTTATTTTTCTGTCATTTACCAAGTATAGATTCATCATTTACCAATTCTGACTCTTTTTTTTTTTTTTTTGAGACAAGAGTTTCATTCTTGTTGCCCAGGCTGGAGTGCAATGGGGCAATCTCAGCTCACTGCAACCTCCGCCTCCTGGGTTCAAGCGATTCTCCTGCCTCAGCCTCCCAAGTAGCTGGGATTACAGGCACCCGCCACCACGCCTGGCTGATTTTTTTGTATTTGTTAGTACAGACGGGGTTTCACCATGTTGGCCAGCCTTGTCTCGAACTCCTGGCCTCAAGTGATCCACCCATCTCGGCCTCCCAAAGTGCTGGGATTATAGGTGTGAGCCACCGTGCCCGGCCTCTCAGACTCTTTAAAAAAGATAGCTGAATGGGACTGAACCAACCAGTGCAGATCCCCAAGGGCAAAATTTGGGAGTACCTTGTGTCCATGTCTCTAGTTATATGGGGATAGAGAGACAAAATTGTGTTTAAAGGAGTTTCAGGCCTCAAGGCTAGAAAAATTGGCTTATCCAAATAGGTTCTCAAAGCAACATGAAATGAGATTTAGGAGATGCGTTTTGGAAATGGCCCTAAGAGCTAGGAAAGAATGGAGTAAAGTATAATGGTTCCAAATTTGAATTTAAAAGGAAAATTAGAGACAATGTCTCTAGAGACTAGGGACTCTGTCTTGTTCACAGCTGTATTCTCTGTGAATAGTGCTTAGAACATAAATATTTCTTGGCTGGCAAAACACCGTTTACCAATTGTGTTTATTACATGCTTCTGCTAAGGTATTGTGTGAGCAAACCAGACACAATGAAAGGGCTCAGGAAAGAAAGAACAAGATCCTGGTATCAAAAACAGGTATATAAAGTGTGGCTCTTACCCTCCAGTAAAAGGCAATTAAGTCCCCCCATGGAACTCAGTTTCAACAAATCACTACTCATATTGTGTGGGAGAGAAGGATCTCAGAGGATGCTTATAAAGTGACCTGAAGATGAGACAGGAATGGAATCCCAGGCAGAAGCAAAGCAAAAGTATGTGCAAAGTCTTGGAGCTGTATAAAAGGATGGTTTGTTTGGAAAATCTCTCGCAGTTTAATATGAGGATCATGAGAAATGACACTGGGGAAATAGACATGAATCAGACTATAAGGGTTTTCGTTGTTGTGCTAAGAAATTTGGGCTTGGTTAAGACTAAGCTTCAAATAGTTAATTCTAGGATATTGACATGAAACTATAGCCCAGATATGTTAATCATGTTACAGGAAAGTTTAGCTTGTTAGCAAAAGTATAATACTGACCTAAAAGAGCATACTTAAGTCCTGAAAGTGGAGAGCCTTGTCTAAGGAGGAGAGAAACAAATATATATAGTCAGAAGCAGTGATAAAACAGAAACTTTTCCCCTACCACCCCAACAGTATTTAGTTAAAATATATTTTATATCAGCCTCTAGGGCCATTATGTCCCAATATGCATCCCCTCTAGTTTTATTATATAAGTTTATTAATAACCTCTTATGTATTTATGATTGTAGTTAATATACAAAGAGAACTAAATTTATGGTAGTTCAGTTTTAGGTATTGCTTATATGATTTTTTCCATAATGCTGTCAACCCGTGGGACACCTGATGACATTCTTTTTCAAGAACCAACATCACAACTAAGTTTGTATGTGACCTTAAAGTAGCAGAAGGAGCTGGTCATGAGATGAAAAGAAATGCTATTCTACTTCTATTAGATTATTCTCAAGGACTGATAAATACTTTGGATTCTAGGTATCCTTGGTGCAAATGATTTAATGAACATGTGCCATGAAGAAAAATAAGATTATAGAGAATGAAATTAAATCCGTGCTCTACCTGACTTAAAAGTGTGCATATTATTTCTCTCTTCCAAAATATCTAGCATCCTTATATAAAGAAAGAAGTCCCTACATAATCATTCCTTTCCCAACCATCACATTCAAATTATCAAATATAAACTCTGTTTTCAGTTTGGAGAAAGAAGATATAGTTGCTGGCAAAATTTGGGGGTGTGAGTCGGGAATTAGAGGCAGAAAAGGCAAGGGATGTAACAGAAAAGCTTTATGAATATATCTTTCTGTGCCAAAGGAAATGGAACACATCTTGCATGAAACAAAATGTGACTTGTTAGGCAGCCTAAGATCTTATCAAAGGAGTGGAAAATATCACCCACTGCTGACTGGCTAGTAAAAGGGAATTGTGCTCAAATGGGTCAAGACTCACTTCTCAATGTCCACAAGCTTTTTTTCCTCCTTATTTCCTCTGTAAATGCTGTTTTTTTGTTTTTGTTTTTTTTTTTTTTTGGCATGCAAAGGGACACACACACACTGAACACACTGACACACACAATGTTATGCAGAGAGTTTCCTCCCAGATCTATTCATGGTTTAAAGCCCCCCACCTCCCTTTACCTGTAATAAATATCTGTTGGCTTTGATGTTCACTGTCAGGGATAAAACAAATTCACAAATATTTGGTACACGCTGCTCCTGTATGTGACATTGAACAAAATGTTGATCATTAATAAATGGTGGGGGAAAAACTCAAAGACTAATAAATGTCATTGTTTCTGATGAAGTAGAACACAAGAAGGTAAATACCCACAACTACCCCCCTGCTAAGGTACAAATATCAGTAAAAAATGTGTATATTTGAAGTATTTGGTCTATTACAATTCTTCAGATATAAAACAAGCACTATAAGCATTATGGTGGTGTTGATTTTAAAATTCCAACTTCACAAATTCTTCCAGAAGTACCTTATGAATAAAATAATGTAATATTCAGATGACACATATATACACATATGCACACATGCACATGCATGTATGTAGTAGGTATCAATAGATGATAGATGGGTAGATAGATATTCTTCTCTCTACCTTGCTGCATTCAAGTGGCTGTCATATAATATAAATCGTATTTAGTATGTATTTTTTTTTAACTTGGGGGGTTCTGGATATTTTGACCCACATTCATATTTTTAACCACGGTGTTGAAAATTCTCTAAGTGATCTTACTGTTCCACACCTTATTACATTAATCCCCTATAAGGCACTTTCCCAAGGAGTCCCTGAACACTTCTGGGAGAATTATAGGCAGCCCATGCTACTCTGAGCACATTTAAAACATAGAAACTTATTTACATGGGCCTAAATCTACCTCTAGAACACCTGGGTTTATTCTACCTAGGGCTCACTTCAGAAATGGTATGTTTTTCAAAAATGACAAATCATGAAGTCTCCAGTATGATTTATATTTCAAATCCATCTCTTGAGAAAATTCTGGTTAATAGTGACTGACTAGAGTGTTAGGAACAATTCCAAGGTGTTTTCAATCTCATCAGGAAAAAGAGCTGCTGTGATCCATTAGTGATGCCTGCTATGGGCAGGGTGTAGGACTAGCCAAGTTTTGAGTCTATTTCTTCTTTCCCATAAAACTCCCTTAAACATGTGCAAATAGGATCCATGTTTCATCTAAGGAATGTATTCTACCCAAATCTGAACTCTTTTCAGCTACCTCACAACACATGGGCTGGCATTCTCTGTAGCCTTTGGCATGATGTAGCTTGTCCTATGAATATCCTTGTAGCCATCGCCTCCACCATAAAGCACAGAGCTAATCTAATCTATGTTTGCAGTAATTCCATAGAAAAATCTTTATTTCAGGATCACAAGTGAAGCTTGAATACTTCTTAAAAGTTCCTCTGAGCTCATATGTATGTGCAATTAAGTGTACTGAAAGCAAAACGTTATCTTGTCATTTGACTGCTAAGAGAGCTTGCCATAAACATCAAAAACAGCTTAACAATGCATTCTTATTTTTTATTCTGCTTTTAAAGGGCATTGCTAAAAGTCAACTCCATGGTCTGGTTCTACCTTGAAGATTTTGTATCTTTCTATGTCTCTGTGGACATAGTTAAGGATATACCGATGACTCTAGTAGTGAGTGCAACAGCACAGTTGACACACACACAAAAACTGCTTACATTTTTAAAATGGAAATCCAGTCATAGAAATATCACAGCACAACCTCTCAACGCTACCCCTTGCCAAGAGGCTGTGAAAGAAAAAGGATTTTTTTTTTTTTTTTTTTTTTGGAATTTTGGGTGATGCTCTTTTAAGAGCTAGTGGGACAAAGTGGAATATGTTACCACTTTTGGTTCTACTTGAGACCAAATTCCATGTGCCCTCATATAATGTACTTCCAGGATAGCCCTGCTTCAATAAATAGAACATCAAATATTATACTTTGAATTACAAATACATCAATGTAAAATGATTTCAATTTTGAATATCCTCCATTCATGCTACATGACTGGTTAAGCAAAACTGTGCTGACATCATGACAGACAATTCCACTCACATTTTAGTTTTGAATTTCTGGTATATTTATGATTCTAGCTTTTCATTTTATATGCTGGGTTATCTTGTATCAACAATGTATATAAAACTGTTCATGTTTCCTATTATGACAGCTGCACCAAGTCCATGTCTCAGAGCTGTATATCAAAGTGGCAAACATAATAACACAACACAGATCTGTTTTGACACTAATATGGATTTCATGCTTATTTCACATCCCCTTGGCCAAACATTCAAAAACATTGTAGTTCCCAGTAAATAACATTCCAGAAACAAAATCCAGATGCTGTGTCTATTATTTCAAGCACACATTATCAGATACAAGAATGCACAATGCTTTTCTACAATTTACTTTTCATTTTGTATCCTGTTTTTAGTGCTAAAGCACTTCATTCCCCAAATTCTAAATATTACTGAAGGTGAAATAAGAGCCTTTAGAGGGTTCTCTTACTTTAAAAAAAAACTGACATAGAAAATTACATGTATTTATCATGTACAACATGATGTTTTGAAGTATATATACAATGTAGCATGGTTAAATCTTGTTGAACCATTCTTACATCCCTGGGATGAATCCCACTTGATCATGGTGAGTGATCTTTTAATTGTGCTGTTGAATTTGGTTTGCTAGTATTTTGTTGTTGACGATTTTTGCACCTATGTTTCTTGAAGATAATTGCGTGTAGTTTTCTTTTAATGTGTGTTTTGTCTGGTTTTGATATCAGGATAATGGTGGCATCATAGAATGAACTTGGAAGTGTTCCATCCTCTTACATTTTTTGGTATAGCTTGAGACAAATTAGTATTAATTATTCTCTAAATGTTTGGTAGAATTCAACAGTGAACCCATCAAGTCCTGGGCTTTTCTCTGACGGGAGACATTTTACTACTGATTCAATTTCCTTTCTTATTATTGGTCAGTTTAGGTTTTCTCTTTCTTCATAATTCAATCTTGGTTATCTGGGAATTTATCCAGTTCTTCTAGGCTATCCAACGCTTTGGTGTATAATTATTTATAATAGTCTCTTATAATACGTTGTATTTCTGTGGTATCAATTGTAATGTCTCCTTTTATCTTTGATTTTATTTGAGTCTTCTTTTTTTTTTTTTTTTTTTTTAGTTAGTTAGTCTAGGTAAAGGGTTGTTGATTTTGCTTCTCTTATCAAAATAGCCAGTCTTCATTTCATGGATCTTTTGTATTGTATTCTAGTCTTTATTTATTTCTGCTCTGATCTTTATCATTCCCTTCCTTAATTTTGGGTTGAGTTTTTTCTTTCTTTTCTTCTGGTTCCTTGAGGTCCATTGTTAGGTTGTTGTTCTTTTTCAATGTCAGCATTTATTGCTAAAAACTTTTATAACTGCTTTTGCTGTAGCCCATAGATTTTGGTATGTTGTGTTTTCATTTTTCTTTTTTTTTTTTTTTTTTTCTGAGACGGAGTCTCACTTTGTCGCCAGGCTGGAGTGCAGTGGCATGATCTTGGCTCACCACAACCTCCATCTCCCGGGTTCAAGCCATTCTCCTGCCCCAGCCTCCCGAGTAGCTGGGATTACAGGTGTGCGCCACCACACCCAGCTAATTTTTGTATTTTTAGTAGAGACTAGGTTTCACCATGTTGGCCAGTATGGTCTCGATCTCCTGACCTTGTCATCCGCCCGCCTTGGCCTCCCAAAGTGCTGGGATTACAGGCATGAGCCACCGTGCCTGGCCCGTGTTTCCATTTTAATTTGTCTCAAGACATTTTTAAATTTTTCTTTTAATGTCTTCATTGATCCATTTGTTATTTGGGAGCATATGGTTTGATTTCCATGTATTTTTCAGGTTTCCAAAGTTCCTCCTGTTATGGATTTCTAGTTTTCTACTATTGTGGTCATAAACGATACTTCATTCTAATACTTTTAAAGCAAAAATATAATGATTTTGTCAGCACATTGATAGATTTTTTTTTCTAGCTTTCTATGTGCTGGGCACCTATTTCTGCACTATTGTTTAAGTTTTGCAATGACCCTATTAGGTAGATTATATTATTACTCCCCGTCACCAGTGAGAAAAATTGAAGCTCATAGAGGTTAAATAATGTGGCCAAGATTCAAAATTTGTAAGAGTATAGTCAGAATTTGAACCCAGGAAGTCAGGTTTTAGTGCCTATTGTTATCAACATATCATGCTGCCCTGTACATAAAAATTATAATGAAGGTGGGCCAGGTGCGGTGGCTCATGCCTGTAATCCCAGCACTTTGGGAGGCCGAGGCAGGCAGATCACGAGGTCAGGAGATGGAGACCATCCTGGCTAACACGGTGAAACCCCATCTCTACTAAAAATACAAAAACAAAATTAGCCAGGCGTGGTGGCGGGCACCTGTAGTCCCAGCTACTCAGGAGGCTGAGGTGGAAGAATCGCGTGAACCCGGGATGGGGAGCTTGCATTGAGCCGAGTTCGCGCCACTGCACTCCAGCCTCAGCGATAGAGACTGCATCTCAAAAAAAAAAAAAAATATATATATATATATATATATATATATACACACACACACACACACACATATATAGACGGAGAGAAGGTGAAGAGTTGAGTAAATTACTAAAGTTTCTTAAGCCCCTAGTATGTATCAGGAATTATGACAGGCAATTAACATCAATAATCTTACTTAGTCTTCACAACAGCTTTATTTGTTAGAAACCAACATTACCCCATTTTGTAAATACAACTCATAAGGTTAAGCAAACAAGCAATAAAATTAGGAAAGTAAGAAGACATTAGTTACACCCCTGGTAAGGGAAAAAGCTGGATATAAACTCCTATCTACTTGCATCTGAACTAGACTAGACTTTCTGTATTTATATCATCTCTATTCTAAAACAGAACCTAACCTTAATAAAGTGGTTGACTAAATTGACTTACCTATTTTCTCACTTCCATGATATTTATGTATTGAAAGTACAAGAAGCTAAAGGTCTTTGGATGAAACAGAACATAGCACTGTGTTTACAACAGCTTTAAGCCACATTCAAAACACTTTAGCGTCATCTCGTGTTATTTATTTATTTATATTATTTTTGCAAATTGAGTGGCATTGTTAGCACTTTGAAAGGCAGAAAATATAGCTGCATATTATATCATAAGAATAGACAATTATAAAAAGAGTGTAAGATGAAGTACCTTTACATGAGCTGTAATTGCAGCTGGTAATTAAACTGAAGTGTTTCATTTTCTCAGTCAGCTCATCAGTGACACCAGAAAATAAACAATTTGAAAGTGAAATCCTTAGGGGCCAACAATAGTAATTAATTGCATTTTCCAGGGAAGAAGCGTTCCTAAAGTCTGTTTGGGGTGACCTCTTGAGTAATATACACAGTGATTTACACTGTGAGCAGAAGTGTGGGGTTCAGAACCAAATCTGATTTAACTTGAATATTCATGAAGTCTCCAGTATGATTCATACTTCCATTTCCATTGTCAAGTTTATTGTCTCCTAGGTTAACAATGAAAGCAAATTTATATTCTGAATAATTCACATAACACAATGAGATGATCAGCATGGAAAAACTTTACCAGGCCAGTAACACATAAAGTGAGGCTGCTATTAATCCCTTCCAACTTGGAATCTCCTCAAGTATCAAGAGCATTGTTTTAGAGATACTTGGGAGCTGAAAAGAAAATATTTATGTGTGTAAATTTGGATCCATATCTCATAAGCCTATTGGATTAAAATCATAACATTCAGGCAGTCTAGTTTGCCACTGTTCATTTTCACAGAGAAGAGCTTTGTTTGAGATTTGTGCACATCTTTTTAGCTATTCTGATCACAGGGAACAAACTGCCATGACTTATACTCTAATTTCTCTTCTTGTTTTTACTTATGATATGAACATGGCCCTTGGACTCAGATAGGCATAGGTATAGAATCCAGCCCCACTTCTTACTAACACCTTGTGTTAGTTAGCTCATACCAGATAACAAAGAACCTTAAAACTTGCTTTAAAACACTAACCCTTTATTTAGATTATCATTCTACAGGAAGACAATTTGGGGTGGGCTCAGCCAGGTGGTTCTTCTGGTTTAGGCCAGGCTCATTTGGTCTCAGCTGGGGCTCAATTATACACCTGCAGGTGACTGCCAGATTGGGTAGGTAGGCTGATCTATGGAGGCTTCAGCTGGCATGGCTTGCCTCTGCTTCCTGTATCTTCCATTTTCCAGCATTGCAGCCTGAGCTTTTCCAAATGATGGTGTGGCAGTGATCAGTAAGAGAAGGTAAATCCAAATATGCAAGTCTCTGCTATTGTTCCATTGGCAAAATGGCCAAGCCCAGAGACAGACTGAAGGGTACTGTCAAGAAATAATAGTGATACTAAAACCCATGAAAAAATCGGGGGCCATTATTACAACAATCAACTACATATATGTATAAGAAACTATGAGCCAGTTTCTTAATCCCTCAGGCCCAGTTGCTGCTCATCTCATAGAGTTGTTGTGGAGATTAAAATTAACTCATATATGTAAACCAATGGGTCAATCACCTGGCACATTGGAGACACATAATAAATGTTGGCCCTCTTTTCTCTGACAGATATTTATGCACTCCCATTTATTGGTTATACAAAGCAAATATTCTAATATGAGAACAACCTGTTAATGATATGTCATCCCACTGACCTCTATAGTTATTCAGTTATCCGGCTAGTGAGGTTAGTGTCTCCTTCCTTAACAATTTCATATTAATCTGCTGAAGCTATGCATTAACCTGGAGGATCAACTTCTGCACAGAAGTATATTCCTAAAATTACGTATTATGCATGTATGTTTGCATAATATACTTCCATAAAAGCTGAAACTTGGCTGGGCACAGTGGCTCACACCTGTAATTCTAGCACTTTGGGAGGCTCACGCCTGTAATTCCAGCACTTTGGGAGAGGATCACTTGAGGCCAGGGGTTCAAGACCAACCTGGCCAACACAGGGAGAATTTGTCTCTACAAAAATATTTTTTTTAAAAATTAGCCAAACATGGCGGTGCTGCCTGTAGTTCCACCTACTCAGGGGGCTGAGGCAGGAGGATCACTTGAGCCCAGAAGTTCAAGGTTGCAGTGAGTTGTGATCACGCCGCACCACTGCACTCTAACCTGGGTGGCAGAGTGAGCCTCTGTCTCAGAAACAAAACAAACAAATGAAAACAAAACAAAAACTAAACTTTTATTGAGCCATTGATTTAGCTATTTTTAAAACTTCCTTACAATGTACAATCAGAGGCAAATCTGTGTTAATAAAGCCTATATGTTGCACTGGGGGGTCGCAGGCTAGAAGAGGTCATAACGGTTTAAAATTTCCAAAGTGTCGATTATGGCCATTGAAGAGGCTGAGTCATCTTAAAGTCGGCTTGACATTACAATCAAATAATCAGAAAAGCCCGTAAATTGAATTCTACTTTGGCCTGATTGTCTTAAAAGCTGGCTCTGATATTAACGGACGGATGTTCACATCTTTAATTTGGATCAGGGCCACTGACACAATAGAGTAGATGAGCCTCCATAATTTTCAAGTGAACACATGCTTTTCCCCATTGATCTGTGGATAATAGATCATTCTATTGGCTCCCCTGCAGCATTTAAATACAGTCTGCCTAATTCAAAATTGGTCAGTAAATGTAATACTAAACTGCCTTGACCTGAAGACGATAGAAATGAAAACCCATTTTAAAAAATCCCAGGAAATCACTGTACTTGTCATATCTACTGCATGAAATAAAAAATATATTTCACCAAAATACACTTCTACCTCTATTATTTTATAGATTATTAAAACAGTGCAGAACATACAAGGATTAATATAATGTGCAAAGAGATCTTATATATATGGCCAGGGTCTTTCATGACTGACAGAACCTCTCTGATGTTTGCTGACTTTTTAGCCAAAAAGAAAGAGAACATTTGGTTAACACAGGCTCAGAGATAGATAGAATTATAATAATACCTGACAGCCCTTTGATACTTGGTAGTTTTATGGTGCAGGGAAGGGAAAGATTTTGAAGACTTCATTGGGATCAAATGTTAATAAGGAACAAGGTGAAACATGCCTGTAAAAATAATATTGATTATATCACAATATTCTCTATCATTCCAATGAATAATCCAATAACCAATGAATTCCTAATAGCAACATTAATAGGGTGATTACCGTTTTGTGAACATTTATTAAAGAAGAAGAATTTTAAAATAAAGCTATCCATGAATTTGCTGTTATGTCTTAAAATACTACATAAACACCACAAGGTGTCTGAGGTGTGCCCTATATTAATTTTATGTTTGTTTGGTAACTCCAGTCATGGTCTCTATAGCCAAAGTCATTCTTCAAATATACAGTTATTTGAACTACTCAATTGAAGGGAAAATCTGGGGTGACAGATAACAATGCTTTACAGAGTACATGTATATTTAATCATAGAAGCTCAAGTATATAGGAAAATAAAATGTTAGTTACAAAATGTTTATTTGATAATTACACATCATGACAAAGAATATTATAGGAAGTAAATTCAAAATTTAAATATATTCATACAGCCAAGATATGATCCATATTTATTATGTTGTCATGTTTTGCTTTATAATCTATCGTCTGTTTATGTGCTAGTTTGTTTAAGTAAAAATATTATCTTCATTTTAAAAAAGCTGAGCATGTAAAAAGGCCAAAATTCGGGGTTTTGGCTATACTTGAATAGACTGCATTTGATTTTCTTTTTGCAAGCTATACCCTTGATGACAGTTAAACTGAACGAGCATTCATTGAGCAACTATTTAGTTTATAGTCACTATACTAGAATATAGTGATACAAAGATGATAAACCATGATCCCTGTCCTCAGAAAAGATGGACGTATACATAGCAACTGTAATACGGTATGTAAGAACTATACAAGCAGTATGAATTGGGTTACTCAGAACAATCGAGTGAGGGATTCTTCTGGCGCAGGAGGAATGGAAGTGGCTTCACATAGAAGGAGCTGAGAATGCAGAATGATGTAACAGGGCTTTCCAAGGTTACCCCCAGGTTCAGTGATTCACTAAGAGGACTAACAGGACTCAGCAGATAGCATACTATGGCTATAATTTATTACAGCAAAAGGATACGGAACAAGATCAACAAAGGGAGAAGGTATGTGTGAGATGACTACCAGAGGAAACCAGGCCCACGCTTTTAAGAGTCCTTTCCCAGGGGAGTCACACAGAATGCACTTAATGCCTTCAGCAGGAAGTTGTGACAACATGTGTGAAATGTTTTCTAGTAAGGAAATTCATTACAGACTCAGTGCCCAGAGATTTTACTGGGGGTTGTTCATGTAAACGCCCTAAACCATACTGTCTGCACAAACAGTTTAGGCATAGTAAACCCATTTGTTATCAGAAAATGCTGGGAACCTTTCTGATATCTAAGTTTTCAGAAGCATAAATATTATGGCAATGTACTCAAAAGAACTGGGCCTCCATTTTAGGATTCCAGCTGAATGCTAACCTTGCAAGCAGTCCTTTCTAAGGACAGCAGCCTCAGGCCTGTTAGATTAACTCTTTTCTGCACAGGTGAATAGATCTGTCCAGATATAGTTGGTGGAGAAATGAATTCAGGCTGTGGAAATTTCAAGAAAGGGCTCGGATGTGTGGAAAACCGTTCAAAACATTTCATTCAGTGAGATGTTTAATCTTAAGTGTTTCTGGGACTATTTGGAGTGTCAAGTTCACACTCCTGAGGCCTGACATGATTTCAGGTTCCCTGAACAGGCCCCATCTTGTAAAGAGGATTAAAATGGCAATTGTGTTAATTCGAAACATTTGGCCTCTGTTGTGTACTTCATTCATGTGAAGATGTGATTCTAATTTAGAATATCCAGATATTTGTTTTAGTTCAGTGTTTTGTTGTCACAGTATATAAAGTTTCTGACCATAACACCTTTGAAGTTGTATAGTTCAAAGGTCCCTGTTACAGTGCAACGGAGACTTCAGTTTCCTGGAGGAGAGTATGTACTTTCAAAGACGACATTTCAGAGCATAGTACATTCATACAAGTGATCGACACAAAATGTCATTTTTGTCACTAGTACTTGTGGCATTAACTATAAGCTGTGGAGTTGTGCTTTTGTTTTCCCCCCAGCCAGATTGACATGCTTCAGTGCCTTTCAGATCCTACACTTGTACAACCCAAAACAGAACTATCCCTGTATTTCACTAGGAGAAAAATGAAAACTGTTAAGCTTATAAATATTTCACTACAGATTGCTGTATATTCGCTGCTCACTGTTGAATTCAGCTGCTATGAAATGCTAATAACTCTCTACTGAGGGCTTGAGAACAACCTCTATTTCGATAAATATTATGGCGTGTACTGAATTATGAGTTCCGTACATTCACTGATAGACAAGATGGAATGTTAGCCTTATTAATGCAACTGGTGCAATGTACTCAAAAGAACTGGGCCTCCATTTTAGAGATTTAGCTGGTAAGGTACATGACCACTGTAACATGCATGGGCCTTAGTAGTATAAAATAGATATGAAATATTGTACAAATAATATCTCTGCTGTGGTTTGGAAATCTATTGGAAAATATATACATTTGTCTTATCTTCTGATTTGTTAATTACTCTTAGGACATTATGAGTGAATTTTAGAACTAAAAAGTCAGTATAAAAACAGATGGTTACATTTTGTGATTATTAGCTTCCTGTGACTGCTATAAGAAATTGCCACAGACTTAGAGGCTTAAAACAACACAATTTTTTTATCTTATAGTTGTGGAAGTCAGTCCAAAATCAGTTTTACAGGGCTAAAATCAAGGCGTAGGCAGGGCTTGGTCTTTTCTGGGGACTCTAGAAGGTAATTTGTTTCCTTGTCTTTTTCAGCTTCTAGAGGCTGCCTGTATTCCTTGACACATGACTGTTTACTCCATCTTCAAAGCCAGCAGCATAGCAATTCAATTCTCTCTCTTTCTCACTTCTCTCTCTCTCTTCAATTCTCTCTCTCTCTCTCTCTCTGTGTGTCTCTCTCTCTCATCTCTACTTCCATCATCACATCTCCTTCCCTGACTCGGACCATTCTGCCTGCCTCCATCTTATAAAGATCCTTATGACTGGACCCACCCAGATATTCCAGGCTTGTCTCTCCATTTCAAGATCCTTAATCACATCTGCAAAGTCTCTTTTGTTTTGTCAGGTAACATAGTTACAGGTTCCAGAGATTGAGATTAGGACGTGGACATGTTTTGGGGATCATTATTTTGTCTCCTACAACCCCAATAACTCTATTTTGTGTTATAAATACTGTGAATTATTCAGCACCAATACATGGTATTCAATCAGATTTTGACCATGTCTGTCTATCCATCCATTCAGTAAATATGTATTGAGAACCTAATATATGTCAGGCAATGTTCTAGATGCTGAGGTGCAGTAATTAACAAAGGAGACAAAGTCTTTGTTCTCATGGAGGTTGCATTCTAGAAGGGAACACATATAAATTAATATTGGATATGTCCTGAATATTTGGTCTATAACAAAAAATAAGGCAGGATTAGATGGCATACTGTGTTAGTATATGTATGATGAGGGGTGCCATTTTATCACTAAGTATGGTCAATGATGTCCTCTCTGAAGAAGCAATGTGATATGTTGAATAGTGGCCCCCAAAATATAGGTCCAAGTCTTAACCCCCGGTACCTGTAAATGTGATCTTATATGGAAATACAGTCGACCTTCAGTATCCACAGGTTTTGAATCCATGGATTTAGCCAACTGTGGATCAAAAATATTCTAAGAAAAAACAAAACAATAAAAACATACAAATAAAAACAATGCAATATAACAACTATTTACATAGTATTTACATTGTAATAGGTATTATAAATAATCTAGAGATGATTTAAAGTATACAGGAGAATGTGCATAGGTTATGTGCAAACTACATAATTTTATATCGGGGACTTGAGCATCCTTGGATTTTGATATCCACAGCGAGTCCAAAACCAATCCTTCTTGGATACAAGGAACAACTGTATTGTAAGATCTTTGCAGATGTAATTCAGTTAAGAATCTTGAGATGAGATTATTCTGGATTTGGGTGGAGCTAAATTGAATTATAAGTGTCCTTATAAGAGACAGAACAGGAGAAGCCACAGAGACACACAAAGAGGAAAGCCATGTGGTGCATTTACATGCCAACAAATGCCAAGGATTGTGGGCAACCACCAGAAGCTAGGAGAGAGACATGGAAAGGGTTCTTTCTCTGAGCCTCCAGAAGTAACGAATCCTATAGACAGCTTGATTTCAGAGTTCTGGCCTCCAGAACTGTGACAGAATACATTTCTGTTGTTTTAAGCCACCTAGTATGTGTAATTTGTTGCAGCAGCGCAAGGATACTAATACAGGCAATGTTTGAGCAAATACCTATTTGAAATAAGAAAACAAGCCATACAGATACTGAAAGGAAAAGCAGTATAGGCAGAAGACACAATAAGTGGGAGACTCTCTGTGGTATTCAAATAACAACAATGGGAGACAGTGTGACTAGAACCCAGAAAGCCAGGGGGAAGAGTGTTTGAAGATGATTCCAGAACTATAGTGCTAACCAGGTCGGGTAGGGAGGGTTTTGTGGGCCATGGTAAGGACTTTGAATTTAATTCTGTTTATTATATATAAGCTAGAATAATTATGATTTACTGAAATGTAGTGTTTCTGGGCATGACAGTTTTAACTGCCAGAAGCAAATAATCGTGACACAACTGAATATTAACACAAAACATGAAGGTTGAATTCTGGTGAGCTCCATTGTGTTCCCAGTAACTTAACTATCACATTTTTAATAATGTTGGTCCTGGCCTGAATAACAAAATATATTGGTTCCTCCACCCCCAACACGCAACTACTGTATTAGGCCATTATCACATTGCTATAAAGAAATACCTGAGAGTGGGTAGTGAAAAGACGTTTAATTGGCCCACAGTTCTGCAGGCTGTATAGGAAGCATGGTGGCATCTACTCGGCTTCTGGGGAGGCCTCAGGAAACTTACAATCATGCAGAAAGGCAAAAGGTGAGCAGGCGCGTAACTTGGCAGAAACAGCAGCAAGAGAGCAAGGGGGGAGGTGCCACACTTTTAAACAACCAGATCTTTTGAGAACTCACTTAGTATCATGAGGACAGCACCAAGGGCATGGTGCTATACCGTTCATGAGAAACCCACCCCCATGAACCAATCACCTCCCACCAGTCCCCACTTCCAGCACTGGGGATTACATTTCACGTGAGATTTGGGCAGGGACGCACATCCAAACTAATCAACTACTTATTTCTTTTTGTGTCTGCATATATAAAATCTGTTAGGTTTGGCTTTCCGTGCAACACTGTTTCATGTGTTATTAGTATCGCTGTTACACTCTGATACTCCCACAAGATAACCCTACCCATCAATGAGAATTGAGGCCAGTACTGCAGAATGAGGATCCTACACAAAATACAGAAACCTTACTTGTTCACCAAAGGTGTGAACCAGTAGTAAAATGAATGGATTTGTTTCCCGTCCCCTTGCTGGTCCCTGCTAACTCTGACTCTTAAAAGCCATAACATTTTAGCCAAAGAGGACGGAAGAAATAGACTCAAAAGTTGCTTATTAAAACTTGCAATATGTGTGCCAATAATTGCTAGAACTGTGTTAGAAATAAGGACATTGTAATGAGATAGGATGTTATTTTTCTAACATGATGTCTCTATGTTAAGAGATAAAGGTCAAGTCCTAGGAAATGAAGGGCTACTTTTTAATGGCGTTGAAACCACGTAATGGGTAGGATTGTCTCTAGAAGATCAGTAATGCACTGATACATAATCAATGGAAGTTTCTTAGGAGATACTTTATTTCTTTTAGCATTGGTTCCTCTCCCTACTATGTCAAATATAAATATTTCACATTGTATAGCCATTAATCAAAGTAAAACTAACCACAGTCTATATATATATATATACATATATATGTATATATGTATATATATGTATATACACACACACACACACACACGTATATATGTATATGTACTCTGTATGCATATATACACAGTGAATTTTAGCTTATGTCCCTATGGGCAGGGAAGAGAACAAAAGATGCATATAATAATTCATCTCTGCTCATTTTCCCATGCTCCTTCATTTTGTGTATCATCTCACATGCAAATTAAAATGTTCTAAATGACAAAAGAAAATCTCAGTTGTGGGAAATTAAGCATAAAATGTGGACTGAATCTTGATTTTGAAATCCTAAGGGTTACTAAAAATAGAACATTTCACACCCCTTTCAAGGGAGCACCTGCTAAATTCATTTGAGTCAAATGTAGAAATCTCTGTAATTCGAGTAGATAAGGATAATCTAGAAATAAGACCACGAGCAGAGGAATGGTCAATGTTTTTTGTAGCCAACAGCTTTGAAATATGCTTATAGAAAACATTGCTTAAATCAGGACTATTTTAATTCAGAAGGAATCTACCCATGGCCTACTAAATTATCATCAGAGAGGTGGTCACCACACATTGGTTTAGTGACCAAGCTTGACATCAGAAGGCCTGAATTCTGCTTCTGCTTTTATTATTAGTGAGATAACTGATCTCATGCAGGTCATTTAATTTCACTGTAATTCAAGTTCTTTATATTTACACTGAGTTGTGTAAAAATTTTAAAAAACAAAATACAGCATCATTTTAAGCTGCATAAAAGGTAGAAAATATATCATTTTTAAATATCACCAATGTTATCAAAATCATATATCCAGACAAGGGATCTAAGTAATTTATCTATATAGATGGCATAGATAGACTACATACACTACTTATGTTCCTCATTTTGAATGTGAACAGATTAGCCATAGCAGTAAATTCCATCGCTGAAGAAAGTTAAATACCTTTAAGAAAAATACAAGCCTGTCCTTCCAGTTGTAATTTTCTTTCTTAATGTGCTTTATCTTTGATTTGACATAATGAAGGTTTTTATCCTGTGCCCAGAAATACAAAAACATGAGATCTAAATATCTTTTTTGGTTACTTCCCCGTGCTT
This sequence comes from Homo sapiens, assembly GCF_000001405.40. NCBI lineage: Eukaryota > Metazoa > Chordata > Mammalia > Primates > Hominidae > Homo > Homo sapiens. Next base: position 29,847,848 of record NC_000023.11, read on the forward strand.
TTTCATTTTGTTTTGGTTTAATATACAAATTAAAATGTTTTAGAAAATATTGCCAAATTTGTACATTTTGAAGTTTTATTCTGGAAATATGATCCATTCTGCTTATTCTTTTAAAATACTACATATTTTCATTAAAAAATGATCTGATGTAATAAAAAAAAGTTTTTGCTTGAGAATTGTATCAGTAGATACAATTCTCAAATAGAAGAGTTCAACTCTTTACAGATGATCAGAAGTATATTTCCTTTAAAAAAGTGAAACTTAAAAATCACACATTTTTAGATGATGACAGTTTCTTTTGTAGGAGAGTGTGTACCTTTACAAGATACAAAGAGAAAGAACATTTGTTATCACAATCATAAATGCAAATTGTGGACTCAGCCTAGAAACTTAAAAGATCTGTGTAGAATGATTTTTCTCCCCTTTTATTTCCAGTTTAATTGTTTTCTGTCATAGACTTTTATTGAAACAAATACATGCTACTGATTCTTCCCTAATCTTACGTGGCTAAAGCTAATCTTTCTTACTATTTGCTTAGTAGAAAAAAAGCAAACAGCACCACATATTTTTTTTCTTTTCCAAAATATAGCAAAAAAAAAAAAACATCCTATTATTTCATTCCAAAAGCAGTAGTCCTTTTCAGACTTGTGCAGAGCAGCTTATCCCACAGGGATTTCAAATAGTAACTCATTGGATGCAGGTGATAAGGACTTTCTATGAAAGGCCAAAGCAACTAAATAGTTATGGTTTTTGTTTGTATTTAATATTATTTTGTTGTGGATGCGTTAGTCATATTTTTTCAAAGGGAAGCAATCAAGTGTGATAGAAATTATGATGGAATGCAGACTGGACTACTGTCAAGAGAGCTGAGCTCTGGTCTGGACTCTGTCACTGACTTAGTATGTGCCTCTAGTTTCCATGTTTTTATTTTATTTTGAGACAGAGTCTCACTCTGTCACCCAGGTTGGAGTGCAGTGGTGCGATCTCGGCTCACTGCAACCTATGCCTTCCGGGTTTCAAGCAATTTTCCTGCCTTAGCCCCCCGAATAGCTGGGACTACAGGTGTGCACCACCATACCTGGCAAATTTTTGTGTTTTCAGTAGAGATGGGGTTTCACCACGTTGGCCAGGCTAGTCTCGAACTCCTACCCTTAAGTGATCCACCCACCTCAGACTCCCAAAGTGCGGGGGTTACAGGCATGAGCCACCACACCCTGTCTCCATGTTTTTAAAATAAGAACAGCAAGATTTGCTCTTACCAACCTCATGGGAATAACAGCAAGAAAAAAAAATGGGTAAGCTACCAAAAAAATCTTTTATTTTTAAGAAGAAATGTAGTTTTCTATTTTTGGTATATTATCAAATTCTCCCTTATGTTCTGACTTACATTAAACCATTACATGTAAACATGTAAATAAATATTGATAGTCTGTCTTGAAGCCTGACTCTGATACCTGAAACCTGAAATACAGTCCTAATTCTATAGACTGTATAGTCTGAAATGTATTATAAGGAAGAGACTCTTTTAGGTGCTGGGATACCTGGTGACCAAGATAACCCAGTTCCCCTACAAGTTTGTATTCTATGAAATAGACAGGCCCTATACAATGAAACAAGCAAATATTTTCTCAGGTATTGATTAGTGCTGTAAAGAAAAGTAAAGCCAGCTAACTGAATAGAAAGTGTCAGAGGAGGGGGGACACTTTCATGAAGATTGGTAAGAGAAGACCTGTCTGAGATGGTGACATAAGACCTGAAACCTGAATACTGAGAACAACTGAGCTATCGAAAGCTTTAGAGACAAACATTCCAGGCAGAGGGAACAACAGGACATAAGGCTCTTGAAGCCTGAAGAAGCGTGACAAGATGGAGGAACTTGAGGCTTACTGGCCTGGACAGAAATGAAGGGGGAAGAGAGCTTTGGATCAGGTCGAAGAGGCTGCCAGGGGCTAGATCAGACAAGATCTTGCAAACCGTGAAAAGGAGTTTTTATTTTATTCTCAATAAAAAGAGAAGTCATTGGAAAAATAAGCAGATTGTTAAAATGACCTCAACATGACAGAATTGAGTTGGGGAGGGTGTCCTCAGAGTATTACCCAGAGAACTTGGCCCCAAATCTTTTACAGATTTCTCTTCCTCTCCTCAAACTTTCCCACTCTTGAGTGGCTAAAATCTTAATCTCTTTCTCTGTCTCTCTCAACAAGAGTGAACCCGATGCACTGCTTTTCCTTTTAACATCTTCTTTGGCATTTAAGGGCACCTGAGTGTAGTCCCTTGGGAAAGTAGATTTTCTTCTTCTTCAAATAAGGTCATCACATTCTTCAAAGAAGAAAATTCTGGTGAGTGAAATTCTTCCTTTCTGCCCACCATCTACCTACTTACTTAAACCTTAGCAGTCATCTGTCAAGGGGATCAGTGTTTATTTGTGCATCCAGTAGCACTTTCTTGTCATAGCCCCATGACCCTGCTCCTTCAGATTTTCTCAAGGACCTCTGGAGATGTTTCCAGGTTAGGCATAGCCATGTGTTTCAAAATGCAGTCCACCAGTTCCAGGACCCAGGACAGAAAGAACTGCCTGTGCCAAATCTTGTTGAGGCTTAATTGGGACCTTAAGGACCCTTCAGGACCTCTAAGGCCTTTCCAAAGAGCAAGAACATGTGATTCCCGGATGAAAAGCCTCATGGTTCACGGCTGCCACAATTGAGGTGGTGCAGACCACCCTCTCCCCTGCTGGAGCCCGTAAGGCTCGGTGTGGGTGGCGACTGTGGAAAGCAGGGCAGGAATACATTGCCTTCCAGAAGGAATTCACCTTATTGCTGCTCGTGGGGACAGTGTTAGCTGGTATGCTTTGGCTTCAGGCAGCTGTGCCTCAGTTCACCCTTCAGCCAGTTTTTATTTTTCAGTCTTGAGCAGCTTCACAGACAGTAACAATGCAGCCTATATTCTTCCACTAAACGCAGTCTAAGATTATTCAATAATATTTGGCTATTAGTTGTTCCCACAATAACTTCATCTCGAACTTCGAGCCTTCCAAATTCAGTGTTTTGTTTCATCCTGGATAGACCTTGATGAGAGTTCTTCCTATTCTTTATGTAAATAATACCAAGAACTTTCTCCCTTTCCTTTGAGGAGGTAAAGTTAGGAATTTGACATCTGAATCCCAGTATCTGTCCAGATTGCCATGTTCACCTTTAAGTCAGTAAGAAAATATGCCTTCAAAACTGCATTTTGATTCGTTTCTAATGGAAAAGGTGGGGCAGTGGCATAAACAAAAATCTTGAAGACCCTCATATATACAGTCTCAGTACTTCTAACTTTAAAATCATCTTGACCCATATTTCTGTATCTCTCTGGTTGTATTTTTAAAACCACCAAGGCTCCTGTCTGATTTATCATGCCCCTTTATCTCTTAAATCCTGGAGTTATGTCAGCCATGATGAAAATATACAATAAGCTCAGCTTTTTATCCAAGTTGTGGCTGGATACCTTTGGGACACAATTCTGAAAAAGTAGTCCCAAATATCGCCCGATTATATAGTACTTCCCCTCAAAAGGCTGGTAATGCACCCATGCAAACAAGAACAAATTGAATAACTCAATTTCCAGAAGGCCACTGAAATAATGTAGAGCCCTGAAGGAGAATTTCTATAGGGGATTTCAACTGGTTTATCATACTGAAATTATTTTCAAGAATCCTTCTAGACATTTATTGGTTTCTCAAAATTGTCCTGTTTAAGGCAGTAACCAAAACATCTTGCCTTTTCTGTCATGCCTACCCCTTTGAGTTCACTTCCTTCGTTTCTGTGCAGTGATGCTCTGTCTTGGCTTATCTGTACATAGGTCACTCTCAGACATGCATAGACCTGGGGGAGCTGTAGGTCCTTTTCTGTTCTGATGGCTTTTCTTGTGGGTTCTATCTCCTTTTCCCTTCCCCACTACCATGCCCATAATTCTATCAAAGAAAAAGAAAAATAATAGTAAAAACAAGAAGCTGTTCTTTGTTGTGGCTCATTGGTAAGCAAAAGATTCCATTTACTTTAACAAATATATATAGATTGCCTACTGAATATTATGGACTGCAGCAATCAGAATAGCAAGTTATTCTTAAAACATAGTGATGCTCTTAAAGTGTTTTAGCTTTGAATTGAGCTGTCTGCTTTGATTCAAAGTCACACAGAGACTGCTCTTGGAAATTTTCCCATAGGCCCAGGGGCCACTCCTCGGATTTACAGCAATGAAAACGTAAATGAATCTGCTCACTTAAGGGAGACCAAGCTGTGCAGAAGTGGTGAATGTTAAGCCAACTTGCCAGAAACTGATTTATAAACCAGAATGCTGATTCATTAAATGAAATGGGAGATGAATCTGGTAAGATAACCGGCATCAATCATTTGAACAGGGTACTCCCTCTTAATGAATAAGCTCATTGAAGAAACTAAATTGCAGATCAGAAGGATTTTTGGTACAGGGAATTAGAAGAGAAAAAAAAAGTGTTAAGGGGCATTCCCTTAAACTCAGTTTACTCAATTTGTTCCTCCCCATTTTGGAAGTCTTTCAGTCTACGAATCTGGCAGCAGACACTGGAATGATGTCACTCTTGGGCAGTTCTTGCCTTTCATCTAACTTTGATCTCTTCTTCATTCATACCACCAAACTTTTTTTGGGACAACAAAGCCCTAACATTGTTACACAAATTTAGGTCAGAGTTTATTTTGTATTCATGACAGTTAGTCTCCTGTACCTTTAGGAGATAAACTACAGAATCCAGTAAAGAGATTTGGGAAGTACCTTAAACTCATCAGCAACTATCTATATAAACCATTTTTTTATAGTCAGTTTTTTCAACAGATGAATAACCATGTCTGTTTCAGCTTAATGCTTATTAGCTTCAATTTTCAAGAGGTGACTATTTTCCTCATTCAATTTAGCAGCTACTTACTGAGCTCCTCAAGAGCAAGAAAAGTCTCCAGAGGAAACAAAAATGAGCAAGGCAATCCTTTATGAAGTTTACAGTCAGATTTGAGCAATAACAACAATAATAATGAGCACAAATAATTATGGCACAGAATTAAGAAATCATGTAAGAGAGTCTGTTCCAGAAAATGAGGCAATCACACAGCTGACTGTGAGAATCCTGTGGCTTTTGACTTGGACCTTCTAGGGCACATGGGGTTTTACCAAGAGAGATAAGAAACTGTTTCATGCAGTTGAAGAGACCTTGGTGAGACACAGCATTTAGAGAGAAAAGCCCCAGACACATTCAGAGAAAATAATGGGATGGACCCTATTTGAAGACTGCAAGGAGTACATGTAAAAACTGATCTGCCAATTCTATTATGGCTTTAAAAAAAAAAAAAAAAAACACGGCCAGGTGCAGTGGCTCACACCTATAATCCCAACACTTGGGAGGCTGAGGTGGGAGGTCCCTTGAGCCTAGGAATTCATGACCAGCCTGTGCAACAAAGTGGAACCCAGTCTCGAAAAAAAGAAAAAAAGAAAAAAAAATTAGCCAGGCATCATAGATCACTTGAGCTCAAGAGGAGGAGGCTTTAGTAAGCCGTGATTGCACAAACGCACTCCAGCCTGGGCAAAAGAACAAGACCCTGTCTCATAAAAAAACAAAATCTAAGACACAACAAAACAAAAAACAAAAGCCCTGTCTCTCCTTAGAACCACAACAGATCAAGTTATCTGATGCTTTTTTTTTCTTTTTTTACTTTTATGGGTAACACTTGTATTTGAAAAAGAAAAGAATGGCAATTAAAAGTTAATTATTAAGGCAATAAGCATAACATTTATTAAATCGATTTAGAAGCAACTTGATTATAAATCTTTTTTCAGTAGAATTCAGTCATCAATCGCTGTTCCATATATAACCATCTATTCCTGATGGTGTAAAAGAAAACATGCAAAATTAATATAAGTTCTTTAATTTCTGAATTTTGGCAATCCCTTTACGCTTTGGGTGACTGATTATCTGTCATTTTCTATTATATGATTTCACTCAGAGGAGCTATTTTTTGTGGTGTTATAATTAGAGGAAAACCAATAATCGATAAGAAGATAGTTTGAACTGAGCAACAAGATTGTTTTGATTCAATGTTTTTAACTGATTAAAAGTGACTAACGTATTTTGTTTTCATCCGTGACATGTAAACAATAGAAGGGAATCTCGCTGTATCTAACTTTTTTCCCCAAACCCCTCTCTCATTCTCCTTCCAAATTTTCGAGGTACGAAGGATGACTTTCTGACTTCACATAAATTGCCCCTGAAACATTTCTGTAGTTAGTGACAGCTGTCTTCTACTTACTTCCAGGAGAAAGACTTTATTCACACACCGTTAAGGCTCTTTTTACTGGCTTGAGCAGCTTACAAAAGAGAGAAAAATGTAACGTTATCAAAGACTTTCTTGTGGCTTTCACTTTATGCTGTCTTCCAATAATATATACTGGTACCTAAACACTGAGCAGCATGGAGAAGGAGTGGCCTGACCTGGGTGAATTTAACTTACGGAGACAGGGCTTTCTAAGATGACACAGGAAAGGTATTGATGAGATAAAAGCCACTGAAGGAATAAATCATTCATATGATATTTTATTTTTATTAATTTCTGGTTCAGCTAAAAGTAGAGAAATATCAGATGAATGCTATTCCACCTAGTCGTCAGAATTGACAAGCCACCCAAGGTCAGGATTGGGGGCTGGTCTGGTTCTGGAATCAGATGGCTACATTTGAATCCCAACTTCCCCTTTTCACTAACTGTGACTTTTTGGGCAAGTGACTTAATTTTATACCCTTAAGTTAATTTTTTCTCTTATTCAATGGAAATATTAATAATACTTTCCTGGTTTAGAGTAATGATTGAATTATATGGTATATATAAGACATCAGTACAAAGCGAGGCACAGAGTAAATCAAGCAATAAATGGCAACTATTATAAAAAATGGGGCCAGGCACAACGGTTCACCCATATAATCACATTTTGTGGGGGCCAAGGCGGGAGGATCACTTAAGGTCAGGAGTTCAAAACCAGCCTGACCAAATAGCACACACACACACACACACACACAAAATTAACGGGAGGTATTATTTCTCTATAACACCTATTTAATTGTTCTGGGCAGGCATTTGTATACCTCTTTATGTTCTATCTGTCTTCGTAAATTATAGAACACCCATGGCTGTCACTGAAAGACAACTTAAGCAGACCCTTCACCATGCCCAGTGAAGAAACAGAAAGAGAGGAATTTGGGGGATTAGTATCCAAGCCATTGAATCATTAAGACAGAATTGATTGATAAAAGGATTTGTGTTTATTACCCCAGATAGTGAATTTCTCTCAGTAGAAAGAGTGTCTTTTCATATCAGTGTAGGAGGAAATTCATTACCCATTAATTTCTTAATGAGACAAATGGTAGGCATCTACTGGAATTCATCTATGGAAACATGTTTGTGTATGTGCATAAACACAAGTACAGAAACTCACATGTACGCTCATATGCGCATGCGTGCACACAGAACGGGAGAGAAATTTGTTGACTAATTCTTTTATCTTTAAATATATGCCATTTTTACTGAGATCACACTCACTGAGTGGGAATTTGAGAGTTATTTTAGGGTTATTTTTGGTGTATATAATTATCTCAAGGCTCTAGATAAAGATCCTGGAGTTTTAAGCCCATCTACCAACATTCTGGTTTGAATAAGTTATTTGAACCAGCATATTAGAGAGAAGATAAAGTCTTAAGATGTGAGGTTATAAGATTCCTTTTTTTCACGAGGGCAGCTAATGCTGGAACTGCACGAGTGGCAGAGGTAGGGTAGGAGTTGACTTTTAAAAGCAATAATACCCCTTAGCCCCAATTTTGGGTTTTTTTTTTCAACATGTTTCAATATCCATATGTTAAAATGTTGAATATTTCTACATCTACCATATTCACCTATGCCTGCTTGTGAATTTGTTGTGGAGGGTTAAAGCAAGCAGGACAATGTCTGTCTCATGTTAACTGCTCAGAAAGTGGTAGCTACTCTTACTGTCTCAGACAGTACCTGAGTCTCTCAGTTATCCACCATCAGTGTTATTTTCTTATTACCATTAGCTCTCAAATGGTAATTTTCAATCTTTTCTACATCAAAAACCCCTTGGGGAATTTGATGAAAGCTATGTATCCTCTATTAAAGAAAAGTGCGTATACCTACATGCATATACCATGCACCATTTCCATACATAGTTTAGGAGATTCACCTATTCCATGAATTGAGAGTTTTGGTACACCAGTCTAAGAGCTCCAGCACGAGTTGAGAAACTGCTCTTTCATCTTTTAAGGATACATTCCAAGTGACTTATATTTGATTTTAGAAAATACTGGTGAACATACTCCAAACTACTTCCTTGAATCTTTTCTCTTGGGTCTTGAGGTAAAGCCTGGAATCCTTGATGCTCTGGAAACTCTTCAGACAGACTAAGATTACTTAAATCCGTCAGTACCTCCTGGGAGCTGGTACAAGATGCAATTCAGAATTTAAAATTATTCAGAATGTACTAAGATGAGACAGTTTATATATGCATCATGTATTACATAGCATCCAAGAGAGTTCAGTGGCAGCATCACATAACGAAACAGATTAATATTTCTTCATCAAAACATGTGAATATTCATATTAAGTGTAATAAGGACTGTAGATAGCCTCACAGTAGTTTCTTTTGCTACCAAATGAGTAACATTACCATAAAAACAACTTTCAGTTATCAGAGCTTTTAGAAATTCAGAATTGCAAATAAGGATTTGTGGATCTGTAGCTGAATTCATGTATCCAGGGAATCACTATAAAACTCACATCCCTTTATATTTCTCGACTATACCTAAAGGGTTATAAATTGTATACTACAATCAGCCTTAGATATCTTGTAGTTTGCCAAGATGGATAGTTTATAAATTTATGAATTACACACAGACTACATGCATATAAAGTAATATATATGCATAAGTGTATATTGCATTACATGTATTAGTCTGTATAATTCTTCTTTTAGCAGTATTCAGCAATGCATCCAAGTAGCTCTACTTAAACTAGTATATATTGCTTGCCTAGCCCAATAAGGACATATAAATCATTAAGAAAAGATTTGAAAATTATAGCTGGAAATTAGAAAACTGTCTGCAATGGCATAGTTTCATAGAAACAGAAAATGGATTGAGTACCATACTTGAATCTGGAGCCCCTCTCAGCTTCACTTGAAATAATTTTGCCTGAAAATTGCATAACACGAGTTCACTGATAAGAAAAGCAATTAATTTTAATAAAATAAGTACGTCTAAATTTAAACTATCTTTTAGATTTCAAATAGCACAAGAGAAAAACTTCCACAGAAGTTTAAAACGTACTGAGAACATTAAAGGAACTGCCAAATAATAATAAAACATAATAATAAAACCCCTAAATTTAAACTATCTTTTAGATTTCAAATAGTGCAAGAGGAAAAAACTTCCACAGAAGTTTAAAACCTACTGAAAACATTCAAGGAACTGCCAAATAATAATAAAACAAAGTAAACCAAATTTCTATGTCTATGTCCATATTTCTAACTATCATATTGTCTTCAAGTCACTGCTAAAATAAAGTGCTATCAATGTAAAAATGCTGAAGACTGCTTCTCCCTTCCTTTCAAAGAAAATCTGACATTTAGATATGAAGAATGACACCTTCTTATGCCTCCTTCATCTCCCATCTATCTAGAATAAATTGAATACCTTGCAAGGGAGGCAAAACTTTATCTTCACCCTTTTAGGGTCTTCAGCTGGCCTGAGAACTAAATTGATATAAGACAGATTGAGAGGGGAAAAGCATACAAATTTAATATGAATTTTATTTGACACAGGAGCCCTTGTAAGAAAATGAAGAACCAAACAAGTGGTAAAACCTAAATGGTTTTACACTAGATTGGACAAAGGGAGGCAATTCTGGAAAAGTGACTGACTAAGTTGTATGAAGAGGCAAAGAGTATGGGAGACAAAGAGTTATTTTCACAAGGTCTGTTTGTACAGAATCTCTAGGCTTTGACTCTCCATCTCTGGTGATGAGAATGTTTATTTTCTTCTGGTATAGGAAAGACATCTTTCACTTGGGAGTTTCATCGCTTGCTTTCAGGAAGAAAAGGGGGAGATCAGAATGTTCTTCTTGTACTTGCTGTTTTCCAAGTGCCTTTAGCTCAACATAATCCTTATGCCAAAGTGGCATAGTTGAGGGTAGCAAATTGTGCCACCCTTCAACCTCCTGGTGTTCCAAATTTTGCTTTGTGCCTTGAAGGAATCTAACAGAAGTACCAGAAACACCCTTCTATGAGAAGAATTTACAGTCTATTTAGAAAAGATGACACTAGGGTGGTATGGATCAATACAGCACACAACACACAATACACCGTAAAGTGTTTTGCACATCATAAAAACTCAATACATATCCGTTGCTTGATTATAGAACGTTCACTTTCACAGTACCTCTGACCTTTTATTTTTCAATTTAGTCTCTCTGCAGTTCCTAGGACCACATATACTCTGGGGAGTGCAAAAGAGACTTTTACATTAAAATATATGGAAGTGCCACTCTGTAAGCCTGAAAAAGCCCAATGCCAGCCATTTTTTATGGTTCATTGTGGCATAAGAATTGTTCTAGAATATGTTACCCTAGGTCAGTTACTCTTTTATTCATCTTCTAACCTCAATCTTGGACTTTTTGTATTAGAGCAACAGCCACCTCCTACCCGCACCATGAATTTGTTCCTAAAATCTGTGTATCTCAAGATCTTCCCAGTGATAATTGTTTACCCTGGAGCTTGGATATTACCTGGCTGGACATCTGGCTAATAGGCCTTGTGTCAGTTTTCTTTTCCCTCCAGACTTGCACATCCCTGAGAGAGAGTGTTTTGTTTTTTTTTAAATTTTGTTCCCTAGGCTCTTTATTTGCCTCATTTTAGTCCTAGTCCTGCATGGCATCACACTTGATCATCAACCCTGAGCTGTCTGAATTCAGCCATCCAAATTCCACTGAAATGTTCTCACTCCTAAGTGGGTATTTTTCACCCTAATCATATTACCTCCTCTGCAGCATTGGGCACTGTGAGTCACTCTATCCTTACCAAAGCTCTTTCCTCTGTTAGCAATCATGAAGCAGCTGCCTTGCTTCTCTGTACATCTGTACTTCTCTAATCCCACAATTACCACTTACCTTTTGAATCTACCCAAGGCCTGGTCCCCTCTCTTCTTTTCATTTTAAATTTTCTCTGGGCAATCTCATTCTGGAATGGCTTCAACTGCTAACTACATGATGATAGCTTTGTAAACCCCATCTCTAGTTGAAACTTCTATTCTCAACTGCCATCTCAACCTGGAGGTATCACAAAGGTCATAGGCTCAACTATTTATCCTCTTCAGGTTTTTTCTTTTACAGTTGGTAACACCATCCAGTCACCTAAATTAAGACTTTGGAATTTACCTCTGATGGCTCTCCATAGCCAATCTACCACCAAGTATTTTCTTTCTTTTTTCCCTAAAGCCTTCTTAAAACTGTGTTTTTCCTCCCCATACCTTCTGCACTTGTAATGGAGATCACCAAAAGTTACCCAAAGCCCTCCTCAGATAACACCTCTGAATGTGATTTTTCCCTTTTCACCTGAGACCAGCATAAGAACCATCTAGAAACTGATGCTGTGATAGCATGAATTATTTTCATACACCTTTGTATGTAAATAATTTCCACATAAAAATTTCTATATTACTTTTTTATGAAATGTGTTAAAAATTACTGAAATAAAATACTTCTACTTTGAACCAATTTATGAACAATATTTCTAGAAGAGTTATAGATATTCTATACAAAATGAGTTCAATTGTCGTTGGTTTTTACCATAAGACATTATTGATAAAATCCTAATGTTGGAATCTAATAAATACTTACACAGAAAGGGTCCTTAAAAAGACATTAAAGTGCCATTGAATGTCTTCTAGAAGTTACATTTAAAGATAAAATACATTGATATGCTTTTAACTTATTTGGGCATTGAATAAAAGACCTTTCTTATAAATGAGCATAAGACGATTAGTACAAGAGTGGTGAGGACTGAAAAACAATTCAAGATAGGAAATCCTGAAATTGATGTTACTTTATAAACTCTATTTCTAACAAAGAAAATTGAAAAACTTTGAGTTTTTGAAATGTATAATTATTCTAATACATTGAGAACTGTTTATCAATTATGACCAAGGATACTTCACAAAGGCTAGTAAGCATGTCATTCTATGTCAAATCACCCTCCCGATAGGTATTGCTTAAGAACCTGCTAGGAAGAGTGATGTGAAAAATAATACAAGGAACAATGCATTGTTTTTATTCCAAATTAGCTTATAATTTAGTGTGTCAATAAACCATATAAATAACTATAATACTCTAGTAGCATATGATGCGGCTTGTAAAAGCCAGTCACAGAGTTAACTGATGTGACTTTTTAAGTTAGAATTAAATTTTTTTTTATTATACTTGAAGTTCTGGGATACATGTGCAGAACGTGCAGGTTTATTACATAGGTATACACGTGCTGTGGTGGTTTGCTGCACCCATCAACCTGTCATCTACCTTAGGTATTTCTCCTAATGCTATCCCTCCCCTATCCCTCCACCCCCTGACAGGCCCGTGTGTGATGTTCCCCCTCTCTGTGTCCATGTGTTCTCATTGTTCAGCTTCCACTTACGAGTGAGACCATGAGGTGTTTGATTTTCTGTTCCTGTGTTAGTTTGCTGAGAATGATGGTTTCCAGCTTCATCCATGTCCCTGCAAAGGACATGAACTCATCGGTTTCTATGGCTGCATAGTATTCCCTGGTGTATATGTGCCACATTTTCTTTATCCAGTCTATCATTGATGGGCATTTGGGTTGGCTCCAAGTCTTTGCTATTGTGAACAGTGCCACAATAAACATGCATGTGCATGTGTCTTGCACAAAATCACTCTGTCACCTTAGCACCTCTTTCTTTTTGTTTGCCTTTGGAAAATTCTGTTGAAAACCCTTTCTAAATTCCTGCCCACAAAATATTATAAAAGGAGGAGGGAGATAAAGAATAGGAGTAAGAGGAGGAGAAAGTAATGAACTGTGGTTAAAGATTAAAGCTTTTTCAGAAAAGCACTTATCAAAAGTTTCTAAAGAGCTCAGGAGTTAATGCTGTACTTTTTAGGCAATAATGGATGGGAATTGCTTTTGGAAAGCACTCTTTTTTCTTGAAGAGTGCAAAAAATGTATTCCTTTGAGTGAATGAAAATCAATGTTATGGTCAAATATAGAGGAATTGAGGAGAAAACAAGGACAAGAAATGCTCTAAAGAGAAGACTTTGTTGCCTCTTTTCTTCTTCATCTTAGGAATAGGATATCAATATTTGAATCATCCATGGGAGCTTTTCAAAACCCCTATTCCTGAGCTCTACCCCCAGAGAAATGCAATCCAAATCTCTAAGGATAAAACTCAGGTGTCAGTATTTTAATAAACTTCCCAGGCAATTGTGATATGTAGTCACAGTTGAGAACCACTGCTACAACAGATCTAAAAGGCAGAAGCCAAGTAATGCTTTAATGAAGAATTTGAGAGGAGGAATATACATCACCCTCAGCTACTGTCACCTAACTAGCTGATCCTGGTAAGACTGGTAGAAATATAGCATCCAAAATAAGCAAGGGATAAAAGACTACAAATTGGGTTCAGTGTATACTGCTTAGGTGACGGGTGCATCAAAATCTCACAACTCACCGCTAAAGAACTTCCTCATGTAACCAAAATACCACCTGTTCCCCCAAAAACCTATGGAAATAAAAAATAAAATAAAAATAATGAAATAATAAACTGCATTTCTCAGAGGTGCAAAATACCCAAACCCTAAATTTAAAAAAAAAATTAGTGAGAAAAAATAAAATTTCCCTAGCTGTTAAATCCGTGATGTGATATTTCTTCTTTTAATCTGAATCTAAAATGTTCAGTCTTGGTCCAATAATAAACACACTCACTGAAACACACAGTAAAGAATCTAAGCAGGGTGAGGGCCATGGCTCATGCCTGTAATCCCAGCACATTGGGAGGCCAAGATGGGAGGATTGCTTGAGCCCAGAAGTTCGAGACCAGCTTGAGCAATGTAGCAAGAACCTGTCTCTACAAAAAATTAAAAAATAAAAAAAAATTAACCTTGTGTGGTAGAGCATGAAGTTGAGGCTGCAGTGAGCCATGATCACACCAACTGCAGTCCAGCCTGGGCGACAGAGCAAGACCCTGTCTCAAAAAAAAAAAAAAAATAAGAATAATCTCAGCATTTGAGAAGATGATAATATGGAAAGTCAGGTGTGAGGTCAGCATGTGGGTGAATAATTTCAAAAGCTCTTATTTCTTAATATCAGTAAATATATTCCCCTCTTACAGAATTCATGCATGGTATTTTGGGGTGTGTAAAGGTACCTCTCACTTATTCTCATTCTGAAAGTCTTTCACTTCCTTGGTGGATGAAAAGGAAAGCTGCAGTTGGTTATAAAAACGTGACGGATGATTTAGGTGGCTGTATTCAGCTGTAAGCAATAAATGCTGAGCTCGGCAGAAAGTACTATAGGCAAAAACGTGTGATTTACTAGCTATCCAAAGCACATGAGATTTATAATGCATGAGACCCTCAGGCCCATCACTTCTCTTCAGTAATGGGAAACAATATTGTGGGAAAAAATGACACATTTAATTTCAACTTTGTGTTGTAAAACAAAAACGCAGCCTAATTTTCATTTTATTATTATTTTTTTTCTTTTCGTAAAGCATCTTTGCATCTTATTGGAAATACAAATGGCTTCTTAAGAAGTAGGAACAATAGAGCATGTTCAAAACAATATCTATCGGTAGACATTTATTACTGGCTGCATGTTTGTACGTGTTTGGTGGGATGAAAATGAGAAACCCGGAGTGCTGTGACAGACTCATTGTGTTCTGATAGACTCTCCCGAAAACTGATTCTAGAAGCTTAGTGTTCTTTAAGGCAGATGTTTAGCCAGGTGATTGCCGTGGTTACCTATGGATACCGGATACCGAAAAGAGTCTTGGCATACTTAAAAAAAAAAAAAAAAAAAAGGCTAGAGAAAAAAATAGTAGAGACATTTTTTACCCACTGAACTGAGGGTGAAAAATGTAGTCACAAAAGACCATGAACTCAAATCCCAACTCTGTTAATGATATATAATGTGAATGCCATAAACTTTCTGTATCTCATTATATCATCCTGTGAAATACTGACCTATTTTGCAATTGCAATGTGAGAGATAAATCAAACCTCTTCTAAGGTACTTTGAAAATAGATTCTGCATTTCAGAATAAATATTAAACAATAATAATGATGATGGAATAGCTGACACAATGCAAATTTTAAATAGAGCAGAGTAACTTTCTAATTATGAGCTACATTTTATTCTTTGTGAGTGTAATTAGAAAGCGACCATGTTCCTTTAATTAGAAAGTTAATTAGACTGTGACCTCTTTTCCTGTCTTACTGTCTTGGACTACAGGCCAGGAGTAAATTGCAAATCCCCTGACCTACATGACTATAGCCCCCCAAAATCAGACTGTTTAAATAGAAATAACATTATAAGGAATAACATTGGGACTTGCAAGTCAGATGGGGACTTCATAGGCTATAGAAGGGTTCTCTCATGAGAGAAAAGTTTATGTGGATAAATAAAAAAGGGTTCTCTCATGGGAGAAAAGTTTATGTGGATAAATAAAAAAGATACTTTTCCAGATCAAGCCTATAGAGTAAGTTCCCTAAATTGTATTCAGGATGTTGGTTCCTTTGTCCAGTGACTCTATTACTTTAGTATGCATGCAAGAGAATTACCTGAAGGACTTGTTTCTGGGCTCCACACATACAACTTTTTTTTTTTTCTTTTTTTGAGACAGAGTCTCACTCTGTCGCTCAGGCTAGAGTGCAGTGGCACAATCTCAGCTCACTGTAACCTCCGCCTAGCGTATTCAAGCGATTCCCCTGCCTCAGCCTCCCAAGTAGCTGGGATTACAGGCGTGTGCCACCATACCCAGCTAATTTTTGTATTTTTAGTAGAGACAGGGTTTCACCATGTTGGTCAGGATGGTTTCAAACTCCTGACCTCGTGATCTGCCTGCCTCGGCCTCCCAAAGTGCTGGGATTACAGGCGTGAGCCACCGTGCCCAGCTGCACATACAGCTTCTAATTCAGTAAATGTGGGACTCGAGAATTTACATTTCTAACAAGTTTCCAGATGATCTTGGTGACATTGGTTGAGAGACCACACTTTGAGAACTACTGACTTAGAATATTAATAGTGTTAGGCCGAAGTATTGTTTTGTGATCAAATAAGTTTGGAACTTTCAATGTTGAACAAAGTTAAGCAAGTTTGTTTTTTGTGTGATACCTCAAAACCTTTGAATGTTAATATGCTTTGGAAATCTCCAAGAAGGATAGACTGCATTGCTCCTGAAGGGGGTGGCCCTTACAAATGTTTTGGCTCTCTTTATCTCGGAGCTACAAACAGAGGTTTTGCTATTTCACATAGTGTTCTTAGAATGGGTTGTTAGAATGCTTTGTTTTTTAGCATTAACAGAAGAATGTCAGAAATGAGTTTCCATTGGTGTAATTTGTGGTTTCCCCATGTGTGTACTGGCCAAAATATTGTAGAGACATTCCCTACTCTTGTATGAAGAGGGTATACAAATCTAGTAAGGTTTCACCCTTTAATGTGAGAAATGGTACTGTACATTTGATTACCATTTTTGGAAGTTTCTTGATTGCCTGGCTCCTGATAGCCTAATTAGCTGAATTATTTCTCTGATCTTATCATGTTTACCTCATATGAAATTTTCATGTAAAATGACATTTGGACCACTTTAAAGAAATGTGTGACTTCATAGAGTCGACTGTTTTGAGCTAGCTTGTTCGTAAATGTCTAAAGAAAAATTTGCTGTGAAATTTGCTCACATTACAATCTAGAAGCAAAATTCCTAGAGCGAGAGGTTAACCCTCTGCCACTTCTAACCAGTGGCAATTATAGATACTTATCAGAAAAGAGCATAATAAGTTGTGCAAGATGAGATTGCCTGAAGTCAGATTAAAACACTGCCCCTGCTCCCCACTCCAATACTTGTTTGAGTCCTTGTTTTCAAAGGATTTCATGCATCCAGTGTTATTCAAAAACACTTGCGAAAATGCTGTGTGATTATTTTTAACTTCTCAGAACAAAAAAGACCGATGTCACAGGAAACCAAGCAGCATTAGTAAACTGGTCTGTGACATCTCTATTGCACTCTGTGAAAATTCCATGAAAAGCAAAATGGGAATACAAGAATCACAGAGAAACAAACAAGTGGAGAAGAGGCAATGACTTCATGTTTATGTTCTTGGTAGCAATTTCCTAGGGAAATAATAACTTCAGAGAAATAGTCAATTTGCCTTACCTGGTGTGATATACGTTGTATATTGTCTAAAAAATAAGTGCTCTAGAATAGGCAAAAACACTTTGCCTAAAAAGTTGTGTACGTGAATGATACTGGAAAATTCAATGATAGCCTTTTTGTCTGTTCTCATTTTGTGTAGTTGAGAGCAAGATGCTCACAAGTACATATTAATATTGAGTGAAATTAAGAAGTCTCATCCCCAGAATAATGTTGCTCACAAAATAGATGCTCAATAAATGCCTGTGGTTGCATTGGGCTCATTTCTGTTCATGTGCTGTTTTTTTCTTTTCTTTTCTTTTTTTTTTTTTTTTTTTTGACAGAGTCTTCCTCTGTCAAATAGGCTGGAGTGCAGTAGTGCGATCTCCACTCACTGCAACCTGCACCTCCCACATTCAAGCAATTCTCCTGCCTCAGCCTCTTGAGTGGCTGGGATTACAGGTGCACGCCACCACGCCTGGCTAATTTTTTTTTTTTTTTTTTGTATTTTTAGTAAAGAAGGGGTCTCACCATGTTGGTCAGACTGGTCTCGAACTCCTGACCTCAAGTGATCCACCCGCCTCGGCCTCCCAAAGTGCTGGGATTACAGGCGTGAGCCACTGTGCCCGGCCACATATGCTGTTTTAATTTCAACTTATTACATGGCTTAGAATATATTTTTAAAAAGATATTTTGATGACACAATGACCCTGATCTATAGGAATGCCATTTTTAGCCAGAATTAATATAGAGCACTCTGCTTTGGGATTAGCTTTGGGTTCAGTTTTTGGCCATATCATTTACCAGCTCAGTCATGGGAAGGATACCTTGGAACATTTAATAATTTTTTGGAGTTTCAGCTTGATTCTCCCAAAATGTGACTGATTAAATCTTACCTAATACGTCATTCATTCATTCAACAAACATTTAATGAATGTCCAGATGTGACAGGTGCTGCTCCAGGACTGGGGGCCAGGAGTAAATTAATGCATTAGCTGCTCTCATGGAGCCCACATCTGGTTGCACAAGACAGGAAAGACCACCAGAAAGTACGTAGTAGAATATCTTGGGATAATGAGCACCATGATGAGAAATAAATCAGAGTAAGGGAACAGGGAGAATTATAAAGACGCTCTTTTATTAAGAATCAGGCACAGCCTTTCTGATAAATGGAGGTTTGCAAAGACGAAGTGGTCTTCTGTGCACGGGACAAAATGAGATAAAGCATACACAAATAGATTGTGAAATATTTGACGTGGTGTTAGGTATGAAGCAAAAAAAAATCTATTTCATTGTGATTACCATTACCATATTATCACTGATGTTGATGTATTTTCAGAAACACCTATCTCGTGTGCATATTTGGTAGACAAACCTGAGGAAAGAATTCCTAACTAATAAAAAGCCTCATAAATCAAATGCCACTTAACAAAGGGACCAGTCTTGTTAACATTGCTGCAACAGAACTCGAGCTCTCACCACTGCTTTAGTGAGATCATTAATATGATCATTGCAATAGTTTGTGCTCCTAGGATTATTGATAGAGAAAATGTGTATGATAATAACTATTAAAAATGATATCACCCATCACCATCAATTACTGATTCCTCTGTATGCATCATACAATGTGCATAGTGCTTTATATTTTCTATTGCTGTTAGTTCTCCCAACAATCCTATAAGGTAGATATTCTTAAGATGTTGTCAAATAACTTGTTCAGGATCACCCGGGCAACTTTGTAATCAGACCTGGGATGGAAGCCTGGAGCAGAGTGAAAACAATGCCCATGGCCTATTGACCACATTCATAATAAAATATATATTGGTAAAAAAAAAATAAAATTACAAGACTCTTAAACTTTTATATGTTTCAGTTAACATTATGAAATAGACAACTAAACTTTTGCCCTGATTTGGAACCCAGACTTCTGTGTGCTCTTTGTTTTTTAATGAAAAATGTGTTTTAAATACTTCTGTGGTCTGAAAGTATCCCCTAGAATTCCTATTTTGAAAATCCCTAGTGTGATGGTATTAAGAAACGGGGCCTTTTGGAGGTGATTAAGTCATAAAGATAGAACCTTCATGAATGGGATTATCAACCTTAAAAAAGAGATCGAAGAGAGTGGCCTAGGCCCTTTTTTGCCATTCCACCACTTGAGGACACAGCATTCAAGGCACCATCTTGGCAGAGACCAGTCCCTTACCAGATACTGAACCTGCTGATACCTTGATCTTGCACTTCCCAGCCTTCAGAACTTTGAGAAATAAATTCTCGTTTATAAATTTCCCAGCCCCTATAGCAACACAGACTAAGACAAATACCAAATAAACATAAAATAAACTCTTGGAGAACACATTTGCACACCCAAAACTTCCTGAAGATAGCAATTCCTAGAATTCGAAGCACTGAGAGAGTAAACAATTTACTTTAACTTTTGAAACCATGCAGCCTCCCCTCAATTCCATGTTTTATCCCTCATCTGTCGATAGTGCATGGTGCTGTAGGTCATGATCAAACTTCCAAATAGAATCATTCATACAATTCTAAGTCATCATTAAGGCCAATTCAGAACGTGGAGATTTTATAATTTAGTTGCTGTTTGAGAAACTGAATACCTAAGACAGCTTATTTGATTATTGAACTTTATTTAGTGGAATGACCTCTGGTGGCACAAATAATAGAAACTGCTTTCAAATTATCATTCAGGGTAGCTTGTAGTTGGCCATGAATAGAGAGACAATTAAGTAGCAAATTTATTACAAAGCAAATTCCCCAGTGACCTACTGTTTTTCTTTTCTAGTGAGGTTCCTCAACGCATAATCCTATTACTTTTGGCTTGAATGAGCTAGTCACTGTCTTCCAAGCTGAACTATGATGTTACATGGAAGTTTAATTTTCATCTTATTTAATTTGACCTTAAGTGAGCTGGATCATGAAAAGGCAACATAATCTCCAATTCTCGACGTTAAGCGTCTTTTAACTACTCTACCCAGTAATCATTCCCAAGAGACATTGTGAAATTGTTTAAAAATTGGTCACAAATGCTAATGCTAATTTTATGCCCCCAGATATTTTGGCATCTCTTTCTTCTTATTGTGCCTTTTACACTGTGAGGCACCCAGCAGGACATTCCTATGGATGGATGGACTTAAAATAATAAATTCCAACCACCATTCTCTCTGGCTAGGCCCCCTGCTCTAATGCTTAACACAATGCGTGGCACATGGTTAGCACTCATTTGGTGTTAGTTGTCTGAATCACGAACTCAACGAATTAATGAATATACAAATCAGCTAACAAACAGACAGCAGAATGTTGACCTTCTACTTTCTCTCATTTGTTTGAAGTGCAATTCAAGACCGGAGAACCAAGTGGACAAAATACTGCATATAGATACAGCAGCAAATGCTTAATGACTTAAATATCCTGGAAATATTTTTATATCTTACTCTGACTTTTCACAAACATTAAACCAAAGGAATGCTTAACTGGCAATTTTAGGTTCTCACTGGGCAAACTCATGGGATAGGCAGTGTGGAGAGGGGCTTGCATATGTTTTTTGCATCATTTCAATACCCCACATCTGAGAGTGTACAATTTGGGTTAGATTTCCACTCAACCGGTTGGAATTTCAGGTTTTGGACTACGTCCTCTCTATTTCCTCTTTATACTTTCATATTTGGAAAGCATGATATGAGTACTGTCTTAGGGAGAGGATAGACAGGAAAGGGAAGCTACTGAAAGCCTTCTTTTGAAATAATAATTTCTTAATCTATGCACTAACACACAAGAGTTTATATCTCCTGGAATTTTAAAGTAATAATTGTAGTGTGACAAAACAATGTTAAGTCATAAGATACATTTCAACGTTTTAAAACACACACAGAATACATCAGTGCCCATTATGTGATAACTGAGAGATTAATTTGCAACCAATAATATCCTTGGTATTTTAGCGTTGTGGATTGTCAAAGGCTTGCTTATTGCAGGTTAAGACATTAAAGGGCCCACATTCCCACTTCTTATTAAAGGGAGACTTTACGAAAGGTAGGCACTGTCTCTACACTTCTGGGAAGAAAGCCTGGTGATACGTAATGCTCCCCCTAGCAGAAAAATAGTGGTCACCAGAAGCATCTCTCCATAAGATAAGGTGAGACAAATAGTGCTGGGCCAAACCTTGTGAACTATGGGCTTCAACAAAAGCTAAGAGTCTCATCATATAACTCTCACCTAGACTCAGACTATTTCAAGCAAGAATTAAGGTAATGACATGAACTTCTTGCCACAGTTATCTCTTTATTATAAAATGTCCTTGACTACAAGGAGGTGTAAATAATAACTGCCATTCCATGGATAATCAGGGTAAGCTCTATACATTGTCTGCCAATTACCATGTACTACTTGAAAATTGTTAATTTAGTTGAACTTGAAAAAATAAACAAGTGGCCCTCTTTGGCATAGTCTAGAAGAGACTGCATAGGAAAAATGGGAAATTAAGGTGGAGGATGATGGATGGGGTTCTCTGAGTACAGCAGAGGGGGCAAGCAGAAGAGTTGGAGCATCATGAATGGGGTCACAGTACATTAGTATGGCTTCTTTGGCTTGATTGTGGAAATGTGAGAGACAACTATTGTGAGATTCAAAGACAGTGGTAACATATATAAGAAGTGACTGACAAGATGACAGCCACTCAGGAAAACTGCCTCAGAAGGCAGCCAGAAAGGATCAATTCTGGAAAATGACTGGCGGAAGCTATTAGGCATATTGAATGGGTCTGACTTAGTGGTTGATTTGACAATGAGAGCAAAAGATAGATGTTATAAAACATCATTCAGAGTCAATGAATCTGGCTATTGCCAAAGACAGAGAAATGAAAGAATAAAAGGGAAGGTATGGGGAAGAAAATAAGAAAAAAATTAAATGATTATCTTTAGTTTCTGCATTAGTTCTTCTGCTTTGGAATCTCCCTAGCTGCCTGCAGCCAGGGGCAAAGATAGTTTCACCTAGAGGGTCCTGATTGAGGCTGAGGATACCTAGGCTCAATCACAGCAGTGGCACTTCCCATTCAGAGGAAGGCTTAACATTAATTATGAGACATGAGATCCAGGTGCTGAACTGACAAATCTATTCTCTCTCCCAAGGCTTCCCAAATCACAGCTCCGATAGGCAGTTATCCTAGCTTGTATTAGTCATAATTCCCTGTAGCCAGAGCTTCCACTTTTCCTTGCGTTCTGATTTTGATGCTATCTTATAGATTACCCTCCTAATTACAACTCACTGCTTACCTGGTTCTCCAGGAATCATAGCATAGTTTTTTGAGTACTCTGTCTCACTTGCCTGGTCAGGACACACTACCTCACTTTCTATTCTAACCATTTCTCAATGCCGAGGACTCATATCTCAGACTCAAGACAGTTATATTGTTTTATTTTTAAAGTCACTAAGATATACCCATATCTTGGTATTCCATAAGCAAGAAGGAAGTGAGATGAGAAAGTGGTTGCAACCACAGTGTTAAAAATATGGACTGGAAACTTGTCTATTTGCAGATGGTATTAGATTTCTATTGCTGCTGTAATAAATTACCACAAGTTTAGTGGCCTAAAACAACACAAAGTTCTCGTCTTACGGTTCAGTAGGTTAGAAGTCTGACATGGGTCTTACTAGAACAAACTCAAGGTGAGGCTGAACTCAACAGGGCTGAATTCCTTTCTGAAGCTCTAGGAAGAGTCCATTTCCTTGCCTTTTCTAAATTTTAGAGGCTGCCCACATTCCTCAGTGTGTGGCCCCCTTTTTCCATCTTCAAAACCGGCAACGTCTAATCTCTCTGGCCCTTTTTTCCATGCTGTATCTCTGATCACAGCGGGACAGATTTTCTGCTTTAAAGGACCAATGTGATTAGATTGGACCCACCAGGAAAGTCTCCCATCTCAAAGTCTATAATGTTAATCATGCCTGCAAAGTCTCTTTTCTCATGGAAGGTAACATATGTACAATTTCTGAGGTTCAGATGTAGACATCCTTGGGGGACCATTATTCTGCCTTCCACAAAGATATTTTCTAAACCATTGAGAACAGATGAGAGTCTCATATCCACTAACAAGAGCCATTTTGATATGCAACACAGCAACCCAATTGACAAGGAAGTCCTCAGAGATAGTGTAGACTGTGATACTCTTCATCTTTAATTCTATAGGTTTTACCTGCGTAGTGTCTGACCTGAAAGTGACAAAGTTTCCCACACCTTGCTAGATATTCCCACACATTCCTATTTAGCCCATCTAGACATTAGAAGGGAAGCTTTCCTATTTATGATTCCTATTTAATTGGAGTGAATGGATTTCTGTCATTTCCTGTTGTTCCTTCCATAGCCTTATGATTGTGTGGTAATTTGAAATCTAGACCTTTTTCTTTTCTTTTTTTTGAGATGGAGTCTTGCTCTGTCACCCAGGCTGGAGTGCAGTGGCGCTATCTCTGCTCACTGCAACCTCCGCCTCCCAGGTTCAAGCGATTCTCCTGCCTCAGCCTCCCAAGTAGCTGGGATTAGAGGTGCCCACCACCACGCCGGGCTAATTTTCATATTTTTAGTAGAGATGTGGTTTCGCCATGTTGGCCAGGCTGACTTGAACTCCTGACCTTGTGATCCGCCCGCCTCAGCCTCCCAAAGTGCTGTGATTACAAATGTGAGCCACTGTGCCCGGCCCAATCTAGACCTTTTTCTAAGTTAGTTATAAAATTTTACATTTTTCCCTCCTTGCAAATTTGTTCCCATTTGAAGAACCATCTGCAAGAAGAAGAATACATACCATTCACCAAACCTTCTATCCGTTGGGTCTATCAGAGAATTAGTATTGGTGGTGTCTTCTAGTCCTCTTGCAGATTAACAGGTTATCCACTTGACCTGATTATCCATGACATCAATTTGGTGTATCCTAAACTTCATCAGAGCAGAATATTCCTCAGAAGGAATATCATGTCAGGTAGCTTTTCAGCACTAAGCCTATAAATATCCTGCCTGTGTAGGCACATGGGAGTCAATCCTGAGAAAGCAGCTCATTGAGGCAAAAAGGGGAGATTTTTAGCTGAATCAGACAATTACTCAATAAGTCTGCTTTGTGGATGTTTGTGTCTCCCCCAAAATTCATATGTTGAAAGCTAATTCCTAATGCAATAATATTAAGAGGTGAGACCTTTAGGAGGTGATTAGGCTCTACCCTCATGACTGGGATTGATGCATGTATAAAAGAGGCCCAAGGGAGTTTCCAACAAGTGCTGGGCTATCTGCTGTTAGCTAGCACTTAAGATGTCTTACCTGTAAAGTGTCTTTCACTATAATTAGTCTTTCTGACTAATTGTCAGATTCAGCTAACAATCTCTTCTTTTTGCCTCAATGAGCTGCTTTCTCCCATTTGCCTACACAGAACATAATTGTTTCATACACTAGAATTAGATCAGAGTAGATTCAGGCTCTTCATTACAAAATGCTCATCTCTGCTGGATGTTAATATCAAAATCAGAATTCTAGTTCTATCACATATTGACTGATATAAGAATAAGTTTAGTTTAAAATAAAAGGTGAGAGAAAGAATGGAAAAGTAATAATATGGAACATGAGCAGCGTCTCGACTTGTTTCTGCTTCCTCTCTTTTTCTTACTAATTAAAACAGATAACAACAAAGCCCTTTGGTCACAGCCCACACAATCACAAGTGGTTCCCTTTGTTGATGTGATGTCACTGGAGGGGAAATGAGCAGTTGACAGGCTGTGCAACCAAGAAGGCAAAATGAGCTCAACCATTTGAATAAAACATAGCAGGTCTCCCACTCCATGTCATTGACTGACATAACCCACCAGACAGTACCCTTTAAATAGGCTGTCTCTCTTTTATGTAGCAAATAAAAAAAAAAATGTAACATGTAAATATCAGGTGATTCTTCTTCAGCATCTGTGGTTGCCAGAAGGAATTTACTGCCTTTTCATTGTGTGGTTCAACTTGGTCTTCAGGTGGTGTGCCCCAAAATCCACAATTAGTGGGATCCAGTGGTGCTGTGGATGTTTGTGCCCCCCCCCCAATTATATGTTGAAAGCTAATCCCTAATGCAATAATATTAAAAAGTGAGACCTTTAGGAGTTGATTAGGCTCTGCCCTCATGAATGGGATTGATGCCTGCGTAAAAGAGGCCCAAGGGAGTTTGTTAGACCCCCCACTTCCGCCCTGTGATGACACAGCAAAAAGTGTAATCCGTGAAGCAGAGAGCTCACGCCAGACATTGAATCTGCTGTCACATTAATCTTGGACTTCCTAGCCTCCAGAACTATGAGATATAAATTTTTGTTCTTTATAAGCCACCGACTTTGTGGTATTTTTTGTTATAACAACTTAAATGGACCAACACAAGTGATGATGTTTCTAGAGTCTGTGTATGTGCATGTGCCTAAGTATTTTGCCAATTTAGCGTTAATGAGTACAGCAATGCCAACAATGGATCCATTCTTTGCCTCTCCTATTACCGCAGGTCTCCTTTTCACAGATCAGTATAGATAAGGGTAGTAGAGATAAATATTACGAGGTTATCTGTTAGTGCCTGTTCAATCAACTCTTGATTTTACAGTAGTCTTCCTGTGTACCATGACCCAGACATCTTATAAAAGCAAAACACAAATTGCAGTTTTAAAATGCTATTGCTCTGCACCATTATTTTCCTCTTCCCACTAATTTGCTTGCGATTCAATGTGTTTTCTAGCATCTCTCATGTCTTGGGTTCTTGGCCCTCATATTTCCCTTTGGATTGCTTCATTTTGGTGGATTTTGGGAATTCCCCCTTGGCTAATAAAACCTTGGTTATTCCTTTCTGTTCTGCTGCCTAGATGACTATTCCCCATTCCAAACTTTAACCCTGTGGAACCCCACCCCCACACAGGCCATCTATAGACCTTTGTTCTTCCTAACATTTTCAACAGGGCAATGAAGTGTTTCATAAATATTTGGGGTTTTATGGAAAAAAAATGCTCTAAGGCAGCTTAAAGCTATTCTTCAAAATAAGAAAAGTATTCTATATTTTAAACATGTATATAGTCATCTTCTTTACTGGGGAATTAATGGAGTACTCTAAGCTATTGCCCCTCCCACTCTCTTCTCTTCAGCTACCCAAAGTGATGATGTGGAACTTCCAGATTTTCTCCTGCAAGTTCATGCTTTATTTATTCCATTATGAGGTCCACATCAAATTATATTACCATTCCTGGGATTCTGGAGTTCAGATCTTTGGAAAATCACAGTGTCAACAGAAATTATAAGATAAAGGCACTTATATATGAGGAATGATCCCTTGCCCTGCATTTACAGATTCAGATCAAAAACCAATGCCCACATATTTTATCTCTAGCTTTTACTAAACAGTAGAGTCCGTGACTTCATTCACAGTAGGTGATTGATACATTTCGACAAAAGTATTTTGCAAAGACGCTTCCTGCAGCATCAACAGTAAAAGAGATACTGAGGTAGGTGCTATATGTATCTTCTGGATACAAATTTCCACCAAAAAAAATTTCATCTTAGCACATATCTTTGACTTATGGTGTTCAATTTTAAATATAACTGGCAGTTTTGATAAAATGCATTCCTTTCCATTGTTTCTGTTACAAAGAATGCAATTTTAAGGTTTTCTGTTTTTGTAAATTGGAGCGGTGGATACAACAGTTACCACCCCCACACATACACTTCTCTAACACATACATATATACACACAGTTTTAACATTCCCAATTCTTTAAAAAATTATCTTTGATCAAATTATTGTTTATATGATGTAAATGCCTTGGACACTACTGCCTGTCAGTGATGCGAGTCAGTTCTTCTATTCCTTTTATTGGCTCCTCAGAGATTTCTGGAAGTCCATCTATAATAGAATCATTATTTCATAATGATAACATATTTTAAAAACTCATGGTTTCAGAAACATGAGCAAATTGCCTTGTAAAAGCCTACATTGAGGGAGTTGTGCAGACTTTAAAACACCTCAGCTTCTCACTGCACATTGGATATGGTTGAGTATTGCAAATACAGCCATATTTATCCATGCTATCTAGCATTAGACAGTCCTTATCATCAAGTGATCTGAGGGCCTCCTTCATCAGCTTCCCTTGGAATGCTTGCTATCAAAGTACTTTCCTGAGCCCGCTACAGATTTAACAAACCAGAGTCTCTGTGCACCCAGAGAAGGGAGTTTGCTCCAGTGATTTTCGTGCACACTAAGGTTGGAGAACCATTGTCCCTCAGAGCCATTAGAAATTCAGCTTGCATCAGTCTAGAGTTCTACAAGAGGCAATCACAACAACATGCTATCTACGAAAATCCTATATTTCCATCCCTGACTCAGAATCTATAAATTTCAGTTTAATTTCCACTAAATGTATTATCCCGGGAAAAAGGGCAGGAAGTAATTATGGAAAAACCATTGAAACGTAAGCATGGTGAGCAGATAGTATGAATATGAGTATAATCTGACACTTTTAATATCTCAGAGAACAGAGGAACAATAGGGAAAGCAGGTACTGACCAGCCCCAGTTCACGTTTGTTTCTGCCCTCTTGGGCTGTGCAACTGTGTGACTTGGGCAAGTTACATGACCTTGATAGTCAAAATGTGAATGACAGTATGTGTATATTAGTGATGTTGTGAGAATTAAATGACTGATATAATGTGTCCACCAAGATAGTAGACAGATAGTAGGCCCCCGTGTATTAGTTACCTTTCTTGTTTTCTACCACTACTACCCAAGAGGGAAGCTTCTAAACTCTGAAGGAGATCTGTTGATAGAGTCTAATGTGTCATCCAGCTTTGTCTCTGGGTCATATAGAGATACAGTTTGTATGCCAAAAAAAATGTAGTCCTCTATACAGTTCAGAAAATTACCACCAATATGCTTTATCAAACAGCAGCTACAGTGTAGTATATGCCAACCTCAGAGTGGGTCTCCTCTTAAAGGTTCCCAAGTATCCAGTCATGTAAATGAAGACTGCATCTAAGGAGTTAGCTGTACAGAGAAGAGTCTCTGAGAAAGCGAAATAGGGTTATAGTCTCCTCTAGTCCTTACTTTCGCTTTAAGGAAGGAGAAAATAGCAAAGAGTGAAGAGGCCTGGAAAATTGCAGTAAAACAGAGCAAATAGGATAAGAGACTAATAAAATAAGTGGAGCACAGAGAAACTAAATTGAATGACAACACATGAGAAATGTACTCAAGTTTTGACTCCTGATTTGTGAACCAGAATCTGCCAATAACAACTACCAAATAGATCAGCCCAAATATCTATTAGTAACCCCCAAGAACAGTGCGATGTAGTAGAGTGACCCAGCAATAAACAAGGCCCCATCTCTGCCTTCTAGTGTTTTACAGACTAGGAGGAAGCCTCCACAAATTTGGCACAGTTAATGGGTAGCTAATCAGAAAAAATTAAGCTTATATCAATGTACTTAAGCTGTGAAGAAAAAGCCTCATACTTCTTGTTAAAAATAAATATAGTTTGATTGCTCAAAGAGATCCCAGTCCACAGATTACCACAGTAAATAATTGCACGCCCATCTCTTTTGCAAAGCACAAAGCAACCTGCTCCACGCGCCTCAGATGCCTTTCTGAATCACCACAGAGGGAGACTTTTAATCATTTCAACAACCAGAGCACCAGCTTTGTTCTCAAACAATGCTGGAAGGTTTCTCACACCTCTACTATCCATAGTATTATAATTTTTCATTTTTCATAGGCAGGGGTTTTGTTTTATTTGGTTGGTGTTGTCATATCCCAGAAACGAAACAGGCCTGCAAAATCAATGCCACACGTACAACTATGTATATATTCTCCCCTGTAAATCTCCATTAGCTTGATTGGGACTCCATAGTGGCTGGAGGTATTGCCTGCATCTGCCTTTCATTCTTAGTTTGGGCAAAATGAGTGGTGAATGACTCTTATACCTGCCTTTTAAAATTGGGGATCTCAGATGAGCCCTGGCTCTACCACTAATTGCATGGAACTACTTGGTAAGCAGCATCACTGAGGCATCAGCATCCCATCATATTTATTTCTAGGGAAGATGACAAATTATGGCCAAATTAGCATCGATATGAACAAGTTTGTAGAAGGGTCAAAATATAAATACAATATACAAATAACTACAGCAGTAATGTTTTTAATCACTACATTTTCAAAAATATTCTACCGAAAAGGGTGATTAACAAATTATTATTATGTTAACCTAGAAAAAGAACATAATCAGTATATAATCACTAAGAAGACATTAGGCACATTTAAATAAGTAGGTGTTTGCATGTTAATACACACGTACTCTTAGCTCAGGAACATGATCCATTAACCGATAGAACGAGTAAGATGTTAGCTAATTGGTGAGTTCTTGCAGTGAGAAATGTCTAATGTGAGTCCCTGGTACCTGTGATTTTCAAAATTATTTAAACAGGAATCAAAACTGTTTTAATAATTTTTGAAAGCATTCCCATGCTTTAGAATTTTGGTTTAAGGCTTAGACCAAAATCATCATGGAAAAAATGTGTGTCTAGTGCTGAATCACTTTGACTTGTATTAGAATGTCAGCTCCAAGAAGACAGACATTTTTGTCAATTTTTAATCATCAATGTACCCACAGTGTTTACAAGAGTATCTGGTACACTGTAGGGTTATTAGCAAATATTCACAAAATAAACAAATAAATAATACTTACCTGTTTCATTACAGTTTCTCTGCCAGAATTGTAATCATTGGTCAAGTTTGATAGTGGACATGGGCCTCTTTCTTGGGAAGTAATAACAATAGGAAGATATGGTACTGAATGCTAGCTTATGGGAGGTGTGGGTTAAGAGGTCTCAGGGATGCCCTGTCTTATAAAGAGCTCTGCACAAACTTAAGCTTAAACTAACTGGAAAATTAGGACAGCCATCTCTGTCATTTCTCTAGCGTCTTCTACCCTCTATTGCTTTCCAGATGCAACTCAGGGGACTCTCCTTCCCATTTTCCTGGCCCTTTGCTTTCTTTATTGGGAACTAGTTACCTTCAATTCTCCCCCTTTGGGTTTATATGCATTTTAGATTATTATGGTTATTCTTCTTGTAACCTCATTTGCGTGGTAGATGCAAAACAGAATTTGAGACATTGCCATGAACAAAAATGGAGCCAATTATTTGTATTTACATACTTTTCTGAAGTCTATTCATCAGATTTTCTGATTCTTAGTGAGGACTTACTTAGGATTATTCAGATGTGGTCAAGACAAAAGCAATGAAATAATCATCTGAGGTTTTGTATTATCTACAGATATAATTCTTTATATTTGCTAAATAACAAAAGGAAATATTTTTCTCTTGTTCTCTCTGAATGAAGGGCAATTGTGCTGTTTTTCTGTCACTGTCTATAATTTTACTTCTAAGAAATGGCATGAAGGTATATCAGTTACATAAGAGGGCTTTTATTTGTCCTTTTTGGTATTTTTTAGTGTTTGGTTTAATGATTAAAATATATTGTATCTCTTAGATAGTTAACTATACACTTACCATATGACCCAGCAACCTTACTTCTGGGCATTTACCAAAGAGAAATGAAAATCTATGCTCACACAAAAACCTGCACATGAATGTTTATAGCAGCCTTATTCATGATTGCCAAATAACTTAAAAAAGCAGCCTACATAGAGTTCATTGGGTGAATGGATAAAAACCAACTGCGATACAGACATACAATGGAATAGTACACAGCAGTAAACACCAAAGCAGACTCTTGATATGCACACAACATGGATAGATCTCAAAGACATTAGGATGAGTGAAACGATCTGGTCTGAAAAGGTTACACACTGTATAATTCCATTTATATGACATTCAGGAAAAGATAAAACTATAGTAATAGAGAACAGAACAGTGGTTGCCTGGGATTAGGAGTAGGGAGAGAATGCCACTTCAAAGGAATAATAGGATTAAGACTTTGGGGGTGATGAAACTGTTCTGTAACCTGATTGGGGTGTTGGGGTGGTAGTTTTATATATGTGTGTGTGTGTGTGTGTGTGTGTGTGTGTGTGTGTGTATATATATATATATAATATTTGTGTACATGTGTATCTGCATGTATTTGAACATATATACAACTGTATACCAAGAGAAAAAAAGGTAATTTCCCAGTATGAAAATTTTAAAAGTAAAATTTAAAATATATCAAAAATATCATATTGTTCCTTATAAATCTATAAGCATAGAGAAAAAGCTGGAAGGGTACTCAAGAAACGTTATCATCTGTGTGGAGGGACTTCAAAATAAGAATCTATTTCTTTTGTCTTTGGAAAAAAAAGCTATTTCCGTTTTAAAAATATCGTGAAGTCTTTTGTTTAGAATTGGTAAAGGTGCTTTTCTAAAAACGCTCATTTTCTTGTAGCTTTTGGTTAATAAAAATACTCAAATTATTACTGATTATTTTTATACAGTATTTTTTCTGGCAGTATTAACAGTATTTGTATATGGTGAGTGTTATATTACTTCTGCCAAGCTTGAAAACAGAGATGACAAGTTCCGTAAGTGTAAAAAAATAAATGAAATTAATAGTTTCGTGCCTAAGAGCCTCTCTTTGCATATGAGATTAGTACACTGTTCTCATGCTTATTTTGTATTATAATTCACTTCTTCAGAAAGCTCACTTTATTCCATTCAGTTGCAAAGCTTGGATGGTTGGTATGCCTATAATAAATTTAGAAAATTAAGTTATTACTGCAGTGAAGTTTTCAAAACTCCATCCACTCACAGGTATTTCAGTTATAATTTTGATAATGGAGAAGATGGAAAGATAGATACTATCAATATTTTTTCCTTTGCTACATTTATTCCCTTATGCCTTAAAAACGAGGGCATGATATGATATTCCATATGCTAACGTGTGTATATGTAAAAGAAAGAGAAAAAGGAACTTGCTCTATACTTTAATTTCAGAATATGGCTACCTTTGCTTATGTTAGAATGTCAGCAACAGAAAATTAAATAGCCCATATAATTAATGCTTGTCTTTTATTCCAGAGTAAGTTTCTTTCTGTGTTTTGCACATAGTGTAACACAAGTTTGTTGCTGTTGCTTTTTTCATTGAGAAATCTTTAAAATGATCATGAAGTGTGCAAGTCAAAGTAAAAACAATAAAACGAGGTATTCAAGTAGATACTGAGAGGTAAATGAATTATGTTCGTTTTATGGCAACATCCAAATATTTTGTGTTTCCATTTTATGTCAAAAGTTAAGCTTTAGCTGGAATAAAAAATTTCCTCTCTTGGTAAAATCAGTTGACTTAGCAGTTTTATGCAAGAACTGAAGTATTCAATCAACATTTTTTTTTCCATCAAACTTCCCTTTTGACAGGAAATTCTGTGTCTGATTCTTTTTTTCTTTAAACTGCATTCAAAAGAATAATAAAAGAGCACCACATGTCCTCTTTGCTGAAGGAGTTTTTAAAGAGATACCACAATAATTATTTTCTTGCTTGGAAGCTACCTTTATTAAGAGGCCAATTTTATACTGGAATCTACTATTAAAATTATGTGACTAATGTTTCATTATGAATCATGATCACAAACAGAGTCATTATGTATGGGAGACCTGAGAAATGTTCGCCAACCACATTCAAAAATAGATATTTGTGTGTGTTCCAGTTACATTTTATTTGAAAGATCACCTTCCTTTTTTTCTTCCAAATATTCCCTTTCCCCCTCCCTTGTGGTCCTCCTCACATCTGAGCTCCTTTTCTTTTCACAGATGGTGATACTCTTTGAGGTCAGGTACCTATGACCTGGAGTGTTTCTTGAAGCACTTCCAATATTCGGTTCTACTTTTTCAATACTCATGACAGCACGCAGTCTAAGGCAAAACAGAAGTGAGGGTTGATTGATCATAAATATAGCTGACACCACCAAGCTGTCAGGGAGCAGGACACTGAATTGATCAAATTTTAAAAGTGGAGGATGTGTGGAGCCAAAAGGAGGTCGCCTTATTTTGGAGTCATCAGCTGAGGGCTAAGAAAAGAAAATTCTGGAATTCTGCTCTGTCAGGATATGGGATGGGCTTTTAGAAGAAAATAAGGAAACTGATTTCATTGCAACATGACTTTTGGCAGTTGTTTTACCTTACCTTTTGCTAAAATGTCATCCCCGCACCCCCCTCATGACCCTTTACTATTCTCCTTCTCTTTATTTTTAATTTTGTAAATTTTAATTTTTGTGGTGACATAGTAGGTATATATATTTGAGGGGTACATGAGATGTTTTGATACAGGCATGCAATGTGAAATAAGCACATCATGGAGAATGGGGTATCCATCCCCTCAAACATTTATCCTGTGAGTTACAAACAAACAACTCGATTACACTCTTAAAGGTATTTTAAGTTATTTTTTACCTCAGAAATCTCTGGTTCATATTATCAGAGACTTAATAATATTTATTGATCAGAATTTAACATTTGAATAATTTATTCTTTTCTTATATGTACAGTAGTGATTGGGTGGGAAGAGGGCTGAGTTCAAATATTTACTCTCCCACAAGCTACTTGGCAACTTAGGTAGTTGGAACCTCATGATCCAAGCTCTGAAATCTTTGGAAACTACATTGTAAGAGACAATTGGTTCTATAGAGGGAAACCCTTGCAAAAGTTACATGTGCTCTACTGATATATCAAATGTATGTGTGTATGTGTGTGTGTATAGTAGAACTGATGGTAGATTATTTCAATTATATAGCATTAATGACAGGTGGACTCAATTTATTTTCTCTAAGCAGCTGAAAATTCTCACCAAGAAACAGCCTTCCTGTATTCACCACCTTTATTTGAAGTTGAGAAATAAAATGTTGCCAAGTATATCCAGGGTCATCCCATTTTTCTAAACACAAGTTTTCTCTGCACTATGACACTCACATTACTGCTGCTAACATGACGAGCTTCAGATATTATCAGGAGGCATTTTGTATAGTAGTTAATAGTATAAGTTCGGGTACTAGTCCTGGATTCAAATTTTGGGTTGGCTACTATCCAGCTTATAATCCTGGATAAATTATTTAATTGCTCTCAGTTTCAATTCCTCATCTTCCATAAACTGGAATAATACTAGTACTGACATCCAGGGTTGTGAAGAGAATAATCTACATCAAATGTCAACAGTCATTTTCTGTAACAGACCAGACAGCAAATATTTTAGGTTTTACAGGCCATATAATATAGTGTCTTTCACAACTACTCAACTGTGCCTTTATAGTATAAAGGTGGACCTATACAATACATAAACAAGTGGGCATGGCTGTGTTTCAATAAAACTTTATTTACAAAAACAGGCAGGAAGACTGATTTAGCCCACTGGCCCTAGTTGGCAAACCTCTGGTCTATATTAATGCTTAACACAGTTCTAAACATTAATTTTAATTAATGTAAATTAAATGTTATTAGTTCTGTGGCATACATTTCAACGTATGCCATTATTCAAGAATATGTCACAATCATACAGGCCATACTGTATTTCTCCAGAAACTAAAATTACTATATCCTAAAGGAAACTACCATGGTTTGAAGATTTGTTTGTGAGAAATTCTGCAGTAGCATCTGGTGATCTGGTGAGAGGGACATAATAATCAGTAAATAGTTTGCAGTACCTTCTTATCAACTAAATAGATGAACGATGCTATAAAAATGAAACAAAAGTGACTTAATGAAATCTTCAGTAACGTAGGGTCACACATTTATTCATTCTTCAAAGTAGTTATCCTTTCACTATAATTTCCTTCCTAGATTTTGCTAAACATATACAACTGGTAGAAGCCTAATGTGCTGTTCCTGTAACATTATATTCCTGTTCCTTGACTTCCTGATATAATGAAGCTGATTATATTCCGTGTTTGATAATGTTCATCCTATTAGGATTGGGAAATCCATTGACCACCGAGCACAACCTTATGTTCATGTTCTTATCATTAGCACCACTCCAGCTATGGAGCTGTCAGCATTTTCAGCCTAAATGCTGCTTTCAGGGGCCTGCAATTCAGTCATAAAAATTAGCTGCAGGCAGAAACTTGATATATGAAGTCCAGATCCAAGAGAGAATTTTATTACATTTTTAACACAGAGAGAGAAGTACATTAGACCATTATAAAAAAACATACAAATTAGTGTAGTGAACTTGCTCTGCATCCTTTTCTGTTCTGACGTAATTTAAGATTGCATTCATATCTGCCCCCTTCGTTTTCCATGTATCCATGAAGGAATCTTACGGATTTCCAGTGCCAGGTGACTTTACGACAAGTTCCCTTAAGGTTACATTTAAGATTGGAACAGAGCAGCTTGAGTCTCTATTTGTCAATGGGAAAAAGATTTTCCAGCCTTTTATGAATTCAAAATTAATTAGAATAAATTTTCTGCCATAATGCAGCAACACAGGGTATGACCTGCATCAGGCTTCATGTTTTATGATTGAGTTTTAAGAACTGGCTTGTGTGCAAAGACTTTTCTTTGACGTGAGATTGAATTAAGGAAACTTAATTAACATTTTCTAATTAAATACTGCATTGTGAACTCAATCGCATTGTACTCTGCAACTATGATGAGATTGTTCTGTCTTTATTTAAATAAACAAGATGGCTCACAGGGTTGAGAGCTTGGTTGATAACCATCCCTTTCTTTCCTCAGTTGTCACCTCTGCTTTTCAGAAATATTATTAGCCACTCACCTAACTGCAGGAATTTGGTAGACACACATTTCTCAAAAATGCTCAAGGATACTAAAAATGATACCTGATCTCATGATTGACGAGAGTAGTAGTCTACCCATTTAATACCTAATTCCAGTTCATTCTATTCATTCGAGACAAACCCTATTTTTATTCCCTTTCACCTTATTTTCTCCATGGAATATGTGATGTATAACATGTATCATGTAATACACAATAGGTAGCGTATAATATGTGATTTCCAGTGACCACCATGGTGTTCAATTTAATAGTTAATGTGCCATCCTCATCTTACTTGCCCCGAGAGCTGCACTGGACAAAGTACACACCATTTCTCCATGATACTCATCTTCCCATGGCTCCCAGGACACCACATTCTCTTAGTTTCCCTCCCACCATTCTGGTCACTCCCTCTCACTCTTTTTTGCTGGTTAGTCCTCTTCCCCCTAGTCTCCTAATATTGCAGTGCCCCAGGGCTTAATCCTTGGTCATCTTCTCTACTCTCCCTACTCTCATTCCACTGATGAGCTCATCCTATCTATATGCCAGTGCCTCCTTAATGTATATACTCTGCCCTGACATTTCTCAAATCTTGCATACCTAACTGTCTATCCGTCTCTGCTGGAATAGACACTCCAAACTCCATATGTTCAAAATCGAGTTCCTGATCTTTTCCTGCGGACCTGCACCACCCACAGCCTTCTCTGTCTCAGGGACGGTAACTCCAGTTGTCAGTTGCTGAGGCCAGAATCTTAGAAATAATCCTTGACTTTTTATTCTCTCACTCTTTACATCCAATCTGTCAGGAAATTTTCATGCCTCTCACTTGAAATTTATCCAGCATCTAACCACTTATCACTTCTCCAACTCTTATCAACCTGGTATAAGGCACTTACCACAGTTTGTTGCTCCAAAGCTCTCTGTTTTACATTGTCAGCAACAGTCCTTACAATGATCTACAAGGCCCAATCTGGGTGAATTCTTCATCCCCCCGTCTTAGCATGTCTCCTCCTCTCTGACTTTCTTATGCCACAACAGCCCCACTGGCCTTCTTGCTGTTCTTCTGACATGCCAAGCACACTTCCTTCTTAGACCTTTGTACTCACTGCCTGCAATGAATGCCTGCAATAACACATCCTCCTGGCTAACTCCCTCACCTCCAAGTTTTTTCTCAAATGTCACCATTTCAGTGAGTCCTATTTCGATTTCTATTTAAAATTGCAAACCTATTCTACTGCCAGCATTTCTGAGGTCTACCTTTTCTCCTTTCCCCATATATCTTATCACCTTTGAACAGATTATCTAACTTTTGTCTGTCTGTCTACCCCTTATCATTTGCCCACCACATTAGGATGCAAGTCCCATGGGGGCGGAAAGTTTTGCTTTGTTCTTTCGTACATCCCAAGCACTGAGAGTAGTGCCTGGCACATAGAAGTAACTCAGTGAACATCAGAACTATTAAAAGCATATACAATCAGACGGGCATGGTGGCTCATGCCTGTAATCCCAGAACTTTAGGAGGCTGAGGCAGGAGAATCTCTTGAGGCCAGGACTTCAAGACCAGCATGGACAACATAGTGAGACCCTGTCTCTACAAAAAATGAAAAAATAAAAAAATCAGCTGAGTGTGGTGGCATGCACCCGTAGTCCGAGCTACTCGGGAAGCTGAGGCGGGAGGTTCACTTGAGCCCAGGTGTTCGAGGATGCAGGGAACTATGAGTTCACCACTGCACTCCAGCCTAGGTGACAGAGCAAGACCCTGTCTCAAAAAAACGCATATGTAATCATTGAAGAAAATTAAATTATAACTATGAAAATTCAAGCAGTCACAATATAGTGCAAAACTGAATGGTTTATTAAAGATGTTTAATTTGAAGGAGATTTTTTACAAGTAACATTTGTTTTAAATTATTCTTATTAACATTTTAAAAGATTGATTTTGCATGATACAAGAAGGATGGTGGCTTCCTATATTACAGAAGTAATATTTTAGAGAAGTAATAGTTCCAGTCATTGCCACAGAGTTCTAAATAAAATTTGCACATGGAAAATTAAGCATGTAAAGCAATTGCATCCTCATGATTTAGCTAAGAAAATGTCCAAAACAGTTAAGGTCAGTCGTAGATTTAACTCAGTGTTTCAAAACCATTTGATTCATTGGTACCAAAAGCAAGCGTTTTACATTTTTCTCCAAATCTTTGGATGTTGTTATTTCTTCTTTAAGCACCATAAATTTTTAGCTATGCATGCTTACTAGAAGTAAGCAATAAGCAATAACTTATTCCTTTTCATCTGTGGCTTATAGAACCTCTTGCTTTGTGCATATGTTTTGCCCCTCTATTTCACTCCAGAGGTTTTGATCATATCAAGTTTCACTTAATAAAGATGAGTAGAGGGCAAAAATCAGTAGTAACTTTGGGGAAAAGTAGAAGTTCCCCTTAGGCATTGAATTATAATCAAGTGAGGAAAAGCTATTATTGATACTCATTCAGAATTTCATATTAGATCATTGAAAATCTTTAGGAATAATGATTGCGGAGTCACCGCTAATAACTTAATGACAATTGAATATGTTAAAGGCTTTGAAAAAGATAAAATAGATGTAGATGACAACTCCTGACTCAGATGACTATAGTAATTTTTCATAATTACCATTCACAGAATACAATTTAGATAGAAATAAGAGCAAGAGTTAAATGCAATACGGAGTAGCTCTAATAGGACCTAGACATCAGGGTTAATTTGAAAATTATAGTTCCTAAAGTAATTGTGTTGCAGAAGCCTATCATACAAAATATAAACCATGAAATAAAATTTTTATGAACTTCTTACTAAAGCTGTTTTTATACCCTTGTTTTGATGATTTACATTTCTAATTTCACAACTTTAGCCCTTAGTTGAGCCCTAAGCAAATTTATGAAAACATATTTCTTATTAGAGTACTTGAAATCCCCTGTATGTTACTAATCCCAACCAATGAATAAGAATTTCCATTCTGCAATAAATATCATTGCTATCCCATAACCTATGTTTCACTTGTACAAGAAAATACTTCTTCAGCACAAAGAAGGAATGATTAATTCTTA
Organism: Homo sapiens; assembly: GCF_000001405.40. Lineage (NCBI taxonomy): Eukaryota > Metazoa > Chordata > Mammalia > Primates > Hominidae > Homo > Homo sapiens. Next base: position 29,887,139 of record NC_000023.11, read on the forward strand.
AAATATTAAGAAAACAGCCTAATAAAGTCTCTCAAATTCCACTTGTAAAAGCAGAAAAAATATTAGAGTAAAATCGCCACAGATTGTCTCCTCAAATCATAGGAACATGAAAATTGGAAACTTTCAGCAAAATTTATTTTTAACATTGTTCAACTGTTTTGTATAGAACATTTAACGTTAAGAAGCAATTTTGTGGTTTGAACTATTTGCATGATAATTTCTGGTGTGGAAGATGCCTTAGAGCTGTGTTGCTTCAACTTTTCACATCAGCACAGTAACAGTGGGGCCAATTTGGTCTCTTTATGTATATTTCAACATTAAAGTTATTTTTAGACAAATCTACCATTGGAAGATTATTGTTGCATTGGTGGTGGTGAGTGAGATTCAGCTATGTCAAATCTCTCCATTTAAAAAAATGAGGCTGTCACATATTTCAGGACTTCTCTGATGAGGTGTCACAGTATTTTGATTTAACAGACTTTGTATAACTATGTGGATACAATAGCAAAAGTTTATTTTCATTTTTTTTTTTGTAAATTGTTTTGAGCTAGGTCAGAATGATTTCTAAGCATACACACGCTAAAACAATGCTAAGACATAGAAAACAGCAAATTTTTCAGGCTATTGGTAGATAGTTTAATAAGTTCGTCCTCTTTTGAGAGGTCTAGTCACCTGTGTCTAGTGTTGGATGGAAAGGGGCTTGGATCCACTGGTTAGTCTTCCTTATTGTCTCAGAGAAGGAGAAAAGGGCTTTATCGTGAAGAAAAATGACTGATGGAGCTCTATATACACAATAGTATAATTTGAATTTAATAATCAACTAATAGTACCAAACAATTTATAACCCCCATAAACTCCTAACACCCGATCTTCATTTTCACTGTAATAATTCTGTCGCAATACAAAGTGTTCATAGTTTTTTCTTGTATTTGTCAATAAGATGGCTCAATTTTGGATGAGAATTTCAACCACTGTTGTTTACAGAAGTTAGGATTTTTTTTTTACCACCATGTTGAGCTCCTTGAAAAAATTAAAGGTAAACTTTTTGAGGTGAGGTAGCCTTTGTGAATAACATTGCAACTGAGGAATTTTTTTTTTTTTTTGAGACAGAGTCTTGCTCTGTTGCCCAGGCTGGAGTGCAGTGGCATGATCTCGGCTCACCGCAACCTCTGCCTCCCGGGTTCAAGCAATTCTCCTGCCTCAGCTTCCTGAGTAGCTAGGATTACAGGTGCCCGCCACCACACTTGGCTAATTTTTGTATTTTTAGTAGAGATGTGGTTTCACTTTGTTGGTTAGGCTGGTCTCAAACTCCTGACCTCAGGTGATTCTCCCGCCTCAGCCTCCCAAAGTGCTGGGGTTACAGATGTAAGCCACCATGTCTGGCCACAACTGAAGAATTTGAGGTCAAAATAGTCCTAATGAAGGCTATCATTCTTCAGCTCTGCCTTTCATGACCCTTTCAGTGTACATATTCATCTGGTTATATTTTCAGTCAATTTCTTGGCTCACCCAAGAAAAAAATGCATATCTTGTTGAAAAATTCCTCGCCAACTATTTTCCATCAAACAGTTTTTCATAGGTCTTCACAGGGAGCGTTATTTTAAATACTGAGACTCCAAGGCAAATGAAACAACCAATTCATTATGCTATAATAAAACCATAAGAAAAATAACAGAGGTAATCTGAATCGAGTGACTGGTTGTTCCACAGTGTTTTTAAAAGACGCTTCTTGTTAGTGTTAGTAAATAAAGGTGTCTATGTTTTTCAGCTTAGCTACCTCTTTTTGGCTCAAATCAGATTCTACTATCCAGTTTTTAATCAAATTTTCTCTTATCTATAATTAACCCTTCAAAACTAAACTTTAAAGTTCAACTTGTTTCCTTTTTATGACTAGCTGAAAATTTTTTAATTGTAAAAGAAAAATGCTTATAATTTTTTCTATATGCATATGATTGATTTTAAAATGTCATTGCAAAAACGATGGCCTCATGGCATATAGGTTCATGTTTTTTTGTGTGCCAGACACTAAAATTGAGGCTCCTTTATATTATTAAATTGAAACTCATGTTTGAAATAAACTAAATACAGCCTATAAGGTTTAGATTCACTGCAGTTTACTGCTGATTGGAATACTTTTGGTATCGAGTTTAATATCTGACACAAACTTTCATCATTTGTGATATTCCCTTCTAATTTATCTTGCATATTTCCACCAGTTTGAAATTTGCACTTCAAACTTCCTATTTTTATTCATGACCCATTTCAAAATATGATATATTAATTATCCTTTACTGTAAATATATGTACTCAAAGGGGTTTGGTAATACCCTCTTTGTAATAAGTATGAAAAGAAGTGTCCAATAATATGGATTGATTAAATAAATATAATCCATATAATACTCTGTAGCTACGGGAATGAAAAAAATAGAGTTACTTGTACTGATAGAATTTTGTGCTTTTTAGAAGATATATGTGTATGTGCGTCCATACATACATGTGTGTATACTGTATATGTGCGTATTTCTATATATTCATGTACATATGCATATGTTTGTCATGTTTGTCTATTATTATACACACGTGTTGTTTATATATGTAGTATTAGCCAAGAAACATACAGAAAAAACTGTTTCCATGGTTACCTCTGAGCTCTGGGGAGTGAAACCAAAGCACAGAATGTGGGTAGGAGCTCTTTACTCTTCATCATCTATCCTTTTTAACTGTTTCAATTTTTTTTTTACTATGACCATTTGATTTAGTATGAAATTTGTTATATATATATACACATACATATGATATACATTCATACATGTTGTGTACATTTATATCATATATATATTACATTATATATGTATCTATATACAATGTAGTAGCTATCTTCAAAGAAGATTTTTTATAACTAAAGATAAGAATGTTAAAAGTGAAGGAAAACCTCAAGGCCCAAATAACTTTGTTTGTAGTATTTAAATTCTGCTTTTTCTTTCTATTCTCTCACTGTCTATTCCCTTCATCACTTAAATTCATTCCCACTAAAAATGACTCACGGACATAGTTTGGAACTAGTTGCCACATCACCTCAAAGTTAAGGGCAGCAGCTTCTCTATTTACAGCTGGGAAAACTTGTAACTAAGAGGGAGGCCATAGCTTTAGTTAAATCGGCATCCAAGGAAACAAAATACCAGAAATTAACAATGGTTGCAAAATGGAGTCCTAGCCTAATCCCTCTCCTTTCTAATTACTCCCTAATTGTTTCTTAACCATGTGCCGCCAGGCTGCAGTGGTTGGGGTATGGAGAGTGAAGAACTTTTTGAATAAGGCAATTCTTACTCTGGAAGGACTAACGAAGAACCTGATTGTAACTAAAATGAGGGAACAGTTCCTACTATTTCCATCAAATTCATTCTGCCCAAGGAAAAAGATGATGATTTGATTTTAATTATGCTAACAGCATTTCAATAGCCTCCGGAGAAAATGCCTGCTTTCCAAAATGCAGATCACTAAATTATACTGTGCCTCCTAGCAACTCCTACTACTGAGAATTCAAAGCTTATCTCAACTTTACTTTGTTTTAACCATCCTAAGATTTCAGTCCACAGCTTTCCCATAGGCTCTACCTGCCTTTTAGTGTCTAGAACACACTCTCACGGCATCTGGGTCTTCAAACCCACACAGTTCCTGTGAGCTATTCAAGATAGGTCAGGTTCCAGCTGAGGTCAGGCATTGTGATCACTCAAGTTAACCCTCCTCTAAACCCTACCTCTAGTGTCCTAAATTTGCTTTTTGTCTCAGCAGATAAAACCCAGAGGTTCCCAAACCTGCTGTGCATCTGAGTCATGAGGAAAGTTTGTGAAATAGATTCTTGGTTTCTCAGCTACACTAATACACGGCAAGGCTTGCTATCCTTTCTTCCAGTTCACTGCTTCTGGGTCCTGCATGCTGGAGCACCACCAGTGCTGCCTCACCTCTGGCCTCCTCCTGACAAAGGGGTCTCTACACTCTGCACTCTGTCATCTGTAACCAGCCTTCTTAGGCACAAGCTGCCTTCTATTTTTTAACTCCCAGTTTCGTTTTTATGAACTATTCAAATCAAATAATTAAGAATAACATCAATGATGCCAGCACCAGTAGAATAAGGCACACCTTTGCTTTAGGTCAGATTTCCTTGTTCCTCTGTTTCCTGATGAAGGCCTATGCTTCTGGACTTTCCCTTGATTCAAGATGAGTGTTCTGCTTTTCCAAATGGCCATCAGCAGGGACTAATGGTGGTCACTATTAGTCTTCACTGACAGGCTTTTTAGTCCAAACTTGGAGACATGGCTATTGAGCCCAGAGTTCTCCTCACAGGCACTGAGGCACAGGATTCTATGAGCCTCCTCTAATAGGTTTCATTCACAGGGATAATGACATGGATGGATATGGTTATATTCATGTAGGTTTTAGCAAGAAAGATGCTGTCCACTGAGAGCTACCTGAAAGATTATGATACACACTCTTGGAAAAGAATAAGAGGAGCAGATTAAAATAAAAATCTTTGCTTAACAGTTTGAGTTGGATGGCTTGATGAATTGCAACACCTAGGAAAAGAAATCTTCCTAGGTTATCTTACAGTTATGATTTTTTTAAGTATAAAGGAGATGAGAACAATACCAATGTAATTCATCTTAAAAGACTTTAACCTGTACTAAAGATTTGTGAAATTCTTCATTAATTATGATTGACTATTAATACCATCTCAAAGATTTTGCTAGACCTAGAAAGGCTTTGTTAAATAATTTTCCATGTACCCCATACTCTCACAGATTTAAAACCTAACACTGGGAGATAGTCTATCAGGCAAAATTATGAACTTATATATTGATGTAGGCATAGTTGCTCATAGGTTCCAAAAGTTAATATATACATTTCCAAAAGTTAAATATAACATTGTGGTTTTGATTACATATCACGTTTTCCTTTCCCGCTCAAATGAAGTTTTAACATGATTGCCTAGATTTGGTTTCAAATTTACCTGCCTTAGAAACTGTCACTCAAATGTACAATTACTTTTTCAATGTTAAGAAGAATATGTTATGATAAGAGGTTCCTAAAGAAAGCATTTCATAGTTCTCTGGCATTGAATTTTTTTTATTTGTTACCTTGTTTACTTGTGTGTGAACGAGCATAAAGTGAACCCTCAGAGGACAAGAAAAAATATCAGGTATTTCTTTATGGATTTAATCTCTGAAAATTTTCCATCATCACTAATGATGTCCCAGGAGTCCTTGAAGCTAAAATAACAAGATATACAATTTACACATTTTTATTTAGATGCACTCATTGTTTGCAAATAACTTTGCAATCTGATAAAGAGGCAAAAAGATAAACTATAGGTATAATAAACTTGAATAAATGGATAGAATTTAGAATGTATCTGGGGGATATATCAAGGGTCTGTTTGGCAACTTGGGAAGATGATTGGAGAAAAGGACAGAAATACTTGAGGAAATCTTTCTGCATGGACTGGATCAAGTCTAAATTCCAAAATACTGTCCAGCCATGGAATGGCAGGTTAGATGACAGCTTAGAGCGAGGATTGGAAATGGGAAACAATGTGAGGATGGCAAAAGAGGGTATGTCTCAAGATGAGATTCACCAGAGCAGAGCAAAGCAGTGAAGAGCCTTCACTTCATTGGACAGCACTTGCTCTTTCTCCCTTTACATAGATTAACCTTGAGTTTAGCAATGCTTATGGAGACTGCTAGAGAATGAAGGGAAACAAGACACAATCTGTTAAGTAAAGAAGCCTAGAAACATTGGGTATGTGGAAATATAACATGATGGTGCTAACAGTCATTATGGTGACTCTCATTTGTAGAAGACTAGTTCTGTTTCATTAAGAGATAGGTTTCAGCTTGTCACCTAGTAGATCTTATCTTAATCATGGCTGTGTATGTTGACTCACATACCATTTTTACTAGTATGCACATCCACCGTTTACTGAGCTGTTGCTCTGTGCTAACTTACAGTGTGCTAAGAGCTTTATATACTGTATTCATACAGTTAATCCCTATAACGAACCTAGGAGTGAAATTTTTCACACCCAGTTTTGCAAATGAGAAAATTAAAATATCAGAATAAGTGACATAACTTTCTTAAGGTCAAGGAGATAATAAAAGATAGGCTTCTATTTTGACATAGATTTAGCTGTCTCAGGGGCCTAAATTCGAGCCACCGCATTTATGTTTTAGAATAGCGATTGCAAATTGTTGACTGGAGCACCAAAATCAGCCTGGGGACCTGCTTTACTGATTCTACATACTATGTTTTCAGACAATCTGAATGTGCATTTTTATGGAGGGGAGTGTTAACTGGAGTCACCGTGCATCATTGTTTTAAATCATCTTGACGTTTAAGATTTCAGTTTTTCATTTAAGGTTACAGGTTGAATAATATTTCTCCCTACTTTATCAAAATATATATCATATATATGTATAAAATAAACTAGCACAACAGTTATTTAAAGACAGTTCAATTGTTTGTACTGAGATATACAAACAGAAACATTTGGGAGAAATATTACAATATTCGTAAAGAAGCCAGGGACATTGGTTTTGCAATATTGAGGTGACAAGTTTCCAAAAATTAATTCTATACTGATTTCAGATCCTATTTTCCATGAATAGACACAGCCAGAGGGATTCCCTTCTGTAATCCTCATCCGTATGCCTCTACCAACCAATTAATTGCTCATTACTGCATCAACATAAGTGTGAATTTGTTGACAGAGAGACATTTAAGAAAGAGGTTGTAAATATGTCCCAATGGTCCTACGTACTCTGGAATGTGGGGGAAACCATAATCACAGTTAATTCAATGTCAAATTTCTTATTCAAATATGTATTTCCAGTTACGGTGATAATTTTTCATTCATGCTCGATTGTGATGATTTTTGCTTTTATTTTATGTTATTCTCCATTACGGAACTTCATTTTGTTTTACACAAAATAGTTAATATAATACTTCGCAGTAAGGGCATTTTGAAAGAACAGTGGCTTAAAAACAAAATTTATCTTTGTGTTTCCTACGAGGTGGTAAGCCAGTTAGTATTCAACAAGTGTTTATAAAATTATTTCATTTTCTTAAAAGCCTATAATAAAGATATTAACTGGAGAAAGAACGTTGAAAATTCAGATGAGATGACCAGTGGTTTTAATACAGAAGAGACAGTTTTCATATTTTTAGCACATAGAAAAAATTGTAAAATGTGTTTGCTAAATTCCATCTGAACATTATCGTAAGAAAACCTCACAAATATTTTAATTTCTTAAGTAAAATAGCTTATTTCATTTATGCCCTTTACTACTTTATTTTCACTAGATAAATCATCAACGTTTTACTTACTTTTTCAAAAATCCCAGTAGAACAATCATGTTTGTTTTGACAAACTCTAGAAGGTTTTTATTTCTATTAATTTAAATAGACAAAAAGAAGACACTTGAAAGCAGCACGAAATCCCCAGCACCTTTTTACGAGATTATAACTTGTGTATAAAAGTAATTAACATTTTCTAGTATCATATTTTAACCAGATCAGAGATTCTTAACCCAGGATTCTTGGATCTACAAATTAATTTTAAATGGCCTTAAAATTGTACACACAAAAAATATTTTCATGGGGTGGGGAAGGGGGACAAGGGCTCTACCATTCATCTGTTCTTTTTTTTATTTTTGAGACGGAGTCTTGCTCTACCACCCAGGCTGGAGTGCAGTGGCATGATCTCAGCTCACTGCAACCTCTGCCTCCCAGGTTCAAGCAATTCTCCTGTCAGCCTCCTGAGTAGCTAGGACTACAGGCACCCACAATGCCCGGCTAATTTTTGTATTTTCAGTAGAGACGGGGTTTCACCATATTGGCCAGGCTGGTCTCGAACTCCTGACCTCAGGTGATCCACCCACCTCGGCCTCCCAAAGTGCTGGGATTACAGGAGTGAGCCACCGCGCCCGGCCCCATTCATCTGTTCTTTAAGAGCGTTTGTAACTAAAAAATTTTAAGTCAGATTTGGAGGAAGAAAATTAGAGGTTTTGGGGAGGATAAGTCTTGTTCACTGAAGAGTCCCTTTCACATAATTTAAATAAGAGCTATTGTGTATGAAGCTGGGCACAGTGGCTCATGCCTGTAATCCCAACACTTTGGGAGGCTGAGGCGGGTGGATCACTTTAGGTCAGGAGTTCAAGACCAGCCTGGCCAACATGGTGAAACCTCATCTATACTAAAAATACAAAAATTAGCCGGGGTGTGGTGGCACATGCCTGTAATCCCAGCTACTTGGGAGGCTGAGGCAGGAGAATTGCTTGGAGGTGGAGGTTGCAGTGAGCAAGATCGCACCACTGCACCACTGCACTGCAGCCTGGGCTACCGAGCGAGACTCCGTCTCAAAGAAAAAAAGCTATTGTATACGAATTGGGCTGCTATTATTTATTCTCAGTATTTAATAGTGAAGAAATGTCTTTTCTAATCATGCTTATTTATCCATTCACTTTCTGATAAGCATTTATTGAGTGCTTAATGAATGCTAGATATTGTTTACCAAGATAGGAACTCAGAAGGTTGAGCAATCTGGGGAGAAATATGACTAATCAAATTGCTGACACATTGAGTGTGAGATGCTTGTGGGATATCCAAATGGAGATGTCCATGGAGGGCAGAGGTCCAAGCCAAAGACTTAGATTTGAAGGTCAGTAAATATGGGTGGTAAAGTCATTAAAGTGTTTGATGTAGGTAAGCCCATTCTTGCATGTATAGTGTGAGTAGAGGATGAATGAGAGAAACAGCCAACATTCCCTAGGTGCGTGGAGGGAGTACCTTCCAGAGAGGCTGGAAAGTGGTTGTAAAAAAAGCCAGCAGAGAAAGACTTCCAAAATGAGGGAAGAGTAAGCTATACCAAGAATGTAGAAAGATCTAGTAAAATAAAGACATAACCATTCAAACTGGGAATCAATTTTAGTGGAAGGCTATCAGTGGACGTCAGACTGCAGTTAGTAGATGGGAAACGACTTTCAGTGTGCTGTATGTTTAAGGAAATGATTGATTGGGAGATAAAGTCAGAAAGGACCTCATTACTTAGCACCTGGTATGTGATATTTTATAAATACCAAGTTAATGGCTTTAACTGGGAAATAATAAAATCATTTTCCTCCTAATCCCAGAAGACAATCCACTGAGAGAATGGGATACTTAACCAGGGGAGAAGACAGTGATAACTTTGGCATAACGTGTATCATTCAGAGTTCAACCAGAGAAGTAGAGCAGTAGGGTATTATATATGTATCCTATTAGGTGTGTGCATGTGTGGAGTTTGTGTGTATACACATACATATAGATAGATACACATATATTTTACAGAGAATCGGTTTACACCATTATAGATCTGGCTAAGCAGTCTCCACAAAGCTGTCTCTTCATCTAATATCAGAGCCTGAAGTTCACAGGCAGGCAGTCAGGTGGGAAGATCACAAGCAGGCTTGAATTCCACTAGGATAGACTGAAACCTGTGTTTTTTGTTGTTAGTTGTTGTTGCCTCTGACCACGGCAGTAAGAATGAGCACACATACCTCTGGCCCAGAAATCAGACACTGAAGGAAGATCCAGGGGGGAAGAGAGCAATCCCAGGTCCAAATGATGCTTTATGTCAATGAGGCAAGTCAGCATACCAGCAGCAGTATGCATGTGTGCACACACATATGCATGCACATACACACATACTGCAAAATGGCAACTGCCTTCCTAACATCCTCCAACTAGTGTGAAAGAATTTATCGTGTAGCCTACCCTAACTGGACACATGCAAGAAAATGGAATTCTGGTAAATGTAGTTTGACCTAGCAAGTTGGCACATTACAGAGCCAATACAATGCGTACTTTCAGAGATGGCAAGCCTTAGAGGCTACTAGAGTAGGGGTTCTGGGTAATCATTGTGCTTCATGAAGGTCCTGTCACTTGGTAGATAAGTGAAGGAAGTTATGTAGAAATCTGAGGGTGGGACCATGAAGATCAGCTTGTTTATCCTCTCAGTTGTTCTAAGGGCATTGCTGCCATCCCTGTTAACAAGGGGATTAGGAAATAACTGATTCAATTTGCCTCTCTACTACTTCCACCATTCTTAATAATAAAAAGAAATGACCAGTTTCTATTTATTTTTTTTTCAGGCAATATTTTTATAAGATGAATGATCTTGATTATTACAGTGAAAATAAAATGATCTCTCAGAATGTTCTGAAAACAGTTGTACAAGTGGAAGTTACAGTGTTGGCTTAAAGAAGAGAACATAAATACTATTCACACTTCTTTAGCTGTACTAAAAGAGCTATAGAATGTAGCCTTATTTATTGTTATGTAAACCAGTAAAACTTATCCAGCAAGTGACAGGACCTTCATCCTGTACCAAATCCCTGTTTTTGGAGTAAGATGCCAATGGAAATAGTGGAGCTAGTTTAAAATCAAACATCAGTTCAACCAAACTGATTTAACATTTTCATTTGTGTTGGGGAAGCTCACGGTCTTTAAATATCGATGAGAAAGGTGTCTCTTCTAATACTTGCTTATGTGCTGTTAATGCTGTACTCCCAAAGATGATCGCTAATCTATAATCTAATCTATACAACTACACTTTTCAAAGGATGTTTAGAGTCACAGACCTGAACCTGACTTAGGGAAAGGTGTTTCTCCAAGAGCTTTTCTGTGACTACAGATTGTTGGAGAAAACAGGTAGTGAAGGAAGATGGCGCATGATCTGCTGCGCTACCATGAAGTAGAATATATGGTGATATTTTAAGGCTATATGTTTACTTTTGCCTAAATTATAAAAGCAATATTTTTATATTATAAAAATTTAAATGTTGGGAAATAAAGACTCATATAAAAAAGATAACAAAGAAGTAACTGAGATATGTCACAAGTTCTTTAAAGCTTCATCCGTGGAATCTTAAGAGGCTCTCTCCTACTTCAGATGAGAAAGTCAGGAAGCATATCGTTTGACTAAACAGTGATATAAAAAATACTAATTAAGTGACATTTCAGAATTGCAGTTTTGAAATGATTTGCTGTTCTGCTCACAAGAATCGTAGTTATGTTTACTAACTTTATTCATTTTGTCTTAATATTTGCTATAGCTGCCGTGGGCATGGCCACGGCAAATGTAAGCTATCAGACTGACCAGGTTGATCACATCAATGAGGAATATTTTCATTAATCCAAGATGGTGTTTGATTCAGAATGCGCATCGTATCAGCAACACTTGCCATCGACCATTAAATGTGAGGAATTCCAACAGTTAGTTAGCACCAAGGAGTTAACGATATGAAACATCATCCAGAACTGAACAAATGGCTTTACTCCTTCCTGTATCTTGGGCTGTGTGGAAGTTGTCAGGGTTTCCTGGAAAAGAGTTAGATATGCTTATATAGATTAAATATACTAAAGGGCATTCCCCGTAACAGTCAAGTAAGTGTTGGGTAAAAGGCAAGTTTATTCATGTAACTACAGATAGAATACGAATAGTGTGAATGATTCCGTAAGTATTTTAGGGAAAGTATTCATCTTTATGCAATGAAATATATAAAGTGGTCATTTTCCTAAAGACAAGAAGACAGTTATTTTAATTGACTTCCACAACTTCCCACTTAGAGAGTTGCTAGTATTAAAAAATAAATAAAATATCACTGCCATGAAGATTAAGAGTGATAGTCAGAAAATGGACTTCAGAAAATGATACACTTTCTTTAGGTAGGAAAGCAGTAAAGCTATTCTCAAGTGATAACCTTTTATTAGATGCTGGCAAGTCTGAAATGCTCCTTGACAATCTCTTTTATTGAACGAATCTTGAGGACTATAAACCTAGATCAGTGCCTTATAATCCTTGCATAAGGCTGTTGTGATTAAAAACCAAGTGAAAAACTTCCCAATAGCTCACAGAAGAGTAATCAGTCTGTCTTAGTATTTATTAGGGTGTGTGTGTGTGTGTGTGTTTTAATGGGATACTGCTTAAGTATACAGGCCAGGAGTAAAGGTAACACCATGAGGGAGGGTAAAGGCATGGAAAGTCAGATTGGGAACTCCAAAAAGAAAGAAAGAATTTTGAGGGTTGTCAGAGCTTCTCAAGAGATCACACGTTTAGAGACAATTCAAATACTTTTAAACAATAATAACAAAAAAATCTACTGAGCCTTTAGTTTCATGATCAGAATGGGGGATCAAAGTCAGAATACCAGGATTAGTTTCAAGTGATTTTAAAGACACCAATATTAGAATGGACTGAGACAGGAGATACAGGTTGCAAAGAGAAATAAATAACAAGTCTTCCTCAAGAATGAAAAGAACTCTGAGAGACGTAGCTTTGGTCATAGACTAGAAATGAGAATAACAGTGAATAATTTTTTTTTTTTTTTTGAGATGGAGTCTCACTCTGTCGCCCAGGCTGGAGTGCAGTGGCGCGATCTCGGCTCACTGCAGCCTCCCCCTCCTGGGTTCAAATGATTCTCCCACCTCAGCCTCCCGAGTTGCTGGGATTACAGGCGCCTGCCACCACGCCTGGCTAATTTTTGTATTTTTAGTAGAGACAGGGTTTCTCCATGTTGGCCAGGTTGGTCTCGAACTCCTGACCTCAAGTGATCCACCCACCTCAACCTCCCAAAGCGCTGGGATTACAGGCGTGAGCCACCACACCCGGCCAACAGTGAATTTTTTAAATACTGAAAATATCTATGAATGCTACCAAATTCTGAAACTCTTCCTGATTAACTCAGCACAGAAAATTCCCTCTCATTTTGAGCTTCAGTTGTTCAAACTGCTTCCATGGCAGTTCAAACTGCTATGTCTCCCTCTATCAAATGGGGACAACAAAGCCAGGCTTCATGGTATATTTTAGGCTCAGAAGCTGTCAGAAGCATTTTACTGAGCCAGTATGGAGAAGAGACAAGCAGAGCAAACTTCTGCCTGAAAAACAAGCAGTTAACACTGAGTACTTCTAATATAATGGCGACTAACAAAAATCCTTCTAGGCAGAAAAGGAGAAAACACAAAACAGTGAGTTCACTGTTACATCTTAAATAATAAACAACATGCATTAGCCATCATGATTTCCTGCACTTGCCACGTTATAAGCTTATAAAGCTTCCTAAAAATATTTCATTAGCTTTGAAAACTAATAAATCTAATGATTACAATTTATATTTTTAAAAACATAAGAAAAGCAGGTTTGTGCCTAAGACCTTGAGTGTCAAGAAAGTTTAGAGAGGATAACTCATTAAAGTGTACAGCGAATCATAAAATTCAATTTGAATTGAACCTTCCATTTTGGCCCAACCTATCCATGTAAAAACCAGCAAAACAAATCATTCTAAGTCACAAGCTGCTGTATGTGTTTTAGAACAGATACTATTTACTATATTACCCCTAAATAAACCAAGGTCTAAGTAAATGGTTTCTAGCTTTTCTCTAGTTAAGCTAAGTTCTTTCTTAAAAGGAAACTCGTTCTAATTCATATTTTTCTTCTCGAAGAGGGAGCTTATATTTTTCTGTTTCTGCACTTTGAACATGAGTATTGTGGGAAAGTATTAGGGGATTAGCAGGAGATAAACGTGGTTTTTGTCTTCACCACTAAGTGGATCAAATTAGTGGGTATATGGCCATGATTTTATTCTGCCACACTATGACCTGTGAGACAAGGTGGAAAAAGTAGATTCTAGAGGCACTGATGGATACAGGCTAAGCTGGGTAACAAGGATACCCCAAAATGTAATGTCTTTGATCAAATTGAAGTATATTATTTCTCTCGATAAATAAACCAATAGCTAGCAGCCCCAGACCAGTCAGGTGATTCCATTCAATTAAGTCATTCAGGGACTCAAGTCCCTTATATGTTGTTGCTCCCCATTTTTTTCCTCGTATTTCTGGTGGAAGCCAGTTCACTGATACATCTGCTTTCCAGTCTGCAGGAAAGGGAAAAATAAACTCCAGGGCATGCAGCTTTATCATAAAGGAAATGACCAGGAAATTGCACACATCACTTCTTCATACATCTCGTTGACCCGGTCTCAGGCACATGGCCACATGTAGCTGCAAGAGAAGCTAAGAAATGTGGTCTACAACTGGGTAGCCACGTGCTTACCTAAAATTCTAGGGACTATACTACTAAAAGGAAGAAAGGACTAATAGACACTGGGACACATTTAGTGGTCTCTGCCTCAAGAGGTATCAGCCAGGGTTTGGAGATGACGTATTCAGCACAAAAAAGATAAGGCAGTGTTTGGACAGGGTTACATGTAAGTTGTGATTCTCTTGAACAGACCCCTAGTGGTCACTGACATTTGAATAAACTGCTAGGGGTATTTCACTTTCACCACCACTAATATTCTTTACTTTCCTCCTCCTTTCATTTTTCTTTCCGTCTTGCTCCTCCTTTTCATATTCCAATTTTCCCCCCATATTTTTCCTTTTTGTTTCAACTGCTCATGATACTGAGGTCTAAAGAATTTACTGAGTAATGAGCACAGATGTATGCTTTCTTTATGCATTTTTAATGGCTGATTTAAATATACTTGGAGGCTAAAAATGCAATAATTTGCTTTAAATGTGTAGGACTCTGGAAAGATGAGAAAGCACTGTAAGAGTTAAATAAATCAAGAAAGGATTTGGAATAGTGACTATGTAATTAAAAGAGCAGAAATAAAGGATGTGCCTTATCAAGATGTAATCACAAATATTGGAGGATAAAAAGACCTCTGTATTAAAACCTAAAGATATCTGCATTACAAAAAATGTTCACTTTGTGGATGACTTGAAAAACTTTCGAAATGAGTACAATTATAAGCAGATCTGATGTTTTTGTCAGAAAGCAAATCACGAGGTACTTCTTCCATCCACTCAACTCAAGGGTAACAATGGCTGTACTTTCTGCCCTTCATCATCACCAGGAGTTTCTGAGTAGCCTTTTAGAGCAAATCAATTTCCTGGCAGGTGAGTAATTTCTACTGTATAGTCATCATTTTCCCGCATCATTTATCTAAGACCCATCTTCTCAACACTCAGGTGCAACATCACACCTTCCCAGGGGTGAGGTCATCAAGGGCATCTGGGTGTTAAATGTTTGATGTTAACAAGAGGGACACCCCCTCTTCTGGCTGGTGTCCACCGATTGTTCTAGACACCATGAACTTTTGTTTCATGCAGGTAGAAAACAGCCATCAAGAGCTAAAATTTGAGCCCTTACAAGAATCTTTTTACTACCCAGCACAATGTGGTAATAATATTCCCACTTCTCAGGCCCTTTTCCTTCAAGTGAATAAGATTTCCTCTCTATTCTAGAGGAGCCATGCTACTGCCTCTCTTCATTTGATTACTGTGGGAAATCCCCCAGCAGCTTATTCCAAGTTCACTGCGCAGCCCTCTGATTCCTGAAAGGCATAATTTGGCCTAACTTGATATATATACTATATATCATCACTTACAGTAATGTTTGTCCCATAATAGTAATACTACTACTAATAATAATAATAATTGCTAACAGTGAGTGAGCACTCACCATGGGTACTATAAATTTATATTAACTTAATTAACTCCAAGTTATTTGTTGTTACTTAAATTCTCTTATAATCTATTGATCAAACAATTGAGTTGCTTTGTTCCTAAAAGCTACAAAAATATATAGTAATGTAGTATAAAATCTATTTTCATAAAGAAATCTGACACTACAGCTGAATTATGGTTAGCAAATTTAAAATTCATACCTTGTTTTCCTCTTGTGATTTTGTCTCCTTGAAATTTGAGCAGATGTTGTTATATCTTTCAGCAATCACATCCTCAACTATGAGCTTAATATAACGTACCCCTTTCATTACTTTTCCTTTCTTTTAGAATTCTTAGATAAATCTCTGATTTCCAAAGAACTATCTGTGCTTTGATATTGGCAACTATTATCTGCTGTAGGTCCTAGTACTTATTTAGGTAAAAGATCTTAATGAAGTTCCAACGAACTTCATTTGTCTCCGTGTGTGTGTGTGTGTGTGTGTGTGAGAGAGAGAGAGAGAGAGAGACAAAGAAATTCTTCTCTTTTTTCATTTCTGAATAAAGCTTTCTAGAAGAGCCATTCAGTGTAACTAATGACAAAAGATAAATATGTTTTGTAAACCACTTTGCTTTTATCTTAAATGGGGAGTCTTCGGCAAAACATTTATCTTTACCATGACCGTAGAGTAATTTTAATATACATGATTAATGGTGCAAATGAAATTAAAATCCCCCTACTATTCAACATCTTAGTTAAGAACAAAATGCTCACTGTTTCCTAATTGCAAAGAGTAAAATGTCTGGATGTTGATGCTTTTTAATTAGAGGAGAATTTTCTTTTTAATTAAAAAAAGAGAGCTTTTTTATTTTTCAGTAAGTTAGAGAGTGTCCTCTAGTGGAGAGAGACTCTGATCTCATAGTTTTAGAAATGGCTATATGATACCCAGTTAGAACTGTGCTCCACTTAGCTGATTGGAATCTACTGGTTGAAGGGAAAAAGTATTGTTTTTCCTCTAAGACCCCTCAAATCATGGCCTAGTTAAAAGGCTGCAGTGTGACAAGCATTGTTCTCATTTTAGATAGGAATGATTTTTTATGATCAATTTTAGCATGCTTCCTTCTGAACCTGTTGAGGTTGAGCTGACTGTGCACCTTTCTGCCAAAAAGGAGGCAGAAGCATTTAGTGCAATTTACTGTGGCTTTTACAGGTATCAACTGGAGGCAGCAAGAATACCATTGTCTTCAGGACTGCAGACCTGGCTGACTGATATATTTGATGTGTGCAGATCCCTAGGCCATAGCTTAAATTTGTTTCTTTTATTATTTGAAGGAAAACAAAGAAACAAAATTGAGAGACAAATTAAATAAAGGTCTCTCTTCTCCTTAACTTGTCGAATTCTAATGCTAATTTCCTGTATTTCTGGTTAAATGTGCTAAGCAGTCTTAGCTCTATCACTTGTGTATCAGAGATGAGAGGTGGAGGAGTTTTTTCGATATCTAAATGGAAGAGGGTACGGAAGAGCTGTGGTGGTTGGCTCTCTGAATCACATACTAGAATTGCCTTATCAGAAATTGCTTATTACAGCAAATTAGAGACTGAAAGAAAAGAACGATAGTTGCTCTTGATAACAAGCTAAATAGCTTGGACTTAAATAAAGATAAAAATTTTATTGCTGATTCTTTTTTTAATTTTAATTTTTTAAGTTCTGGGATACATGTGCAGAATGTGCAGGTTTGTTACATAGGTATACATGTGCCATGGTGGTTTGCTGCACCCATCAACCCGTCATCTAGGTTTTAAGCCCCGCATGCATTAGGTATTTATCCTAATGCTCTCCCTCCCTTTGCCCCCAACCCCGACAGGCCCCAGTGTGTGATGTTCCCCTCCCTATTCCATGTGTTCTCATTTTTCAGCTCACACTTATCAGTGAGAACATGCAGTGTTTGGTTTTCTGTTCCTGTGTTAGTTTGCTGAGGATGATGGCTTCCAGCTTCATCCATGTCCCTGCAAAGGACATGATCTCATTCCTTTTTTATGGCTGCATAGTATTCCATGGTGTATCTGTGCCACATTTTCTTTTTCCAGTCTATCATTGATGGGCATTTGGGTTGCTTCCAAGTCTTTGCTATTGTAAATAGTGCTGCAATACACATACGTGTGCATGCATCTTTATAGTAGAATGATTTATAATCCTTTGGGTGTATACCCAGTAATGGGATTGCTGGGTCAAGCGGTATTTCTGGTTCTAGATCCTTGAGGAATCGCCACACTGTCTTCCACAATGGTTGAACTAATTTACACTCCCACCAACAGAGTGAAAGCATTCCTATTTCTCCACAGCCTAGCCAGCATCTATTGTTTCCTGACTACTTAATAATCGCCATTCTGAATGGTGTGAGATGGTATCTCATTGTGGTTTTGATTTGCATTTCTCTAATGATCAGTGATAATGAGCTTTTTTCATATGTTTGTTGACTGCATAAATGTCTTCTTTTGAGAAGTGTCTGTTCATATCCTTTGCCCACTTTTTGATGGGGTTTTTTTTTTCTTGTAAATTTGTTTAAGTTCCTTGTAGATTCTGGATATTAGACCTTTGTCAGATGGGTAGATTGAACTTTCTCCCATTCTGTAGGTTGCCTGTTCACTCTAATACTAGTTTCTTTTGTTGTGCAGAAGCTCTTTAGTTTAATTAGATCCCATTTGTCAATTTTGGCTTTTTTTGCAATTGCTTTGGTGTTTTAGTCATGAAGTCTTTGCCCATGCCTATGTCCTGAATGGTATTGCCTAGGTTTTCTTTTAGGGTTTTTATGGTTTTAGGTCTAACATTTAAGTCTTTCTTTAATCCGTCTTGAGTTGATTTTTGTATAAAGGTGTAAGGAAGGGGTCCAGATTCAGTTTTCTGCATATGGCTAGCCAGTTTTCCTAGCACCATTTATTGAACAGGGAATCCTTTCCCCATTGCTTGTTGCTGATTCTTATATTTGAAAAAAAGGGGGATAAGGAGAGTGTTCATAAAATCCTTCAGTAATCCAACAAATGTCAGAGCCATAATGAACAATAAGGCAAATATATTCCCTTTTATAGATAATTTTCAGAAACATGTATAGTCGTGACTCCCACACAGATGGAAGAATGAATACATGTTAAAAAATTTTTTGCTGATGTGATATGAGGGGACCAAGCAGATGTTATGACCAGTTCAAAGGAAATATCAAAGCAGCAGATTTACACAGATTAAAGAAATGTTGAGATGAATTGTAAATGGAGACAAAATTGTTTTTTTCCCCAGGTTATAGGGGGGATAGGAGAGGTGAGTCAATTAAATCACTATCAGACAGGAGAGAATTTGTACCCCTATCAGTGTCCTACATTTTACAGAGTCAAAATATAGTTCAAAGACAGTAAAAAAGCCTTTGGGAGGCCGAGGCAGGTGGATCACGAGGTCAGGAGATCGAGACCATCCTGGCTAACACGGTGAAACCCCATCTCTACTAAAATACAAACAATCAGCCGGGCGTCGTGGCGGGCTCCTGTAGTCCCAGCTACTCGGGAGGCTGAGACAGGAGAATGGCGTGAACCCGGGAGGCGGAGCTTGCAGTGAGCCCAGATCGCGCCACTGCACTCCAGCCTGGGTGATAGAGCGAGACTCTGTCTCAAAAAAACAAACAAACAACAAAAAAAAAAACATAAAAAAGCAGGAATCCAATAATCTGGAAGGGTGTGCCATAGACCAATGAGTAGTTTTCCAATGAAAGATATTTCTTTCTACATAACTTTGTAAATATATATATATATATATATATATATATATATATATATATATATATATATATATATATATATTTCTGTAGCCTGGTTGGGTTGCCAGTGACCCAGTTTTATATCCTACTTTCTTGTCTACACCAGCTACTTCTCTACCTACAACTGCCATTATTGTGAACCCTCTTTCTCTTTCCTCTTCTCCAGCCTCCCTGTCCTTGCTTCCTGCTTACAGGACCTGCCCTAATATTTTTCAATTTTGTTGCTTTTCTGAGCCCCAGTTCCACTTTAAACAAATTCCAAGGTAAAAACAAATTGTTCTGGACAGTTAACTGTAATCACTTGCATGAAAAAATCACCTGAGGGTGCTTGTTAAAAATTCAAATCCCTGGAACTCTCCAGACTTGACTTGCTGAATCTAAATCTGGTGGGGGGTGGAGGTAAATTTTTTGACAATAAATTTGGAACTCACTGACTTAAGTAAAATAAGAAAAAAATGTAACATCTAAGCCATATGACTCTAAGCTAAATGACATTGTAGAATATATGGGAGTATAAAATAAAAACTGATATGAAAGTTAGTGGAAATATGCAAGAAAAAGCAAAGTTAATGGTAGCATTAGTAATTGCTAGTAATAACTTTCCCTAAAGTTCCTATCACAATCTATCTAGCACTAATTATTTTCAAGTTGAATATCTGGAATGTCAATCTATTAATTTTTTAATGTCCATTCTAGATGCTATGCTAAGTGAGTTTTAAAATTATTTTTCCTTTTTAATTGAAAGCATACCCAGACACACATTAAATAAACACAAAAAATAAAAATTCATAATCATTCTGTTTTTTCTTTGTATCACTTTCCATTCTACTGAATTTTACTAATTATAAATTTAAATCTTTTAATCTTGCACTTTTTTGTTATTTCTAGACTTCAATTTTAAGAAATTATTTTTCCTCCACATATTTATAAAATATATACTTTCTCCTATATAGTATATTTATTTCATAGTAATATTTAACTCTAATAAATCCCACATTTATTTTTCTATATTATATGAAACTAATTTTTGTTTTTAGAAAATAATGCAATTCTGATAACTCATTGCCTGGAGTTAAATCTGGTACCATATCTGAGCACTACAATTGATTTCAAAGAGTTGTACCACTGCCTGCGGGATAAACATGATGTTGTTTTTTTATAATTGTTTTAAAATACATTTTGCTCTTTGTTTAGACCAACAACGTAATGTCCAGATCTATCATCATTACACTTCTTTAGGATAGTTGTTGACAATATCTACCTACTTAAATTTCTAAATAAATATAGATTTTGTTGAGTTCTACATCTTATTGGACTTTTATTAGCATTAGCATTACATCTAAAATGTAACTTGGGAATGGATTTGTTTAATTGTTTATTGCTAGTATAAATAGGATCTCTTCTATTTTCTAATTAGTAACTGTAGAAATCATGGATGATAATGATTTCTAAATATCATAGACCATAACTAACTACAGAGTTTCTTCTTAAGGCTGGCAAAACTATGATAAAAATCAGTGTCTCTTAGAGAATAAGATTAAAAAAATTTAAATCACATTAACTATAGCTAAACTGTAAGTACATTAAATTTATTGCTACAAATCATGTAGTTTAAAAAAAACCCCTCAAATTTGCCAGATTTACAAACTTACCCCACTATGGAAAACTGGCTTTCTTCTGAATTGCCTTCATCAATTATTTATTGCTGCAGGGTTGCAATAGGCTGAGGTAGATGCTCTTATGGAGTATCTAATATTTCATATTAGGCAGATAGTGTTTCATTTTTAAATTTCAAGCCTTGTGCCTGTAATCACAGCTACTCAGGAGAGGGGAAGACCGCTTGAGCCCAGGAGTTCAAGACCAGGCTGGGTAACATAGCAAGACCCCATTTCAAAAATATATATATATATATATATAAGCAAACTTTTTTAATAATTTTAGAATCTATGCTCTTAAGACCCACATTCTCTCTTGGTTTTATTTTGCATATTCTCTTTTGAGTTTCTTAAGGGTATTTTTGTCTGGACCTAAAGTTCTATCCAAATATATTGAAAAAAATGGGTAGCCCCTCCTTTGAGAATTACCACATAGACTCCATTTGATCTATAGGATAGTGAGTCTTATTTTTACGTGATTATATTTTGTTTAAAATAACTCAAACTATAGAGAATTTTATATTTTGGAATACCAATACAAAAGAATGTTATATCAAAAGGACAAATTTTTAAATTTTGCTAGTAAGTGATTACAATATATGTCTTAGATTTGAATATTTAAAATAACTTTTTAAAAAGTCAAAATATAGGGCTTTTTAATTGGTTAAGTATGCAATCAGGTTATCTTCAAACAATGTTTTTATTGAAATTGGTTCAATATATGAAGCCTTTATTTGGCAATTTTCATCTTTATGCACTTTCCAAATGTTAGCTAGTTAATCTGCTTAACAATATTCCATTAAACAGTTGTACACATTTTATGTTCATACACTCCTATAAACTTTAACAATAATAATAATAATGATGCTTTTATCAGCTTTTTAAAACATCTCATTGCTTTGTTATATCCTATTGTATTAGTAAAACTTCTAAAACATTATCATATTAAAAGAATGCTGGCCAGGTGCAGTGGCTCATGCCTGTAATCCCAGCACTTTGGGAGGCCAAGGTGGGAGGATTACTTAAGCCCAGAAGTTTGAGACTAGCCTGGGCAACATAGGGAGACCCTGTCTCTATTTAAAAATAAAATAAAAAATTAGCTAGGCACACCAACCTGGGTGACAAAGCTAGACCCTGTCTCAAAAAATTAGCCAGGCATGGTTACACATGCCTATAGTTCCAGCTACCCAGGAGGATGAGGTGAGAGGATTGCTTGAGCTCGGGAGGTTGAAGCTGCAGTGAACCGTGATTGTTTCACTGCACTCCAGCCTGAGCAACAGAGTGAGACCCTATCTCAAAACAAACAAACAAACAAAAAACTGAAAAGAATGCTAGTAGGCACATTTCTATATACCAACAACATCCAAGCTGAGTGCCAAATCAAGAATGCAATCCCATTCACAATAGCCACAAAAAATAAAATAAAATGCCTAGAAATACAGCTAGCCAGGAGGGTGAAATATCTCTACAATAAAAATTACAAAACACTGCTGAAAGAAATCAGTGATGACACAAACAAATGGAAAAACATTCCACACTCATAGATAAAAATAATCAATATTGTTAAAATGGCCATACTGCCCAAAACAGTTTAAAGTTTCAGTGCTATGATTAAAAAGTCAAAACATAACAGATGCTGGCAAGGTTGTGAAGAAAAGGGAACGCTTATATACTGCTGGTGGGAATGTAAATTAGTTCAGCCACTGTGGAAAGCAGTTTGATTTCTCAAAGAACTTAGAGCTACCATTGGACCCAGCATCCCATTTTTGGGTATATACCCAAAGGAATATAAATTTGTTTTTACCATAAAGACACATGCATGCGTACGTTCATTGCAGCACTATTCACAATAGCAGACATGGAATCAACCTAGATGCACATCAATGGTAGACTAGATAAAGAAAACATGGTTTATATACACCATGGAATACTATGCAGCCATCAAAAAGAATGATATCATGTCCTTTGCAGCAACATGGATGGAGCGAGAGACCATTATTGTAAATGAAGGGAAAGAAAACCAAATACCACATGTTCTCACTTATAAGTGGAAGCTAAACATTGAGTACACAATACAGGTATACTTGAGGGTGGAGGGTAGAGGGTGAGAGGAGGCTGAGAACGGAAAAACTACCTACCAGATACCATGCTTATAACCTGGGTGATGAAATAATCTGTACACCAAACCCCTGTGACATATAATTTACCTATATAACAAACCTGCACATGTACCCCTGAAAGTAAAAATTTAAAAAAAAAAATAATGCTTGTAGGCATATTTCTATTGAATTTAAAGGAGATGATACTGTGAGTCCCATTGTATATTCTTGTTTAACATATGTTTACTTTTAAATATTTGGAATGGAATATTTTCAGTATTTCTTAATAAAGCAAGCCTACAATAATTTATTTAGTTCCTAAAACTTGCCAAGTAAAAATATAGTCTGATTTTATAATCATACATTTTATAAATCATTTTATAAATTCATTATAGTGTTTATAACACAAAAGTAGGTAAATAAAAAGCATTTTAGATATGATGTTGACAATTGCATGCTACGATCCAATGAGAAGCCTTTTTATCTTGATGTTTTCATAATTTTGAACAGTACTGGTGATTAGCAAAATAGCTATATTTAATAATAAAATTTTGGTTTAATATGAATGTTAGGGACCACAAAGAGATCCTACTTCACTCTCACTAGGATGGCTATAATCAAAGCGACAGATGCTAAGAAGTGTTGACAAGCCTGTGGAGAAACTGGAACCCTCATACATTGCTGGCAGGAATGTAAAATGGCACAGCCACTTTGAAAACCAATTTGTTATTTCTTCAAATATTTAAACATAAGATTCTCTTATGGCCTAGCAACATCACTCCTAGGTATGTACCCAAGAAAAATGAAAACATAATGTCCACACAAAAACTTAGCAGCAGTATTCACAATAGCCAAAAAGTGGAAACAACCCAAATGTTCATCAGCTGATGAATGGATAAACAAAATCAACATATGGGATATATTCACACAATGGGATATTACTGATACATGCTATATAACATGAATAAACCTTGAAAACATTAAACTAAGCAAAAGAAACCAGACATAAAAGGCAATAATATTGTATGACTACATTTATACCAGATGTCCATAGAGACAGAAAGTAGAAGTAGATTCGTAGTTGCTAGGGGCTAAAATGGGGAGTGGCTGCCACTTGGTACAGGGTTCCTTTTTGGGGTGATAAAAGTGTCCTAAAATTGATTGTGGTTCTGATTGTACAATTCTGTGCATATACAGAAAACCATGGAATTGTACAAATTCATGCTATGTGAATTGTATCTCAGTAAAGCTATTAAAATATGCATACTATGTATGTAAAAAATAATTTTATAGACAGTAGCATCTGGTAAATGTTTAACACTTGGCTCTAAATGTAGTTCTGCCAAGAATACAGTTCATATTTTTGTTTACATTAGCTAATAAAACAATGGAGGTGCATATCAGAACTTTACTCACTCATCAGTGATGTAAATGAGTTCTTTGCGGAATCATATTTTAGTAGGAGAATATTTTCTTGATGTTTGTGCTATTCCCAATATGGCAGCTATAGACACGACATACTTTTAATTTAACCTGCATTATTAACATTTTCCCTGTCACATTTTAAGTACAGTCAGTCAACAAAACAATAAATCATAGCCTGATTTGTAGCATTTGCCAATGTATGGAGTAAATACTCCCCCTATCGTCTTTTTCAAGCTACCAACATAATGTCATTAAACATATAGTTGAGAAGAGATGTGCAGTAGTACACTATTGTATAGTATTTCCACCATACGGATACTATAGCTGTAAACAATCTCAAAAGATGAGTGAATGAATGGTAAAATGTAGCAAAATAATTTGGAAGTTTTGAGTATCTATTATTTTTGTTTTTAATTTTTTTTGTATTTCTATAATTTAATTTTCAATGACTGTGCTTAACAGCCTGCTCACAGAATTTCTGAAAATGTGGTAACTGACTTTTGCAAGCTGGTGTGGAATAATACCACTGAAATAATACCTGAATGAGGAGGCTCTGTACTTACTTACAATGTGAAGCCTAGTTTACACGATAAATTTGGGCTGTGGAGACATGTAGACATGTAGCCTTTAATTAATGAAGCTTTAAAAAAAGGGAAACAAGGTAAAATGAAAGTTCAAAGGATATTAAGCAGGTTATTCATTAATTTGAGATTATGTATTGAGTTCTTAATATATTCAAGATGCTGTAATGGGTCCTGGTAATACGAAGGTAAATAAAGATATAATTTCTGCCTTTGGGGAATGCATAGTCAAGTTGCTGGGCTAGATATGTGAGCAAAGCAGATACTGAAAGGACTATATTATGATAAAACAGAAATATGTTCCAAAGTCTATGGAGAAAGGAGAAGAGAAGGAGGAAGAAAAATTAAATGAGTATTTTTTGAAAGCGCAGGCCTGCATTTTGGAAGAAGTTTCATTTGAATTGGATTTAATGGATGAAGCGTGTATTAGGTGAAAATGAGAATTTAAAGCAAAGAATATAGGCTTAAATAAAATCAAGAGACTATAAAATGGAATATGAATGGGTGACTCCCAAAATTCAGATGCTAAAAACCTGTTGTGTAATTGGCATATCCTAGTTCATTGGCCAAAGGTACAAACACAGTCCCATCATTTATTACTTTCATAACTACTATTTATCCTTTTTAATCCTTATTTGCCCTTATTTGGTGGACATACATCACTTATTCCTAAGCTCCACCCTGCTCCATGAATTTCTATCAAGTCCTGGTTCTTATTGAGATTCAGAGGAAAGGATAATAGTCCTTCATTCCCACTTTCAAACACAAGGTAATACAGTTGGGTTCCAACGTCACAGCTCTCTGACACAGGTGTGATTAATTACTTTTTCCCAATAAATAGTACCTGGTGAATCCAGCTTTTCTCCACAACACTAAGGCCCCTGGTTAGAGACTCAGGTGTGAGCTTGACCTCACCTGGCCTGCTCTCAGAATTGACTCCATTGGACTCCTAGTGTCTAGGCTGTGAGCAGAGCAATGCATAAGAAGTGAAGTGGTAACTTTGCTTAGCCGCACAAATTTGTACAATTAAGAGAAACCACTGAAAAGCCTCTTCACAGAACAAAGCACTGCTCAAATTGACTTTCTGTTCTGCCTATATTGAGAAGCAACTGGCAGTTCCCAGATCTCTTTCTCTGTGTGGGTGACACAGTGATACACACACACACATATATACACATATATGTATACATATATAAACACACATATATATACATATATATAGAGAGAAAAATATATATATTTTCTGCCTTAACAGGATTCCTACTTAATGTCTGGTTTAAGAGGTTCCCTATTATCACATTGATAAAAAGCAGAGTGTTCTGTAATTACTGCTACCACCTATGCTTTATCACTTTAAGAAATTATGTGGAAATAATCTGATCTTTGCAGTGCTTATTCCTTATGTGATCCCAGAGTATTGTAACATTCTCAATCCTTGATTCTGTCTGATCCAATCTCAGGTTTGAAAATACAGTAAGATTGTTCTCTTTAGAATAGAGATGTGATTGCGTCAGTCTCCTATTTGAAATCTTCCCTCAACTTCCCATTGCCCTGAAATGGAAGTCTCACATTTTCCACATGCCATACATAGAACAGCGCTGCTCCTGCTCTTGCGTCATCAGGGTCCATTCGTCTCCTAATCTTCCCTCTACTTGCCCCTCGTCTACACTTTAGCTTCAGCCCCTTCAAAACTATTTTATTTTCCCCAAAGCTCCCAGGCTTTTTCTCACTCATGCTCTTTCCTCTCTGTCCAGAGTGTTTTTCTATTCTTCTCTCCACCGTCTTCTATTCCTTCCTTGAATTTCACTGTCTTACCCACAGCAAGCCCATCTCAAGACTGGTTAGAGTTCTCCTAGGTGTCCCCATAGCACTGTAGATACACTCAGTACTGGAGCCCCAGGCAGGGTGGGGTAGTCAAAGAACAGGTGAGCCAAGATGGCTGAGAAAGCAGATTGCTTCTTACATGGGTGCAGGAGCCATTTTTTAGGTGTGGCAGCACAAGGCCTGCAGGTAAAAGAAAAGAAATGAATTATAAAATTATGAAAAATAAAAGTGAATAAAAATGAATTTCACAGTTGATGTCGGAAAGAAAGGAGGGTGATGTGAGACAGTAATTCAGGTTCCAATGAGGAGGTCAATCGGCCTCTCTGCTAAGGAATGTCAGATTCCTTATTTATGATTTTTAAGGTCCCATATTTACTAAAATTGTAATGGAAAATTAGGCAACACCTGGAGATTTCTATTTATGAGTTCCAGGCATTAAGTCCCACCTAAAAACTTAAACTTGGTCTTATAAAAGACAGTATAAATTATTAATATATACATTTTTAAAACTGTAATACATCTTGATTCCATTGGCATATAATGTTAATCATCATACTAGGTAGTATTTTGAGACTTATTATTGAATTCGTGACTACCTTGGCACTATAACAGATAGTCCTGGTACAAAAAAAAACAAAAACAAAAACAAAAACAGTGCTCTTATAAAAATGTAAACACAAAGAATATTTGATTTGAAACTGTTTTGTAATGTTGGTTGACACTTGCCGTAGAAATCTGCAATTGATTTCCAATCAATGGAATTGACATTTATTCATTTTGTAATGTAAATATTCTCTAAAGGAGAGGGAATTTTATACTAAAATATTTCTGTACAAAGATTAATAATAAAGAAACCTCCTTGGAGCCTCAGTTTGCCTCTTAAAAGTTTGTAGATATTTTCTGGACTTGCCTTATCTGGTCATCAGTGATGACTATCACATAAAAAATCCGGCTGGACGTGGTGGCTCACGCCTGTAATCCTAGCACTTTGGGAGGCCAAGGCGGGCAGATCACGAGGTCAGTAGTTCAAGACCGGCCTGGCCAACATGGTGAAACCCCGTCTCTACTAAAAACACAAAAATAAATTAGTCGGGCGTGGTGGCACGTGCCTGTAATCCCAGCTACTCCAGAGGCTGAGCAGGAGAATTGCTTAAACCCGGGAGGCAGAGGCTGCAGTGAGCCAAGATCGCATCCCTGCATCTTAGCCTGGGCGACAGAGGAAGACTCTGTCTCTGGGTTTAGGGGCGGGGGAGGAATCCAAGTCTGTGAGGAATCTCTTGGAGAACATGCAGACATAAGCTAAAATAGAGAAGGCTATATCATGCCATATTAGAAATATTAGAAGAGCAATAATTTTCATGAATTATTCTTAAACAACGAACATAAGAGAATACGATTTTATCCTATAAAAATGTTGTCATTGTGGAACTTGTAGAATTAAGTTACAGATACTCATGCCCTAGTTTAGAAAGATTACATGTAAGTGCATTCTGCTTTTCTCTGTGTTTATGCTGTAGAATCTCTCATAAGCAAAATTTCAAGAAATACGTACTATCAACTCATAGCTTAGCCCTGAGGCTTCCAGTACTTAAGAAACCTCCTTCCTTGCTCCTTAGGATCGCAGAGTTCTCAGGGCCCTCTGGTAATATTCTTTTTTTTTTTTTTTTTTTGCATTTAATTTTTATTTTTATTATTTTTATTATACTTTAAGTTTTAGGGTACATGTGCACATTGTGCAGGTTAGTTACATATGTATACATGTGCCATGCTGGTGCGCTGCACCCACTAACTCGTCATCTAGCATTAGGTATATCTCCCAATGCTATCCCTCCCCCCTCCCCCCACCCCACCACAGTCCCCAGAGTGTGATATTCCCCTTCCTGTGTCCATGTGATCTCATTGTTCAATTCCCACGTATGAGTGAGAATATGTGGTGTTTGGTTTTTTGTTCTTGCGATAGTTTACTGAGAATGATGGTTTCCAGTTTCATCCATGTCCCTACAAAGGACATGAACTCATCATTTTTTATGGCTGCATAGTATTCCATGGTGTATATGTGCCACATTTTCTTAATCCAGTCTATCATTGTTGGACATTTGGGTTGGTTCCAAGTCTTTGCTATTGTGAATAATGCCGCAATAAACATACGTGTGCATGTGTCTTTATAGCAGCATGATTTATAGTCATTTGGGTATATACCCAGTAATGGGATAGCTGGGTCAAATGGTATTTCTAGTTCTAGATCCCTGAGGAATCGCCACACTGACTTCCACAAAGGAAACAACAGGTGCTGGAGAGGATGTGGAGAAATAGGAACACTTTTACACTGTTGGTGGGACTGGTAATATTCTTAAGTATCTATGGCTACCACAAATTGAGAGTTTGCTTACTTCAAATGCCAGCAAAGGTGTTGCTTTTTCATTTTCAGCCCCTCACGTGGTGCCCATCCCTGAGAGTTCCTTTGCCCCAATCCAGACTTACAAGACCCCATCTTATCCCTCAATTTCTGGTTCCATTTAGCGGTAGCAAGATCTTAAAACTAGTATCTACTGGAATATGTCAGTTCTGTAATGCTGACTGAAGCTTGAGTAAACCAGGTGCTTGTAAAGTGGCATGAAATATCCAGAAATAAACTTTACTTTCTACGGGCATTAAATTTACTTCCACCTTTTAGAAAGAGACTTCAATTTACCTTATTAAATAACTGACCAATCTGTATTCACCACTAAAACATTCTAAGTAGCGTATTGAAATAAGCTAATCTTTACAGTAGTATAACTGATTTTATCTGTGATGAAAATCCCAAATATTTATTGTCACGATTTTTGTTTTTTAATGTGTTTTTCTACCTATGTGTTAGCTTCTTTAATTCGAATGTTATTCTCTATGAATTAAAAATATTTTAATAGCATTCTCTTAGGATCTTGCGTTTATGGTTCCTTTTTCTTTGCAGCCAAAGATTTTCTATCTCCCACATTCGAGACTGAGAAACACCTTCTATCTGCCCTATAAAATCTTATAATCAGCAACGTTATGTACCCTTTGATATCATGCTTCGAGAAGGGCATATCACCTCTGTGGTATCCTTCGCAATCATTCATGACCTCAATCTAATCATGAGAAAACATCAGGCAAACCGAACGGGAAAAATGTTCTGTACAATAGCCGACCAGTCCTCTTGGAAATTTTACAAGTAACTCACATTCCATTAAACAAGCCATGTTGTCGAAAGCACACATTCTATCAATTTGACAAAGATTGAAAATCCCTGAAAAATTATTCTTTTAGAAAGATATTTTATTAAATCAATGAAAAGTGATCAAAATGTTACCTGTCAGTTTGCCTAAAATAAGTGTGAACAAATAGTTTTATAACACTTTTCCATCACTTCTCTCTGCAGGTGACTCTGCTAATCTAACCTGCAGAGCTTTCTTTGGGTACAGCGGAGATGTCAGTCCTTTAATTTACTGGATGAAAGGAGAAAAATTTATTGAAGATCTGGATGAAAATCGAGTTTGGGAAAGTGACATTAGGTAATTTTTTTTCCTTTTAACCTGTATAGTCAAGATTAACATTTACTCCATTAGTGAATAGAAAGTAAGCTGAAAGGATTTTTTTTTGTTTTACTAGTATCATAATAAAAATACTACAATATTTAATGATAAAGAAGCAAAACACTGTTAACAGACTTACTATGGAATTGCAAAACATGAATGCCATTTGCAAAGAATTTAAGAAAAATAACGAAGATTGTTCATTAAGCCACATACTGAGTGCGGCTGGGGGTGGTGGCTCTCGCCTGTAATCCCAGCACTTTGGGAGGTCAGATTGGGCGGATTGCTTGAGGCCAAGAGTTTGAGACTAGCTTGGCCAACATGGAGAAACGTTGTCTCTACTAAAAATACAAAAATTAGCCAGGCATGGTGGTGCGTGCCTATTGTCCGGGCTACTCGGGAGGCTGAGGCATGAGAATCACTTGAACCTGGGAGGCAGAGGCTGCAGTGAGCCAAGATTCTGCCACTGCACTCCAGCCTGAACAACAGAGTGAGACTCTGTCTCCAAAAAAAAAAAAAAAAAAAAAATATATATATATATATATATATATATAGTGAGATCAAAATACCATAAAATATAGAAAATGTTAGTGTACTTTTTGTATATGAGACCTTTTTTTTAAAAAAAAAAAAAAAAAATGTTCTTTGGGAGGCCGAGGTGGGCGGATCACCTGAGGTCAAGAGTTTGAGACCAGCCTGGCCAACATGGTGAACCCCGTCTCTACTGAAAATACAAAATTAGCCGGGCATGGTGGTGGGCGCCTGTAGTCCCAGCTACTCGGGAGGCTGAGGCAGGAGAATCACCTGAACCTGGGAGGTGGAGGTTGCAGTGAGCCGAGATCGCACCATTGCACTGCAGCCTGGGCAACAAGAGCGAAACTCTGTCTCAAAAAAAAAAAAAAAAAAAAATTTTCACAGGAAACATTAACAAGGTACAGGGACTCAAGCAAACACAATCTCTGTCATTTCCTGCTACGTATTTTTACATATTTGAGCCACCAAGTGGAATATAAGCTTTTGATGGTAGTGATAAGGATACACAAAATGTGTTTATCGCCTTTCTTAGTCTGACTTTAAGGTCGAAATATTTGTATAGTGGGAATGATAACATGAAAATATTTGAAGGCATAATGCCTAAGCCCCTTTTTTGTTCAATGTGTTTACTTATTTATTCATTTAAGTATCAATTATAATTCATTCAATGCTAGCTGTAATTATGCTTTGGCATAGATACTTATTTTTATTCATAATGTAAATATGCAAGAACGTTAATAATAATAAGTAAGTTACAACCACATCAAAATGATGATTACTTCTAAACATACTCCCATCTAAAGATTGCATCTTCTGGGTATATACAAACATTTTAATCATGGTCCCCCATTCTAAATGTCAAGACTTTTAAAACTTTATCAAAGGTAAAAAAGAAAATGATTTTCAATAGAAAAATAACACATTTTCTATTGGGACCTTCTTTCTGGCAACAAATACATAAGAATATTGTACTCTAGAATGCCCCAGTGGGATTCCAGAAGGCTAGATGGACAATTGTCTAATATGTACTAAAACATTTTTCTGCTGATTTTCGTATTTAAAACTTCACTCTTATCTTTTACCCATGGTCTATGAAATGCTAAAATAAATGAAGGACAATTAACCTCCTAACTTTTACCCCCTCTGGCTTTGTGTGTGTTCAGGGAAGTTTCTAGAAAGGTAGTTTAATTCTGCATTTAAAAATGTTGAACAGAGATGACAACGAGGTTAGTGAGCATTTACCATTAATTTTAATGTCAGAGTTAAATACTTCACCAGAACTTTTAGTCTACAGGTTTATAGTTTCACGTTCCTTCAAAAACAGGCAATTTGTTAGTATCATTAACAAAAGTCAGACTGAACATTTCAACTGAAATGTCAAAATAGCTCAGAAATTTTCTTTTCTTTTTTAAAAAATTAACCTGACATGTAATTAGGCCTTCAGCCTGAGACATTAGAATTTTTATCTCAACTTACATAATATTTCTTCTTAAAGGGAAAGCAATTTGTAAACTTTTTCTTCAAGGTCTTTCTCACCTCTTTATTATGACAGTGTGATTGTCCTGCTAAGGGAGATAATTAACTGCAACTTCATTAGCATCTACAAAGACAAGCTTCCTCATTACAAGTGAAGAAGAAAAGGGCATAACTTAATTAACACAGCATCAATTCATAGCCAAATTAGAAGCACAGATTTTGTAGGTAGTTTTACATCAGATTCGGATTCATCTACATTTCTTTCTTGTTTGTGTATGTGTCTGTTTGTGTGGATTTTTGTTTTGTTGCTTTACATTTTAGAATTCTTAAGGAGCATCTTGGGGAACAGGAAGTTTCCATCTCATTAATTGTGGACTCTGTGGAAGAAGGTGACTTGGGAAATTACTCCTGTTATGTTGAAAATGGAAATGGACGTCGACACGCCAGCGTTCTCCTTCATAAACGAGGTGAGTGTAACCTTCTAAGCTTCGGTGGTCAACTGAATGTATGATGGGAGAAAAAATCATTGGGAACCAAGAAACAAATTTAGTTTTGTTTTTCTCCACAAAGTTCTCCTAAATAAAATAATCATATTTGCATTAGAGCCACCGAGGCAAACAGCACAGTAGATGGGTGAGTAACTCAGTCTCTAAAATCAAATTTGAAATCCTTGCTTTTCTTTAATACCAACTGTGTAACTTTGGGCAAAACATTTAACTTCCCTAAGCTTTAGTTATCTGATAAATAGAATGGGGAAAATAATAGTATCAACCCTTCAGTATGTTGTCAGAATAAAATAAGACAAAAAAATGTGAAGGGCTTGACAGAGCCTATACAAGGAAAGTCGTTAAATGCTATTTATTATTATTAGAAATAGATATTAGGGGCCGGGTGCAGTGGCTCACACCTGTAATCCCAGCACTGTGGGAGGCCAAGGCAGGTGGATCACTTGAGGTCAGGAGTTCAAGACCAGCCTGGCCAACATTGTGAAACCCTGTCTCTACTAAAAATACAAAAATTAGCTGGCGGTAGTGGTGCAAGTCTGTAATCCCAGCTATTTGAGAGGCTGAGGCAGGAGAATCACTTGAGCCTGGGAGGTGGAGGTTGCGGTTAGGCGAGATTGCGCCATTGCACTCCAGCCTGGGTGACAGAGTGAGACCCTGTCTCAAAAAAAAAAAAAAAAAAAAAAAAGAAAAGAAAAGAAAGAAAAGAGAAAAAAAAAAAACAACTAAATGGTTTTAAGTCAAAGATTGTATTTCTTACTGGAAGATTGCTCCTTTAGTGTAAGAACTGTCTGGTGAATTCCCCACTGCAGTATTTTTTGACATATTGTTTCTGCCTTGGATAACTTTCATTTGTACAATAGTCTCCAATGATGAATAATAATGCATTTTTAAGTAAGATAAGCTGTGGTTAAGTGCAATGTCTGTTGTGCTAACTCTGCCTCTACAGCACCCCATCACCTTTTGCATAGGGTTAAGTGCATTTAAATGTATATTGAATTGTTTGAAATAAGTGACAACTGTAAAATGTGAGCCATTCCTGTTAGTAAAATTGTTTGTGTATATTACAAGAGAAAAATAATTTTTCTACATTATGCTAAGTTAAAACTTTCTACTCTTTGGAACAAGCACACTTGATGTTCTCTTACTCAGCAAATTTACAACGATTTTAATTTCAAAGCCCGTGTTTAATCCTAGACTCTTTGAGGTTTGAAAAGAAAGAGAACATTGAAGGCTGTTCCCCCTTCTTTATTGGGCAATAGATTCCCTTTGAATAATATTACTGAATGCTGTTAAAATAGACACCTCTGTTGTCAAGGTGACTATGGTACTAAAATAGTCTACCTTTTAGGGATGTGAGTCAAGGAGAAAGGTATGCAGCAGCTAACAATATGATTGTATCTTTCTATAGTTTAGTATATAGCCAATCAAGGAAGAGATTTTAGTAGAAATATCATACATATACAAGGACAGAAGTAGCTTCTCATAGTTAAAAGCAACTTAAGTGTTGTGTAATTGAACTTCTTATCCTGCCATAACATCTTCTGAAGTGATCTATCAGCTTATACTGGATCACATTCCCTTCTCAAGGAAGTCCATTTTATCTTTGGAAAAATCCGTTAGAAAGCATTTCACTTTCACTGTCTATCCATTGGCCCTAGTTCTGTACTTTTAATCACTCTTCCCCAAGACAGCCCTTCAAGTGTTTGATGACAGTCACCATGAGTCTCTGAACCTTTACTTCACTAGATTCAGCCTCTTTAGCTTCTTTTACTCATTCTTCATTTGTATTAGCGAAATACTTTTACCATTCTGGTCACTCTCTTGAATCTGCTTTAATTAAAGAGTTTGAATTAGTCCTCAAAAATGGAGTTAGGGGAGAGAAGATATAGGGCACATAAAAATGTGTTGACTTGAACAACATATTTTGGGGGGGGACAAGGGAGGGGTGACAGTTAAGTAGGAATCAAAGGAGAAGGGGAGGAAAATGAATTATATCTAAGGATAAAGCTATTAAAGCTCTGTTTTTACAGAGAGGCACACAGCCAAGAAGGGGTCAAAAAACCTCCAGGCTAAGTTGCCCAAAGCTATGAAACCTTCCATTTCTAGAAAAATAAATGAAGAATGAAGAAAATTATTTGAAATTTTTTCCAGTAATATTTGATTTCCTAAACATGAAAAAAATGTGGTCAATGTTAGAGTATTCTTCAGTACTTAAGTCTTTTAGTATGTTTTTCAAATATGCGTTTATACCAACGGCATTTTATTCTTGATAAATAAAAGCATTAACAAGCCAAAAAAAGGTCCTTCCAAGACATGTACTCCAAAAGTCCCTCTTAAAGTGAATGTATGCCTTCCTTTTAAGGGAGCTGCAGCAAATGAGTCATCAATTCACAAAGACACCAATGGATGCAATTTCCTGCTCTTGAGGGACTCATGATTATATGGAATGATCTATCCCACCCATCTTGGGGGGATAAAAAGGACTTTCGTTCACATATGACATGACCTGAACTTTACCAGCCCTGCAAGGTTCAGGAGAACAGCACACAGCATATATGAAATTATAGGTTTGGGTCTTTGATCATTGAGTCTCTAAAAAGTCAAATGTCTGTCATGCTAACAATTATGTAATTATCAGGTGAGTTGCTATATTACTCAGAATACTAAGGCTTAGATAAGGAACTGGAAGCTTTCACTATTAATTGTATTTTTCTGCCACTTACTCATAAATTCCTTAACTTATAAGCCTTCACAGTCTTCCCTTTTAAAACCTCCCTAGAGAGACATGTTCAAACATTTGTTGAATACTGATCTTGTATACCACAAGCTGTCATTGCTTCTGACAGGTAAACCTTCCAGGACATTCCTTTGCCAAAATTATCTAAGCAATTTTTCCTTCACTGTTACCTTTTGTTCATTATCATTGACATAATAAAATGATTTCAGAGCCCTCCAATGGGTGGTATGGATTCTTTGAAACATTGCTTCCTTGTATCAAATGTGTCTTCCTTAATGCCAAGGGGATACTATAATAAATAATTCAGCTACATTTGAGCTAGGCTATGTTCTGGGTCAGCCTTTTATCTGCGTAAAAGAATCATAATTCCATGAAAGCCTGCAGAAAATCTACCAAGAAATTTGACCATAGAAAAATCTTGCTCGAGAATATCCAAAGTTGCCAATTCCTGCAGCCAGAAAAGGTATTAGGTTCATCAGAATCTCATCAGACATGCAATATAGATATATTTCACTTACTATACAGAGCACTAGAATATGCAGCAAGAGAAAGACAGAGAATGAAACGGCAAGGCCCATGGGCCATATTGGTTTATGACTGCCCTGCTCCTTACTCTTCACTCCTGCCAGAAGCTTCTATTCAATCCTCTTTGCCAGACTCTGGCCTGGCAAGCTTGAGCATTAGATCCTGGCTTCAAAAATAATAATCAAAGTAAAGCGCTGACAAATTAGATATTGGGTTACTTCTTGTTCTTGTTATTGCTCATACTTGATTGAATTCCACATCTGAGTCTTTGAATCTTTTACCCAGATACACTTGCTACTGCCTGTCCAACACACACTGAACACTGACCTTCAGTTCTCCTCCAAAGCTCTGATCTGTCCTATTCTCTCCATTTTTTACATTTTCCATTTCTCTGACACAAACAATAGTCCAGGTAGATACCTAGAAGTATTGTGCTCTGACCTCAGGCCTAGACACTCTTGTACCCATCAAGCTGTCTCAGATTCCTTCTTCACTCTCTGTGCCTTCTGTCTATACTCTCATTTTGAATGACCTCACAGTGTAGACATGTTTATTATCTTAATGGTTAAGAGCATGGACTTAGGAGTAGGGCTGGCTGTGTTCAAAACCCAACTCTGTTCTTACTAGCTGTGCTATCTGGGGCAAATTACTTAATCACTTTGAGCCTCAAATTTCTCTTCTATAAAATGGGAATAATAATAAGACCTCTCACATAGAGCAGCTGTGAGGATTCAATGAACTCGTATGTGTAAATACTTATCACAGTGTCTGACACATACTTAGCACCCAAAAAATGTTAAGCTATTACAAGATTTCCTTGCTCTAACTATGTGATACTCTGGCTAATGAAGGATGCAGCAATTGTGTGTTCCATTAAAAATTCCCTGAATTCTAATTCATCTTTCATTAAAATCATCAGCTTTAGCTCCAGCAATTTTGTTCTGTCAATTCTGAATTTGACTTTATAATAGATATACTGTGGTTTGAATGTACTGTCCTAAAGGATAATTTTGTTTATTTATTCATGCATTTAATGATGACTAAGAACCTACTATGTGCCTGGCATTTGTGCTGGCCAAAGTTACAGGCATGAAAATTAAAATTAAATGAACAGGAAATAAGGACTAATATAATTTGGAATGCCATCCACTACTTTTTAAATTACAGTGATATTAAACATTCCTAATGTATGATTGTGCTTCCTAGTGAATGTTTCACTTTGAAACTGTCACATTGGGGATGTTCATTAGCAATCTTACTCTGAAGGGTTATGTTTCCTTATATGGATTACAAAAATATGGCAATTCATTAATCAAAATTTAGTTTGGGAACTGGCAAAGTATCTATCTGAGAGACTCAGCACTAGTTAATAATGATAAACATCTAGGTTTTCTTTATTTCCCATCTAACCCATTTTACTTCTTGTGTGCACTCTCTTTATCCCTTCAAAGAATGTAATCGATAGAAATTAGACCTGCTCAATAAACTCCCTAGACCTAAAAGTATCTTTAGTAATGTAATTAAGTGCACATCATTTAGGATGCATTGTTTTAAAGCCAGATGAATTTAAACCCAGTGGACTCCTTTAACCCTTCTTGTAACGAATCATCCTTGTAATATGTGCCCCATCCTTGTTAGTATTTGCCTAGTGAATTTATTTACTGAGAGTTACAGTAAGGTCATAAAACGGTGCAAACTTCTTTTGGGGCTGGCCATTTGACGTCTTTGACCATTGATTTCAGAATATGTTAAAGCCAAACTTCGTTCAGAAATCAAAACCTCCTACCTCTCTTTATGGCAGCATTTCCCTAGAAAGACAATGACCCATTAAAAGCTGAGCTAATGTCAATGAAATGGATACTTTTACTGAGTCTTAGCTTATGCAGTGCCAAAATATTAAGGAATTTTAGTAATGTTGCTGCAGCATCTCCAAATAAAAGTCAACAAGTTTAACAAATTCTCTCCTTGGATAAGATTTGACATTTTATAGTCAAAATTTTCTTCTGTCCCGTAACTGTTTTTTTTTTTTTTTTTTTTTTTTTTTTTTTTTGCTGGGGGGGGCTTCTCTGCTCATTTGTATAAGACGTCTAATAGCACAAATTATCCAATACTAATGATTTTGTACCTCTGCACTTCTTTTATTATTTATGTTTATTTTTACAGACAAGGCCTCATTCTGTTGCCCAGGCTAGAGTGCAGTGGTGTAATCATGGCTCACCGCAACCTCGAATTCCTGGGTTCAAGCAATCCTCTGGCCTCAGCCTCCCTTGTGGCTAGGACTACAGGTGCATGCCACTACACCTGGCTATTTAAAAAAAAAAAATTGTAGAGACAGGGTCTCCCTATGTTTCCCAGGCTGGTCTTGAACTCCTCGGCTTAAGCGATCCTCCTGTCTCAGTCTCCCAAAGTGGTGGGATTACAGGCATGAGCCACTGTGCCCAACTCCCTGTGTGCTTCTTGATACGGATATTCCAACAAGGCTATTGATTGCCACCAAAGTTGCAGACATGACTATTAACCACTTGAGCTATTTCCTTAGACTTAGAATATATTATTTAAATGAGATTAATCCCAAGTTAGTTATTTTTTTGCCTCAACCGTGAAATGTTTTGAAGGCTTTTTTTTTTTTTTGAGACGGAGTCTCGCTCTATCGCACAGGCTGGAGTGCAGTGGTGTGATCTCAGCTCACTGCAACCTCCACCTCCTGAGTTCAAGCAATTCTGTTGAAGGCCTTTTGATCCTAGTTTTTGCTAATCAGTTTTAATATGGAAGTATGTCATGTAACATTGTTTGGCCTCTTAGCCATTTTGGTCACACAGTTTTCTTCTCTATGAATGAGAATAACCAAGTAGCATCATTGTTAGAAAAGAAAAGGACCATTGTCTGCTGATGATTAACTTTTTTCTCAATTAATAAATGACAAGAGGGTGATCCTGGACAAAACCAATGTCGAGGGCCAAGAATAATAAACTCTTTAGTCTTTAATCATGCCTGTTGATCATTCATGTGGGCCAAAGCTCTTAAATATTTAATTATACATGGTTATAGTCACTGGAAGTCCTTTTTTGCTTTATTGAGTTTTACACTTGTTTTCTTAACTAAATGTTCAATTCTTGATACAGATCTTTAACTAGTATTTCTCTCTTACATGCTTCAAAGTACCAAACCCACTTAGTAAATGTGATGAATGGGCTGATTAAGTGTATTCTGAGTGATCTAAACTTTGTCTATAGCAGGATTTCTCAATCTTGTCACTACTGACATTTTGGGCTTGATAATTCTTTGTCGTTGTGGGGGCTGTCCTGTGCATTGTAGACCGTTTAGCAGTACTCCTAGCCTCTGCCCACTACATGTCAATACAACCTTCCTCAGTTATGAAAATCAGAAATGTCTCCAGACATTGCCAGATGTCCCCAGGGGTCAAAATTGCTCCTGGTGACAAGCACTGCTCTACAGTATAGATATAAAAAACTCAGTCTTCCTGGAAATGATTTCAACACTTAAGCTGCTCAATGTAGGGAAATTCAAAATAGAAGGACAAGTATTTTAATCTTGAAAACCTTCCAAGATTATACCAAATGTGACTAGAAGGTCAACAGAATGGCTGTTCTTACACCATAGGAATTGACAAAAGTTAGGTTTCTTCTATTTCCATGCTTAGAGAGTCAGCTAAAAGCCCCTAGACCAGTGCTTCACAAACTTTACAGTATGCACAAATCACCTGGGAACTTTGTTAAAAAGCAATTCATTAGCCTGGGGTAGGACTCAAGATTCCAATTTCAATCGAGTTCCTTATTGGTGTTGCCACTATTGGTCTGTGGACCGCAGCTGGCATACCAAAGCCCTTGCCTAGACAATAGATCTTTCTAATTAGCTTGGTAGCCTCTAATAGGTAAAGAGAAACTAGTTATCTTGAGCTCACTGTCTCCATGAGAAAGGAACCAAAGCTGAGTAGAGCCAGTCAGTAGGACTGTTTTTAATTAATTGCCTCATTCTTTTTACATGGTCAACACCTTTGAACCTATTTGAACAGTGGTTCATTGCCCTCACACTCTACTCTTAATGAGGTTACTTGTTTCACCTATTCAATGAATTGTGCTATATAACATACTTGCTACTCAGAGAGATGTCTGACAGGGCATTTTCTTCAAGTATTCAAATAATTAACCTCTTAAATGAAGAGGGCCCTCACTGTTGGACCCATTTCCTATTTATCTCATTTTTTAAAAAGGAAATAAACTTAGGAATGTCTCAACGACATATATATGGATATACACATATGTTTTAGCCTATGCAAATAGGTTGAATCTCAGCCTATGCAAATAACATATGGAGGAACACGATGTATGGTGAACACGAAATACTGCTGATTTTCTGTTTTGAACACTTACTTGTATTCAGCTAACTCTCAATTAAGTGTGGTAAGAAAGGATGGAAATGGTATGGAAATTGAACTGCCACATATTATTGGTCAATGATATGCTTCAAAAGCAGGAGGGAGGGAGGGAGGGAGGGAGAGAAGGGAAGAGAAGGGAAGGGAGGGAAGGAAGGAGAGGAAAGAAGGAAAGACCATAGACCATAGCAACACAGACTGGTTAAAACCATCTCTCCGAGTTCAAAAGTTTAATTCATTTTAAAAGGCATCTGTCTAGCATCTAACAGAGGCTATAAAACACAAGTATTTTTACAGCTGAAGCAACTAAACTAGTGTGTGTATAGTCAACAGTACACAATGTATTTGAATACTGCCAATTTTTATGTGACCACTGAGCTGCCAGTGGCAGCAGTCTACTCAAGTGAGGGCAGAAGGAATCCACTGGAACTCATATCGATGTATTAGAAAATGATAAACAGGCAGTGTAGAAAAAATAATTAAGTTTAAAACATTTGCAGGAAGCCCACAGAAATTATCTAGCACACAGCAAAATTCCACTTGTGTAATCAGAGATTCCAAACAAGATAGTATATTCCTAGCCACCACCTACCAACAACCAACCCCTCACTCCTCCTTCTCAGAACCACCTTCATATTTTCATTATTTCTGGGTCAAAACAACCTGTTGATTGACAATACTTCATAATCCCACTACAAATCTCACTTCACTGCAGGCTGCTTAAAAGAGATAATTCATATAATGCTGTTGTTTGAAAAAGCGACAAATCATTCTAATTCAACAAATATGTATTGAGTGCCAGCTATGGGCAAAGCACTGGGTTAGGCATCCTTACTAGTGGACTGACTGACCGCTGCCAGAAGGATATCTACCACCATCCTGGAGCATTAAAACAGCATTTTTGGGAAGAGGGAGATAGCTGTGCATTTTTATGGCTGCAAATTCCTGCATTTGGTAGAGAAATGGCACAACTGGGTCATAAAATGCAAGGTATAACTTTTAATAAGTAGTTCCTGTACGTTGAACTTTTGACAACCAGGTCAGTAAAGTGAGAAATTAGACATGACGCATACAAAAATGCTAACTACTATCTCGGGTCATATAGTAGGGAGAAAACGTGTTGATTTCCAGTAAATTACCATGGTAACTTGTATAGATTTTAGTGTTGAGAATTACATTTGCCATCTGTGGGAAATATATTATCTTTTTGTATCTAATTTTAGGGCATGTGTTCTATTTTTAGCATGTGTTCTATGAAAAATAATAAATTGGGAGGCCAATTTGGATAAATTAAAAGTGGATATTAAAATGCTATAAAAATAGAATTTATTTTTAATTCAAAAAGAAAATCCAGTAGTACATTTAGGAAAGCACACAAAGGTCATTTTTAAAACCACCTCAAAATTGTTACCATTAAGCGAAATTTGATATGAATGAGAATTGACTAAAAAGTGAGAAATTCTGAACTGTGATAAAAAAAAATGGACAGTTACCTGAGAGTATTTTGCTTTTGACTCTTTAGCTTTGTGTGACCTAGAGCCAATCTCTTTGTGTCATTGTTCTTCAGTTTTATCATTTGTAAACTAATTGCCCCTAGCCGCACTGTGGGAATCTTGAAAGAGCATATATGATACTGGGTGACTAATAATATACATTAGACCATTTGTCAGATTTTACAGATTCTCTGAGTTTTTACACATTGTGCCTCAATTTTGCCAATTTTGAAAGTGAGATATGGTGGTTGCTCTTCCTAGGGATTTTCTTATGCCTTAAGTGTTTGAAAAGTTGACTCAGATCTTTAGATGGCAAGTTTCTGTAACTGCAAAGTAGAAATTACAATTCCTTACGACATGCAACTGCAGTTCAAAGTACCGACTTACAATGGTTGCCAAATTCATGCAAACTAAAGTGGAAGAGGCCATTTTCAAAGCCTGAAAGTATTAAATATAAATTACCTGACTTAAATCAGCTTAGAATTATAATTCTACTCTGTATGTGATGTAAAATGAATTTGACTTAAAAATTTATTTATACCACCTCACAATTTCAAGGTAATGACTCACAACTGCTTGGGTCCATTTCTAATTCTCCCCAAACAAATATGTCTGTAACATTTAAATACCTTAATGTTGAAAGCAACTTAAAGAAATACATTAAAGATACCGCAATAAAATTCTATTTAGTTAGGCTTCTTCGGTAGACTGCTACCACTGGCAATTCAGCAGTCACATAAAAGTTGGCAGTATTAAAATACATTTTCTTCTGTGGGCTGTTCACATACTAGTTTAGTTTCTTCATCTGAAAAACAATGCAATTAGTCAAAATGAAATTTGAAATTTTTACCTCCTCTAAAATCAGATGATTGACTCCACGTTTTATGTGAATATTCATAAACTGTTGCCAAAACTGATTATTATTTATGAAGAGAAAAGCTCCACAGTGGTGTTTAAAAAATTCCTGTTAGACTTGCATTGCTGAACCAGGCATCTTTAAATGATAGTTGCATAAACAGATAGGCAAATAAATAAATAATTAGGCTAAAGTGGTTACCAAGAGAACTCTTAGCAGAACATAGCTTGCAAACCACACTGGACAAATTCCATTCCAAACTGTCCAGAATAAAAGGCAAAATATAAGCTATTTTGTAGTACTAGTATTTAAAGCCATAGATCAATTACCTATGTTAAGGCTACATGAAAACCTAATACATTAGAAAGAGATGCATTAAATAATTTAGTGAAGTATTAACAGTGGTTACCTCGAGGTGGCATGATTCCATGTGATCTTTAATTTCTTATCATCCTTATGCATTTTTCAAATTCTTTACTAAAAGCATGTTTTATAGAGTCAGAAGAAAAGTGAGAAAATAAATCTATTTTGGTATAGCTACTGAATATTTTTGAAAATGCTTATAGGAAACCTATCATTACTCTCTGCTATAAAATCAAGTTATTTACACATTTTTCAAGTATATTGAAATCTATTTGCTTGAATATGTACTCTTGCTCCCACTTTGTCTATTTTATAAAAAAACATTTTAGGGGACACCTTACTTCTACATTATTTTCTCAAGCCACTGCTAGTTTTCATATGCTGAAAATCAATACATACAGTGGGATGATAAGGTAATGCTCTATTCTTTGTGAAGCAGAGCTATGTTATGCTATTTTGGTAAAAGATAATTCATTATTGAGGACAAGCCCTTCATGTATACCAGTACAGAGGCCACTAAACTATGTGAGCCACAGACTTCTTCTCAAGTTTGTCATGGTTTAAGGAACCATTTACTGCTCCCTTTGGATGAGGCAAGTAATGGTAGGGTCTCCTATTGGTAGCTCCCAAAACATGCTCATTTTTTCATAGATTGTTAATGGGGAGGGGGGATTTTTTTTTTAAAGGTTAACAGAGTCTTGAAAGCATCTCTTTACAAAATGAGAAAGAAAGGCAAATTTACCACTATTTTCCTCAGCATGTTTATGAATTCAGAAGTGTTCATAAACATTCAACATAGAGAATAAATATATTTTTCTGTTATTCCCACTGGGGGAAATGAACCAACATATGATTTTTGCTTTAATGCTTTGTAACTCTGGAATCACCAAGATTTTGCATGAAACTTGTCTCAAGAGATAAACTATTACCAACAAATTTTGCCACACACATTTTCTTCTAATGCTTTCAGTAAGTCAGAAATCCATTAAACCCCTAAAGAAACAATATTAAAATAATAACATAAAATTCTGAAGTTTATTAATGTATCCCATTTGTATATTGCAATACAATCAGTTTATATGTGTGTACAATATTTTCTAAATGTAGTTCCATCAATTAAATATACTATAAATCA
The DNA here is from genome assembly GCF_000001405.40 of Homo sapiens. Taxonomy (NCBI): domain Eukaryota; kingdom Metazoa; phylum Chordata; class Mammalia; order Primates; family Hominidae; genus Homo; species Homo sapiens. The sequence goes on from NC_000023.11 coordinate 29,931,636, forward strand.
TCATACTATATTTGTTTAGAAGAGTTCAATATTTCTGTAGAAAACATGGCTTCTTCTATTGGTTATCTAGGCAGTCCAGATGTTCTGGGTTCTTTGGCCAATCCAAAGCATTCCCAATGGAAGACCAAATTGTTCTAACTATGACAATATACCCTCTTGAGGAAAATTGCTTTCAGGATAAACATCACATCCCTTAACAAGGAGTAAAATGGCAATGCCACCTTCACTCTGACAGTTTTCTCTCAAGAGATGTTTTGTAACATTCCATCTGTGCCTGTCTGTTTGTATGACATGTTAAGAAGGAAATTCCTAGTAGAGGGAAAGCAATACTTTTCTAAGGTATTTTCTTTTAGGCATCAGTGAAGTTTGACACCTTGATATACAATAGCCCTGTCTTCTAAGCTGGTCACCTGAGGCCCTTTTTGTTTGTTATTATAACAGTATCTTCCTTCTTTGTCTGTCTTCTCCCCATCATACTTAATCTTATGAGATCTGAGATAAAGGAAGCCCCATCTGAATACTTTGTACCTGTATGTGTGTGCAAACACACATAATGGTCTGTGTACATCTCACATTATAGTCTTTAGATAGAAATATTTCAAACACTGCCTTTATAATCTAAAGGGGAAAGGTTTTCTGCAATAAAGCTCTGTCTGTGTTAGTAACTTCACAGTATACATTTTGAAAATATATGGCAATTTTTCCCAAGGGAGAATCATTGTCCTATTGTACTGACCTAACTTTGCGAAACCTGGTTTAATGGGTTCCATGAATCCGCAAACAAATATTTATTGAAAAGGTACATGCTATTTGCTTTGAAAATAAAAAAAGATAACATATTCTAGCTGAGAAATCAAAGCATGAGTTTGCCTACCTTCACCTATCACATCACACATTCATTTTCCCAGTGCTCCAGACCAAACTACTTGCCAAAATCCTTTGCAGCTACCTTTGCATTGTGTCATTCTGTGTCTGACCCCTGTCTCTAAAATACTCCTACAGAAACACACACACATACAAATACCCCAACTGAATTTCTCATCTGGCTTATAATTGTGATACTTATAATGTAGCATTTCTTATATAAAAGGGGTCTAGCACAGTGACACTTAAGTGCTCAATAAATATCAGCTCTTATTATTATTATTTATTATTATCTGCTTACATGTCTGACTCTGAAACTAGACATGAGCACCTTTAACGCAAAAACATATTTCATCCATCACTTTCACTTTATCACTAGAACTCAAAAGCACTGTACCTGGTACAGAGAAGGCACTTATAAAACAAATAGAAAATGTATGTATTAGTAAGAAAATTTGAATAGCAGTATCAAAGATGTGAAGCAGTACATGATTGATTTCCAAATGTCAAGTGAATACAAACATTCTTAGTTCTGTAAGTCTATACAAGACTGTATTGTCATTAGCTTTGTGAATGAAAAAAAGAACAGAAACCAAACACCACATGTTCTCACTCATAAGTGGGAGTAGAACAATGAGAACACAGGGACACAGGGAGGGGAACATCACACACCGGGGCCTGTCTCAGGGTGGGGGCCTAGGGGAGGGATAGCATTAGGAGAAATACCTCATGTAGATGACAGGTTGATGGGTGCAGCAAACCACCATGCCACGTGTATACCTATGTAACAAACCTGCGCGTTCTGCACATGTACCCCAGAACTTATAATAAAAGAAAATGGAACAATAATTTTTAAATCTATACTATGAAGTTGATCATTTTTCTATATATTAAAAGTTTATTCCTAACTTAATGGACTGAATATTAATGCTATAATTATACCTTATCAGTTGCTTGAACCTTAGGATACATTGACTAGATACACAGACATATTCTTGGAATTTTAGAATAGAAACACATAAAACCTAGCTTTTTATTCAAAATTGGGTTTGTTCTTAATCATCTAATCAGTCATTCATTTTCACTGAATATCTTTAATGTGTCAGATAGTTAGCAAGGTATTTGGGATAAGTAGTGAAAGATATAGACAAAATAGACAAAAAAAAAAAAAAAAGAGAGAGAAGACAAAAAACTTGTCCTGATGGAATTTAAATCCCAGTGGAAGACAAATAATAAACAATAATACATTTATTGATAAGCAAATGAAATATTATGTTATATAGTGATGAATACTATAAAAAATAAAGACAAGTAGATGCAAAATGCAGCCACAGGTTTGTGACTTGGAACGAGTGGTCAGTGTATCCAATTGAGAAGGTGCCGTATGAGCAGAGACTTGAAGAAGCAAAGAGAGAGGCATGTAGAAATCTAGGGGAAATACTCTCTAGTCAGAGGGAAGCCAGAGCAAAGGTCCTAAGATAAAGTCATTGCTTACAATGTAAAACAATAAACAAAACTAACTCTGATATAATTCAATATGGTAAATGAAAAAAAAAAGGAACAGGAAATACATGTTCTAAAGAGGAAAAAAATCACGTTTAGTTGGAAAAGTTATATTGGAAGTGCAAGATCCTAACCTTTCCTTGAAGGACTGGTTGGGTTTTGGTAAATGAAGAACTTCTGGTTTGGAACAAAAAACTCATGTCAAATTTAATTTACATTAGAAGGATGATTATGGCTAAAGGTTAGTTAGCTGCTTCAATTAAAGGAATAAAGAAACTTAAATGCCCACATAAGGGGTTTAGACTTTGTTCCATGGGCAATGTAAATCAGCTAAGAGATCCTGCAGAAAATTCCAGGGTGAAGACATGATCTGGGAAGATGAAATTGAAGGCTTTGTGCAGATTCGTGTACAATAGCTGTAAATAACAGAATTTTAATACAAAGGTAATCAACCTGAAGTACACTCTAATTACAATAACACTTGCAATTATTATCTTACAATTTGACCTTTTATTTTTTAACTTTCTATTTTGGAATACAAAAACTGCAGATATTATAGAAAATTACAAGAACAGTGCAATAAATTTTCATATATCTTCTCCACCTAGATTTACCAATTAATAGATTTGCCACATTTACCTTATCTCTCTTCCTACATATAGGTAGGTAAAAAGAGCTGCACTACATATACACACACACACACAACATATCATTGCTAAACCCCATGAGAGCACATTGCAGACACTGAAACTAAATTCTTCAATGTGAATCCCCTAAAAACAAGAATTTTTTATGTAACCAGGATACATTTATCAAATTCAGGAAAATTCAAAATTACAAAATGCCATTGCCTATGATATAGTCTATATTCAAATTTCAAAAATTGTCCCAGTACATACCCTTTACACCATATTTACCATCTAGGATAATGCACTGCATTTAACTGCCAATTCTCTTTAGTCTCCTTTAATCTGGTATGGTTCCTCAGCTTTTCTTCGTCTTTGATAACACTGACATTTCGAAGAGTAGAAGCTAGATGGTTTTATTTTTTATAGTTGTCCCTCAGTTTGGATTGGCTGGACATTTCCTTATTTTTTTTGGATGTTTATGTGTTTCTGGCTATAATACTACTTAAATGATATTGTGCCCTCTTATTGCAGTACACCGGGGGTGGGGGGGATGATATCAAGTTGTCCCGTTATTGGTGATGTTAAATTTGGTCACTTCCTTAAAATGATGTCCATTTTTCCCCAGTGAGGAGGTACTATGAGACGGTGTGAATATCCTGCCTCACCAATCTTTCAACCAATAATTTTAACGTCTATTGATAATTTTTGCCTGAATCAATTATTATTATGATGGCTGAAAAATGGTCATTTCTAACTATATCGTTCATTTCATATTTACCGGTTGACATTCTGCTCTTAGGGAGAGCTTTCCCTTCTTGTTGGTTTATTTGTAACTAATATGAACACATGGATTTGTGCTTTATTCAGTTACTGCCATTATTCATTTTAACTCATCTTTTAAAACATACCACCTATGAATACTTCTTAATTCACAGAGAGAAAAACCAGCTTAACACCCTTCTTGCCTAGTTGAAAGAGAAAAAAAGCACATTCCAAGGGTAGGCTCTAGCATGCTGTGAAGAGAATGTTACACTTTTTCTTCTAGCCTTTCATTTTATTTTTCACTTTGAATAGTTCATTAACACATAACAATGAAGTTCCAAGGACCTGTGGGACCTTAGTCTAACTGGGCTCTAATGATGGGTCCTAGCCAACAACCATATTTGCATTTTGATTGGCAGTAAGTAGAAGTTAATTTGGTGCTTCGTCTAAAAACCTCTTTCCAAATGGCAAAATATACTACTTTGGAGGTAATCTTTTGCCCAAATGTTTGGTCATACAGATTAAGCCGCTCCATTCAGGGATCATTTTTATTTTTATTATTATAATTTTGGGGGTTTATACCCTGACTTCCCAAAAAGGACTTTTGCAAGATCAAAACTGTTATTCTTACATACTGGTTTGTACTTTCCCAAAACATTTTCTTCCTTTATGTGAATAGCAGCTTGATTTGTTAATGTGTTTCCCCCACCCCCCGCAAAAATAACTGCTTTTAAATTACACTGATGTATTGTAGAACTGAGTTGAGTATCTTTGTAGGCTGAGCATAATTATCCTCCTGCCAGGAACAAATAAGTTATACTGCTCCAGAGAAATAAATATGCATATGAATTTATGTGGATGGATAAATTCTTATAAACTTTAGCTCTTTATAACACAATGAGAGAAAAAGAAATGTACCTGGTGAGGCTAATGAATAAACTGGGATCATTATAATGTCTGTCATGCATTTTCCCCACAAACTTGCATTTTACTGCATATAAATGAGGGAAGAACACTTCAAAAGACTTTTTATAATGAACGAACCAACTTTAGGATAAACTACACAAAAGTAAGCCATCTAAAATCTTCAGTTATACCTTCTGGCAAAATTCTATATATATAGGAACACACACACACACACACACACACACACACACACACACACAGATCAAATAGAGATACTGACTAAAAACTGCAAGTCAAGAGTTCAAAAATACATATGAACTTTTACTTACTTTGTTAAAAGCTTTACCTTTTCGAAGATTTCTAGCAGAAAATGTTTGCAAACAATAACACCAGGTACAGGCCAAGAAAAGAACATAGTTTCCCATAGTATACTAGGTAATTGCAGCAAGATCAGTGGAAACCAAATGCATTTATTATTTGCAATGTAATTCAATATACTAAGAGATGGCACGCACTTTATTTTAATTAGCTGTTTCTTTTAAGGGGTTGCTTGCTCCCACTGTCTTGATAAGAAAAAATTGTAGTCATTGCTCAAAATGCTTGTAGCAAATCTAGTTTTAAATTGAAACAATTTATTCCAAAGCAGTCTACTACTGCAGCAATAATCAATGTGTTTTCCCTTAGCCTGTACTGGAGCTTTCCTAGGACTATTGTTAATTGCCTGTAACTAAATGATCGCTGGGGCCCTTAAATGCAACTCTTTGGCACTTGTTCATTTGTTGTTTTTAACCAAATGCCAGTTTTCCCTAGGTTTTGCCTAGCAATTTTGCTTTACAATTTTCAATATTCAGTCTCAGTCCCTTAAAGGGGGCAGAGTCTATCATTTTAACAAAATACACAAAGGCTAAACAGATTTTAAAAGGTCTGCATTTCTCCTTCTGTCCTCAGATGTTGAATTGTGCTGAAATGATATCTTTTTATTTTTTAAATGCTGCCACTCCAGGCAACTTGAACTAGAGCTGAAAAGTAGATCCCATTTCAAAGGGAAAATGACATTTGCTGGGGCAACACCATTTACATTGTAATGTAAAGATAAAATACAGCAGTGGGCCCAAATGATTTCTCTTAACTGTGACAGAATTTAATCCTTAGTAATTTTGTATAACCCAAAGGATAAGCAATAATAGGTAGCGCATGTATTAATGAATCTGTCTGGCTTGGAGCAAAAGAATACAGAGGCTAAATCTAATGCACAATTTTCTTTGAAAGGGTTTTCATATGCTATATAAACCAGTGTGACTTAAATAGAAAAAAAATTTAACTTGCATACATGTATAATGTGTAGGCTTGTATATTACACTCCTGCATAGAAATATTGTAATAACTGAGGGGCAGGCACTGTGCACCATGGGGAAAGACACATTTCCATTTTGTTCCTGACCTCTTTATAAGGACATTATAAGAACACTATGCTTCTGCAATGTAATACTACAGAAGTCTCTGGGGGAAAGTCTGTGATGCTCTCAGGATCTCAGGATAAATTAGCTCCTTGTAAATTCTGTTTCTTTAGACTTGTTTTTGGTATTCCTATTATTAGTAAATGACTATCTATGGCCCAGAAGAATTATTCTTGCTTATTGCTCATTCTCTAAGCATATATAACTTTTCATATGTTTGTACCCTAAAGGAGTTTTTCATGTGACACAAGACTGTTTCTGTAACTGCTAAGCTACATCAACCCTGCTCTCTTTTTCTTATTATATTTTAAACAACACTATTGATTGGCTATGTAGAGTATTCTAAGTAATGTATATCATTTCTTAAATGGCTCGTGACATGTAGCAATGGGAGTAACTCCTATCTGGGTAATTACTTTGCTAAAAATAAGAAGGACTTATTTTCATACAATTTTTCTCTAATTTACCTGTATTCAATTTCTCAAAATTAAAAAAGTATGTAGAGACCAGTATTATAAATACCATCTGGAGAAAATGAGAGTTCTGTTTATTAGATTGATCAGATTATATTTCAGGCAAATATTTTTTATTATTTCCAAAGCTCCTCGACTATCTATGGGCACTTAAGGCATGCCACATGCCCAGCCCCTGTGTAGTGCCTCCAGATATAAAGAATGTGCTTGGGGGCACCGTAAAAGAATCATTCCCTGCCTGGGCCCTTATCTACAGCAGAGCAGCTTTCCTGACTCCCAGCTTTCTTCCCACACTTCTCCCCACATAGGCCTTTGGTTAGAACTTACGTTTTTCTTAAAAAAAGAAAAATCAAAATGTTAAAGAATTGAAATATGATTCACATAATATAAAGCGTGTAGCTCTAAGTGTTTGGCTAAATGAGTTCCGACAAATATAAACACTTGTGTATCCACACCATAAACCTATTTCCTTTACCCCAGAAAGTTTCCTCTTGCTCCATTCCAACAAGTTTCCCTTCACTCATCATCAATGAATCTATTTTCTGATTTATGTCACTATGGATCATGTTGGTCTGTTCTTGAGTGTAATTTAAATAGAATCATACAGTAGGTATTATTTCTTGTCTGGCTTCCTTTTTCTAACATAATTTTGTGAGAGTCATGCATGTTTTGCGTATCAGTAGTTTACTACTTTTATTGCTGAGTATATTCTATCATATGAACATACAATAGTTTGTTCATCATTTCCTGTTAATGGACATTTAAGTTGTCTCTATTTGTGGCTGCTGTGAATAAATAAGACTATTCTGAGCATTCTCATACAACTCTTCTTGCAGATATCTGCTTATATTTCTCTTGGACAAATACCTAGGAGTGGAACTGCTATTGATATGGTAGATTTTTATTTAATTTTATTAGAAATTACCCCAAAGTTTACAATGTGGTAATATCACTGGGTACTCTCACTAGCAATGTTTGGGAGTGGAAGCTAAGTGTTCTTGATTCTTTTTCCATTTCTTTTTTTGTACAAGAAATTTTTGAGTGGTAAATTCCTAGTGTTTAATATACTAAATTAGAAAATCTTAAAAGAAGCCATAGTCAAAATGCTTATTTCTCACATTATATCCAATGTATTTTAAATCATATCTTCCTGATGTATAAATCACCCTGTGGGCATAAGTTAGAATTTTACACAGGCTTCTGTGTATGGTGGAGTTTATTATCTTGAGTGAACAAGACCCAATGTATCCCCACAGGATTAGCCGCTCACCCTTTCTGTTCATATAATAGGGGGAAAACATTATACTGAAGAGCTTTTTGTATTTTGTTCCTGGTATTTTTGTAGTACTGTCTTGTGTGGTTCCCCACAATGTTAATCAGATAAGCTGCTGGAGGTATTTTTCAGTGTTTTACACTTCATATTAATTTACTTAGACTCTAAAAGAGTTGATCTCACTTTATTTTTTCTTAGATGCATACAGTTCAATCGTTTTAAATAAGATTTTCTTCAATTTCCCATTTAATTTTAATAATTACAGAAAAACACACTTGATTAAACAGCAGTTAATGTGTTGTTTATTAAACTGTAGAATTAGAAATCAAGGGCTAGGTAATAGGAAATATGAATGAGGATTTTTTTTTTTTTTTTTTTGAGACGGAGTCTCGTTCTGTCGCCCAGGCTGGAGTGTAGTGGCGCGATCTCAGCTCACTGCAACCTCCACCTCCTGGGTTCAAGCGATTCTCCTGTCTCAGCCTCCCAAGTAGCTGGGATTACAGGTGCCTGCCACCATCCCCAGCTAATTTTTGTATTTTTAGTAGAGACAGGGTTTCGCCACGTTGGCCAGGCTGGTCTCAAACTCCTGACCTCAGGTGATCTGCCCGCCTTGGCCTCCCAAAGTGCTGGGATTACATGTGTGAGCCACCGTGCCCAGTCTGAGGACTTTTTTTCCTGTAATTATTACAGGAAAAGTGACATCACCTGCACACACACACATACACAATGTTCTTGTAAGAAAATGATGGCCGTGCTTTTCAGATTATTTGTCACTCATATTACACCAGTCCCATCATGATTTCACCCCATTTGTGAGAACTCAGGACTGATCTGATAACCTGAGGGTACTTGTTACCAGCAAAACCGTGGATCATTTTAAAGTTCTCAGTCTAAGCTTACATTGACTGTGTTATGAAATTAGATAACTTACTGGTGGATTCTGAATTACAGAATCAAGAATAACATTATTTTACAGCTTTAATTTCAGAAATGTTTATATTTAATTGTAGTTAAGGAAACTAGTACTTTTCAAGGTAGTTGTCAACTGCAGGGAACAATGGCTACCCATCAGTAACAACATTTGGGCTGTGATGATTACCGACAACGCTTAAAGTGAGTTTCAAAAATCTATGCATGATGGCTTACTATTTAAATACCAATATCCTTATTTTTGTTACAATGTCCATGGTTCTAAAGAAGGAAAAAATAACAAAAAATTTTATCTCCAAGTTTTCCTGATAAGTTTTGATCTAAGGTAGATATTCAGTAGAAAAAGGAGAATTTGTATACAGTGAGTGTCAAGAAAATTCCTTTTTTGGATAGAACGTAGTAACATGCCTGGTAAAAGGGGAAGCAAAAATCTTAAAAAGTAAACGGTTGAATGAAAATAAAACACCACCAACATATTCATATACTGTCCCATCCACTAGGAGGCCTACTTCTTACACCCAAAAAGCATTCAGCCTCCAAGATTATGGTAGACCACCTTGGTATCACTGTATTCAGGAAGATACAGCAGAGGAGCTATTGCTCCTGGCAGGAGTCAGCAGACAGCATTCATTAGATAGTCTTCCCAACATTCTATGCAACAATCCACAGTGCTCTCCTGAAACTGTGTTGTTTGACCTCTCACCTTTCTTTGGCCCCCAACCCACAGGTGACAGCTCAAGTGAGAGGGATCAAGATTCTCATTGGGAGAGGCCAAAAGTCATCCTGGCTTAAAAGCTTCATATCCACAGGAATCAGTATTTATTTTATCAACCCCATAAGCATAGCTTCCGGGATCTCCACAAGTGATACATTTATATAAGAGAGTTATGGTACTCTGTTAAACCCAATATTATAGTTTCCAATCAGATATTTACAATTCTCTTAATCCAAATGCAAGCTACCAACCAAGGTTCATTTTTACCACAAGCAATGTTGCTTAGCAACATGGTTGTCACATACCACCTTATCTAGTTACCAAGGAAACAGAGCTAGAAAGTTATCAAAAGGTCAAATTCTCATGCAAAAAGGAAAGGGGTTGTGTCAACCCGTTAACCCACATCTGATCTCATCCAGGAAAATGTGAAATCAAACTGAGTTTAATTTATGATTTTGGATGTGAATACCATATAATTCCCCATTGTGGTTTTTTCTTTCTAGAGCTAATGTACACAGTGGAACTTGCTGGAGGCCTTGGTGCTATACTCTTGCTGCTTGTATGTTTGGTGACCATCTACAAGTGTTACAAGATAGAAATCATGCTCTTCTACAGGAATCATTTTGGAGCTGAAGAGCTCGATGGAGGTAGGATGTTACCTCTTTTATTGTTCTTTCTGAATGTTCTAATTTCTTTCTTGTCTTTGTTTTATTAAGGGGAAAAAAATTACGTGCATAATCAATGGCAGCAGCTCGTATATTCTTTCAGTGCTCAGTTTGTAAATTTCTCTTTTGTAAGGAAATGTGTGATGCTTTATAGCCAATACTGTAGGTATTTTCCTCTGAAAGTTGTAAAGCAACACCTATCCATTTTAGAATTGTATTCCAAACACTTACAAATTACAAACACTGATTGCAATGCCATCAGAGTGTTCCTTTTCTCTCACCTTGTAATCAGGACTGAAAGGCCAGTTTTACTTTTTTTTAGGTAAGGAGTGTCTCTTTTAATTGTGTTTTCTAGCCCAGTAGTTTGAAGCGAATCTCAATTTGCTCCTGTTTAGACTGATCCGTTATAATAAACTGTACTGAGTATTTTAAATTCATCCAGCAGTCTTTTCAATCTTGTTTATTTAGCTATATTTAGATAGCCTAATTTTTATTCCAAGTGTGGACCAACAGAAAAATGCACAAGCACATTAATTTCATAGTAATGCATCTCATATTTTTACTGTACGTAGACAAATAAATATTGTTTTGTGGAAATCATAATTAGTATTTGCTTCTGGTCACCAATGAATATGTGTACAATCTAAGAGGAAAATGGAGTCCTTAAAATTCAGCTCCCTAAACTGCACATTAGACTTATGTTTTTAAAAAATAACAAAAAGGAAAATAAACTAAGATAAACCAGCAAGATGGGAAGCATATGCAAACTGACAATGAATAGTACAGATGACAAAGCTTTCTTCATCATTTTTTTTTTTTTTAGTGAGGTGGAGTTTCACTCTTGTTGCCCAAGCTGGAGTGCAATGGCGCGATCTCAGCTCACTGCAACCTCCGCCTCCCGGGTTCAAGCGATCCTCCTGCTTCAACCTCCCGAGTAGCTGGGATTACAGGCGCCCGTCATCACACCCAGCTAATTTTTTGTATTTTTAATAGAGACAGGGTTTCACCATGTTGGTCAGGCTGGTCTTGAACCCCTGACCTCAGGTGATCCCCCCATCTCGGCCTCCCAAAGTGCTGGGATTACAGGCACGAGCTACTGCACCCGGTCTCATCATATTTATATACTGTTTTTTTTTCAGTGATTTTCAGTTTTGCAGTAAATGGTACCAAGGAAAATGAGGCAATTGCCTATGTTGCCACGTTTCCAGGGTCCTCTGGAATAATAAATCCACAAGCAAAACTAGTTTTGCAGGTTTGTAAAGAGAAGTGGTTTATTCAGAATGCCTAACACTCCTCTTGGTTTACCCTTCTCTCCTTCCCATTAGGGTGAAGCCTGAGCTGCAGCAAAACCCTTTCTTTTTCTTAAGTTTTTAATTGCTGATTTGCCTATTTGTTTCTAACTTTCTTGCCTATTGATGCAAATTATTATTATTACTATTGCTGCTGTTTTAAAGAAATATAAGGACTTTGCCATTGTCGGAACTACTGTTGAATGAGCACCAAGCATAGTGCTAGGCATTCTTAGAGTCATTCTTGCTAACCCTCACAAACATCCTGAGGTCAATATTGTAATCTCCATTTTACTGATAAGGCAACTGAGACTTTCAGAGGTTAAATAACTTACTCAAGAAGATAACACAAATACTGTAAGTGTCCAAGATGGGATTTGAAAATAAGTCTATTCCCAAAGCCTTTATCTTATCGGATACTCTCTATTATTTGTATTTTTTTTAAATTTAGTATGTTCAGTATCATCTAAAGATCTACTGTTGTTTGCACAATTAGCACAGTACATGGTATTTGAAAAAGCACATTACCTAAACAAGTCTCCCCTTTTCTATTAACCCTGTTTTGAATATGTTTATTTTGTGTTCTGAATGAGATGAATCATTTTACCAAACTATCAATTTCTAGGGCAGTAATCTGTCATTTTCTGAATGTAGAAAATTCTGGAATATAATGAAAATGAATTAATCATACGCAGTGGAACTTTCAGTGATTCGAAGTTTCGTTTAGTGGGTCCTGCTAATTGTAAACACTTCAGTGACTGACTTGGGTAGCCTTACCATATTTCATTGCTGTTCTGAAGCTGCTGGGTTCTCAGTTTTTTAAAAAATGTTTTAAGTAAGAAAACAAAGCAGACAGACACTAACAAACAGTATTCTAACAGATGAGAAGGTTCTCTTGGAAAGCAATTTAGTTAATAAATCCTTTAGCGATTCTTAGAACTCTGTCTCTGAGGCCATCTTAAGCACAATCGAGGGTCTAACTATTAGGGCTTTTCTTGAAATGCCACTGAAAATGAATTAGACCCAAAGAAAACCAAGATAACAAACTTAACTGTCATCTGGAATATGTTAATGTACAAGTTATTCCCCTAAAAAGCGGGGGGCAGGGGGAAGCAAAGACTGTCAAGGCAGTGATTGTTCAAATGGTTTTATGGGAAGAAATTATTACTAGAACCGCAATCACATGTTCAGCCTCCCTATATTAAAGCAGACCCGTTCCTGCTGAAATGGTGGTCAGGGCCCCACTCTTAACTCGTATCTCCCGCTGCATCACACCTAACCTCTAGAACTTCCAGACACTGTTTTATCAGAACCATACAGCAGTACTAATAATTATATAGCAAGTTTAAAATCTATATCTTAACAAAAGTTAGAAGTGTATAATTGCAACTTTCTTTAATTCTCTAGTGCTCTAAAACCATTCAGCTTGGCTCTCAAGTTCCCATTTCTACTGAGAAAAAACTCATAACCTTGCTTCTCCAAGATTACTCCGTCACTTCTGGTTTGGAATTCAGCTTCTTGTGGGTTAACACTCAGTTGAAAATTGGAATATTCCATTTCCCTTCTTCTCTTTTACTCTTGTTTAAACCTGTTTCCAGGGAACTCATATGTAGCTTTCTGGTAAAGGAAAAAGTCACCTGGTGCATATGCCATCCCTTCCTCACTTGAGATACTACCACCTGGTCTTTGGACATGTTGAGCACTGACTTCTGAAGGCGTAGATCCTTGTCATGGCCTCCAGTCACAAGTTTCACACACTTGCCCAGATGTTTCTCCCTTGGGAATTTCAGACATTCTTACCTGTGTTTCTAGTCCCATAAACTCGGCTACACGCATACCCACCTTCCCATTAAAAAAAAAAAAGTAATCATCTTCTTCATCCTTTGCCTCTTTCATATACGGTTTCCACATTGAGTGCAGGATTTCTCTATGAAGTTTACAGTTTCCCAAGATTTTCCCTGGGAAACTTGACACAAATCCTCGCCCTTCTCAGATTCTGCCTCAAACCATATGAAGTTCTGTTATCCTCTTCTCCTCTCTGTGGCCCTGAGGGCCCCCTTCTCAGAAACCCATGCAGGCTGTAAACCTTAGTCACAGCCCCTTAGAGCCTCCTATACATGCTTTTATGGTCAAAGAATGGTCTACTCTTCCAATAGTGAAAAACTTCTCTGACATCATCAAATCCCCATGCTTCCTAGCTCTGCAAGCTTTTTCCTCTTCCAAAGAAGAGATGGCTATTCAACAAAACCCAAGGCTTTGTAAATTCTTGTCTTTTAAAAAATGTAATTTAGAGTCAAACCTGAGTATTGCCTTCTTTATTCATGGCTATCATATTTACCTTCCCTGAAGGGGTAATTTATAAAATACTTTTGAAAGTAAGATAAGGCAAAAAGTGTGAAAAATAACCAGGGAAAAATGTTTAATAATATCCTACTATAGCAATATGATAATAATAGATTCAATGGCCATTTATTGAATAACAAGTGATGTGTTGACTACTTTATCAATAATCAGAGAATCACACAATTAGAAAGACAGAATTTAAGCTCCGGTCTAAATGGCTCTAAATTCCAAGATATACAGCCATTTTATCAGACTTGCAGATGGAGTTTCTGGCATCAGGGACACATTCACTCAGTTCCTTTGGAGTCATTACAAAAGGCATTACCTGGCTATATCAGTTCTTTATCAGAAGGATTATGATTGATATAGAAGGATTCTAATATTTTTTAAAGATAGAACATATTGATGCTTTTCTCTCTCAGTTCGTTCACATCACTCCTTGTTCCCCTCTATATAACCTTACATTTTATTATCTCCCCTGCATTCAGTCCTTAGCATTTCCAATTCCACAACACTCCCCGCCCATACTCATTCTTTGTCATCCTCCATTTTACACCTCAGTTCCTGGTATCACCTTCTATCTCATTGGCCACACTTTCCCCTCATATGCCATTTCTAATTAGTCATCAATATCAGTCAATTGCACCTCTCAAAAATAGATATTTTCCTTACCCTTAATTGCAACTGCTTTGTCCAAGCCTCCTACACCACCCTCTTGTTTTCATTCTCTACTTCTCTATCTTATCCTTCACATTCTAACAGAATTATCTAAGTACAAATTTACTGTTCCATTTTTTAAAATGCCTCCATTTTGCCTGCTAGAACAGTCTAGACTTAGCTCAGAAAGCAATTGCCATCAAAGGGTGACCCACCTTACTTTTGTAGCATTGCCACCCCCATGGGATCTCAACATGCAGAGTTCTAGTTAGAATAAGATGTTAGTCTTTGTAATAACACAGCTATTGAGAATGAACCTAAGACAATGTAATCTTGCATAATTCTCTGAGGTTTTTGGGGAAAATGAAGTAACCACAATGGTTAAGGGGAGGAGAAGATACGCTATCCCCCTACCACTTTGATTCCACAATAAAAGGAAAGAAAGTTTGGATAAATTCTGCCAGAAAAATATTTATTAGCAGACAGCCTTATCACTCAACTTATAAATCAGAAGAAGTTCCAATTCTGTTGTATATGTGTGTGTTTGTGTGCATGTATGAATCTGCATGTGTGCATGCTTTTCAGAAACCTTGCAAGAAATTTTCTCCCAAGGCAAATGTGGCAATACTCCAGTGGTAGGATTGAACTCACCTTCTGTTGACATCCAAGAATAATTTTCATCAAGACCATTTTGGAATTAAGCCTAGAAGATCTTCTCCAAGGGGGCAGACCACTGGCCCTGCTAGATTTTTGTAAGGGTGGGAATGTGTTTCTAAATTGTGTTAAGTAATTCATATGTCTTGATTAACACTGATTTTACCATGGAAATACCATTTCCAAGACCCATTGTACACAGTAAAAAGCCACTATCTTTAGCAATGAAACTTGATTTCTAATATCCATTGTGTTAATTGATGAAGCATCTACTTTTGATCAGAAATATAGTTTAAGTGCTTGTAGTGACCGCCTCTGGAGTGTTGCCTCATTTTAGTTAAATGCTTGCTGACCATCCTAATAAGGGCAAGCTACTGTCTTTAGAGTAGAACTTATACTAACAAAGTACCACCACCATTTATGCTGGAAAGATTTTAAAAAACAATACAGACATCACAACAGTGTTAGACTCCTTTGCTCCTCCATGTCTCTGAATGGAGTGTCCCTTCAAGTTTTGTTTAAAGTTATAATCCTACTTTATATATTTTTTTCAGAGTGTAAAATGGTTTTTGTTGTTGTTTTCAGCTTTTTTTCCTTCTCTGACTATGAAGTATGTGGGGCATGCTTACTCATAATGACGCCAGGGCAAGCTTATAAGAACACTGTAATCACTAACACGAATCCTATTTTAAAGATGAAGAAAGAGATCTCCTAGTCCTACGTTGGGAGTTATTACAGGCATTGAACAAAATTAGTTAGAGCAATTTTTTATAATCTCCACCTCCATCTCAGAAAATGTGAACATCTGTTCCATTTCAGGCATATTAAGCACATTGGCATCTATGAAATCTTAGGCCATAGAATTTCTTTTTCTTTCTCTTTCAATGACAAGGTCACTCACTATTCATAGTTTCAGGAATTATTGTCCTCATGTCCATCAGTGAAACATAGTACCTCTGCAAATCATTTAAAAACCTTATAGGGATTTTTTTTGGTGTTTTTTTTTTTTTTTGGTGGGGGGGTGGGTGGTGGTGGTAGTTAGACCATTTACATACACAGGAATAATCTTTAGAAGCTAGAACAAGTTTTTGGATCCCAGAAGGAGAGATGTAGAGTTGTTCTGGGTATATGACTTGCCTCAAATCATTAACTGTTAAATGGTAGGAACCGAGGCTTCTTATCCCAAATCTTGTGCTCCCTTTGCTATTCTGCTACTTTTTAATCCCCTTAAGACTTCTGAATCTATGTTGCCTGCTGCCCTCTTAGGGATACAAGAGAAGGAAATAAATATCTATAGAATGACTCCTTTGGACCAGGCATTTTGCTATATGATGGGGTCTCATTTAATTTTAGACATCTTCAGGAAGGTGCTATTTTATAGATCAGGAAATATAGTCCCAAATGAGTTATATAAAAAGTTATGGCAATCAAGATTTGAGCTAAGCTTCTGGGTGTTTTTTTCACTACTTTATACCACAGATATTTTAACTAGTATCAAATTTAAGTGTTTGAGAACTTATAGATTCAAATAATCCAGAAAAGTACCAAATGGCACAAC
Organism: Homo sapiens; assembly: GCF_000001405.40. Classification (NCBI taxonomy): domain Eukaryota; kingdom Metazoa; phylum Chordata; class Mammalia; order Primates; family Hominidae; genus Homo; species Homo sapiens. The sequence goes on from NC_000023.11 coordinate 29,948,314, forward strand.
ATGTGAATTAGAACAGTACTGTAAATACTTCAAACTGTACAAGTCAAGCAAATTTATTTTACAACAATTGCCAGAGGTTGTCATAGCAGAATTGAAAAGCAAAATTTATTAAGACAATGACATTCAATAATCATAAAATCAAACCATTAAGGTTTTATATATCTAATGTTTATTCATTCAAAGATATATGATCTCTGAAGATAATTTTATTTGAAAAATCATATCTTGAAAACTTGAGAAAGCATATGATGGCAAATCTGAGACATAAGAAGAAATGTGACTTACTTTTTGAAAACTATAATTTATTCAAATTTTATCAATGCAAATTTTTAATTATCACAGTTTTCTGTGATGATATGCCACACTTAAACATACAAAATCAACTTTTAGGATTAAAAAAAGATGAACTATACAATTTATCTTTGAACCCTCCTCCAGTTTCATTTTAGGAATCCATTTACTGAATGACAGCCTCTGCCACTAGTCAATTTCACTTATGTGATTCATATATACTTGAGAACAAAAAAAAAAAGAAAAAAAAAAAAGGAATGGCCAGCTGCCAAAAACATTTGACAACTATTCAGTAAGTGTTTAGAGGTTAAAAACTCCCCCAAACCGGATGTCATACTTAAAACATTTCTACTGTCAGTAAATCTTTTTTCTAGCCAAATCCAATACAGCCACTACCTTCAACTTGAAAAGTGAGTCTTCAACCTACATTTTCTTAAAAGCTGTGTTATTCTAAAATAATCCCGCAGATTCCTTGCTTCCTCAGTCATTTTAAAGAACATTGAGGGTATTATCCTCTCATATGTTAAAGAGAAAGGTGCATTTATCTATAACCTTTCCAAACCCTCTTTTCATTCCTGAACATAATGCCATTTTTTCCTTCTTCATCAAGAGTTCTTAATATTTTAAATTCATATTTTTTATTTGTTAACGCCACAGAGTCCAAACTTCCTTCTTTCCTCTCAAAAATGTTTTTATAAAACATCAAAGCTTTTAGTTAATTCAATTTAAGAAGAAATATCTGCTGGACTTGTTGATTGACTTCAAGTAACCAAACAACTAGTTGAATGATTGGATCTTGTTTTTTGTTTGTTTGGTGGAGCATATCTGCCGGGGTCTTTTGAAAGTCATAAGAAAGAGTAACTTAATGACTACATTGCAGATTATAAAGAATTACTACAAAGAGTGTGTATACCAGCTGTTTTTCATCTCTGCTGTGAACAGAATTATAGTTGATGCTTAAATTGCAGAGGATTTTGAGAATAAAGCTCAGAATAAGAAATAGACTCTTGTACCAACCTATAACTACTTTTAAGCTGTTTATAAATGAAAGTTGAATTTAAATTATCCTAGCCCTATCCTTTAAAAATATTAGCATAATTTTGTTTTTCATGGTTATAAAGATGTCAGCTTTTCAAAGTTTCACCAGTCACATGAAGTTCATACACATTAAACTATGTCAATTTATGTTCTTTCTTATATCAAAACAATCTAAGATGTACTATCCAAGATGCATATACAGTTGGTAATTGAAAAAGGGAAGACACCTTAGAATCCATATGATTTTGAGTCAAAAAACATTGCTGAATTTAGTATGGCATCTGGCACTCTGCTTCCGGTCTGACAACTTTTCAAATCATGGGTTTGCTTCTGATGGTAAATAAATGCCTAACCCATTACTGCACTGATGCAGACTCTGGAGAAAGAGAGAAATTAGATATCACTCAAGTGTCCCATTGGTTTGAGGATGGTGCTGCAGATGCTTGAAAGAGGCTTTCTACCAGTATAATCTACTTGGAAACAACTCCATTATAACTGGGAGATACTAACTTAAGTACTATAAATACATCCAGATGACATAAGGAGATAGAAAACTAACTGATGTCATAGCACCAATTCCTAAATTTCATTTAAGATTAATATGGTTATTTCATATATTAGTCTAGGCAAAAATTTATCCCCTTTTTGATAAAAACATGAATTCTTAGCTATTTTATTGGGAGTATATCTCCTCTAAGTATTAGGACGATCTATCATGGAGCCGAGGGGGCAAGGTTTAGTTTTTATGATGTTGTGGTCAAATACCTGGCAGATAACTGCAGTTGTTTGGTGTCATTGAGACCTCTGCATGCCTATATCCTGTTCTAGAACAGAGTTTATTGAAGTGTGGTCCCTCAATCAGCAGCAGCATCTCTTGAGAGTTTGCTATAAATATAAATTCTAGGAACCTACTCTTCACCTACTGAATGAGAAACTCTAGAGGTGGGGCTCAGCCCTCCAAATGATGGTCATTCATGCTCAAGTCTGAAAACCACTTTCCTAGAGGCATTTACACAGATCCTAAGGCCTTTTTTTTTTTTTTCTTTTTTTTTGAGACAGAGTCTCGCTCTGTCACCCAGGCTGGAGTGCAGTGGTGCAGTCTCGGCTCACTGCAAGCTCCGCCTCCCGGGTTCACGCCATTCTCCTGCCTCAGCCTCCCGAGTAGCTGGGACTACAGGCGCCCGCAACCACGCCTGGCTAAATTTTTTTGTATTTTTAGTAGAGACGAGGTTTCACCGTGTTAGCCAGGATGGTCTCGATCTCCTGACCTTGTGATCTGCCTGCCTCGGCCTCCCAAAGTCCTGGGATTACAGGCGTGAGCCACCACACCTGGCCAACCCTAATGTCTTTTCATGAATCACAGTAAGAAGCTACAGTTCAAGAGTATTCCAAAGGAGCCTTGCTAAACTCTGAACCACAGCTCCTAGTAATTCCTTGAGAAGTCAGAGCAGCATGGAGTCTACATCTCCAAAGCAGTCTCTCCTGAGAAATGATCCGAGTCTTGAGAAAAATCTCAAAATTAGCTATCGGGTGTGAGTCATGTGATACCAAAATGAAAGGCCATTCGTTCATTTCATCAACTGATAAACTTGAGCATCTACTAAGCCCCAGTCACATACCTGAGCTAAGGATCTCATAGTCTAAGAGAGAAGATAAGATATAAGCAAAATCATATAATACATGGGAAAAATCATCACTTCCAACTGAGGGAAATCAGGCTAACCTTCAAGGAAAACAAGCTAAAAATGCAGCTGCTGATTATTTAGACAATAAGTAGCCACAGATATTTTTTAAGCCACCATAACACATGATCAGTGGTAAGGTCTGGGAAGGTAAATTTGGTGACTCTCTTCTCCAGAAGGAGAAGGAAATGGAAAGGGAAGACCACTCAAATATAATTATAACAGCTGAGATATGAGTAGGGCCTAACCTAGAATGGAAATAGAATCCAATAGATTTGTACCAATGAATGGCGATGAGATTATTAGTAAAGATAAGGGATAGGTGGAACGCGCATCTGAAGTTTTGACATTAAAGAAATGAGATTTTTATGTTACTAAAATTAAAATGAAATAAAAGATGAAGAACACAGCTTGAGATGGGAAGCTTGTTACGTTGTGAGCATGTGAAGTGTGAGGTGCATGATGAAGATGCAAATTAAAGTGTTCAGGTTACAGGTAGGAGTGGGGGACTGTCATAATTCAGGAGAAATAGAACAGGATCATGCATCCAAATTGAGGAGGCATCTACACAGAAGTGATGTTATGGAAGTTGATGTTATGGAAGGAAAGGATATTTTTAAGGGAAAGTGGGCTGAAAGAAAAATGAAGTGGACCGCAGAAAACATCTTGCAGAAAGACGGTATTTATGGGTTGGAAGAGAGGTTTCCATGAAAGAAGCAGGGGAATCAGAGACATAATGTTATATAAGCAAAGGCGATATTTATCTGAAATTTACCAGTATGGGTGGACCAGTTGTTTACATCTCGTCTGATTTCTGAATGCTCCGTTCTTACTGGTGTTCATATGTTGATATGGCTTTAAAATAATCTTAAGCCTAGAGAAGATATGAGGCAATGAATGAGGATCTAATTATTACACAACCCCAGTTGAGGGGAGTTTCAACACTTTGCACTACTTTGTGGCAAACTGGAAAAGAACAGATTACCAGAAAGAAAATAGCATATGCCCAAAATAATACTACAATCCACAATCTGGCCTGAGGAGTCCTTCCATTATTAGCCTGTGACTCCTGAACTACCCTTAGTAATACATTTATCTCTTAGGAATGTACTATTTATTTGTCTGCATCTCCTGCTAGGCTAGAAACTAATGACCAATATTGTAAAGAAAGTTTAATATCTCATAGGTAATGCATGTGAATAGTTAATGAATATTTTAATTAATTATTAACCGATATTATGTACTGACTTTATTGTGTGCTTTCATGATTTCTTACTCAACTAAAGTGTTTACATCAATGAGTGGTACAATTATAGATTGTACTGGCCTATGGGCATATAGCTTTTCTATAGCAAATATAATAATTATTTTTGGAGAAAACTAGATTTTGTTTTTTAAAATGTACAACTATATGCTGGCTAAAGAATAAAGGAAATGCCAAAATATGACACATTTGGTATGATTGTTTTTCTTAAACTTTTTTGCCCTAAAAGCTGCTGTTTAAAAAACTCTTCTATAGCTGAAGTTTTTATTCCAAGTATCCTATAGTGAAGTTGTTAGTGCCTTATATACCTGTGTTAACTTTACATGTAGCAAACACTTTTCTGAGTTTGCCCTGAAAAGTTATAATCATAGAATGATTTCTAGATGGCTCAAAATTATCAGACTACTAGAATTAACACACATGTATATATCTCAGGAAGTGAATTTTAGTGTCCTTGAAGTCAAAAGGATTGTCCCAAAGCCACCCAGAACAATGGTGAAGAATGTCCCTCTATCGTTGATGTTTCATAGCCCAAATATTTTAAGTTCTATGCTTAATGCAGAGTTCATTTTATTCTGAAATTTATGAGTGTTTCAATTTAACTTGATCTAATCATCAAGTAATACACTGCCTATCATCAGGGAAGTGCAATAGAGAGCTAAAGACATTGATATTGGTAGACTCAGCATATCAACAGTATTTAAAATTTAAGTGAACTATGAATCTTGATATCTTAGTCGAAAAAGGAAATTGACCAAAGAAAGACTATCCGGAAGATAAATGATTTCTTATTCTTAGAAACAACAAGTGAGAAATCTGAGATGGTATATTAGAAAAATTAAGATAAAGATAACAAATGATTGATAGTAGTCCTCAAATATTTAAAATTTTCTCATGTAAAAAGGGGGAAGAGTAAGGAGAGAAATGAGATTTTAGAACTAAGTTTCTTTTACTTACATTCTACTTCTTGATTCTTATGAACAAACTGATTAGCATGATGAAAAATAACTTGGCAATATTTTATGTGTAAGATGAGTGGAGACCAGAAAAATAATGTCTTTCTATAATCATTCATTTTAATAATATTCTCCATCCCAATATGCAAGAACTGACTCCTAGTAAAAAATTAATTCTCACAAGTTTGGTTTTATTTTCTCCCCAACAGAAAATCAACACAGCACACATAATCTAAAAAATCATTCATTCACAATTAAGTCAGTTGCCGTTTTCTCTCTCTTTTTTCAACTGGGTAAAATGGCCAAGGGTAGAATCAGTTGAACGTAAGAGCATACTGATATCCAAACATATGGCTTTTACAAGCAGTCAAGATTCTCTGTGATCTGTGCATCAAAAATGGTGAAATTCTGCTGGGTGCGGTGGCTCACGCCTGTAATCCCAGCACTTTGGGAGGCTGAGGAGGGTGGATCGCCTGAGGTCAGGAGCTCAAGACCAGCCTGGCCAACATGGTGAAACCCCATCTCTACTAAAAATACAAAAATTAGCTGGGTGTGGTGACGTGCACCTATAATCCCAGCTACTCGGGAGGTTGAGGCAGGAGAATGGCTTGAGCCTGGGAGGTGGAGGTTGCAGTGAGCCAAGATCACGCCACTGCACTCCAGCCTGGACAACTGAGCAAGACTGTGTCCCAAAAAAAAAAAAAAAAAAAAAAAAAAAAGGAAGTCTGCATTTCATTACTCTTTTCATTGATTTTTCTCCTACTTTTTTCACAACAACAAATCAAAATTCAACCCTTTGTACCTCCAAACTAGTTTTAGAATCATTGAACTCAATGAAACTTAATGAAGGCTTCATTTTTCGGTCTTTCAGAAATGGGACATTTGGAGACGTTTATGAAAAAAAGTGCATGTTTTCATGTCCTATTGTTATCTTTGTAGAGTAGTGACTTCGACTTTTCTTTGGAATTTTTTGACAGACAATAAAGATTATGATGCATACTTATCATACACCAAAGTGGATCCTGACCAGTGGAATCAAGAGACTGGGGAAGAAGAACGTTTTGCCCTTGAAATCCTACCTGATATGCTTGAAAAGCATTATGGATATAAGTTGTTTATACCAGATAGAGATTTAATCCCAACTGGAAGTAAGTTAATGTTTTCATTTGAGAGTGTGCATATTCATGTGAGTGTCTGTGTAGTCATCACTTTTTCATGGAATTTTAATGTTTGGTTCTTTACTTCAAAATTTGTATCTGTTAGTTTCCCTAGAAAGAAACGTCTTTGTGTGTTCACATGAAATTTAATTTTTGCTAGCTCAGAGAAAAGATACTCCATTACTGTATAAAGCATCTCATTTTGTGAGCCTTGACATTGAAAGAAACCAAATGAGAGATTTGTACCGGGAAAAAAAAATATTGCTGACATTAGGAGAAGCAAGTCCCAAACTCTATTCAGTGAACTAGTTTCATTTAATTTCTGAAAGAGAATCTACTAGGACTTTCTGGACCAAATTTTCCATTCACTCATTTTGATGCACTCTTTTATCTTTTGTAGCATACATTGAAGATGTGGCAAGATGTGTAGATCAAAGCAAGCGGCTGATTATTGTCATGACCCCAAATTACGTAGTTAGAAGGGGCTGGAGCATCTTTGAGCTGGAAACCAGACTTCGAAATATGCTTGTGACTGGAGAAATTAAAGTGATTCTAATTGAATGCAGTGAACTGAGAGGAATTATGAACTACCAGGAGGTGGAGGCCCTGAAGCACACCATCAAGCTCCTGACGGTCATTAAATGGCATGGACCAAAATGCAACAAGTTGAACTCCAAGTTCTGGAAACGTTTACAGTATGAAATGCCTTTTAAGAGGATAGAACCCATTACACATGAGCAGGCTTTAGATGTCAGTGAGCAAGGGCCTTTTGGGGAGCTGCAGACTGTCTCGGCCATTTCCATGGCCGCGGCCACCTCCACAGCTCTAGCCACTGCCCATCCAGATCTCCGTTCTACCTTTCACAACACGTACCATTCACAAATGCGTCAGAAACACTACTACCGAAGCTATGAGTACGACGTACCTCCTACCGGCACCCTGCCTCTTACCTCCATAGGCAATCAGCATACCTACTGTAACATCCCTATGACACTCATCAACGGGCAGCGGCCACAGACAAAATCGAGCAGGGAGCAGAATCCAGATGAGGCCCACACAAACAGTGCCATCCTGCCGCTGTTGCCAAGGGAGACCAGTATATCCAGTGTGATATGGTGACAGAAAAGCAAGGGACATCCCGTCCCTGGGAGGTTGAGTGGAATCTGCAGTCCAGTGCCTGGAACTAAATCCTCGACTGCTGCTGTTAAAAAACATGCATTAGAATCTCTAGAACACGAGGAAAAACAGGGTCTTGTACATATGTTTTTTGGAATTTCTTTGTAGCATCAGTGTCCTCCTGTTTTACCATGTCTTTTACCATTACATTTTTTGACTTTGTTTTATATGTCGTTGGAATTTGTAAATTTACATTTTTTTTAAAGAAGAGACTGATGTGTAGATAGAAAACCCTTTTTTTGCTTCATTAGTTTAGTTTTAGAATGGGTTTTTATTTTATTTCCTTTTTTAAAATTTTACTTTGCTTTTAACATTTCCTTGGGGTGCTTGGACAAATCTATCCGATGGGACAAGGAGCACCGGATTCTTTCTCGGGTTCTGCCTAGCATCAACTGGGCCACGTCGGCCTTCAGAGAACAGTGCAACAAATGCCAGCATTGCCATTCGGGGGAAAAAAAAAAAAAAAAAAAAAAGATGAGAAGAACACTTGTTCATAGGAGGGCCCCACCAGTCAGAGCCCTGAATCTCTTCCTTGTCCCACCTCATTCCCCACCTCTACCTTTCTAATGGCGGCATGATGTGTAAACTCTGTGCAGGGGTGGGGGCGGGTCTAACTGTCTTAACATTCAAGTCACTGCTCTTCAGAATACACTCTAGACCCAAAGGTGTGCTAATCACTTCACAGTGACCACTACAGAGTACTAAGAAGAGAAGATCAAGGGCATGAAATTGGGGAAGAGTGTTATTTCCGTTTTTTAAATGAGTTGATGTACCCTTATATATATATACATATATATATAAATATAAATATATATAAAAACAACAAAACAAAACAAAAAAAGAAAAAAAAACAAAAAACAAAAACAAAAAAAAAAAAAAATCAAGCCCTATATTTGATCACTTCCTGGAAAGGCATGAATGTGTTTGTGGCTGTTTTTGTTTAATCTTCTACTTCCTCTTTTCCCTCTATAATTTCTCTGCAAATGAGATTCTGTGCAAATGCCAGGCAAGTTAATTCAAAAGAGTGAATCAACGCAAGTCAAAATGAAATTTACACTGAAGGCTTCCAAACCAAAGGGAAGGACAGGATGTGTCATCAAATATGTTTTGTCACCTTGTATTATACAAAATGTTATTTTCTAAAGAGTCAGAGAAAATCTGTGAAACTTATTGTGCGGCCCCCTTGTAATTAAATGTTAACTCCCTTGTATTTAATTTTCAACACTACATTAAGAATTAAGTGGTTTCAGTTTGTGGACATAAGCAACACTTATTAATATCAAGGTGTTTAAGAACTCAGGAGGTCAAACATATGAATACCAACAGAGATCAGTATTTTCAAAATAAACATTATTTATACAAAATAGTTTTTAAATTAGATCAGAAAGTATTTAAAATAATTAATTTTACTGTATAAAGAATTTGCTTTATTTTAGCTATGTAATTCTATCTTTCAGAAAACAGAAAGCTGATGCTCCCAAGAAGTTCATCCCTTACCATTTAGCTTTATGTTTGAAATCAATGACATAAGCAGCTAATTCATATTCATGTGAAGGTTGATGCAAAATCAATCACAAAGGAATCTGCAGAGGGCAGAGTTGTTAAAAGGAAATATTACCTATGTAGCTTTTAGTTTTTAAAAAAAATCAATGTGATAAAAACACTGATAATAGAACTTATACATTAATTTAGTGATTCATTGTAGGAACTCCCATCCCAGTCATCATCTGTGGGCCTGTGTAGTGACTATCGTACGTTTGGTTTATTCCTACCACCATTTAGTGAGAAAACAATTCTACACTTTTGGTCACAATAGTAAGGTGGCCACACACACACACACACACACACACACGTGTAAACTGCAATAGGGTTCATTGGGGAGGGTGAGGTTAATTTGCAAATATATGAAGAAGAAGTGTAAGCATTTGTAACAATGAAAAGGTCTCAGTATCTGTGTGACAAGGTAAAGGAGCCTTGGGATGTGCATTGATTATTATTTGCTTAAAAATTGTTTATTTCCCTGACAACTCGCCTGTGTCCTTCTCTATAATCTGTTCTTTATTCCCGTGCTCTCCCCTTGGATCTGTGTCACATTTTCACAAACCAGAACTGAAGCTGCAAGGACACATAAAACTTTAAGGTCAGCTTTGCACATTGGGTTATTTTCAGAATCTGAGAAGGCCATTGTTTACTTTGTACTATGGACAGCTGTCAGGGACTGGTGGCAGTGTACCTCACTGGACTGGATTCCAAACTCCCCCAGTGCTCAGAAAACTGTAAACGTGGCAATGGCCTGATTTATCTCTTTGTTTTTTAATTTTTCTTTTCAGTGCACGATGGAAGTGTGGAATAAATGTAGAGGAAGTAATCAGACCACAGTCATATTTTAGGCATCCATAGGTGTTAATTTAGCTGCATTGGGAGTGCATTTTTTGTTCTATTTTTAGTGTAGATTTAAGCACTTTGAATAGCATGATTCAGGGATTGATGGGTAATATTTGATATTCTCACAACTTATGAAACTTCTTTTTCCTCTAATGCTTTGTCATATTTAAAAAATGAAATAAATGCAAAAGAAGCTATCTATAGCTTTAGAAACATTCCTCCCAAGTATTCCTCTATCAGCTCCATGTGAGAAGAAATGAAGGAAACTGTCATGTGTTCACGTGCTCTATGTTTAACAAAAGTTCTGTTAGAACTCACAATAAAAAGAGAAAAAAATCAATGTCCCCTAGTGCTTAGGTTTCATCCTTCGCTTTTTTCAGTGGGGGCTGTGGGGGATAAGAATATTCTAGTTGTAAAAACACAGTTGAAAGTGTGAATATGTTAGCCAAGCTGGGGGAGAGAATGGACTTCCAGACTTGGACATACGTGATGTTTGGTATTGCCTGTTTTTCATCAATTGCCGCTCGAGCTCTGAACGACACATTGTGGATTCAAAAGATCATCCGGTTCTTTAGTGTAACCTCTACTTGCTGCTTATGAGCATCCTACCCCTTATTTGGGTGCTCAAAACTTTTGCTTATTTAATTTGTACTGCATTCCTTAGGTCTCCTGTGGGCAGAGAAGACATTTGTATCTCATGTAGACAGCTGATTTAAGTTTAGATCAATTCTATGAAACAAATCTGAGACATGAGTTAAGAGACCTGAATCTACTATATTTCTATAGCTAAAAACACTCGATTGCTCAAACAGTAAACCACTTTGTGATTATAACTTTCTTCATAGTATATGTATTTGGACCCTATCAACTTAATCTTAAAATATAGATGCTGGTTTCTTCCATATTTCATTGCTATCTAGCATTTTATAACAAGAATATTAACTGAGAGCCAACCCTTAAACTGTAAGTCTTGTTTATCCTAGAATAGTCATTAACTTTTCAGATATCATTTATATAAATTAAGATCACCATTTCTAGGAAAACATTGATTCATACATTTGTGAATTATTTTTGGATTCTGGAATGATGCCCTAGTTCTCTTTTTTGTAAGGAGTATTTTTTTAATCTTGTGATTAATTTCTTTATTTATTAGGTTAAGTTTGTAACATTAGTCCCAGAAGAAAGCATATTGAAATTTAAAGGATAGCATCAGCATACAAATGAAATGACTGACTGGAAGTAAGAGAATACACAGACATAGAAGAGGAAAATCCCTTCCTGTCTCTGATCTGAACTTGCTTGGTCATTAATCTCATTATTGACATAGCTGATTAATAGAGGTGAAATATTATTAAATAGGTTAGAAATCCCATCTACAGACAGACACACATTCCCTATTGCTGAGGAACTTTTCTAACAGTATATACAGTTATTACCAAAAGATGGTGATGCAACTAGAATCCCTAAAAGGAGAAGCTTATCAATGGAAACAGAGGCTATTCCTTGCCTTATCATGAATCCTTTACACTTCTTTATTGTTCTGAACAAAGAAGGTAACCAATAATCAAAGTTTGATTATCCTTAATAGTAGATCTTAATCTTGGGTTCAAGGATACCTTGTGTCTATAAAAAGGAATAAAATAACAAAGCCCTTGAAATTCCAGACAAAATTGTTAATGTGCGTAAAACGGTGTTCGTCTGGGTGTGAGTCTCAAGACATCTAGCACCTAAAAAGCTACTGATGTTTGGATTTAGAAGATATTCTCAGAAACTGATATTCAGATAAACCCACATAACTTACAGGCATTGTTTTGTCTACCACTGTCTACCTTCATTCATAAAAACTCTGGAGATAATTATTGTTCTACTAGAGACAAGTCTCCTTCCAAAATGGCCTGGCTTTGTGGGAGACCCAGCATACTGTAAACAAAAATTTTGTATGATGACAAATAATTCATGCTCAGATAAAAACTAATTGGCTATCATTGTTGTGATAATCTTACTCATGTCTTCACCCATTCTAAAAATAGTTTGGGGTGTGTGAAATTATGTCATTTGGCAATGATGCCTTATTTCAGTAAATTTATTTATGATTTATGTTTAATTATTTTTCCTACAACATAACTAAGAATTCATCCAGTACAGGAAAAGAAGAAACAAACATTTGACATGTTTTTCTAAAAAAAAAAAAAGAAAATCCCACCAAGTTTTTTTTTAGGCAAAGATTTAGAAGTGGCTATATATTTGATTTTCAACAATTATGATTTTGCCAGTTTCATAACTTATGATATGACTTTGGAGGAATATGAAGAATTTTGAGAATAAAGTTAGGTAGTGGTTATTTAAAGTTTTACTCTTACTTGCGATTGGTAGCAAGGTGAAAGGTTATTCTATGTTAATAAATTGAGATACTGTCACAAGGAGCTTTAAGATCTAACCAAATTTGAATAAAGCAAGAGAAGGATGATATGATGATGAGTTAATCCTAATCCTAAATGAATGTGCCTTGTCATCATCAAATTTCCATCACATCCATAGAAAATGGATATAATTTTGGATGTAAAAAAATTGGAGCTCAATTCCAATCTTCTATCAAGTATCATTTCTTCCTTCTAGGCTCAGAACATAAAACATGCCTGTGTGTGTGTGTGTGTGTGTGTGTGTGTGTATGTATGTATTTCTCTTGCTCATTTGAAAATTTTTCTCTAAATAGCCTCTGGGTCCACTGACAAACTCATGTTTCTGAATTCTTCGTTAAAGTAAGTAAAGTACTATTGTTTCTTCTACCATTCACTATCTTCATTGATGCATTCCCCGTGGTCCATAAGTGTTTAGCATATTCTCTTTTTAACAAGGGCAATCACTCTTAAAAAATCATTACACTATGTTCTCTCCACTACTAAATGAACAGAATCGGAAAAACTGCACATGAACTTGAGAGTATTACATGTAATATTGATGTGTAAATTTTAACCTTCATAATCCAGATAACATTAAGTTTCAAAGGGCATGCTGTGTCATTAAAAAAAGATTTAATGTGAAATGACATTATTACATAGTGCATGAAAATGTGGCAAAGTAATTTGGATCTATCTTTACTAGTCAATGAGAGATTAAATTTGGGGAGATCAGATGTGACCGTTTAGGTTAATTCTCAACTGGGATGAAGACATCTTAATGTTAGGATACATGGGTGGTTGTCCATATTCCTTGCAGTATATGCTCCTCTTAACTAGAATCCTTAGTGTATTCTTTCCACCAAAGTAGTGGAGGTATGTTCACATAATCTGCTATTGAACTGCAAAAACTTTTACAGTTTCAGAGTTTGAGGGAACCCAAATAGGAAAATTGATGGAGTCATTTTCCTCTGCTGGTGTTCAAGTCAGATTTGAAACTCAGACACTCTCAGATCTGTTCAACAGTCAGTAAAAAGTGCATTTTTACATAGTGTTTCCCTTTAGTTTTGCCTACCCTCTTGATTTTGTACAATCTAGAATGTATGTAACTCATGCGTAGGTGATGGAGGCGCTTTTTTTCTTAGAATACTTACAATTATATATTTGGTTTTGCTTTGACTAGCAATAGGAAAATAGACAAATACAAGTGTAAAAATGAGAAATTTTAAACTCAAATTATAATTTGTGTTTTATAGTCGTTTCATAAGTCTGTTGCTCTCTATGAGTATGCTCTCTATATATCCTGTAAAAATAAATTTATATGTTACATAGAAATTCAAGAAATTAAATTATTTATTAAGCTACAAATGTTTCTTCTGGTTTCTACCTGATCATAAATGAAAATAAATTAAATAATGTGTCGTTGGAACATATGTAAGTACGTTTGTTAATTTGATAACTCTTGTTAAACTTTTCCTTCCCTCTTTTTATGTCTGTATAAACTTATAATTCTTAGGCCTAATTCCTATTGTGATGGTGAAGAAAGAGACTTAAGAATGCCCAGTTGGCTGGAAAAAAAGAAAAGAAAAGAAAAACCTTCTTTAAAAATCAAGCCCATTTACAATCCCTTTTTTTTCTTCACTACTGGATTAAGGAGAGGTTTGAATCAGTAACTCAGTAACTTAAAAGTCATTATCACATTAATGGTTTTCTCAAGGTTAAATTCCACATTTGTCCCTTTATTTTATAAAATTATTTGAGAAACAGAAATGAAAGGAATGATAACATGTGAGTCCTTCTTTGCTGTTTCCTTTCCTTACTTCTTGCTCCCCAGGTATTTTATTCCTTTCTTTTTAAGGTACTACTCACATAATGACCTTAAAATAAAGTCCCCTCAGGTAACATTTTAAAGTGACCAAGATCTTTAATCATCTTGTTTTTCTGCTCTGTTCGCATCTACTTGAAGTGCACAGTCAATCCTAAAGGGAAATGTTTTTGGCCTTACTTCTTAAGTTTAAGATAAATAACCTTATTATTTATTTGGGAGGAGGAGAATGGTGGTAAATCTTTCCATCATAAGCATAACAAGTGAACAACCATAAGCGTCTTAGAATGAATGAGCTGTTTAAGCAGAATGCATATCTTAAAGAAACAGCCTTTTAAGAAACACTTATCAAAGATGAAGCAGACATGAATCATTATGAAAATTTAAAGTAATAGTTACAAAAGGCCCCGTAAGGTTATTTTAGATTGGATTTCAAAGTAATTAGCATATTTAAACTTTCTTAAAGCCATTTCTACCTCAGTAGGATTTTTAAATGTGAGAAAATAAACTATTGAAAAAATAAAATGTTATAAGGATCATAAATCAGTGTATAATTTGCATAGTACATTTTAAATTGTGAATCATATTATAGCATATGACCCATTATTCAAAATATCAGGAGAGACCTCTATAGTTGAAGAAAGTTTGGGATTGTTTGTGCACTTCAGACACACACATAAATTCTCAGGAATTTTAATTACATTCATACTATTGACAAGTGGTTAAAAGACTGATATGGGCTGGGCGCGGTGGCTTACGCATGTAATCCCAGCATTTTGGGAGACTGAGGCTGGCTGAGGCCAGGAACGTGGCCTCAAAGACTTTGAGACAAGAATGAGGTGGATGTATTTGAGGAAGAAAAGGAAGGCCATTGGCTGGGCGCGGTGGCTCACGCCTGTAATCCCAGCACTTTGGGAGGCCGAGGTGGGTGGATCATGAGGTCAGGAGTTCAAGGCCAGCCTGGCCAACATGGTGAAACCCCATCTCTACTAAAAATACAAAAATTAGCCGGGTGTGGTGGTGCACACCTGTAATCCCAGCTATTCAGGAGGCTGAGGCAGGAGAATCACTTGAACTATTAGGGAGGTGGAGGTTTCAGTGAGCTAGTATCATGCCACTGCACTCCAGCCTAGGTGACAGAGCGAGACTCCTTCTCAAAAAAAAAAAAAAAAAAGAAAAAGAAAGAAAAAAAAGATAAACTGATATTAATGAGATATCTTCAGAAGATTCCTAATTAATATCAGCTCTATATGGGCAAAATAGAAACAGAGAATGAGAAAAAAATAAGAAAATCATAATAGTGGTGACCCAATCACTTAATTGCTGTGGGATTTTCAGCATTTATATATGGCCTGTAAGAGTAATTAAAACAAATTCCTTAAGATTGCATTTTCTATCAAGGTTTAATGCCTGGTGTCACCATTCTAAGGCAATGTAGGTACTGCAGAACCCAGATGAGTATGTGGTGAAGGGTTTAGTAAGATTCTGAAGGATAGAGAACATCTCAATTTGACCAATAATTTAGCTAACTGTTGTTTGACTAAATTAGATACTTTTATCCTCAGTGATATGTCAGTTGGGTTTTGGTGGTACACAGAGGGAGATTATTATTTGAGTAGCTCTGTATTTGATTTAAAAATCGCCAGTATTTTTAAAAAACTTTAGTACATTACATTAAACTCAAGACTTTATGGATACTCTTAATAGTTTTGCTTACACAGTAGAATAATATATATACACCGTTATTTAAATTAAGACATAGGTAAATAATATTCTAGGAAAGGTGACATATGGCAAAAGTCATCCAGACTGTGAATGACTGGTTTATGGAAAAATTGAGGCCAATTTTCTAACCTCTTGAATAAATAAACAAATAGACAAACAATTACTAATAAAAGGTAAAACGTCTCAAAAAACAGAAAAGAAAAGCACACAAAAGCCAGCATAAATGATAGCACTATAAGTTTATGAAAATCAATAGCTGGTTTAAATTAAGCAAAGAAATATCCTACTTCTATAGTTCTTGGCAATAAAGAACAATATTGCTCTTTATAAATTTAGTTAAGAAAGCTAAATCCAGCTTTGCCATGGAATATGTGACTTCTAAAAAGTAATTGTACTGCCACTTAGCAAAAAAACAAAAATAAAAAATAAAAAGGAACAATATTGTTCTTGGCAATAAAGAACAATTATGAACTTGAAAAGAAAACTGGGCTCAGAACGCAAGTCATTTCTTAGGTGGTCTCAGGCTGAACTAAGATCCATTTCTCAGTATACTTTTCCTAAATGAAATAGAAATTGTATTACGAAATATTATAATGTATGGATAGAGATAATAACTTTGGCATGCTTGATACTGTGACATAAAGATTTGGTGAGGGGTGAAATAGTTCATAGCATCCTTCCAAGGGATCTATTAACAAGAATTTGAAGTCCTAGATTCACTTAGAATCACCTGGGAAGGTTTAAAAAGTCCCGGAGTCCCAAATATTCAGACATAACCAAGCAGTCTTGTGTTTGTACCTAATGTGAGCATTTTTTAAGTAAGCTCTTCACATGATTCCACAGAACAACCAGAGTTGAAAACTATTCAATGATGCAGGTCTCCAATTTTAGGCACCAGAAGAAGTGCCTGGAAAGCTTGTTAAAAGTGCACATGCAGATTGAGCCTCAATGGGACTGAAGTGGGGCACAAAATATATTTACTTAACAAACTTTCTAGGTGATTCTAATGTGGAGGCCCACAGACCACTCTGAAAAACACAGGTGCAGGATTCGTTGTTTCTGTAATTAAAAATGCCGCCACTCTGTGGAATGCAAAATTGAAGATTCCAGCAGACACATATCACCATAAACTAGGTCTTCCTTTTTAAATAATTCCTCCCAAATTGCTAATCAGAACTCATGATGAAGTCTTGATTTAAAAAACCTGAACTATAGAAAATTACACTTTGAGAATTCCTCATGAAGAGGAAAATAAAAAATTAGTTAAGAAAGCTGAGTTCAGCTTTGCCATGGAATATGTGGCTTCAAAAAAAGTAATTGTATCATTTAGCAAAAAAAAAAAAAAAAAAGTAATTAACAGTTAAGTGTTAAATAACAATACATCTCCCTTCTGAGAGAATACAAGTCTACTGTAGCTTCTATTTTTTAAAAATAGCAAAATTTGACAGGAATGCCAAAGACATTTGTTGTGAAAATAAATATACAAATATTAAATTAGTTAAATTAGTTGGACTTAATTAACAATTATGTTTACTCAAGTTAACAACCAATTCATCAAAAGATTAACACCAATGAAGGGTTTTCAAATGTTGCTTAGCATAAGAATCACTTACAGCATTTGTTAAAAGCTTGAATGAGTTCCTGGCTCACATTCCAAAACAATTGAACTCCAGGAAATTTTTACAATCATGTAATTTGGGGAGCATTATTCTAGTAAATGTCATAAACTACAAGGCTATCTTCTTACAGTGCCAATAAATGTAGTTAATTCTACATGAGATGATCATTTAAACGCATTATCTTGCATTTTTTCAGCAAAATGACAACCTACGCAACGATGACAAACCAGTTGGTTCTTTATTTTATCCTTCAATCGCTTACTCTGACAATACAGTTCCAGCCACGTATGTTTATTTTACTGGGCTAATTTTGATCTCTAGACTCCTTGTTTTGCCTGAAATGACTACCAGAGTTGAGGTTGTTAGCTTATGTTTCTTAAGGAGAATGTATTATTTGATGTAAGATTCTCATGAACCAATCATGTCACTGATTCTAAGTATTAATACATATTTCAAGGACATGATTGTTGTTAGTTGAAAGAAAAATATTCTTATACATCCTTCACAGAGTAGCCACATCAAAGAGTTTCTGGAGAGTTGGCTTTAAGTTTCTAAAGATCCCACTCATAACCTAGTGACTTCCACAGTCACTGTAGGCCTTCTTACCATCTGGGCCTTTATAACACTAGAACATGCAAAAAATAATATTCAACAGTAAATTTTATTGGGTGAAGCATAGCCTTTGATATTTCTACACTAAACTGAAAAATATACCAATTTAGCTTGATTTATTTTCAGAATGTATTCTGGACAACAACAGTTCAGAATCATCAACTGTGACAACGAGAAGCATTTAGTGCGCTAAATTGGTATACATGTGTGCATACATGTGTAATGTGTATGTACTGTGAAATGAAAAATGCACATCATCAATATCTTTAAATAAGCCTAATCAGTATATGTGCTACATTAAATAAATAGCTATGAGTTCCCAAGGCAATGCACTCCATCAGGAAATTACCCAGTGAATCCTTTTTGCATAGGCTAAAAATAAATACCCAGGTTTCTGTTCAACTAACTTTTCTTTAAGGACATGCATTTTATCTTAAAGAAAAGAGTCAGCTCATTCTTACTTCTCCCATAAAAATTCTATGATTGTCTCTATTTTCTACTTTTTCCATTACATGGTAGCCCTGAATAATTTATTTATAAAGAATTGAGGAGGTATTGCACTCAGCAACTACCATAAGAAAAGCCTGTGAAAGCACCAAAGCTATTACCATGGATTTCCTATCTTTTGGACAATTTTATTTTTCCAGGGCTGTGAAATGACATTTTTTTTCAGATTCCATTTAAATTACATCCTCAGCAAATAACATGTCCTCAGCAAAGCCTAACTTTAGAAATACAGCTACTGATAAGATTTATTTTTAGTTTCCTCTTTACAGAATCTGTGCCATCACTGACGTGAAATAGAAACACAATAGAATTAAGTAAATGTACAACTGGTGATTTTGGAGTACTGCACCTTAAGTATTCTGCACCATGAGGTGACCTTGTATTCATAGTCATCTTCAAAATGGGCATCTGAATGACTGTGTATCTTTATGAGAAAACTGGACATGGTTGAGAAATCACAGGAAGGAGATAGCAGAGATTTCTACTGGTGTAGTGCTGGAGAAGTGTAATTTTGTGTTGATAGCTCTAAAGATTTTAACTTCGGCTTATAGATAAGACTATATAGCTGACTGTAGCAAGTATAACATACTTAGCATTTGTACTTTCATGTTTAAGAGGGAAGGAGATCAGTCACTAAATATGAATGCTGCATATGTTAGCAATAGAGATAGTGATTTTGTAACTTTAATTGCACTTGCCTTAAATCTTTTTCCAAAAAGAAATTATATATATAAACAAATAAGATGAGGATGGTTAAAGAACATTGTTTAGAAATAGGCAAGTTCTGCGCTGATTATCCTTTTTTACATAATTTAATGCATAACGGCAGAGTATATTTGCCAGATCCATGTCAAGAGTATATGAGCACATAACAGCAGTTTGTATAAGCACAGGTGTTCTATGTTTAGATTAAAAATTAACCATGATAACTTTTGGTGTGACTGCTTTCAATTTCAAAAAGTTGGATGTTTAAAGATAAATTTATTACTTGCATAAGAATATTTTTGTATAATATTGGGAAAGGTTTAAAAGATGGACTTGCTTTATGGAGTGCAACTTTCAGAGAAAATAAACAGGGTATGTGTCCAGTTTGTAAAATGTTTTCTTTCAAGATTACGCTTTCTCTGGTTAAATGCAAGGATGTGATGACTTGAAATACATTTTTGTGTGAATTGAACAATACCACCACCAATAACAAAAAATAAAGCAATGTGAATAAGTTGCGTATGCAAACTTCTTTTAATCAATGTTAGTAGATCCTGAAAACAAAAAAGGAGATCCATTTTTGTGAAAATAATGCTAGTAATAATTATCAACGAGGTTGACCATTTGATGCATAAACATATATCCATATCCATTCTAAAAAACATTTAAAAGTTTTCTCTTTGGAAACATTTTTATTCTTCATTCTTCAGTCTAAAATTATATTGATTTTCTAATATTAAAAACAATAAGTTAATAGCACCCCATAATTCTTATTAAATATTTATGACATCAAAATTAATATTATATATGAAGATAGTTCTTGAATTCTATGTATACCTGTTTGCGAATATAGGTCTTGGGGTAAACATATTAGAAAAGTTACGAGAACAAATATATTTAGGAAAATAGCATCCTGGTCAATATTTATTATGTATATCTCTCTCTCTGATATAAATATATACATGTATATATATATCTACTGTATATATACATATATATTCCTTATAATTTAGTTATATTTAGTTTAGATACCCAGCATTGAAATCTATAAATGTAATTATGAGTTGGTTTGGGGAATCAAGTAGTAGCTACAAAGATGAAAATGTCCCTTAAAGAGGGATGGGCACAGTGGCTCACGCCTGTAATCCCAGCACTTTGGGAGGCCGAGGCGGGCGGATGACAAGGTCAGGAGATCAAGACCATCCTGGCCAACATGGTGAAACCCTGTCTCTACTAAAAATACAAAAAATTAGCCGGGCGTGGTTGCAGGCGCCTGTGGTCCCAGCTACTCAGGAGGCTGAGGCAGGAGAATGGCCTGAACCCGGGAGGTGGAGCTTGCAGTGAGCCCAGATTGCACCACTGCACTCCAGCCGGAGCGACAGAGCGAGACTCAGTCTCAAAAAAAAAAAAAGAAAATGTCCCTTGAAGATTAACATGAGAGGCTAGATCATTTAAGAAGGTAATCATTCCAGATAAGATGAGGGGATTTTTTATATATGTTTTTCTATGTATTATCCAATAAGTGGTTTTAAGTTAGTTCTATAAACTCCTAATTAAGAAAAAATAGAGAAACTGAAAAACAGCATTCTTAACTGGGGACGAGATTTGTGACAAGAAAACCAGAAAAAGAATCACATGTTTTAGACATGATGCATTGTACATGATGCACAATGAGGTGTGAAAAAGTAATAAACTAATAATATAGACTTTTTTTTTAAGTTTGGAAAACATTTCTTCCAAGAGGCCAAAGGCATTAAAATGAAAACCTAATTTCTGTTATATCACAGATGTTTCTATACCCATGGTACGTATTACTGCTTCTTAATGATGCACAATTATTCTATATTTTGAACATCTGTGTAAAAGTTTGCAGTTATTACTGTATTAGGTCATGCCCCGAGGAAACGCCAAAATCAAGAGTGGGTGGATGCAGTTGCTCAAAGTAGTATTACAGGCATTTATTTGGAAAAGTAAAAGAGCATTTAGATCAGTCAAAATAACAATGGAACATTAACCCATATGAATTGACCCTTAGGTGTTACTTTTTCACCCACCCCCAATTGTCTCAGTAGAATATGAGTGAATCAAAAATATTGGCATATGCTAATTGTTTTTCTTATAATTCATCTAAGAATTTGACCAAACTAACAATGTAGAATCCTTCTTTTTGACCCATCTCTCTAATCTCTGTCTTAAAACAGAAAAAGGAAGGACCCCCACCACAAACACACACCCACAGAGTGGATTTTTTCTCTTTTCTCCAATGTTCCGTGCTTCCTTGCTCCAGGTCTGTATTGTGATTATAGAATACAATCTTTCTGTGATGGTGTCAACAGAAGCAAGGAGTCAGGTGAAGAACAGATCAGCAAGGTAGCAGTTGGGTGGGCCGCCAAGGTTGAAGGTGCAAAAGTCTGATCTTGAGTTGTCAAAGTCTACATCTGTTAACAGAGCTAGGAATGACCACTCTCCCTTGGACAGACTCATGCTAACCAGGTATTTAAGATTCTGTCTTCAAAAAAATGAGAATTACTAATTGTGGTCAAAAAGACCAGAATGTTCTCACTGCCTTGTTAGAAAGCCAAGTCATAATCAGAAACTTGAGAAATGTGGAATGATAAAGAAGAAAATGAACAGAAAGTACTTAATGTCAATTGTCTTGATGGATTTGTCTCCACCACTGAGAAATAATTGCTATTCTGTCTCTTTTCTGGTTATTTTCTTCCTTACACAGAGCTAGAAAGATAGAGACAAATTCTGACTACTCATGTTTTCTTAGTCTGGACTCATAGATGCCCCAACCCTCTTATTAAATAGTATAGCTTCAGATATAACAATATAGCCACGCCTGATTCTCTCTGCCTGGAATATGGGTATTAACTTCTCAGGCATTCATTTGTAAATCTCTGCTTTGAATAGCTGATCTTCTTGAGCACTTTGTCTAAGATAACCTAAATCTTCAACTTTGGGGTCAAATGTTGCTTTTGGTGAAATGAGCTCAATACACAATTAAGACCTATTGATTTGAGCTGATAATGTTTAATAATTGAAGTACCCATTGTCAACCTCATTATTCTTTTAAAATGTAGGGAGAAAGAGCACCAGATAAATATTCCCAGGGCTTGTTTTAAGGGTCTGGCAGAGGAGAGCAGCTGTTTACTCAGTTTATCTGTTTTGATCTTTAGTAGACCTCCCTTTAAGATTACATTTGCCAGAAGTTTTCATCAGCTAACTTAACCACATGGAAGCCATAGCTGGGACAGCAGGATAGCGTAAAGAGCAGAGAAGTCACTTACATTAAGTTGAGAGACCTTGAGCATGTTATGTTATCTCTTTTACCCTCAAATTCCACATTTATATAAAAAAAAATAAAAGTAGACAGTAATACCTTTCATGAAGGTAAACTGTAAAAGTTCCTTCCTTCCTTACTTCATTCACTCATTAATGCCAGGCCTTGTTCCAGGTGCTGGGAACATATTGGAGAATCACATAGTCAATATTCCTGATCCATGGGGTCTTACTTTCTGGTAGAGTATGAGAAAAAAGGCAAGTCCCTTAATCAGTGAGAAAATTTCAGACAGTGATACATGCAATGACAGTATAAAATAGGAAGATGTGATAGGAAATAACTACCTGGGGAAGTTAATTTTGCATAGTTATTACTGAAAGCTACTTCCAAGAGGTGAAATTATGGCTGGACGTAGAATCAAGAGAAGCGGACAACCAGGGAAAGATCTGGCATTAATTGCCATTCCATCCAAAGAACTGATCTTGAGGCCAGGAATGTGGCCTTAAAGACTTTGAGTCAAAAATGAGGTGGATGTATTTCAGGAAGAAAAGGAAGGCCATTGGCTGGGCACGGTGGCTCACGCCTGTAATCCCAGCACTTTAGGAGGCTGAGGTGGTTGGATCATGAGGTCAGGAATTCGAGACCAGCCTGACCAACATGGTGAAACCCCGTCTCTACTAAAAATATAAAAATTAGCCAGGCATGGTGGCACGCACCTGTAATCCCAGCTACTCAGGAGGGTGAGGCAGGAGAATCGCTTGAACTATTAGGGAGGCGGAGGTTGCAGTGAGCTGAGATCACGCCATTGCACTCCAGCCTGGGGGACAGAGTGAGACTCCATCTCAAAAAAAAGAAAAGAAAAGGAAGGCCATTATTGTTGGGACATTGTGAATACAGGCTTAAAATTTATATGTATATATAAACTGTAAATATATATGTGTGTGTGTGTGTGTGTGTGTGTGTATATAACATAGCACATAGTAAGTACTAAATGCTGAAAGAGTAGGTAATATTACTGAAGGCAGGTTGGGGATCAGATTAAAAATTTTGCTTGTTTTAATGTTAAATGAAAATATGTGTAGTATCTTTTGATTCCACCTTTTTTTTTTTTTTTTTTTTTTAAGACAGAGTCTCCCTCTGTCGCCCAGGCTGGAGTGCCATGGCGCAATCTCGGCTCACTACAAGCTCTGCCTCCAGGGTTCAAGTCATTCTCCTGCCTCAGCCTCCTGAGTAGCTGGGCCTACAGACGCCCGCCACCGCGCCTGGCTAATTTTTTTTGTATTTTTAGTAGAGACGGGGTTTCACCGTGTTAGCCCGGATGCTCTCGATCTCCTGACCTCGTGATCCGCCCATCTCAGCCTCCCAAAGTGCTGGGATTACAGGCGTGAGCCACCGTGTCCGGCCACCTTTTTTTCTTTTTTCAAAATATATTTGATTTGGAGTTTATCACTGATCTCCAGGACGTCTTTAATAGGTTGCAATTAAGAGCATTTATCTTTACTTCTCTAAGTATTTCATCAAATCAGCTGTAAGAAAAGCTAAACCAAACCAAAATCTACACTCAGTTTAAGGACCTGATATGCTGTATCAGAGCAATGGGCTACTCAAGGTCTATATGGTTTTGGGGGGTAGGGGTAGCAGATTAAAGATGGGCATGAAATGCCTGTGTTTGAACCAATGCAATAGTCTCCTCTCACTTCTCCAAGATTTGCAAAAAAAGAGCTGGGAAGGAAGACAGGTGCAAAGATGCCTGGGAGAAATGTATTGATTTAGTTCTCTGTTGGTCTATAACAAACCACCCCAAAAGCCAATGGCTTAAAACAAGCATTTTATTATCCCTCGTGAGAACTGACTGGTATCAGCTGGAATCAGCTGGGTGGTTCTTCCACTGGTCTCATTTAGGGCCTCTCCTGCAGTTGTGGTCATATTGGAGATGGGGATAGAGTCATGTGGAAGCTAAACTGGGATGCTAAGATGACTGCACCTCTCTTCCTCTCCATATAGTTCAGGGCCTCTGTTTTCCACTTGGCCCCTCTCTACCTGCTCCCTCCAGGAGGCTACTAGACTTCTCACATGGAAGTTCGAGTTTTTCAAAAGTGCAAAAGTGGAGGCAGCTAGGCCTGCTTAAAGTTTACCATGACCTTCACCACATTACATCAGTTTCAACGAGTCAAGTCAGAAGCCTACCCTAGATTCACTGCGGGAGGGGGCCACATTAGGGCATACATTCAGAAATATGTGGTTCATAGGAGTCATCTTTCAAGACTGGCTACCACAGAATCAGTGAGAAAAAAAGGATGTGTGGGGCTGATGCTTCCATGTAGAGCCCAGTGTACTGTCTCACCTCACGAAACCATGGTATGGTTGGTCTTTGAGAGGCAGAAGATCAACAGCTGCCATCAGCATCTAGGAAAAACTGTCTAATCTCAAATGCTCATTATTAACACCAAAATTTTCTTAAAGTACACAAGCAGAAAAATTCTCTCTTCTTTCCTCTTCCCCTTTTTATTTATAAGGGTTCTTTCTTGTTTTAGTCAAAACTTTATCGCTCTGCTTACAGAAGAATAGACAGCCAGGTATTTGGGGGAGATTTTATATTGAGGTTCAGTTTTGCTGGTATTGAACTAATGCTAAACCTCCATAAGCAAAGACCCCAGGGATGACTTCTTATATAAATAAAAATTCAGAGGCACATAAATTACTTTTTTATCTTAAGTCCTCAAAACTGGGTACAAAGCACAGATACAGTTTCCTAGCCAAGAGGTCATAATAACCTTTTGAACAAGAATGAAGAAGCTGAAGCTATATTAAATTCTCATTAGCATTTCTTTGATCAAATGTATGTTTTCCTCCTTTTCACAACTTTTTTTTCAAATGCAAATATGTGCTTAAACATTAGCCACTGAGCTGCAACTGGGAGAGCATCCGCAGAATGTTTAAATATGCAAATTAGCACCACAGAGAGGAAAAGATGAACCTTCTCTACTTGGCTCTTTTGTACACAGCACCGAGCACTGGAAAGTACAATTAAATAGAGTCTCTCTGAACTCCTCAATCAAGAAGTATATGTTATCAACTGAACTCTAAGTGGCTATGCTGCCAGAAGTCTTAGCAAAATGCCACATGTGCCCAAGAGAGATTCCAAATGGAATACAATTACAGTTAAATTGAGATACCTATTAAGGAAAGTGGCCCAAATCTGTGTTCATATAGATCAAATACAAAGTTTTATTTGAAACTGGGCTCAGTCCTTTCATCTGTGGATGATTTTTAAAGTAAATATGGATGACCAATATGAACTGATGAAAGTAGAGGCCTGTAGGAGTAAACCTTCCAGGGTACCTTATCTAGAGGAAACTGCCCAATTCAAGAAAGAGTGACATTTACTAAGATGTTGACTTTTTTTTCAAAAATATTAACAAATGCAAATAAGTCTACACATGCCAATTAAGTGATGCACCAAGTGTTGGTGAAGTCATGAGGAGATGAGGAAATGAGCATGCTTATTAACTACAGGCTGAAGGGTAAATTGGTACAATGGTCTTTTTAGAGTGAAAAGATGGTGTCAATTTTCACCTACCTGAAGCTTTTCTTCTCTTTAAAATCTGTTCACTAACCTACTACTGTCTACTGAACATTCCATTGAGAGCCTTATCCACAGTGTCTAGAACACCATAAGACTGGAAGTATGCATTTTAATTTGGCGTCTTCACACACAGAACCAAACTCCCTTATTCTAACTCTGCCACCTCCTAATTACATTCCTCTCTCCTCCTTCTCTTTTTGTTAAATTTTTTTATTATTTATTTTAAAATTTTGTGGGTACATAGTAGGTGTATACATTTATGGAGTGCATGAGATATTTTGATACAGGCATACAAGCATAAAAATCATATCCAGGTAAATGGGGTATCCATCACCTCAAGCACTTATCCTTTGTGTTATAAACAATCCAATTATACTCTTACTTAAAAATGTACAATTAAATTATTATTGACTATAGTCACCTTGTTGTGTTATAAAATACTAGATCTTATTAACTCTATCTAATTGTTTTTTGTACCCATTAACTCTCCCCACTTCCCACTCCCCCACTAACCTTCCCAGCCTCTGGAAACCATCCTTCTACTCTCTATTGCCATGAGTTCAGTTGTTTTAATTTTCAGTTCCCACAAATAACTGAAAAGATGTGACGTTTGTCCTTCTGTGACTAGCTTATTTCACTTAACATAATGACCTCCAATTCCATCCATGTTGTTCAAATGACAGGATCTCATTCTTTTTTATGGCTAAATAGTACTCCATTGTGTATATTTACCACATTATCTTTATCCATTCGTCTTTTGATAGACACTTAGGTTGCTTCCAAATCTTGGCTATTGTGAACAGTGCTACAATAGACATGAGAGTGCAGACATCTCTGCAATACATTGATTTCCTTGCTTTGGGAATATACCTAGGAGTGGGATTGCTGGATCATATGGTAGCTCTATTTTTAGGTTTTGATGAATCTCCAAACTGTTCTCCATAATGGTTGCACTAATTTACATTTCCAATGAGAGTGTACAAGGGTTCCCTTTACTCCACATCCTCAATAGCATTTGTTATTGTCAGGCCTCTGAGCCCAAGTTAAGCCATCACATCCCCTGTGACCTGCACATACACATCCAGATGGCCAGTTCCTGCCTTAACTGATGACATTCCACCACAGAAGAAGTGAAAATGGCCTGTTCCTGCCTTAACTGATGTCATTATCTTGTGAAATTCCTTCTCCTGGCTCAAAAGCTCCCTTACTGAGCACCTTGTGACCCCCACCCCTGCCCGCCAGAGAACAACCCCCTTTGACTGTAATTTTCCTTTATCTACCCAAATCCTATAAAACAGCCCCACCCCTATCTCCCTTCACTGACTCTCTTTTCGGACTCAGCCCGCCTGCACCCAGGTGAAATAAACAGCCTTGTTGCTCACACAAAGCCTGTTTGGTGGTCTCTTCACACGGACGCGCATGAAATTTGGTGCCGTCACTCAGATCAGGGGACCTCCCTTGGGAGATCAATCCCCTGTCCTCCTGCTCTTTGCTCCATGAGAAAGATCCACCTACGACCTCAGGTCCTCAGACCCACCAGCCCGAGGAACATCTCACCAATTTCAAATCCAGTAAGCGGCCTCTTTTTACTCTCTTCTCCAACCTCTCTCACTATCCCTCAACTTCTTTCTCCTTTCAATCTTGGCGCCACACTTCAATCTCTCCCTTCTCTTAATTTCAATTCCTTTCATTTTCTGGTAGAGACAAGAGACACATTTTATCCGGGGACCCAAAACTCTGGCGCCGGTCACGGACTCAGGAAGGCAGCCTTCCTTTGGTATTTAATCACTGCAGGGACACCTCTGATTATTCACCCATGTTCCATTGGTGTCTGATCTCCGCAGGGACGCCTGCCTTAATCATTCACCCACGTTCCCTTGGTGGCAAGTCAATTGCGGGGACGCCTGCCTTGGCTGCTCAACCACGTTGCAGCCCAGGGCTGCTCCCCACCACCTTCTCTGTGTCTCTATCCTTCTCTTTAAACTTGCCACCTTCACTATGGGAGGCAACTTCCACCCTCCATTCCCCCTTCTTCTCCCTTAGCCTGTGTTCTTAAAAACCTAAAACCTCTTGAACTCACACCTGACCTAAAACCTAAATGCCTTATTTTCTTCTGCAATGCTGCTTGACCCCAATACAAACTTGACAGTGGTTCCAAATAGCCAGAAAATGGCACTTTCAATTTTTCCATCCTACAAGATCTAAATAATTATTGTCCTAAAATGGGCAAACGGTCTGAGGTGCCTGACGTCCGGGCATTCTTTTACACATTGGTCCCTCCCTAGTCTCTGTTCCCAGTGCAACTCGTCTCAAATCTTCCCTCTTTCCCTCCCGCTTGTCCCCTCAGTCCCAAACCCAAGCATCGCTGAGTCTTTCTAATCTTCCTTTTCTACAGACCCATCTGACCTCTCCCCCTCCTCGCCAGGCTGAGCTAGGTCCCACTTCTTCCTCAGCCTCCGCTCCTCCACCCTATAATCCTTTTATCACCTCCCCTCCTCACATCTGGTCCAGCTTACAGTTTTGTTCCGTGACTAGCCCTCCCCCACCTGCCCAGCAATTTACTCTTAAAAAGGTGGCTGGAGCTAAAGGCATAGTCAAGGTTAATATTCCTTTGTCTTTATCCCAAATCAGATAGCGTTTAGGCTCTTTTTCAACAAATATAAAAACCCAGCCCAGTTCATGGCTCGTTTGGCAGCAACCCTGAGATGCTTTACAGCCCTAGACCCTAAAAGGTCCAAAGGCCGTCTTATTCTCAATATACATTTTATTACCCAATCTGCTCCCAACATTAATCTCCAAAAATTAAATTCCGGCCCTCAAACCCCACAACAGGAGTTAATTAACGTCGCCTTCAAGGTGTACAATAATGTAGAGGCAGCCAAGTAGCAACATATTTCTGAGTTGCAATTCCTTGCCTCCACCGTGAGACAAACCCCAGCCATATCTCCAGCACACAAGAACTTCCAAATGCCTAAACCGCAGTGGCCAGGCGTTCTTCCACGCCTGCCTCCCCTAGGAGCTTGCTACAAGTGCCAGACTGGCCAACAGGCCAAGGAATGTCCACAGCCCGGGATTCCTCCTAAGCTGCGTCCCATCTGTGCGGGACCCCACTGAAAATCGGACTGTTCAACTCACCTGGCCGCCACTCCCAGAGCCCCTGGAACTCTGACCCAAGGCTCTCTGACTCCTTCCCAGATCTTCTTGGCTTAGCGGCTGAAGACTGACGCTGCCCAATCGCCTCGGAAGCCCCGTAGACCATCACAGACGCCAAGCTTTAGGTAACTCTCACAGTGGAGTGTTTAAGTCCGTCCCCTTCTTAATCAATACGGAGGCTACCCACTCCACGTTACCTTCTTTTCAAGGGCCTGTTTCCCTTGCCTCCATAACTGTTGTGGGTATTGACAGCCAGGCTTCTAAACCTCTTAAAACTCCCCAACCCTGGTGCTAACTTAGACAATACTCTTTTAAGCACTCCTTTTTAGTTATCCCCACCTGCCCAGTTCCCTTATTAGGCCGAGACATTCTTTTAAGCACTCTTTTTTAGTTATCCCCACCTGCCCAGTTCCCTTATTAGGCCAAGACATTTTAACTAAATTATCTGCTTCCCTGACTATTCCTAGGCTACAGCTGCACCTCATTGCCGCCCTTCTTCCCAGTCCAAAGCCTCCTTCACATCCTCCTCTTGTATCCCCCCACCTTAACCCAAAAGTATAGGATACCTCTACTCCCTCCTTGGCGACGGATCATGCACCCCTTACCATCTCATTAAAACCTAATCACCCTTACCCCGCTCAATGCCAATATCCCATCCCACAGCACGCTTTAAAAGTATTAAAGCCTGTTATCACTCGCCTGTTACAGCATGGCCTTTTAAAGCCTATAAACTCTCCTTACAATTCCCCCATTTTACCTGTCCTAGAACCAGACAAGCCTTACAGGTTAGTTCAGGATCTGCGCCTTATCAACCAAATTGCTTTCCCTATCCACCCCGTGGTGCCGAACCCATATACTCTCCTATCCTCAATACCTCCCTCCACAACCCATTATTCTGTTCTAGATCTCAAACGTGCTTTTTTTTTTTACTATTCCTTTGCACCCTTCACCCCAGCCTCTCTTCACTTTCACTTGGACTGACCCTGACACCCATCAGGCTCAGCAAATTACCTGGGCTGTACTGCCTCAAGGCTTCACAGACAGCCCCTATTACTTCAGTCAAGCCCAAATTTCTTCCTCATCTGTTACCTATCTCGGCGTAATTCTCATAAAAACACACGTGCTCTCCCTGCCAATCGTGTTCAGCTGATCTCTCAAACCCCAAGAACTACAAAACAACAACTCCTTTCCTTCCTAGGTTGGATACTTTCGACTTTAGATACCTGGTTTTGCCATCCTAACAAAACCATTATATAAACTCACAAAAAGAAACCTAGCTGACCCCATAGATCCTAAATCCTTTCCCCACTCCTCTTTCCATTCCTTGAAGACAGTTTTAGAGACTGGCCCCACCCTAGCTCCCCCGACTCATCTCTTTTCATTACCCACAGCCGAAGTGCAGGGCTATGCAATCGGAATTCTTACACAAGAACCGGGACCGTGCCCTGTAGCCTTTTTATCCAAACAACTTGACCTTACTGTTTTGCCCAGCCCTCGAGTCTGCGTGCAGCAGCCGCGGCTGCCGCCCTAATACTTTTAGAGGCCCTTAAAATCACAAACTATGCTCAACTCACTCTCTACAGTTCTCATAACTTCCAAAATCTATTTTCTTCCTCACACCTGACACATACACTTTCTGCTCCCCGGCTCCTTCAGCTGTACTCACTCTTTGTTGAGTCTCCCACAATTACCATCGTTCCTGGCCCGGACTTCAATCTGGCCTCCCACATTATTCCTGATACCACACCTGACCCCCATGACTCTATCTCTCTGATCCACCTGACATTCACCCCATTTCCCCATATTTCCTTCTTTCCTGTTCCTCACCCTGATCACACTTGGTTTATTGATGGCAGTTCCACCAGGCCTAATGGCCACACACCAGCAAAGGCAGGCTATGCTATAGTACAAGCCACTAGCCCACCTCTTAGAACCTCTCATTTCCTTTCCATTGTGGAAATCTATCCTCAAGGAAATAACTTCTCAGTGTTCCATCTGCTATTCTACTACTCCTCAGGGATTATTCAGGCCCCCTTCCTTCCCTACACATCAAGCTCGGGGATTTGTCCCCACCCAGGACTGACAATTGGCTTTACTCAACATGCCCCGAGTCAGAAAACTAAAATACCTCTTAGTCTGGTTAGACAATTTCACTGGATAGGTAGAGGCCTTTCCTACAGGGTCTGAGAAGGTCACCGCAGTCATTTCTTCCCTTTTGTCAGACATAATTCCTCTGTTTAGCCTTCCCACCTCTATCCAGTCTGATAACGGACCAGCCTTTATTAGTCAAATCAGCCAAGCAGTTTTTCAGGCTCTTAGTATTCAGTGAAACCTTTATATCCCTTACAGTCCTCAGTCTTCAGGAAAAGTAGGACGGACTAATAGTCTTTTAAAAACACACCTCACCAAGCTCAGCCACCAACTTAAAAAGGAATGGACGATACTTTTACCACTTTCCCTTCTCAGAATTCAGGCCTGTCCTCGGAATGCTACAGGGTACAGCCCATTTGAGCTCCCGTATAGATGCTCCTTTTTATTAGGCCCCAGTCTCATTCTAGACACCAGACAACTTGGACTGTGCCCCAAAAAACTTGTCATCCCTACTACTTTCTCTCTAATCATACTCCTATTCACCATTCTCAACTACTCGTAGACGCCCTGCTCTTGTTTACACTGCCAGTTTACACTGTTTCTCCAAGCCATCACAGCGGATATCTCCTGGTGCTATCCCCAAACTGCCACTCTTAACTCTTAAAGTAA
Source organism: Homo sapiens (assembly GCF_000001405.40). NCBI lineage: Eukaryota > Metazoa > Chordata > Mammalia > Primates > Hominidae > Homo > Homo sapiens. Next base: position 29,980,437 of record NC_000023.11, read on the forward strand.
ATAAATAATCTTTGCTGGCAGGACTATGCTGAATCTCCTTAGGCACTCTCTAATTGGATGTCCTGGGTCATCCCAATTCTTAGACCTTTAATACCTGTTTTTCTCTTTCTCTTATTCCATTTAGTTTTTCAATTCATACAAAACCATATCCAGGCCATCACCAATAATTCTACATGACAAATGTTTCTTCTAACAACCCCACAATACCACCCCTTACCACAAAATCTTCCTTCAGCTTAATCTCTCCCACTCTAGGTTCCCACGCCACCCCTAATCCCGCTGGAAGCAGCCCTGAGAAACATCACCCATTCTCTCTCCATACCACCCCCAAAAATTTTCGCCGTCCCAACACTTTACCATTATTTCATTTTATTTTTCTTATTAATATAAGAAGACAGGAATCTCAGGCCTCTGAGCCCAAGCTAAGCCATCATATCCCCTGTGACCTGCACGTACACATCCAGATGGCCAGTTCCTGCCTTAACTGATGACATTCCACCACAAAAGAAATGAAAATGGCCTGTTCCTCCTTAACTGATGACATTGTCTTGTGAAATTCCTTCTCCTGGCTCATCCTGGCTCAAAAGCTCCCCTACAGAGCACCTTGTGACCCCCACTCCTGCCCACTAGAGAACAACCCCCTTTGACTGTAATTTTCCTTTACCTACCCAAATCTTATAAAACGGCCCCACCCTTATCTCCCTTCGCTGAGTCTCTTTTCGGACTCAGCCCACCTGCACCCAGGTGAAATAAACAGCCTTGTTGCTCACACAAAGCCTGTTTGGTGGTGTCTTAACACGGACGGGAGTGAAAGTTATTGCCTCTCTTTTGAATAAAAACTATTGTAGCCAGAGTGAGATGATGTTTCATCACAGTTTGGATTTGCATTTCTCTCATGATCAATGATATTCAGCACCTTTTCATATACCTCTTTGCCATTTGTATGTATTTTTTTGAGAAATGTCTATTCAGATCTTTGGCCCATTTTTAAATAGGTTATTAGATTTTTTCCTATAGAGTTGTTTGAGCTCCTTATATATTCTGGTTATTATTCCATTGTCAGACATATATAGCAAATATTTTCTTCCATTCTGTGGGTTGTTGTTACACTTGTTCATTGTATCCTTTGCTGTGCAAAAGCTTTTTAACTTGATATAATTCCATTTGTCCATTTTTGCTTTGGTTGCCTGTACTGTGGGGTATTACTCAAGAAATGTGTGCCCAATCCAATGTTCTGGAGAGTTTCCTCAATGTTTTATTTCACAGTGTCATAGTTGGAGGTCTTATATTTAAGTTTTTTTTTTATTATTATACTTTAAGTTTTAGGGTACATGTGCACAATGTGCCGGTTAGTTACATATGTATACATGTGCCATGCTGGTGTGCTGCACCCATTAACTTGTCATTTAGCATTAGGTATATTTCCTAATGCTATCCCTCCCCCCCTCCCCCCACCCCACAACAGTCCCCAGAGTGTGATGTTCCCCTCCCTGTGTCCATGTGTTCTCATTGTTCAATTCCCATCTATGAGTGAGAACATGGAGTGTTTGGTTCTTTGTCCTTGCAACAGTCTACTGAGAATAATGATTTCCAATTTCATCCATGTCCCTACAAAAGACATGAACTCATCATTTTTTATGGCTGCATAATATTCCATGGTGTATATGGGCCACATTTTCTTAATCCAGTCTATCATTGTTGGACATTTGGGTTGGTTCCAAGTCTTTGCTATTGTGAATAGTGTCGCAATAAACATAGGTGTGCATGTGTCTTTATAGCAGCATGATTTATATTCCTTTGGGTATATACCCAGTAATGGGATGGCTGGATCAAATGGTATTTCTAGTTCTAGATCCCTGAGGAATCGCCACACCGACTTCCACAATGGTTGAACTAGTTTACAGTCCCACCAATAGTGTAAAAGTGTTCCTATTTCTCCACATCCTGTCTAGCACCTGTTGTTTCCTGACTTTTGAATGACTGCCATTCCAACTCGTGTGAGATGGTATCTCATTGTGGTTTTGATTTGCATTTCTCTGATGGCCAGTGATGATGAGCATTTTTTCATGTGTCTTTTGGCTGCATAAATGTCTTCTTTTGAGAAGTGTCTGTTCATATCCTTTGCCCACTTTTTGATGGGGTTGTTTGTTTTTTTCTTGTAAATTTGTTTGAGTTCATTGTAGATTCTGGATACTAGCCCTTTGTCAGATGAGTAGGTTGCAAAAATTTTCTCCCATTTTGTAGGTTGCCTATTCACTCTGATGGTAGTTTCTTTTGCTGTGCAGAAGCTCTTTAGTTTAATTAGATCCCATTTGTCAATTTTGGCTTTTGTTGCCATTGCTTTTGGTGTTTTAGACATGAAGTCCTTGCCCATGCCTATGTCCTGAATGGTAATACCTAGGTTTCCTTCTAGGGTTTTTATGGTTGTAGGTCTAACGTTTAAGTCTTTAATCCATCTTGAATTAATTTTTGTATAAGGTGTAAGGAAGGGATTCAGTTTCAGCTTTCTACATATGGCTAGCCAGTTTTCCCAGCACCATTTATTAAATAGGGAATCCTTTCCCCATTGCTTGTTTTTCTCAGGTTTGTCAAAGATCAGATAGTTGTAGGTATGCGGCATTATTTCTGAGGGCTCTGTTCTGTTCCATTGGTCTATATCTCTGTTTTGGTACCAGTACCATGCTGTTTTGGTTACTGTAGCCTTGTAGTATAGTTTGAAGTCAGGTAGCGTGATGCCTCCAGCTTTGTTCTTTTGGCTTAGGATTGACTTGGTGACACGGGCTCTTTTTTGGTTCCATATGAACTTTAAAGTAGTTTTTTCCAATTCTGTGAAGAAAGTCATTGGTAGCTTGATGGGGATGGCATTGAATCTATAAATTACCTTGGGCAGTATGGCCATTTTCACGATATTGATTCTTCCTACACATGAGCATGGAATGTTCTTCCATTTGATTGTATCCTCTTTTATTTCATTCAGCAGTAGTTTGTAGTTCTCCTTGAAGAGGTCCTTCACGTCCCTTGTAAGTTGGATTCCTAGGTATTTTATTCTCTTTGTAGCAATTGTGAATGGGAGTTCACTCATGATTTGGCTCTCTGTTTGTCTGTTATTGGTGTATAAGAATGCTTGTGATGTTTGTACATTGATTTTGTATCCTGAGACTTTGCTGAAGTTGCTTACCAGCTTAAGGAGATTTTGGGCTGAGACAGTGGGGTTTTCTAGATATACAATCATGTTGTCTGCAAACAGGGACAATTTGACTTCCTCTTTTCCTAATTGAATACCATTTATTTCCTTCTCCTGCCTAATTGCCCTGGCCAGAACTTCCAACACTATGTTGAATAGGAGTGGTGAGAGAGGGCATCCCTGTCTTGTGCCAGTTTTCAAAGGGAATGCTTCCAGTTTTTGCCCATTCAGTATGATATTGGCTGTAGGTTTGTCATAGATAGCTCTTATTATTTTGAGATACATCCCATCAATACCTAATTTATTGAGAGTTTTTAGCATGAAGGTTGTTGAATTTTGTCAAAGGCCTTTTCTGCATCTGTTGAGATAATCATGTGGTTTTTGTCTTTGGTTCTGTTTATATGCTGGATTACATTTATTGATTTGCATATATTGAACCAGCCTTGCATCCCAGGGATGAAGCCCACTTGATCATGGTGGATAAGCTTTTTGATGTGTTGCTGAATTCGGTTTGCCAGTATTTTATTGAGGATTTTTGCATCAATGTTCATCAAGGATATTGGTCTAAAATTCTCTTTTTTGGTTTTGTCTCTGCCAGGCTTTGGTATCAGGATGATGCTGGCCTCATAAAATGAGTTAGGGAGGATTCCCTCTTTTTCTATTGATTGGAATAGTTTCAGAAGGAATGGTACCAGTTCCTCCTTGTACCTCTGGTAGAATTCGGCTGTGAATCCATCTGGTCCTGGACTCTTTTTGGTTGGTAAGCTATTGATTATTGCCACAATTTCAGATCCTGTTATTGGTCTATTCAGAGATTCAACTTCTTCCTGGTTTAGTCTTGGGGGAGTGTATGTGTCCAGGAATTTATCCATTTCTTCTAGATTGTCTAGTTTATTTGCGTAGAGGTGTTTGTAGTATTCTCTGATGGTAGTTTGTATTTCTGTGGGATCGGTGGTGATATCCCCTTTATCATTTTTTATTGCATCTATTTGATTCTTCTCTCTTTTTTTCTTTATTAGTTTTGCTAGCGGTCTATCAATTTTGTTGATCCTTTCAAAAAACCAGCTCCTGGATTCATTAATTTTTTGAAGGGTTTTTTGTGTCTCTATTTCCTTCAGTTCTGCTCTGATTTTAGTTATTTCTTGCCTTCTGCTAGCTTTTGAATGTGTTTGCTCTTGCTTTTCTAGTTCTTTTAATTGTGATGTTAGGGTGTCAATTTTGGATCTTTCCTGCTTTCTCTTGTGGGCATTTAGTGCTATAAATTTCCCTCTACACACTGCTTTAAATGTGTCCCAGAGATTCTGGTATGTTGTGTCTTTGTTCTCATTGGTTTCAAAGAACATCTTTATTTCTGCCTTCATTTCGTTATGTACCCAATAGTCATTCAGGAGCAGGTTGTTCAGTTTCCATGTAGTTGAGTGGTTTTGAGTGAGTTTCTTAATCCTGAGTTCTAGTTTGATTGCACTGTGTTCTGAGAGACAGTTTGTTATAATATCTGTTCTTTTACATTTGCTGAGGAGGGCTTTACTTCCAACTATGTGGTCAATTTTGGAATAGGTGTGGTGTGGTGCTGAAAAAAATGTATATTCTGTTGATTTGCGGTGGAGAGTTCTGTAGATGTCTATTAGGTCTGCTTGGTGCAGAGCTGAGTTCAGTTCCTGGATATCCTTGTTAACTTTCTGTCTCATTGATCTGTCTAATGTTGACAGTGGGGTGTTAAAGTCTCCCATTCTTATGGTGTGGGAATCTAAGTCTCTTTGTAGGTCACTCAGGACTTGCTTTATGAATCTGGGTGCTCCTGTATTGGGTACATATATATTTAGGATAGTTAGCTCTTCTTGTTGAATTGATCCCTTTACCATTATGTAATGGCCTTCTTTGTCTCTTTTGATCTTTGTTGGTTTAAAGTCTGTTTTATCAGAGACTAGGATTGCAACCCCTGCCTTTTTTTGTTTTCCGTTTGCTTGGTAGATCTTCCTCCATCCTTTTATTTTGAGCCTATGTGTGTCTGTGCACGTGAGACGGGTTTCCTGAATACAGCACACTGATGGGTCTTGACTCTTTATCCAATTTGCCAGTCTGTGTCTTTTAATTGGAGCATTTAGTCCATTTAAAGTTAATATTGTTATGTGTGAATTTGATCCTGTCATTATGATGTTAGCTGGTTATTTTGCTCGTTAGTTGATGCAGTTTCTTCCTAGTCTCGATGGTCTTTACATTTTGGCATGATTTTGCAGTGGCTGGTACCGGTTGTGCCTTTCCATGTTTAGTGCTTCCTTCAGGAGCTCTTTTAGGGCAGGCCTGGTGGTGACAAAATCTCTCAGCATTTGCTTGTCTGTTAAGTATTTTATTTCTCCTTCACTTATGAAGCTTAGTTTGGCTGGATATGAAATTCTGGGTTGAAAATTCTTTTCTTTAAGAATGTTGAATATTGGCCCCCACTCTCTTCTGGCTTGTAGGGTTTCTGCCGAGAGATCCACTGTTAGTCTGATGGGCTTCCCTTTGTGGGTAACCCGACCTTTCTCTCTGGCTGCCCTTAACATTTTTTCCTTCATTTCAACTTTGGTGAATCTGACAATTATGTGTCTTGGAGTTGCTCTTCTCGAGGAGTATCTTTGTGGCGTTCTCTGTATTTCCTGAATCTGAATGTTGGCCTGCCTTGCTAGATTGGGGAAGTTCTCCTGGATAATATCCTGCAGAGTGTTTTCCAACTTGGTTCCATTCTCCCCGTCATTTTCAGGTACACCAATCAGACATAGATTTGGTCTTTTCACATAGTCCCATATTTCTTGGAGGCTTTGTTTGTTTCTTTTTATTCTTTTTTCTCTAAACTTCCCTTCTCGCTTCATTTCATTCATTTCATCTTCCATCACTGATACCCTTTCTTCCAGTTGATCGCATCGGCTCCTGAGGCTTCTGCATTCTTCACGTAGTTCTTGAGCCTTGGCTTTCAGCTCCATCAGCTCCTTTAAGCACTTCTCTGTATTGGTTATTCTAGTTATACATTTGTCTAAATTTTTTTCAAAGTTTTCGACTTCTTTGCCTTTGGTTTGAATTTCCTCCTGTAGCTCGGAGTAGTTTGATCTTCTGAAGCCTTCTTCTCTCAACTCGTCAAAGTCATTCTCCATCCAGCTTTGTTCCGTTGCTGGTGAGGAACTGCATTCCTTTGGAGGAGGACAGGCGCTCTGCTTTTTAGAGTTTCCAGTTTTTCTGCTCTGTTTTTTCCCCATCTTTGTGGTTTTATCTACTTTTGGTCTTTGATGATGGTGATGTACAGATGGGTCTTTGGTGTGGATGTCCTTTCTGTTTGTTAGTTTTCCTTCTAACAGACAGGACCCTCAGCTGCAGGTCTGTTGGAGTTTGCTAGAGGTCCACTCCAGACCCTGTTTGCCTGGGTATCAGCAGCGGTGTCTGCAGAACCGTGGATTTTCGTGATCCGCGAATGCTGCTGTCTAATCGTTCCTCTGGAAGTTTTGTATCAGAGGAGTACCCGGCTGTGTGAGGTGTCAGTCTGCCCCTACTTGGGGGTGCCTCCCAGTTAGGCTGCTCAGGGGTCAGGGGTCAGGGGCCCACTTGAGGAGACAGTCTGCCCGTCCTCAGATCTCAGCTGTGTGCTGAGAGAACCACTGCTCTCCTCAAAGCTGTCAGACAGGGACATTTAAGTCTGTAGAGGTTACTGCTGTCTTTTTGTTTGTCTGTGCCCTGCCCCCAGAGGTGGAGCCTACAGAGGCAGGCAGGCCTCCTTGAGCTGCGGTGGGCTCCACCCAGTTCGAGCTTCCCGGCTGCTTTGTTTACCTAAGCGAGCCTGGGCAATGGCGGGCGCCCCCCCCCCAGCCTCGCTGCCACCTTGCAGTTTGATCTCAGACTGCTGTGCTGCCAATCAGCGAGACTCCGTGGGCGTAGGACCCTCTGAGCCAGGTGCGAGATATAACCTCCTGGTGCGCCGTTTCCTAAGCCCTTCGGAAAAGCGCAGTATTCGGGTGGGAGTGGCCTGATTTCCCAGGTGCCGTCTGTCACCCCTTTCCTTGACCAGGAAAGGGAACTCCCTGACCCCTTGCACTTCCCAAGTGAGGCAATGCCTTGCCCTGCTTCGGCTGGCACACAGTGTGCTGCACCCACTGTCCTGCGCCCACTGTCTGGCACTCCCTAGTGAGATGAACCCGGTACCTCAGATGGAAATGCAGCAATCACCTGTCTTCTGCGTCGCTCACGCTGGGAGCTGTAGACCGGAGCTGTTCCTATTCGGCCATCTTGGCTCCTCCCCCTATTTAAGTTTTTAAAATCAATTTTGACTCGATTTTTGTATATGCTGACAGATAGAAGTCTAGTTTCATTCTTCTGCATATGGATATCCAGTTTTCTGAGCACCATTTCTTTATTGAAGACACTGTCTTTACCTAGTGCATGTTCTTGGTGCCTTTGTCAAAAATGAGTTCACTGTAAATGTATGGATATGTTTCTGGGTTCTCTATTGAGTTCCATTGGTCTACGTATCTGTTTCTATGCTAGCACCATGCTGTTTTGGTTGCTACACCTCTGTAGTATCATTTGAATGCATGTAATATGATTCCTCCAGTTTTGTCATTGTTGCTCACTATAGCTATGGCTATTCTGGTTCTTTTGTGGTTCGGTATAAATTTTAGAATTGTTTTTTCTATTTCTATGAAGAATGTTTTTGGTATTTTTATAGGGATTGCAATGAATCTGAAGATTGCTTTGGGCAATACAGACATTTTAACCATATTGATTTTTCCAATCCAAGAACATGGAATATATTTCCATTTTTTGTGTTCTCTTCAACTTCTTGCATTAATGTTTCACAGTTTTCATTGTAAAGATCTTTCACTTATTTGCTTAATTCCTAGGTATTTAATTTTATTTGCAGATATTGTAAACAGGATTACTTTTTGATTTCTTTTTCAGATTGTTCGCTGTTGACATATAAAACTGCTACCCATTATTGTATGTTGATTTCATATCCTGCAACTTTACTGAATTTATCAGTTCTAATAGTTTTTTTGGTGGAGTCTTTGGGTTTTTTTCCAAATATAAAATCATATCATCTGCAAGCAAGAATAATTTCACTTCTTCCTTTGCATTTTTTATGCCTTTAATTTATTTCTCTTGTCTGGTCGCTGTAGCTAGGACTTCCAGTACTATTTGAATAACAGTGGTGAAAGTGGTCTTCCTTATCATGTTCCAGATCTTAGAGGAAATGCTTTCAATTTTTCTCCTTCAGTATGATACTACCTGTGGGTCTGCCATATATGGCTTTTACTGTCTTTTGGTATGTTCTAACATCCCCAGTTTTTTGAGAGTTTTTATCGTGAAGAGATGTTGTATTTTATCAAATGCTTTTTCAACTTCCATTGAAATGTTCATTTTTTTTTTGGTTTTTTTGTTTTGTTTTTTTTTTTTTGTGACAAAGTCTCGCTCTGTCACCCAGGCTGGAGTACAATGGCCCGGTCTTGGCTCACTGCAACCTCTGCCTCCTGGGTTCAAGCAATTCTCCTGTCTCAGCCTTCCAAGTAGCTGGGATTACAAGCGTGTGCCACCACGTCTGGCTAATTTTTTGTATTTTTAATAGAGATGGGGTTTTACCATTGTTGCCTAGGCTGGTCGCAAACTCCCGACCTCAAGTAATCCACCCGCCTTGGCCTCCCCAAGTGCTGGGGAAATGTTCATATGGTTTTTTATTTTGTTTTGTTTTGTTTTTGAGACAGAGTTTCGCTCTTGTTACCAAGGCTGGAGTGCAGTGGCACTATCTTGGCTCACTGCAAACTCCGCCTCCTGGTTCAAGCGATTCTCCTGCCTCAGCCTTCCAAGTAGCTGGAATTACAGGTGCCTGCCACCATGCCCAGCTAATTTTTGTATTTTCAGTAGAAACAGGGTTTCACCATGTTAGCCAGGCTGGTCTCGAACCCCTGACCTCAGGTGATCCTCCCATCTCGGCCTCCCAAATTGCTGGGATTACAGGCATGAGCCACTGCACCTGGCCCATATGGTTTTAATCTCTCATTCTGTTAATATGATGTTTCACATTGATTGATTTGCATGTGTTAAGCCATCCTGGCATTCCTGGAATAAATCCCAGTTGGCCATGATGAATGATCTTTTTATTGTGTTACTGAATTCGGTTACTAGTATTTGGTGAAGGATTTTTTGCATAAGTGTTCATCAGGAATATTAGCCTATGGTTGACTTTTTTGATGTATCTTTGTTTGGTTTTGGTATCACAGTCATACTGGCCTTGTATAATGAGTTTAAAAGTATCACCTTGTCCTCTATTGTTTGGAATCCTTTGAGTAGTATCAATATTGGTTCTTCTTTAAATGTTTTGTAGAATTCAGCAGTGAAGCCACTGGGTCCTAAGATTTTTCTTGCTGGGAAAGTTTTTATTACAGCTCCAATCTCATTACTTGTTATTGGTCTGTTCAGGTTTTGGATTTCATTGTGGTTCAATCTTGGTAGGCTGTATACGTTTAGGAATTTATTCATTTCTTCTAGATTTTTAAATTTATCAGCATACAGTTGCTCATAGTAGCCACTAATGATCTTTTGAATTTATGCAGGATCAATTGTAATGTCTCCTTTTTCACTTCTGATTTTATTTGTTTGGGTCACTTTTTTTTCTTAATTAGTTTGGCTAATGGTTGTGGAATTTTGTCTTTTTTAAAAAAAATAACTTTTCATTTCATTTATCTTTTGTATTGTTTTCTTTTTTTCAGTTTTATTTATTTCTGCTGTGATATTTATTATTTCTTCTACTAATTTTGGATTTGGTTTGCTCTCCCTTTTCTAATTGTTTAAGATGCATCATTAGGTTGTTTATTTTTCTATTTTTCTACATTTCTTATGTAGACACTTAGAGCAATAAACTTCTCTCTTTGTACTGCTTTCACTGTATCCCATATGTTGTGAAATGTTGTGTTTCCATTATCATTTCTTTCAATAATTTTTAAATTTCCTCCTTAATTTCTTCATTGACTCACTGGTTGTTCAGGAGCATATTGTTTAATTTCCATATGTTTGTATAGTTCCACAATTCCTCGTTATTCATTTCTAGTTTCATTTCTATTTCAATCTCTTTGTTAATTTTATCTGGTAGGATTCTGAATTCCTTCGCTGTGTTATCTTGCATTTCTTCGCGTTTCCTCAAAACAGCTATTTTGAATTTTCTGTCTGAAAGGTCACATATCTCTGTCTCTCCATGATTGGTCACTGGTGTCTTATTTAGTCCATTTGGTCAGGTCATGTTTTCCTGGATGGTCTTGATGCTTATGGGTGTTCATTAGTGTCTGGGCACTGAAGAGCTAAGTATTTATTGTAGTCTTTGTAGTCTGGGCTTGTTTGTACCCATCCTTCTTGGGAAGTCTTTCCAGGTATTTGAAGGGACTTGGTTATTGCGCTCACTTAATGGTCACTGCAGCTATATCTGCATTAGGGGACACTCCAAGCCCAATAATGCTGTGGTTCTTGCAGACTCACAGAAGTATCACTTTGGTGGTCCTGAATAAGATCCAGAAGAATTTTCTCGATAACTAGGCAGAGACTCTTGTTCTCTTCGCTTACTTTCTCCCAAATCAACAGAGTCTGTCTCTGTGCTAAACTGCCTGGGGCTAGGGGAAGGGTGACACAAGCACCCTTATTGCCACCACCACTGATAGGGCACTGGGTCTCACCCAAGGCCCACTATAACCACTCCCTGGCTACCACCTATATTCACCTATGGCCCTAGGGCTCCATAATCAGCAGGTGGCAAATTCAGACAGGCTTATGTTCTTCTCTTTAGGGTGGGCTCTGGGAAGTTCCAGAGATGCCATCTGGGAGCCAGGTCCTGGAGTTGGAAACCTTGGAAATCTACTTGTTGCTCTATTCTCTTAAGGCTTAGTTGGCATCCAAACTACAAGAAAAGTCCTTTTCACTCTTCCCTCCCTTTTGCACAGGCCAAGAGTCTCTCCCAGTAGCCACCACAACCTCAGGCTTGTGGGAAGTACTTCCAAGTGTTCACTTTAGGCCCACAGGCTCTTCAGTCAGCTTCTGGTTAATGCTGCCAGGCTTGGAACTCTCCCTTCAGGGCTGAATATTCAGAGCCCACAGTGGGCTCCCTGTGGTCCAGGGCAGGTCCAGAAATGCCATCCAAGAGGCAAGGCCTGGAATTGGGGACCCCAGGAATCTACTTGGTGATCTACCCCATTCTGGCCAGGCTGGTACCTAAGCTGCAAGTCAAAGTCCCATCTACTCTTCCTTCTGCTTTTCTCAAGTAGAAGGAGTTTTGCCCCATAGCCTCCACAGCTGGGAATGTGCTGAGTCACATTTGAAGCCAGCACATCTCAGAGTCTCACCCAAAGCCCATGGCGTATAGTACCTGGCTACCGCTGTTGATTATTCAGGGCTCACGGGCTCCTGATTCAGCAAGTGTTTAGTCCTGCCAGGACTCAGTCCCTCCCTTCAAGGCAGCAGGTTTCCAGAAGGCCCAGAGTGTGTCTAGAAATGTTATCTGGGATCTAGGGCCTGGAAAGGGGCCTGACAACTCTGCCTATTCTAACTCTGGGATTGGAGGAGGTGTGGCACAAGCGCTTTCTTGGCCAGGGTGGTGTCTCACTAGATCACGTGCCCCCTCACCAAGTCTACTGGCTCTGAGCCCAGCACAGCACCAGGACTTGCCTAGAAGTTGCGGTCATTGTGGTATAGACTACCTTTCAAGTTTATTTAGAATCTCAGAGCACTTTGGCCTGCAGTGGTGAGGCTTGCTGGATCTCAAGTTCCAACTACTGGGATGGCCAATTCCCCTCTGCCTAGGGCTGGTCTACATGCTCCCTTTGTCAACAGTGGTTGAGTTCTGTCCAGTGTTGCTTTCAGCTATGACAGGGCAACACTGAGTTCCAATGTAAAGTCCCACAATTACTATGCCCTCCCTCCCGCAAGTCCACAGATTCTCTCTCCATGCCATGAGGCCACTGCCAGGGGATGTGGAAAAGATGGTGCCAGCAGATCAAGATTGTCTTTTCTACCTTCTTTAGAGTTTCTTTCAGTGATATTAAGTTAAAACTTGGTACTATGATCACTCACCTGATTTTTGGTTCGTATGAAGTTTCTTTTTTGTGTAGACGGTTGTTAAATGTGTTCTTCCTATGGGGAGGATAATCAGTGGAGGCTTCTATTCAGCCACATCGCTCCACCTCCAATTTCCACATTTTTATTAAAAACTGGCATGATATAAAGAAAATAATACAAGCTTTGAAGCTGGGAAAACAATTTTTATTCCTGGCTTCTCAACTTGTTATGGACCTTTGCCGAGTTAATGTATTTGAACCTCAGATTTTTCATCTATAAAAGAGAGATAATAATACCCCATAGCATGTTATGAATATTACATTTCTATATATTGATATGACACACAGATGGCATCTAAGTGGGTTATGTAATGCTAGCTGCTTCAACAATTTAGAAAATATTCAATGGCCTAACTTACTCAAATTTTATCGCTACAGTTGAGGTATTCTAATCAGCCAACACATAATCCTAGGTGTTGGGATTTTTCTATTTGCAGTTTTACCATTCCCTGGGCCTCAGGGTATGAGTTTTCAGAAGCCCACCCCCACTTGATTGCTTTTAGCAATCCATATGAGTCCATATGGAAATGACATATCACTTCCATTCATTCTCCAGTACGTCAGAATTAGTCGTTTGGTAACACCTAAACTGAGTGTGCCAGAAAGTTTGGAAAGGTACAGACTGGGGTTGGACCGCCTCCAGCAACAACTCAGCAATATAGAAGTCCCAATTTTTGATGAATAACCATCCATCCATCATAGTCAGCCTATCTGATCTCCACATATCCCTGTATGCCCATCTCCCCACGGGTAGAAAGTGCTTACCTGCCTACATAGGTGGCAACTTAAATTCCCATCCGATCTCTGCATTTAGCTCAGTCTTAGATGGAAGACTAAAGATTTATCCTTTTTGTCGGGTGTAGGTGTAGCTTCTCCTTGTCTAGATACCTATGAAATAAAATATGAACTTTATGCCTCACCCTCAACCCCAGAACACAATGGTAGAGCAAGGACAGGAAAACATCAATCTTTTAAAATTACATTTTGTAAAGGGAAGAATGGGAAATACAGAAAGGTTACTGATTTATAGAAATTTGGAAATATTGGCAGGCAAGCTTTATAACAATTCCAGGCTTCCGCTCTAGAAGTGAGTAGAATTCTTGACTAGACTTTCTCTTTTTGTATAGAACTCCATTATCCATTGCTTTATATGTCCAGTGGGTCCACCCTTTGTGGGGATCTTTGTTATTCATTTTCCTCAATGGACTCATGTAACATAGGCACTAAGTAGGCCGTCCTTGGGGGTTGCACACATTTCATTACTGTTTTTATGCTTATGCAATTTTAGGGGTCTGTGAGTAGTTTTAATTTTTGATTAGTCAAAGGCTTTGACCCTTGCATGGACTGATAGTCTTTTTGGCAGTACAATTCCTTCAACTACTTTACTGGCTTTTGATTGATTAGCTGTTAATCTGTCTAATTTGCTTGTAACCGTATTCAAAGTTCTTTTCCAGACAGAATTCTCATACTTAATCTATCTCTTTGTTTCCTTATCCTCTTGTCAGTGTCTCAACTACCTTGAGATCATCTGAAATAAAAGGCTTGGGTAGAAGGATACATTCATAATCTGGCCTTTGCTGCAGGGTAGATTCCTTCTCTTATAATAAGAAGTCCAAACAGGCATTCATTGCTCAAACCTTCATGAGTTTTATCTTCTGCTTTTTAGCTCCATAAGCAATTTGTTTTTCTAGCCATGTAGGGATCTAAATTTCTGGAGTCTTTCTATTCCCTTTTATATCTGCTCCCAAGCCAGTTCTTGCATGAGTTCAATTTTGTGTGTGTAATAACTGTTAAACACAGCAAGTTATAGCCAACATACACTAATATTATGTTTTCCCACCACCTCCCTTTGGGCCACTGGCTCAGTAGGAACCTAATCTTCCTTTTCAGATATCACAGGTAACACTTTCACCTAGTGTTTTACCACTGCATTATATGTGTGACTCCAGCTTTCTAACCTTTGATATCAGTTTCCACATCACTCTCCAAATGCCTGCTAAGTCAGGGATATAATTAGACTGCCAGTAGAACCTAACTTCAAGGAATCAATTTCTGTATTTTTAAAGTAATATAGACCATGCTAAATGGTGTAATAAATAAATCCCCAAAAGTCAGTGGTTTAACCCAATAGAAGTTTATTTCTCCCTCTCTCTCTTAAAAATCTAATGCTATGTCCCTGATCATCCCTAACTACTTTGCACTAATGAAGGGCTCTTTCTATCTTGTGGTTCCACTACCTTCTAAGGCCTCAGAGTTTTCTTGGCATCCAGTTAACAAATGGAGGGAAAGAGTTTGTAGAATAAATACCCTCCTTCTTCTTAAAAGTATGGACCCAGGAGTGCCATTCATCCCTTCTGTTCATGTTCTATTAGATAATATATATGGTAGTTTAGGCGCTGAAGGATGTAGATGGAGATTAACATGAAGCAATATTATTAGGGAGTGCTTTTGGAATCAACATTTCTGGAAGGGAAGGGAAGAAAGCAGGATTGGGCAAAGGAAGAAATTGGGCTGTGATGCATTTCCAAAAAAGATCTCAGCCAATATTCATGGGCAGTTGGGAAGGTAAAACGGTCCTTTACAGCTGTCTCATATTGCAACAAGGGTGCCAGTCTGTATAGACAAATCATTGGATGCAGGCTGCCTTTGGAGAGGAGGTGTGAAATTGAGCAAGACAGCTTGCTCCAGCTCAGGGCAGTTTTCTGAGGGTGATACAGTTGAGAGCTTTCATCTGGCAGTCCTTCTAGAAGCTGGGGAAGTAAATACTTTAGAACTGAAAAGGAGATCTGAGCAGTACATCACAACTTATATCATAACTGATTCTAATGTGACACGGGTTACTGAAGGGCATAGGAAATGTTTTCTCGCTCAGGCAGCTCCCTCTCCTTGATACCTTTACACCATGGAAAAGAGAATATTAATGTTTGGTGGCAATCTCCAACAGAGATAAAACATATTTTTCTGATGTCAGACGTGATTTCTAAAGAGTGACCACATTTTTACAATAAGCTATATAATATGCCTTATAAAAAATTAATGTTATTTCTTTTTTTTTTTTTTTTTTTTTTTTTTTGAGATGGAGTCTCGCTCTGTCACCAGGCTGGAGTGCAGTGGCGTGATCTCGGATCACCGCAACCTCTGCCTCCCGGTTCAAGCAATTCTCCTGCCTCAGCCTCCCGAGTAGCTGGGATTACAGGCATGCGCCACCACACCTGGCTAATTTTTTGTATTTTAGCAGAGACAGGGTTTCACCATGTTGGCCAGGCTGGTCTCCAACTTCCTGAGTACAAGCAATCTGCCCTTCTTGTCCTCCCAAAGTGCTGGGATTACAGACGTGAGCCACCACGCCCAGCCCAATGTTATTTCTTAGAATCAGATTTACTCATTATGTTCATTATTTTCACCATGTGTAGAATTACATATATTTCCCAATTCATGAGTTTTTAAGGTTTATTAAATATATTCATATTTTAAAAATATACCCAAATATGCATGGACTCAGTAAAATGTATATTTGGCTTTGAGTCATTACAGTGTCCCTTTTAGGTAAGTAATATACATGAAAATTTTAAATTCTTTAACATACTTTTTTGATATATATAAAATATAAAGTCAACATTAGAGGCTTGTTACTATAATACAAGAAAATACAAAATAGATTTGAATTAATTTCTGTCTTCTAACATAAATTATGGGTGAACTACATTTTACATTTTTAAGGGGCGATATTCTTTGAAACCAAACATATAATATTGCAATTGTTCCTACTAAAAATACATTACTTGGATTCAAGCCTATGGATGCATGTATAGCATGAACTGAGAGGTATCTATTATAGAAGCCTTCAAAATTGGGTTGACAAAGGAGATATGATCTTTCACTGAGATTTGTACTTTGACATCATTAGGGGATTTCAAAGACATCACTGAGGGTTTCCAAGGAATGCATGTTTCTTCCATAAATGCTCACTTCAATTTTGACACAGAAATCATTCTCTGACCTTCAGCCTAAACTTGGCTCATAGTCTTCAGTGTTTCCAGTGTAACCAGTCCAGGTTACCCCAAACATAGAGACTGAGAGGGAGTTCTATGACATTCTCTATGGTATTAGAGCAATCAACCCTTTATCTTTTAGAAGAAACAAACCACTTTGAGGCCCTAGCTACCCCACTACAAATCAACCCTCAGACAGGAAAGGATAAAAACCCATTGCTCTGTTGGCTTTTGTAATGCCTAAAATTCCAACTCTGGAGATTCAATTTCTTAATCTAAAAGCCCATGTTCAACTGAAATAAAAATAACTTGAATGAAGTAAGGGTGGTTTCTATCATTTATTAAAACCTTGATTTAAGTGAATTATCCAATTGTTTTATGAAATAGCTTACTAGAAGAAGGAGGTGAACCTGAATGCCAACTGTATTGAATAGAGAAATAGGAGTATCACCAAGTTTGTGCATGAGGAGGGTGTATTAGCTATCTACTGCTGCATAACAAGTTATCCCAAGACTTAGAGGCTTAAAAAAACATTCATTTATTATTTCATAGTTTCTGCAGCATCTAGTCAGAGCTCAATGGGGTCCTGTGTTTCAGGGTCTATCACAGAATTATATCAAGGTGTTGACTGGGGCTACAGTCTTATCTGAAGATTCAGCTGGGAAAGAATATGCTTCTGAGCTTACTCACATGGTTGCCGGCCAGTTTCAGTTCCTTGAGTTCCTTGTGTGATTATATTTCGTGCCTCATTTCCTCATTGGCTGTTGAATAGAGGTTTCTTGCCACATGGGTCTTTCCAACATTGCAGTTTGTTTACTCAAAGCAAGGTAGCTGGGATGGTAAGAGAGAGAGAGAGAGAGACAGAGACAGAGACAGAGACAGAGATTGCCAGAAATGAGGAAGGCATTGCCCTCTGAAACCTAATCATGGAAGTGATAATCCATTGTCTTTGCTATACTTTATTCATTAGAAGCAGGTCATTGTGTCCTGCCTACACACAAGAGTGTGAATACCAGAAGCTGGGGATAATTGAGGGATATCTTGGAAAGCTGCATGCCACAAAGTGGTTGAATATAGAGTAAGGAGAATGGAGGACCTGATAGCAAACTTCACTAAAATCACGTATCTTGTCTTTGTTGGTACTTGGCTCAAATGATTTATCAAATATTATAATTCTACACCACAATCTTGAATTTATTAGAACATAAACTCAATGAAATCTAGAGCTTCTAGAAATCTCAATTTCAACATTGACAAAATAACAGTGACTATAGTCAATAATAACTTAATTGTACATTTTAAAGTCACTTAAAGCATGTAATTGGATGGTTTGTAACTCAAAGAATAAATGCTTGAAGGCATGGATACCCCATCCTCTGTGATGTGATTATTTCACATTGCATACCTGTATCAAAATATCTCATGTACCCCATAAATATATACACCTACTGCGTACCCACAAAATTGAAAATAAACCTTTTTTAAGAAAAATTGATGAAATAAGGATGTTAATGCCTACTACAAAGACTTGTCAGTGAAGATTAACTGAGAATAGTTTTATAGGTGGGATTATGGGTAATTTTTCTTCTCCTCATATTTCTCAATGCCTTAACATTTTTCCAAAATCAAATCTGTGATTAATTTTAAAAATGCAAAGCACTCAGTATATCATTTAGAATATATTAGGTATTTAAGTAAATATTAGAATCTATTAGACCTAAACCTGCACTATTGAGTAGAAAGTATATTGAGCCATGGATTTGACGGAGCGTTAATTCTCCTTTATTCAGAAGTTAATTGCTGTAAAATTGTTCTAAGAAGAGGAAATGAGGACAGGGCAAATTCACTCCTTAATGCTGAATGCACATTGGGAATCAGCTCCATCAATATTCAGTATACAAGAAGATGGTAATTATATTTACATGGATGAGACCTGCCTTATCATGTACAAGATTCTTGCTAACATTTAAGAGGAGAGATCCACATACCCTAAATGCAGGCAATCTATCATTGTCTTGGCTTACTGCTACCTAGAAGTACTCCTTTATCTCATTTTCTGCTTATGCCAAACACTTAAAATGCTCTGTATTGTTGTACTGTACTATCTTCTCTACTCTTTCCCTTTTAACATAAAGAATGATGTTTTGGTGTGGTTTTTTTTTTGTTTGATTTGTTGTCATTCTTTTTCCTTCAACCTCTTTTTAAAATCCATTTTGAGCTCATTTATTCAAGAAACATTGTCGAATTTTTACAATGACCAAGGCATTTTGAGAATCCGGTCTTATAAAAAATATACTAACTGACTTTAAAGACGTTAGGGCCTATGAGAGAAATTATATGACCACTAACAAGATATAGTCCATGAAAGTGATCAATTTAAGCTAGTGTGATCAACACAGGCAGCATTAAGGGTCATTTGAGACAGCACTTGGAGGCCAAGATTTGAGATATTCACAGGTAATTACAAACAGTGTGTCAAAGGATAGTTTTGAAAATGGTAAAAACATGATGCCCTACAAATATGAAATGAGCATGTGTTAAAGATGTTAATGTTAATTAATGAGTTAATTAATGTTAATGTTAATGAGTTAATGTTAACTCATTAATGAGAAACTCATCAGGATGGTAAAAATGCTTCAAAGGAGAGTTTAAAAAATAGATTTATATAGTCAGTCAGTTAAGTCCAATGAAATGCTGAAATGAACTTACTAATACATAAAAAGTTAATATACTTCAGGGCAATAAAACTGTGTCCTTCAGACTAGTCTTTCCTCCTAAATAGAAATTTACAAGTTAACATGTAACTTCAGAGCCTGGACCCTGATCAGTAGTAAACAGTAAATCAAACAAATGCACAATCCTCCAGGGAATTATATAATCCTTGAGTGGGCCTGTCAGGCAATGCTTTACTATGACATCTAAATGACATGTGGTCATTCTTTTGTCTAATCTGTAAGTTTTGGATACTTTTTCTTAGCAAGGATAAATGGCATGAACAAGGGCACAGAGGTACGTTTTCAGAAAATAGCACATAGAGAAAGAGTTGGCAAATATTTTTTCTGTAAAGGGCCAGTTAGTAAATATTTTGGACTTTGGGGGCTATATGATCTCGGTTGTAGCTACTTATCTCTGCCATTGAAGTGCAAAAGCAGCCATAGACAACAGGTAAACAAATGAGTACAATTGTGTTCCTATAAAAGTTTTTTATAGATACTGAAATTTGAATTTCCTATAATTTTTTAATGTCAAAAATATTATTTTTCCTTTGATATAGTTTCAATCATTTAGTCATATAAAAACCACTTTGTAGACCATACAAAAACAATTGGCTTGGCAGGTTGAATTTGACCCGAGAGTCATAGTCTGCTGACGCCTAGCACAGAATAACTGAAGCAACAAATTGCTGTTTTGAATCAGTGGTAAATAAGATAGAAAAGAGTTTGGGACCAGGAAATGTATAACATTAGTTAACTCCTCTACTCAGACAGAGAGAGAAAGGTAAGATCTCAATTTGTGTGTCAGTGAGGGCTTAAGTGACATTGTAATGCTTCAGTAAGATTAATATGGAAGAAATGTTTTAGACAAGGTGCAGGAAGGAGAGATCAGAGATAACAAACTAGGTACGAATTTTTCATTAGTTGGGTTTGAGGAAGTGACCATATGGTCCGGGGTGGGCCCGAAGAAAAATTTCTCAACAGATCCAATCTATGGGGCGAGAGACAGCGACTACTGAAACTTACAGGTAAGATTTAAACCAGAGACATCAGGAAATGAAGATTTCTTTGTCAGAAAAACAGCGTAGTGACTATGTTGGTTGTAAATCGGCTGAACTGGAAGTGTCCACAGAATTCCAGCTGTCAGTGTTTCGCAGATTGTTGGAAATGCACAAATGAATTTCGGGAGATAGTACTAACCCAGGGGAAAGGGGTGGGGCTATCTGTGAAAATTTCCTTAGGTAAAGGAGGGTTGGGGAGCATAGAAATTAATGGGCTTTTCAAAGAAAAATGCACAGCTGAATCATCGAACGTAGGGCAGAGGCTGGTGTGTGTGGTGGTGGTGGTGGGGATAGACAGGAGTAGAAGGTGGCTTATCAGAATGCAGGAAGAAAAACTAACTTATTCAAAGAAAAGAACCAGAAAATATGGAAACTTAGGATGTTTTTAGAGTTATAAAAGTCAGATCTTTTGTTCATTCCAAAGGGAAATGATGGCTGAGAATCTAAAGTGATATATCGTTTATGGACAAAATGATTTTTTCTTTGTTTTCACATTTTCAGGTACTGGAGGTTAGAATTTAGTAAACAAATCTCAAAAGTGGTGGGATACCAGCTAACAGCTAACAGAGGTTTTTTAGAAAGAGTCTCAAAACCCCTCTCTAGGTACCTTGGAAAGTAGCATAAAATAGTGTAAAGAAATAGAGGGCCTGCATTATAATTCTTACTGGTTCTCTCGCTAATTTTATAAACTTTCCAATGTCATGCAATAACTTAGGGACTTAGCCCTTTATGTGCATAGAGAGGGTTCTCTAAAATTTTCTGTAGGTCTAAAATTCAATGATTCTATTTTACTTTTCTTATATATAAGAACAGTCCTGTGTAATCTCAAAAATGGGCGGTGAAAATTGCATTTACAGCTTTGGATTCAAACTCTGAACACCCAAGGAATTATGTGTATGTAGCAATGAAGAGCCTACATTTATATATATATTTTTAAAAAGTATTTCAATTATTTCACTATTTTAAAATCTAATTAAAATGACACCTCTATTCAAGGGAGTGCATGAAAGAGTAATATTTTTTGTTTGGTACTGAAATCTTACTAATTCAGAGATAGAATATTCTCATGCAGACCAGAAGCTCTGACTGGCATTGGTCATTCTTTGACATCCAAAGATAATAAAAGGGGACCTTTATGAAATAAAGTTTGGAAACTACTGGTCAAAATTGATCCAGATGGAATTACTGCAACAATACCAATGCCTAGTGAGCAGATCATTACTCAAAGCCTGACATTGGCAACAATTCCAACATATGGTAAAACATCCTCCACTCTCAGAAGATGGGAATACTCCACAGCTGTGGTTTGCTTCTGCTGAAAGAGTATAGTTTCACCCATAATTTGCCACCTGTCAGATAAGAGAAAGGGAAATGTCCTGTTTGTATACAAAGTATTAAGAGAAGCTTTTGATCAACTCTGGATAAAAAGGGAGATAGGACTACATGGCCACTTCTATATAATAAAATAAAAGATAATAAACTAAATTTGAAGCATATTTTTAACTTTTTGAAATGAATTTCCACAGATAGTATGTTCTTTAATTTAATCTACACAGCAATAATTTGATGAGGCAAAAAGGGAAGGTAAAAAGGCTTGCCCAATATCTCACAATGTTGAAGTTGGAATATATTAGAAATCTATTGCCATACTAATACTTTGTAACAACCAACCACCGCATTTCAGTAGCATACAAAAACAAACATTTTTTGGCCATATATCTGGGGTGGTCCCAGATATATGCTGACCATCTATCAGCAGCTCTCTGGATCTCAGCTAAGTCCACTCATATGTCTAAAGTTTGACTGACTCATGGCTGATCTAGGATGACCTTGGCTAGAGTGGCTGGAGAGACTTAGGACTATGGTATCAATGTCTTTTATCTTCCAATTCACGAGCTTGGGCATCTTCTCTGGGCAATGGCAGAAGAACAAGACAATGAGCAGAAATACACAAGTGTTTTGCCAAGCCTCTGATAACATCCCATTGGCCAAAGCATATTATATATTCAAACTCCAGAATTCAGAATCTATAGGAAGGAAGGGGTTTAGACATGGGCCTAGTAATATCTACCACTTGGAACATCAACCTATGTTTTCTGGTTTGAATCCAATCTCTCTCTCTCTTTATTTTAACCTTTCTAATCTGTTTAGCTTCCAAACTGAAATGGCTGGTCCTTAAAGAATAAATGTGATTTCTACTGAGATGTACTGCATGACAATTAACATGGTTATCTTTCATTCTCTTTCACTCAAAAATATTTATTGCCTACTGTATGCCAGGTACTATGCTGAGAAGATTGCTATTTATAAATGAATAGAACAGTCATTTCATCTTTTAAAAAATCATGTATCAAACCTTCATGTTTAATCATGTTAGTATAAAAGTTCATTTATTTAGACAACCAAAATTCGATATCCCAATATCAGCACTTGAAAAATAAAGGGAAAAATAGGCTGTAGTTCAGCTGAACAGTTCTACTCAATTATCCCACAGAGCTCCTGCAGCAGCTGCCACATTCTTCACGGTCTCACACACCAAATGCACCTTCAATTCTTTTCTGTGTCCTCCCAGACCTGACTTCACTCATAAAGAAAGCCAGCAGCTCTTTACCTGCTATAATATGGGGCTTAGGCCCTATGACCTGCATCATGGTCTCTTCCTGCCCAATGTTATTTCCTCTCCCTTCCTTTTATAGGTCGCAGAACTGAAATGCACTCTGAGAGCTTTCCCTGCTCATTCTCCCCTCCTTCCCCCTTCATCTTTCACTAACATTATCCCCCTTTCTCCTCCACAAACCCCTTGCACTCCTAACTCTATTTCAAAGTCTGCTTCTTCATGAACCCAAACAACACATCAATAAGGTTGTTATAAGGTCTGTTGCAGATCAATAATCTTTTAACAAATGAGATCATGTTAGAGTGATTCTGCCTTCTTTTACCTTCATGCTTCTTTTACCTTCATACCTACCTGCAAATCCCTCAAATTACAAAATTAGTTTCTCATATTGAATGAATCAGGTGCAAAAAGAAGGGGCATTTCTCCCCAGGTTCATAGGTAGAATGCCGTATGTACTGGTGTGTTAAGAGTCAGAAAATATACAGGATCTTCTAATTCAGCCATTTTCAAAATTTCTATTATGTTCATTGTAAAGGAGTAAAACTCCCTTTAAAATTTTCAAATGAAACTGTTTGCAGGGCCAATGACTTAAAATAGATAAAAGTAGGCTTTTCTGCTTAAATTGGGGGTAGGGTGTTCAGAACTCTACCTAGCTTGGACCAAGCTAAAACTAACGGAAGTATTCTGAAATAATTCAAATTTCCCTTAAATGATCTTTGTTAATTTTGATGATACTGTTCACCCTCCTCCCTGTCCCCACCACCATAATACTCAGAGCAATGCTAATATGTGACATATATGTTGCCACCCCACCTTCTGTCCTCCTGCAAACATGACTAATCAAATTCAGCACTGTTTCCTACTAACCCTGAATTCAGTATCAGAGTTCTCAATATAAAACTCAAGAAATTCACTATCAGTATAAATTGAAGTTTGTACTCAAAATGCAGTCTATTTACAATCTCTATGGGAGTCATTCTATTCACATGCACAATCACACACACATGATTGTATGTCTTTCTCTCACACACATTACTTGTCCTATATTAAATACTGATGTTCTCTGACTACCCACTCAGGTGAACAAGCTGTGAGTTCTGCAGAAGTTAAAATAGGGAATTACAGAGTCAGCTCTTAAAATCTCAACTGTTCCTCTCACACAGGCAGAATTAGTTTTGATAGAACATCCTCTACCCACAGTCTAGCAATTCTGAAAAAACAAATACTGGTGGATGTGGAGGTGTTGGAGGGTCGCCAAAAACCAGATTCTAGAGAGAACTTCACTAGTTTATAATACTCAGAGGCTGACTAAGGGTACACAACCCTCTCTTTGGGGGTATAAGTCATTTTATATTAGAAATGGCATTTATATCAAAAGTTTGTAATTCTACTTTCCTACAACCCAAAGCATATTTTCACCACTCCTTCCCTAAAGTAGTCTGAACTGAGAGAGTAAGAAGAGGTGAGTGGCATCTTACTGGATTTAAGGTCTCAATATTATCTTTGAGAGGCTTTATTTTCTCAAATAAGTTCCCCTCTCTATCTCCCTTTCCCGCTTAGTGGTAAAATTATTGGCTTTAGAGTTAGTTAGACCAAGGTCCACCTCTAAGCTCTGTCTTTTGCTTGCTATATTGTTTTACTATTTTGAGGTCTCAGAAAGTCCTGTGATCCCAAAGTTTCAAAGTATCAGTATGATGGTACAGTAGCTCTGAAGTCAAGAGACTGAAGTTGTACTACCTGATGTGTGCCTTAAAGATCCCTGTGAACTTCAGTGTCTTCATTTATCAAAGAAGGTTGGTTTTGATATGCCGTGAGGCAGCCACTGGAAGTGCACCACTCAGATTATCCATCAAGACAAAACTCGCCATTCAGCTACAAAGAGTGCAGTTCTTCCCATCTCCCTCAGCTTTTGATCTGAGGCCAGCAAATCTCCAGCAGCCCCAGCCAGTGACTGAGCATGGCAGGGGTACTACAGCCTGCCATTTCTGTTCAACACAGTTCTCCTTTAATAGGCAATCTTTGCTCCAGAGCTCCCCGTTAGATTGGCTAAGACTTTGTCAGAGATGCATCATGGTCTCTTCATGCCCAATGTTATTTCCTCTCCCTTCCTTTTATAGGTCGCAGAACTGAAATGCAGTCTGGGAGCTTTCCCTGCTCATTCTCCCCTCCTCCCCCCTTCATCTTTCACTAACATTATCCCCCTCTCTCCTCCACAAACCCCTTGTACTCCTAACTCTATTTCAAAGTCTGCTTCTTCATGAACCCAAACAACACGTCGACACATGCTATAAGGTCTGTTGCAGATCAATAATCTTTTAACAAATGAGATCATGTTAGAGTGATTCTGCTTTCTTTTACCTTCATGCTTGGCATTTTAGCAATGGATTTAAAGAGGATGAGCAAGATGCTTAGGAATACTGTATGTCTCGGTTTGCCTGAAGCAGGGCCATTTGACACCTGTTTTGACTTAACATTTGCCACCAAAAAAGTAGTTTTGGAAACCACATATTATATAGTCTTCCCAGTGTTACTGGATGAAATCTATCCTTCTATTTCTAAAGTTTGAAATACTTCAATATATTCACAAAATAGCTTCACATATTCATCAATGTGAAGATACTCTCATTCATTTATATATTCATATAATTCTGGAAATGTTTATTCAATTCAATTCAACACAGTATTATATGCTCAAGGACTTGGATAAAAGACAGTAAATACTTGGGTGACATTTTAGGTCAAGTTGCATTTTAGTGACTAAAAGACTAATTTGAAGAATCAATTTTTACTTGATTTTCTAGTTCACAAAGAGCATTCATAATGGCTAGTCTACCATGACAGATACTTCCTCCAGTGGGGATGACATGCTTCCCTTGGGAAAATCTCTCTGGGCAGCTGCAGCCACAGTGCAGGTTGCTGACTTCAGCTAGATTATATTCGACAGATTGAAAGCTCACAGGTGCCTGAAGTATACCAGAAAACATTTGTCTTTCTTAGTAGGAGAACTGGAAGGATTTTAATTGACTGTGCTGGTTTTTTCACTTATACATGTTTTAATATAACATTTCTGTACTAAAAAGTTAATGTCACCAGGATATGTCCTGGTATGTATTAAACATTATAGGTTTTTCACATCATTCTTTATTTTTAATGCAAATGCATTAAATGGAATATTTGCTTCTTTTAACAAGTTGAGACACTGGCTTTGTATGTTTCTCGTGGTTGAAAAAGATATGTTTGTGTCCATTTCTCCACACTTTCCCATTTGCCCTTGCCATGACAAAGTGTAATAAGCAAGGTTAAAATGGGTTATGACAGGGAATACTCATTTTAAACACAGTGGCACAATTGTTTCTGAAATCATTAT
The DNA here is from genome assembly GCF_000001405.40 of Homo sapiens. Taxonomy (NCBI): domain Eukaryota; kingdom Metazoa; phylum Chordata; class Mammalia; order Primates; family Hominidae; genus Homo; species Homo sapiens. Next base: position 30,006,488 of record NC_000023.11, read on the forward strand.
CTACTTGGTGTTCTGAGAGCTAAGCTGGATTCTATTTCAGCTGGAAAAAGGTGAAAAAAAATACATGTCAAAAGATGAATAATGTGAAGTTTGATCACTTCAAAGATTACATCTCTGGTTATTCCCTACATTTAAATGCTCTCTTTAAATCATGAGGCGGTTGCAACTAAGATGGTGGCATACACGATTTTACTTCACTGTTGTTTCTGCTGTTTATTGGCCTCAGACAGCTCTGAATTTCCACTTAGGGCACAAGCCCCAAAGTTATGAATATTTATTGTGTAATGGGAAGACATTTTAAGAGATTTTTAACATTGGGAGGCACCATGGTGGATTATCACATATTTCAAACAGTTGAGTTGCTTTAATACATTTCCTTTGGATATCACTTTGATTATGTAACAATTGTGAATTGCTCCACAGAATATGAGATCAAATAATGTCACATTTAATTATTTTCTCAAGTTGACTAAAATCAGTTTTCATCTTCATTTGTAAGGTCAATAATTTCCATTTTGGGGGATATCCCTTCACATCCCCTATAAAATCATGGTTAAACCAGGAAAACGGAAATCATTCTAGACCATTCTAGCCAGAAAAGCTTTAATACAGGAAAAAAAAAAAAAAGAGGCTTCCACAACATTTGTGGGGCCGCTGGCATCAGAGAAACAAAAAATGCAGGGATCAGAGGGGACAACAACTGAGGACCTCAGTTGTCTGCAGGATCAATATGGGAGACTCCTAGAGGATGCTTAGAAGTTGTCATAACCCTGCCTACTTCAGCCCAGCCCTTGCCTGCAACTTATGAAGAATAATGGTTTTTCCTTTCATTACATTTTCCAAATCTCACACAAGTCCCTTTCTGTAGCTTCAACTAAGCAGGAGAACTTCTGGCGAGGGGATCCTGAAAATGTATTTCTATCCTTTCTTCTCCTGGGCACACTTGGAAGGGTAGAAATGACACAGAATTAGCATAGACCACATCTGACACAGTATTACAACACTGAGGAGCAAAAATGGCCCCAAGAAGACAGTCACCCATATTTTTGGTTCTCATCATGGTAGGATATGGGTTCTTAGTCTATGACTTTTTTGTGACTATTATGTATTGTTATGGCTACCATTTCTAGCTGCAGAAAGCCTCCTCCATTTACATGCCCATTTTTCTCCATGCCTGGAAACCTTGGCCCAGCTCCCTTCCCCGGTGAGCAAGATCATTTCAATTAGGACACTAATTCTGAACTCACTCCCTGCTAAGCTTGGAAATTGGCCCATCTTGCAAGACCCCAGGCTGTGGAGTTATACTCCACCTTTATTAATATAGTTTCCATCATTGCCTACCACACCAGAAGGCACTCTGATAGCACTCCACACCTACCCTCCAGTGATGGAAACACTCCATTGTTTCCTTTATATCCAAATCTTGGAGTTACATTTAATATAATTTTTTGTTAAATTTTAGAGCACGAAGATTTATTCTGACTGCCTTTTAGATGATAAAGCTTAATTGGGCCTCTAAGCCTTCTCAACACAAAAGTCTGTTTTAAGGTAGACTTCTGTTGCCACTCACATGAAAAAATATCTCCTTCAGAGCATTGAAACTCAAAAGCTGATTAGCCTCCAGTAGAGGAAACGGGACCCCAAACCTTAGGAAGATAAAAGCCTGGCTGGCCTCCTGGTGGGGTAAAAGGCAGTTTTCATTCTTTCACAATGAATCTCCAGCAGCAGCGGGAACACAATGCTGTTTCTCTGTAGGTCACCCTTTCACATTAAATTTGCTATAAATCAGCCTTCCACACTTGCTAGAGCATTGTCTTTTCCTATAGATGCTAAAGTGAAAAAACTCTTCTAGGAAAGTCATTGTGAATCAAGGGCTGTGTCTGTCCTCATGGAACTAAATGGCCATTAAATGAGGATGAATTCTTGCTCTATGCTCACCTTATCAAGAATAAATGAAGGCCCAGTAATCCCCATGTGTAACTATGAGAGGAGATACAGTGATGCATTTTGATGGAGATGGGGGTTAAACATTCTGGGCTACCTAACTGACTGATCGTTGTAGGTTTGGGGAATGGACTCTAAGAGTTCCTGCAAAAGACGTGTGGTTGTGGTTCATGGTAGGGGCTGGAGAGAAAGGGAGGGAAGGGGACAGTGAGAGAGCAAGAGAGCAAGCAAGAAGGAGTTGATGGGTGCGGAAAACAATATGCTTAGAGGAACTGAGTAAAATGCTAAAAAGCATCTGCATATGAAGAATTAAAATCCTGAAAGCCACATATTAGTCCTTAGCAAACCTATCATACTGCCTCCAGCAGGATGAGACAAATGAAAAGAATTCTGGATCTAAAACTGGATTACTTTATAGGATTGGCTATATGCAAGCTCTGAAACCAAGTCCAGACTTGAAGCTGGACAGTGGGCCTCCAGAGGGTAGAATTCAAACCTCTGGGGGTGTCCTGATGAATGAAGCAAAAATATAGTGGAGAATCACAGAAGAGCCATATGTAGAAATCCACAGAAGTATGTAGCTGACCCTACCAAAGTAATATGCTAGTAGAAAACAGCACTCCAATCTTTTGGCTGGGGTTCAGACTAAGATTATAATCTCTGGGAAGATGAGGCAGGCATAACCAGGTAGAAAGTCACGCCTACAGGGTTATGGCACAGGGAAGGTTATTGATTCAGAAACTCATAATGTAATTCAATTACTACTGGAAGGGTACAAAATAGCCTGAAAATAAAGAAAACTTTTAGTTATGATAATCAGGAAAAAAGCCAAGATTGAATTACATGGGGGCGGTTTCCCCCATGCTGTTCTGGTGATAGTGAGTGCTCATGAGAGCTGATGGTTTTAAAGTGTGTGGCAGTACCCCCTTCTCTCTCTCCTGACACCATGTAAGACGTGCCTTGTTTTCCTTTCGCCTTCAGCCATAATTATAAGTTTCCTGAGGCCTCCCCGGCCATGCGGAACTGTGAATCAATTAAACCTCTTTTCTTTATAAATTACTCAGTCTCAGGTAGTTCTTTATAGCCATGTGAAGACAGACTAATGTACTATCACTTATAGACATATTACCAGGGGTCTAGCACTCTGCTTTGCCTTTTAAATATTTTTTTCCTTTAATGCTTACAACCACTATTGAGGTAGGTGTTATTGTCTAATTTAAGAGATGAAGAGATTGGGCCCCAGGAGTTAAATTACTATAATCACATAGCTAGTAAAGAATAGCACCATGAATTGAACTCAAGGATCTTTGATTTCAATTGCAATTCATTGGTAAGCATGGAATTGCCCTTGGTTTCCTTTGATCCTTGCAGGGACCAAGGGTATTTTTAAAGATGGCTGCAACATTATCTCCTATTCCATATAGTCTGCTGCAACGTGACTTTGCCACTCCTCCACAATGAGGTGGAATCTATTTCTTCACTCCTTCAAAACTGATGTAGATTATAGCAAATGTGATACGGTCCCAGTTACGAGTTCATCCCTTAGTTGATGTTCTTGGGATGCTGCATCTCAGAACACATCCACCATGTTATAAGAAACCTAAGAGAGATGGGTAAGGTCACATGTAGCTGCTCCAATGTACTCTTCCAGCTGAGTTACCTGCTGATAGCCAGTGTCAACTGCAACTGAGTGGGTTGTCTTGGACGTCTGAGCCTTTACAGTTCCCTGCTGACAGCCAGAGTCAACTGCAATTGAGTGGGTTGTCTTGGACATCTAAGTTGAACCTTTAGATGACTCTAGCTTCAGCCAACATATAACTGAAACCACATGAAAATTGCCTAGATGAGTCTAGAAATGAAAACCAATAACATACTGCTTTTTCAAACTACTAAGGTATATGGTTTGTTGCGCAGTAAATTGCAACTGGAATAGTACCCAAGGTAAAATGTGTTGTAGGTATAGAGCTAAAGCTGAGCCTGGACATGAGGGTAAAGTAGGTCTAGGTGTAGAGAAAGAGGGAAGACAGAAAACTGACTATGCAACACATAAGTTACTCTTAAGTTTGAGGTAGACAATGAGTAAGATGATTCAGTAACTTGAGGTTTTATATCTGCTACTTAGCTCAGATGTGTTAGCTGTGTGTTTATTTTCCATACATCGTAAAAGATCACTATGAACTTAATGGCTGAAAATAACACACATTTATTACCTCACAACTGCCATGAGTCAGAAGTCTGGTCACAACTTAACTGGGTTATCTGCTCAGAGTCTTGTAAAGCTGGAATCAAGGTGTCAACAAGCTTAGAGTCCTCTTCCTTCCTGACATGGTTGTTCAAAGAATGTAGTTCCTTGTCGTGGTACCGTGACCCTCAGCTCCTAGAGGTCACCTGCAGTTCCCTGTCACATGGTGCTCTTCACAGACAGTTTACATCACAGTAGCTTGCTTCTCCAAGGCCAGGAGGAGAGTCCCCCTAGAGCATGCTAGCAAGGTAGAGCTATGTATATAACATAATCATGGGAGGCACATCCCATCACCTCTGCCATGCCTTATTTGTTAGAAGCAAGTAATAGGTTCTGCCAACACTCAAGGGGAAAAGATCACACAAGGTGTGAACATTGGGGTCACCTTGGGGTTTGTCCCCCACAGTCTCTATTCCTTAATTTATTCAGTATTGAATATCCAATCATCCATCCATCTACCCACCCATTTATTCTCTAAGCATGCTCCTTCCTCAAGACCTTGACATTTACTTTTTTCTCTACCTTAGACACTTTTGCCCAGAAATTTGCAAAGCTCAATCTCTGCCTTCCTTTATGTTGGCAGATATCACCTCATCAGCAAGGGAGCCCCTAGACCATTCTATCTAAAATAGCCAATCTTGGACCCCAGCATTCACTATCCCCCTTGTTTTATTTTTAATAGCTCTTATAAACATTCGATACATATATTTCACACTGCCTTTATTGGCTGTCTCTCCCACCACAGTGTAAGCTCTATAAGAGCAGGAACTGGCCGGGCACGGTGGCTCATGCCTGTAATCCCAGCACTTTGGGAGGCCAAGGCAAGTGGATCACGAGGTCAAGAGATCGAGACCATCCTGCCCAACATGGTGAAACCACGTCTCTACTAAAAAGACAAAAATTAGCCGGGCGTGATGGTGGGCACCTGTAATCCCAGCTACTTGGGAAGCTGAGGCAGGAGAATCACCTGAACCCGGAGGTGGAAGTTGCAGTGAGCCAAGATCGTGCCACTGCACTCCAGCCTGGTGACAGAGCAAGACTCTGGGAAAAAAAAAACAAAAACAAAAACCCGGAACTTTGTTTTATTCACTGTTGAAATCCTAAAACCTAAAACAGTGCCTCGACATAGCTGGAACTCAACAAAAATTTGTTGAATGAATGAACAAACAAACATCTACCATGTGTCAAAGATGATGCAAATTGCTTGGGGGACAACAAAAATTCTACCCTGAATAGTTTCAGCTGTGAAAGAAAGAGTTTGCTAGGAAAGTACAAAAGCTAAAGCCTGAGAATGAAGGTTTTGGAGCAAAAAATAAGACATTTTGGAATAAAACACAATTTGGAGCAACTTAAAGAAGATATCAGAAATTTTCTCCAAATTCTGTAGAAAGCACAAATTAAAACAGAGGCACTTGGAGTTAGTGGTTGAGACAAGGCAAACACTTCAAAAATTAAAATTATATCAAGGCAAAGATAAAAAAATAAATCATTTCAAGGGTGCTCATAAGAGAGAAGAATGAAATAGACGCAATAAAAAATGACAAAGGAGATACCACTGATCCCACAGAAATACAAACTACCATCAGAGAATACTATAAACACCTCTACGCAAATAAACTAGAAAATCTAGAAGAAATGGATAAATTCCTCGACACATACACTCTCCCAAGACTAAACCAGGAAGAAGTTGAATCTCTGAATAGACCAATAACAGGCTCTGAAATTGAGGCAATAATTAATAGCTTACCGACCAAAAATGTCCAGGACCAGACGGATTCACAGCCGAATTCTACCAGAGGTACAAGGAGGACCTGGTACCCTTCCTTCTGAAACTATTCCAATCAATAGAAAAAGAGGGGATCCTCCCTAACTCATTTTATGAGGCCAGCATCATCCTGATACCAAAGCCTGGCAGAGACACAACAAAAAAAGAGAATTTTAGACCAATATCCTTGATGAACATTGATGCAAAAATCCTCAATAAAATACTGGCAAACCGAATCCAGCAACACATCAAAAAGCTTATCCACCATGATCAAGTGGGCTTCATCCCTCGGATGCAAGGCTGGTTCAACATATGAAAATCAATAAACGTAATCCAGCATATAAACAGAACCAAAGACAAAAACCACGTGATTATCTCAATAGATGCAGAAAAGGCCTTTGACAAAATTCAACAACCTTCATGCTAAAAACTCTCAATAAATTAGGTATTGATGGGATGTATCTCAATAAGAGCTATCTATGACAAACCTACAGCCAATATCATACTGAATGGACAAAAACTGGAAGCATTCCCTTTGAAAACTGGCACAAGACAGGGATGCCCTCTCTCACCACTCCTATTCAACATAGTGTTGGAAGTTCTGGCCAGGGCAATCAGGCAGGAGAAGGAAATAAATGGTATTCAATTAGGAAAAGAGGAAGTCAAATTGTCCCTGTTTGCAGATGACATGATTGTATATCTAGAAAACCCCATTGTCTCAGCCCAAAATCTCCTTAAGCTGATAAGCAACTTCAGCAAAGTCTCAGGATACAAAATCAATGTGCAAAAATCACAAGCATTCTTATACACCAATAACAGACAGAGAGCTAGATCATGAGTGAACTCCCATTCACAATTGCTTCAAAGAGAATAAAATACCTAGGAATCCAACTTACAAGGGATGTGAAGGACCTCTTCAAGGAGAACTACAAACTACTGCTCAATGAAATAAAAGAGGATACAAACAAATGGAAGAATATTTCATGCTCATGGGTAGGAAGAATCAATATCATGAAAATGTCCATACTGCCCAAGGTAATTTATAGATTCATTGCCATCCCCGTCAAGCTACCAATGACTTTCTTCACAGAATTGGAAAAAACTACTTTAAAGTTCGTATGGAACCAAAAAAGAGCCCGCATCGCCAAGTCAATCCTAAGCCAGAAGAACAAAGCTGGAGGCATCACGCTACCTGACTTCAAACTATACTACAAGGCTACAGTAACCAAAACAGCATGGTACTGGTACCAAAACAGAGATATAGACCAATGGAACAGAACAGAACCCTCAGAAATAATGCTGCATATCTACAACTAGCTGATCTTTGACAAACCTGAGAAAAACAAGCAATGGGGAAAGGATTCCCTATTTAATAAATGGTGCTGGGAAAACTGGCTAGCCATATGTAGAAAGCTGAAACTGGATCTCTTCCTTACACCTTAAACAAAAATTAATTCAAGATGGGTTAAAGACTTACATGTTAGATCTAAAACCATAAAAACCCTAGAAGAAAACCTAGGCAATACCATTCAGGACATAGGCATGGGCAAGGACTTCATGTCTAAAACACCAAAAGCAATGGCAACAGAAGCCAAAATTGACAAATGGGATCTAATTAAACTAAAGAGCTTCTGCACAGCGAAAGAAACCACCATCAGAGTGAACAGGCAACCTACAAAATGGGAGAAAATTTTTGCAACCTACTCATCTGACAAAGGGCTAATATCCAGAATCTACAATGAACTCAAACAAATTTACAAGAAAAAAACAAACAACCCCATCAAAAAGTGGGCCAAGGATATGAACAGACACTTCACAAAAGGAGACATTTATGCAGCCAAAAAACACATGAAAAAATACTCATCATCACTGGCCATCAGAGAAATGCAAATCAAAACCACAATGAGATACCATCTCACACCAGTTAGAATGGTGATCATTCAAAAGTCAGGAAACAACAGGTGCTGGAGAGGATGTGGAGAAATAGGAACACTTTTACACTGTTGGTGGGACTGTAAACTAGTTCAACCATTGTGGAAGTCGGTGTGGCGATTCCTCAGGGATCTAGAACTAGAAATACCATTTGACCCAGCCATCCCATTACTGGGTATATACCCAAAGGATTATAAATCATGCTGCTATAAAGACACATGCACACGCATGTTTATTGTGGCACTATTCACAATAGCAAAGACTTGGAACCAACCCAAATGTCCAACAATGATAGACTGGATTAAGAAAATGTGGCCCATATACACCATGGAATATTATGCAGCCATAAAAAATGATGAGTTCATGTCCTTTGTAGGGACATGGATGAAGCTGGAAACCATCATTCTCAGCAAACTATCGCAAGGACAAAAAACCAAACACCTCATGTTCTCACTCATAGGTGGGAGTTGAACAATGAGAACACATGGACACAGGAAGGGGAACATCACACACCGGGGCCTGTTGTGGGGTTGGGGGAGGGGGGAGGGATAGCATTAGGAGATATACCTAATGCTAAATGACGAGTTAATGGGTGCAGCACACCAACATGGCACATGTATACATATGTGACAAACCTGCATGTTGTGCACATGTACCCTAAAACTTAAAGTATAATAATAATTAAAAAAAAAAAGGGTGGTCGTTTAAAGGTTAACCTTTCCCAGAGGCTGAGAGTTGTAAAGAGACCACTAATTTGGGCAGTATTAAGAAGTGCTTTACCTGAGGGCTGTTGTGGTATGCTAGTTTTATTTGCTTCAATACATAAGGGACCTTCTTGCTGATAAAGTCTGGCAGGTTTTGGATCATCTCCAGATGTTTTCTAGAGCCATGTATGAGATTGCAGATGTGAATATTGTTCCAGTGAGAGGATACTGAAAAAACTGATTTCTAGATGCTGAGTCTGGTAAAAAGAATGTATTGAAGATGCAACATACAAGCAAATATTGGAGCCAAACCAACAGTAGCTAAGTGGAAAGGCTTTTCTGCAAAATAGGAGGGTGTACAAATACAGAAACAATTTGGCCCTTAATGCTCATTTTGGCAAGGTGAAATAAAAATGCAAGCGCCAGTGACAACAGAGTCCAATCCTAAATAAAAGGAGAAACCAGTCACAATATGAGGAGAAATGAGTTGGTTTCCTTTTGCCTCCAGTCTTATTTTGTGGTGCCAGGGATCATGTCCAAGCTGTCAGAATACCCATGAAGAAAATATCCAGAGCAGCAACAACAGGACTGAGGTACCACCGCAGTTCTCTGCTTATCTAAACAGACGCATGAAGCCAATTTCAAAGTATGAATTCAACCTGGTCTTTGGTTTTCAGCTAACTGCCTAACTTCTACCACCCCTTGCTATTGGTGAGAAAGAGCTGAGGACAGCTGATTCAAAGAACTCTGAGTTGGTGGTAGTGGGAGTGGGTGAAAAGAGTTTTACAAAAAAACTTCATATACATTTCCAAAGCACAGTGGACACTACTTGTGCACTTTGCAATACCAACCAAACGAAGCTTCCATCTGGCAGAAAAATGCAGTAACTGGAAAAGTTTTGAAGCCAAGGGGACACAGTTGCATGACATCTAAATGCCAAAAACTTGTTCATTCCACTTAACTGTTAAGTGATTGGGAGTAACTGATAGCTCTAAAAAGTGTAATATGTTTGTAATTGTGAAATGCTAAATGCTAAAGTAATGGTGCCAGTAAAAGTGACATTGGTAACTTTGGAAACTCTGCAAAAAAAGGATCCTTGAAGGTGTTTTTGTCACATAGACACTAGAGCAGTGTTTCCTTTACTTGCCTGTACATCAAATTTGCCAAAGAAACATTTAACTTAGAAATTTTTTGGCTCTACTTCTTGGAGATTCTGGATTGATGTCTAAGATCCAGAATCTATTTTTTTACTCCCAAGGGATTCTGATGGCCAGTCAGTTTTGTGAACCCTCAAACTAGATGACTTGAAGGAGGCCTACAGTTTATGTAAATAAACGTCTGAAAGAAGGATGTTCAAGGAACAAAAAGTTAATTACTGTTTAGAATAATATAGTACTTTGGCCCCAGATGACAGAATGCAGCTGAATTGAAGGTCTTGGAAGACAGATTCTGGCTCAGCACAAAGAGGAACCCTCTCACAGTTAGATTTGAGAAGACCAGTGAAAAGCTGAAAATCCAAGTACAGTCATCAATGGGGTGATAAGTGTGGGGACCAGATTGTTGTTACATGTATAAACATATCCAATTGAATTGTGGCTTCTGGTGGCAATGAGTGTCTTCTTGTCAATGAATGTGTTCAAACGCTATGAGAACAGTTTTATCAATAGAGCAATTACCCTTTAATTCACTCCGACCTGCATTCTGCCTCCACTGTTCTGCTAACCTTGCTTTTACTATGTGTCTGTCTCCATACTGAAAAAATTTTTTAAAAATACTTTTTGTGATGTTAACAGCTAATGTTTATTGAATGCATAGTGTTTACCAGGTATTATTCTATACAATTTAGTTGTTGCATTTTTTCCTATTACTGATACTTTATTTAAACAAGAAAGTACAATTTCTTAAGGGGTTTCATAGTTGAAAAAGCTACAATTACATCATGTTGTAAATACATTTTTAAGTTTTTTTCAATTATAACGTTTAAAAAACAATGCTGTAAATGGAACTGTTTGGCTTTGACTATATATATTTCTTCATAGTCTTTATGGTATCTGCACAAAGAAATATCTTCTACCTTTGTTCCAGTTAATTGTTATATGTAAGTTGCTTTTTATTCCAGTGTATCCAGAGTGGTGAAATAACAAGGCCAGCCATGTTGCCAAAGTTTGCTCCAAGCATATAGGAGGAGATGGGCCATATGTACGAGCTCACTGACATCGAGAATGTTACATATCCTCTAGGTGTTAGTTTCCTTATCTGCCATGGTCTTTTTCAATCCAGTGGTATAGAAAGTACTCCAAGACATGTTCCCACAAAACTAGAAATTGTACTGATCTGGATACTATTCTCCCAAGTGAATATAACTCCCTTTCCAGTGAAAACTCTTATCCATGCTTTGAGATTTGGTCCTAACAAAAATAAACTTGGTAGAGTAGTAAAAGCAGACAAAATAACCACAAATAAAAATGTTTCCATCTTCAACTCTAATGGTGGCTCTCCATATAGAACAAAAATTACATGAATTACATGCAAGAAACAAGGCATAAGAAATTAATACAGCATTCCAAAAATCCGGTCACCTTGTGTGATAATAAACTTCTTTTAGAGGATGCATTTGGCTTCACTACTAAATATAATACTTGATTGACAGCAGTTAGAAAAACACAACAGATGCACAACCGTATTAAGTGTGCTTCCAATATTGAGAAGTTCTCCAAAAAGAATGATGGAATGAAGATGATCAGGCTAATTGAAAACATGCATAAAAGATGATTATACAATAGTCTCTTGATATCAGTGTCCTTCATTGTGTTTTCTTGGGTGGCTATCTGACTCTCTCACCTGCAAAAGGAAAAGGACACTGCGGCCTTCTGACATCAGGTATGACTCCCTGCCCTGATCTTTCTACGTGTTGTATTTAATGCCTCCAAGAAACCTATAAAGTAAGTAATATTCTCGTCTAATTTTACAAATGTAGAATCTGAGGCAAAATGAGGATAAATTATTTTCTTAAGGTCCCATAACTAATAGACTACAGTTGATATATAATCTAGATTATAATATAATAGACTGCAGTTGATATATGTTATATATATAATATATAATATATGTTATATATATAATATATAATATATGTTATATATATAATATATATGTTATATATATAATATATATGTTATATATATAATATATATATTATATTTGTTATATATGTTATATATATGTTATATATATAATTATATATGTTATATATATGTTATATATGTTATATATAATTATATATGTTATATATTATATATAATACGTATTATATATCATATATATTATATATCATATATATAGTTATATATTATATATTATATATGATATATATTATATATTATATATTATATATGATATATATTATATATTATATATGTTATATATGATATATATTATATGTTATATATTATATATGTTATATATTATATATTATATATGTTATATGTTATATATGTTATATATTATATATGTTATATATGTTATATATTATATATGTTATATATTATATATGTTATATATTAAATATAATATGTTATATATAATATATGTTACATATTATATATGTTACATATTAGATATAATATATGTTACATATTATAACACAGAACACACATGTTACATATTATAACACAACACATATGTTACATATTATAACACATAACACATATGTTACATATTATAACATAACACATATGTTACATATTATAACACGTAACACATGTGTTACATATTATAACACATAACACATGTGTTACATATTATAACATAATACATATGTTACATATTGTATATGTTATATAATATAATATATGTTATATAATATATAACATATATTATATGTTATATAACATATATTATATAACATATATTATATGTTATATAACATATATTATATGTTATATATTATACGTTATATATAGTATGTTATATATGTTACATATGTTATATATTATATATTATATATGTTATATATTATATATTATATATGTTATATATTATGCATTATATATGTTATATATTATATATTATATTATATATGTTATCTATTATATATAATATATATGTTATCTATTATATATAATATATATGTTACATATTATATATTCTATATTATTATATATGTTACATATTATATATAGAATATATACTTATATATATTATATATAAGTATATACTATATATAGAATATATATGATATATATTCTATATATAATATATATTTTATAATTATATAGAATTATATCGTATATATTATATAATTATATAGAATTATATATATCATATAATATATTATATATAATTATATGTAATTATATATATTATATAATATATATAATTATATATAATATGTAACATATATATAATATATATAATTGTAATATATAACATATATATAACATATATATAATATATAATATATAACATATATTATGTATGATATATATGTTATATATTATGTATGATATATGTTATATATTATATATGATATATGTTATATATTATATATGATATATGTTATATATTATATATGATATATGTTATATATTATATATGATATATGTTATATAATATATGATATATATTATATATGATATATGTTATATAATATATGATATATATTACATATTATATATTATATATGTTACATATATTATATATGTTATATATTTAATATATTATATATGTTATATATATTATATTATATATGTTATATATTATATATAATATATTATATATGTTATATATTATGTATAATATATCATATATAATATATTATATAATATATTATATATGTTACATATTATATATGATATATGTTATATATTATATATGATATATGTTATATATTATATATGATATATGATATATATGATGTATATTACATATTATATATTATATATGTGACATATATTATATATGTTATATATTTAATATATTATATATGTTATATGTTATATATAATATATTATATATGTTATATATTATATATAATATATTATATGTTATATATAATATATTATATATTATATGTTATATGTTATATATAATATATTATATATGTTATATGTTATATATATTATATATGTTATATGTTATATATAATATATTATATATGTTATATGCTATATGTTATATTATATATGTTATATGTTATATATAATATATTATATAGGTTATATGTTATATATAATATATTATATATGTTATATATATTATATATGTTATATGTTATATATAATTTATATATGTTATATGTTATATATAATATATTATATATGTTATATGTTATGTATAATATGTTATATATGATATATATATAATATATTATATATATTATATAATAGACTACGGTTGATATATAATTTTTGTTGAGTTCCAGCTATGTCGAGGCACTGTTTTAGGTTTTAGAATTTCGACAGTGAATAAAACAAAATTCCGAGTTTTTGTTTTTTTTCCCCAGAGTCTTGCTCTGTCGCCAGGCTGGTTCTAGCCAAATTCTAGAACCAGGACTCATAAATAGTCCACTACAGCCCTCTATTACCAGACCTCCGTGTAACATTTGGCATGACTGACCTCCCCCTCTTTGAAATACTCTTAGTTTCCTATGACACCACAATGTTGAGGTCTTCATCTTACTTTGCCACTCATTCCTAGTTTCCTTTACCTACTTCTGTGCCCCTCACAAAACAATGACCTTATTGTATCTCTTGTCACCATTTCACTCTCTTTGTAGATATTCTCATCCACTCCTACAGTTTCACTGGAATTTTTTTTTTTTTTGAGACAGTCTCTCTCTGTCGCCCAGGCTGGAGTGGTGTGATCATGGCTCACTGCAGCCTTGATTTCCCAGGCTCAAGTGATTCTCCCACCTCAGCCTCCTGAGTAGCTGGGACTACAGGTGTGCATCACCACCACATCTGGCTAATTTTAAAATTTCTTTTGTAGAGATGGGATCTCCCTATATTGCCAGTCTGATCTTGAACTCCTGAACTCAAGCAATCCTCCCACCCCAGCCTCCCAAAGTGTTGAGATTACAGGCGTGAGCCACTGCACCCAGCCTGGAATTTTTATCTCTAGTTCAGGCCACTTTTTATATTATTTTATAAGTATATTTGAAATTCCTACATCAGAGCCTCATAGGCAGTTCACAATTATGCTGTTAAAACAGAACTCTTTTTTGAAACGGAGTCTTACTCTGTCGCCCAGGCTGGAGTGCAGTGGCACCATCTCAGCTCACTGCAAGCTCTGCCTCCCGGGTTCATGCCATTCTCCTGCCTCAGCCTCCTGAGTAGCTGGGACTACAGGCACCCGCCACCACACCCATCTAATTTTTTGTATTTTTAGTAGAGATGGGGTTTCACCGTGTTGGCCAGGATGGTCTCTATCTCCTGACCTTGTGATCTGCCCGCCTCGGCCTCCCAAAGTGCTGGAATTACAGGCATGAGCCACCACGCCCTGCCCAGAACTCTTGATTTCCAACCTCTCTTTCAAGAACTGAGATAGGAATAACTTTAGTTTACATTCTTTTCTTTCTTGATGATCTATCTATCTATCTATCTATCTATCTATCTATCTATCATCTATCTATAGACAGACTGATACATTTCTATTAAATCTAATTTATCACCAACTCGGGTCCATTCTACCTTCACAATATTTGGATCTGTTTAATTATTTCCAATTCACTGACACTAACCTGGCACAAGTTCACCTCTAATTGGACAACGGCAAGAATCACTTGATTAGCTCTTTGCTTAGACTATTTTCTCTTTTGAATGAGTAGATCTCCTTACAGAGAAGCTAGTTGTGGATGTTGTCCCCTTCTTCTTCCTGAATGCATTCCTTCAGGGTTAGGCTGGGGAATTTTTTTTTTTTTACCATAAACATCATTTTGGTATTATTGCATAATATTCCATCTTGTAGCTATATATCATTTAATTATTTCTCTGCTTCAGATCATTTAAATAATTCCTAATTTTAAAAACTTTAGATTTCATTTTTTAGAGAAGATTTAGGTTGACAGAAAAACTTAGCAAAATACAGAAGATTCCCATAGACACTCTCTTCCCTCCTTCCAGTTTTTTCTACTATTAATATCTTGTATCAATGTGGTATATTTGTTACACTTGATGAACCAGTATTCATACATTATGATAAACTTCGTCCATAGGTTACATTAGAGTTCACTGTGTGATACATACATTTCTATGGATTTTGAAAAATGCATAATATATCAGATATTAGCTATCATAAAAAACAGTTTCACTGACCTAAAAGTCCCCTGCATTCCAGCCTTCCAACCTCCCTCCTTGCCTCCAAACCCCTGGAAATCTCTATTTTGACTTTGTTTTTGCCTTCTCCCCATCTCTACCTGCCCACTGCCCCACGTCCACAAGCATAGTCAATTTCCAAGCACCATCACAAGAACTAATACCTCCAAACACAGATTTTAGAGAAAGACAAGTGTAGCTTTATATTTTCTGTCTCCCTCATAGAATTTTAGGTCTTTGAGGAATCTTAGAGATTGTCTAATCCAATGATTTTTGACCTTCAATATTTTTGTGTACAATTCATTATTCTATTTTTTTATTACAAGTGGAAGAAGGTAGGGGGTCTGAACCAACATGGAATTTTATTTTGTAAGTAGAACAAGTGAACAGAGTTATAAACTGCAGAGCCGGAGGCATCAGGCCAGCTTAGTATAGTCTTGCAAATCAAATATCTTGCGGGTCTGCTTAGACCAGCTGCATGTCAGCCTGTGATTTCTGCAAGCCAGGAGCATGCACATACTTACAGGAGAGAAGAGTCAGAGGCCAAAGACACAATAAATATTACATGGTGTGACGGTTAATTTTATGTATCAATTTTGCTAGGTAGGCCACAGTGACCAGATAGCTGGTCAAACATTATTCTGGATATTTTGGAGAAGATGTTTTTTGGATGAGATTAACATTGAAATTGGTGGACTTTGAGTAAAGCAGATTGCCCTCCATAATGTGAGTGGGCTTCATCTAATCAGCTGAAGGCTGGAATAGAACAAAAGGTAGAGAATTCTGTCAGCAGGCAGCCTTTGAACTCGAACTGCAACATCGACTTTTCTCTAGGTCTTTATTTTTGTGGCTTTCCCTGCAGATTCTGGACTTGCCAGCATCCATAATCGTGTGAGCCAATTTCTTAAAATAATTTTTTCTCTATATATGCATTCTATTGGTTCTGTTTCTCTTGAGAACCCAAATACACCGAACTCAAAGTTGATGGGAAACAGTGAGTCATATTTTTTTGGTAGATATCATTGAGAGGATGTTAATTTTTGGTAGCCGTTTTTAAAATCCTACTTTCCACTGGACTACTTCTGGTTTCCACTGTGGAGTCAAAAGGTAGAGTGAAGAGAGTGGGAGATATGTGGGAAGACGGGGGTGGGTGAGTATTACTGCCTTAGCTTCCTAACTTCCAATTGAATGTAACTCCCTCCGTGATGTATTTCCTCATAGCAGGCAGTGGCTTTCAAGATAATTACTTAGACTTCATGGTTCCTCAGAGTAATATGATTAATACTCCTGTGATGTGAGTAACGATGATGCATCTTCCTCAGAAAGGGGTTTTAAAACATCAGGTCTCATACAGTTTCTCTCTTGCATTTTTTTTGTAGCTCTTCAGCTTATAGAAAGCTACAGTATGAGACTAAAGAAGTAGGAAACTATAATTAAATCAGTCCTTCACTATTTTCTTTTATTCTTTTTTTTTTTTTTTTTTTTTTTTTTGTGAGAATGAGTCTTCGCTCTATCGCCCAGGCTGGAGTGGAGTGAAACGATCTCGGCTCACTGCAAGCTCTGCCTCCCGGGTTCATGCCATTCTCCTGCCTCAGCCTCCTGAGTACCTGGGACTACAGGCGCCCACCACCACACCCAGCTAATTTTTTGTATTTTTTAGTAGCGACGGGGTTTCACTGTGTTAGCCAGGATGGTCTTGATCTCCTGACCTCGTCATCTGCCCACCTCGGCCTCCCAAAGTGCTGGGATTACAGGCATGAGCCACCGTGCCCGACCATTCCTTCACTATTTTCAATGTTCCAGAAAAGTGACATCTTTTCAGGTTGTCTTTTCGCTTTACAGGAAAAATATTAGCAAGGACTTTTCAAAGAAAACTTCAAAAGAATCACAGAATTTCTAAGATGGGTAGGAAGGAATGGAGCTTTTTTCCTACCTTAAGAGAGATGGGAGAATTCATTAAAAAGGCAGGAAGAATCGTATATGGATTTTATTAGGAAATATCCATTTATTTAACAAATGCTTGGGAATGCTTCATTGTGTCAAAGGTCCTGTGATTCAGGATCTGTTTACAGTGATGAGTAAGACATTGTCCCTAACTTCAGTAAGCTCATTATTTAGAAGAAAATTAGCCAGTCAAACAATTACTTATAATATAGTGTGATAAGCACCATATTATTTCAGGGATGCAGAAATAAATCTGTGAAGAAATAACATTCAAGAGTTCTTTCAGGCAGGATAAAAATATGAATGAATGGCACGAGACAAAAGCGTATTTGTCAGGCACTGCATTGATAAATGAAGTTTAAAAAAAAATCACTTTTTTTTTTTTTTTTTTTTGAGACGGAGTCTAGCTCTGTTGCCAGGCTGGAGTGCAGTGGCGCAATCTCGGCTCACTGCCACCTCTGCCTCTTGGGTTCAAGCGTTTCTCCTGTCTCAGTCTCCTGAGTAGCCAGGATTATAGGCACCACGCGCAGCTAATTTCTGTATTTTTAGTAGAGACGGGGTTTCACCATGTTGGCCAGGATGGTCTTGATCTCCCGACCTCGTGATCCACCCACCTCAGTCTCCCAAAGTGCACATTGTTTTTAAAAGTGGTCTTTTGGGAAAGATTATTACTGCTCAGTTGATGTTGTTTGTGTTGGGCATGGTGGCTCGCACCTGTAATTCCAGTGCTTTGGGAGGCTGAGGGAGGAGGATCACTCAAGGCCAGGAGTTTGAGACCAGCTTGGGCAACATAGTGAGACCTCCATCTCTACAAAAAATAATTTTTGAAAAAATTAACCAGGCATGGTGGTGTGTGCCTGTAGTACCAGCACTTGGGGTGCTGAGGTGGGAGAATCCTTGAGCCCAAAAATTCAAGGCGGCAGTGAGCCATGATTGCACTATTGCACTCCAGCCTGGGCAACAGAGTGAGACCCTGTCTGATGTGGTTTGGCTGTGTCCTCACCCAAATCCCATCTTGAATTGTAGCTCCCACAATTCCCATGTGTTGTGGGAGGGACCTGGTGGCAGGTAATTGAATCACGAGGGGCGGGTCTTTCCCATGCTATTCTCATGATAGTGAATAAGTCTCATGAGATCTGAAGGTTTTATAAAGGGGAGTTCCCCTGCACACACTCTCTTGTCTGCTGCCATGTAAGATGTGACTTTGCTCCTCATTCGCCTTCTGCCAAGATTGTGAGGCCTCCCCAGCCATGTGGAACTGTGAGTCAGTTAAACCTCTTTCCTTTATAGATTACCCAGTCTCAGGTATGTCTTTTTTAGCAGCATGAGCACAGACTAATACACTGTTTCTAAAAAAAAATTAAAAATTTCAAATTTGAGATTTCAAGTTAAAGTAATGTCATGTCTTGGTTTTTAAAATCTTTCCAGAAGATTACAGAAAACAGAGAGAACAGAAAACAAAATAGTAAAGATGTATATGAGAGGCCTGATGAAGTAAATTATTGTCTTTTAAAAAACATTAAATTGTTAAATTGTAAACAACGCTAAATAAATTTATAAAAATAAAGGCTGGTTGTTCAAATGTTCATAAGAAAATTTCAAATAGACCTATAATCTTCAAAGTCTTGCCAGAAATAGAAAATCATGTTTGTCTAAATGAGGTATGCCTTTGTGGTTGTTGAAAAGGGTTTTATGAATAACTTTAAACAAGTTATATTTTCTTATTTGATCTAGTGAAATATCACCTTTTAGGATTATTCCAGCAAAACAGAAAAGAAATAATTTCCCTTGGTCCAAGGTATCTATACAGATTATAGAAAGAAATAAAAAAAGTGAAAGCATTAGGTGTATTATTTGACTTTGAATTTATTTCCTTTCTCTCCTTTATATGTCTGTAAACTACACTTTAAAAGTGTCTGACAATTTCCAAGGATAAAAAGGACAGGACTGCTGTCTCTTGTCTGAGCTGCACTGCAGGAAGCCACTGTCTGTGCTCACGAGACTGCAGCGAAAGCATATGTATCCCTGTGAAATCGAAGTGATTGGACATTGTCCTAACAATGATTAAAATTTTGTTTTTAAAAAGAGTGTGGATATGGTAGATATGTGCAGACATTCTTTTACCTTAGAGTGTAACAAATTACATAAATTAACTTCGTGCTGAGAAGTAGAGATATTACTCAATTGTAAGAAACCTCATTCTCAGGGAGAATTATTGTACAATTGCCTCTGTTTTGAATGAGGCACTTCAGTGTGAATAAAAAGATACACATATTGCATTCTAGAAAGGAAAATAACAACTTCCCATAAAACTTCTCATGCTATCATTTTTCTGTTATTTTATGCAATTCAAAAGTGGCATGAGTGCAGATTGGAGAACTTTGCGAAAATCATAAATTTTCATTTTCAAAACAATACGCTTAACAATTGCATTAGCAGTAAAGAGTCTTCTTCTGAGCTATTGTTCATGATGACTATGTCTCGATGTGGAATTTGAAGGAATTCTAATATCAGCAGTCTGTGAACAATGTGAAAATCACTGCCTAAGTCTATTGCAGGCACAGTTCTTTTCCTTTTCATAGACTGGTAGAACTGATTTAAGACCTACAAAATAATACGAGAAATGAGCTTTTGAAGCATATTTGTCAAGCACTGGACTATATGCAGCAATGTGAAGAGAATAAACCAATTCTAAAGATGTAGGCATCTTGACATTGTGAATATAAAACATGGACTCACCCATCACCCATGCTTTCTTATCTAAGCCTGCAAAATGTCCATACATAGGAGCTGCATTCTTGGTCATACAGGTAAATTAAGGTGGGTGACTAAAATTGTGTAGGATTTTTTAAAAATCAAACTTACCGTTCAAAATTATAGGAAGGCTTGAATAAGTATTATCCACCTTGATAAAAACAATAGCCTTAATTTAATAATTATACTATAAGAAATACAAGGAAATGAATGAAAGACATAAATAACAGGAAATTCCAAAGGTGGAAAATGTCATATAGTGGTGCATGCTTTTTCATAGGCTTGAAGAAAGACAGTAAAGAAAAGAAAAAGGAGAGACAAATAAGTGGAATTAAAAAAAAAATACCTTTATGCACCTTCTGCGTATCTCAGTGCTGGAAGGACAAGAAGTGGGCATAAGGGGCAGACAAGCAAATTTGTCAGGATAGAATGTAAAAATCTCTGCAAGGCTGGCCTGAGGATAGAACAAACTGCTTCTTCTGAGGTCCTATCCCCAAACACAAAATTGTTCTTTTGAGAACCATGCAAAAAAGCTCTCTGTAAAATATTTGAATGTTGTATATATTGCCAGGGGGTTCTACTAAATTAGTAGCAATGGGCTTCTGTCCTTGACACAGTTACTGGGAATAAATTGACTTCCTACTGGACAAAATATATGAAATGGCAGCTTTCAGACATTGGACAATAGACAGTGTATTAGGGAGATCCCCAAGAACAGGAAAACAAATGAAGCAAGCCCTGGAATGACCTCACCTTTCTGTCCCGAGGCACTTTCTGGAATTTGGTGCTTAGAGGGAGAACAAAAGCAGAGCATGGTGGTTTCTCTGAGTTGAACGGGAATTTGGGGAGGCTAGGATTTTGAAACAGAATAGCAGAAAGAAGGGAGGTACACAGAGAAAGAGCTCTGGAAAACTACCTTGGGGGTTCCCCTGAGCCTGCAGCTGAGTACTGTACTTGTATATAGAGTAAAGTTCTGCAACGCTGGACACAGAGTGATCAGGGAATTCATAAGGAGCGATTCCTAGCAGATCAAGTCTTTTTATCCATTTGTGTTACCCTTGAGCAAGTTGAGATTTTGATCCCTATTTTAGTGAAAAGGTGATGATTTTTAGTTTGAAATGTTATTGGAACATCTAAGTAGGCGTATGAAACTGACAAAAGAAGACACATTTTAAACACAGCTTTGTTGCAGTATAATCAACATACAATAAACTGTACTTATTTAATATATGTAATGTAATGAGTTTGGACATATACACAGATGTGTGTTGAAAGTGGGTGATAGAATCTGAGACCCAGATCTGAGAGTCGATCCACAGAGGGCGTAACTGAAGTCAATTTCCTCAATATTCTCTTAGTGAAGGTATGTAAAGAGGTGTGAAAATGAACAATTACTAAGCATGCTTTGTGCCAGGACTGAAGTGGGTGCATTCATATGCTGTGTTACCTTAAAACATCCTAACAGTCCTATTAGCTAGGCAATTGAATACCAATTGTAAGGATCAGATAATTGGAACTCAAAAAGGCAAAGTAATTTTCTAAATGTTCTACAATTGGAACCAATAATTTACTCAAGATCTCAACAACAGTTACTCAGACATGTGTACTCTAAAGCCCAATCTCATCCCACTAAAATAGACTGACAGTGTTTCTGTACTGAGAATCAGAGAGGGAAAGAAAATTGTCTTGATGCTCCCAAAGGCCTAACCTGGCCTATGGGTACTTTAACCTGGTCTCCCAATACTCACCTCTCATTCACTCTGGTCAGACAAAATGGATCATGGGTATTGCATGAAGACACAGAGCATATTCCTACCTTAGGTAATTACTCTCATCATCCCTTCCAGAAATGCACATTCCCAGGATATCTTTGCGGTTTACTTTCTCATTTCATTAAGGCTTCTGTTTAAATACTCATCCCCATGAAATTCTGCCTTACTGCCCCATCTAAAATAAGGATTTCTTCCATTCTCCATCTTTTTTACTTTGCTTTATTTTGCTCCATAGCACTTTTTTCTTTTTCTTTTTTTTTCTTTTGAGACAGGGTCTCACTCTGTCACCTGTCACGCGCATCCATGTGAAGAGACCACCAAACAGGCTTTGTGTGAGCCTGTGAGCAATAAAGCTTTTTAATCACCTGGGTGCAGGCGGGCTGAGTCCGAAAAGAGAGTCAGCGAAGGAAGATAGTGGTGGGGCAGTTTTAAAGGATTTGGGTAGGTAACGGAAAATTACAGTCAAAGGGGTTGTTCTCTGGCGGACAGGGGCGGGGGTCACAAGGTGCTCAGTGGGGGAGCTTCTGAGCCAGGAGAAGAAATTTCACAAGGTAATGTCTGCAGTTAAGGCAGGAACCAGCCATTTTCACTTCTTTTGTGATTCTTCAGTTGCTTCAGGCCATCTGGATGTATACGTGCTGGTCACAGGGGATATGATGGCTTAGCTTGGGCTCAGAGGCCTGACATCGCCCAAGCTGTAGTGCAGTAGTGCATTCTCAGCTCACTGAAACCTCCGCCTCCCAGGTTCAAGTGATTCTCCTGCCTCACCCTCCCAAGTAGCTGGGACTACAGGCACACACCACCATGCCTGGCTAATTTTCATATTTTTGGTAGAGACAGGTTTCACCATATTGGCCAGGCTGGTCTTGAACTCCTGACCTCATGATCCACCCACCTCAGCCTCCCAAAGTGCTGGGATTACAGGTGTGAGCCACCGCACCCGGCCTATAGCACTTTTTTCTATCAGATAATATGGCATATACTTGCTTATGTTATTATTTTCTACCTCCTCAATTACAGCCAATCTCCATGAGGTCAAAGATGTTATCTGTTTTGATCATTGCTCACTCCCCAGTGCCTAGAACAGGGCCTGGCACACAGAGCATTCTTGGCAAATGCAAACGAATGAATGCGTGGACCTATCTTAGGTTATAGACCCTTTAAGAATTTGATTAAAATATAGACCACTCTAAATGCACATTTGCCTCCAACCAGTACAACCAATCTATAAATTTGGCTTACGTGGAGCTCAATTTGAAAACTAAAAAATTTGAGAGGTAAGGACTGTATTTTTTTTTAAGTGAAAGAGATAATTAAATATAAAGGAATTACCAATTATGTTCAAATAAGCAGAGAATTCAGAATAAATGAGCTTAATATTGCTAGTAGATTTTGCAAAGAAGACATAATGACCTTCAAGAATTCAGGTTCTACATACAGGAGGACAGATACTGATGGGCAAGGTATTAAACAGCGTGCAAATAGCTAGTGATTAGTGTCAGGTTAAAGACTATTTTGTAATAGAGTAAAGGGAAGCTATATGGGCCCCTAAAGATTAAAAAAAGGTGAAATTGTCTTCTCCTCATTGATGCAGAAGTTCCTGGCAGAATTAAGAAAGACTAAATCTGAAGGTTTCTTGATATCTGTCCTGAAAATACAATATAATGGTTCAGAGCACAGTCTCTGAAGAAAGAGCTAATTCTACCACTTACTGTGACTTTAAGAAAATCTGTTAAAATGCTCTACGTCTCAATTTCCTTAGGTGTAAAATGGGTCAATAATAAGGTTGTTGTGACGAGCTAATATATATTGTAAGATTTGTATGGTAGATGGTACATATAAAGCTGCCAATGCATTTTACTTACTATTATTTTCTATGTTCCATAAAGGTAGTCCCCATGTCTGTTATTGCTTATTATGCTTTGTATAATTGTTCAACATAGTCCCTATCATATAGCTAGCTTATATCATTATGTAATTATTATATGATAACGGAATATTTTTAAGGAAATAGAATACTTGACAATAAATGGAAGAAAATAATTAGAACAGTAGCTAGAACCATGGTACAGTAAGTTAAGAGTTTCTGTTATCTAACAAATCACCATACATGTCCATACATGTGTTAATTATTCTGTGAAGTCAGCTGGATGGAACAGCTCTGCATCATGTAGTGTTTTCTGGGTTTACTAATGAATCTGTGGTAAGCTGATGATCCATGTACTCACTCACATATCTAATGGTTAGTTGTTTCTCAGCAAGGCAAAGTGGGTATCTGGGCCATGTGTCTTTCATCCTTCAGCAGGATAGCCTGAGCTTAGATAGCATGGTGGTGGTCACAGGGTTCCCCAAGATCACCAAGATGAGGCAAAGCCCAATATCGAAGCCCCCCCCCTTTTTTTTTTGAGATGGAGTCTTGCTCTGTTGCCAGGCTGGAGTGCAGTGGCGCAGTCTCGGCTCACTGCAACCTCCGCCTCCTGGGTTCCAGCAATTCTCCTGCCTCAGCCTCCCAAGTAGCTGGGATTACAGGCATGCACCACCACGCCTGGCTAATTTTTGTATTTTTAGTAGAGATGGGATTTCACCATGTCGGCCAGGCTGGTCTTGAACTCCTGACCTCGTGATCCACCTGCCTTGGCCTCCCAAAGTGCTGGGATTACAGGTGTGAGCCACCGCGCCCGGCCCGAAGCCCTTTTCAAGTGTCTGTTTGCATCATATTTTCTATCATTCCACTGAGCAGAACAAGAACTACAGTTAGGTCTAGAGCCAGTGAAGTGGACTGCCCAAGGCCCAAGCCAATAACAGGGAAGGCAATCATTGTGGCCATTTACATACATATTTAAAACATGCATAAGATAGATCTTATAATTGAGCATATTTAATGCAGTAGGAAAGTTGTTGAAAAAGAAGGCAAGATAGACTTTAGGAAGGAAAAGACAGTGAACAAGACCACAAAATCTTTGAAGCCAGAAGGGACACATCTTCCTCTGAGACTAAAAGGAGAGATGAAACAGTGGGTATGAAGAGGGAAATGTTGCTTTCAAAAGAAATAGGGAGTTCACAGCAGATTTCCCTTATTCGGGAAAGTCTGATATCTTGGTCATCTGACTTTTTCCCCTTCAGCTTTTCTTTATTATCTATGGTGCTCCCTGAGGCACCTATCCTATATCCTATTCCATTTGAGTTGCAAACTTCTCTTACTTTGCATCAAATTAGAAGACTCAAAACCTGGAAAGCATTTTAAAATAGATTAACTATAATAGGCACTAGAAGAAATATCTTGAGAAAGACTTCTTGCTGGCTCTGCACACATTCCAGATCATCTTAATTTGGCACTGCAGGCTACAGAAATCTCTAAAGAGTAAATTTTTATGTACGTAATCTCCCTCCTAGTTAATATACTGGTCACTGGGCTCAAGCACAATGATAGACCCATTCCAATTTAACATCTCGTAGAGATAGCCTTAAATTCAATCACTTTTCCCCAGTACCCATGAAGGTTTCATTTTTAAAAGAATAGTAAGATATTACTTTCACACACACACACACACACACACACACACACACACACACACATACACACCCTCGTCTTAGTCTGTATTGTGCTGCTGTATAACAGAGTATTACAGACTGGGTAATTTATAATAAACAAATGTATTGGCTCATGGTTTTGGAGGCTGGGAAGTCTGAGATTGGGGGATTGCATCTGGTGAGGGCCTTCTAGCTATGTTATTCTATAGTGGAAGAACGAAAAGAGGGTGAGAGAGATCAAGAGGAGATGGAACTCCTCAGTTTGTTAGGAACGCACTCCCATAAGAAAGGCATTAATCCACTCATGAGGGCAGAGCCTTCATGGCCTAATCACCTCTTAAAGGTCCCACCACTTAATACTATCGCATTGGGGATTAAGTTTCCAACACATGAAATTGATGAACACAGTTAGGCCATAGTCCCCCTATATGTGCGTTTTTTAACAAGAGCAACTGGAGATAGCCTTGGGTCACCATATATTCAGTGAAGATTTTTGGCTGCGAGCACTTTACAGGACCGAATTATATTTACTGGAAATCAGAGTGCTTAATTTTCCTTCCTTCCATTACCAGGGACATTATCTGGGACTACATCCAAATAAGTCTTTTACTAGACACTCAGTTTAATTGGGGTTTCTCAATAATTTTGTTCATTTTTAAATGATTGCAAAGTAACCTAAAGGGATCTTACTATGTAAATATAGTAATAGAATGGAAATTGTGGGGTCAAGGATCATGCTTTCCATCAAAAACATTTCTTTTTATTTGAGCGACATTAAATTATTATCAAGTAGCTAGAAGTGTGGCACTCAACAGTAATCAGTTCATTGACTGGTTGTTCTGGTCATTTCATGTAGCTACATTTGTGGAACAAAATTCAGAGGCAAGGGTATTGGAAAGGTAATTAGTGTACTGATTTCATGGTTGTCATTAAGAAACAAATAAATAATATAAACACAATAGGAAAGAAATTTAAGCAATTTATTTATGGGGCAGATTGAATTCTACATGCTGTTTAATAAAACACATTGGTGCTCTCTTTAAAGGAATGGCAAGTCCCTGATTTAGGAAAATTCAGAACAGCAAAACCTGTACTTAAAAACAATAATAAAAATAGGAAGTGGTTATTCACATTTTAAAAGACCCTTTATGTTATCAATGGATGACCACCAAATTCTTCTACGCTAACTATTGAGTATGGTTCTAATTTCTAAAAGTCAAACCTCATATTACCTCAACAATTTTGGAATACATTTGTTGTCCTTCTTCAACAAAGTACATAGAATATGCTGAGAGGTCATGAGATCTCATGGTCTTGAAATAATTACGGGAATATCGCAATTAAGTATAATCCCTCCACCAGGAAAAGAAGATAATATAGCAAGATGAAAGAGGTTTAATATATTCAATTTCAATTATCTTTGTTAGTGCATAGAAGTAAATACAAAGATTACCCCAAATAGTTAATAATAAAAGCATATTTTTTCAATTTAAGAATAATGTATATGATCTTTTGCATCAACTATACATGTTTGATTTGACTTGTATAAATATTTCAATATTTAAAAATTTCATATGTTTTAGCAAATGAAGAGGAAAAAGATTTTAAGATGTCCTTTTCCACATTTTCTTCCAAATGTAGAAATTCACAATAAGCTATGTTAACAATTTAAAGACACCAGCCTGGATTTGCCATTTAATATTTTGATTATAATTATTATAAAATATCTTGAGCTATTCCAATCTTCCATTGTTTTGTGGTCTCAATTTACAGAATTTAGAAAAAATAAAAGTTGGAAAGGAGAAGGTAACAGACTAAATTTCACATATAGGCAGGTAGTGGCATCCTACAGATAAATTCGATATCATTTTACCTGCAAAAGTATTATTTAATGTCCTAGTACTATTACCTTAAAACGATCAGTCAAAGCCAAGATAACAGTGCCTGATCTCTGTTATTACACAGGCACACTTCATTTTATCGCATTTCACTTTATTGCATTTTGCAGATACTGTGTGTTTTTTCTTTAATTTTGGTTGGTACATAATAGGTGTATATATTCATGGGGTATATGAGATATTTTGATACAGGGATACGAAGTGTAATAATTACATCAGGATAAATGGGGTAGCCATCATCTCAAACATTTATCCTTTCTTTATGTTACAAACAATCCAATTATAATATTTTAGTTATTTTTAAATGCACAATAAATTATTGTTGATTGTAGTCACCCTATTGCGTTATCAAATACTAGATCTTATTCTACCTAATTATATTTTCGTACACATTAACCATCCCCATTTCTCCCCCACACTCCCACTACCATCCCCAGGCTCTGGTAATGATGTTTCTATTCTCTATTTCAACGAGTTCAATTGTTTTAATGTTTAGCTCCAACAGATAAGTGAGAACATGTGATCTTTGTCTTTCTGTGCCTGTCTTATTTCACAACAAAATAACTTCCAGTTCCATCCATATTGTGGCAAATGGCAGGATCTCATTCTTTTTTATGGCTAAATAGTACTCCATTGTGTATATGTAACACATTGTCTTTATCCATTCATCAGTTGACAGACACTTAGGTTGCTTCCAGATCTGACCTAATGTGAATAGTGCTGCAGCAAACATGGCAATGCAGATATCTTCTCAATATACTGACTTCCTTTCTTTTGAGTATATACCTAGCAGTGGGATTGCTGAATTATATGGTAGCTTTATTTTTGGGCTTTGAGGAACCTCCAAACTGTTCTTCATAGTGGTTGTACTAACTTACATGTCCAATGAGAGCGTGCAAGGGTTCACTTTACTCCACACCTTTGCCAGCATTTTTTTGCCTGTTTTTTGGATAGAAGCCATTTTAACTGGGGTGAGATAATGTCTCATTGCAGTTTGGATTTGCAGTTCTCTGATAATTAATAATATATAGTACCTTTTCCTATACCTGTTTTCCATTTGTATATCTTTTGAAAAATGTCTATTCAGATCTTTTGCCCATTTTAAATTGGATTATTAGATTTTTTTCTATAGAGTTGTTTGACTTCCTTATATCTTCTGGTTATTAATCCCTTCTCAGAGAGGTAGTTTGCAAATATTTTCTCCCATTCCATGAGTTGTCTCTTCACTTTGTTGACTGTTTCCCTTGCTGTGCAGAAGCTTTTTAACTTGACGTGACCCCGTTTGTCCACTTTTGCTTTAGTTGCCTGTGCTTGTGGGCTATTGCTCAAGTCCAATGTCCTGGGGAGGTTTTTCCAATGTTTTATTTTAGTAGATTCCCAGGTTGAGGCTTTAGATTTAAGTGTTTTGTTTGTTTTTTGTTTGTTTGTCTTTTTGAGATGGAGTTTCACTCTTGTTGCCCAGGCTGGAGTGCAATGGTGCGATCTCGGCTCACCACAACTTCTGCCTCCCGGTTTCAAGTGATTCTCCTGCCTCAGCCTCCCACGTAGCTGAGATTACAGGCAAGAGCCACCACGCCCAGCTAATTTTTTTGTATTTTTAGTAGACACAGGGTTTCTCCATGTTGGCCAGGCTGATCTCAAACTCCCGACCTCCGGTGATCCACCTACCTTGGGCTCCCAAAGTGTTGGGATTACAGGTGTGAGCCACCGCGCCCAGCCTTAAGTTTTTTTTTAAAGCAATTTTGACTTGATTTTTGTACACAGTGAGAGACAAAAGACTATTTTCATTCTTCTGCATATGGACCAGTTTTCCCAGCACCATTTATTGAGGAGACCATCTTTTCCCCAGTGTATGTTCTTGGCACTGTTGTCAAAAATGAATTCATTGTAGATGCATGGGTTTATTTTCTTAGTTCTCTATTGGTTCCCTTGGTCTATTATCAGGGGAAACAGCCCCCAATATTTCAATGTAGGTTCTTTATATTTTCCCTAAGTGTCGGCTGGTCTGAGAAATAAACAGAAAGAGTACAAAGAGAGAAATTTTACAGCTGGGCCTCCAGGGGTGTCATCACATATTGGTAGGACCATGATGGCGACTCCGAGCCACAAAACCAGCAAGTTTTTATTAGGGATTTTAAAAGGGGAGGGGGTGTACGAACAGGGAGTAGATCACAAGGATCACATGCTTCAAAGGGCTATAAAGATCACAAGGCAAAGGCAAGATTAGAATGACTGATGAATGTCTGTGTCCCGCTGTGCACGCATTGTCTTGATAAACATCTTAACAGGAAACAGGGTTCCAGAGCAGACAACCAGTCTGACTAGAATTTTCCAGGCTGGAATTTCCTAATCCTAGTAAGCCTGAGGGTACTGCAGGAGACCAGGGCGTATTTCAGTCCTTATAGACTCTGCCTATTACCCTGTCCTACTGTAGCTGAGCTAGTATCCAAGTTGCAAGACAAAGTCCTCTTTCCTCTTTCCTCTCTTCTCCTTCTGCAGAGGGAAAGTGTCTCTCCTAGAGCTGTGAGCTGCGCTGCCTGGGGTTGGGAAGGGGTGACACAAGCACTCTCTTGGCCTCTCTAGCACGTGTCTCACTAGGTCATGTGCACCCCAAATTCACTGGCTTTCAGCCCAGCATAGCACCAGGACTTACCTAGGAATTGCAGTCATTGTGG
The DNA here is from genome assembly GCF_000001405.40 of Homo sapiens. Classification (NCBI taxonomy): domain Eukaryota; kingdom Metazoa; phylum Chordata; class Mammalia; order Primates; family Hominidae; genus Homo; species Homo sapiens. The sequence goes on from NC_000023.11 coordinate 30,036,962, forward strand.
CCTAGACTGTTGGTATGGAGGATTCACCTCGACTAGGGCTGGTCTAAATGCCTTCTCTGTGGATGCTGGCTGAATTCTGCCCCATGCGGCTTTCCACTGTGACAGGGCAGCACTGAGTTCCAATGCAAAGCCTCACAATCACTGAGCTCTCCCTCCTCCAAGCACACAGATTATTTTTCTGCACCACACAGTCACTGCCAGGGATGAGGGAGGGGTGGCGTAAGTGCTGCAAGATTGTCTTCCCTATGCTTTTCAGTGCCTCTGTCTTTAATATGATGTTAAGACCTGGTACTGTGATCGCTCACCTGATTTTTGGTTCTTATGGAGGTGCTCTTTTCTGTGTGGATAGTTGTTCAATTTGGTGTTGCTGTGGGGGCAGGGGAGGATGATTACTGAACTGCAGATACTACATTTTTTTTACAAATTGAAGGTTTGTGGCAAGCCTATGTTGAGCAAGTCTATTGGTACCCTTTCTCCAACAGCATGTACTCACTTCATATCTTTGTGTCACATTGTGGTACTTATCACAACATTTTAAACCTTTTCATCATCATTATATCTGTTATGACGATCTGTGATCAGTTATCTTTAATTTTACTATCGTAATTGTTTTGGGGTATCATGAACCACACCCATATATGTTGGTGAACTTTATTGATGAATGATGAATGTTGTGTGTGTTCTGACTGTGCCACTGATCAGCTATTGCCCTGTCTCTCTCCCTCTCCTTGGGCCTTCATATCCCTTAAACAATATTGAAATTAGGCCTATTAATAACCCTCCAATAGCTTCCGAGTGTTCGAGTGGAAGGAAGAGTTACATGTGTCTCACTTTAAATCAAAAGCTAGACATCATTAAGCTTAGTGGGGAAGGCATGCCAAAAGCTGAAATAGGCTGAAGTCTAGGTCTTTTACACGAAACATGTGGCCAAGTTGTAAATGCAAATGAAAGTCCTTGAAGGAAATTAAAAGTGCCACTCTAGTGAAAATATGAATGATAAGAAAGTAAAACAGCCTTATTGATAATATGGAGAAAGTTTTAGTGGTCTGGATAGAAGATCAAACCAGCCACAACATTCCCTGAGGCCAAAGACTAATTTATAGCAAGATTCTAACCCTCTTTAACCCCATGCAGGCTGAGAGGTAAGGAAGCTACAGAAGAAAAGTTTAAGACTAGCAGAAGTTGGTTCATGAGTTTAAAGAAACAAAGTCATCTCCGTAACATAAAGGTACAAAGTAAAGCAGCAAGTGCTGATGGAGAAGCTGCAGCAAATTATCCAGAAGATCTAGCTAAGACAATTGATGAAAGTGGCTATATTAAACAATAGGTTTTGAATGTAGAGTTGACCCTTGATCAACACATGCTTGAATTATGCAGATACATTTATATGTGGATTTTCTTCCTCCTCTGCCACCCCTGAGATAGCAAGAGCCACTCCTCTTCGGCCTCCTTAATGTGAAGATGATAAGAATGAAGACCTTTATGATGATCCACTCCCACTTAATAAATAGTAAATATATTTTATCTTTCTTATAATTTTAACATTTTCTTTAGCTTATTTTATTGTAAGAATGCTGTATACAATGCATACACCATACAAAATATGTGTTAATTAACTGCTCATGACACCAGTAAGGCTTCCAGCCAACACTAGGCAATTAGAGTTAAGCTTTCAGGAAATCAAAAGTTATATGTGAATTTTTGACTGCCTGGGGTGTTAGTGCCCCAACTGCCACATTGTTTAGAGGTCAACTATATTAACTACCCTTCTACTAGAAGAAGATGCCATCTAAGACTTTCGTAACTAGAGAGAAGGAGTCAGTGCCTGGGTTCAAAGTTTCAAAGGAGAGGCTGTCTCTATTGTTAGGAGTGAATGCAACTGGTGACTTTAAGTTGAAGCCAATGCTCATTTGCCATCTTGAAAATGCAAGGACCTTTAAGAAATATGCTAATTCTACTCTGCATATGCTCTCTAAATAGAACAACAAAGCCTGAATGACAGCATATCTGTTCGCAGTATGATTTAGGGAATATTTTAAGCCCACTGTTGAGAACTACTGCTCAGAAAAAAAGATTCCTTTCAAAATATTGCTGCTTATTGGCAATGTACCTGGTCACCCAAGAGCATGGATAAAAACATACAAAGAAATTTATGTTGTTTTCATGTCTGCCAACACAACATCCATTCTGTAACCCATGGATCAAGGAATAATTGTGACTTTCAAATCTTATTATTTAAGAAATACATTTTAAAGGGCTATAACTGCCCTATATAGTGATTTTGCTGACGGATTTAGGCAAAGGAAATTGAAAACCTTCTGGAAAGGATTTATCATTCTAGATGCCATTAAGAATATCTGTGATTTATGGGAAGAGCTCAAAATATCAACATTAACAGGCATTTGGAAAAAAGTTGATTCCAACTCTCATGAATGAATTTGAGGGGTTCAAGACTTTCTTGAGATGAAATCTACTTCTGGTGAAGATGCTGTGAACATCGTTCAAATGAAAGCAAAGGATTTAGAACATTCTATAAACTTAGTGGATAAAGCATTAGGAGCAGAAGATTGACTCCAATTTTGAGACAAGTTCTACTGTGTGTAAAATGTTATCAAGCAGCATCACTGCCTACAGATAAATCTTTCATGAAAGGAGGAGCCAATCTGTGTGACAAACTTCACTGTGGTCTTATATTCAGAAATTGCCACAGCCACCCCAGCTTTCAGCAACCACCACCCTGATCAGTTGGTGGCTATTGACACTGAGGCAAGAAACTCCATGAGCAAAAAGATTATGACTCATTGAAAACTCAGACAATTATTATCATTTTTAGGCAATAAAGTATTTTAAATTAAGGTATGTACATTGTTTTTAGATATAATGCTATCACACACTTAATAGACGACAGTATATTATAAACATAACTTTAACATGCATCAGGAGACCGAAAAATTCATGTGACTCACTTTATTGCAATACTTGCTTTATTGCAGTTGTCAAGAACTGAACCTGAAATATTTCTGAGGCATGCTTGTAATTCCTGTTGAAAGGCACCAGATATTTGAAATCATTGAAAGACAGTGATGCTAGACTAGAATGCCTGTGGTAACACTTAAGAAAAATGACAGAATTGCCTAAGTGATTGTATTGCCAGAGATTTTAAATCTGTAATTAGGGTTATAGAATATTTTCATATTTCCACTCAGGCATTTTTTCTTCTACTCCAGCACCTAAAAATCTAAGAGATGAGTAAGAAACAAACAATAACACATGAGATAGTCTATTACAGTCTATACGTCTATGGCAATTATTTTCTTGTAAAAGTTACAAGCTCTGTAAGGATATCCACAAATAGGTAAACACTGGCATCATGGAAATCTAGCAACGTTTGAGAATAGATGTTAATAGCTATGGAAACTTACTCAACGCATGATATGGGAGAAAGTAAGAGCTTTATACTCAGGCAATTCTGGTTCCATCATTTATAAATAGTAGGGCTATGATAATTAGCATTAATCGAGTACCTATGGTGTTTTAGAACAGTTACGTGAAAGCTGTGAGTCTTAGATTCCTCATCTGCAAAAGACAGGAAATACTCTTATCTTTGTTGTGAACGTGCTTACATTAAGTACCTCACACATGATAGAGCTCACTAAAGTTCCTTTTCTTCTCCTTTTGGCTAGAAAATATTTAACAGCTTACCAATACATGTTCGTTTATTCTAGCCACAGATTTTATGTAAAATGATATTCTTATAATTCAGAATAAGTACATTTAATTTTGGCATAGGAGGCTAGACCCCTTATTTCCTTCTTTCCTTCCTTCTTCTTTTCTCTCTTTATATTTATTATTCCCACGATATATCTAGATCTCCTTAAATCATAGCAAAAAAAGTATAACAAACTTTCCTATACATAGCTATAGATTCTCCTAAGCAATGTGATTTGCCTTCACATTAGTTCATTTAAGTACCTGCCATGTAACAAGTACTATGCCAGCTCATGAGGATGGAAAACTGAACTGAGATTTATGCCTTCAAGAAGTTTAGGGCTCAGTGACAGAGTCAAGAAATCATCTACCACAACACACTGTGATAAGAGGCTTAGGATTATGCACAACACGTAAAGGAAGCAGGGTATGAGGAGGAGTATGGGGTGATAATGAATGTCTAATGACATGAGGAAGAGTGTTCAAATAAGTCTTTTTAAATGAAGGAGACTTGAGATAAGTTTAACCAAATGAGTATCAGTAAGTTAAATCAAGAAGAGGAAAAGAGACAGTTGAGGAAGTTTGAACAGCATTTGTGAAAGTATGGGAGTGTGAAGCAACAAGATGCTTCTTCCAGAAAGACTACTATGGAAGATGGTATTTTTAAAAATACCTGCCACAGTGTTTCCACACCCACATGCTTTTCAGAACTTTACCATTCCTTCATTCATGAGAGGTGCAGTCTGTGTTCTCTCCTGTTGAATCCAAGCAGGCTTTAACGACTGTCTCATTAATAAAGAATGGCAGACCTGACACTATGTGACTTCTGAGGCTAGATCATGAAAAGTGACACAGCTTACTCCATTTCCCCTTTGAAACATGTTTTCAGAGTCCTGAACCACCATGTAAGAAGATCAGCCTACTTAAAGCTTCTGTGATGAAGCAAACACATAGAAATGGCAGAGAGGAATGAGGAGCCCATTGTTCCAGCTCCCAGCTGCTCAGGACTTCCAAGCCCCAACGTGTGAGTGATATCTCACCATAGGCACTGAAATAACTGAAACTTCTTGCAAAATCCTGAATGAGAACTACCTAGCTGCGGCAGCTCATACTCAGAGCCATGAGAGGTAATAATATTAAATGCCTGCAATTGCTTTAAACTCCTGTTTTGGGATGGTTTATTATTTAGCGGTAGGTAACTAATGCAACTTCCTTGACTGTCTTCTCCTCCTGTGTATGGATTAGGAATGTTTTCTATCCATCTATTTATTTGACAAGATCCTTTACTAGTCTGTAACTTCTGGGATAGCAGGTCCCGGGCCTATCGTGATCACTGTTGCCTAGCGCAGTGCCTGGCACATGGTATGTATTCAATATATCACTATGTAATTAAGGCATAAATAAATGGAGTAGCTTTGCATGTTTAGAGAGTGAAAGGGGTGGGAACAATGGGAGATGAGCCTATTTAAGAGACAGATCATGAGCATCATTATGTACTAAGCTAAAACATTTTACTTTTTTGAAAGTTATAGGAACTCGTGAAAGGAGAATTTAAAGAGTAGAGTGACATAATCAGACTTACACTTAGAAAGATCACAGCAGTAATGGTATGGAGGATAGAATAAGATCAGAATAAGGAATACAAATAGGCTATATGGGGAAGGGCTGGTTTAAGCATATTTTGAGATATTAAAAATAAAAGGTAGATACTAGAATATCAAGAATATAAAATTTACATAATATATTTAATGGCAACTTTCTGCCACATGGGCTTTCATTTATACTAAAAAAATTAATTATGTCTCTTACATATGCCCCTTTAGGGCAATTTTTTAAAGTTTCTTTATTTGATTTTGCATTGTCTTCATAATTACTGATCATTTCTAACAGGCAGAAATCAGTCCCAAATAGTACCATATCCCAGAGATAAGTAAGTGTGCCTTATGTATTAATTTCTTGTGATCTCAAACAGTTAATAGATTTGAGCTAAGTCACCATGCTAATCATTTGGGAAATGAATTTCTTAGCTACTCATATGTCCTCTAAACTTCGACATCCTCTTTCTTTGGAAAATATGTTCTCCAACCAAGTTAGTTATTATTATTATTAGCAACCTTGAATCTTCAATATTAAATGAGTACCTGTTTTCTACTAGACCCATTAACCATGAAATACTAGCTACTGTGCCATATTTCCAGTTGCTTTGAATGGTCAGTTCCATGGGATGAGTATGTGTGGGGTTAGATGAGATGTGGGGAGTGGAAAGGAAGATGAGATCATGGTAATCTTTGGAAAAGAATAATCCTTGAGCAGAGAAAGACCAAAAGTCCCTAAAAGGAAGAAGGAGTAAGATTCCAGTACTAAAATTAAGATCAATGGACCTAAGAACAAGAGTAGATTCAAGGATCAATCCGCAGAACTAGAGGGATGTGGGAAACATGGCTGGTATCTTGTCTTAGTCCATTTTTGCTACTATAACAGAATACCACAGACGGGGTGCCTTATAAACAACAGAAATTTCTCTCAGTTCTGGATGCTGGGAAGTCCAAGATCAAAGTGCTGGCGAATTTGATGTCTGAGCACATTCCTCATAGACAATGCCTTCTCACTGTGTCCTCACATGGTGGAAGGGGCAAAAGGTCTCTCTCTGGCTTATTGTTTTTTTAGATGGAGTCTCACTGTGTCACGCAGGCTGGAGTACAGTGGCACGATCTCAGCTCACTGCAACCTCAGCCTCCCAGAATCAAGTGATACTCCCGCCTCAGCCTCCCAAGTAGTTGGGATTACAGGTGCATACCACCATGCCCGGCTAATTTTTGTATTTTTAGTAGAGACGGGGTTTCACCATGTTGGCCAGGCTAGTCTTGAACTGCTGACCTCAGGTGATCCGCCCCACCTTAGTCTCCCAAAGTGCTAGGATTACAGGTGTGAGCCACTGCACCCAGCTCTTTAGCCTTTTTTTAATAAGGTCACTAATCCTATTCATGAGGACTCCTCCCCCATGACCTAATGACCTCCCACAGGCCCCATCTCCTAAATCCATCACTTGGGGGTTAGGATATCACCTTATGAATTAATTTCTTGCCATTCTCCATTGGCCAGTCCCCTATGTGTCATATCAGAGAGGAGTTCCTGGTGTAGGTATGTTTTTCACGTTTTGTGTCTGTGGCTAAGTAGTGGCTGCTCACCACCTTATACACATGTAAATCCTGGAGCACAGATGAAATTCTTTCAGTACTTTTGCTTGACCTTGTAACACTGGCAGGTTCTACATGCCTATACAACTAAGAAGGTATCTCAAATCTCCTGATTTACCTGAACCATTGTGGTGAGCACTGGGGGAAGTTCACAAAACAGAATTGGCAAGTAGGAATAAACTTGTATTGTGTATGTAATTCTTAAGGTTTCAAAATTGTCATGCTAACACATCTGTGGCATTTAATAGTTTATTAAAATTTCATTTATTTTTTTCTTACCTGCTTTAATGCCTCTTCCTTCTATATTCTGACAAAGGTAAAACAACTCCAGTGTCCCTAAATTTCCTCAGAAGGGCTTTGGAATTCAGTTATTGTCTTGCAACTTCAGCTTTCCAAGGGGCTTAAAAATTTTTAATTTTCCAATTATCCATATTTTCTCATGTTAAAATAGGATCAATATTCTTTCATGGATTTCTGAAAAATCTATGAAAATCCAAAGCTGAAGCAGAAATGTTAATGTTTCTTCATTATAAAGAAACTGAACACATCTCCCTAACTAAGAGTTATAGGAATTGAATACTAAGGACAGTTGATGAAAATTGTTAACTGGAAAGGATGGATCTGCATAGGCATATGATAACTTCTGCCTGAGAAAAATTCTGAAAAGCAAGTGCTTTCCCCAGGCAGTAATCAGGAATATATCCCTTTGATATAGTTTGGATATTTGTCCCTGCCTAAATTTCATGTTGAATTGTAATCCACAGTGTTGGAGGTGGGGCCTGCTGGGAGGTGTTTGGATCGTGGGAATGGATCCCTCATGAATAGCCTGGGTCATCCCCTTGGTGATAAGTAAGCTCTCGCTCTGAGTTCACGTGAAATCTGGTCTTTTAAAAGTGTGTGGCACCTCTTCCTCCACCTCCACTCTCTCTCGCTTACTCCTCCTCTGGCCATGTGATGTGCCTGCTCCCCCTTTGCCTTCTGCCATGATTGTAAGCTTCCTGAGGCCTCCCCAGAAGCCAAGCAGATGTCAGCACCGTGCTTCCAATAAAGCCTGCAGAACCATGAGCCAATTAAACCTTTTTTCTTTAAAAATTGCTCAGTCTCAGGCATTACTTTACAGCAATGCAAGAACAGCCTGATACACCCATCATCACAGGGCATCATCCATGGGGAGTCTGAGGATTTTCAGATGTCAGTGCATTTGAAATTGAAATAAGCGCTGTAAGCTATAGGCAAATTCTCAGAAATGGTTTCATGTATTCTGGTTTATGTATAGAGGCTATTAGTTACTTTGTTATTTTATTTAACAAATATTTATTGAGCATATACTATGTACCAGAAACTCTTTATCGGCTCTGAGGATTAAGCAGTGAATAAAACACAGAATGAATTTCATAAGCTTCATTTACAATAGCTAATAGAAAACTGAGAAATACAAACATGCTGATTATTTGATTTCAGGTGGATGAAAAATCCAGTTATTTTTACCCACTGCAGACAGCATGAGTTATTACTTTTTGTGTATTACTGAGGCAAATTAATTGTGTTTTCCCAATCACTGAAAATATATATATTTTTTAATGGAGTTTCGCTCTTGTTGCCCAGGCTGGAGTGTAATGGCACAACCTCGGCTCACTGCAACCTCCGCCTCCCGGGGTTCAAGCGATTCTCCCACCTCAGCGTCCAGAGTAGCTGGGATTACAGGCATGCGCCACCACGCCCTGTTAATTTTTTGTCTTTTTAGTAGAAGACGGGGTTTCACTATGTTGGCCAGGCTGGTCTTGAACTCCTGACCTCAGGCCATCCACCCGCCTTTGCCTCCCAAAGGGCTGGGATTACAGGCGTGAGCCACTGCACCTGGCCCAGATTTTTTTGTCTCTTTTATATACTCAATGGCAAGACAATTTTCCCAAGTAGAACTCAATAATTCCCTCTTTGTTAGGGTGTATGCCAATTCAATATACAGATAACTTACTCTGAAATATGTTTAATTATATGTAGTTGGTCAAATCCCAATAACATTAAAATGTTTTATTTGGAAATATGGCATCTGTACTTTTCTCAGTTTCATTCTAAATCTTCCAAAATCAATAATACAAAAGGTACTTACAAACCTAACACATAAAAGAAATAGTTTAGATTCAACACAGGGTTTAGTAAGTGAAACGAATGCTTCAAGTATCATTGGCTGAATCAAAAATGAATGCCCTAAATACCCTGACTTGATCACTACATATTATAAACATGTAACAAAATGTTTCGCATACCCCATAAGTCTGTACAAACGAAATTTAAAAATCAATTACTTTAAGAAAAGTCTCTTTTATATGTATAAGGCATTGAAATTTTAGTGCTTGCTATGTACTAACAAATCCTGGCACCCCAAATATTACCAATACAACTTCTTGAAAGCCACATCAAAATCTATTGTTCACCATAGTAGGAGAGATCATCACCTTGACAAAGTTTCGGTCTTGTCTCATAGGGGGAAGAATGAGGTTGGATTTTTGTTGAGAATTATAAATTTGGTTTAAGATGTTTTCTGAATGCGGGGCTTGATTAAATAAGGATCATGATACATTAATTAAAATTGGAAATACAGCAAGGTGAGGACATCAACTGACTGTTAATGTTTTTCACTGAAGAGTTGGTGAGGCTTTAGGGAAGTTCCTATAATGAATAATACAATTAGTTGCCTGGGAAAGAGTCTCCTGGAATAATAAAGTGATACTAATGTAGACAACTGAATGTTAAAGTCACGTCAGTGGTTCTCATCTGTGACTGTTTTGCCTCCCAGAGGACATTTGGCAAAGCTGGGAGCCATTTTCCATTGTCACAACCTGGAGAGTGGGGTGCTACTGGCATCTTGTAGATAGAGGCCGGCCAGGGATGTGGCTAAACCATGCAATGCAGAGGACAACCTCCACAACAAAAAATTATCCAGCAGAGGACAACCTGCACGATTATCCAGCCCAATATGTCAATAGTGCCAAAGCTAAGAAATCCTGGTATAGACAAGAAGTCTATACAGGGCCAGATAGTAAAAATGTTTAGGCTTTTAGGCTATTGGATCTCTGTTGCAACTATTCAGCTCTGCTATTGTAGTGCAAAAAGAGCCATAGATAATACCAAAACAAATGGGCGTGGCTGGATTTCAAACTTCATTTATGAAAAGCAGGCAGTGAGCAAGATTTGGCCCATGGGCTGTAGTTTGTCAACTCCTAATGGAAACAGTAAGCTGTGTGGGGAGAAGTGGTTTCAGTTCTCAGCACAGAAGTGTATGGACAGATGGTTCTAGTTTTCAGCACTGTGCTTTGAATCTTCAATAGAAGCAAAAATATGTTTTAAAAACATAGGTAAAAGATGAAATAAATATAGAATGCCATATAAAAATCCCAGATCTTCCTAAAAACACTATAAATATTTCTATAAAATTGATTTTTCTGTGCTACCTGAACTATACCATAAAAGGAAAAACAACCCAATGATCTTATTGCCAGATCAGTAATATTCCAGGATGACCTAATGAAGAAGTTAAAACTACTCTTTGGCTGGGTTTTATCTGTACTTTCAAACTCATCTAATTTTAAAAAGTGATGACATGCAACAAAAATGTACTGTTTCTTTGAAAACAAAATATGACGTTGTTGACTACAGCTTCAAAATTATCCCTTTAAATCTTTGTGTTCCTTTTTGTTTTTTCTTTACCTTCTCACTTTTAATTATTTTCTTTCTCTGCGTTTATTACTTCCTTAAATTATATATATTTATTTGTTTACTGTTATAACCTCTCTGTGAAGTCAAGGTCTTTGTCTGCTTCAGTCATATCTGTGTCCCTACCACCTAGATGGCTGGAATGAATAATTGCACTGCTCAGAGAACCATTACTGTCATCATAGCAAACATTCACATAGCACTTATTATGTGCAAGGTACTGTTTAAAGCAACTTTCATTGATTAGTTTGTCTAATCACTTTACAACCCTGGGAGGAGGGCACTATTAATATTTACACTTTGAAAGATAAGAATCATGGGGTGCAAACAGGCTAAGTTACTTGCTCAGGTTCACAGAGCTAGCAAGTAACAGAGCTAAGATTTGATCCCATGCAATCTGGCTCCAGAATCCATTCTTTGAGCTACGACGCTATGCCTACCTCTCATGCTGATATGTTGCAAACATACACACATACCCCTTAAGCTGATATGTTGCAAACATACACACATACCTCTTAAGCTGATATGTTGCATATACACACATGCATGATAGTGAAATGTAGTTTAAATATTCCATAATTTCTCCAATGTAAAGCAGGTTGTATATTGAGCCTAGGTCTGCTGGCTTTGCCGTTCTGGAGTGGCATATGCAATATTAAAGTATATCCTCAGGGGAAAATGCTTAAGATGTATCTCTATGAATACCTGAGATGCTTCATGGAAAACAGAAGATCCTATTAAAGAGAGAGTTGGGGACACAGGCTTGCTTTGCCATAGATATTCCCACCATTAGAGAGAAAGGTGCTCGGGTCGGATCACAATGCCTATTGCTCCCCTTAAATATATATCTGAACCCTAGCAAAGAGAGGTGATATGGTTTAGATTTGTGTCCCCACTCAAATCTCATGTCTAATTGTAATCCTCAATGTTGGAGGAGGGGCCTGGTGGGAGGTGATTGGATTATCGGGGTAGATTTCCCTCTTGCTCTTCTCGTGATAGTAAGTGAGGTATCACAAGAGCTGGTTGTTTGAAAGTGTGTGGCACCTCCCCCCTCTCTCTCTTCCTCTTGTTCCTGCCATATAAGACATGCGTTCTTCTCTTTCCACCATGATTGAAGGTTTCCTGAGGCCTCCCCAGCTATGCTTCCTGTACAGCCTGCGGAACCATGAGTCAATTAAACTCTTTTCTTTAAAAATTTCCCAGTTCCAGGTATTTCTGTATAGCAGTGCGAGAATGGACTAATACAAGAGATTTCAACTGATAAAACCTGAAAGTGAAGTTTTCTCACAAAAATCTCAGTGAGGCATCAGGAGCAGCACAAGAAGCACTACTTGGTAATGAAACATGACACAAAGCTACAGGTTGAGATGATTCCCTGCTGTGCCAGCAGAGGGGCTACACTTCAGCATTACCTGGAATCCACAGTCACCAGTGTTTCTTCAGGGTTAGGGGAGCATTAGCACATGCCACAGCCAGGCAACACAGAGCAAGGGCTATAAGGCATGGCCATCAGCGTTGGCAGCAGAAAGGTAGTAGGAACAATCACACAGTAGCAGCAGTTGAGGGAGAGAAGGACATTCTGGGAGGTTTCAGCAGCTGGCATCACCGCAGGTAAGAGATATATTTCTATGTTGCCACACTGATGCTGGAATGTTCCTGAGACATCCCCAAGGAAGCCCCAAATAATTAAGTCAGGAAAAGGACTTTTTAGAGAGCTAAAGTTCAAGTGGCTTTTTATGGTAGGAGGTTAGAGTGACCCCATTTTTGTCTTAATGACAGTTTAGCCTCAAAAGATTGGCTTATAGCCACTCTAGAGCTAAGCCCAATGTTGAGAGAGAGAGAGAGAGACAGAGAGAGAGAGAGATTTTAAGTCTGTATATTTAGATCTAAATTATCTTTGGTCTTATAAATTGAGTAAATTAACAAAAAGCATAATGGTCTTGGCTGTACTCTGAATTGCAAATGCCCTGAAACTCTCTGAAAGTCATTTGGATATGCTTGCTGATAATACTTTTGATGAGGAATGAAAGTTATTTTTTGCTTGAGAGCTAATTAAGGTAATCTTTAAAATATATAAATCCCATGGTGAGCCCAAATAATGATAATCGAAATGTAGACCTTGCCAAAACTGAGAAAATCAAAATGCACGTTAAGATCTGTTAATATATTTAAATTAAAAAAATAAAAACAAAAAAGAAAGAAAAACCAATTAACTTCTGGAAACGGGGTTTGGTATTTAGAATGAGAAGACTAAATTACGCAGATACCACATTAACAGTTGGAATGTAGATAGTTTTGCCCAGCTGCCTTTCAAAGTTTTGCCATGCTCGTGGTAAGTTGCTAGAGAGCAGTGGAGCGAGATGTTTAAAAGGCCACAGTGGTATTCTCTAAATGGTCCACACAGGAATCATAAAAATCCCTGATGGAATCTTTAGCAGTCTGGAGGTAATTGGAAGGAAGGCATAGGGCTAGTAATTAAATCACAACTCGTTTTGGGGAGAGATTATATATAGATATACATACATAGGGACATATATAAATATAGAGAACTAGAGATTGGTATATACAAATTTATACATATATTCATTTACACAACACCTAGTCAGTCATTTTGGTTATTCCAATAAACAGCTGAGCAACTCCACTAAAAAAAGAAATCAGAGGCATAGGGCTTGGAATACAACTGAAAACCTGTAGAATATACATTTTCATATGACACCTAAACATCTGGTGCATTGAGGCAATTTAGTAGGAAAAGCAAAACAGTCAAATTGGTTTTGCGTTTTGTTTTATGCCTGAACTGACGAACCAACTCAGTCCAGTTCCTCTGGCAGTGCCATGTTTTTACTAGATTCAGGAAATCAGACAAATGCAATCTTTGGTTCTTCAGGATATTGCTGTGTGTTTCTTGCCTTTCTAATGGTTGTTTTTAGCATTGTATAAGAGCTGTCACAGCCTCTTCCACTGCATTATTATAGGGGGATCACTCTAGGAGCAATTTCTGTAGACACACTACTATAAAGATGTTACAGAATATCGGGTTGGATGAATCTGTTCCTAGCTCATTAGCCAGCCACACAGGAGTAATTCTGAATATCAGATCTGGACCCTCGGGGAACTCTTGTCCTTTTCTAAGACAAGCTGTAGAGTTTGTACTCTGCCCTACAACCTTGAGATGACCATTAATATTCAGAACTCCTTCATGGGTGCCATCACCAAATGACCATAATAGGACACCTGAGAGAACCATAAGATATGGGGCTGCTTCCAGAGACTTATAACTGGCATTGACAGGGACACAAGACATTTGTCTTATTCTGATTATATTGACTTCTTAGCTTAGAGGTAGAATATAAGTCAGGAAAACAAAAAGCTCGTGTAATTAGTTTGGTATCATTACATCTCTCCCCCAAGATAACAAAATAGTGCAGAATAGGGGAAGAAGAGGAGGTAGAAGAATTTCTTTCCGAGTACTATATTTTAAAAGCAAACTGGTAAGATGAACAGTTGAGGCATGCACTAATTCATCTAGCAAATATTTGCTATGCTAGGCTTGCAGTTACTGGGGTGAGAAAAAGTAGACAAGTTCCCTCCTCTGATGGAATTATAGCCTAGTGTGGGGTGCAAACTCTTATTAAATAATTACTCTGATGAGAAGAAGCACAGTTCTATTGAACATGTATTATGAAGAAAGCTAACCCAGAATGGGGGTCAGTGAGGTAATTTAATGAACGGAATATGGCTACACTAAACCCTACTCCAAACTGGAATGAAGGCCTACTTAAATCAGTCTTTCAGTTAATCATATCTGCTAAAAACTTTTGTAATAACCCCATTATTTGGTGTTGTAACTGCAAAGCTCTTTCCACACTAGCTACTGCAAAAGTTCTCATGCTTTGTGAAAATTTGAATCTGTGAGTGGGAAACAAAAGAGATAAAGTGTATCTGTATTATATGCTATGAAATAATTTTACAGATGGAGACTGTAAATTAATTATGTATACTTACGCACTATTAATACACAGACATAACTAGAAAATTCTTACCTTTCAAAACTGTAGCTAAAGAATTATTCCTTAAAGTTTCCTTAGTTTGATGCCAATCTGAAGACCCTGTTTTCTGCTTTAGAAGGACACAGATGTACGTGAAGCTGATTATTATTATTTTGCAACTTTGCAGTCTTCTTGTATTAAACTAATCTGTTTAGTGATGGAGCATATGTAGCTGGTAAAACTCCTAGTCCACATATTCATGTTTGCTGGAAAGGAAACATGAATAACTCTTGATTATTTATTTATTTAATTTCTATGTGATATTAGAAATTTACCTTAACCCAATCACTATCTCTCTCTCATTTCTGACTTTCCTTCAGGGTTCAATTTCATTGCAGGGAGATTATAGACTGTCAAGGAACAGGAAAGGGATGTGGTCTTGAGTAATCTGTGCACGTTGTCATCTTCCAACATGCCCTTGTTCTCGTTTGTTCATCTATTCCCACGTGTCATAGCCAAGTCCTACTCCCAACTATAAACCACTTTCAGTTTGGTTCTTTCTATGCCACTTATGGATGCATGGACTTTATCTTTTTTTCTTTTCCACTCTTTGGTGCAAATTTACTCTGTGATTTTCTCGGTCCTATTCGCCTAGATACTCAGTTCATCCATTTCTGAATCTGTATAGTCTTGCACCCTTTCTAGAGTTGCTTGGAAAAGGAAATCCAGGTTTTCTATGTTCTTTGATCCCCATAACTATCTGAGTTTCTCTTCAATCCCTACCTTTAATATGAGGGTGAGCTTAGTGGAAGTGCAAGGCTCAAGTTTAGCTTTTCTGAAGAATCCATTATAACTATTTAGTCAGTGCTTTCCATAGACATTTCCCTCAATCCATGTAATCTGGGGTAACTTTTCTAGTCATCAGGTGGAAAGTCATGCTCTGAGACATATTATCATTCTGCCATGAATCCCCTTATCAAAATCCCTTCTCCTCTGTTGCGGTATCCATTTTTGACACACAGATGCTCCGTTTTGTAGTTTCTTGAATGGGACAAATTCACAAAGGATCACAGATGATCCAATAGGCCACTGAGTAGTAGAATAAAACCTTATGTTAACATATTTTTTGTTTTAAAAAGTATTTTAAAAGTACTTTAAGAAGTTTGTTTCTGTATCACCTAGGCAACACAGAGCAAGAGTGATAAAGCATAGCCATCAGAATACGTGGCATGAAGGTAGTGGCAACAATCACACTCCAGCAGCAGTTGAAGGAGGGAAGGGCATTCTGGGAGGTTTCAGAAGCTGGCATGAGAAACACAAAGGACTTTTTAGTACTTCTGAAGATTACTCAGGAGTGGATATAAAACCTCAAACAAAACAAAAAAATACAGTTTCATGTGGGTTTTTAAAGAATCTCACTGTTCTGGAAAGAGAGGTCCCACTCAGATAACGGGTAGTTTATGTTTTCTTGGAGGACTATGGGACTGTATGCTTACCTATGTCTCTATTTCCTGTGGGTTTCATCTTCATCTCTCTCTCTCTCTTTTTTTTTTTTTAGATAGAGTTTCGCTCTTGTTTCCCAGGCTGAAGTACAATGGCATGATCTTGGCTCACTGCAACCTCTGCCTCCCGGGTTCAAGCGATTCTCCTGCCTCAGCCTCCCACGTAGCTGGGATTACAGGCACGCACCACCACGCCTAGCTAATTTTGTATTTTTAGTAGAGATTGGTTTTCTCCATGTTGGTCAGGCTGGTCTCGAACTCCTGACCTCAGATGATCCGCCTGCCTCCACCTCCCAAAGTGCTGGGATTACAGGCATGAGCCACCGCACCCAGCCCAGGGTTTCATCTTTTGACAGAGGAAGACAATATTATGGATCAAAAGGTTTATTGGAGTTTAGATTGTTAGAATGTTCCAAAAGTGAGCAGCAACAAATTTAATTAGAAGTTGCTTTTGTTTTCAGCATTTTCTTCCCAAAATAAAATATTCTATGATTTTTTTCTGTTCTCAGATGGAATAGAAAAAGGATACCAATCCATACATGTGTGTACAAATCATTCAATTATCACCCTCCAGTGTTTTTGACTTTTGGGTCTATTCATGCCCTTTATACCCTGTCAGACTCTCAAGAACAAACTTACGTGAATGCAATGATTTCTTTTTCACAAAAGCAGGGCTAAATTTATGTTTTCTTTTGTAGGTATTGATCCTTGGAAATTCAAACAAGACATTTATCTTTATTTTGTTGTGAGACAGCTGTATGAGCACTATTGCTAGGTTATACTGTCATTACTTAAAACATCACACTTTTCCATTCATTTTTAACTTTTAATTTTTGTGGGTATATAGTAGGTGTATATATTCATGGGGTACATGAGATATTTTGATACAGACATGCAATGCATAATAATCACACCAGAGTAAATGGGGTATCCATCTCCCCAAGCATTTATCTTTGTGTTACAAACAATCCAATTATGTTCTTTTAGTTATTTAAAAATGTACAAGTAAATTATTTTTGACTAGAGTCACCCTGTTGTGCTAGCAAATACTTGGTCTTATTCATATTTTCTAACTATTTTTTATACCTGTTAGCCGTCTCTACTTCTCCCCCATCCACTACCCTTCCTAGCTTCTGGTAACCATCCTTCTACTTTCTATGTCCATGAGTTCAATTATTTTAATTTTTATCTCCCACAAATAAGTGAGAACATACAAAGTTTGTCTTTCTGTGTCTAGCTTATTTCACTTAACATAATGACCTCCAGTTCTATCCATGTTGTTGCAAATGACAGGAGCTCATTCTTTTCTATGGCTGAGTAGTACTCCATTGTGTCTATGTACTACATTTTCTTTATCCATTCATCTGTTGATGGACACAGGTTGCTTCCAAAACTTGGCTATTGTGAACAGTGCTGCAACAAACATAGGCGTGCAGATATCTCTTTGATATACTGATTTCCATTCTTTTGGAAATATACTTAGGAATGGGATTGCTGGATTGTATAGTATCTCTATTTTTAGTTTTTTGAGTAAACTCCAAATTGTTATCCATAGTGATTATACTAATTTACATTCCCACCAACAGTGTACAAGGGTTCCCTTGACTCCACATCTTTGCCAGCATTTGTTATTGCCTGACTCTTGGACAAAAGCCATTTTAACTGGGGTGAGATGGTATCTCATTGCAATTTTGATTTGCATTTATCTGATGATTAATGTCAAGCAAATTTTCATATACCAGTTTGCCATTTGTATATCTTCTTTTCAGAAATGTCTATTCAGATCTTTTGCTTATTTTTAATCCAATTATTAGACTTTTTCCTAGAGAGTTGTTTGAGCTCCTTACATATTCTGGTTATTAATTCCTTGTCAGATGTGTAGTTTACAAATGTTCATTCCCATTCTGCACGTTGTGTCTTCACTTTGTGGATTGTTTCCTTTGCTGTGCAGTAGCTTTTATATTCGATTAGCTTTTATGTTCGATGTGATCCCATTTGTCCATTTTTGCTTTGGTTGCCTGTGCTTGTGAGGGTGAGGTATTTCTTAAGAAATCTTTGCCTAGTCCAATGTCCTGGAGAGTTTTCCCAATACTTTATTGAGGTAGTTTCATTGTTTGAGGTCTTAGATTTAACACTTTAATCAATTTTGATTTGAATTTTGTATATGGTGAGAGACAAAAGTCTAGTTTCATTCTTCTACATATGGATATTCAGTTTTCCCAGCACCGTTTTTTTCAAGAGACTGTCCTTTCCCCAGTGTATGTTCCTGGCACCTTTGTCAAAAATGAATTCACTGTAGATGTACGGTTTCATTTCTGGGTTCTCTATTTTAATGTTCCATAGGTCTATGTGTCAGTTTTTATGCCCATATCATGCTATTTTGGTTACTATAGCTCTGCAGTATAATTTGAAAGCCCATAATGTGATTTCTCCAGTTTTGTTGTTTTTGCTTAGGATAGCTTTGACTATTCTGGGTGTTTTGCAATTCCAAAAAAAATTTAGGATTGTTTTTTCTGTTTCTGTGAAGAATGTCATTGGCATTTTGATAGGGATTGCATGGAATCCATAGATTGCTTTGGATTGTATTGACATTTTAACAATATTGATTCTTCCAATCCAAAAACATAGAATATCTTTCCATTTTTTAATGTATGTCCTCTTCAATTTCTTGCATCAATATTTTACAGTTTTCATTGTAGAGACCTTTCACTTCTTTGGTTAATTCCTAGGTATTTTATTTGTAGCTATTGTAAATGGTATTGCTGTCTTGATTTCTTTTTCTGATTTTTCGCTGCTGGTACCTAGCAATGCTTCTTATGTTTGTATGTTGACTTTGCATCCTGCAAATTTACTGAATTTATTTATCAGTTCTAATAGCTTTTGGTGGACTTTTAAGGTTTTTCCAAAATATAAGACCATATCATCTGCCAGTAAAAATAATCTGACTTCTTCCTTTTCAATTTGGATATCTTTAATCTTTTTTTCTCTTGTCTGATTGTTCTGACTAGGACTTCCAGTAGGATGCTGAAAAACAGTGATGAAAGTGGACATCCTTGATGTGTTCCCTATCTTAGAGGAAAAGCTTTCAACTTTTCTCCCTTCAGCATGACATTAGCTATGGATCTGTCATTTATGGCTTTTATTATGTTGAGGTATGTTCCTTCTATATCCAGTTTTTTTGAGTTATCATGAAGGCATGTTGAATTTTAGCAAGTGTGTTGTCAGCATCCATTGAAATGACTGTGTGGTTTTTGTCCTTAATTCTGTTTAATGTGATGTACCACATTGATTTGTGTATATTGAACCATCCTTACATCCCTGAAATAAATCTGACTTTGTCATGATGAATGATCTCTTTATTGTGTTATTGAATTCAGTTTGCTAGTATTTTGTGGAGGATTTTTACATCAATGCTCATCAGAATATTGGCCTATAGTTTTCTCTTTTTTTGATGTGTCTTTGTCTGGTTTTGGTATCAGGGTAATACTGGTCTTATAAAGTGAGATAGGAAGTACTCCCTCGTCCCCTGTTTTTTAAAATAGTTTGATTAGTATTCATATTAGTTCTTTAAACATTTAATGGAATTCAGCAGTGAAGCTACCAAGTCTCAAGCTTTTTCTTGCCAGAAGAATTTTTATTACAGTTAAAACTCATTACTTGTTAATAGTCTGTTCAGGTTTTGGATTTCTTTATGGTTCAATCTTGAGAGTTTGTAAGTGTCTGAGAATTTATCCATGTCTTCTGCATTTTCCAATTTATTAGCATATAGATGCTCATAGTAGCCACTACTGATCATTTGAATTTTTGCAGGATCAGTTGTAATGTCTCCTTTTTCATCCCTGATTTTGTTTATTTGGGATGGGTCTTCTCTTTTTTCCTAGTCTGGCTAAAGGTTTGTGAATTTTCTTTATCTTTCCCAAAAACCAACTTTTTGTTTTGTTGACCTTTTCAATTATTTTCTTTATTTTAAATTCATTTATTTCTGCTTTGATGCTTATAATTTCTTTTCCTCTACCAATTGTGGGTTTGGTTTGCTCTTGTTTTTCTAATTCTTTAAAATGCATCATGAGGTTATTTGAAGTTTTCCTTTTTTCTTTTTTTTTTGAAATAGGCACTTGTAACTACAAACTTCCCTTTTATTACTGCTTTCACTGTATCCCATACGTTCTGATATGTGTTTTGTTTCCATTATCACTTGTTTCTGGAATTTTTCAATTTCCTTCTTAATTTCTTTATTGACCCACTGCTCATTCAGGAACATATTCTTTAATTTCCATGTGTTTATATAATTTCTAAATTTCCTCCTGTTATTCATTTCTGGTTTTATTCCACTGTGGTTAGAGAAGAGGATTGATTTCAATTTTTTGAATGTTTTCAGACTTGTTTTGTGACCTAACATATTGTCTATGCTTGAGAATGATCCATATATTTAGGAAAATAATGTGTATTTTGCAGCTGTGGATGAAATGTTCTGTAAATGTGTATCAGGTCCATTTGTTCTATAATGCAGATTAAGTTTGATGTTTCTTGATTTTTGGTCTGGAAGATCTGACCAATGCTGAAACTGTGGTGTTGAAGTTTCCATTATTACTATATTGGGGTCTATGTTTCTTTTTAACTGTAATAATATTTGCATCATATATCTGGGTGCTCTAGTGTTGAGTGCATGTATATTTACAATTGGTGTATCATCTTACTGAATTGACACCTTTACTATTATATATTGACCTCTTTTGTCTCTTCTTACAGTTTTTGTCTTGAAATATATTTTGTCTGATATAAGTATAGCTACTTCTGCTCTTCTTTGTTTCCACTGGCATGGAGTATCTTTTCCCAAACCTTTACTTTCAGTCTATTGTGTCTTTATAGGTGAAGTGTGTTTCTTATAGGCAACAGATCATTGAGTTTTGTTTTTTTAATCCATTCAACTATTCTGTGTCTTTGGGTTGGAGAGTTTATTCCATTTACATTCAATGTTATTACTGATAAGTGAGGACTTACTCCTGCCGTTTTGTTATTTGTTTTCTGGTTGTTGTGTGTCTTCTCTTCCTTCTTTCCTTCCTTTGCATCTTCCTTTAAGTGAAGATGATTTTCTCTTGTGGTATGATTTAATTTCTTGCTTTTTATTTTTTTGTTTATCTGCTGTATGTGTTTTGAATTGAGATTATCATGGGCTTGCAAATATCTTATAACTTTTTATTTTAAGCTGATAAAAACTTAACACTTTGCATGAACAAACAAACGATCAAGAAGAAAACTAATAAAACTCTATACTTTATCTCCCTCTACTTTTCAACTTTTTGTTGTTTTTATTTATCTTATGGTACTGACTTGGTCTTGAAAAGTTGTTGTGGTTATTATTTTTGATTAGTTCATCATTTAGTCTTTCCACTTAAGAGTAGTTTACACACCACACTTACAATGTTTAATATTCTGTTCTTCCGTGTACTTACTGTAACCAGTGAGAGTTTTGTACCTTCAGATGATTTTTTTTTTTTTTTTTTGAGACAAAGTTTCATTCTGTTGCCCAGGCTGGAGTGCAGTAGTGTGATCTTGGCATCTCGGCTGACTGCAACTTCTGCCTGCCGGGTTCAAGTGATTCTCGTGCCTCAAGCCTCCCGAGTAGCTGGGACTACAGGTGTGTACCATGACACCTGGCTAATTTTTGTATTTTTAGTAGAGATGTGGTTTCACCATGTTGGCCAGGCTGGTCTCAAGCTCCTGGCCTCAAGCAATCTGCCCACCTTGGCCTCCCAAAGTACTGGGATTACAGGTTTGCGCCACCGTGCCCAGCCCCTTCAGACGATTTCTTATTGCTCATTAATGTCGTTGTCTTTCAGAGTGAAGAACTCCCTTTAGCATTTCTTATAGGATAGTTCTGGTGTTAATGAAATCCATCAGCTTTTGTTTGTCTGGGAAAGCCTGTATTTCTCCTTAATATTTGAAGGGTATTTTCACTGGATCTAGTGTTCTAGGGATTTTTTTTTTTTTGCCTTCAGCACTTTAAATGAGTCATGCCACGCTCTCCTGGCCTGTAAGGTTTCCGCTGAAAAGTCTACTGCCAGACCTATTGGAGCTTCATTGCATATTGTTTCTTTTCTCTTGCTGCTTTTAGGATCCTTTCTTTATCCTTGACTTTTGGGAGTTTGATTATTAAATGCCTTGAGGTAGTCTTTCTTGGGGGAAATAGCACTAGGCTAGTTGCCAGAATTTTGTCCCCAGTTACACCACCTACTCACTATCTATGTGATTGTGTTCATATTCACAACATTCATAACTTCAGTTTTCTCACTCTTAAAATGGAAATCATATCTTCCACCCTGTCTCACAAGGCTTTTGCACAGATTTCATTATTGCTAAATCTTGACATTAAATAGTTCCTTTTCCAAAATAGAAATATTGTTCTCTTATTGTTGACTTAGAAGTTTCCTCAGACCATATTATGGCAAAGGCTCTCTAAGTTCATCTAGTTTCTCTAAAGCTCCCGTTAACCTAGACATTCCCATAGGAAAGATTTTCATTTGTGAGTCTGAAGGAAAGTCAGCATCATATTCTCAGGTCTTAGGAAAAGGGCCAGGGAAATATCTGTCACTGAATTCCTGAGCAGGCAAAATAGCCAAATCCATGCAATCATCCTTCCATAGATTTGCTTGAATGTAAAGGAGACTGTTTTTATTGATGAATCCAATGACATTCAACCTCATCAGCTAGTTTGGTGAGCCAAATCCATGAGGATAATGGCATTACATAATAGTGATTAGATCTCAGGGCAATTAGAGCAATTATATGATTAGAGGGATAACATCCTTTATGTAAGGCAATATGAACTCCCAGATCTGCTAGACTTTTGTATCACTTCATATTTTCATAGTGTTTTAGAAAGATATATATCCAAGACACAAAATATTAGAATATATATTTCATAGCTTTAAGGACAATATATATGGTCCTTGTGAAATTTAAAGATGAAAATATATTCCAGCTGAATCACTGACAGTTAGTTCCATTGCAGTAGGAGTATTGATTGTCAAGATAGCTGAATTATAAGCATGACTGCTACAAGCTTGCTTTCTCTCCATTAGGGGGACTACCCTATGTAAGAGGGTACATTTAGGAATATGTTGCTATCCATTTGCTAGGTTAGTTATTACTTTTCGCCTCTAGTTTGTACTGCACGTATTATGTGGTGAGCCTGGGATACCTTATAAAATAAGAACAAGTTTAGGAGAAGAGGAGAGAGAATAAAGAAGTTAAAGTTTATGCTATGTTTTGGGGGCACAGTGATTCAATATTAGTCATTTTGTTTAATTTGAATTTTTGCAAATTATGCTTCAGTGAATTAAGATGGAAATAGTTTAGACCTGATTTTGAAAATAAAAGGATGTTTTGTTTATTACATGCTCATCCCTTGTGTAGTCTATTTTCTTGATACCCAATTTAATATCTCCTGGTGATGAAGGTGATATCTAATTTAAAAGAAAAATAAACATCACTGGCAGTATATAGTGTGAATTTACTCTAAATTACTACTCATATGCAATTAAACATGGCTTCCCCCTTGGATTCTTTATAGCCAATGCACTTAAAATAGGTTGTTTTGGCACAGCCTGCACAGTTTGATACCATTCAATCTTCTTACTGAGATGTCGAGTGAATTTTTCTCTATCTTGAAGGAAAACCAAATGTAAGGTAGAAGGTTGAAATACAAACTGATATTAAAGAGGCATTAAACTCTTGCCAACATCATGTTTCTGTTTTATCTAGGAGAATAATTTTAAACCACAGGTGATTTTGCTCCCCAGGATACTCTTTTGGTCGTCACAACTGGGAGATGCTATTGCCATCTAGTGGGTAGAGGCCAAGGGTGCTGCTAAACATCCTACAAAGCATAGAGCTGCACCCTTCCCACCCCTGTCCCTTCTATCCATCACTATGTGGACCAAACAAAGCATTATCTGGGCCAAAGTGTCAATGGTGCCAAGGTAGAGAAACTCAGAGAAACTCTGACCTAGGAAAAGAGCATTTGATGGGATTTTAGGATTTTTGTGGCATATCTTTTACTAGCTGCATCAGTCCATAAACACTAATATATATTTCAGAAATGAAATCAACTGTTTTTGAGGGCATGCCTGCTTTGAGTTCAAATACACAGATTTCTCATCTGGATTCGAGGAGTTAGAACCTCATGCATATCCTCAGCAAATACTGCCTGCTTATAGAATATAGATTCTGTTAAGACAAGGCCCCATTTCCAGATTAAGAAAAAATGGCATACTTTCCACTAAAAAAAATCCATTCAAATGAAAAGATTATCATAGTCTTAGGTTAAACCATAAGACATCACTGAATCTATAGGTCAAAATTGTCACACATCAGCAATGTCATATGGTTAAACCCTCTACTATGTCATCCCTTGTCAGATGATCATGATCCGAAACAAACTCTCATTTGGAATGTCAGGACACTTCCTCAGTGTGCCTCATTTGTATTTCTACCTACTGTAATAACTATGGCTGGAATCTTAATACATTTGTGGTGACTCAATCATCAGTGAAACACTGTTCAAAATGTTTTTTACAAGAACTTTTGTCAAAAATTCCTTAGGTTGGCATACATTTTTCTTGAGAACTATAAAAATATAAGAGCTGAGAATGTCTATATCAGTCTGGTTTTGAAATAAAAGAAAGCCACTATAAGAATTATGGAAATAAGTCACTTGAGGTCAGAAGTTCAAGACCATCCTGGCCAACATGGTGAAACCTTGTCTCTACTAAAAATACAAAAAATTAGCCGGGCGTGGTGGTGTGTGCCTGTAGTCTCAGCTGCTCGGGAGGCTGAGGCAGGAGAATCACTTGAACCCAGGAAGGAGAGGTTGCAGTGAGCTGAGATCGTGCCACTGCACTCCAGCCTGAGTGACAGAGTGAGACTCCATCTAAAAAAAAATTTAAAAAAGAATTAAGGAAATAAGGGCTTTAATATAGCAATTAGTGATTAATATGAAAGGGGAGTAAGAGTCTGAAAGAATGCAGCTTAAAGATCAGAAAAATAGTAACATGACATCAATCTGAAGACTTGGAGTAGGTGATGAAGCCCCGATCCTAAGGAAGTCCAAGAAACTTCTCATCTACAAAGTGGGAGTTGGCAGAGTGGTCTGGAACTAGATGCCTGACCCATCTGATGGTCATGATATATTGAGCAATAATGCTCACTGAGAATTTCTCCCATTGGTAAACTCAAACCTGTAACTACAGAGTGAAGGTGGTTTTGAGAAACATAGTCCCCAACCTTAAGAGGGACTGGGAGTGGTGATGCCAAGCTGACTACAACCAAACCAGCACAAAGCAAATCACAATGTTATAACTACCTCATCACAAGTGAATATGAGGATGGGCAGCTTAAAATCTCATGAGATTACACAGTCTTGTAACTGCCTCATAAAAGAACTTATCAACAGGAAGACAAACAGAGGAAGGTCATTGTCATCCTTCTTGCATTGAGACAAAAAGAAGTGCCTTTTAGGAGAAAAGGGAGAAAGGGAGGTTGAATAACGTATTAATCGAGAAATGCATTTTCAGGAAATTCATATCTGACTGTCTCTACTAGCGTTCCTGTCTCGAAGCCAAGTGGTAAGATGAGACATGGACATCTCAAAGATAATGATGCACCTGTATTAGGTATAAGATGGTCAAGCTGTAATCCTCAATTCTGCAAAATATATGTAATTTTATTGACTTTCTCTAACTGAACTTATTTTTCTAATTTTTAGTACTTTATTGTAAAGTAGAAAATATATTCTTAGACAATTCTAGGTACATAATTATTTCAGGATTTAAAATAGTTCATTTCTGCTGTTTTCTTCCTCCCTCTCCATAGGAAACATCTGACTTTCAAGGGGCCTATGTCGTTTTCTTCCTTCAGAGAAAAATATCTGGTGTCTAGTCCATCTCAATTTATTTTGGTATCCATCTAAGATATTCCTGATTTTGCTTTGGTATATTAGTCAAGGTAGAATAGCCAGTGTTTATCAAACTCTCAGTGGTTAAGAAACAGTTTTTATTATTTTCAATCTGTCACAGACCAATACTTTTGTAAAATACAATAATGATAAATTACTAGAAGCATGAAATTAAAAAATAAAGCCAACAAAAACAAAAGACAAACCTGGATTTTAAAAATGAAATTCCACAGACATAAAATTTCTTTCAAATTGCCATAAAATTTTCTAGAAGCTTTATTTGAATTTCAGTACTTAATTTCTTCATAGGTTGGCATCAAAGAGTTTGCAGAGCAGAACCAGTCTGTGGACCATGTTTTGACTAATACTATGCTAAGCTATGCTGAAACAACAAATAAGACATGAAATCTCAGTGCCTTATAGGAATAAAAGTTTATTTTTTGTTCATGTAAAGTCTAATATGATCATTCCTGGTCTGTACTCTCCTGGGAAGTTCTCTTCTAAACAGTGACAGAAGGATCCATTTCCCTTCCTTCTTTGTGTTACTGCCTTTAAAACATAGTGTCTAATGTCACCCGAGAAGGCAAATGTGGGTAGACAAACCTATTAGGTTGCTGCAAAAGTAATTGCGGTTTCCGCCATGAAAAGTAATGGCAGAAACCGCAATTACTTTTGCACTGCCCTCATATTTAGACGCCTAGTTGGGAAGTGATACACGTTACTTCTGTTCATATCTTCTTGCCAGAGCTAATCATATGGCCGAACTAACTGCAAAGGAGTCTGGCATAGGTAAAGGAGCACATGAGTATTGTGAAATTCTAGTAGGCTTTTCCACAAATGATCTCATATATTTTGTGATATCTTTGTCTCAATTTCCACACCCCTCTCAGAGTATCCACAATTTTCAAAAGTTCTCTTGCGTTTTTAAAATTCAATTCTTGGGGGCCAGGTCAGCTGTGGCTCACGCTGTAATCCCAGCACTTTGGGAGGCCAAGGTGGGTGGACCACTTGAGGTTGGGAGTTCAAGACCCATCTGGCTAGCATCGCAAAACCCCGTCTCTATTAAAAATACAAAAATTAGCCAGGCGTGGTGGTGGGCACCTGTGGTCCCAGCTACTTGGGAGGCTGAGGCAGGAGAATCGCTTGAACCTGGGAGGTGGAGGTTTCAGTGAGATGAGATCATGACGCCATTGCACTCTAGCCTGGGTGACAAAGTGAGACTCTGTCTCAAAATAAATAAACGAAATAAAATGAAATGAAACTCATGGGGTCTGTTGGGGAGACTCATGTGGCTTGTCTTAGGTCCTGACTAGATATGGCTTGCTGCCACTTACTCTTTATGGACACTACACTATTAATGACCTTTGAAAAATCTCTGTGCAATTTTACACAAGAACTATGCATTAGTCTCCTTGGTATTTAGATTCCCATGTGTCCTAGGGAGTCTACTATTTCACCTGGGATTCTGTTGAGAGTTGTGCTGGAGCTGACTTAAACTCCTTTCAAGGACATGCTCAGAATTTAACTTGATCGCTTCCTTTCTGACTCTTCTCTCTCTCATCAGCCTCTAGAATCTTTATAAAATCTAAGGCAGGAAAAGTGGTTCTTTAATCATCATAATGCATTCTCATTAAATTTACTGTTTACGGGACATATTTTCACTTTGGTACTCAAAGCACTTTATTTTCAGATTTTGAGACCCTCCCCCACAACCATTTTTACTCAACCTACTGTCTTTTCTGGAAGTTCAAACATCAATTTTTTTGACATTCCATTCGTCATCAGGATGTAGAAAAATGTGAAATACCAAGTGGGAACAACAATTACACACTGCATACAATAAAATAATCATACATACGTAGATTTATGAAGCTATTGAATAACAGTAGATGCTGAGAAGTCTTTTTTTTTTTTTTTTTTGAGACGGAGTCTGGCTCTGTCGCCCAGGCTGGCGTGCAGTGGCCGGATCTCGGCTCACTGCAAGCTCCCCCACCCGGGGTCCCACCATTCTCCTGCCTCAGCCTCCCGAGTAGCTGGGATTACAGGTGCCCGCCACCACGCCCAGCTAATTTTTTGTATTTTTAGTAGAGACAGGGTTTCACCGTGTTAGCCAGGATGGCCTCGATCTCCTGACCTTGTGATCCGCCTGCCTCGGCCTCCCAAAGTGAGAAGTCTTAATTAACTGAATTCCAGAGAGGGATGCACTCTTCTTTGGTGAGCAAAGAACCACAGACACTTACATAATTGGAAGCAAGTGCCTCTGAAGGATATGAGTTTTAAGAGGAACAGGCCTGACAGAGATTAAGAGACTTCGTAGGACTAGGAAAATATATCTGAGTTTTTAGTGACATGGTTGCCTGGCAGGATAGATTGGAATTTGGCAGAGCCCCAAATGTAAAAACAAACCACTTGGTCACATCTAAGAATTTCTGTTTCATACCTTAAATATTTTTCAGAGTAAGCAGCAGAGAGTTGTAGAGTTTGCAGTGGAGGTAAGGCTGGAAAGCAGAGAGTTTGTATAGCTCTGTTGTTCAGATTTTCAGGCCCTGCTGACATTGAATTCAAAGATAAATTAAAAAAAAAAAAAAACTCACGTTACAAGCCAATACCTTCCTAGCTCAAATCCTAACAAGATCAAAGAGATTAACCCCTCAAGTTAGACTGAAAAGAAAAGGGAAATCTCTATTTCCATTTGAAACTATAGGTAACCAAATTAATTAAAGCTACATTTTATCCTTAGCTCACATCAATTTTTGGTCTAAACTGTAACACAAGTCTTTTGCCTCAGCTGCCTTTTAGAGGAAACAAATTCTCCTTTTTAGAATCAAAAAGAAATTGAACAAAAATAATATACTTCAGACTTCTGTATTTTTAATATATAAAATTTGGCATGCAATAAAAAATTTAAGCAGGAAAATGTAATCGACAATGAGGAGATATAAAACAACAGTCAATAGAAGCTGAAACACAGATGTCACGGATCTTGAAATTAGTACATAAGTACTTTAAAGCAACTATAATAAACATGTTAAGTAATTTCTAAGAAAAGATGGAAAGAATGGGTGAAGAGATGGGGGAATGCAAGAGGGATATTAAAACTCCAGAAATAACAAAATGGAAAGTTCTAGGACTAGAAAAACAAAATATTTGAAGTGAAATAATTGAACACAGTAGAAGAAAAGAACAGAAAATTTCAGACAAATTATCAAAAATGAACCACTCAGAGAAAAGAGAGCATCAGTGATTAGGAACGATATCAAATATACTAACATATATGTAATTGAATTTTCAGAAGAAGAGGAATGAGTGGGTTAGAAAAAATATTTGAAAAATTAGTGCTTCCAAATTTTCCAAATTTGAAGAAAAACATCAATGCACAAATTCAGGAAGCTCAGTAAATTCCACATAAGATAAATGCAAATAAAACCACAAACAAACTGCAAGAAACAAAAGATAAAGAGAAAACCCTTTAAGAGCAGCTGAAAGAAAAAAGACAAAGTACATATAGGGGGAAAATGATAAGAATGATAACTTACTTGTCATCAGGAAGAATGGAAGCCACAAGATAAGACAATGGCTCCCTTAAAGTGCTAAAGAAAAGAACAGTCACCTTAGAATTCTACATTGAGTGAACATATTCTCAAAATAAAAAATTAAAGACTTTTTTCAATAAATGAAGGTTGAAATAATTATTAATCAGCAGATCTTCATTATAATAAATATTAAAGGAAATCTTCATTCTAACAGAAATCATACTATATGGAAACTTATCTCTACACTAAGAAATGAAAAGTTCTGGATCCAGGGAGACAAGATAGCTGACTAGACACGGTAGTATGTGACTCCTCCATGAAAAGGAACCAGGATAGTAAGTAGGTACATTCCAAACAGATCGTATAGGAGATAATTCACCAGATAAGAGACAAGAAGCACCAGAAGTAAGTAAGGAGAGGGCTTGAGGTAGCTTGCCTAGCCAGGAACTGACTGATCGCTGAGAGAGGCTCCTGGTTGTGGGGAAACAGTATGGGGAAAACCCCCAGAACTCTGAAATGAGCTTTTATGACCTTAGCTGTGGGAGGAATCCTTGATCCACGAGGGCCTTGGGCCTGATATATGGAGCTGCCTAAAGATTGTATGGAGACATTACTCCAGAAAGAGAATGCACACAGAATCTCACAGGCATTTGAACTTGGAGCAGCCTCAGCTGGGGGCCATTTTGAGACCTAGATACCAGAGATTTGCTGACATGGCTGCTGCCACTGCACTGCTCCAAAGTGAAATAGGAGAGACCAGGCACTCCCACTACCCCTGGGAGGGTTCCTGCTGCCCTGATATGGGCTACTATTGAGACTGAGCCATAAGTAGATCACACTCCCCACAGCTTATTGCCACTGCTGCTTGCCTGGGAGGTGCCCCACCTCTGGTCCTAGGCCCAAGGTGTCATTTTGAGAGTTTAATGCTGAGATGCAGCGCACCTTGAGCTCAGACTGACACAATTGCAGCTGCCACCCACCCAAGGAGGGACAAGGAAACCGGGATATCCTATGTGTATTTAGGACAATACCAACTACCCTGCCACGGGCTGCTGTGAGACTGAGCTGAGACTCAAGTGGACAACACTCCTCACAGCTTCTTGCCAAAGATGCTTGCCTAGGAGAGGCCCCACACTCCCTGGTGGCAGGCCCAAGGTGCGATTTTGAGAGTTTAATGCTGGGCTGCACCCTGCCATTGGGCCAAGTTCGAGTTGATATGGCTGCAGCTGCTACCCAGTCAAGGAAAGACAGGGAAGCCAGGCTCTCCTACACATACCTAGAACAATACCTAAAGCCCTGCTACAAGCTGCTGTGAAACTGAGACTTGGTATACCAGACTCTCCACAGCTTTGCCCATACTGCTTACCTCAGAGAGGCCCCACTCACTCTGGTCTCAAGCCCATAGTTGGTACCATTTTGCGAATATAATGCTGGAATGTGACCCACCCTCAAACTGAGCTCGAGGAGATGCAGCTGCAGCCACCATCCAGCTAGGGAAGGGACAGGAACACCAAGCTTTTCTAAGCACACTTAGGAAAATACTCACCACCCTGCTACAGGTGGCTGTGGGGTTAGGGACGAGTCTACTCGGCCCATTACAGGTTCCAGCAACAGCAACACAGACTACTTGGGTCTAAGTGGTTTGCTCCAAGGGGCCTTAAATATGGAAATAGATGGTTGACATTCACCATCACAAAAACACTTGAGAGTATAAAACACGGACTTCATATAAAACAACCACATAAAGGAGGCAAAAAAGGAATCAAACAGCAACATAACAGAATTTCACCAAACCTCAAAGAAGAAAAGAGAAACAGAAACAAATAATTTATGAAAGAAAGAATTCATAAAACAATTAGAAAATAATCAACAATATGACAGGAACAAAGCCTCACCTTATCAATACTAACCTTGAATGTAAATGGTTTAAATTCTCTGCTTAAAAGATAGATTGTCAGAATGGATTTAAAAAAACATAATCCAACTATTAAATATATGCTGCCTGCAAGAAACTCACCTTTCCATAAAGACACAATAGACTAAAAGCAAAGGGGTGGGAAAAGATATTCCACACATGTCGGCCGGACGCGGTGGCTCAAGCCTGTAATCCCAGCACTTTGGGAGGCCTAGGCGGGTGGATCACGAGGTCAGGAGATAGAGACCATCCTGGCTAACATGGTGAAACCCCGTCTCTACTTAAAAAAAAAATAGAAAAAATTAGCAGGGCGTGGTGGCGGGTGCCTGTAGTCCCAGCTACTATGGAGGCTGAGGCAGGAGAATGGCGTGAACCCGGGAGGTGGAACTTGCAGTGAGCCGAGATCGCGCCACTGCACTCCAGCCTGGGAGACAGAGCGAGACTCTATCTCAAAAAAAAAAAAAAAAAAAAAAAAAAAGATAATCCACACGAACAGAAATCAAAAGCTAGCAAGAGTAGCTATACTTATATCAGATAAAGCTGACTTTAAATCAAAAATAGTAAAAAACAAAACAAAACAAAACAGTCATTGTATAATAATAAAGGGATTCAGCAAGAGGATATAACAATCCTAAATATATAGGCACCCAACATCAGAGCAACCAAATTCACAAAACAAACATTACTAGACCTAAAGAAAGAGATAGCTGCCAGGCACAGTGGCTCACGCCTGTAATCCCAGCACTTTGGGAGGCCGAGGTGGGTGGATCATGAGGTCAGGAGATCGAGACCATCCTGGCTAACACGGTGAAACCCCGTCTCTACTAAAAAAAAAAAAAAATACAAAAAATTAGTCGGGTGTGGTGGCAGGCGCCTGTGGTCCCAGCTACTCAGGAGGCTGAGGCAGGATAATGGCGTGAACCCGGGAGGCGGAGTTTGTAGTGAGCGGAGATCGCGCCACTGTACTCCAGCCTGGGCGACAGAGCGAGAGACTCTGTCTCAAAGAAAAAAAAAAAAAAAAGGTAGCGGACTTTAACATCCCACTAACAGGACTAGACAGATCATGAAGACAAAAAATTATCAAAGAAATGTTGGACTTAAATTAGACTTAAATGGACTTAGCAGATAGTTATAGAACATTCAACCCAACAACTACAGACTATACATTCTTTTCATCAGCACATGAAATACTCTCCAAGACAGACCACACATTCAGCCACAAAACAAGTCTTAACAAGTTTAATAAAATCAAAATTTTCTCAAATACCTTTTCAGACGACAGTGGTCTGAAATCAATACCAAGCTAGAAATCAATGCCAAGAGGAACTTTAGAAACTATACAAATACATGGAAATTAAACAGCATGCTACTGAATAATCACTGGGTCAATGAAGAAATTAAGATGAAAACTAATATTTTAAATGAATAAAAATGAACACATAACATACTAAAACCTGTGGGATACAGCAAGACAGTGCTAAGAGGGAAGTTTACAGCATTAAATGCCTACATCAAAAAAGTAGAAAGATTACAATTAAATAACCCAATATCGCACCTCAAGGATCTAGAAAAACAAGAACAAACCAAACCCAGATTTAGCAGAAAAAAGGCAATAACAAAGATCAGAACAGAGCTAAATGAAATAAGCATCAAAAAATATGAAGGATTAAACAAAATGTTGGTTTGTTGAAAAGATAAAATTGATAAACTATTAACTAGACTAACTAAGAAGAGGTAAGAACCAAATAAACACAATCAGAAATGAAAAAGGGACATTAAAACGGATACCACAGAAATATAAAAGATCATCAAAGACTATTATGACAAGTATATATTCACAAACTAGAAACCTAGAAAAGATGGCCTAACTGACATATATAGAACACTACTCCCACAATGATAATAGAATACACATTCTTTATATGTACACATGAAACATTTACAAAGATTGACTATAGTGGAGCCATAAGACAACTCTCAATAAATCTTCCTGAATAGAAGTCATTATGTTATTTTACAGCAAAAGAATTAAATTGGGGACCAGGCGTGGTGGCTCACACCTGTAATCCCAGCACTTTGGGAGGCCGAGGTGGGTAGATCACAAGGTCAAGAGAGTGAGACCATCCTGGACAACATGGTGAAACCCCGTCTCTACTAAAAGTACAAAAATTAGCCGGGCGTGGTGGTGCATCCCTATAGTCTCAGTTACTCAGGAGGCTGAGGCAAGAGAATCACTTGAACCCGGGAGGCAGAAGTTGCAGTGAACTGAGATCGTGCCACTGCCCTCCAGCCTGGGTGACACAGCGAGACTCCATCTCAAAAAAAAAAAAAAAAAAAGAAAAAAGAATTAAATTGGGAATTAATAATGAAAGAATCACCAGAAAAATCTATTAACACTAGAGTCAAAGTAGAAACCATGAGAAAATTTAGAAAATATTTAAAATATAATGATAACAACAACAAAATATTACAAAATTTATAGACTGTAGCTAAAGTAGTTCTTAGTTGGGAATTTATAACTTTAAATGCCTTTATTAGAAAAAGAAGAATGTTTTCAAATTAATGAAGTTTCCACTTTGTAAGTTAAAAAAGAAAAACAAACCTAAGGTATGTAGAAGATAGAAAACAATAAAAATAAGAGTGGAAATGAATAAAAAACAGACAAACAATAGAATAGATAAAGACAAAATTTAGTTCCTTAAATATTTCAACAATATTTTCAAACAAAGATTGAGGGAAAAAAAGAACACAAAATATTAATATTATGAATGAGAATGGGACCATCACTACAGATTCTACAGATATCAAAAAACTAATAAGAGAATATTATGAACTACTTTATGTCAACAAATTCAGTAAGATAGATGAAATGGACAAATTCTCTAATAAACACACCTCACCATGACTAATGCCTCAAGAAGAAATAGCAAATTTGAGTGTCTGGATATCTCTTAAAGAAATTGAATTCATAATTAAATTAAATTAGAAGTATTTACATTAACAGATAAAAGTAATCTATAGGGAAAGAAATCAGAAAAGTAGTTTGTTGCCTCTACCAGGAGGTTGACAAGAAAGAGTGAAGAAAGAACACTGTGGGATAATAAAACTACTCTTTATCTGATTTAGGTTTTTGTTTTATCATTACATACATTTGCCAAAACACATCATGTACATTTATTTGTTATTTGATGTTCACACATAGGTTAAATTTAATATAAATTAAATTAATAGATTTAATTTAATCTATTTAAATAGACTTAATTTAATTTAATCTTTTAATTAATAGATTTAATTTAATCTATTTAAATAGACTTAATTTAATTTAATCTTTTAATTAATAGGTTTAATTTAATCTATTTAATTAATAGATTTAATTTAATGTAATCTTTTAATTAATAGATTTAATTTAATTTACTCTATTTAATTAATAGATTTAATTTAATTTAATCTATTTAATTAATAGATTTAATTTAATTTAATCTATTTAATTAATAGATTTAATTTAATTTAATCAATTAATAGATTAAATTTCAATAAAACTGAGTTTAAACAAAATAGAATTAATGGTAAAAAATATTAATCCACCTAATGTAGGCAAAAAAGGAAAAGTCATTTTGAAATTAAAAATTTAAGGAAGGTCTTAGATTCTTCTTGAAATTGGAGAAAGGCTCACAGGACAAAAAGAATCACTAGGAAATATATGTCTCACATATAAACAACAATTACATTGGGAGGCCAAGGCAGGAGGATCACTTGAGGCCAGGAATTCAAGATCAGCCTGAGCAATATAGCAAGATCCTTTCTCTCCAATAAATTAAAATAAAAATAGTCAGGAGCGGTGGTGTGCCTCTGTGCCTATAGTCCCAGCTACTCGGGAGGCTGAGACAGGAAGATTTCTTGAGCACAGGAGTTCAAGGCTGCAATGTGCCAGGATCACACCACTGCACTCTAGCCTGGGTGACATGGCAAGACCCTGTTTCTAAAATATGAATACAAATAAATAAAAAATAAACAACAATTGTATTCACTAGTTGCTGTGAATCAAGCACTTACTGATTTGTTGAATGAAAGAACTTCATAAAATTAAAAAGATTAGTCTGATTGAGATAGGTGCTTTACCCAAATTATTTATTCTTATTTTGCCTTCACAACAACACTGAGGTCAACATTATTTGCCAACACTGAGGCTGAATTTGGAGGATTGCTGGAGCCCAGGAAGTCAAGGCTGCAGTGAGCTGAGATCACGCCACTGCACTCCAGCCTGGGCGACAGAGCAAGACCTTGTGTCAAAAAATAAGTATTACATAAATAAAATATTATATATATGACATTGGTTCAACACTGCTCAGGCCACATTAGGCCACATTAGGCCCCTCTGGGCCAGTGATGGGAGGGGCTGCCATGAAGTTCTCTGACATGGCCTGGAGACATTTTCCCCATGGTCTTGAGGATTAATATTAGGCTCCTTGCTACTTATGCAAATTTCTGCAGCTGGCTTGAATTTCTCCTCAATAAAATGGGTTTTTCTTTTCTACTGCATCATCAGGCTGCAAATTTTCTGAACTTTTATGATCTGTTTCCCCTTTAAAACATAATGCTTTTAACAGCACCCAAGTCACCTTTTGAATGCTTTGCTGCTTAGAAATTTCTTCCGCCAGATACCCTAAATTATTTTTCTCAAGTTCAAAGTTCCACACATCTCTAGGGCTGGGGCAAAATGCCACTAGTCTCTTTGCTAAAACATAACAAAAGTCACTTTTGCTCCAGTTCCCAAGAAGTTCCTTATCTCCATCTGAGACCACCTCAGCCTGGATCTTATTGTTCATATCATTATCAGCATTTTTGTCAAAGCCATTCAACAAGTCTCTAGGAAGTTCCAAACTTTTCCACATTTTCTTGTCTTCTTCTGAGCCCTCCAAACTGTTCCAACCTCTGCCTGTTACCCAGTTCCAGAGTCACTTTTACACATTTTTTGGTATCTTTTCAGCAACGTCCCACTCTACTAGTACCAATTTACTGTATTAGTTTGTTTTCACACTGCTGAAAAAGACATACCTAAAACTGGGAACACAAAGAGGTTTAATTGGACTTATATTTCTACATGGCTGGGGAGGCCTCAGAATCATGGTGGGAGGCAAAAAGCACTACTTACATGGTGGCAGCAAGAGAAAAATGAGGAAGAAGAAAAAGCAGAAACCCCTGATAAACCCATCAGATCTCGTGAGACTTATTCACTATCACGATAATAGCACAGGAAAGGCCGGCCTCCATGATTCAATTACCTCCCCCTGGATCTCTCCCACAACACGTGGGAATTCTGGGTAATACAATTCAAGTTGAGATTTGGGTGGGGACACAGCCAAACCACATCAATGTTGATACTATGATATCAGGATAATCTACAAAAGAAAAGAGTTGTAAATGTCAGGAAATGCACAGGATAGAAACAGGATGTGGTTAGGCTATTTCTCTTTGTTTTTTAATATTCATGGCAAAAAATATGGAACACAGTTTTCCTTCACTTCTTATGTGAATACAAATCAAAATAGAACAAATGCAGTAGCTTGGAGCTGGTGTCAGAGTTATTGCTCTGGAATTCACAGTGAGGTATTTGAGAGGTTATCAGTCTGCAACAAGTCGTTATATATCAGTTTTATTGGTCTAACATTTCTTTTGCGCTCAGATTAAGCATAGCTTCAAAATCTAAAGTCATTCAGGCAAGGGGAAAGGTTCCATAAATAATAGAATCTTAGAATTTTATTGCCTGAACTAACAAATCTTGGAGATCATCTGGTATACTCCATGCATTTTACACATGAAAAACATTTAGCCACAAAGACGGTAAGTGACCTAACTAATTTTCATATGGCTTGTTAGTGGCACAGCCTGGTCTCCAGTCTCCATCTGGTATGTTTTTGAGCAAATTGTCCCAAATTTATTGTCTTAAAAATAAACTGGGAAATGTACCGATTATATTTGTTTTATTCTCTTCCACTGACAAAACATTGCCATTCTGTGAAACGACCATTCAATCAACATGGTTGTGAAAGTAGATCTGTCCCAGCAATATTCTTCTTCAGCAGTATGCTTCTGTCTCTTTTTTGCCCTCACCTTTCACTTTTTCCTTCCTCTTTTCTTCTTCCTCATTCTCCCGCTCTGTTCCTTATTTCCATTCCCGCTCATCTATCTCCCTTTTTTCTCTCTTTCCCATGTTTATAATTGGGCTACCTAAAAAATAAGCACCATGGTCAATGGTCAAGTCAATCTTTTATGTGCCAACCCTCTTCACAAAGGTAAGTTAAGTATTTCTTTAGTGAACGAGTTGAACTTTCAGATTATAAATAATAGTAAATTAAATGGAATTTTACATGTGTAATTAAAGTTTCAAAGTTTTATATTTCACGTGAAGAAACCAAGCTCTGTTCAACACCTTCAGGTGAAAATGCTTCTAATGAAAGTGTAAACCATATCTTCCATTAACAATCGCTCATGCTTCAGAAGAATCATCAGAATTAATACATTGAAAAATTGTTTTTTGGTGCCAGTAACACTGACCAATACATATCTAAAACAACCATAATATTTGAGTATGGTAGGCTCTGACTAGGACGTTCAAATGTTAGCTAAATCAGAAATGAGAAAGTGAGAATCATATTGGGTGAGTTATTGGCTGATTTTTTTTCTCAGATCCTATTCAGGTTCTACTGCTACGTAACAATCTACCACGACACATAGCAGCTTAAAAAATGACAATGTTTACTTTGCTCGTGGGTCTTCAATTTGGACAAATCTCAATGGGGACAGCTTGTCTCTGCTCCATATAGCATCAGCAGGGGTAGCTCAAAGGCTGAGGTATGGAATTATCTTAAGCCTCACCCCTTCCCTTGTCTGGCCCTTGATGCCAGCTGTCAGCTAGAACACTAGCTGGAACTGTGACCAGAATACCTACATGGGCCCTTCCTGATCTCTGCTTGGCTGTTGCTAATATCTGGGCTACCTCACCGCCCTCTGTTTGACTTTTCAGGTAAATTAAAAGTTATTATTTGCAATTATTTCCCTATAGTAAATTCCCTGTTAGATTACAACCCAAAGAACTTGGGTTGCAAGGATGAACTACCAGAAAGAGAGAGACACAGAGAGGAAAAATAATAACAAGGTAGAAGCTATGTCCTCATTTATGAATTCATGCAGCCACGTTTTGCTATATTCTGTTCCTTAGGAGAATGACACTAAGGCCAGCCATATTCAGAGCAAAGAAGAATTAGAGTCCACTTTTCATAACAGGAGCATGAAAGAATTTATGAATGTGTTTCAATACCACTATAATTTTCTTCCTGTAGTCATTTGCTTGTTTGCTCAGATCCAACCCCTGCTCCTCCCTTGCTTGTCTATATTTCAGGGCATTTATATCTACACACTACATTTCCGAGGACTCCTGGCCTAATGGCTTCTGGTTAGAGGCAGCCAGTGGGAGGCATTGACAGGAAATTGGAGGGCAAAGGAAGTGGGGGTGGGGTAGCCAGGGTAGTCCTTTCCTTCTCTTTCTGCTTCAAGCAAAGTCTTTGGCAGTGCACGCACCTCCTTTTTGGTTCAGTTCCAACTGAGAGTCCCCAGTTCCTGCGCCCTGATACCACCACCTCTTCCATCAGTCCCTCCACCAGCAGTGGTGGTAGCTGACTTACATTGTTAATCCATAGATTCCCTCTCCCATATTCTGTTTAGATTTTTCAAGTCTTTTGCAAACTATACTTTGTAATTAGTTCCAAGTATAAGCTTTTCTTTAATGAATTATCCCATTATCCCTAAGGATTTTACTTTTATTTATTTATTGAAATGGAGTGTTGCTCTTTTGCCCAGGCTGGAGTGAAGTGGCGCAATCTCAGCTCACTGCAACCTCTGCCCCGTGGGTTCAAGCGATTCTCCTGCCTCAGCCTCCCAAGTAACTGGGATTACAGGTGCCTGCCACCATGCCTGGCTAATTTTTGTATTTTTAGTAGAGACGAGGTTTCGCCATGTTGGCCAGGCTGGTCTTGAACTACCAACCTCAGGCGATCCACCCTCCTCGGCCTCCCAAAGTACTGGAATTACAGGCGTGAGCCACCGCGCCCAGCTAGGATTTTACTTTTCTAACTGGATAAAAACTGACACATATGTGAAGAAAAGCCAAAGAATGTTAATTTTAAAATGATGATAATTTCATTGAGAGCTAGAAAGCATATTGGGGCCCCTGGTTCAATTATACAGTTTTGCAGAACAATAGCCATGAAATGTTACACTAACTACACATTTCACATTTCACCTGTATTTATGCAAAACAGGTAAATAACAAGTGTCATGGAAAATTTAAGTGACTGTGTCCTAAAGTGCAGAATAGGTTCGGGACAATGCTGCAGGTCAGCCACATCACGATATAAAAGAGTCAAGTGGTAATATTGATAAAGGCAAGGACATACATAGTGCATTTTTTACATGGTCATCAAAAAATTTCACTGTGACCATTGTATTGTCTATAGAGTCTGTGCTTTAGTTCTCCCAACTCTTATTTCAACCACATCAGGTTGCAATTTTTTTCTTTTATAAACTGAAATCTTATGTGTTCTTTTCATGTGTTATAGGATTATAAGGGACTTTATGTTCAAATAAAGAGTTTTCCTTGAACTCTCAAAAATAAAAATGGCTGTTAAAAACTTATTATGTAATAATAACAACAAAACCTGTATGATTTTTTGGAGGAAAGTAGGACAATTTGGAGGAATTTGGGTTCTCAGTGGGGTGGCATTGTAGGAGCTGTGAAATTACCACTGCCTCCTATCCTTACTTTATGGATACAGTTTATTTGTGATTTTTTCACTTTAAAATTGAAGTCACTAATCTTGTGATTCCTGTGCTGCCTTGATTTTGTTAATAATTGATTTCTTTTGCTTGGCATATCTTTAATTTGAACCATAGTGTTTGAGAGCTTCCATCTGTGGATCTGTGCAAATGCATTATTGAACATTCTTCCAACAGCTCTTCTCTTTTCACTTTGCTCTTCCAGCCTTCTCATTACTCAGTCTCTAAAACCTATCAAGCTTGTGGCTTTTCATAGAGAGTGTATGGGTGATAGCTTATTCCTTTTGTATGTGCCACTTCTCTTTCTTTTTGTAGGGGAGTCTTAGGTTTTATTGATGGCACTGCCAGCTAGGACAAGTAAGTTCATGTGAGGTGGAGAAGTGTTAGCCTCTTTCCCTTTAGCTGCAGAATCTATGCCCCAAAATACATCTTCCTCATGAAGAAAAAGCAAAGTCACCTAATATAACACAGTGTGTGCACACGCTAGTGTTTCTTGGGAGGAAGCTCACGAATATCAAAGGATATCTGATATATTCTTCAAATATGCAGCAGACTCTCTGACAAGGACAGTGCAGCCCAGGCACAGTTTCCAAGGGAATCTTGCAATCTCTCCTTTTGCTGGTTTCGAGCAGAGTAGAGAGGGGAACTCGGTAGTCTGAGAGTAAGCTCTGACAGAATCTATAAAACACTCATTGGTTAATATGAAGGGGATGGTTGAACATAAGATATACCAGGGATCTGAACCTTATTTGGTGCCTCCTAATTCCAACTGGTTAGATTTAAGAGGAAGATGTGAGATTCACACCTCAAAAATTGCCACTTAAAATTATATTTTTTCACTATAAGCTGCTGTCTTTATCCCAATTTCTATAATCAGATTTCTGATCCAGTAGAAAGGCCCAAGTGTGAGGTATTAAGAACAGAGGATGTGTTCCTTCCAGTACTTCCACAAAAAGCAAAGTATGGATGACCATTTGCCTTTTATGCGCAAGAGAGAGAGAGTTTCCTCTCTACAACTAAGAGGTCAATTAGTAGAAAACATGAAAGATATGGGTGATAATTTAACACTTTATTTAAACATGAAAAATATTTCTACCTACTACTAGTTAGTTTATCACTACAAAAAATATAAGCGACCATAAATTATTCTTTCTGATTCTCTCTCAAATTCCTCAAGTCATAAGGTTATCTTTGGAAACTGTATCTCAAACATCAGACTATTCTCTGACATGCAGGAATATTTCAGCTCACAATCCACTTTTCCTTATTTTACTGAAAATCATGCACAATATACATTATCTTTTTATGCCTTACTAAAGAAATCAAGGTAAACATCAAATATGATCTATCAGGCTATTCAATTCTTGCTTGGTGCCTGGAGACAAGAAAAAGAAAAACTACAAAGGTTTTTTTTTTGCATAACATTAAAATAGGTATTTACAGTATCATGATAGACTGTCTCTTGTCAAGAAATGTCAGTGGTGTTGTCACACCTACCTCATTAATACACAAAATGAAAACATAGCAATAAAAATCTGTCATCATTTTGACTTGTAGGTAAAGTTATTCCACTGGATTGTTTATAACATTTTTCATATTAGTTTTTGTGGCTCAAATATGTCAATTTTTTTTAACGTAATAAACTTCACTTTTAGAAAAGTTTTAGGTTCACAACAAAACTAAATAGAAAGCTCAGAGACTTTCCATGTTTCCCTCTCCCTACATACATACAACTTCTCCTACAATGGACATCTTGCATCATAGTGGAACATTGGTTACAATTGATGAAACTACATTAACACACCATTATCATTCAAAGTCTATTGTTAACATTAGGGTTTACTCCTGGTGTTGTACATTCTATGGGTAGTGACAAATATATAATGACATGTATTCACCATTATATTATCATACAGAACAGTTTCCCTGTCCTAAAAACCCTCTGTATTCTGCCTACTCATCCCTTCCTCTCCACTAAACTTTGGCAACCACTGATCTTTTGACTGGCTCCATAATTTTTTTTTTCAGAATGTCATATAGTTGGTATCATGCAGTATGCAGCTTTTCAGATTGGCTTTTTAAATTTACTAATATGCATCTATGTTTTCTCTATGTCTTTTTGTGACTTGATAGCTCATTTCTTTTTAGCACTGAATAATATTCTATTGTCTGGATATACCACAGTTTATTCACCTACTGAGGTACATCTTGGTTGCTTTCAAGTTTTGGCAATTGTGAATAAAGCTGCCATAAACGTTTGTGTACAGGTTTTTTTGTGGAAATAAATTTTCAGTTCATTTCAGCAGATGCCAAGGAGCATGATTGAATAGCGAGATCATGTGGAAAGAAAAATTATAGATTTTTAAGAGGCTTCAGAACTGTCTTTCAAAATGGCTATACCATTTCGCATCCCCAGCAGAAATGAATGAGTGCTTTTGTTCCTTTACATCTTCAGCATTTGGTGTTGTCAGTGAATTTTGACCATTCTAATAGATATGTAGTGATATATTGTTCTTTTAACTTGCAATTCCCTAAGGACATAAAAGTTTGAGCATATTTTAATATGCCTACTTAATATTTGTATATTTTCTTTGATGAGATATATACTCAGATCTTTTGCCCATTTTTAATTGGATTGTTCCTTTTCTTATTTTTGAGCTTTAGGAGTTCTTTATGTAATTTGGATAATAGTCCTTTATCAAATGTATCTTTACAAATATTTTCCCCAGTCTGTGGCTTTTTTCTCATTCTCTTGACAGTATTTTTCACGAGCATATGCTTTTAATTTTAATGTAGTCCAATTTATCAATTATTTCTTTTATGGGTCAGGCCTTTAGTGTTGTCTCTAAAAAGTCATCACTATACCCAAGGTCATTGAGATTTTCCCCTATGTCAACTTTTAGGAGTTTTATTGTTTTTCATTTTATATTTAGGTCTATGATCTATTTTGGATTCATTTGTAGGAAGAATGTATGGTCTGTGTATAGATTCGTTTTTTTATTTTTTTGCATATGAATATTTAGTTATTCCTGCAACGTTTGAAAATGCTATCTTTTCTCCATCACATTTCTTTGGCTCTTTTGTCAAATATCAGTAAAATATATTTATGTGTG
The DNA here is from genome assembly GCF_000001405.40 of Homo sapiens. Classification (NCBI taxonomy): domain Eukaryota; kingdom Metazoa; phylum Chordata; class Mammalia; order Primates; family Hominidae; genus Homo; species Homo sapiens. The sequence continues at coordinate 30,080,423 of NC_000023.11, forward strand.
GCTATTTCTGGACTCTCTATTCTGTCCCACTGATCTATTTGTCTATTCTTTTACCAGTGCCATGCTGTACTGATTACTGTATCTTTATTACAAGTCTTGAAGTCAGCTATGGTCAGTCCTCCAGCTGTTCTTCTCCTTCAATATTGTCTTTGCTATTCTGGGTCTTTTGCCATTTCCTATACATTTTTGTGTCGTTTGTCAATATCCACAAAAATAGCTTGTTGTATTTTGATAGGGATTCTTTTGAATCTGTAGATCATATTGGGAAGAACTGACATTTTGAAAATATTGGGTCTTTTTAACAATAAACATAGAGTAGCTCTCAATTTATTTAGTTCTTCCTTGAATTTTTTCATCTAGTTTTGCAGTTTTTCTCATGTAAATCTTGTATTTGCATATTTTGTTAGAGTTGTATCTAAATACTGCATATTGGGTGGTACTAATGTAAATTGTATTTTGTTTGTAATTTTAAATTCTACTTGTTTATTGTTAGTGTATAGGAAAGTGTTGACTTTTGTGTATTAACCCTTTATTCTTCAACCTTGCTATAATAATTTAGTAATTTCAAGAGAGGATTTATTTTCCCAATCCTTTTTTACTTTCTACATAAATAATCATGTCATCTGTGAAAAAGACTTTTCTTTCTTTCTTCCCAATCTGTAAACCTTTTATTTCCTTTTCTTGTCTTGTTACATTAGCTAGGATGTCAAGTATGGGTAATGCCCCTGGTATATCTATAAAGTTATCACCATACCCAAGGTCATTGAGATTTTCTCTTATATCATCTTCCAGGAGTTTTATAGTTTTTCATTTTAAATTTAGTTCTATGACCCATTTGAGTTCATTTTTATGAAGGGTGTAAGGTCTGTGCATAGATTCATGTTTTTGCATGTGGATACAACAGCAAAGGCATAACCACTTTTTTAAAAAGTGGTAAGAGGAAACATTATTGTCTTGTTTCTGATTTTAACAGGAAAGCTTATAGGCTCTCACCAGTACGCTGTAAGGTTTTTTTTTCTTAATTTCTCATTTTGATTTTTGTGGGTACACAGTAGATGCAGGTATTTATGGGGTGCATGAAATGTTTTCATACAGGCATGTAATGCGTAATAATCACATCACGTAAAATGGGGTACTCAACCCCTCAAGCATTTATCCTTTGTGTTATAAACAATCAAATTATACTCTTTTAGTTATTTTTAAATGTACAATTAAGTTATTATTGACTATAGTCACCCTATTGTGCTATCAAATACTAGGTCTTATTCATTCTTTCTATTTTTTTTGATACACATGAACAATCCCCACATCCCCTCCCAATCTGCTGCCCCTACCCTTCTCAGCCTCTGGTAACCATCCTTCTACTCTCTATATCCATGAGTTCAATTATTTTGATTTTTAGATCCCACAAATAAGTGAGAACATGCGATGTTTGTCTTTCTGTACCTGGCTTATTTCACTTAGCATAATGATCTCCAATTCCATCCATGTTATTGCAAATGACAGGAGCTCATTCTTCTTATGGCTGAATAGTATTCCGTTGTGTATATATAGAATATTTTGTAATGTTTGAAAATGTCTTTATTATGTCTTGTCTACTGAATGATAACTAAACTAAGTGTAGACTTTTCGTTCATATTTTTCAGTTTTATTTATATTTCATTGGAAGGAAAATTTTTTATTTCAATAGCTTTTGGGGTACAAGTATTTTTTTGTTACATAGATGAATTATACAGTGGTAAATTCTGAAATTTTAGTGCGCCCATCACCGGAGTAGTGTACATTGTACCTAATGTGTAGTTTTTTTATCCCTATCCTCCCTCCCAGCCTCCCCATTCTGAGTCTCTAAAGTCCATAATATCACTCTGTATGCCTTTGCATACTCGCAGCTTACCTCCCACTTATAAGTGAGGACATACGGTTTTTGGTTTTCCACTCCTGTGTTACTTCACTTAGAATAATGGCCTTCAGCTCCATCCAAATTGCTGCAAAAGACATTATTTTGTTCCTATTAATGGCTGAGTAGTATTTCATGATGTATATATACCACATTTTCTTTATCCACTCATTAGTCAATGGATACTTAAGTTGGTTCCACATCTTCGCAATTGGAGTACCACATTTTCATTATCCATTAATCTGTTGGTGGACACTTAGGTTGCTTCCAAATTTTGGCTATTGTGAACAGTGTTGCAGTAAACATGGGAGTGCAGGTATCTCTTTGATATACTGATTTCCTTTCTTTTGGGTATATACCCAGCAGTGGGATTGCTGGATCATATGGTAGCTCTCTTTTTAGTTTTTTGAGGAAGCTCCAAATGATTCTCTATAGTGGCTATACTAATTTACATTCCCACCAATGCCGTGTGAGGATTCTTTTTTCTCTACATCCTTGCTAGCATTTGTTATTGCTTGGCTTTTGGATATGAACCATTTTAACTGGGGTGGGATGATATCTCATTGTAGTTTTGATTTGCATTTCTCTGATGATCAGTGATGTTGAGCACCTTTTCATATGCCTGCTTTCCATTTGTATGTCTTTTTTAAAAAAAGTCTAGTCAAAACGTTTGTTCATTTTTAATTGGATTATTAGATGTTTTCTATGGAGTTGTTTGAGATTTTATATATTCTGGTGATTGATCCCTTATCAAATGGATAGTTTGTGAATATTTTCTCCCATTCTCTGGGTTGCCTCTTCATTTTGTTGGTTGTTTTCTTTGCTGTGCAGAAGTTTTTTTAACTTGGTGTGATTCTATTTGTCCATTTCTTGATTTGGTTGCCTGTGCTTGTGGAGTATTACTCAAGACATTTTTTTTTTTTTTTTTTTTTTTTTTTTTTTTTTTTTTTTTTTTTTTGCCCAGACCAATGTCCTGCAGAGATTCCCCAATATTTTCTTATAATAGTTTCTTTTCTTTTCTTTCTTTCTTTTTTTTTTTTTTTTTTTGAGACAGAGTCTCGCTCTGTCGCCCAGGCTGGAATGCGGTGGCGCAATCTCGGCTCACTGCAAGCTCTGCCTCCCGGGTTCACGCCATTCTCCTGCCTCAGCCTTTTGAGTAGCTGGGACTACAGGCGCCCGCCACCACGCCCGGCTAATTTTTTTTTTTGTATTTTTAGTAGAGATGGGGTTTCACCATGTTAGCCAGGATGGTCTCGATCTCCTGACCTCATGATCCGCCCGTCTTGGCCTCCCAAAGTGCTGGGATTACAGGCGTGAGCCACCGCGCCCGGCCCTTATAATAGTTTCATACATTGAGGTCTTAGATTTAAATCTTTAATCCATTTTCATTTTACTCTTGTAGATCATGAGAGATAAGGGTCATTTCATTCTTCTACTTGTGGATATCTAGTTTTCCCAACACCATTTACTGAAGAAACTGTCTGTTCCTCAGTTTATGTTCTTTGCACCTTTGTCAAAAATGAGTTAGCTGTAGGTGTGTGGATTTGTTTCTGGGTTCTCTCTTCAGTTCCATTGATCTATGTGTCTGTTTTTATGCCAGTACCATGCTATCTGGGTTATTATAGATCTGTAGTATAATTTGAAATCGGGTAATGCAATTCTTCCAGTTTTGTTCTTTTTGCTCAGGATAGCTATATTAGTCCATTCTTACACTGCCATAAAGAAATATCTGAGACTGGGTAATTTATGAAGAAAAGAGGTTTAATTGGCTCATTCTTGTGTGGTTCCACACACAAGAAGCATAATGCTGACATCTGCTCAGCTTCTGGGAAGGCTTCTGGAAACTTACAATTATGATAGAATGCAAAGAGGATGCCAGGATGTCTTACGTGGCCAGAGCAGGAGCAAGAGAGAACGAGGAGGCCACATGCTTTTAAACAATCAGATCTCAGAAGGACTTTCTCACTGTCACCAGAACAGTACCAAGGGGGAAATCTGCCCCCATGATACAATCACTTCCCACCAGGCCCCACCTCCAACACTGGGGATTACAATTTGACATGAGATTTGGGTTGGGGGCACAGACCCAAACCATAACAATAGCTTTGGCTATTCTGGGTCTTTTGTTGTTCCTTATACAATTTAGGATTATTTTATATTTTTGTGAAGAATGTATTTAATATTTTGATAGGGATTGCATTGAATCCTTCAAGCGCTTTGGGTAGTATGGACATTTTAATAATATTGATGCTTCTAATCCATGAACATGAAATATCTTTCCATTTTTTGGTGTGCTGTTTAATTTCTTTTATCAGTGTTTTATAGTTTTCATTATAGAGATCTTTCACTTCTTTGGTTAATTCCAAGGTATTTAATTTTATTTGTGGCTATTCTGAATAGGATTACTTTTTAAATTTCTTTTTCTGATTGTACACTGTCGTCATAAAGAAATGCTACTGATTTTTGTACGTTGATTTTGTATCCTGCAACTTTACTGAATTTGTTTATCAGTTCTAATAGTTTTTTTTGTGGAGTCTTTAGGTTTTTCCAAGTATAAGATTATATCACCTGCAAACAGGGATAATTCGTCTTCTTCCTTTCCAATTTGGATATGCTTTATTTCTTTCTCTTGCCTGATTATTCTAGCTAGGACTTCCAATACTATGTTGAATAACAGTGGTGAAGGTGGACATCCTTGTCATGTTTCAGATCTTAGAGGAAAGGCTTTTAGCTTTTGCCCATTTAGTATGATACCAGCTGTGGTTCTGTCGTATATGGCTTTCATTATGTTGAGATACGTTTCTTCTACGCCCAGCTTATGTCTTTTGATTGGAGAGTTTAATCCATTTACATTCAATGTTATTATTGGTAAGTAAGAACATACTCCTGCCATTTTGTTCTTTGTTTTCTGGTTGTTTTTTTGGTCTTCTCTTCCTTCTTTCTTTCCTTTATGTCTTCCTTTTAGTTGAAATAATTTTCTCTGGTGATATGATTTAGTTTCTTGCTTTTTATTTTTCTGTATCTGTTGTATGTTTTTTGATTTGAGGAAACCATGAGGCTTGCAAATACTACCTTATAACTCATGATTTTAAGCTGATAACAACACTGTTTGCAGAAACAAACAAACAAGCAAAAAAAAACTAATAAAGACTCTACATCTTAACTTCGTCCCCTTACTTTCTAACCTTTTGCTGTTTCCATCTTATTGTACTATCTATGCCTTGAAAAGTTATTGCAGTTATTATTTTTAACAAGCAATAACAAACAACAAATAGGCAAAGGATATGAACAGACACTTCTCAAAAGAAGACATACAGGGAGCCAATAAACAAACATGAACAAATGCTCCACAGCACTCATCATCAGAGAAATGCAAGTCAAAACCACAATGAGATACCATCTCACACACCAGTCAGAATGCCTATTATTAAAAAGTCAAAAAATAACAGATGCCAGTGAGGCTGCAGAGAGAAGGGAATGCTTATACACTGTTAGTTGGAATGTAAATTAGTTGAGACACCGTGAAAAGCAGTTTAGAGATTTCTCAATGAACTTAAAACAGGACTACCATTCAATCCAGCAATCCCATTCCTGGGTATATGCCCAAAGAGAAATAAATAATTCTACCAAAAAGACACAAGCAATTGCATGTTCATCACAGCACTACTGACAATAGCAAAGACATGGAATCAACTGAGGTGCCCATCAATACCTAGGAACACATGGTGGATTGGACAAAGAAAATGTGATATATACACACCATGGAATACTACACAGCCATAAAAAATGAAATCATTCTTCATTTCTTTTACAGTGTTTTTTATTGTTAACTTTAATAATCATGACCTTTGCAGCAACATGGATGCAGCTGAAGGCCATTATCCTAAAAGAATTAATGCAGGAATAGAAAACCAAATACCATGTGTTCTCACTTATAAATAAGAACTAAACATGGGTACACATGGACATAAAGATGGGAACAATACACACTGGGGACTACTAGAGGGTGGTGAAAGGGAGAGGGGCAACAGCTAAAAACCTACCTATTGGGTACTATGCTCTTTACCTGGGTGACAGGATCATTTGTACCTTAAACCTCAGTATCATGCAATATAACCATGTAAGAAACCTGCACATGTCCCCTCTCAATCTAAAATAAAAGTTGTAATTATAAAAAATAAGTAGGCTGGGTGCGGTGTCTCACACCTGTAATCCTAGCACTTTGGGAGGCCAAGGCAGGCAGACCATTTGAGGTCAGGAGTTCGAGACCAGCCTGGACAGCATGGTGAAACCTCATCTCTACTAAAAATACAAAAGAAATAGCTGGGCGTGGTGGTGGGTGCCTGTAATCCCAGCTACTGGGGAGGCTGAGGCAGGAGAATCGCTTGAACCCAGGAGATGGAGGTTGCAGTGAGCTGAGATCACTGTACTCCAGCCTGGGCAGCAGAGTGAGACTCTGTCTCATAAATAAATAAATAAATAAATAAATAAATAAATAAATGAACACAATGCCAAAAAAATTAAATGGGCTTCCAGTAGGCAACCTACAGTGAAGTCTTGTTTTTAATATACTGTGACAATATCTGTCTTTTAATTGGTGTATTTAGAACATGGACATTTAAAGGAATTCTTCATATAGTTTGATTAATATATATCGTATTTGTTACTGTTTTCTATTTGTTGCCCTTGTTCTTTGCTCTTATATTTTTCTTCCACATTTTTTCTGCCTTTTATGGTTTTCATTGTGCAGTTTACACAATTCCATTTTCACTCTTTTGTTATATTAATAATACATGGTTTAAGTGGTTGTAATAAAGTTTGCAATATTCTCTTACAACTAACACATGTCCACTTTCGAATAACACTGTACTGCTTCACAGATAGGGTAAATACCTTACAACAACAAAATATTTCCAATTCATCTTTCCCATCCCTTGTGTCATTAATGTATTATTTCACTTGTATATAACCATATATATGCAAATGTATGTATATATATACATATGAGCATGCATAATAGAATACATTGTTGATATTATTTTGAACAAACTCATGTTAGATTTTTTACATTTTTTATTTTACCTTTACTTATATATTCTCTGAAACTTGTCTTTGTGCATATCTGAGTTTCTGACATGTATTATTTTCATTGTCACTGAAGTACTTTATTTTTAACAGCTTTATTGGGATATATTTGACATAAAAGAAACTGCAAATACTTAACGTACAATTAAATGAGTTTGGACATATGCAAATGTCCCATGACATCACCAAAAGTAAGGTAATAGACATAGCCAACCCTTCCCAGAATTTTCTTATTGTTCTTTGTTTCTTTTTTTCTTGTGTTTCATTGTGTGTGGTTAGAATACTTAACATGACATGTACCTTCCTAACAAATTTTAATGTACGCAATACTGTATTGTTAACTATAGGCACCATGTTCTACAGAATTTCCTCAATTATTGTTTGTCTGGGAAAGTCTTTATTTCTCCTTCAAGATAATTTTACAAGGTACAGAATTGTGAAGTATCAATTTGCATAATACAGAGGTCCAGGTTGGTGAGTTTTTTCTGCAACACTTTAAATATTTCACTTCACTCTCCTCTTACTTACATAGTTTCTGAAGAGAAGTCAGAGTTAGTTCTTATCTTTGTTCCTCTATAGGTAAGGTGTTCCCCACACCTCAGCTTCTTTCAAGATTTTTTTCTTTTTCTTTGATTTTCTAAAGTTTGAATATATATGCCTAGGTGGTGCAGGTTTTGTTTTGATTTTTAGACTTTTTTTTTTTTTTTCATGTATCCTGTTTGGTGTTCTCTGAATTTCCTGGATCTGTGGTTTGGTTCTGCTTCTGTTCCTTTCTCTCTGTCTTCTCCTTTTTCTATTCCTATTATGTATATTTATACCTTTTGCAATTGTCCAACAGTTCTTGACTACTCTGCTTGACTTTTTCAGTCTTTTTTCTCTTTGTTTTTCAGTTAGGGAAGTTTCTATTCCTATACTATCAGGCTCAGAAATTCTTTTCTCCATCATGTCCAATCTTGTGATGAGCTCATTAAAGGCATTCTTCATTTCTTTTACCGTGTTTCTGACTGTTAGCATTTCTTTTTAATTCTTTCTTAGAATTTCCATCTTTCTGCTTACAGTATCTATTTATTTTTGCATGTTGTCTGCTATTTCTGTTAAAGCCTTTAGCATATTAATCATATGTTTTAAAATTTCTAATCAGATAATTCCAACATTACTGCCACATCTGACTCTGACTCTGGTGCTTGTTCAATATCTTCAAACTGTGTTTTTTCTTCTTTTTAGTATGCCTGATAATTTTTCATTGAAAGGAGGACACGATGTACTGGGTGAAAGAGGCTGTGGTAAATATACTTTAAGTGACATAGTGGTAATGTGTGAGGAGAAAGAAGTGTTCTATAATTTTGTAAGTCTCAGGACTGGCCATGGTGGCTCATGCCTGTAATCCCAGCACTTTGGCAGGCTGAGGCGGGCAGATCACTTGAGGTCAGGAGTTCCAGACAGGCCTGGGTAACATGGTGAAACCCTGTCTCTACTAAAAATACAAAAATTAGCTGGAAGTGGTGGCACACACCTGTGGTCCCAGCTACTCAGGAGGCTGAGGCAGGAGGATCTCTTGAGCCCGGGAGGGAGAGGTTGTAGTGAGCCAAGATCACGCCACTGCCGTCCAGCCTGGGTGGCAGAGTGAGGCCCCGTCTCAAAAAAAAAAAAAAAAAAAAAAAAAAAAAAAAAAACTAAAAATAAGTCAGACTTTTGGTGAGGCTGTGAGACTGTGAGCTTCACAAGTGTTTATCAGCTTCCCCTACCCTCTTAGGAGAGATAGGAGAGCCACAGGGAGACATACTTAGGAAATACCTAAGCTTGAATTGGTGATTTCCCTTTTCCTAGGTAGTTTGGCCTCTGCTAAAACCCCAGAAATTTAGGCTCTAGTAAAATAGTTTCTCCTGAGAGGTCTTGTTAAGAAGAACGTAATACTTTATCATATTTTAAAATAATTATTTTTCTCCTTCCCCTGTGAAAGGCACGAGGGAATTTTTCTACAATATTTGCTGTGAGAACCTGGTAGGGCCCCTGGAGGTAAAACTCACAACATTGTAAGGGGATTCCTTATGCATGGGCTTCCCTGGAGTTTTTAACTGTGAGACTTGTTCACACTGAGGCTCTAGCAATTTTCAAATTACCATTTAGTTCTTCATACATTGGCACTCACTTGTTTCTGTGGATGTTTCTGCTCTGGTAAGTAGTGATTCTCTGTATCCACCTGTCTTTTTCTCCAATGGTTTGCCCTGTGACCTCACTTCTTTCTCAGATCTAAGAAGAATAGTTAATTTTTCAGCTTCTTCAGCTTTTTACTTGTTGTTAGGTTGGAGTGGTAACTTCCCTATCATCATGTTTTTAACGGTGTCTACGTGATGCCATAAAGAATGAATGGTGAAAAATGAAAGATGTATAGTTTAAATACCTCTCATTGCATTGGTTACCTGTTTAATAACATGCAAATTGTATATGACAAATTTCAATGTATAAAATATCTAGTATTAGAAAATTGCTCTGGTTACCTCATATGAATAGAATCATGCAGTTTGCCTTTTTGTGACTAGCTTTTTCACTTAGCATGGTGTTCTCAGAGTTTACTCATGTTGTGGCATGTGTCAGAATTTTCTTCCTTGTTGAGGCTGCATAGTATTCCATTGCATGTATGTACCACATTTTCTTTGTTCATTCATCCATTGGTGGACATTTGGATTGTTTCAACCATTTGGTTATTGTGAGTGATGCTACTATGAACATGGAAGTACAAGTGCCTCTTTGGTACCCTGCTTTCAGTAATTTTTGATAAGCCCAGGATTGGATTTGCTGGATCATGTGGTGGTTCTATTTTTGACTTTTTGAGGAGCCACTGTATTGTTTCCATGGCAGCTGTACCAATTTACTTTCCCATCAGCATTGTGGGGGGGGCTCCAATTTCTCCATATCCTTGCCAACACTTTTTAATTTTCTTTTTCTTTTGTGGTAGCCATTCTAATAGGTGTGAAGTGGTATCTCATTGTGATTTCCCTTTACATTTATCTTCTTTGTTTGAATATATTTTCTTACAAACAAAATATTTTTAGAACGTACATGCTATTTAGAGATTAAAATATGCAGCAGCATTCTAATTTTTAGAATCTTTCTCATTAAAAGAAAAAAAAGTGTGCCTACCTTTCTCCAAACCAGGGGTATAACTTAATTGTCAACATAATTATCAATGAGATTCTATCTGTTCAATCAAAAGAGGTGGATCCAAGTCATGGCCCTGTTACTTATTATCTGTGTATCTGTGTGACTTCAAACAACCTCTCAGTCTCCATTTTGTCATTTGAATAAAAAAAAGGAATATAATAATACTCGCCTACTCAATTTGGGAGGCTGTTGAATTAAAAGAACTAATATGTTAATGCACTATAAATTATAAATGTCTGCAAATGAAAGCCATTGCTTGTATTAATTAGCATCAATAGTAAATGCCTTATATTATGGGAGCAGTCACTGTAATGGGCAGAAGCTTAAGTTCTAGATTCAGACTACCGTGTTGCCCAAGCCGTGTTACCTAGGGTGGTGATGTGATCTCTCAGTCTCAGTCTAGACAATAGGGGTGATTATAGAGTATGCCAATTGCCATACGCATGGCATGTAGTAAGCACTTTAATGTTAGCTATAATTAATCACTTATTTTTGTTTTGTGGCTTCTGCAAATCTTGACTGTTTACTACCTGAAAAAAGAACATGTCTGGTGTGATCATCATGTACTCCCAGAAGAACAGCACCAATATGGCTAGTGCCTTTTGATTATCAATCATTTTAGTTTAAATTAGAAAAATGAAGAAATAGCCATGGACCCCTCTTGCCTAAGTCAATGAGAAAATTCAGGAGTGAAGGGTCCTTCCTCCTAGCATTGATGAATGCCAGACATTGAAATGGAAAAACAACAACATGGTTTTGGTGTTCTCCTAATAGGTAGAACTACTCAATGACCAAGCTGAGAAATGGGAACAAGTTTAGTTTTGTGTATGTCTGTACCTTGTGGAAGATCAGGAGAAGGGCAGGGCATATATATTTGTTGGGCAACTATAGCCTTGTAGATGATATTCTGGGCTTTTTGTATGTATTATCTCCTTGTTTCTTAATTGGGAGAAGGGTGCATATTATCAGAGCTATCTGGTTGCTTTCCTTTCAACATTAAATAAACACTAATTTCATTTTTAAATTACAAAATAAATATGTGATCTTATTCTCATTGTAAAAATGGAAATAATGTAGCAAGAAGCATATAGAAAAATAAAGAAAGTTTCTTTCACCCATTTCTCCCTGGTTGCCCACAATCTCCCATTTTTCCTAACAGGTTACCACAGGAACTGTGCATCTTTCCTGATTATATCTTAGAATTTATTCAAATAAATATAGTTTTTAATACATAAAATGGCCATATTATATATATGTTATTCTGCAACTAACTTCTTTTCACTTAATAATTTTTTAGGTAAATCTTTCCATCTCTGTACCTGAAGATATTAATAGCAACTGACACATATGTACCAGGAACACATAAAGTGTTTTCCATAATCTAATTTATTTAGTGCTCAAAATAACTATGAAGTATGGTGACAAATGACAGAAACAGACCCCGTGAAGTTTAGCAACTTGCAGAAGATCAAAAGCTAAGTGGCATCACTTGCAATTGAACCCACCTAGGAAATCTTCAGAACTCACACTCAACTACTCTGCTGGACCACCTCTCTAATCACCTTGTTCTTTCGATGATTATGTAATATATTTTAAAATATTATAAACAATGCTACTTTAAAATATTTAAAATATAAAAAGAAGAAAATTCCTTTTGTTGTTCCCCTCACCACAAACAAATTCCCAAGCTATTCTTATGCAGCTTGAAATTTATTGGGTCTGAATTGAGACCCAAGAATATGTATTTTTAACAACAAACACCCAGATTATTATCATCTAGGAAGCTTGGGGAAAATTAAGAAATACTGCTGTAGGAGTTATTAAATTATTTTAGGCAGAGAGGAAAAGGGATCTTTGCGAAGTTTTCGTTTTTTAAGACGTTTCTTGTCTAGCTAGAAAGCCCCAGCTCTTAGAGCCCGGCTGGCAACCTTTGATATGCAAATGAGGTCCATTAGAAACTGGGTCCACACAAACATGACAATTCCCCAGGCCTTCTTGCCCTTGCCCCACATGTGCCTGGCAACATGGCTGCCCCCACATATCCCTACGTGTGTAGAACATCATGGTGCCCTGCATTTGCATATTAAAAGCTAGGGTGGGAGGGCTAGCTTTTTGATGGGCTACGTGAATGATATGCCTAGTGAAACCAATCCCCTGAGCCCTATGCAAATCAAACACTGCCTCCTCCGACCTCTGCAGATACCTGGCTGGTATCTACTGCACCTGTGGTCTCTTCTCTTGGCTTTGGAGCCCCCTTCCCTCAGCCTCTGTAAAGGGGAGCTTCTTCCTTCTGTCTTCTCTCTTCTTTCTTGCCTATTAAACTCTCTGCTCCTTAAAAACACTCCACGTGTGTCTGTGTCGTTTTTTCCAATTTGACCCGAGACGAAGAACCTGGTGCTCCTCCACTCATCAGAGCCATATCAATACCAAAATAAGAGTTACAGTCATGTGCCACATAACAATGCTTCAGTCAATGACACATTGCATGTACTACAATGGTCCCATAAGATTACAATACTGTATTTTTACTGTACCTTTTGTATATTTAGATACAGGTGTACTTACCGTTGTATTACAATTGCCTACGGTATTCAGTAGAGTAGCATGCTGTACAGGTTTGTAGCCTAGGAGCAATCGGCTATACCATATAGCCTAGGTGTGCACTAAGTTATAGCATCTAGGTTTGCCTAGGACTTTCACAGAACAACACAATTGCCCATCGACGCATTTCTCAACATATTCATGGTTAAACCACACATGACTAGTTGTGTAGAATCACAGAGGCAGAGAATTCAGTAACTGTACATGAGGTTTCTACTAAATTTGGCTCTCAATACCAAGAGCATTGTCTTACTTCCCCATTCTCACCCATGGTGTTGACCTCATTGGGCTGCCTTGCTCAAGAGTAGCTCCTAACGACAGTAGTTTGAATGCCTCCTGAGGGCAAGCCTTGAGTTGTCTATGCAAAGGAAGTCAAGGGGAATAAGGGCTCCTGATGTGGAAAGGGGGGTGGACATGAAGTAAGTAAGCTTTTAGGCATTATAATGCAAAAAGAAAAAGAAAAAAAGGAAAAAAAATAAAATTAGAGAAAAAGGATTGTTAATACTAATATTATTATGCTTCAGAAGATTGGAGATTATTTTTAAATGTTTTATAGGCCAATTCAAAACAAATCTAAATGAAGAAGGTTACTAAAATAGTAGAGCTCAGACCACATAAAAGAAACAGAAGTAAAATTCTTTTTTTCCATTAAAAATAGCTTCTAGCATGGAGGTCTCATCATTATGCTTTTTCTAATGTTCAATAGTTGCCGTTTAGAAGGGAATTGAAGGAAAACACTAAAAATGCTCTACCTCTGAGTATGTCTAAATCCACTGGATAAATTTGTTACTTATCCTCTCTCCCCCAACAGCTAATATCCAAGAAAAATGTAGCTCCAGTGTTCATTTGACCATGTTACTTGTCTAACATGGGCATTGTATCAACTATACTAACAATTTCTTACTTTGCACTGCATTTTAATGTTCACAGAAAGCTGCATTTTAACCTTGTGTGAGATAGCATCTTACAAGCTCTAAAACATGATATAATAGGCATTTCAGTGACTTTCTTCCCCGTAGAAATAGAGAGTAATAAGGGTACATAGAGCAGACCACTTCATTTAATCACTGATTTTTGAAGGTCAAATGACAGTACCCTGTTTCACAGGAAAAATGCCTATTCTAATTTGGGCCCATAAGTCATTTGCCCACTTTCTGGAATTTCTACATTGCCAAGAAAAATCTTATGAAGAAAACTAGTTTTGTCCTTCCTTCTTTTTTTCTCTCCCTTCCTCCCTCACTCCTTTCTTTCTTTCCATTGGTGACTTCCTATTCCCACTTATTTTGTTCCCCTCCTTTCTTTCCTTTGTTTTTCTCTTTTGTTTGGGAAAATTAAAAATACTGCCAACCCTAATAATCTCAACAAAATGTAGAAAAGAAAGAAATCAGATTTCTAATTGAATAGGCATTAAACCAGATTACAATGTGCATCATAGGAAATCAGATAAGAGAATAGAAAGATAGAAAGAAAATCCATCCATTTTATACAGCCAGTTACAATCCATTACATACATAATCTCTAGATTAACGGTAACCCGTCTCTTATAAGAGGACTCGATAGTACCCTTTGCTCTGCATTCTTTAATAGTCAGTCCCTCTAAAGTTCATCTGGTAATTGAGGTAGCTACTTTTTAGCTACAGCTTTTACCCAAAATAATAATAAATCTTCCCTTATCTCCATGAGAAGCACATGGTTTTCAGCTCAGAGAAAGGAGCCTAGGTTAGAATCCCAAGGTGACAGAAGAATAAGGGCCCTATCTTCCTTGATATTTACGTTTCAAAAAGATGGTTCTCACACCCTTAAGAAAAACATTCCTGAGTTGTAAAGCAGGTAAAAGGGGCTTACCTAACCTTTACAAAGATTTAGAGGAAAGATTCACAAACACTAGGTTTCTCATGGAAATGCTCTTAAGAAGGTGTGGGTCGGGGGGAGGCGGGGGAAGTCTCTTTCCCTTCTGGCAACAGAGAAAATCCAATTTTTAAAATTTACCCTAACGTTTTCAAAAAATATTGATTTAGCCCCTATTATTTGCTAGGCACTCAGTGTATATAGATATATGGTGATGACGTTACTGTAATATAGTATAGAAACAATTTGAGATATTTGTTGGAAAAGCATGATTTACCATGAGGATGGTGATGGAGGTGGGTGAATGATCATGGTGGTCTTTGGCCTTTTTAGCACTAGTTATGCTGCTTTATTTTGCACAAAGACCAAACTTGCTATTCTCCCTTTTTCTAATTTTTAAATTAATAAATAAAAATTATATATCTTTATCGTGTACAAATTATATTTTGACATATGTGTGCATTGTAGGATAGCTAAATTGGGCTAATTAACATATGCATTACTTCGCTTATCATCTTTTTGTGATAAGAACACTTAAAATCTACTCTCTTAGCAATTTTCAAGAATATATCATGATTAACTATTGTCACAATGTTGTACAATAGACCTCTTAAACTTATTTCTGTCTAACTGAAATTTTTTATCCTTTGACCAATATCTCTTCAACACCCACCCCCAGCCCTTGTTGCCCCTGGTAACCATTCTATTCTCTGCTTCTATGAGTTTTTTTCTTTTTCTTTTTTTTTTAGATTCCACATGTAAGTGAGATCATGTGCTATTTGTCTTTCTGTGCCGGGCTTATTTCCCTTAACAAAAGAGAATGTAAATTAATACGATCATTATGGAAAATAGTATGGAGGTTCCTCAAAATAGTGAAAATAGAACCACTATTTGATCCAGTAATCCTACTACTTGGTATATATTGAAAAGAAATGAAATTAGTGTGTTGAAGAAATATCTGGGCTCCCATGCTCATGACAGCATTATTCACAAGAGTCAAGATAGGGAATCAACAAAAGTGTCCATCAAAAAAATGAATGGATAAAGAAAATGTGGTACATATACAAAATGGAATATTATTCAGCCATCAAAAGAAGGAAATCCTGTCATTTACAGCAACATGGTTGAAGCTTGCTGCTTTCTTTGGAGATTTTGGATGTAAGAAAACCGCCACTTTTATTGAGATATATATATCCTATGGTTGAACTAAAAACCTTACATCTGAATGAGGTATGCTTTTATTTAACTAACTGTATCTACTAAAATTTTCAAAGAAGCCTGGGAGAAAATAATGTGATATATTAAGTAGGACCTGGATTAACCACCCCTGAGAGACTTGGCTTTTAAACCCTATAAATCTGTTTGTTCAACTCTTAATGGAGAAAATTGCACCAAATGATCCCCAAGGCTCCAAGTTTACCGCCTATCTGCTCAAAGTGTCATCCAAGGCCCAGAAGCATCACCCGGGCGTTGTTAGAAATGCAGAATCTCAAGTTTGCCCCAGCTCCACTGAATCAGAATTTGCATTTTAACAAGATCCTCAAGGTATTTCATCCACATTAAAGTTTGAGAAGCGCTGGTTTCCAGTACTGGAAAACAAACAAATAAGAATGACAAAAGTGCTCCAGAAATGTGGAGGACTTTTTGGAATATAGAAACTAGAGAGCAAAGGTGATAGAGGAACAAGAAGAGGAAATTGCAATCCTAAAGAGTTGAGGAGAGGGATACTGAGTTTTGGTTGGAGAAAGAACAGCAGAACCTGGCATCCTCTTGACCTCAAAAAGAAACTAAGGGAAATGTGGAAAGAAAATAAAGGAAGAAAAGAAAGAAAGAAAGAAAGATGAAGGAAGGAAAAAAGGAAGGAAGGAAGGAAAGAAAGGAAGGAAGAAAAGGGGCCCAGTGCGGTGGTTCATGCCTGCAATTCCAGCACTTTGGGAGGCTGAGGTGGGCGGATCACCTGAGGTCAGGAGTTCCAGATTAGCCTGGCCAACATAGTGAAACCCTGTCTCTGCTAAAAATACAAAAAAATAAAATAAAATAAAATAAAATAACTGGACATGGTGGCAGGCGTCTGTAATCCCAGCTACTTTGGGGGCTGAGACAGGAGAATTGCTTGAACCTGGAAGGTGGAAGTTGCAGTGAGCCAAGATCATGCCACTGCACTCCAGCCTGGGCGACAGAGAGAGACTCTGTCTCAAAAAAAAAAAAAATGAAGAAGAGGAAAGAAAGAAAGAAAAGGAAGGAAGGAAGGAAAAAAGGAAGGAAGGAAGGAAAGAAGGAAAGAAAGAAAGAAGAAGGAAAGAAGGAAAGAAGAAGGAAAGAAAGAAAGAAGAAAATTAGTTTCCTTAAGGAGTGAAACACTTTCCAGTGTTCTAGGCCCAGGAAAATTCTTTCTTACTCTGGAAATCATGAGACTACTAAGCTCAGCTTCTGGCTTCTTTCAGGTAAAATGGATTATTCCCTAAAAAAATGTACATTACAAACCTGACTGAAGAAGACGAAGATGGTCTGAATGAATATATTGCTCTATAATATTAAGAAAATAATAAAAATATCCACCCTTCTGAAATTAACAAGCCCAGTTAATTTCATGGGTCAGTTACACCAATCTCATCAAGAAAAGAAAATATCTTTTCTATTTAAACATGTTTAGAGCATAGAAAAAAATAAAATATTGTCAATACAGTCTACCGGGTTAGCAAAACCCTGATATCCAGATCTTATAAGACCTTATAAGCCAATCTCAGTTATGAAAATAAATGTGGACACCCTAAATACAATTTCAGCCAAAAACTACTAGAATGAAACAACAAAACAACCGAGGATTCTTTCCAGGAATGCAAGGATAATTCACATTGACAACTATATTAATACAATTCATCACATTAACAGAATGATGAGCAAATCATATTACTTCTATTGAAAGCTGAATTATTTTGACAAAATCAAAAGAAACTTTTCCTAATAAAAACTCTTAATAATTAGCAAAATGTAACTTTCTTAACTTGAGAAAAAAAATACCACCAGACACCTGTAGTAAACATAGTTAACATGGAAACTTGAACATTCTCATTATAGGTAAAAATAAGGGAAGAATGCTCATTAACATCACAATATTGTTCTAGGAAACCTAGTCAATGTAATAGGCATTAAAATGTAAGAAGAGCTAAAAATATTAAAGAGGAACAGAAAAATGATGACAATTTACAGACAATAAGTATCCAAGAGAACCAACCAGAAAACTGTAAAACTAATTAGGAAACCTATAAAGGTGACCAAATATACAACCACAATGCCTGAATCTTTAAAGATTTGCTATGCAATAGAAATAACCACTTTAAAAAATGCATTGAACCCACATCACCTATCAATACATATTTCTTAAATGAAAAACAACAAAAATGCCATAGAAAGAATCCCCCACTCACAATAGCAACAACTATTTTTTAATATCCTAAGAAGATTTGCAAGAAATATGTGAGATATGTTTTTGCCAAATATTCTGAAGGACATAAAATAAGATCTAAATAAGAGTCATACTATGATCATGAATTTAAGAGTGAATATTAAAACGATATCAACTTAACTCATGAATTCAATACCACACAAAATCTTAATAAGATGCTTAATAATGCATGACAAGTTGAAGTTCATGACTTTTTGAATAGGTAAAAGGATAATAGCCAATAGTAAAAATGAGGGAGGAATTTACCTTACCAGATCTAAAATGTTCTTCTACAACTACAGTGTTGAAACAATGTGGTGCAATCCTAAAGCATGGTCTTTTCGTATGTGATAAACATAGCTTTTTAATCATTGCAAAAAAGTTGACCTATAAAATGTTATGAGAGTTATCCATTTGGAAACAAAAATCAGATTTTTACTTCCCACCATCCCATAAGGAAATTACAGAGGGTTTAAGTATAAACACAAATGCACACACATGCACAAGCAGTACATGTGTAAGCCTGTATAAGCCTATAACAAAAAAACAGGAGGGTTCATATCTGAATCTCAGACCATCTTTCTCTAAAAAGATACAAAATATTAAAATGATTTATAAGCTGGGCGTGGTGGCTCATGCCTGTAATCCCAGCACTTTGGGAGGCCGAGGCGGGCAGATCACAAGGTCAAGAGATGGATGGAGACCATCCTGGCCAACATGGTGAAACCCCGTCTCTACTAAAAATACAAAAATTAGCCAGGCGTGTTGGTGGGTGCCTGTAGTCCCAGCTACTTGGGAAGCTGAGGCAGGAGAATTGCTTGAACCCGGGAGACAGAGGTTGCAGTGAGCAGAGATCGTGCCACTGCACTCCAGCCTGGGCAACAGAGCAAGACTCCATCTCAAAAAATAAATAAATAAATAAAAATCAAAGATTTATAGATAGAACCATATAAAAATGTAAAACATTAGCAAAACAGTAAAAGGAACAAAAGTAAAGACAGACAATAGACTTTATTTATTTATTTATTTATTTTTTTGAGACAGAGTTTCACTCTTGTTGCCCAGGCTGGAGTGCAATGGCACAATCTCGGCTCACCACAACCTCTGCCTCCCGGGTTCAAGCAATTCTCCTGCCTCAGCCTCCCGAGTAGCTGGGATTACAGGCATGTGCCACCACGCCCAGCTAATATTTGTATTTTTAGTAGAGACGGGGATTCTCCATGTTGGTCAGGCTGGTCTCGAACTCCCAACCTCAGGTGATCCACCCACCTCAGCCTCCCAAAGTGCTGGGATTACAGGCCTGAGCCACCGTGCCCGGCCGACAACAGACTTTAAAAAACAATTTGCAACCCAAGATCCAGAATTAATTTCTATAACATTAAAAAGAAACCCTTTTACAATAACCAAGCAAAAAATAACCAACTCTGTACAATTGAGCATAAGCTTTGAATAAATTATACACAAAATGTGTGGAATCTCAGTATTATTCATGAAAAATAATTTATATGAATATTCACAATAATATGTTTATTTGATTCAAAAATCTTAACTTGTGAAATGTACAATTTATTATCATTATAGAAGTGAATAACTACCATGTGCCTAGGCCCTGGAGATGCAGCAGTCAACAAAATAAACCCTCTGCAAAATAAATTTTAAAATTAAAATAAAAGTACTTGCTCTTGGAGCTTCTACTCTAGTGTACATACACAGGAGAGAAAAAAGCACAGAAACACAGCTTAAAGAATAAAAAAATACACTGAACACTCACCTGCCACTCAAGTTAGGAATTAGAATATTACCAATGCCACAGATAGAGCATAGATTGAGTTTTTGTGCTTTTTAGGATTGAAGAGTAACCCGACTATGTAGTAATCACTGTCGTACTTTTCTTTATCCACCTAAAAAATATTTGCCACATCTTTTCTATTTGTTAGACAATGTGCTATGTGCTCGGGATATATCACTGAACAAAACCAGATTAAAATCTATACTGTCCTAGAACTTACAATTAAGGGATAGACAGACAATTAAAAATAAAAATAACAAACAAGTGAAAAATACAAGGAGAAGGGAAAAATACAGCAGGATAAAGAGACTTCAGGAGTATGAAGTGGTGGTGGCAATAAAGTGGGCTTCATTAGGATATGCCATTTTGACCATAGACTTGAAGGAGGTGAGGCATTGGGTATAGAGATGTGGTTTGAGGGAATTCCACGCAGAACCAAAGATATACGAAGAAAGCATGTGGTACTTGAGGAACATAGAAAAGACTGATGTGGCAGGAACAGAGTGAGCAACTAGATGAATGATAGGAAAGGAGGTTCAAAAACAAGGCAAGTGTGCAATGGGATGGTACTATGGCTTGAATATGTCCTCTAAAAGTTCATGTGTTGAAATTCAGTTGTGGAAGATGGGGCCTTTAAAAGATGATTGGTCTGTGAGGCCTCTGCCCTTATAAATAAATTAATACTATTGTGATGAGAATAGGTTATTTATCCAGGAGTGGGTTTCTGATAAAAAGGGTAATCTTGGCACACTTCCCTCTCTGTCTCATATGCTTGCTTTCACCTTCTGCCCTTTTGCCATAGGATGACCCTCACCAGATGCAGTGTCATGCTCTTGAACTTCGCAGCATCCCGAACCATGAGCCTAATAAACCTCTTTTCTTCAAAAATTACCCTGTCTTTGGTATTTTGTTATAGCAAGAGAAAATGGACTAAGACAAGAGGACAGATCATGCAGTACTTTGGTTTTTACACTGATTCCCTTGCAGTGTTTTGAATAACATAGCCATTGCAATATTTTGAACAGAGCAGTGACATGATCTGATTTCTGTTTTTGAAGAATCTCTCTGGTTGCACCATAAGTGAGAATGGACTATAGTAGGCAAAAGTAGAAACAACAATGCCCACTAGAGGATTCTTCCAACAATCCAAGTGAGAGATGCTATCACAGTGGTAGCAACAGAGATGGTGAGAATTGGTCAGACTCTGAATATATTTTGATTGTAGGAAATCCAATAGGATTTCCTGGAATTTTGGACACTGGGTATGAGAAAGAAAGGAGTCAAGGGTGACTTCAATGTTTAGGGCATGAAATACTAGGAAGGTGGATTTGCCATCAAGTCATATGGTCTTGAAGAAGTCCAAGAAACATCACCCCAAAATATGCTACTTTTGTATGCTGAGAGAACTTGAGAAAGAGCAGATGTAGGGAGAGGCCTTTTCTGGGCTTCCCTTATCTGAAAAAAATTCATTTGTTCCCTTTCTGGAATCTCAACAAACAAGGAAGATTAACTCACAGGAAAGGGGACACCTCTTTCAGACTTTGCCATAGGCTAGCACTTATTCTTCTCACAGTTCCTCCTTGAGACAACTGTTATTACCTGAGATAAACTTCATTTTCATAACAAGACAAATTTTGCTCACCATACATTTCCTTCCCCCACCCTCCCATAGCTTGTTGTCACGTCCTTCCAGAAGCCCCAAGCCCCTATTCCAATGTTGTAAAAACTTGAATCATCTGGCCCTTCTTCAACTATCATACTTTGTGGGACTTCTGTGCATATGCATGTGATGTAATTAAAATGTTTTTTCTCTTATAATCTGCCTATTATCATTTTATTTCATAGACTCAATTATTGAAACTTCAGAGGGTTGAGAGAAGGTTTTATCTCCCCTACAGTCTAGTCTCCTATTGCCTCTGTGGCCTTATTTCTTTCTCTACCCTCCTTAGCCATCCTGCTCCAGCTCCACTGGCCTCTGCTGGCCCTTGAGATCATCAGACGTGCTCCCTGTTAAGACCTTTGCACTGACTCTCTTTCCTATGCCTGGAATGCTTTTCCCACAAACGTCTATGTGGCTAACTCCCTTACCTCCTTCAAGTTTTGCTCAAATGCAAATTTGCTCAAATTTGCACCTTCTGAATGCAACTAATCTTGATCACCTGCCACCTTCTCCAGCATGCCCTAATCCTCTTTATCCTACTTCATATTTTTTTCTCTATAGCACTTATCACCATGGAACACACTATGTATTGACTTATATATTGTGTGTACCATTTATTTATTTCCGTTTCTTCCTCCTAATAATCTCCACAAGATTGTTACCTAAAATGGTGCCTGGAATGTAGAAAGCATTCACTAAATGTTTGTTGAATGAATAAATGGATACAATTTCTTAATCTTCCCATTTTCTCACCAATATATGATATTCTCCTTATCCAGATACCATTTTTTTTACTCTCTCTGTAAAATACAACTTCATAATTTTATGGGGTGGGGAAGAATACTTTGGACTCTAACTGCATCTCAAACAACTTTTATCCATTCCTGTTTAGTTTAGCATTTCCTTCAGCCCCAGATCAGGGGTGCCTGGGACTATCAGTTGGGAGCTATTTAGAGAGCCTGTAATGTACATAGCTTTAGTTCTTAGTGTGTCCACTGATATCTTAGAATTTGGCTATCTATGATTTACTAAATCAGATTACACTTAACCATCTGCTTTCTAGTGTTAACCCAAAATGTCTGAGATGGGCCTCAGTCAGTTTAGAAAGTTTATTTTGCCAAGGTTTAGGACATGCCCATGACACAGCCTCAGGAAATCCTGACGACATGTGTCCAAGGTGGTTGGGCATACAGTTTGCTTGTATACATTTTAGGGAGATATGACACACCAATCAATATGTGTAAGATGTACACTGGTTCCGTCTGGTAGGGTGGGACAACTTGAAGTGGGAGTTTCCAGGTTAGAAGTAGATAAGAGACAAAAGGTGGCATTCTTTTGATTCCTTGATCAGCCTTCTATTGAATACACAATTTAGTCTGGCTCAGTGAATCTACATTTACCATAAACAACAGGGCAGAGGAAGCAATCAGATATGCCTTTGTCTCTGGTGAGCCTCAGAGGGATGACTTTGAGTCCTGTCTGTCCTTTGTCCACAAGGAATTTCCTGTGGGCAAATTGTGAGGGAGGTATGTAACTTCTTATCTTTGTAGCTATCTTACTTAGGAATAAAATGGGGAGCAGATTTGCCTGAACATAGTTCCCAGATGACTTCTATCTTGGCTTAATGATTCTGGGGTCCTAAGATTTATTTTCATTTCATACTAGCTTCCAAAATTGTGTTGCTGTTATCATGTTTTCCCCATTGTCAGGCTTCTGAGCCCAAGCTAAGCCATCGTATCCCCTGTGACCTGCACATACACATCCAGATGGCCGGTTACTGCCTTAACTGATGACATTCCTCCAAAAAAGAAGTGAAAATGGCCTGTTCCTGCCTTAACTGATGACATTATCTTGTGAAATTCCTTCTCCTGGGTCAAAAGCTCCCTTACTGAGCACCTTGTGACCCCCACCCCTGCCCGCCAGAGAACAACCCCTTTGACTGTAATTTTCCTTTACCTACCCAAATCCTATAAAACGGCCCCACCCCTATCTCCCTTCACTGACTCTCTTTTCGGACTCAGCCCGCCTGCACCCAGGTGAAATAAACAGCCTTGTTGCTCACACAAAGCCTGTTTGGTGGTCTCTTCACATGGTCGCGCATGAAATTTGGTGCCGTCACTCAGATCAGGGGACCTCCCTTGGGAGATCAATCCCCTGTCCTCCTGCTCTTTGCTCCATGAGAAAGATCCACCTATGACCTCAGGTCCTCAGACCGACCAGCCCAAGGAACATCTCACCAATTTCAAATCCAGTAAGCGGCCTCTTTTTACTCTCTTCTCCACCCTCTCTCACTATCCCTCAACCTCTTTCTCCTTTCAATCTTGGCACCACACTTCCATCTCTCCCATCTCTTATTTTCAATTCCTTTCATTTTCTGGTAGAGACAAAAGAGACACATTTTTTCCGTGGACCCAAAACTCCGGCGCCAGTCACAGACTCAGGAAGGCAGCCTTCCCTTGGTGTTTAATCATTGTGGGGACACCTCTCTGATTATTCACCCACGTTCCACTGGTGTCTGATCTCCACGGAGACGCCTGCCTTGATCATTCACCCACGTTCCCTTGGTGGCAAGTCAATTGCGGGGACGCCTGCTTTGGCTGCTCAACCACGTTGCAGCCCAGGGCTGCTCCCCACCACCTTCTCTGTGTCTCTATCCTTCTCTTTAAACTTGCCTCCTTTACTATGGGCAACCTTCCACCCTCCATTCCCCCTTCTTCTCCCTTAGCCTGTGTTCTTAAAAACCTAAAACCTCTTCACCTCACACCTGACCTGAAACCTAAATGCCTTATTTTTTTCTGCAATGCTGCTTGACCCCAATACAAACTCAACAGTGGTTCCAAATAGCCAGAAAATGGCACTTTCAATTATTCCATCCTACAAGGTCTAAATAATTCTTGTCGTAAAATGGGCAAACGGTCTGAAATGCCTGACGTCCAGGCATTCTTTTACACATCGGTCCCTCCCTAGTCTCTGTTCCCAATACAACTCGTCCCAAATCTTCCTTCTTTCCCTCCTGCCTGTCCCCTCAGTCCCAACCCCAAGCGTCGCTGAGTCTTTCTAATCTTCCTTTTCTACAGACCCATCTGACCTCTCCCCTCCTCGCCAGGCTGAGCTAGGTCCCACTTCTTCCTCAGCCTCCGCTCCTCCACCCTATAATCATTTTATCACCTCCCTTCCTCACACCCGGTCCAGCTTACAGTTTTGTTCTGTGACTAGCCCTCCCCCACCTGCCCAGCAATTTACTCTTAAAAAGGTGGCTGGAGCTAAAGGCGTAGTCAAAGTTAATGCTCCTTTTTCTTTATCCCAAATCAGATAGCATTTAGACTCTTTCTCATCAAATATAAAAACCCAGCCCAGTTCATGGCAGCAACCCTGAGATGCTTTACAGCCCTAGATCCTAAAAGGTCAAAAGGCCGTCTTATTCTCAATATACATTTTATTACCCAATCTGCTCCCGACATTTAATAAAACTCCAAAAATTAAATTCCGGCCCTCAAACCCCACAACAGGACTTAATTAACCTTGCCTTCAAGGTGTACAACAATAGAGTAGAGGCAGCCAAGTAGCAACATATTTCTGAGTTGCAATTCCTTGCCTCCACCGTGAGACAAACCCCAGCCACATCTCCAGCACACAAGAACTTCCAAATGCCTCAACCACAGTGGCCAGGCATTCCTCCAGGCCTGCCTCCCCTAGGAGCTTGCTACAAGTGCCAGAAATCTGGCCACCAGGCCAAGGAATGTCCACAGCCCAGGATTCCTCCTAAGCCGCGTCCCATCTGTGTGGGACCCCACTGAAAATCGGACTGTTCAACTCACCTGGCAGCCACTCCCAGAGCCCCTGGAACTCTGGCCCAAGGCTCTCTGACTGACTCCTTCCCAGATCTTCTTGGCTTAGCGGCTGAAGACTGATGCTGCCCGATCGCCTCAGAAGCCCCGTAGACCATGATGGACACCGAGCTTTAGGTAACTCTCACAGTGGAAGATAAGTCCGTCCCCTTCTTAATCAATACGGAGGCTACCCACTCCACGTTACCTTCTTTTCAAGGGCCTGTTTCCCTTGCCTCCATAACTGTTGTGGGTATTGACGGCCAGGCTTCTAAACCTCTTAAAACTCCCCAACTCTGGTGCCAACTTAGACAATACTCTTTTAAGCACTCCTTTTTAGTTATCCCCACCTGCCCAGTTCCCTTATTAGGCCGAGACACTTTAACTAAATGATCTGCTTCCCTGACTATTCCTGGACTATAGCTACATCTCATTGCTGCCCTTCTTCCCAATCCAAAGCCTCCTTTGTGTCCTCCTCTTGTATCCCCCCACCTTAACCCACAAGTATAGGATACCTCTACTCCCTCCTTGGTGACCGATCATGCACCCCTTACCATCTCATTAAAACCTAATCACCCTTACCCCGCTCAATGCCAATATCCCATCCCACAGCACGCTTTAAAAGGATTAAAGCCTGTTATCACTCGCCTGCTACAGCATGGCCTTTTAAAGCCTATAAACTCTCCTTACAATTCCCCCATTTTACCTGTCCTAGAACCAGACAAGCCTTACAGGTTAGTTCAGGATCTGCGCCTTATCAACCAAATTGTTTTGCCTATCCACCCCGTGGTGCCGAACCCATACACTCTCCTATCCTCAATACCTCCCTCCACAACCCATTATTCTGTTCTGGATCTCAAACATGCTTTCTTTACTATTCCTTTGCACCCTTCATCCCAGCCTGTCTTCGCTTTCACTTGGACTGACCCTGACACCCATCAGGCTCAGCAAATTACCTGGGCTGTACTGCCTCAAGTCTTCACAGACAGCCCCCATTACTTCAGTCAAGCCCAAATTTCTTCCTCATCTGTTACCTATCTCAGCGTAATTCTCATAAAAACACACGTGCTCTCCCTGCTGATCATGTTCAGCTGATCTCTCAAACCCCGAGAACTACAAAACAACAACTCCTTTCCTTCCTAGGCATGGTTGGATACTTTCGACTTTAGATAGCTGGTTTTGCCATCCTAACAAAACCATTATATAAACTCACAAAAAGAAACCTAGCTGACCCCATAGATCCTAAATCCTTTCCCCACTCCTCTTTCCATTCCTTGAAGACAGCTTTAGAGGCTGCCCCCACCCTAGCTCTCCCTGATTTATCCCAACCCTTTTCATTACACACAGCTGAAGTGCAGGGCTGTGCAGTCAGGATTCTTACATAAGGACCGGGATCATGTCCTGTAGCCTTTTTATCCAAACAACTTGACCTTACTGTTTTGCCCAGCCCTCAAGTCTGCGTGCAGCGGCCGCCGCTGCCCTAATACTTTTAGAGGCCCTTAAAATCACAAACTATGCTCAACTCACTCTCTGCAGTTCTCATAACTTCCAAAATCTATTTTCTTCCTCACACCTGACACATACTTTCTGCTCCCCGGCTCCTTCAGCTGTACTCACTCTTTGTTAAGTCTCCCACAATTACCATCGTTCCTGGCCCGGACTTCAATCCAGCCTCCCACATTATTCCTGATACCACACCTGACCCCCATGACTCTATCTCTCTGATCCACCTGACATTCACCCCATTTCCCCATATTTCCTTCTTCCCTGTTTCTCACCCTGATCACACTTGGTTTATTGATGGCAGTTCCACCAGGCCTAATCGCCACACACCAGCAAAGGCAGGCTATGCTATAGTACAAGCCACTAGCCCACCTCTTAGAACCTCTCATTTCCTTTCCATGGTGGAAATCTATCCTCAAGGAAATAACTTCTCAGTGTTCCATCTGCTATTCTACTACTCCTCAGGGATTATTCAGGCCCCCTTCCTTCCCTACACATCAAGCTCGGAGATTTGCCCCCATCCAGGACTGGCAGATTGGCTTTACTCAACATGCCCCGAGTCAGATAACTAAAATACCTCTTAGTCTAAGTAGACATTTTCACTGGATGGGTAGAGGCCTTTCCTACAGGGTCTGAGGAGGCCACCACAGTCATTTCTTCCCTTCTGTCAGACATAATTCCTCTGTTCAGCCTTCCCACCTCTATCCAGTCTGATAACAGACCAGCCTTTATTAGTCAAATCAGCCAAGCAGTTTTTCAGGCTCTTGGTATTCAGTGAAACGTTTATATCCCTTACAGTCCTCAGTTTTCAGGAAAAGTAGAACAGACTAATGGTCTTTTAAAAACACACCTCACCAAGCTCAGCCACCAACTTAAAAAGGAATGGACGATACTTTTACCACTTTCCCTTCTCAGAATTCAGGCCTGACCTCAGAATGCTAGAAGGTACAGCCCATTTGAGCTCCCGTATAGACGCTCCTTTTTATTAGGCCCCAGTCTCATCCCAGACACCAGACCAACTTAGACTGTGCCCCCAAAATCTTGTCATCTCTACTATTTTCTGTCTAGTCATACTCCTATTCACCAGTTTCAACTACTCATAAATGCCCTGCTCTTGTTTACACTGCCAGTTTACACTGTTTCTCCAATCTATCACAGCTGATATCTCCTGGTGCTATCCCCAAACCGCCACTCTTAAAGTGAATAAATAATCTTTGCTGGCAAGGCTATGCTGAACCTCCTTAGGCACTCTCTAATTAGATGTCCTAGGTCCTCCCAATTCTTAGTCCTTTAATACCTGTTTTTCTCCTTCTCTTGTTCTGTTTAGTTTTTCAATTCATACAAAACTGTATCCAGGCCATCACCAATAATTCTACACAACAAATGTTTCTTCTAACAACCCCACAATATCACCCCTTACCACAAAATCTTCCTTCAGCTTAATCTCTCCCACTCTAGGTTCCCACGCCTCCCCTAATCCCGCTTGAAGCAGCCTTGAGAAACATCGCCCATTCTCTCTCCATACCACCCCCAAAAATTTTCGCCGCCCCAACACTTTACCACTATTTCTTTTTATTTTTCTCATTAATATAAGAAGACAGGAATGTCAGGCCTCTGAGCCCAAGCTAAGCCATCATATCCCCTGTGACCTGCACATACACATCCAGATGGCTGGTTCCTGCCTTAACTGATGACATTCCACCACAAAAGAAGTGAAAATGGCCTGTTCCTGCCTTAACTGATGACATTCTCTTGTGAAATTCCTTCTCCTGGCTCATCCTGGATCAAAAGCTCCCCTACTGAGCACCTTGTGACCCCCACTCCTGCCTGCCAGATAACAACCCCTTTGACTGTAATTTTCCTTTATCTACCCAAATCCTGTAAAACAGCCCCACCCCTATCTCCCTTCACTGACTCTCTTTTCGGACTCAGCCCACCTGCACCCAGGTGAAATAAACAGCCTTGTTGCTCACACAAAGCCTGTTTGGTGGTCTCTTCACACGGACGTGCATGAAACCCATCTGTCAGTGTTTTCAAAGATTCTTTTACTATAGCTTTGATAGGGATTGGATAAGGAGTGAAATTATGAGTGGACTGAATTTTTCATTTTTACTCGTGAGCCTATTGCAGTATTGAATATATACTTATGCGTAGTAATGTGGAAAGACTTCTATGAAAAAAATTCTAATTGACCAAAGCAAGCAGCGGAACAATATGGGAAGTGTGTGGTCCACCACTCACTAACTGAGTAAGCTTTTACAAGTTGCTCAACCTTTCAAACCAACTTCATCGTTCATGAAATGGTGATTAAAATAAGACCTCCTTCATAGGTGGTGAGCATAAGGTGGAAAAAATCACCATGTAATAGTTGCTTAGTAAGTGTCTGCCATGTAGTAAAAACCCTCTAAATATTGTTAGCTATTCTTATTACTATAGTATACCTTTTATTGTTCCATTTGTATTTCTTAAAACCCTTATGCTTACTTTTTTATGTCATGACTGGTAATTTCAGTCCCCAAATTCAGGACTGAATAATTTTCTTTGTTCAATAATTGATATTAGGCCAGGCGTGGTGGCTCACACCTGTAATCCCAGCACTTTGAGGGGCTAAGTCGGGCAGATCACCTGAGATCAGGAGTTGAAGACCAGCTTGGCCAACATGGCGAAACCTTGTCTCTACTAAAAATACAAAAATTAGCCAGGCGTGGTTTCAGGTGCTTTTAATCCCAGCTACTTGGGAGGCTGAGGCAGGGAGAATCTCTTGAACCCTGGAGGCGGAGATTGCAGCGAGCCGAGATGGTGCCATTGCACTCCAGCCTGGGTGACGGAGCGAGGCTCCTTAAACAAATAAATAAATAATTGATATTATTTCAGTGGTGAGCCTCCATATCAAGTTGCATAGAGCATCATTGTAATATATGATATCCACCTCACTACACACTTTCCTGTGCTTGTTGATATGTTCCAGGCCACTTAGGTCTGTTTATCCTGCCTCATGTTTGAATACAATGTCTCTTTGCATCTGCTTACTCTCTGTACAATGTCTCTGCCACTTTCATAAACATGGGAAACATTCTGAGAACCTATACTACTTTAGGGTCTGGGACAATTAGCTTCCGTATCAAACTCAGAAACGTGCCTATTCCATCATAATGACACCACAAAATGGTGTGGAAAGTCCTGTGAGACTGTCTCAAACATATTGGATCGACACAAAATGGACACAGCTTTTATGTTCTTGCAGGCCTTCTAGCTCTCAGCTCTCCAAACCTACAGGGGTTTCTATGCACTACTCTACCTGAGTCAGGGCTTTGAGTCAGAGAAGGGGCAGGAGCAGGGAGCTCAGAACCTCTTCTCAGGACTCAACAGCCTGTAAGCTCTCATTACCTTCCCTCTGGATCTGCTCTTCCCTCAGCCCAAAGAGTCTCATCTAGACTTGAGTCAAAGCTTTTCTCTGAGTTATCATCTTCTCTATTTCATTCTAGAATTAGGCTTCCAAAATGCAAAGGACAAAACTGATTCTTCTTCTTAAAGAATCTTACCATTTAGAAGATAATATATCTAGCAGAATTGAAGGAAGGGTGGGACGAACTAGAGATACCAATAACAAAAAAGATCTGCTAATATATCTAGTTATAATATATTTATATTTAAACCTGCTTTAAATGCGTATGTTTGTAAAGCCTAGAAAAGCCTTATGAAGTATTATTCCAAATCACGTAACAAGGTTACCTCCAGAAAAAAAGGCTATTGCTGAACAGAGGCTTTCATTTTTACTTTTATTCCCCAGAATTTTTTGAATGCTTTAGAACATTGATTCTCAAACCGTATGAATCAAAATCACTTCAAGATCTTGTTAAAATTATGACTGCTGGACTCCAACCAGTAATTTGCATTTCTCTCTAATTCTCAGGTGATGCTGACACTGCTGTATTGCCAGAAGTAATACAGATTTGCTCTAAAGCAGTGGCAAATATTAAAATGTTTTTAAAAAGTCTATGATTCTTTGAGTTCTCACTGACTCTACGCTGAAGAACTCCCCATTCCCTAATGCAACAATTTTTCATATGATGCCAAGAGAATGGTCATGTGCCATGCCTCTGCCCTCTTCTATACCAGCCCATGTATAAGCTAAAACGAACTTTCCCCATCAAAGAAGGGCCTTCTTGTAACAAACTAAAATTCATTCTGCTGAAATTATTATTTTTCATTATTCTTTGAAATTTTCTTCCCTAAGTATTTTTCTTTTTTTCCCCAAACTTTTATTATAGCTTTAGGAAGTTTGTGTACAGATTTGTCACATGGGTAAATTGTGTGTTGCTGAGGTTTGGTGTATGAATGATTCTGTCACCAAGGTAGTGAGCATAGTATCTGATAAGCAGTTTTTCAACCCTTGCCCCCTTCCACCCTCCTCTTAGTATTCCCCAGTGTTTATTGCTCCTATCTTTATGCCCATGTGTACTCAACATTTAGCTCCCACTTATAAGTGAGAACATGCAGCGTTTGATTTTCTGTTCCTGCATTAATTTGCTTAGGACAATGGCCTCCAGCTACATCCATGTTGCCGCAAAGGACATAATTTTGTTCTTCCCTCGCTCCCCGCCCCGAGATGGAGTCTTGCTCTGTCACCCAGGCTGGAGTGCAGTGGCACGATCTCGGCTCACTGCAACCTCCACCTCCTGGGTTCAAGCAATTCTCCCGCCTCAGCCTCCCGATTAGCTGGGATTACAGGCGTGCGCCACCGTGCCCTGCTGATTTTTGTATTCTTAGTAGAGACGGGGTTTCACCATGTTGGCCAGCCTGGTCTCGAACTCTTGACCACGTGATCCTCCCACCTTGGCCTCCCAAAGTGCTGGGATTACAGGCGTGAGCCACCGCGCCCAGCCCAATTTTGTTCTTTTTTATAGCTGGATGGTATTCCATGGTGTATATGTAGCACATTTCCTTTATCCAATCTACCACTGATGGACACTCACTTGATTATATGTATTTCTTATTATGAATCACGTCTAAGTCTTTTCAAAAGAGAAACAAAAAAAAATATAGTGAGGCAGCAAAAAAATATTAAAACTTAAAAAAAAAAGCTAAACAGATAGTTTTATTGGATTCCCTAGTCAATTCCATCAATATGATTCATTTGTTCTGGATATAAAATGATCATTTCCATTTGCTGTAGACATTAAATGATCATTTATCAGCTTCCTTTTATTATCTTTTTGGGGGGAAGGGAGACCTGATTCCCCTCATAACTAGTATAACTGCAGAATGCCTTCTTAGAATTCTTCAGTACCTTTTGCAAGCAGCATTACTTTCATGCCTCAGAGTCTAGTTTCTTAAATTTGTCCTATAAAGTAATGTGTGTGGTTTCAGTTTTTTTGAAAAGATCTCCTTAGAGACCTGGCCTGGTTTCTACCTTTTACGGTTTTCTCATTTGCCTTTCATATCTCTGTGCAGTGCTAGGTTTGGCTACAACTCTTACACTTCCTGATGTTTCTATATTCTGGCAGATGGAATCTTATTTTTGGGAATTGCTTCTGTGGATTAATACTTTTACTTGATATTCTCCCCTGGTTCAGTGAATCTAACCAGTAAACTGACTCTTCTCACACCATTTATTTGCTTACATAGCCAATTGAGTTTTCCAAATATATGGATTATATTCATACCAATTTCTTTTTAAGTTTTTCTTCTAGCATGACTGGGACTTTCTGTCACAGGTATTTTCTTTCTACATTAGCTTTCATTTCTGTTTTGTCTATTCTACTTTTGGGTATGTATGTTGCAAATACCTCAAGTCTATCTTTGCCTACTAGCTTGTTTTGCAGAAAAAGTGAATAGCAGCACTGAAATGATGTAGTCCTAATGCGAATGTGTTTTAATTAAAACTTCATGTGTAGGCTGATGAGAATGTCTAATTTAGCTGGCTCTAAAAACTCCATTATTTTAATTGTGACCGTAGAGTGGCATGTTGTTTAAAGCTGCTGCAGGTATACTCTTTGGAGGCTAATAATAAAGAACCGGGAGAAATTATTATTTTAGTATATGTGCTGCCGAAGTGAGCGTGAGAAATTATTATTTTAAAGTGAGATTTGGCATTAGCATATTTTAGCCCTTTCAAAACTGTTTTTCAAACCCAGCATTTCTACTTGTAGATACAAGTTTGTCTCAGTCCATTTGGGCTGCTACAATAAAGCACCATAAAATGGGTAGCTTATATAAAATCACAGAACTTTATTTCTCACAGGTCTGGAGGCTGTGAATTTCAAGATCAAGGAGACAGCAGATTTGGTGTCTGCTGAGGGCCCATGTTCTGGTTCATAGATGGCACCTTCTTGCTGTGACATCACATGGTGGAAGGGGCAAGTGATCTTTCTCAGGCCTGTTATATAATGGAAGTAATCACCTCTCAAATGCCCCACCTCCCAAACCATCACCTTGAGAGTTAGGTTGTCAACATATGAATTTTAGGGGGATACAAACATTCAGACCGTAGCAATACACAACAGAAACATAAATATATATTCACCAAAACACATGTATTAGAAACTTTATAGAAGCAATATTAGTAGCAATTCAAAGCTAAAACATCCAATTGCCTATCAACAGCAGAATGGGTAACTTGTAATGTTGTCATATAAGGGAATATTACACAGCAATTAAAATGAACAATCAAAAAATACACGTGTTAGCATGGATAAATCTCATAAACAATTTTGAGTAAAAGAAATCGATCACAAAGAAAACCAGCCACAAAAGTACATATTCTATGGTTTCATTTAAAGTTAAAAAACAGGCAAAACTAATCCATTGTTAGGGGTCACCCTTCAGTGGTCATTACCCTCGGGGGGTGGTTAGTGACTGGAAGAAAGCACAAGGAAGTCTTCTGGGAGCTGTTTGTTGACCTGGAAACTCTTTACAGGATTATGCTCAGTTTTATAAGTTGATTGAACTACATAATTATGATACTTGCACTTTCTCGTGTGTATATTATACAGCAATATAAAGTTAAAACGAGAAAAGAAATTTTGTTTTGCACTATTCTCTTAATCCTCTCTTCTTAACTTATTTCCTCCCCAAACCCTGTGTTTCTCTTTTCTGGGGAGGTGATTTATGTTTCTCTCACATTTCTGTACATCTTCCAAATGAAATGAAATGCACAATAAAAGGCATTGACACCTTTTATTCTGTGCTCTCATTTCAAAGATGTTTGTATAGCAAACAGTCTTGGACAATAGAGATGGTGTCTCCTTCTGGGAAATAAGGAATATCTATTTGCTATTAAGAGTAATAAAGATAATGTCTCCCTCCAGAACGAAGGTTGAGCAAGTTTGCTAGCAACCCTCTTTAAAAGCCTGAGATTTGCTAAGCACAAAGTTCTTTGATTATGACACAAAGCCACTGCATGTGTAGTATTCATCTGGACTCAGTACAAACAAGATGCTCATGCTGCGTGCTGTGCTGTGAGTAATAAAGTCCTTTGTCTCTGATTCAGGAGTCTCACTTCTTCTTCAAATGTCCACGAAACTGTGGCAAACTACGTTGGTAGCTTGCAAATATGGTACAATTTCAGAGTCTTCATAGTGGTTGACCTTCTTCTAGCCTAGCAACCCAGGTTGGCTTCAGTTGCTATAACTTTTTAGTCTCACTATGTTATATTGGCCTGACTATTACAGTAATTCAATATTTTATAATAATAACCATACCGGGAAACAGAGCAATAGTTAATATTTGTTGAGCATATACTATGTGTGAGACATCACACTAAAAGATATGCATACATGTATTGTTACTTTAAAAACTTTCAACAGTCCATACTATAGGTATTTTTTTCTCCAGTTTATAGTTGAGGAAACAGGTTCAGAGGTAAAGTAACTTACCATGTATCACACAGCTAGCAAATGGCTGACTTGAGATTTAAGCCAAGTTGCTCTAATTTCAGAGCCCATACTTTCAAGTCTGTAGTCTCATATCTGAGCCAACTTCATATAACAGGAGGGGCAAAACCACATCTCATTTACCTAGCGTAGTAGAACTGGTTAAAGTTCAAACAGACAAGTTCAAAAGAAACCATTTGCTGAAGCCATTTGTGGAAGCATCGCAGCTTCGTTGTTAAGAAACTACCACTCATACCAGCATGTAGGTGTTTGTTCTTTCACAGAGCATTGGTTCTGAAAAATATTGCGATGTGGAAATAGTCATCTCTAATAGCTTCTTCTCATTATACCCTGGAGTCTCCTAATCGAAGGGATGGTATGGTCCACCAGTCCGACATTTACATTGAAAGTTCTTTCTATTTTAGGGTACACCTAGGAACAGATTAGACTAAACAGGCAATAAGGTGCAACTAGAGAATCTCCACACAGAGCAAGATGTTAATATTTAGCTTTCTTCCTTTTTTGTACTATCATATTTTACTATTATCAGGATTTAAATAACATATTTTTCTTCGAAAAGTCAAATGTTCTAAGTATAGTATATTTTATTTGGAAATTTATTAAGTTAAATATTTCTCTCTGTGAAAAAGAATTAACCAAAGAAAACAGTTAAGTTTTCAGTGGCTGGGAAAGGATTTGTGAAAAGGATTACAAACACCTCAGCTGAGAACAGCTAAGACAAAAATCTACTACAGGTCTATTTTTTGTGTGTAAGATGTATGTTCTAGTATGTACATGGCTGAATATACTGAAGGTCTCTGAAATCACAGACAAAAAATATACATACTTATTGAAGGTAAGGAACACATGCTGAGGGGCAAAAGCTACTTTTCCACATAAAATAGAATGCAAAATAAGGGAGAGCCAGGTGATAGATCAAGCCTCCTCCCCACCTGCTCCCTAGGCCCTGCTGCTTGCCAGATTCAGTTAGTTCAGAGAAGCAAGGGAGTGGAGGCTACCTGGAGAATCATGAAAACATGAAAATCATGAATCAGGATGCAGCCTAGCTTTATGGCAACTGAGGGTGACTGCACAGTGAACACCAGCTAAACTAGAATGCTATCTGTTCCCTCCCCACTTACAGGAACCTCTTATAATTAACTGGGCAGGAAAACTGAACCCATAAGACAATAAAATTACAAAACAGTAAGTACCACATCCATCCAGACAAAGACAATGTAAGAAAAACAAGAAAAAGAGCAGTATAATTCATTTAATTCTATTTTAAATCTTTTTAGTTATCAAATATAACATACATACTGAAAAATGCACAAAATAAATGCACCACTCAATTATTTACCATAAAACAAACATCCACATAACAACCACCCCGTCCAAGAAATGGAATATGATTGGACCCCAGGAATCACCATTATCTTCTCTCTCTCTGTCTATCCTTCTTTCCCTCAAAGGTAACCATTATCTTGACTTGTATGGTAATTATGTCCTTACACTTCATTATAATGTTTCAATCTACTCATGAATTCTTAAACACTATAGCATAGTTGTGGAGATTTTTTTTCAATTTTATGTAAATAGAATCATATATATATATATATATATATATATATATATATATATTCTTTTGTGTTTAACATTATGCCTATGAGATTTATCCATGTTGGGGTGTGGACCTGTGGTTTATTTATTTTCAAGGAATTGAATTTTTGGGTCATAGGGAATGTGCATCTTTTAATTTACTAGATAATGCCAAACTATTTTCCACAGTGCTGGTGGTCAACTAACCCCTAGCAGAATATGAGAATGCCTGTTTCTGCAAACATGCAACTTCACTTGGTATAATCAGTCTTATTTTAGCCATTCTGGTGTGTGGCTGGTGGTATCATATTGCATTTCAATTTTATTCTCCTGATGATTAGTGAGGCTGAAGGTCTTTCACATGTTTATTGCCCATTATATAACCTTGTTTTGTGAAATAGCCATTCAATTCTCTTACTTATTTTTCTATTGGGTTGTCACTCTTTTTCTTAGGCGTTTGTAGTGGTTTTCAAAATATATTCAGAATAAGACCCTTTGTCAGTTATATGTATTAGAAATATACTATTCTACTACTATATGCTTGCCTTTTCACCCTCTTAATGCTCTGGAGGAAGCTAGCCACCATGAAGGAAGTTTGAGTGTCCTAAGGCTTCCATGTTGTTAGGGAGTCCAAACTGGCCACATAGAGAGGCTACATGGAGAGATGCTTGGCCAGCCTCAGTGTTCCAGCCATCCCGGTGCAGACACCAGACATGTGAATGAAGAAGTCATCTTGGACATTCTGTTTCCAGCAGATGTGATGTGGAGAAGAAAAAGAAACACAGCCAGCAGCCAGAGCTGAGACCTAACATATAAGACCTCAATTGAGCCATCCCAGGCATCTCTAGCCATTCGAACCACCCAGCTAAGACTCCAGTCATTGCAAAACAAAAATGATCTATCCCTTGGTGGGGCTTGCCCAAACTCCTGACTCAAGATATTGAGCATAATAAAAATGTTTGTTGTCTGATGCAACTAAGTTGTGAGTGGATTGTTCTGAAGTGATAGATAACTGGAACAGAGGATTCCATGGCGAGTGTGGGATTTTGAAAAACTGAAGTAAATGCAGGAAAAGAGGGGTTCTGGGAGAGAAAAACAAATTAGTCAAGTTGGCGAATGCAGAGTACACTTGGAGTCTTAGAGTATCAGTGAAGTGACCATACCAACAAGGTGGAAACATTATTTTAAGATAAATGTGGCAAGATGTTTTTCATCTTTCACTGGTTAGAGAAAATAAAGAGAGACTTTGCATAACAACAAATTAAAAAGAAGCTATGATAGTTGCCCATCATGTGGAGAAAAATGTTTCATATCTGAAGAATCGGAAGATACAGCTCCTTGGATGAATCTGTGCCACTTTTAGAAAGAAAAAGAGAGAATGGAGAAAAAAATGACCTCCTGAATGTTTATCTGAGGTATGCTTGGTATGTACTAAATGAGTGACTCCAGGGGAAAAGACTTTTGTTTGTTTGTTTTTTGTTATTAATCTCCTAGTAGATTCTGAACTCAGTGTGTATTCATTATCACAGCTGATAGTGACACTCACACTCTGGAAATGAACTTTCCCTACAAGCTGTGTAATATTTACCAAATCTAGGCATAGAAATATATTAGCTAGAAAGAAACCAAATCATGAAAAACCTTGAAATCATGGAACAGGTGTTTAGAAGTAATTTTAGAAATAGGTCGGGTGTGGTAGCTCACGCCTGTAATCCCAGCGCTTTGGGAGGCCGGAGCGGGTGGATCACCTAAGGTCAGGAGTTCGAGAACAGCCTGGCCAACATGGCGAAACCACATCTCTACTAAAAATACAAAAACTAGCCGGGGGTGGTGGTGGGTGCCTTGTAATCCCAGCTACTTGGGAGGCTGAGACAGGAGAATCGCTTGAACCCCAAAGGTGGAGGTTGCAGTGAGTGGAGATCACGACACTGCAGTCCAGCCTGGGCCACAGAGCAAGACTCCGTCTCAAACAACCAAACAAACAAACAACAAAAGAATTAATTTTAGAAAGTAATTTTAGTAATTTAAAACTTCTAGTTGTGAATTAGTTAAAGGGGTAATATATACTGCAAACATGATTCCTGTAAAACTTTGGGAAGAGAAGGAAGGACAAAGAGACAGATGAACTTGTTGAGTATAGAACTGGGTAGAAAAATGCACTGATGAATCTGGCACCAGAACAAGACCAAGAATTAACATAAAGAGGCAATGACAATGAGACAGAGTTGCCATTTCACTGTGTCTCATCCCTTTCATCTATCCACCATGAAAATTGCTTTTGAAGCCGTGAGTGGAATAAGGTGGTTATTTGAAAGAAAGTGTATGATAACTGCGTGTCCTCACTGTGAATAATAGCTTGTGGAACACAAACTGATAGAAATAGACGCATATTGAGTTTTGTCATCAACATCTTGTATGATAGCTTATCTCATAATGCTGGCGTTTTGAACTATAGTAAATAAAAACTTTCTGAACCAGGAAGAATATATTTTTATCCTTAGTGATACATAACTTTAGGTATCTTTAAAGGAAAGGAGAACATCCTGGAGTTCAATAATAAAATGTTTATTATAGTACTGAAAGTGAAAATGCCTCAGCCGTAGTTTTAAAAAATGTATGATGAGAATACACGGCCCTTCAATGCAGTGATGATAAATAAATAAATAAAGCCCAGAGGCAGAAAAGCCCAACCAGATTCTGCAGTCAAGATATGACCAAAAAAAGATTCATAAAATAGAAGGTTAACAGTGAGACTCATATTCCAGTATATATTTCCTCCTCTGAAATCTTCAGTCCATTTCTGAAACCAAATTAGAGTATTAGACACTTCAGTACAGAAAAAAGAAACATATATTTCAGTTTTTGTTTTGTTAATTCTCTATTGTGGTTAATAGTAGATTTCGTGTGTGCTAGATTTTGAGCTATTACTCTAGCTGATTGGGGGCATCAGGAAATCTGGAGTTTCTGAAATCTGTTTGTTGTTTTTCTTTTAATGTGAAAATATTATCATCTGTGGAAATGCACAGTATTACTGATGTCAATACTAATTTGAGATAACATATAGAAAGCTTTTTGGAAACACTGATTTATGATGTAAGACATTAAAATAATATCATTGTTGATCATGATAACAGCATTGCCAGTTACACATCGACTTGCTTGCATTTTAAACATCGTGTATTCCTAGATGTTAAGTAGAAAAAAAAATTGTCATTTTTCTTTTTTTCTATTGGAAAAAGGAGCACTGAGATTTTCCCTGGCCATGGTCTTTTAACATAGACTATTTTCTTCATAATAGTCTGTCAGCCCGTA
Organism: Homo sapiens; assembly: GCF_000001405.40. NCBI lineage: Eukaryota > Metazoa > Chordata > Mammalia > Primates > Hominidae > Homo > Homo sapiens. The sequence goes on from NC_000023.11 coordinate 30,120,025, forward strand.
TTTATTAGATCCACTGTGTAGAATTCATTTCTTGCTGTTTTGGAGAATTGTAAAAAGTAGTAGTGAAATATCTGCACAGGAGGAATTTATTTTCTAATGGGAAAGACAGAACAATTTCATGTACCCAATATGTGTATGAAAGCATATGTGTGTGCTAAATCATAAACATAACTCTATGTATGTTTTTCACCCACACATCCACTTTTTAAATTATTTAATAGGGGAGGTGGCAAACTATGGCTTGAGGGCCAAATCCAGTCAGTGGCTAAGTCCTTGAGCTAAGGATGTTTTTTACATTTTTAAAGAGGTGCAAAAAATATAAAAACCAACAAGAATATACATCAGAGAGAGTATGTGGCCCACAAATCCTAAAATATTTACTATCTGGCCCTTGATGTAGAGTAATCCATAAAACTATGAAGTTTTACTAAATTAGAGAGATGATAACTGTCTGAGGTAGTGTGAGAGTGAGTGCAGGACAATCTCTAACCACACTGGGTGAAGCTTGGATAACTGACCTTTGTACTGCAGTGGCTTTCAAAGGCCTTCCTGAATAAAAAGCAAAAAGATGCACTGAAGTCATCACTACAGGGGGTTTCACGTGTTGATTTCCCATGCAGGTGCATACATTTCTGTCTTCTCTGATAGTACAGACTATTAAAATTAAATAGGTAAATCTAGGTCTTGTCCTTACCACCACGCTAGTTTTCAAGATGTTAGCATTCTCTTTATAAAATGTGCCCACAAAGACCTTGGGGTGGGGTAATTGCTCAAAGACGTTTAACCTTCTACAGTCAATTCAGCAGCTAATTGTGGCATTACTGCTAATTGAAGTTGCCATTTGGTGTGACAGACAAAAAAAGCCTATATTTTCCCAACATTTCTTTGGTTTCTGAACTAGAAAATTGTATTTTGATTCAGCACTGCAGCTAGAATTTGCAGTGCGTGTGACTCAGCCATTTGTTGCATGGTCTTTTCAATGCATAGTTCAGAGGTCAGTGAGAGATTTAGCCAGGGTTTACATGCAGAATTTGGAATTCCCATTGTTATATATCTTCTTTCCAATATTTTTCCCTTACTTTCCAGCTGCTGTGGTCATTTAACCTCTCTTCTCCCTCTTCATGTTTTCCATCCCAGTTTTAGCCACCTTACATGGATTGACTGAAGCTTGTAATGAGCAAAAAACTTTAAAAGGAGAAACTCACCCCATTCCATTTCCTACTTCCAAGTGTAGACTCTCCTTTACTCTCTGATTGTAGTTACTCTCCAGTGACTCCAAGTAGTTTCTTCTATTTCATCTGGCATTTGAAGTTGTTTTCTGTGGAAAAGTTGGTCCCAGAGGAGCTACTCCCCCATCGCCAGATTGGGAACCTACCCCCACATTTATTTCTAGTGAGAGTGATCCATGATGTGTCACATAATATACACAATAGATGTATATTATGAGGATAACTTGTACTTCATTAAGCAGAGAGTGAATAGCGGTTTCCTGCTATGGTAAAGAAATTTGTTGCAAATTAAATTTCTACCATCCCACAAATAGAAGGTCTGCCTACATTCCAAATGTGTATGGCAAGAAAAATTGGTGCATTGTTTTAATTCCAAGTATATTCATGTGAAGAATGAAGCCCTCCCCAAAAAACAGATTTATTGAAACCAAAATACTTCTATTAATATTTTGTACACAATTGTTTTAAATGAACATCACTTTTGTCAGACCCACTTACTGTCTAGAAAGACAGCCCCACGCAGCAGATAATGGTTTAAAATGAGAAAGAGGCAGGGGGAGAGAGAGAGAGAAAGAGAGAGACATTCCCAAGGAATTATTTTAAAAATTCAAAGCTCATTTCCCCATAATTAGTCCATAAATGCACCATCATTCAGGGAAAATTTGCATGAACTTTTCTCCTTTTCTCACCTGTAATTCTGCCTATTGTGATATTTTTGCCTGTTTCATGTTTTTCCTTGAGGCCTATTACAACTTTGTACTTGAATTCCTCTATAGAAACATTTTAGAAGAGAGAAAGGAAGAGACAGTGAAGCATATCTTGTGATTGGCTGGGGTATATGTGTCTCTATATTACAGATCTGGAAAAAGTCTTTCTTGGGCAAATCAACAGTGGAGACAGAACATGTGCATGCCTTTCTTGTTGTTAATACTGCCTGAATAATGGGAAGTGATGACAAAGTTCTTCTGTTTGTCTATAAATCACAATTTTAGGTATACAAGTACACCTTGTTATATTGCACTTAAATTTACTGTGCATTGCAGATACTGCATTTTTACAAATTGAAGATTCGTGGCAACCCTGAGTCAAGCAAGTCTATCAGCACTATTTTTCCGAAAGCATGTGCTCACTTCCTGTCTCTGTGTCACATTTTGGTAACTCTTGTAATATTTCAAACTTTTCATTATTATTTTATGTTATGGTGATCTGTGATCAATGCTCTTTTACGGTACTATTGGAATTGTTTTGGGGCACCATGAACTATGCCTACATAAGATGACAAACTTAATAAATGTTGTGTGTTCTGACTGCTTCACCAACTGGTCATTTCCCCGTCTCTCTCCCCGGGACTCATTATTATTTAAGACACAATAATATTAAAATTAGGCCAATTAGTCATCCTACAATGGCTTCTTAGTGTTCAAGTGAAATGAAGAGTTGCATGTCTTTCACTTTAAAATGCTAGAAATGCTTTAAGCTTAGTGAGGAAGTCATGTCAAAAGCTGAGATGCAATGGAAGCTAGGCCTCTTATGCCAAACAGTTAGCCAAGTTGTGATTGCAAAGGAAACATTCGTGAAGGAAATTTAAAACGCTCCTCTAGTGAACACACAAATAATAAGAAAGCGAAAGAGTCTTATTGCTGGCATGGAGAAAGTTTGAGTGGTCTGGATAGACAATCAAACCATTCACAACATTCCCTTAAACCAAAGCCTAATCCAGAGCTTCTATGGATTCAATCCTATGAAGGCTGAAAGAGGTGACAAAGCTGAAGATGAGTTTGAAGCTAGCACAGGTTGGCTTATGAGGTTTAAGGAAAGAAGCCATCTCCATAACATAATAGTGCAAGGTGAAATAGCAAGTTCTGATGAAGAAGCTGCAGTAAGTTAACTAGAAGATCTAGCTAAGATAATTAATGAAGGTGGCTACACTAAACAACAGATTTGCAATGTAGATGAAACTGCTTTCTATTGGAAGAAGATGCCACCTAGGACTTTCATAGCTAGAGAGGAAAAGTCAATGTCTGGCTTCAAAACTTCAAAGGACAGGCTGACTTTCTTGTTAGGGGCATTAGCAGCTGGTGACTTCAGGTTGAAGCCAATGCTCATTCTAAAAATCTGATGGTCCTTAAGAATTATGCTAATTCTACTCTGCCTGTGCTCTGTATATGGAACACTGAAACGTGTATAACAGCACATCTGTTTACAGCATAGTTTACAGCATATTTTAAGCCCATGTTTGAGACCTACTACTCAGAACAAAAGATTCCTTTGAAAATATTACTGTTGATTGGCAATGCACCTGATAACTCAAGAGCTCTGATGGAGATGTACAAGGAGATTAATGTTGTTTTCATGCCTGCCAACACAACATTCATTCTTCAGCCTAAGAATCAAAAAGTAATTGCAACTTTCAAGTTTTATCGTTTAAGAAATACATTTCATAATGCTATAGCTGCCATACATAGTGATTTGTCTGATGGATTTGGGCAAAGTAAATTAAAAATCATCTGGAATGTATTCACCACTCTACATGTCATTAGGAACAATTATGATTCATAGGAGCAGGTCAGAATAGTAAAACTACAGGAATTTGGAAGAAGTTGATCCCGGCTCTCATGGATGAATTTGAGAGATTCAAGACTTTGAGGTAGATGTTGTAGAACTAGTAAGAGAACTAGGAATAGAAGTAGAGTCTGAAGATGCCACTGAATTTTTGAACTCTCATTATAAAACTTGAACTGATGAAAAGTTACTTCTTATGGATGAGCAGAGAAGATGATTTCTTGAGATGGAATCTATTGCTGGTGAAGATGTTATACATTGTTGAAATGACAACAAAGAGCTTAGAGTATCCCATCAACTTAGTAGATAAAGCAGCAGCAGGATTTGAGAAGACTGACTCCAGTATTGAAAGTTCTACTGTGGGTAAAATGCTATGAAACAGTGTTTCATGCTACAGAAAAATCTTCTTGAAAAGAAGAGTCAATCGATGCTGCAAACTTTATTGTTGTCTTGCTTTGAGGAATTGCCACAGCTACCTCAGCCTGCATCAATCACCACCATGATCAGTCAGCAGCCACCAACCTCAAGGCAAGACCCACCACCAGCAAAAGGATGAGGACTCGCTGAAGGCTCAGATGATTGTTTGCATTTTTTAGCAATAGAATATTTTTAAATTAAGGTATGTACATTATTTCCTTAGACACAATGATATTGCAAACTTAATAGGCTACAGTATAGGGTAAAGATAACTTTTATATGCACTGGAAAATCAAAAAATTTGTGCGACTCACTTTATTATGATATTAACTTTATTGTGGTGGTCAGGAACCAAACCCACAATGTTCCCGAGGTGTGACTGTTATTCATGAGGAAAAATCAGCAGTTCTTCCTGAAGGAATATTAGGAAATACGTAGTTTCATTTGCTTTCTGTAACTTTGACTACCATATTCTCTCCTACATGACGATTTTCTGCTTTTGCAGCAGGAGTTTGTTAATTACTAAGAAGCATTGACTGCAGTCCAACCCTCTTTCAACCTGACTGATACTTAGGAAAACAGAACAAACAGCATTGTAATCTTTTTGGAAGGGTAAATGATTATTCAAGGGAAATATATATATCAAAGCTAGGCTGGATTGGCTCTGATGTATGATGAGTAGTTTTTATGTAAGTCAAAGTAGATTCTGAAAGGATTGACCTTTCCTGTTAAAAAAAAATTTTTTTTGCATTGTTTGGCAGACAGAGCCCTTTGCTTACTCCAAATAAAGTAAGCTGCTTCTTCCAATTCATTGATGCTTATTTGTGTGTTTCATCTTTTGAAAGACAGACTGTTTCAGAATAACAGCTATATAACTTTGTCAGAGCTGATTAAAGGCAGTTTATCTAGCAGAGGGCTTTGCACATATGTTTGTCAATAAATGGTAGTAATTATGGTAGTAGAGACTTGTCTACATCTTTCAATGAAGAGGCAGAAACTAAACTACCAACACAGCAATGCATCAGTGACCCAACGTAGACAATTTGAGGCACTAAAAATCATGACAAATTGTTTTTGCAAAAAATATCTTCTTTCCCCACTACCGTATTTCGGGCAAATAATTTTCAGTTCCTCATACTTGAACTTTTCTACCTATATGAGAAATGTCCACATTCTTGATACATTTTAGATATAAAAATAACTATCTTGAAAAATATTAAGTGAAAAAGATAACTTATACACTATCATTTAGGTGATAATTTCTATCAAGCTAATGAATTAAAAGAACGTTTTGCCTACAAAAAGGCAAAAACCTTATGTTCATTTTCAAACAAATCACAAGAAATTATAAAGGTATAAAATTATTCTATAGAATGTCATTGTCAACAAGGATAATATGTTAAATAGAGTCAGAACTACTGGTGTTTTGCACTTTCGCCTTATAGAGACACTTGGCAGAAACAGAATAATGAGGGTCACTTGACTTTCTCTACTTCATTAAAATGATGAAGCCAGATTTAGTCTTGATAATTTAAAAGTGCGAAATGATGCATATAACTGACAAAAAAAAGCAATACAGAAAGGAATAACTTTTCTCAATATAATGTTTTAAAATCTCCTTAGAGTTATAGAATGATGACTTACTAATAAAAGGATTGGCTATTTGCAATCAATTCCATACTTATTTGTGTTAATTAATACTTCTTTCTCACTATGGGAAATTGATTCCCCACAAGCCATAAATACAATGCATCCTCCATAAATAGAATATTTTTAACAGATGTATGTCTAGCTGAAAAAATCTAAAGGCAGAAGAACAAAAATAAGTTGTTTTTAAAAAATTTACATTTTATGCTGCTTTAAATTTGTAAAACATTTAAATATATTAGTTTGTGTGATTTTTCATAATTATCCCCTGCAATAAAAGGAGCAGATGTATTCTTTCAGTTAAAAAACTGAATCTTAAAAAACCTAAATGATTTACTCAAGATCTAAGTGTACATGGGAGAGATGGAGTTGAAAGTAAGTTTTCGATGCTCTTTTATTAAAGTACTTAACCATTTTTAAAAAATGATGTATATGCCTACCTCTTGCATGAGACAGAAACCTCCTGGAGAGCAGGGATCTCCTATGTGAATCTCCACTGCTTAGCCCATCTCTTACTTCACAGAAGGTATTCACCTTATGCTTCCTGAGTTAGAATGGGATGAACTAAATTGATGACCTGAAGCTTATGAGAAAATTGTACACTCATCATAATATTTATTAACTGAAATTTACGTTAGTTAGGAAAGTGTTCATTACAAATATTTACATGGCCCTTGGTTGCACCAATACATCCTTATACACACAAAATATGCAGATCCAAGCCTCCACGGAGTCATAGTAGTCTCGTTTTGCATATCATTGGCAATGGATTTTTCTGGCTTTCTTTCTCCTTATTATTAGTTATTCCCTCTTTGGTAGGCTGCATGTCCAATTTGTAACCCTATCCAAAAAAAATTCCTTTATTTACATACTATATCTCGGCTTCCTTTTAGTGGGAAACTCAATCTATTATTTTTAAGCACATGAGATAGCTTTTTGTATCTAAGTGAGACTCATTGCTCTTCATTGTAAAATGGCCCCCAAAAGCCACTTTAACTCTGATCACTAGCTATAACCTAGCCTTGGGATGGCTGAGATGAAAACCTTTTATGTAAGCCCACTATTTACATCAGTTTCTCTAATGTGCTGGCCTCAGGAGAGTGAAACACAAGCAGGTCCATTTCCAAGGGAAAAATGCTGCTTCTTAAAGATCAAATCGCAGTTCTGGATCCTCAAATAGATGAGTCACAGCACAATGTAAGATATTGAAAAATACCAAAAAATGCTATGGAAAGTTTCCTGCCCTCAAGGACATAAAGATCTATTTAAGGAATCAAGATTCTCAACATAATTAGCAAGCAATGCAGAAGTGCACTAAATTATGTTGCATGGAATTCAAGTGCTATAGGGAATAAGAGCAAGGAAAATTGCTGCAGACTAGGGAAATCACAGAAGAAAAGGGTTTTGCAGGGCACCAGCTCTTGCCCATGACCCTCTTTCCAGCTCTAAGTTGGGCATATGCCAGACTACTCAGGATGCTTGTTCTAACGATTCATCAAGAAATGCTCCTTTCTTCTTGCCCTCCTTTTGATCAATGCAATCTCATTTGAGTCTGTTTGGCTCCCTATTTCACAACACTGCATTTTTAGTACTCTGAGCTTGTATTGTTCATATCCTTTATACACACACACACACACGCACACTATGTATATATGTTTGTATATTCCATTTTCAAAGTGTTTAGGGCAGGTACACATTGTTTTCCCATTACATCATCCATTGCATTAGTATAGTGTCCCGCACAAATTACTCACTCAATAGAAGTTGTTGATTGATAGAATAAGATGATTAGTTCGTGGCATGTTTGCATCTAGTACAGTGTCTGGCACATAGTAGGTACAAAATATTTTCTTTTTTTGAGACAGGATCTCGCTCTGTCACCCAGGCTGGACTACAGTGGTGTGATCTCGGCTCACTGCAGCCTCCGCCTCCCAGGTTCAAGCAATTCTCTTGCCTCAGCCTCCCGAATAGCTGGGACTACAAGTATGCGCCACCACGGGGTTTCACCATGTTGCCCAGGCTGGTCTCGAACTCCTAACCTCAAGTGATCTGCCTGCCTCTGCCTCCCAAAGTGCTGGGATTACAGGTGTGAGCCACCATATCTGGCCAAAATAAATATTTTGATAAAAATCTGTTTAGCTGTTAATTGAATGGATTCACTGGTCACTTTTCATTGCTTTATTATCAATTTGATTAGTCAACCAATAAGTTAGTTTTACATAAGCAGATAACAAAGAAACAGTTAATTAGGTTACTGTAAGTATACATGACTTGAAAGTTGACTGTTGCAATTGGGATATATTACCTCAGAAATACATGTAGATATACATAAATACGTTGCCATAAATACAGAGCTTGAAGCATGTTACAAGAGCTATACCTTTGTACAACAATTCCTTATTTTTAGTGTAAATGAGGTTATATAAAGTATTTGTTCTAAAAATTAAACACTACCCAACGTTTTTCTGTGTCACTTTTATTAATTGTCATATTGATTCATTACTTGCTACATTTAAAAACAAAAGACAAAAACTGGAGTAGGCTTTAGAAAATGCCTTGTAGGGAGTAATATATTACAATCAAAAAATGCTTAATGCCTGTTATATTTCTTCTATTGTTAGAGTATAAAATATGTAGAGCAGTGGATTTTCTAATTGGACTTAAATTGAAACTCTGTCACTTACCAGTTGTGAGAGCTTGGGTCAGTTGCTTAATTTCTTTAAGCCTCAGTTTCCTCATAAGTAAACACTGGGTTAATAATGTATATTCCATGACCTAGGATTTCCACTCTTAGGCATATAACCAAAAGCAAATGCAATAAAAACAAAGATAAATAGCTGGGACTTAATTAAACGAAAGAGCTTTTGCACAGCAAAAGGAACAGTCAGCAGAGTAAACAGACAACCCACAGAGTGGGAGAAAATCTTCACGATCTATACATCTGACAAAAGACTAATATCCAGAATCTACAACGAACTCAAACAAATCAGTAAGAAAAAAAAAATCCCATCAAAAGTGGGCTAAGGGCATGAATAGACAATTCTTAAAAAAAGATATACAAATGGCCAACAAACATATGAAAAAAAATGCTCAACATCACTAATGATCAGGGAAATGCAAATCAAAACTACAATGCGATACCACCTTACTTCTGCAAGAATGGCCACAACCAAAAAATCAAAAATCAATAGATGTTGGCGTGTTTGCAGTGAACAGGGATCACTTCTACACTGCTGGTGGGAATGTAAACTAGTACAGTCATATGGAAAACAGTGTGAAGATTCCTTAAAGAACTAAAACTAGAACTACCATTTGATTCAGCAATCCCACTGCTGGGTATCTACCCAGAAGAAAAGAAGTCATTATTCGAAAAAGATACTTGCACACGCATGTTTATAGCGGCACAATTCATACCCGCACAATCGTGGAACCAACCCAAATGCCCATCAGTCAACAAGTGGATAAAGAAACTGTGGTATATTTATATGATGGAATACTATGCAGCCATAAAAGGGAATGAATTAACAGCATTTGCAGTGACCTGGAGGAGAATGGAGACTATTATTCTAAGTGAAGTAACTCAGGAATGGAAAACTGAACATCGTATGTTCTCACTGATACGTGGAAGCTAAGCTATGAGGACACAAAGGCATAAGAATGATACAATGGACTTTGGGGACTTGGGGGGAAGAGGGGGAAGAGGGTGAGGGATAAAAGATTACAAATATGGTGCAATGTATACCGCTTGGGTGATGGGTGCACCAAAATCTCACAAATTGCCACTAAAGAACTTACTCATGTGACCAAATACCACCTGTATGCCAATAACTTATGGAAAAATAAAAAAATAATAATAAAAAGAAATGTCTGCCTGTATTTTCACCAAAAGGAATGTACAGGAAACTTAATAGTAGCAATATACATAATAGTCCCAAACTGGAGAGTTCCTAAGTGCCCATTGATAGTAGAATGCATAAATATAGTATGGCATATTCAAACAGAGAAAACTGTACGGAGCTAAGAAGAAACTATAACTACATTCAGCACTATGCGTGATTCTTACAGACCTGGGGTTGAGTGAAAGAAGACGGACACAGAAGAGTACATATTGTATGATTCTATTAATGTAAAATGTTAATGCTAGTAAAACTAATATGTACTGGTTGGGCGCAGTGGCTCACGCCTGTAATCCCAGTACTTCGGGAGGCTGAGGCAGGCCGATCACCTGAGGTCAGGAGTTCGAGACTAGCCTGACTAACATGGGGAAACCCCATCTCTACTAAAAATACAAAATTAGCCGGGTGTGGTGGCACATGCCTGTAATCCCAGCTACTTGGGAGGCTAAGGCAGGAGAATCGCTTGAACCCGGGAGGTGGAGGTTGTGGTGAGCCGAGATTGTGCCATTGCAGTCTAGCCTGGGCAACAAAAGCGAAACTCCATCTCAAAACAAACAAACGAACAAATAAACGAAAAACTAATATGTACTATTAGAAGTAAGGGTATTGGTTCCCTTGAAGGGGGAAAGTTTGTGATGGAAAGGAAGCAGAGGGACAGCTTCTGCGGTGCTGATCAAATTCTATTTCTTGGTTTGGCTGCTAGTTTCCCAGGTGTGCTCAGTTTGAGAAAATTCAAAGAGATATAGAATTACGGCATACTAACTTACCTGTATTTTATTTTATTGTCACAAAACATTTACAAATTAGGTTAATATTTATCTCCTAGAGTTAACATGAGGATTGAGTCGAATGGCATTCATGAAAGTGCTGAGCAGTCACTACACTAAATAAACAGTCCTTTGTAATATGTTTTATACCTATACCCCAAATATCTTGCAGATAAAGTCTTTGTATAATCTGTATCATATATATTTTTAATACAATACATGACATAATGAGGCTTACACTAATACCTTTCAGAACATATTTGTTCTTTCTTCGTCTCCCATCCTGCAGACATTCACAAACAGAAAAAGGGTACCAGACTACTCAGAGTGCTTGTTCTAACAATTCTAATAAAGCTTCATCGTCAGATTGCTATCTATGAATTTTTCCTTGCCAAAAATGTGCACACACATAGCAACTATGTAGTAGTACCCATCATACACTAATAACAAGTGAACAGCAGCAGAATGGAGCTTATAATAGAACAAAACCAAACTACAGTCAGAGCAAAACGCCCTCCTAGTTTTTCAACTAGCAAGAAAAATATTGCTTGAAATTGTGATCTGGCAGTCCATTGCAAAGAAAATAAGATGAAATGACTTCCTACATCATCAATTTACAGATCAGAGCCCAAAAGATGTAAACATTGTGCTGTGCAGTTCTTTTTGTCGCTTAAACTGAACAGAGTGTGCTGGAGACTGATATAATCCCTGAATTCTCTAACTGAGCATTAACTGCAAATTGCCCTAAAGATTGGATAATTTTTAAAGAAAAGAATCAAACATGACTACTTTTATTTGCCAGATTTCTATCTAGGTATACAGTAGTGAGTAATTTTATTCTGGGTTGCTCACTAACAGTAGTCAAACTGTTCCTCATTACATATCCATTACTCAATCTAATTAATACATTGAAGTTAAAGGATGGTGATTGAATGGTTGAGTGTTATAAAGAAAGCATTATACCCTAAAACTAAGCATCCCTAGTAATTATTATCATGCATATATGCTACATGCTTAGACCTCCATGTCTCTGTAAAAAAAATTCCTGGGGAAATAGTATTTCGTGGTTCCTGAAAATGCTTTGCATTTACTTTTTTGATCAATACAAATAACTATATTAATGTTTCAAGATCAATGTTGAACCTGCTTCTTGAAATCTTTAATCAACTTTTCCCTAGTGAAAGCAAAAACAAAAAACATTAGAGGCCTATTATAATCGATTTTTCTTAGAACTGCTAAAATGTTTGTGAAGCAGCAAGAGAAACGAAGGGAAAAAATCTAAAGCAATTAGATATGACATTTCAGAAGGTGGACCTGTTTATCTGGAGACAAAACACCAACTGCAAAATTCTTCTTAGCTAACTTTGTGACAACACTCCGCCAAAGCAATGATACAATCCCATTTAGAAAATGAAGGACAATCCTATTGAGTTAAGCTAAGAGATGAGAAAAAAATGCTGATGTTTGATGAAGTAAATGGAATTCTAATGTATTGCTACGGATTTCCATGATCCTCATAGACTAGCTTTTCTGAAGTATACTACATGATTCACCCCATCAACCATGGTTGGTTTTGTAAAGTAAAGAACGTTAGCAGTCAGAGAAAGTGCCTGATATAGTTTGGATGTTTGGCCCCTCCAAATCTCATGTTGGCATGTGATCCCCAATACCGGAGGTGGAGCGTGGTGGAAGATGTTTAGGTCATGAAGGGGAATCCCTCATGAATGACTTGGTGCTCTCCCCATGGTAGTGAGTTGCCAAGAAATACGATTGTTAAAAGGAGTCTGGGACCTCCCCGCTGTTTCTTTTGCTTCGTCATTCTTGCTCCCTCTCTTGCCATGTGACACTCCTGCCCACCTTTCACCTTCCATCCTAAGTAAAAGCTTCCTGGGACCTCACCAGAAGCCAAGCAGATGGTGTTGCTAGGCAGAACTGTGAGCCAAATAAATCCTTTTTTCTTTTTTTTAATTTAACTTTTATTTTAGGTTCAGGGGTACATGTGCAGGTTTGTTATATAGGTAAACCTGTGTCTTGGGGTTTTTTTTGCACAGATTATTTTGTGGCAATTCCTCAAAGACCTAAAATCAGAAATACCATTTGACCCAGCAATCTCATTACTTGATATATACCCAAAGGAATATAAATCGTTCTATCGTAAAGACGCATGCATATGTTCACTGCAGCACTATTCACAATAGCAAAGTCATGGAATCAACCTGAAAACCCATAAATAGTAGACTGCATAAAGAAAATGTGGTACATATACACCTTGGAATACAATGCAGCTATAAAAAAATCTCTTTCCTTTGTAAATTACCTAGCCTTAGGTATTCCTTTATAGCAATGCAAGACAGACTAACACAGTACCCTGAAGCAGGCATGCTTCCCTTTGAAAGACTAATGTTTTGAAGGGAGTGACGATGTGATTGGTCTCCTTATTCAAGGTTGTTCACTCATGAACACTAGGCTTATACAGCAAGATCTCTGTTTTCCTACAAGCAGAAGTGTTACAGATAATATAACTGAAATCATGTGCTTTCAAGAAGTTTGACACCTCAGAAATTATTATTCCTTTTTGAAAGTCTACAGGATGACAGAAAATGTGAGTGGAAAGATTATAGACACTGTTTGCCCTTCCTTGCCCATCTCCTTTCACCACTCAAGAGGGGCACAAGCACTTCACTAGGTGCAATATTGGGACCATTAATTTCTTCAGACCACATCCAATTCCTTAATTCTTTCAGTAAGATTGAGATATTGGAGCAGTGTTTCTTAATTACAGGTATGTGAGTAGGTGTCATTGGGAATGTGACATTGTGTGTGTGTGTGTGTGTGTGTGTGTGTGTGTGTACTGCTTTTCCTAACTTTGTATCATGAGTGTCTCCGGTTTTATCAGATTCTCAAGAGGATCCACCAGCCCCAAAAGTTTTAAAAGCATTGTTTTGCCAGTTTGAAAAACATTACCTAATTTATGCTTCTTGGATTCAAACATATTGCACTCCCTCTAAATCTTGATTCCTCTTTTCTTTCTCCCCAATTCATCTTCTTTTAAAAAAAATTGTTTATAACATTCACTGCTGGATTCTCTTTCTCTATATCTCTTTCTCCAAGTAATATGAATTCATCACTTGATATCTTCATATCTGTTCAGTTGCTTTGGAAATCCAAATACGAAATCTGAAATAAACCAACAATGCAGACAGGAAGAGAAGACCTTCAAAAGGCTATCGAAGTGGCTAACTACGTCTTATATTATTCATATATTTGACTACAAGAGACCAAAGAAACAAAAATGACTCATGTTAAACTGCAGAATTTCATGGAAACATAAATACCACATTTATCTTAAATATAATCTTTAATCGATGAAGTTAGGTATAGAAATATATGGCTCCATTGCAATAGTTAAAAAAATTATTGGTTTAGAAGAAAGTACGATTTTCATAAATTTGTTATTTGAAGGAAAATTAACAAAAAATGTTTCTGGTGGTTCTTCTATTTTCAAGTTATTCTTAGAGTTGTCTTTCCATTTGAGTAAATTTTTTGTTTTCCGGAATTTCCTTAATGCAGAACCCAAAGTCATTAGTAGAAATCTGCCAGTGGTCAAGTCCATGGTACCTAGAAAAGCCCAGCTTAAATGAAGAAAACGAAAGAAGCAATGGACCTTGCATATGTTCTTGTTTCTTTTTGGGATAAGATCTTGCATATGTTTTTGTTTCTTATTGGGATCCTACCATTACAAGACGATGATACCCTATTCCCAAATGGATGGTTCATACTCCAATTTGGCATAGAGTATCATTCTTGAACAATGAGAAAAGTGGCATAGTTTAGTGGCCAATCTTCTAAAAAAAAAAAAGTCCACTTAGTTATTTCAGTCATCTATACCTACATTTTAGAATGATCCAAAGAAACACTTTACGAATTAAAATTCCTTTGCATGATTCTCTCCATTTACTTTGGGTAAATGAAGAGATTTGCCACGAACTAATGCATGAAAACCACATATCTATTACTTATTTATCAACATGCTAAGATATGGACATACAACATGAATTAAACTTAGTCCCTGCCTATAAGGAGCTCACACAGTCTAGTGGAAGAGACAGACATTCTGTGAATATAGAGGAATAAACAAACTCAGTTTTTCCTATTATACTGTCACAACACATCTGGTTCATCTGTGGGGGTTTTCCCCCACACATCAAGCCAGCAATTAATTCTGCAGTGGACACCAGCCGGGTGTACTCTAATTCAATTCAATTCTGACCCTATTTACACTTGAGATAGCATCAGATTCCACAGGTTAAGGGCTCAGTCCCACAAGATGACCCCCTCCCCCAACTTCTGATGCCAATTGCAAGCCCCAGGTTATTTTACCTGTGCTTCTAACTTACCAGCTATAAACTGGAGCAGCTCACAGAACTCGGAGAAATACTTGCTTTAATTATTGTAAAAAATAGTACAAAAAAAGTACATATGAAGAGATACATCGGGTAAGGCACATGGGAAGGGGTGCGGGGCTTCCATGCCCTCTCCAGGTGCACCACCCTCCACAAATCTCCACATGTTCAGCTATCTGGAAGCTCAAATTACAGAGGCAACTGAAGAAATTTGCTGGGAAATATCACCCAGGGAATTATCGCTTGGGAATCTGTTCCAACAGCATCAACAAGGGGCTGTGATAAACTTAGGCAATGTCAGGTATTTGCAAAGACCTTTCCTGCATCAGGAAGAATAATGGCAATGCCAGTTCACTGCAAGTAAAAGGTGTGGATGCTGTTTAAGTGCCTTACTTTCAGAGCACTGTGTTTTCATTCAGAGCCTCACTTCACCACTAGATTCTGTAAGGCAAAAGTGTGCATAAATAATTAACGGACACCTTGTTTGGTAAGATCAAGATCATAATTTCTTTTTTTTTTCCTCCTCAGAGTTATAGGCACAAATCTGCCTTTCAGTGAATTACACAATTCCAATTCAATTCTTAAATCAAGAGGCACTGTTTAGAGTGTTTTATTTTAAAATCCATATAGAGAAAAATCTTCTAATGAGTTATCTAAAAATGGGCTGATTATTATCCTAGTTTATATAGAACTGAATATCCTTTGGGCAGCAAACATTACTCCTCTCCTAGCTGTGTGCATTATGTTCAGGACTTACCTTCATTAGGACTTTTACCTGAGGGGCTGAGGTAGGTTCCGGTGTCCAGACTTGCTGGAGAGGTTCACACTCTGGCTAGGTAAGTAAAGAATGCTCATATTTATTCTTCCTCATTGTCTCCTGTTTATGTGTCCTTTTAATAGACATTCACACAGCGCTGAGGCTGTAAACCTCCTATCCAGATGGCAGACCACTCTTTGAAGGAATATTTTCAAAGGTCCCTGCCCAAATGACAGCAGTTAATTTCTTCCTAACGTGGTTATTTGTGCCATAGAGCAATAGGAGGCACCTAATTTGGGCCATATAGACTTGGCAATTCATGTATAATTGTTGGCTTATTGAGCCAATGGTATTTTCAGTTGCATGAATAAACTCACTTTAATATTCTTGCTGATGCGTTTTCTGGTACCTAAATGTAAGCCAAAACTGCTTCCATATTTATCGGTCATTATTCACAGCCGGAAATTCCTCATGTTTTTTCATATGCAGCATGAACAAGAAACAACAGAACCAATGAATAAACAACTCTTGCACTGCCAACTTTAAAAGTTTTATTGAAAATATATTTGTTTATATTATATATATTTAGAGAAGTGCACAGATCATAAGTGTATGCCTCAGTGAATTTTCATCAAGTGAACATATTTGTGCAACCAACACTCATATCAAGATACAAACTGTTACCTAGAAACCTCACTTGGTAAGCTTGTAGTCACAACCCCTCTTCCTGGTATAACCATTATCCTGACATCTAACACCATTTACTAGTTTCTCTGTATTTGAACTTTGTAGCAATAAAAAACATATATATTCAATGTGTATTCTTCTGTGTCGAGCTTCATTTACTCATTTTGAGATATTTGCCTTTGCACATGTGAGTAGTTATAATTTGCTTGTTCTCACTGCTTTATAGTATTCCACTGTATGAATATACCATGATATATTTATCTTCTCTATTGTTGATAAGCAACTGGGTGCTTTTCAGTTTGGGGCTATTACTAACAGGGCTGCTATGAACATTTTTGTCTGTGTCTTTTGGTGCACTTTATTATTATTATTATTATACTTTAAGTTTTAGGGTACATGTGCACAACGTGCAGGTTTGTTACATATGTATACATGTGCCATGTTGGTGTGCTGCACCCATTAACTTGTCATTTAGCATTAGGTATATCTCCTAATGCTATCCCTCCCCCCTCCCCCCCATTTTTTTTGACCTGTCTCCATCTTGCTATAATTAGAAGAAAAATTATGAAGTGAAGTGAAAATACCAATCTGAAAAAGATAAACCAATGATGCCACTGTTATCTGGGACTTGCTATGTGACTAATTATATTTTGAGCATAAACAACTCCCTCTGCCACAGTGCTTTTCCTCAGCAACCCAAACTCATTGAGTAACTTAGCAAAATGGCCCCGAGACACTCCTGTTCTCATTTGAAAATCAACCAAATAGCAGTTAGGGATGAAAGCAAAACTTAGGATAAATATATGCAAGTTTAAAGCCATATAGAACAGCACAGCCAAAAACACTCATTAAAATTACTCATGGACAAAAGAGATTTGCACTAATTAAAATGCCCAGTCACTGTATAGTGGGCTAAGAGAGAAGACTGACTTAGCACCAAATGACTTCGTTTTATGGCTTTACATCAAACTTTTGAAAGATTTTCAGTTAAGGAAATGAAAGAAATATGAAAAGCAAATCTTCACAGGGAAACAGATAAAATATCACAGACCTAAGGAGATGCATTATCATCATTATGGCAGCATTTTCTATAACATTTATGAATTTGGGCAATTTTTATTGCACTTGTTGTGAAGGGACAATTGAGCAGGTGCCATTTTATGAGGTACTTATTCTGTAGTGATTCCCAAGTGGAGAATCCACACATAAGGGTCAATTATTACGAGTCTAATAGAAATGCTGTGATTGGGAAAAATGCAAAGTAGCATTAATCTCCCCATTGCTCCCTTGAGCAGAGTTCAGCTGTCAATTTTAGTCCTGAGGAGCTTGGAGACCACCAACATGGCCAGAAGGATTTCAGATTTGTTACATCAAGGACAGAGTGAGCTGAATATTTTTAATCTAACCTGGAAAAACCAGTGCCTAATTTTAAAATTATAAGAATATATAAAAGAAAAGAAGATTAAATATTATTACTATCATTGAAATATAGACTGGATGTTTCAGCATATTATCCTGAAATTTTAACCTTCAAGTTCAAAATCACTCCTATTTAAAACCCAACATCCTGATTCTCTGGCTTCTATTTGAGTGTTTATGTGACTAATCCTAATCATGGGGGATTTTATTCAGGTGATATGGGATTTATATTCCTACTTCTCATGAAAATCAGAACGGCCACAAATTTTTCTAAAAATTGAATTAATAAATGTGAAATACATACCACCATTATTACACATTTGTTACTTATTAAGGTTAGATTTCATCCAGCATGTGTTTGCATGATATTCACATATAGTACCATTTACCACATACAGATGGGGCCGTAGATGTGGGGAAAAAAAGAGGGAAAGGTGAAAAGAATCTAGCATTTATTGATCACCTATTATGTTTGAGGTAACAAGCTCAATATTTTATATGTGGCAGCTCATTTAATCCTTTCAGTAATGACTCAGGTATGATTTACTAAGCTCTCTACAGATCAGAAAGTTGAGGTGCATCGAGGTTAAACATCTTGTATCAGTGTTACCCTCTAGTGAATGGTGGATTCAGGAATCAGAGCCATGTCTGCCTGCGCACAATACTTTTCTGCCACACCACTTGGCCTTCTCATTCTAAGGACCAATTCTCTGATAGTTAACATACTTAATGTCCTATAAGAAAGCTTGAAATTAACATGCTCATGCTCACCTGCCAGTGCACCAAACAGTTCTCCAAGTTCAAGGCTATTGTCTCTCTGTCTTAGTTCATTTGTGCTGCTATAGCAAAATACCTGACACCGAGTAATTGATAAAGAACAGTTTTATTTCTTACAGTCAGGAAGCCCAAGATCAAGGCACTGGCAGGTTTGGTTGTCTGGTGAAGGCTGCTATCTCTGCTTCCAAGATGGCTCCTTGTTGCTGTGTCTTCTGGATGGGAGGAATGCTGTCCTTATGTTACAGGAAAGGGGTCCTGATCCAGACCCCAAGAGGGGGTTCTTGGGTCGCATGCAAGAAAAAATTCAGGGCAAGTCTGCAGTGCAAAGTGAAAGTAAGTTTATTAAGAAAGTAAAAGAATAAAAGAATGGCTACTCCGTAGACAGAGTAGCCCCAAAGACTGCTGGTTGCCCATTTTTATGGTTATTTCTTGATGATATGCTAAACAGGGGGCGGATTATTCATGTCTCCCCTTTTTAGACCATATAGGGTAACCTCCTGATGTTGCCATGGCATGGCGCTGGTGGGAGTGTAGCAGTGAGGATGACCAGAGGTCACTCTTATCGCCATTTTGGTTTTGGTGGGTTTTGGCTGGCCCCTTCACTGCAACCTGTTTTATCAGCAAGGTCTTTATGACCTGTATTTTGTGCTGACCTCGTATCTCATCCTGTGACTTAGAATGCCTTATCCGTCTGGGAATGCAGCCCAGTAGGTTTCAGCCTCATTTTACCCAGCTACTATTTAAGATGGAGTTGCTCTGGTTCACATACCTCTGACATTTACATGGTGCAAAGTGGAAGGTGGAAGAGCAAGTGAGAGCTGAATGCTGGTTGAAGCCTCTTTTATTAAGACCTTTGACCCATTCATAAAGGGAAGAGCCCTCATGAACTAATCATCTTTTAGGGCCCCAATTCTTACTGCTATCACATTGGCCATTAAGTTTCAACACCTAAATTTTGGAGGGGACACATTCAAACCATGACACTCTCATATCAATTTTGACACCAGCAAAGTTTTTTTGAGGAATCTCAAGGGATGCTTACCAACTTCCAGTTATGGGTTTCAGAACAGCAAGGAAGGTTCAGCCATCAGTTGCAGACTGGCCTGGACCAAAGTCAAGATGTCAAGAAGGGACAAGACACAATCCCCAGGCCAATACTACCTCGATTTGAAACAGTCCACATCCCCATTTCCTCATGCCTTACCCAAGTTTGATCTTTTCCCTGTATCCAGTCTCCTCCAACTCCAAAACATCCTCTATGCTGCTGCCAGAGTCTTAAGGCTTCTAAAATGCAAATCTATGCCACCTTGACTCTGAAAAAGTATTTAATGATTCCACATAGAATTATGACAACATTTAAAATTCTTAGATCAGCACACAAAAATGGGGCCCCTTCTTCCCTCTTTGGCCTTGCCTCTCCCCGATCTCCCTTCACCCTCACATCTTTGTCTCTGGCCATTATTTCAGAATATCCCTGTATGTGACAAGCTGCTTCTTATAGCTATGCCTTTTCCTATGCAGTTTATCTACCTAGAATACTTTTCCTTCCCTTTTTTCCTAAGTAAATCCAACTTTGTCATTCATAGTTCAACTCCAACATTAATTCCTCTAAGCCTCAATGTCTGATTTGTATGTCTTGATGTGTACTCAAATATGATAGAATTACATTATTGAATTATAAGAATTTACTTCCGGTGTTTCCTATTATAAGGTAAGCTTCTCGAAGACAGGAACTATAATTTCAGGAATGTTACTCTCTGTAAATAGCATGAGAGCATGGGCTCTGCTTCATGTGTCTTGAATTTAAATCTAAGCTCTATCATTTACTGAACATCTGACTTCCTCCTCCTAAGCCTTGCTTCTCATCTATGAAATGGAGCATTATCTCCCTTGCAGGGTTATTGTTAGGATTAAGTGATATTAACCCATGTAAATAAAGCACAGTGCCTGCCATATGGTAAGTACTCAATAAATGTTAGCTATTATCATAACGAGAAGAAAAGTAACCATTTACTTAATGAATAATTATTCTCAATGTATAATAGTAATGACTGAATGCAACAACATATTAATAGTGTTTTGAAAGACTTTTACCTTTGTCAAAATTATTATAGGAACTCTTAACAAGAGATAAAAGTTTTGGTAATTAATAGAGGAAGGAAACTAAGATGTCTTTTGGTATCCTTGTTCCATTTTGTAGATTCAAGAATTTATAGAATTGAGGCCCTATAACATCAAATGTATCAGTTAGGGTTTGATTGAAGAAGCAGAACATGAAATAATGGTTTTCTTCCATGTATTAGACCTTGGGCAATTGAAGAAGTCTATGCAAAGCTATTGCTTTCATGTCTGGTGGTGAGTCCAAGGTCACTGTGGGTCAGCAGAATCAGCAACCAGGAAGCAAAGCTGGACCTGAGATGAAAGAGTGGGAGAAGACAAACTAGAACTTTCGCAAACAAACTGGAACCCACCAGGACAAACTGTCTCCCACTAACTCCAACCTTAATAATATAAATAACCTGAAAAAGGAGACAGTATCCTTTACCATAGAATTATACACATCCTTGGCTCAAGTCTTGGAGAAACTGAAGGGCACGACCTGGTGGAAGCTGAACAAGTTAAGACCTGGTGGATGCTGGAACCAACAAAGTGAGCCAGCAGATAGGCAACGATATGCGTGAGCAATAGCAGTGCTTGAAGCCCTGCGCTGGCCTTTAGGTCATAAAGGCTGCTCACTTGCACCTCCTTAATCTCACGTAAGTTTCTCTTGGGGCCAACCCTAGCCACAAGGGAGAGGAAATATTGGAAATGCAGTTCCAACCCAGGTGAACTGACACACCAAGTAACAACTCTAAAGATACATACTTGTAAAACTGTCCCTAGAAGCCAATTTTCTTCCCATTAGATTACTCTCCCATCAATAATAGTATCAATCTCAAGGATGATAAGAATGTATATTTTACTTTGGATGGATGAAGTATTAAAATTTTGAAAGTAGACCTCAAATCAGCAGATTTTCATCAAAAGAATGCTATTCTTTCCAGTAATTCTCATGAACTTTGTTTTGTAGTAGCAAATGGTCTGTGAAATCATTCAGGCCTAACCTCCTTACTCAATACATCAACCACGTTGGAAAATCTTGGCTTAGCACCAATCTATAGAATATTCTACCTCTTGACAAAATAGGAAGGGTTATTTCCAGAGAAATTTTCAGAGAAATTTCTGAATTTTTCAGTTTTGTTCAAGATCATAGAAACCCATTTTTACTTACTTGGAAGCTTTTGGTCTCTCAGAGTTGGTCTAGTCTAAGACCATAAAACCACAAGTAGCCACCAACCTTTTCTTTAAAAATTTTGTGAAAACCCTTTCAACACTCCAAACTCTACTACTTTAATAGTAAGGAAAATTTTACCTATAGGAGAACCTGGGTTTCTATGCAACCTTTGATTTAAGTAGCTTCATCCAACTAGTTACATATTGCTCCAAAAGCTGTGAAGTACAATGAACAAAACACTCAACTGAAATCCATGTGATTTTTTAAGAAGTACCTCTAGGTGGCCCCAGAGTTCTGCTTCTGCTCTGAAATCTGGGTTCTTAGTCTTCACTAACATGGCGACTCCAGGGGAGGGGGGAGGGATAGCATTAGGAGATATACCTAATGTAAATGACAAGTTAATGGGTGCAGCACACTAACATGGCACATGTATACATATGTAACAAACCTGCGCGGTGTGCACGTGTACCCTAGAACTTAAAGTATAATTAAAAAAAAGAAAATTCCATCCAATAACTAGATAACATTTATTAAAATAAATAGCAAAAAAAAAATTATTAGCAAAAAAAAAAAAAACATGGCGACTCCAAAACATTTTCATCGTGATAATTACTCATTTATGGCAAGCTATAGCCCCTTACCTCCATTCCATTCCATCCCATTCTAACATAATAATAAGTTTTTTTAGTGCTCTTTTTTTCACAACACATTTCTTCAATTCTCCTCACACTTAGCTCTTGTCTTGCCTTTCCTTTAGATGATTTAGCACAAAAAACATGAATCAGTAGAGTCTCCTAATACTCCATTTTGTATATAGCATATAAAGTACTTGTTAAATATCCTGACTGATTTTTGAATTTTCATTTGCTTTGAGAAGGACAGTAAAGGCACTTTAACCGTGCCTGGGCACCATTTTTCCCATGATAAATGGCAGATTTCAAGAATGTGGCTTCTTCATCTCTGGCTGAACCTCCACTTGAAGGGCTTTGGTTATTCACATAAGACTTTCCATGACACATTCAGGGCTAATTCACAGGGCATGTTTGCCTGAGACAGCCGGATCTCCAGGGGTTGGACTGAGATGTTAGAAACCTCAGTGTGAGGATGGGAACTGGCTTCAGAGTACAGTTTTAAAGCGCTTGTTTTTCTGAACCGGGGAACCAGAGTTCAGCAGCATCTTCAGAGTAAGGACCTTCTGCTTGGGGATCAGTATCAGGAATATTTCCATGCAAAACTCTACTCATGTCCTCCCCTGTAGTTTTTTTTTTCCCCTTCTGTGACCAGTCCTGTCTGCCATTCTTGCTAATTCTTTCTATGCTATTAAGTGGAACAAGAATATTTACTGATGATTGCCTAACACACCATGTGTCCCAAAGATGTTTTAGTTTAATGATATAGTATCTAATATTAGAATAAAACAGTGGTTAATACCTTGGGGTTTAGAGTAAGAGAGATGTGTGCTGAATTCTAGCTCTGCCATTCGCTAGCTGTGCCACCTCAGAAAAAGTAGTTGACTCCTTTGAGTTTGGTTTCCTAAATGATATTATAAAAACAATACCTCAGGGCCTTTCTGCGAGGATCAAATAAAATGTTAGTGGATATAATGATTAGCACTGAGAGTGCATGCCATAAAGTGGTAGCTCTTACTATTTTAATATTGATTATACTGAAGTGAAATTAATGGCACCAGATAGGAACAAGTTTAAAGCCTGAATAGAAACACAAGATGTGGTACAGACTCCATGCTTTCAACTTGTTCCTATCTGGTGCCATTACTTTCACTTCAGTATTTCACTGTTTATGAATTGTGAGACCTTGGGAACATTACTTAACCCCCTATGTGTTTGTCTCTTCATCGGCAGATTGGGGAGAATAGCTACTTCTTTTGGGCCATTGTGAAAATTAAAAAAAAAAAAAAACATAATGTACTTAAGAAGGATATAGTATATAACCAATACACAATGAAGCTTCTAATCATCCCTCAGAATGAGCTATCTGTGTACAGAAAAACCTGATTTTAATATGTGCTTTTTCATTTGTTAGACATTCTTAAGTAAAAAAGCAAAGCACTCTGATTGAGGGTGGCAAGCTATGAAAATTTAGCCTCTAAGCAACAAACTGGACAAATTTTGAGAACAGGACAGAGAAAATGGCTCTCATATCTTTCATATCACACACATTTTTTCCCAGATTGCTTTGCAAGTTATTATAGGGGACATGATATTTAAATAACTGTCATTGCATGTAGGTGTCCACAGATTTCAGGAAAAGGAAAAGTTGGAAGTAGAATTAGATATTGCTGAGTGTAAATAACAATCATGGGGAGGTTGTTTAAAAATGCAGAACCTCAATTCTCGTCACACAGAGTCTAAGTATATATAGGTCATGCTCAGGAACCCACATTTTCAGAAGAATTCCAGGTGATTCTAGTACCCTACTTTGAGAATCATGACAGTAAGGACCTTTAAAACTTGTAAAATTCCATTTCTAGTAACTCAGACTCTAAAACCAAGATGTTATCACTACTTATTCTAGTCTTAAAGAATGTGCCCAACTATTTGTGTACAAATATATGTGCAAGAATGTTTGCTATTGATAAGGGTGAAAGTTCAGCAGCAGTATAAATGTCCAGCAATAAAGGATTCCTTAAGTAAATCATGTCAGTTCTGTCTACATGCTGGAATGCTATGTAGCCATTCAAATTAAGACAATTTTTACATGCTCATAATTTAGTGGTAAGTGAAAAGAGAAGATAGTGTAGATGTATACAATATGCATCCATTTGTCAAAAAATATATGCACAGAGGCTAAAGGATATATGCCAAAGTGCTATTGTGCTTAGTTCTGGATAGAAGGTTATGGATAATTTTACAATTTCCTTTGTGCTTTCTAGTGCATTCAAGATTTTATGCATTTAATGTCTGTTAGCTTCACGATTAGAAATTTTAAAGTATATTTTTAAGATTAAAAGTGTCAGTATATACATGCATTGCTCAGTAAATACAATTGCCAAGAGAACTGTAGTAGGCAGAATAATGGGTCTCCCAAAATATCCATGTTCTAATTCTCAGAAACTGTGAGATCTTACCTTACGTGGCAAAAGGGACCTTAAATATCTGATCAAGGGTTTGTCAGAGACCTTAAGATAGAGATCATTCCAGTATCTGGTGGACCCAATTTAATCAAATGAGTCCCTAAAAGCAGAGAATTTTCATGGGCTGCGGTCAGAGAGAGATGCAATGACAGAAGGGTCAGAAAGACAGATGTGAGAATGACTCAACCTGCCTTTGCTGACTTTGAAGACGGAGGAAGGGAACCCCAAGACAAAGAATGCTGATGGTCTCTAGAAGCTGGAAAAAGGAAGAACACAGATTTTCCCCTCAGGGCTCCAGAGAGGAGTGAAGTTCTTACTTACATCTTGATCTTAGCCCAGTGAGATCCGTGTTGAACATGAAGCCCAGAGAACTGGAAGATGATAAATGTGTGTTGTTGTAAACTGCTAAGTTTGTGGTAATTTGTTACAGCAGCAACAGAAAACTAATACAAAAGCAAAGCTAAACATCTCCCAACGTTTAATCTTTTTACCGCTGTGTAGACCCTCTGCCACAATCAGTAATCAAAAGTTTTGACTCACCCTGATGCATACAAAAAGGAGTTTTACTATCTCACATAACCAGAAACAGGATGGACTTTATCACAGAGTCACAGAACTCTGGCTGTTGACAGTTCTCTTGGCCCTGGACTCTACTGTGTATTGACAAGATGACTGCCCCAGCACCAGGCCTCACTTCCACACACGATAATGTCCAGAGAAAGAGCAGGACTGTCTCTTCCTGTGTCTTCTACATGAGAGTGAGGAGGTTTTCCTAACACCCCTCAGCTATGTATGTTGTGATTCTGAGCATGAAATCTAGAACCAGACTGACTGGATTAGAATAACAATGCTGCTATTTAGCAGCTGTGTAGCCTTTCTTGGACAAGTTACTTAACCTTTTTGTGCCGAATTTTCCTCAACTGTAAGGTGGAATAAGTACATTTTATTCTACCTAATTGAGGTATTACATAAGTTATTATTTGTATAGAGCTTAGAATATTAGTTGGCACGTAATGTATATAGTAGATTGTTGTAGTATTTGTTCAAGTCTCCACGTATTCACATCCTTGGGTCCCTTCCACACTGACTTTGGGCTCAGCCATGTAACTTGCTTTGGCCAATGAAAGGATAGTAGGCATGACATAAGCAGAGTTATGCAAAGCACTTGCTTATTGGGGGCTTGCCTTTTCTTGCTACTCTGAACACCGTCATATGAAGCAGCCCAGGGCAGCCTGCTGGAGAGGAAAGACACACTGCTTCTGTTGCTCTGTCCAACAACCAGACATACGAATGAAGCCATCCTGGACTAACCAGTCACCAGTCATCCATCCAGCTGACCACAGATACCTGAGCAAGTTCAGTCCAGATTAGCCAAGTCAGCCCAGACCTGTAGAGCCTCACAGCCAACCCATAGAATTGTGAAATAAATAAAGTCACTCAGTTTTGGGGGTGGTTTGTTATGTACCAAATATTAATTAAGGCTAACTGATACAGTGAGCACTCAATAAGAATTAGCTATAATTTGCTATTGAGCTTCATTGACCAATCACCAACAATGAGGTGATTAACGAAACAGTCATAACAATGATCAATTTAAACCAGAGGCTCTCCACCCTGGTATCATTAAAGGTAGGTGAAGCATTAGCAAGATACAAAGGTATTTCTAGTGTGCAGTCAGAGTTGGACACATTTGATTTGGAGTAATCATTGAGAGGGAATATATATTGATATGTCAGTCATTATGATCATTACATGCATGGTCACATAGCTGGTCAATGGCAGAGCAGTGACATTGGCTAGATCTCCGGAGACCCTGCCTGGTGTTTTTTTTCTATCATTTCATGCTGTGGAAAACAGTGATATCCTCAGGCATTCACAACAAGTTAATTACTGGGCATATTGTCCAACAGCAGAAGAAAGCTTGTTCACACTGTTTTTCTTTGAGCTCCACATATTCTGAGGCAAAATTTTTTTTAAAAAAACTTCAGATAACATTACTGAGACCTTTTTTCTTTTTTTCCTGCATGCCCAGCAGCTGGTGAGTGTTCAGCATTAGATATGAGAAGTTAAGCTGAATAAACTGGAGGAAAACCTTCTGGAGAAAGCAAGCTCAGCTTTAAAAAAAAAAAGTGCTAAGTTTGCCGACTCAAGAGCCCAGGACAGCTTAATAAAATTGAACGGAGGAAAACCAATTAAACACTTTAAACTGCTATTCTGGAGCTCACCAAAACAACACAAATCAAAAGAGAAAATATTCAATTATTAGTAGCAGCTGGATCTTGGTGAAAGTTTTTTTAGTTAAGTCAAGTCCACCCTCTTGCTGTTGCTTCCCAGAGGGCCAAATGATTTTTCAATCTCCAGAAAGTACTTCACTGTGGATTTACCCACAGGGATAGTCAAAGAAACACTAATGGCCTAATGCATAGCTCTGAACGTCCTACTTCTCCTTTCAAAAACTTTCAGGTGCCCCCCATGGCTTATCAATATCCTTTACCTGCTAGAGAAAGCCTTTTGCAATATGACCCTCACCCCCATACCTTTCCTACTTTATTACTTTCCCTACCTGTAGCCTGAGTTCTTGGCAAACTGTGGGGCTCACTGTCCCCTAACAAACCCTGTTCTCTGTGGCTTCTTTGTGCTTATGCCCTGCTCCAACTCATCCTCTCCATATATCCCCACTGGTTAAATAACCCATTTTTCAAAGCCAACCTCAGATGCTAACTTCTTAAAGGCTTTCCTTATCTTTTGTAAAAACTCACCAGCCACAGACCACCTGTGACACAACTGTAGTCAATGTGGATTTAACTTGCTGTAGTTCAGAAGAATGCATCAGAGGAACCATCAGTATTCGGGTTTGTGCTGAACGATTTAAGAAGGGTTTAAAAAGGTTGGGGGCATTTCTGGATTGGATGCTGTCAAGAAGCAGGGACCACTTGGTAATTAGGTATCTTGATACATTTTATCCAAAGGGCAGGAGAATTAAAGCAATGTTAGAATTGTCATTGATGGCAGCGGTGGCCCGTCTGGAGTGGTCACTGCCATGATGCTTGCTGCAGTGGGGGAGGCGTGGCCGGGGCTCTGCACTCCATGGAGCTGGCAGGAGCCAGGAACAGGCGGGAGCCCTGCCCCATTGTGAGTTTCAGGGGCAGAAGCCCCGCCCTCCTGGGTGCAGCTGCAGTTGCAGCTGCCCAGCCTCATGGACCCGGGCATCCCTGCGCTCTCGGGGACCCAGGAAACCCTCCTGCCCCATAGGCTCAGAATTGCCTGCTCCTGCTGCATGGCCTCTCCCCACTCCCAGCACCCACCCTGATTTAGGAGAAAAGTTGAGGCTGAGCCCAGACGCTGTCAAGACCCGGCCAGGTGTGCGTGCACTCAGGGCAGCACTGACATGCCAGCCCTCTGCCACCTCAGCTCCCTCCAGACTTTAGGTACCTAGGAGCACGGGAGGGAGGCCAACGTGGGGGTGAGGGCAACTCAGTGCAGGCCTGCAGGTACCCCTCAGCAGGAACAGCCTGGGCGCCATGAGTGCCATGGACGGCAGGTTGATGGCAGCAGGAGGCAGACAGGCCTCTGGGCGGAAAGGGGTGGGTCTCCAGTGAAACCTCACCTTCAAGCAAGGAATGGCCTGCAGCCTGGGGACCAGGCTGCCAGTTCCGTGGACCAGAGTGAGAAATTATGATGTTTTCTCCAGGCCCACTCATGGCCGGCCATGGACCAATCAGCATGCGCTTCCTCCCCTCTGAAGCCCATGAAAACCCTGGATTCAGCCAGACTTGGGCAGATGATGGGATGACCTGCCTGCAGATAGGAGCTACTCACTCCCAAGTCTCCTCTCCACTGAGGGCTGCACAGATGTCGGGACGACCTGCCTGCAGACGGGAGCTACCCATTGCAGATCTCCTTTCCACTGAGAGCTGGACACTCATCGGGACAACCTGCCTGAGGAAAAAAGCTACCCACTTCTGGTCTCCTGAGAACTGCTTTGCTGCTCCATGAAGCTCCTCTCTGCCTTGCTCACCCTCCAGTTGTCTGTGCTCCTATCAGGGGAACCAGCCACCAATATTTCAATGTAGATTCTTTTCTATTTTCCCTAAGTGTTGGCCGGTCTGAGAAATAAAGAGAAAGAGTACAAAGAGAAGAATTTTACAGCTGGGCCGCCAGGGGTGACCTCACATATCAGCAGGTTCCGTGATGCCCACCTGAGCCGCAAAACCAGCAAGTTTTTATTGGGGATTTTAGAAGGGGAGGGGGTGTACGGACAGGGAGTAAGTCACAAAGATCACATGCTTCAAAGGGCAATAAAAGATCACAAGGCAGAGGCAAAAATTAGAATTACCGATGAGGGTCTGTGTCCCACTGTGCACGCATTGTCTTGATAAGCATCTTAACAGGAAACAGTGTTGGAGAGCAGACAACCAGTCTGACTAGAATTTACCAGGCTGGAATTTCCCAACCCTAGTAAGCCTGAGGGCACTGCAGGAGACCAGGGCATATTTCAGTCCTATCTCAACCGCATAAGACAGACACTCCCAGAGCCGCCATCTATAGATCTACCCCCAGGAATGCATTCTTTCCCCAGGGTTACTCCATGCTGGGAAAATAATTCAGTGATATTTCTCCTACTCGCATATCCATCTATAGGCTTTCTGTGAGAAGAAAAATATGGCTGTATTCTGCCCGACCCCGCAGGCAGTCAGACCTTATGGTTATCTTCCCTTTTTCCCTGAAAATCGCTGTTATTCTGTTCTTTTTCAGGGTGCACTGATTTCATATTGTTCAAGCACCCATGTTTTACAATCAGATTTCATATTGTTCAAACACACGTTTTACAATTTGTACAGTTAATGCAATCATCACAGGGTCCTGAGGTGACATACATCCTCAGCTTACGAAGATAATGTGATTAAAAGATTAAAGACAGGCATAAGAAATTATAAGAATATTAACTGGGGAAGTGATAAATGTCCATGAAATCTTCACAATTTATGTTCAGAGATTGCAGTAAAGACAGGTGTAAGAAATTATGAAAGTATTAATTTTGGAAACAGATAAATGTCCATGAAATCTTCACAATTTATGTTCTTCTGCCACGGCTTCAGCCAGTCCCTCCGTTCGGGGTCCCTGACTTCCCGCAACAGCTCCTTATTCTACCTGGATGCAGGACAAGAACTCAGGACCTGCCAAATGATGGGACTAAAAGAGCTGTAACACAAACAGGGCTGAAACACTCCCTCCCACTTGCCACATTGCAGATGACAAGAAGGAGAGAAGAGCTGCAGCTTTTGGGGGACCCCAGACCTGGGGGTTCCTCGAGCCATGGCTGTGACACCCTCTTTGGGGTTCTGAGGTTCCTGGCATCTCCAAGTGTCTGGGTCCCACTGCATTCCCGTCGTCCAGACATGGGTGCCCACAGTGGAAGCCAAATGCAGTACACCTGGTCCAGCCACAGCCTCACACAGAGCCAGTGCCTGTGCTGGCATGTGGAGCTGCCCACCCCACCTCAGCAGCCAGTGTGCCTGGCTGTGAGCATTGACTGGACCCTGTGCTCACTTGCCCACACTCTCTCACCACTCCGCACCTGCCTCACACTTGGCAGGTGTGGGATAGAGCCAGTAGCACAAGCTGAGCATAGCCTGCTGGGCCGAGTTGGCAGAAGCAAGTGTGAGCAATACTCAGGCAGAAGGCACCACTAGCCACAGAAGTTTCTAGCTGGTGAAGTGGCACCCTAAGGATCCTGTGACATCATCAGGGAAGAAGAGCATATATTAGTCAGAAGAAGAGGTGGTTTAGTCACTTTGCTTTTGCAGAGCATCCTTGCCTCTGTGGCCCTATTTGATCATTGTTTACATACTCTGTGTGTGCATATGTATTGTTTATATTTCTTGTGCGTTGTTTATGTTCAGTGGGAGCATCCCAACTCTCAGGGATGTTTATTTTTTCCAAATTTTCTTACTATACAACTGGTTATGTCCACCTTCTCCTTAGAATCTCCACAGTAGAGAGGTTAGAAAAATGCCTTACAAGGCCGGGCGCAGTGGCTCACGCCTGTAATCCCAGCACTTTGGGAGGCCGAGGCGGGCAGATCATGAGGTCAAGAGATTGAGACCATCCTGGCCAACATGGTGAAATCCTGTCTCTACTAAAAATACAAAAAAAATCACTGGGTGTGGTGGCACATGCCTGTAGTCCCAGCTACGTGGGAGGCTGAGGCAGGAGAGTCCCTTGAACCTGGGAGGCAGAGGTTGCAGCAAGCCAAGATCGTGCCACTGCACTCCAGCCTGGCAACAGAGCGAGACTCTGTCTCAAAAAAAAAAAAAAAAAAGCCTTTAGATACATTATTGGTGGCCCTTATAGGTTGTTGCTTTTAGTTTCTAGTCAACTCTTAAGTCTGTTATATTTCATATTAAAAACAGTTTGTTTTAAAAATGTAGCATGTCTTGCAAAAGAGGAAAACTTAGCATGATCAGACCTGGAGATCTGCATGGAATGAGCTCCAGTTGATCACAGTCCCAGCCACTTATACAATTTAGGCTTGTCTGCTTACACTGGTGGCTTCACTCATATTCCTTACCTGCTGATGCCTATAGACGTTTGAGTCTGAGATCTCTTCTTACTCATTTTTCACAGCTAATTAAGAGACTTATGGGACATGAGAAAGGATGGAAAAGTGGCTTGTAAAGGGCCAGTTATCAAGCATTTTAGGCATTGTGAATTAGACAATCTCCTTTGCAACTACTCAATTCTGGCATTGTAGCAAGAAAGCAGCTGGAGACAGTACATAAATGAACTGAGTTCTAATAAAACTTTACTTCTAAAAAACAGGTGGTGAACAGGATTTAGCCCATGGGACTAGTGCTAACTTCAAGGCCCACTCCTGCCACCTGATCACAAGCCAATGACCATTTCTGGATTCTTCACTGTTGTCTGTAAATTGGTGATAACACTTGCTTTACATGCAAATTGGGATATTGTTATGTGAAAAATCTACTTTAAAATATGAAGCACTATGTGCTCCCAAGATATTATTAACTTGTTATATATTTGGAGAACAGAACTGTTCATCATTCTGCAGCAGGACTGTGGTAGATATGGAAATATGCCACCAAGATGTCCCTTTAAGGAAGGGTTTGCTCCCTAGCTGTGAGCAGCGTGGTCAGCAGACATCCTCCATCTGGCAGCTGCTTCAAGGTCAGCCTCAACTGCTGAGAGCTGCCTTATCAGAGGACCGTTCTCTTCTCAGATCAGCCTGTGCCCAGTGACTGAGTCAGGCAAGGGTATAAATGCTCAGCCATTTCTGCCTCAACTCTGATACACAGTACTCCTTACAGAGTTCCTTGCCAGATTGGCAGAAGCTTCATGGGACCTGCATGTCAGTTCAGTTTCTCCCTCTGCTCAATCACGCTTCTTCCTCCTTCCTTTCACAGGGTAATCCTTAATAAATACCTTGTACTCTAACTCCCATTGCAGGGTGTGCTGCTTGAAAGCACAACCTACCACACGGGTGATTTGTTGCGACACTACTATGTGTTGTTCTTTTTGCATGTTTTCTTTCTCCATTCCAAAAATATAATCAGGCCTTGCCTTGGGGCCATTTGTGTTCTTTCAAGACAATCCCGTTTTCTAGCCAAAATTTACGATGGAAATGTGCTTGGGTTTTCTAAGGGTCTAGATGGAGAGAGGGGATGAAAGGCAAGTGGCTGACCTTGGGAAAATAGCATTACTCTGGACTGTATCAATGATTTGGGGTTCTGTGTTCTATAAGCTACAAGACCTGCCCACCACATATTTACACTTCAACAAGACCTCAAAGGAGACAAGCAGAATTTTGCAACTTAGAGAGGCTGGACATGAGAAATTGCAGTATTAACCCCAGCAAAATTACTGGGCCTGCAGGACCTCTTCAAGGGAATATGCAGGCTTGGACCATGAACAGGTCAGCATGATGGGAGCTGAGAATCAAATTGAATTTAAACGTTGAAAAGTGAAGTAATGTGATATATCTTGTATACCCTAGTTATGAGTAAAATTTAATCTACTGCATTTATATCCTTTTAAAAATATTTTCTGAACAAATAAATTCAGTGATTTTGAGGAAGTCAACAAAAAAATGATCAATCACCCATTGATTTAGCAAATACATGTTAAGCGCCTACTATATCCCTGGCATTCTGCTGACACACAGTGTTGAACAAAGTAGATAAGGTCAGCAGAGAGTTTGCAGCCACTTTTCCCTCTGCTGCTATCACGGTCAGAGGGTCAGACAACTGACCTAACAGGAAATTGACAGGACCTTCAGAGATTGAAGGGGTCCGTGTGGCCTCATGCCACCTCCTGGGAGACTCTGATTCACTTCAACACAGATAGAACACCTCAGAGGCTTCCCTGGCTGCCCTTACGTGCACTCTCTATCTGAAAGCTTTCTCTAACAGAAGGAACATGCTCAACACATGTGCAGGGCAGGCTTGAGGTGCTAGTGTGTGGGAGTGTGATGGGGCTGTGGGTAGAGTGTGAAATCCATGTCTCTGAGAGCAGCACTCAACCATTGGAGACAGAAGTTGGTGGGTAAACACCCTTGCTTGCCCAAGAGTGGAAAAACTCAGAGATGTGCTCTGTACTGTATCTCAGAGATTCCCAATTTGATTCAGCCACAGTTGTGCACAGCAATAATATGCTCATTAATGCAATCCGACGTGGCTTCCTTCCCTTCCCTGTCTCATTTTCCCGCTCCTGTTGTGATGATTCAAATCAACTATTACCTCTCAAATCAACTATTTGCACTTAAGTCCTTATCTTGGTGTCTGCTTTCTGGGGAAACTAAGATTCCCACCACTTTCAGACATGCTTCAGCTTGGGGAGAAGAGGCACCATGTCCACCTCAGCATCATGCATGCAGAAAGGCTCCGTCTCTGGGTAAAAAATTGATAAATGCATACGCTTTTAGAGGAGCCGGGCTCCAAGCATTCTGATTAACATATGGCTGAAAACAGCAGGCAAATAATTTGCTCTTCCTACTTAAGCCCATTCAGTACAAGTTTTGTGTTATTCATTCTTCCACCAGCACCAAGAATAATCTTAAGCACCAAGTAAATGCTCAAATGATGCAACTGGATTCCTTCCCCCAGGGAGTCAGTCTAAGAACCACAAGCCTCTTAATTCACATTTTTAGTTATTGTTTTAGAGCCTGAAGGAATTGTCTGTGTAGTCTCTTGCGTTAAGGAATTAAATGCCTCCGTGAAGTCTTTGGGAATTTCCATGGAAAAGTTTCTAAACTGAGATGATCTAAAAAAGTCTGAAGCAGAAGTCAGCAAACATTTTCTGTAAAGGGCCAGATTCTAAATATATTAGGCTTTGCAACCAGATAGTTTCTGCTGCTAGTACTCATCTCTGCCATTGTGGTGCAAAAACAGCCAGAGACAATACCTAAATGAATGAGTTGAGTTGCAGTAAAACTTTATTTATAGAAACAGGTGGTAGAATGAATTTACCCCATGGGACTTAGTTTTTTGACTCCCGGCCTAAGGCAGTATTGTCTAATAGGAATTTCTACAGAATGAAAATATTTTATAATCTGAGCAATCCAATATGGTAACTGATATGTGGCTAGTGTTACGGAGAATCAAAAAAATTTCTTATTTAATTTACATTTAAATAGGCACACATGGCTAGTGACTACCATATTGGACACTGTATGGTATTGTTTTGCCAATCTTGGCAAATCCCTGACCACTTAATCATGTTTTTGTCAACATTTCTGCCCCAACTGCTTATTCACTGGGAAACACAATGTTGGAAACAATGAAAATGAGTACAACATATGCTTTGTCTTCCAGGTGAACCTGACAGCCTCCCTTTTGCTTTTGGTGTGGATGGCTGAGCATAATACATATGCAGCAGACAGGCCATTATTTTACCCTGGGCATGCCAAGGTGTGAGAAAAGCTCTCAGGGATCTAGTTCATGAGCTGCAGTGTCCCTGCCAATAATTCTGACATCTTCAGGTGGCCCTGGGTACTAGTGGAAGTCTCATTAAGGTTAGGCTTAAGTTTCCTTTCTCAGTGGGCATTTTCACTTTACTAGCACTGTCATCTTCAAAATTCTGGCCTTTTAATGGTTGACGACTCAATTCTGGCAAGCTGAGTTTCAAACCCCTCCTTCTCCATTTTAAAGTTTGCTTTTCAAAACCAGCCTAACGGGGATCATTTCAGTGTGTGATGAAGTAGGCACTTATTGAGCAATAAACCTGTGGATTTACGCTTATGGGTTTCCAGAAGCAACTTTGCCACAATCCTGTGAAATCTTGCTCACAGTTCATTGAGCTCTGACTGGATCTTGAATTATAGCTGATGCTCCAAACAGAAAGTAATATTTGTCACATCCTATAACTGTATGTTCTTCAGCTTTGGAAAACCATGGATTGAAACATTCACTCTGCTGGGTCTGAAGTAACCCCCTAAATCCTGGATCACAAAGTTCTAAGGTGCCACTGTATTTTTAAGAGTAATTCATATGCAGGACATTGTACATACCTAAACACAATATATCTTCATAACCTTAATGAAGCCATGGAACCACCACCTGGATCATTCTCACCAAGGTAGGAAGCACCAAACTTTACTTCTGACAGTATAGGTCAGAGTTTTGTTTTTCTGTCACTTTACTTTACATAAATGGAATCAAACATGTATACTCTATATGTAGATTACTTTGTAAGACTTATCCAATGCCTTTTACTATATATAGTTAAAGATTGTTCATTCTTTTTTTTTTTTTTTTGAGACGGAGTCTTGCTGTGTCGCCCAGGCTGGAGTGCAGTGGCGCGATCTCGGCTCACTGCAAGCTCCGCCTCCCGGGTTCACGCCAGTCTCCTGCCTCAGCCTCCCAAATAGCTGGGATTACAGGTGCCCGCCACCACGCCCAGCTGGTTTTTTGTATTTTTAATAGAGATGGGGTTTTACTGTATTAGCCAGGATGGTCTTGATCTCCTGACCTCATGATCCACCTGCCTCGGCCTCCCAAAGTGCTGGGGGGATTACAGGTGTGAGCCACCGTGCTCGGCCAAAGATTGTTCATTCTTATTAATGTCAGGTATTCCGTTGTATGAATGCTCCACAATTTATTTATGTATTCAACTCTAGATGAACACTCCTGTGGTTTCTACTTTGGAGCAATTTAAAATGAGATTCTGTGAACATTCTAGTACATGTGTTTTGTGCACATTTGCAGCATTTCCTTTGGGTATGTACCTAGAATGGAAATTGCTGGGTCAGCAGGTAGGCATATACTTACTTTAAGAGGCCCTGCCAAGCAGTATTCTAAAATGCTTGAACCATTTCACACTCCCACCTACAATGTATGGGAATTCCCTTGCTCTACACTCTCACCAACACGTCATTTTATTTTGCACTTTAACCATTATAGTTGAGATGTGACACCTTATTGTGGTTTTAATTTTTATTTCCTTAGTGACAGACAAAGTTGAGCACCTTTTCATGTATTTATCATCCATTTACATATTTTTTTGTCTATTTAAGACTTTTGCCCAATTTTCTATAGGATTGACTTCTTTTCCTTACTTAATTTTTGAATTTAGTTTTTGGATGTATAATATAGTTACTAAGTTCAAAAATAATTTTAAAATATATTGCAAAATATATCATTTCCACCTTTGTCCCATGTTCATTCAGTTAGATCTCACTCCTCCTTTTCCCATGAGGGACTATTTTTTATTAGTTTTAAAAAATTAGTTTATTTTATTATTTATCAGTTTTCTATATTTTCAGAGCTCCTTTATGGGGATATTCCTATTTAAATGTTTAACAAGCTTTCCATGGAAATTAGTGGAAAGTCTGGACAATTACCCTATTTTGAACAACCCAGGAGGTGTGTTCTTTACTTTTTTTTGTGCTGCTAATGCTACAGAAACAGCAGTTGAGATGATAGCTGTTATGTACAGTAATAAGACAAGAGCCATAATTTGCACAGTATTCCAGACAGGATGTGCACATGTTATCTAATCCAGCTGTTTTGTCAGGACTAAATAATTCAGCTTTTTAAACAGAAAGCTTAAAAACCACATATCTAAGTTGTAAGTCAGTCCGTTTATCCTCTAAGCTGTAAATCCTCTAACCAGAAAGATTCATTGGCATTGTAGGACTCACATAAGCAAGGATGTATGTTTTGCTGCAGAAGTGCTGACTTCACTGATACGGAGCTCTTGACTCCCCAATTCCTCAGTTACTCACTGGTAGTAAGCTGGACCCTTAGGGAGGTGCATTAACTCTTTTGAGCTACCTGGGTAACATTACCACACAGAAAATTAACGTAAAAGAAGATTGCCTTCTCTATAAATGTTCCTTTTTGCAAGCTTGCTTAAGTACCAAAGTTCCACTTTGAGGCAGTCTGGATAACTTACTTATGAAACTTTGAAAGTCTGTGTGTGCACAGTGTTGCAACAGTCATATGTCAAACTTCAGGAGAAAAGGCTTATGCACTCTAGAAGAGTTAATTTACCAAAGGTAAGACGTTGTCAAAAGTAGCATATGTCCTGCATATATCAGCCACCTAGAGTAGTCAAATTCATAGAAGTAGAAAGCAGAAAGGTGGTTGTCAGGGATTGGAGGAGGAAGCAAATGGGGAATTGTTAATGGGTACAGAATTTCAGTTTGGGAAGTTAAAAAGGTTCTGGAGATGGATAGTGGTTATGGTTGCACAACAATGGGATTATATTTAATTGTTACTTAACTGTACATGTAAAAATGGTTAAGATGGTAAATTTATACTATGTATATTTTGCCACAATAAAAAAGAAAAAAAATTAAGGTAGTTTCAGTTCTGATAGGCAATTACAGAAAAATCGTTTTAACTTTTCCTTTAATTACACATATCTGTAATGTAAAGTTTTCCTTCCTATGAATCATTCTCCAGATAACGCCATTTTGAATCTTTTTTTTTTATTTGAGACGGAGTCTCCCTCTGTCGCCCAGGCTGGAGTGCAGTGGCGCGATCTGGGCTCACTGCAAGCTCCGCCTCCCGGGTTCACGCCATTCTCCTGCCTCCACCTCCCGAGTAGCCGGGACTACAGGCGCCCGCCACCACGCCCGGCTAATTTTTTTTTCACCGTGTAGAGACGGGGTTTCACCGTGTTAGCCAGGATGGTCTCGATCTCCTGACCTTGTGATCCACCTGTCTCGGCCTCCCAAAGTGCTGGGATTACAGGCGTGAGCCACCGCGCACGGCCATTTTGAATCTTAACTATAGCTGATGAAAGTAGAATAGTTATTATTTGGGAGTTTAAGAATAATTGTGATATAATTGTTATTTCACTGTCAATATGATATCATTATATTTCCTATGAAGATCCACAATTATTTTTCATCTGTCACAGATTTGAACACTTGATTAAAAGACAAAAGTTTTTTAAAATATAAAGAATACACTTCTTTCCTGTCTTAAAAATAAGTAGCTGATAGATAATCCACTTATGGTTATAGGTGATCACATGCATACATTTCAGACCAATTAAAAACAATTTACCAACAAAATTATCTTGATTGCCCTGCAGCTGTGGTAGACATGTGGGAAAATCCTTACACTGACATCTGATAAGAAGAACCTCAGGTGTGGGGTGCATACTTGGGGAATATTGGCTGGAATTGAGGCTTGAATTCTACCATGGAGTATGTTTAGATTCATACATATTTTGCTAGGAAGAGCCTTCAAACACCCTTTATCACTCCCCAGGAGAAAAAAAAAAATCTGACTAGAGACATTCCTGAGTCAGAAAAGCAACTGAATATAGATGTCATCATGCGGTTTCAATGCCAACAGATGTAATACATAAATGGGAGAATAGTTCAACTAATGCCAGGTGCCATACAACAGAAGTAACAATCTCTTAGTAACTATTTAGGCAGCTGAGCTATGTGCCAAGATTCTTAAGGTATTTTTGATACCATTTTAAATAAAGAACCCTCGTGGATTTCAGTGAAAACTCAATTCTGATAATTATTGCACCTATTTAGATCTAGAACATATTATGTATTTATTACATATTAATACATATTTGCATAATCAATGAATTATATAATAAACATATTAACAAATATTATTTGCATCCACTAAAAAATTCTTTAGTTATATATAAAATTATATAATAAATGGTATTAGGCCATTATTGCATTGCTACAAAGAAATACCTGAGACTGGGTAATTTATAAGAAAAGAGGTTTAATTGGTTCATGGTTTGGTTCTGCAGGCTGTACAGGAAGCACAGCACCGGCATCTGCTTCTGGGGAGGCCTCAGGAAGCTTCCAATCATGGCAGAAGGCAAACAGGAAACAGGCATATCACATGGCGAAAGTAGGAGCAAGAGAGACAGAGAGTGTAGGGGGAAGTGCCACACACTTTTAAAAGACCAGATTTTGCAAGAACTCACTATTGTGAAGACAGCACCAAACTATGAGGGATCCACTTCCATGACCCAAACACCTCTCACCAGGCCCCACATGTGGCACTGAGGATTATATTTCAACATAAGATGGGGTGGGGGACAAATATCCAAACTATGTTATGAATATTATAATTATAAAACTTTTAGCACATTTCACAGTTTTCAAACTGTAAGTCAAGTCACACATTTATTTTTATTCTAACTCCCTATTTTAAATGAGGCACTCTGCTAGGCCAAGCCACACCTAAAATTTGTGGGTCTCAGAGAAAGTTATAAATCAAGCTGGCAGAGAAATAATGTATGTCCATCTTCCTACCTTGAGCAGTAAAGAAAGAGCCAGTGTCAAGCCTGCCCCACTTCTTTTCTCCTCACCTTGTTTCTGTTCTACCAGGGGCTACATACATTAGGCATGTGAACACTCAGCCCACACGTCCAAACATTATACTCCATCCACCTACTCCCCTGCCAACAGCCACCACTTAGCAAATTCTCAGAACCAGGGGTGCACATACCAGCAATGATCACTTTCAAACTGAAAAAGAGGCACATAAATGCCTTGGACACTCAAATGAGGTTAGAATAATTTGGGAAGGCCCTGAGTTCCAAGTAGATCTCTCACTCCGGTTGGTAAAAGACCAAAGCAGTCCCTCAAAAGTACTGGAACCAAGGCAGGATCTCTTCTTATTTTATTCTAACAACAGTGGTACTGTTAGGCTGCTAGGTACAATGAAGAATGTAAGGAAAGCAGCAGCGGCAACAACAACAAAGATTCCACCTCTCCTACAGCTTGCAGTTTCATTGGTGGAATAAGTTCCTCATAAGAATGAGCACAACTCTTAATTACATCTTACAAGGAACTTAAAAATCACTTTTCTAAGCTTAAGGCAACCTTTTTCAGCATACAGAACCAGGTCTTCCTTTTAGAAAAATACTGGCAAGCAGCTTCTTTTTGGAAACTTTCCTACTGCCCACACCCCTTCATTGCAACCCCAATAATCCACCAGACAGGTATATTCTCATCAGAGCTTCCAAAGCACCTGTGCATGCTTCTACCCAGTGCATCATCTCATGTTAATGTCATGTGTTTCTGCCTCTTAGTCACATCAAAGGAGCAAGGAGAGGAATGAGGTCATCTCTGTGGTTGTATACCAGTGCCTAAGAGAGAATAAGTGAAGAAAATTTATCTTTTATTAGCCTCAGTAGTGATCCATCAGTGCCCACCAATAATTCCTGTTCTGAAAGCCCCCCAGTAAATTTTCTCATCTTTGAAAAAAATGAATCTGTTACTTGAACATTTGTTACAGTTTATTTTGCAGCTTTTCCATCACTTTTGCCAACACTTTTGCAAGCACAGAACTTTACATTTTCTCAGAGCAAGTCCCAGTGACAAGGAATATATTTAATCTTACCATTACAGGAGCATATTTACATGCACCTGGAGGAAGTATCTGATACTATTTCTAAAGATTAAGTAACAGTGCCTCTTCACTCTTGAATCTAGGTCACACCCACTGATACATTGAAGTCAATATATGGCGTTTCACCATTTTGGAAGGCATTTAATATCCTTTCTGTTGCTCCTTGCCTCCTTATTTATTCCTTCCCCATTAGTGCATCTGAAACAAGGATAAGATGGCTTTTTTCAGTGGTGTCTCCAGAGCCACAGAAAAAAATAATTGGATAATTATTTTAGGACAATAAATAAGGCGTCCACTCGTTCAATTAAAGTATACATTTCTATTCTAGTATTTTCTAAAGAATTTTTTTGAAACACCACATTCAGGAAACAATGTTAGTGCTTAAAAGGTGGAAGGAAGGGATATGATTAACCACTTTCACAACCACTGAGCTTACTCAGCTTACAGGATTTATCAGAACTCCTCAAATGCTAATGTTTATTTTAAAACTTGGAGGTGGGCAGAACTGTAGGTTGCAGAATTTCCCAAACTTATCCCACAGAGAAATTTGTTTCATGAAACGTCCCCATGAAACAAGTGTTTTACTCAACATGCCTTGGGAAATGCTTCTGAATTCAAAAACAAAAGTATTTTAAATATATACAATGTATTGATCACTTACATTAGGGGTCATTAAACTTCTTCTGTAAAGGGCCAGATAGTAAATATTTCAGGCTTTATAAGCCATATTATGCAGTGTCTGTTACAACTACTTAATTTTGTATTTGAGGTGCAAAAGCAGACATAGACAATAGATAAGCAAATAGGGAATAGTTGCGTTCCAATAAAAACCTATTTACATAAACAGGAAGTGGGCTGGATTTGGCCCACAGGCCATAGTTTGCCAGCCTCTGATCTAAATTATGGTCAAATAAAGAAGAAAGATAGGAATGGGAGGTAGGGAATGAGAAGGGAAAACTCTAGGAAAAAGAGACAAATATACAGACACAAAGGGATAAATATGTTTTTTAAAAGGAAAAAAACCAGGATGTCATAGAATGATATACCCATGAAATGATTATAGATATATACATGCACATGCATGTGCACATGCACACACACACACACACAAAGACATATACACAGAGAACAACAGTAGAAAGTATAATAGACAGAAGTAAAAGCATAGGTGAACATACTGGTTCTATTGTATAGATGTATTCATATTTTTTATATGTGGATATATGGAAGAAAATTGCAGTAAATTATTTAAAATATTTTAGCCAACTTCTGACATTTACTATCTAAACCTTTTGAAGTCCGCTCTTTGTCTCATTTTAATATTTTCAAATTATCCAATTTCCTATTCTAAAAGATAATGCTGCATTTTATTTTATATAAAAATAACTATATTTTAAAATAATATCTACTTCTTATCGTGAGACTTTTGCCATCAAAAGCTTGCAATGCCATTTTGAAAGTTCAAAATGTGCTTCCAATAGAGATTACCTTGGAGGCTTGGCCTAATTAAACAGAAGGCTAGCTTAAGCCTGAGGAACAGAACATCCTTACCTATGAGTTAAACATCTAAGAGGATCCCATTTCCTCTCTTGAATCAAAGAATTACTGGAGAAACATATCTTGATTGAGGAAAACCTTATCGAAATTGGGATGTTTTCAATAATGTTATGAACTTCAGTAATTGTTTGCTTTGCATTGGTTGGCTCTCTGCTATCAGACACAGACATGGTTTTCAAGGACATCTGGATTGTGAAAACTTCAGCAAATTCATCCTTGACATTTCAGTGGGGGCAGGGGATAAAACATATTTGCTAATGTGAAAGTTTATTACACGTTGCATTTTACCTTGAGAAAGTGTTGATTCTTTCTGATATGTGGATAGTCCTGAAAGTTACATTTAAAAATAAAAAGTATATTTTAAGTTAGGCCATTACTGGGAAAGGGTGCTTTTCTTTCACTGTGTGGAAGGAGTGTATTGCATTTCTATAGTGCCTCTTTAAAGAGCAGCTATGAATTTGCAGAACTTCTCCACTAAATATATATATATATATATATAACTTGCTATCCCTTCAGCCTCACTCTTTCAATATTTAAGAACTACATATCAGATTATTTTGCTATTCCCAGTTTCCAAATATCAATTTAATTTGTTACGAGTTGGACAAATGAAATGTTTTGATCCCAGACTAGGAAAAAATTTTACTAAACTCACAAAATAAATGGAAAATCTAACTCCCAGCCCTGGGTCCATCTTAATATTTAGTCAGTGATGTTAAATCCATTGTTTGGTTTCCAAGTTGTCAAAGATAAAAGAAGTTTTAAGGCTCATCTTATCTAAATGGCTTCTTTGACACAGAAATGACTTATGCAAGTTTCTGTGACTGATTCGTAAAAGTGGAAAAACTCCAATCTTACAAGCCTCAGGATCCTTTTCACTCTGTTGTAACACAGCTCCCATATTTTCATAGTCTATATTTTCCATAGTCTTCCTTCTGCTGTTAAAACCATTCATTTAAGCAGTTACTGAACCCTTACAATGGGACAAACGTCTGTTAAAACTAGGGCTATGAGGGAATGTATGATGAATGA
The DNA here is from genome assembly GCF_000001405.40 of Homo sapiens. Lineage (NCBI taxonomy): Eukaryota > Metazoa > Chordata > Mammalia > Primates > Hominidae > Homo > Homo sapiens. Next base: position 30,163,409 of record NC_000023.11, read on the forward strand.
GGAGTCACAGTCTTGAGAAAGTCTTGACTGTTGAGACTTGTCTTTAAAGCATCACATTAGTTTTGGGACTAATATGTAACTAATATCATAATCTTTATAAAACAATATGTGCTGGTGTTTTGGGAACATATATGAGAGGGTAACCCATTCTCGCTGGATTCATGAGTGATAAAAGCTTTGTTACAGTGACTCAATTTAGCCATACAGGATCAATCATGTTCCTTGGTTTATTGGTGTCTGAATGATCAGTGTGTACTTCCTACACTTTGTAATCTTCATATATTTAATCTACATTTGTTGCCTATGCACAGCTTATATATGAAGTAATAAAATGTAAGACATGGACTTTGCATAGTCTTTACACTTAGGCAACTTACAACCAGAAAAGATAGACTTAAATGCATCTTAACACAGCCTGTAAAAAACATATGAAACAAAGTAGGACTTGATGGAGAAGAGAAGGTAGGGTGGAGTTAAGGAAAAGTGTATAAATAAAAATATTCCCTGAAAAAGTGAAGACATAGAAATTCCCTGAATTAAAGAAATATAACTAGTAATTTGTATCATAAATGTAAATATATTATTTAACAAAAATTTGAAATTGACATAGTTGAAAAAAAAATCCCTGCAGCACAACCATGTAGAGATATAAACATTAATATTATGGTATTCAGTTGTTTTCACTATTTTTTTTCTTTTTTTTTGAGACGGCGTTTCACTCTTGTCGCCCAGGCTGGAATGCAATGGCGCGATCTTGGCTCACTGCAACCTCCATCTCCCAGGTTCAAGTGATTCTCCTGCCTCAGCTTCCTGAGTAGCTGAGATTACAGGCATGCGCCACCATGCCCAGCTAATTATTGTATTTTTGGTAGAAGCGGGGGTTTTACCATGTTGGCCAGGCTGGTCTTGAACTCCTGATCTCAGGTGATCCACCTACTTCGGCCTCTCAAAGTGCTGGGATTACAGGTGTGAGCTACCGCGCCCCGGCTGTTTTCACTATTCTTTTTTAGGGACACACAAACACAATTTTTCTCTTAGAAACACTGGGCTCATATTGTAGATACTATTTTGTAATCCAAAAATTACACTTGATAATATATTGTGAACACTTTTACTCCATGTAATCCCCTTCTAAAATGTGATTTTGTAGTAGTGTATATTATGGAAGTAATTTATTAATATATTAAATTAATTCCCTATATTAGTCATTAAAGTTGTTTCCAGTGTTTTGCTATTATAAGTAACACCATAATGAATACACTTTGCAATTAAATCTGAGTTTAAATGTTTGATTCTTTCAGATTCCTAGAACTTGAGTCATTAGGTCACACTTTAAGCTTTTGATACACACGGACCACTTACCTTCCAGAAAACTATACCTGTATTAATCCCACAAATAATTCACCCTAGGCAAAAGTTATCACTTTTTAAAAATCCTTTCAGAGGCATAAATGAAATATTATTTTGCAATTTGTTTTCCTTCATTTTATAGTTAGGTTTAATAATATGTGGTTATTTTCTACTTGTATTTTTTATCATTGCGAGTTGCTTATTCATGTCCTGGAACAAATAACTAATTTATTATATAAGTAGTTCTTGTTTTATTTTTTCTTTCTTTTTTATTTAAAAAAAACTGTCTACATTAATGTTGTTAAAATTGTTGTGAATATTTGTGTCTGTCTTTTCCTATTAAATTTGTTTGTGATGCTTTTATGATATAGAATGTAGAGTTATTTCGTTTCCTCCTCTTTCCCCCACAAAAAATTGTTAATCAATTGTCTCAGAACAACTGATGGCCCCTTTCCTGAAAATTTTCACCGAAAATGTTACATGTTTCATGTACTAAACTGTTTTATGTACTTGGATTTGTTGCTGAGCTTTTTATTTCATTTAACTGATTATTTTTGAATTTGTTTCAACTGGTAACTTGCTATGATTTTAAAATGTTATATTATTGGCGGTGTGAACTTCACCATTCGATAACACAAGTGTCCCTTTGCAAAATTATCATGGCCGTTTATTCTTTCATTCATTCTACAAACACCTACTCAGCTCTACTATTTGCTATGCTCAGTTTCAGGCTCTTGGTGCCAACTTGTAATTTTTATAGCATTACAATAGTATTTGTTATTTTACTATAAAAATAATATATTTTCACTGGAGACATTTTAGAAAATTCAAGTATATACAAATTAGAAAATAACAGTACCTACAATCAAATTACCCAGTCATAATGCTATGGACTATAAACTTAGAGTGATAACTATTCACAATAGATGGTAGATTTTTTGCAGTATGTACTTAATATATAGATGACTTTGATTCTAATTTTAAGTATATTATACAGATTTTCTAATGTAATTAAACATTTTTGACAGTAGCATGTTAATGACTTGGTTGTTTTCCTTAGTATGGATACACCATAATGCATGTACACATATTAGATATTTTTAGATTTTACTATTGTAAAGAATGCCATGATCAATATCCTTATGCATATGTCTTGCATCTGAGCATTCCTTTAACACATATTTGTGGAAACAGCTCATCTATTTGAAACTTTCAAAGAAAATTAAAAAGAGTTTTGTCAAGTTTCTAAATATCCCATTGACATTTTGGTAAACATTACATTTTAAATTCATAAGTTATTTTTGTCTAGTTAACATATTTGCACATTAAATTTTTCTGCTCTGATATATAATTATCCACTTATTTAATTACTCCTAATTTAAAATATTGTAATTTTCCTTTAAATGTTTTATTTTTATTTTTATTATTTTTTATTTCAATAAGCTTAGGGGTAAAAGTGGTTTTTGGTCACCTGGATGAATTGTATAGTGGTGAAGTCTTGGTTTTTAGTGCACCCATCACCTGGTGTACATTGTACCCAATGGGTGATTTTTTTATCCTTCACCCTGCTTCCACTCTCCTTGCTTCTGAACCTCCAATGTCCATTACACCACTCTGTATGCCTGTGTGCACCCATGGCTTTGTTCCCACTTATAAGTGAGAATATGCTGTATTTGGTTTTCTGTGTCTGAGTTACTTCATTTAGGATAATAGCCTCCAGTTCCATCCAAGGTGCTACAAAAGATATTATTTCATTATTTTTATGGCTGAGTAGTATTACATGGCATATATATATATATATATATACACACACACACACATTTTCTTTATCTGTCATTGGTGGGCACTTAGTTTGATTCCATATCTTTGCAATTGTGAATTGTGTTGCAATAAACATACAAGTGCAGGTGTCTTTTTAATATAATGACTTATTTTCCTTTGGGCAGATAGACAGTAGTAGGACTACTAGATCGAACGGTAGATCTACTTTTGGTTCTTAAAGAAATCTTCATATTGTCTTCCATAGAAGTTGTACTAACTTACATTCCCACCAACAGTGTACAGATGTTCCCTTTTCACCACATCTGCGCCAGCATCTATTGTCTGTTGACTTTTTAATGATGGCCATTTGACTGGGGTAAGATAGACTTTTTACTTCTTTTTAAAATATTTTGTGTTACTATTGAGAATGGCATCTGTGTTTGGCAATATTAGATGGTAAGCCATGATCCTACATTCAAACTGCCTTGTTTTTACTTCACTTCCACATTTTTCAACAGCTTATCCAACTAGGCCTTACATAACAAGTAATAGTCTCCAGATGGAATGGCAAAACAACTCTACCAGTGCACTACATCTGTAACTCAGCTCCTCTATCTCTGTTTCTCTGCCTGGATCTTCTTCCTCCTCCTCTCTCATTGCCTTCTCTGCCTGTCCACTCTTATTCAAAACAAAAACTGTCTTCTGGCTTGTACTAATTCCCCTTTTCCCTGTATGTGTCTCAGTTTCTGAGATATTCTAGGGATTATGCCCCTAGGTGTGTTCACATAAATAGAGAGGATCCGGTTAGTTCACAGAGTCATTAATAAAATAAGGGTCACCTCATTTGGGCAGGCCAGAAGTTTCTGGTTTACTTATGCATGACTGCTCTTGGGAGCCACCCTTGATCAAATTTTCTGTGGATAGGGAAATGAAGTCATGTAGCATAAAGTCTAGCAAACTATGCGTTGGATACGTGCTAAGAAGGTGGCTGTGGATACAGTAGGCATACAGACTGTGATGTTTGTTAAGAATCTTGTTCTACTATATTTTAACTCATTATTGTTGTTTTATAGAAACAGTATTAATTTTTTATAATTAGTTTGTAACCAGCTGCTTTGTTGAGATTTATTGTTATTCTAATAGTTTTTAAAGTTTTTCCTATTAAGCTTCTATGTAGATATTTTCTTCAGTGACTTTTTCCCTCCACATTTCTAATATTGACAGCTCATTTCTTTATCTTGGTGTATAAAATTGGATAGATGCTCCAGAAAAAAAAACCTGAAATATAGTAAAGATAGAGACCATTCTTGCCTTGCTCCTGAATGTAGTGGGATTGCCTCTATACTCAGTATTTAATGGGTATCGGCTCCTGGGTTGAGACACATACATTTTATCTTACTATGGAAGTACCTTTCTATTCCTAATTTACAAATAATTATTATTAAAAATAGATGTTGAATTTAATAGCATGTTGTTTGGGCACCTAATAATTTGATCATTTGGGTTTTCTTTTTCTCCACTCACTAATTGGTATGATAAATCATATTCTATTTCATATGGCTGTATGGTTTATTTTTGTTAATGTTTTCATAAGATGGACTTACTGATTCCTTTAATCTTTCTGACTTTGTTTTCCTTGTTATTCTGTAGGAAATACATAGTTTTATTTGTTTATCCAATGTATTTTTTCAATAAAGAAAAGTTTGATCTTATCTTTCTCTTCTTGTTTCATACATTATGACTTTCATGCTTCCAAACATTTAATTTTGCCAAGTGTAATAGATTTTCCAATTAACTGCTCCCCTCCTATAAGAGGATAGTAGATCCTTGCCCATTGCCACGTGATCTTTAAAAATGCCCTGTGAGAAGTGTATGTGACACTTCTCCACTGATGTCAGATGTGGGTACATGACTTGATTTAGTAAATGTAATGCCAATGGACTGGTTATACCTTATAACTGAGTAGAAGCAGGGGGAAAAGAAAGGCCTTTGTGTATTTTAGTCTCCTCTTTTTCCCTCTGAAATGAGGAGTACCTGTTCCATATAGGGGATGATCCCTTCAGAACTAATCCTGAAATGAAGACATGTGGGGCAGAGCCTCAGCCAAAATGTAACATGAGTGAAAGGTAAATATTTGTTGTTGTAAGACACTAAAAATTAAGGGTTGATTTTTTTCTACAGCATAGTCTATTGAAAGCTGAAAATACCAAGAACCTGTCTTTTAAAAAATATGCATGGTTAGGTGGGTTTTTTCCAGAAGCCTTCTAATTTAGCTACAGAATTTAACTAAATATTCACTATATTAATTTCTGACCCATTCGCAAACCAATCTAATGGAGCAGAGGCATTTAGATAATGACTCAAGGCCTTTTTTATGTTCTCACTCATAGGTGGGAATTGAACAATGAGAACACTTGGACACAGGAAGGGGAACATCACACACCGGGGCCTGTTGTGGGGTGGGGGGTGGGGGGAGGGATAGCATTAGGAGAAATACCTAATGTAAATGATGAGTTAATGGGTGCAGCACACCAACATAGCACATGTATACATATGTAACAAACCTGCACGTTGTGCACATGTACCCTAAAACTTAAAGTATAATAAAAAAATTTAAAAAAAAAACGGAGAGTGATCCCAATTGCCTATCTTCTCTAACCTTGTCCCTGAGTAGAATATTTTCAACATCTGATGCTCTTTGAGATACAGATAGTATAAGAGGGATGTGTAATACGTTAGTTATGCATCTCAAGCCATGCTTTATTTGCTGCTGCCAATTTCTCAGTTGCTTGTATTTAATAAGAATGACATGGGTTTTTAAATTCTAAATCAAAGCATCAGTGAAAAATATATGAGCTGACCTACAGTACTACAAAGAATTTTACGATCAGAAGGAGGAGAGTTTTTGTCTTATTACCTCATTTTTTCATAAAGTGTGCTGTGATGAATGGGATCACAATCATCATTGACCCTATTCTAGCTTACATAGGGAATCAAAGTTTATACATAGAATAAAGTCATTTTGTATAGGGTGTCACTAATCAATAAGTTTCCTTTGATTCCAGTTCACATATTGCAGTACATTCTAAATCAAAACATAATAATCTAAATCAAAACATCAGAACATTCATAATCAAAACTTAATGCAGTCAATATTATTTTGATTTCTTTTTCAAGGTAAGAAAATAATATATTTCAGGATGTTTCCCAAACACTTATCTAAATTCCAAGTATTTGATTTCCTAGGAAAATTTTTCTCTCGTTGCATCTTTTGTTACTATTTCTATTCCATTTCTTTTGATCTGATCTTCAGATATATGATTATCTTCACTGATGGATCTCTCCTATCTGGCCTCCACCTTTATAATTTCTTATCATTTTTATCTCTTTATACTTCCTCTCAACCTAATGGAAAAAAAAAAAAAACGCCTCAAGTTTTCCTCCATCTTAGTGATTTTGCAGGGTAACTCCTCATTACTGTTTCCAATATAGGCTTTTAATATGCTAAATAATTTGTATTCATTTATTAAGCTTTGTAGCTAACATTCTTTTAATTCCCACTTTCTTTCCTCCCTTTCTTTCTTACCATATTTTATACCATATCTCTTATTTCTTATGGTCATATTTTCTTAAACAGTATTGCGAACATATATCATAGGTTACCTAATATTTACTGCTTTTTGTTGTAATCAATGCTTTCAAAATTATGCTCTTCCATTTCATCTGTTCTTATGTTCTCCTGTAGGTAATTCCTTTCCATTAGCTCAGTGTTTGACTTTTACTAATCACTCACAGTGCAATTCCAGTTGGCTCTCCCTGGCCTGGTGGAAAGATTCTTCCTGCATCACCTCTTTGGCCCCTAGAGGCCCTTAAATGCCCTAGATGCAATTAGAGCTCAGGTACATTGGAAGAAGGGAATATGATGGATATTTATATAATCCATTCAATGATTTGGCAGCCAGAAAGAAGTGGAAAAAAATCAGAGTTGTGAAGAATGTCGACCTTGTATAGATTCTTCTCTCTGTGTAATGATGTTATGAAAGCCGCTTTCTATAGCAAATATTCCCACACCTGCACCCAATAACTTCGGTGATCGCGCCAGCCCCATTTCTGATGTTACCATCACTGGTGACTTCTAAGATTTGACTCCAAACATTTTCATTGCTATTAAACTCAGTAGCGAAAAGTGTTCCCAGAATTCACCCTCACCTCCAAACTGTAGCCTTCATTATTAAGGAAGTTTTTATAAATTCCTACCAGATTTCATCTACTTACTTCAATCAATGTTCAACTGTCCTCCTAGGAAAATTCATTTTGAACAAATACTTTGTAACTTCCTTTTGTGTGGTCCCACAGCACTGAATCAGCATATTTTTTTCAATGTTTAGAATGTGTGTGCTATACTTCCTGCCTCAGTATAGCAGAGAAAGAAAAAAAATTGTATTTCCCCTTACTGCTAATATTTCTTCCAAAATCTACCTAAAATTTTCAAAAGAATGGAAAGAGTGATGGTTTTCTGCATAGTGCAAGAAGTCTTTTCATTGGTGAAGAATTTACTTTCATCTTTGGCATCAAAATCCCATTGGTCAGCAATTTTTCTAAGTTTGCCTAACTTTATTTTCAGCTGTCACTTCAATTTCTTTGACTAAACTTGTTAAACTTACTATCTCACCATGCTCTACTTCGATTTCAGGGCTTAAATTTACATTCCTTTTTGCAGTAAACGTAGAAATTACCAAAAGAGAACACATTCACCTTCCTGTTTCCAGATCTACAAACTTATCTGCATCCTCAACTGTTCATTCTCCCTTTCATTATAATAGAAAGTGTCAATTTCCCTGTACTCACACTAGTCTCCTAAACTGTCTGGAGTCTCCCAACCCATTCCAACACAAATAACTCAAGGAAAATGTATCCCATGAGCCATCTTTGAAATCTTCCTCTTCCTCATTCCTCATATATAATCCAATTCTTTGTTCTCTCAATCTCTGCTGCTGTCAGCCTACACAAAACATCATCATCTATAGGCTGAGCCAGTGCAATTGCCTCTGAGTGATCGGCCCTGATCTAATATTATAATCTCAAATTCTTTACTGTATTATAGCCAAAGTGATCCTTTTGGATATTTCAGAAATTCAGATAAGATCATGCCTCTCCATCACATAAAACATTTCAATACGTCCTATAGGAGAAAACAAAATCATTAACATGTCTCTACCAACCTCTGTCTCTCCAATCTAATCCTGTACCCTATCTTATTTCTCATGACCCAAGGCCTTTTTGTATGCATTCCTTGTGCATAGAATGTTCGTTCCTTCTCTGTTCACCTCATCAATTATTATTCACCTGTCAAATTTCATCTACATTATCATTCCCTCGGGAAAAACTTTCCTGACTTCCTGACTCATATGGCCTGCTTCCTATTAGAATGAAAGATCCAGGAGGATAGATACAATATATCTTTTAATCACATTTTTATACCCAGCACCCAGCATAATACAAAAAACAGAGTATGACTCAATAAGTACCTGCTGAATTAATGAGGACTGAATGTAGGAAGAAGAATCTACAATGGAAGATGAGAAAAACACAAACATGGCAGTTGTAAACTCGGTGAAGACTTTAGCTTCAGGAGCTGGGGGAGAAGAACATTTCACAAAGGAAAAGTAAACACATCCAATGCTGTTGAGAAGTCAAGTGGGCCTATGAAGATGGAGTTAGCCAATATGTAGGTAATTGATGAGTTTAGGGATAGTTGCTTCAATGGAGAAGGAGAGATAGTGCCTATGGACAGGCCTTTTCAAAATTAAAAAATATATATTTTTAGAGACAGAATGTCACTCTGTCATTCAAGCTGGAGAGTAGTAGTGTGATCATGGCTCACTGTATCCTTGATCTCCTGGGTTCAAGCAATCCTCCCACCTCAGCCTCCCAAGTAACTGGGATTACAGGGGTGAGCCACTGCACCTGGCTCTAGACAAGTCTTTAAACATGCTTATCTCTGTAGAAAAAGGAAAAAAAAATAGAGAGGTATGTGTAGCAACATGTGGGTGAAAAGGAGAAAGATGGTTATTTTTAAATACTGATGGAAGAGAGCCAGTAGAAGGATTGAAGATACAGGAATTAAAATGATCTTTAGAGTAAGGTGGATATTATTCTTGTAATGAAGAAGAATGAAGAGAAATGAAGCAGATTCACCAGAAATGGGTTTTACTTCCAGCTACCCAAGATAAACCTTTAAAATCAAGAAAAACAATTCATAATTTAAAGTATGAGAATGAAAATAAGGTAATTATCCAAACTGTTAACTTTAACATAGTATGATCCATGCTCCCTCGAGACTCCCCTTGACCTGGGGTATCACAGTAGAGTTCGGAATCACTGAAAATTTAAGTTTTGAGAACTTTGAACCTGAAATAAAAGCTGAACACCAGTGTTTCATGTTTAAAAGTTATTTTAATAAGTTTAGTTTGTAAATAATTTGCTGATTTTTCCCTGTTGGAAGTTTCTGAAGCATATTACTGGTTGTCGTTGTTTTCATTCTAGTTTACAAATTGATCACTGTTGGGTAGGAGGATAATGATAAAAGAGAGAAGAGGACTGGGAGTCGCAAGGGCTCAATGACAGCTCTGGCTCTGCTGCTAATTAACTGTAGGACTTTGCATCAGCCATTTCATCTTTCCAGCCTTACTTTCCTCATCTACAAAATAAGAATAATAAGGTCTACCATACTTTTCTCACAGGGCATATATTGTGAAGATCAAACGTGTTCATGCATATGAAAGCCCTTTTACTCATATAAAATACTATACAAAGTACTTGGATGAAAAGACATGAAACCTCTGTGAGAAATGTTGCTCCACCCCTTCCCAGGCATGTAGTTTGGGCAGGCTCCTTAACACTTCTATTCCTCAGTTCCCTCACTTGCTTAATGGGGATAATGTTCTCTAGCTCCTGAAATTTTTATTAAGATTAAATTAATTGTGAATAAAAGGTGAGAGTATACCTGTTAACTGTGCCTTGATTTGACATTTATTCTGCCTATGAGTTTTGTTCTTTTATTTTCAACCTGGGGGAGATGAATTTACTTGCATTGTTTAACATTAGATAGGATTCAGACTCTCATGTGTTAAAGTCTTTTACAGCTTTGCTATTTGACTGATTGTCCCCAGGCCAGCAGCAGCAGCAGCACTTGGGAGCTTACTCGGAATGCAGAATCTCAGGCCCCAATCCAGACTTACAGAATTAAAATATACATTTTAATAAGATCCCCAGGTGTTGTGTACACAATTAATTTTGGAAATCATGGTTTAACAAACTATCCAGTTGTTAGGAGGGGATTCAAAGAGAGCAATGTACAAACATACTGAAAACTTTGATGCTATTTCCTCCTGTTCATTTTCCTTTGTCTTCAGTCCCCCATCTCTGTTTTACTATAAAAATGAAATGACTCAAATAAGAGAAAAATGGAGTGCTAAGTTGGACACGCTTCAACTGTGTTTGTGAAGTGGTTTTATACTAGGGCAAGAATTTGCCCCTGTGCCCTCCTATTGTCACTCATTAGATTTCTCTGCCTTGAATAACACTGTCAAGTTGGGGCCTTCTTATCCTCCCTACCCATCTATTCTTTAACTTGCCACCACCATTAAAGGCACTATCAAAATGCAGTGTGATAAGGAGAGTGTCCAAGTTCCTGCTCATTAACAACCAAGGAAACTACAGTTCTACAGATTTTTCTGGCGGTTTCTCAGAGGTGAAGGTGAAATGTAGAAAAATATTTAAGCAATTCATTTGTAACTTTTTAATAGGCATTTAGAGGTATGCCATATTTTTAAAAGTTGGCAGTTAGAGAATCAAGTAGAGTCTGTTTCAATAAATTTTAATAACAAACCACATAGCCTGATTCTACCATGGGCAAAAGTTTTGTTGTTTGGTTTTTGTTTTTACATTTTTTACTTTGTTAAGTCTTCTATTAGAAGACTGAGAAAGCTTGTTACTGTGGACACTAGTGATATTTCAGCAATGAAGAAAGTTTGCAAGTTGCTGATGAAGGTAAGCTAAGTCCACCTTACTTCAGCCCAAGGTCTACAGCCTTTTACTAAATATAAAGAGAGGCATCTTGTCAGTGCTCCAAAGGAGAGAGATTTACAAGTTATCCAAAATAAGTTAGCATCTTCTGGGCTGAAAAGATATGTCATGCAAATAAATATACAGGGAAGTTATCAGGGGAATGTTTCCAAATGAAGTCTGTAATTTTTTTAATTACTCTATTTCCTTCATTAAAATTCTCCCTTTGAAATGGCAAATGGTCCTTTAAACACAGCATCTAAGATTTTGATTTATGGAAAACCAGATGTTAGTTCAGTTTGATTTAAATGTCTTTAGGGGTAGCTATGATTTTAGCAGCAGCATATATTGCATTCATACGGCAGGCCTTCCACACAACATTTAAAGATTTGTGTGTCCCTTGGAGATACAGGTGAGGGAATTGTTCCTTTTTACTTCATGCTAACAGGCCCAATTTTTCAATTTGTAATTACATAGCCCATGGTCATCCTGAGAGGTTGCTGGAACTGGTGCTATTCAAGCAAACTTTGAGGAAGTTATGGCAAATAAAGGCTAAGGAGATGATCACCTGAGAAATTAGGATAATTAAACAGTCATACCCACCAGGGCTCTTAGAATGCAGTTAGCAGCGATTGTGAGCATTTTATTTAGTCATTGCTAAATAAAGTCAAGGTTGAATAATAGAGTCTGCTGTTATGGTCTGGCTGGAAACTTTAGAAAAGGAAATATATGAATGAATTTTTATAAACTGGACAAAAAGCAGGGGAAAAAATAAAATTTCAAACAAGGAAGCAAGCATGACATATATGACATTACCTTCAATACTACGTGTGTGTTTCACATCCCAAGTTAGATCATGGTCTTGTTCTAGGAATAGGTATATTCTCTTCACAAGAGTCCAGGATTAAGGCAAAATAAACCCACTGATCATTTTTAAGGTTTCCAATTTGCTAACCTTTTAACTTCTGGCTGCTGGGAGGAGAAAACCTAGATGAATAAGACTCTTTTGTGCTTTATACCCTTTGAAAAGAGTAAGAAGAAAATTAAAAGGAAACAGGGAGATATTAAAGACTTTGTTCTTAGAGAAAAGGAAGGAAAGAATGAAGGAAGGATGGAATGTATGTAGGAAGGCAGGGAGACAGGCAACTTGCATGATCTGATGTGGTTCATTAAAAATTCATCCCATATCTTCTATAATATCATCTCCAATTAACATTAATTTATGATTAGACAATGTGGGCAGCTATCTTGGCAACATGACATAATTGGAGCTGCAAATTGAGATCCTGTCTCAAAGTAGCTTCTTCTCTGGTCATATATTTCAGGAGTTTCTTTTCATCTTTTTTTTTAAAGGCAACAGCAAAAATAATTTTGTATTCTTATTATAAAAATAATGCACTGATATTGGCCTGTTTTAAAATGCAGAAAAACAAAGCATAAAATCATTTTAACTTTATCACCTGAGGAGAGAACCACCACTGTTAACATTATCCTTTAATTGCTTTTTACAGTTCATAAACAAACATGATAAAAAATGTCTTGTAATATAACAATTTATCTTAATGATATATGGGAAAGGTCTCCTTTATCACTGAATATTATTTTATAACTTTATTTTTTAAAAATTGAATAGCATTCCATCATATGAATTTGTAAGACTTTTTAAATCTACTCCTATTTGGGAATGTTTATATTATTTCTAGTTTTTTAGTGTTAGAAACAAGGCTGTTATCAACATTGCTGTAGCTCAGTGGTTCTCAGCCAGGATTGATTTTGTCCACCAGCGGGTATCTGGCAATATCTGGAGAGATTTTTGACATCCAGATATTTTGGTACAACAAGGGGTAGGGTGGGAGGAGATGCCACTGCCATCTAGTGAGTAGAAAACTCTATTTCACAAAATTATTGAAACCTACATGAGATCACTGACTGTGCTGATGAAATCAAAATATTTTCATTTATGAGCCATAATATTGTTTTTATCTGCTAAGCATTACTCAAAGTTTTGTTGAAAAATTTTAAAGCAGGAATATGTGAGAGTTTTCATAGGTGACATTATTTGGAACAAAAAAAAAATCACTGGTAAAGGTGAATTTTCCAAATATTCATTATCAAAATGATCTCTCAAAAATATTTCTGTCTCGGCTGGGTGCAGTGGTGCACACCTGTAATCCCAGCACTTTGGGAGGCTGAGGTGGGCGGATCACAAGGTCAAGAGATCAAGACCATCCTGGCCAACGTGGTGAAACCCTGTCTCTACCAAAAATACAAAAATTAGCCAGGAGTGGTGGCGGGCGCCTGTAATTCCAGCTACTTGGGAGGCTGAGGCAGGAGAATTGCTTGAACCCAGGAGGTGGAGCTTGCAGTGAGCCAAGATCGCACCACTGCACTGCAGCCTGGGCGACAGAGTGAGACTCTGTCTCAAAAAAAAAAAAATTCTGTCTCAAAAAGCAGTTATTTTCTCACCTATTTTTAATACCTTGCCTCTACTTTCAAGGGATAAATATAATCTGATTAGGTAGATATTGGTTATTTTTGCCTTATATCTTGTTTCCTTGGTCAAACTTCCCAGAGGTTTCTCAACTTAAGAACTGATTTCTAACTCATTGATACCATGTTCTACGTGTGTTTCCTGTTCCACCAGTTTCTTTTTTTATGCTTTCTTTGAGTTTATTTTGCTATTCTATTTCTAACTTCTTAGGATGTATGTTTAGTTCATTAATATTCTTCTTTTATAATATGTAAATTTAAAACTATACTGCTTCATCTAAATATACATTAGTTTCACCTCACTTTTATTTAAACTATTTATATTATTTCCCTCGAGATAGTTTCTAAATTATAGTATCAAAACTTTGAAGCTTATTTTTAAAATTGACACAATATGTACTGAATTTTTAAGAACTGTTTTATTTGTGTTTGATAGGAATGAGTACTCTGTAGATATTGGGTACAAGTTTTATACATATATATCCATTAGGCAAAATTTGCTAATCACAGCTAAATCTTCCACATTCTTGGTGTTTATATGTAATTTTTCACCATGTTTATATATATGCTTATTCTGTTGCCATTGATTTTTGCCTTATTTGTTTTGAATCTATATTATTTAGTGCATATGAATTTGTTTTTATACCTTCCTGATGAAAACAAGGTTTATTATAATGATATGACACCATTAGTGAAAAATGTCTTTTCTTTTTTTTAAAAAAAAGCCTATTTTATGTAATATTAATACACGTAGATGGGCTTTCTTGAATTAGGTATTTGCAGGCTAATTTATTTCTTATTTTATTTTCAGATTTTCTTTAACCTTATGTTGTATATGAATTTATTAAAAACAGCATATGTTGAATTTAGTTGTTTTTCAATCTGATGATCTTTGCCTTTTAAGCAGAGCAGTTAATATATCTAACTTAATGTAAATTTCGATAGATATGATTCAATATATATCTATATTTTTGGACTTTATAATTTTCCCACCTATTTTTAATTTTTGTTTCTCTCCTTTCTCATCTTCTTTTTGGAGGGTTGTATATTAACATCTTTATCTTTCCTTATTTTTTCATTAGCTCACTTGAAAATTACAGTCTCTTTCTATTCTTTGTTACTCTAGGAATTACAATAATATGCCAAATGTATCAAATTATGAATTTAATACTTCTAAATTCCTTCTGGAAAATTTAAATACTATAATCCAGCTTAAAATTAACACCCTTCCTAATATACATTATTATTAACCTATATTTTATTCTAATTTTTAATAACATGAGACACAGACATAATTATTATAACTTTATATTTAGTCTCTGTTCATTTAGATTTACCACTTTTACAGTTGTCCTTATTTTTGTATCTCAGACCTTCTGTCTGAGATTACAGTCTTTCTCTCTGAAGTAACTTTCTTAAAGCTTTTCAAAGAAATTAGGAGCTACTATTGGTAAACTGTCCCATATTTGTATGTTTGTTTCATTGTTTTGGTCTGAAATGTCTTTATTTTGACCTCATTCTTTAAAATTCTTTTCCCTTGATACAATTTTAGGTTAAAAGTTATTTTATTTTAACACACTGAAAAGCTCATTCCACTATCTCTTTCTTCTGTTTTCTCTATAGAAGTCATTCTGTCATGTCTTTGACGGTTTTTTGCTATGTTGCTCTTAATATTTTTCCTTTGTCTTTAGTGTTCTGCATTTCCACTCTGATGTGTCTAATTACAGATTCTAGTAGTTATCCTGTGAGGAATTCATCAATCTTCTCAAGTCTGTGGAATGATGTCTTTATTCTGTTCTGAAAATTTTTCAAGTCTTTATACCTTCAAATATTGCTCCTGCCACATTCTCTTCCTTTTCTCTTCTTGACATTGTGATTACATGTACCTTATACCTTCAAACACAGCCTTGCATGCCCCTTACCCTCTCTTTCATATTAGGAAGTTTATACTGCAAAGATATCTTGCATCTATATAATGTATTCTGAATTAGCCACAATTTACTAATTTTCTCTTAAGTCATGTCTGCTGTTAAACTCATTCATGACATTCTTAAGCTTGATTATATTATTTTTCTTTTCTAGAAGTCATGCTTGATTATTTTTTAAATGGGATAGATTTTTTTAAGTATGTTCCCTGTTGATATTTTCAAACATATTTTTTAATATGATAATCACAGCGAAGCTTTTGTTTATGGCTAAAATGGAGTAATCAAAGCCACTTTATGCTTCTAATTTAAATAACTGAATTATTGGACAAAGTGATAAAGACAGGAGGCAGGAGGGCAGGGTCCCTGGTGAAGGCTCCACTCTCAAGCCTGGACCCATGGCCTTAAAGGAGGACAGGCATTCCTCTTTTCACACCCAAATTTTGCCTTTTGGCCGTGCCCCCCATCCTGTGCCCTTATAAACCCCCAGCTTCACAAGCAGAAGAGCAAGAAGAGTGGCAGAGCAGCACGGCAGAGGAGAGAGAAGAAGCATTTGAACAGAAGAAGCATTTGAACATTGAGAGGAGTTTGGCTGGGGACAGTCAGAGAGGAGATCGGCCACGGGATGGCTGAACTCCAGGGGAAGACCATCTTCCCACTCCATCCCCTTTCAAGCTCCCCATCCATTTTGCTGAGAGCCACCTCCATAGCTCAATAAAATCCCCGCATTCACTATCCTCCAAGTCCGTGTGACCTGATTCTTCCTGGATGTCGGACAAGGACCCAGGTACCAAGAGGACAGGGTGTAAAAGGCTGTCATCCTGATTCTCCACTGAGATGGTTAACACTTAGCCATTTGGGAACAGCAACTGCTAACAGAGAATTAACTGTAACACACTCATCTGGGAACAGCAACTGCTAAAAGAGCATTAACTGTAACACACCCCTAGACACTGTCATTGGGCTGGAGCCCAAAAGCGCTCACCCCGGCTCCTGCACCTGTCCATCTGTGTGCCCTCCCTCCCATAAGGCGGCCAAGCAAACAAGCTACACCCCTGTCACAAACCCTGCGAGGGGGTGAGGGAACTCTCCCATCTCAAAAATATATGGAACAACAGCTTTCAGACATTGTAAAACAGGAAGCACAGCAAAGTGATCTCTGAGAGAAGAGAAATAAATGAGGTAGTCCAAATTCACTGCCTGGAGAGAACTTCATGGACACAGTGCAGGGAAGGAGAACTCAAACACAGCTTGTTTTCTCCCTGAGTTGAAGAGACAGAATAAAAAATCAGAAGAGGTCAAGATAGCTAGAATTTGCAGGATAGAGTAACAGAGAGAAAAGCACTGGAAAAGAGAGAGCTCCAGAGATCTAAAAAGCACATCCCTCCAGCCTCTATTTAAGAACTGGTGAGCACATGTATATGAGGAACTACCCAAGGCCAGGGAAAGAACCATATAAGAAGTGAATGGGTGAAACAATCCTCAGAGCTCACACAGGGCCTGAAATAGTTCATGTGCCCACCACTGGGGTGGAAAAACTTATTATTCCCAGCACATTAGGTAGAAGACTCAAGATACCCTAGTAACTTAGTAGTGGGAAAAAAATTAGTCCCAGACTCAACATTGTTCCGGTTCTAACAAAGCTTAAAAACAAACCTTAGAAGAATGATACTCTCTTGAAACACTTTACTTGTGTTCCAGGAAAAAAACAAACCTTAAAAATATTTCTAAGAATACAAAAATATCCAGTTCCCAAGAAGGTAATCATAACATCTGGCATCCAGTAAAAAATTACTAGGCATGTGAAGAATCAGAATAACTTGGCTCATACTGAGCAGAAAAATCAATTAATAGAAACAAAAGCAGAAATGACACAGAAGGAATTAGTAGACAAGGACATTACAATGGTTAAATTAACCATATTCCATATATTTAAGAAAAGAGAGAAAACATTGGCCTATAAAGGAGAGCAATGAAATATATTTTCTAAAGATCACAATTGAACAAATAGAGATTTAAAAAATTCTGAGATAAAAAATACACTGAATGGAATTAACAACAGATTTATGCACTTACTGCCAAACAAAAGATTTGTGATCCTGAAAATAGCAAAAGAAACTATCCAAAATTAAACACAGAGAGGAGAAACACTGAAAAAAAAATTAAGCATTAGTGAGCTATAGACAACTGCAAGTAGCCAGATATATGTCTAATTAGAGTTCCCAAAGGATAGGAGAAGGGGTTGGGGAAACATTTTTTTTAAGTAATGGCAAAATTTTCTCCAATTTGTTTTTTAAAAAACTATAAACCTCAGACCCAAGGATCTCAATAAGAGACAAGACGGACAAGAAATATAGAAACACTAAGCAACATCATAATCAAATTGTTCAAAACACGAAATGGAGATAAAATTTTGAAAGCAGCAAGGGAAAAAAGACCCATTATGTACAGATGAACAAAGAATAATGAGAATTCTCATAAAAACAGTGCAAGCCAGAAGATAGTGGAGCCAGGTCTTTAGAAACCCAAAAGAGAAACAAAAAGTCAACAATTGTGGGGGTGGAATGAGACAGGCTGACTCTTACCCTAAGGGTTTCAATTCAATACAGAAAGAACATCTAGTATAATTTTCAACAAAGATGGACACAAAAGTTTCTTTTCTTGTCCCCTTTTCCTTATGTATTTGTTAAAAAAAAAAAAGTTCAAGTTAGCCTATACTGATAAATACCTAGAACAATGGGAAATTCAGTACTGCGTTTATCTCTCTGGATTCCCATGTTCCCTTAGAATTTTTGTGTGGTAATTTTGTATTCTCTTGACAGCACTTTGGTGTATTTCATTCATTTTCAGTGGGAGGATGGTCCAACCTAGCATCTCCATATTCTGGCAAAGGAATCAGTAATTTTCGGGGTCACTCTCCATTTCATTACAAAATATTTTACACATTTTATCATTTAAAGTCCAAAGATTATAAAATTACTGACATTCATAATATCAAAAAAACAGAAAAAATTGATACAAAAGCACAATATATGGAAAACGAAGTGATACAGGTGTACTCTTCATTCCTTTGTAATGTAGAACTACATTCTACATGGTCCCTCAACAACTTCATCTACAGTGTGTGGGTAGGACAATCTGAATGTGGAAAGGGCACGCTACTGATCATAAAATTAAAACTTCATAAAGCTTAATTTACTCCTCATTGTAAGTTAAAAATAAACTTTAATCGAATTTATACTAATTTCCATGGATCATATTATTGAAAGTTGTCAACATGAAACTGTGTTTTTGAAATCAAAAGTGGTTAAATATTGGCAATCACATGTGGTTCAACTTAATCCTATTTTGAAGGCCAATGATATGACCAAAAGAGCATAAAATTGGGAGGCAAAACTTTGATCTCACCATTTAGGTATCCTTGGAGCTTTGAGATATTAATTTGCATCTCTAAAACTCTGGAGTGTTGGGAGATTTAAACAATAGGACTTTCTTAAAATGTTTACCAAATTCTGGCACAGCAGGAAATTGGTAGAGCACAATGGTTAAGATGGTTATCCTAGGAATCAGCCAACTGTGAGATCAAACCCTGATTCTATTGTCTACTAGATGTGTCACTTCGAGAAAATTCCATAAACATTCTGTGCCTCAGTTTCCTCATCCATAAAATAGGAATAATAACAATACCTACACGTTAGTGTTGCAATAAAGATTTAATGCATATACTTATAAAATGCTTAGAAAAGTGCCTAGCACATGATAAGCAAACAGGTATTCACTTTTTATTATAGCAGAAATTCATTAAAAAATTGGCAGCTTTCCTTTGCCTTGTTCAAGTGGACACAATCAAGAAATGCAAACAGGAGCAAAACGAATGAACTAGAATCCAACAACATTATGGTAAGGAACAGACATCTGGAACCCTAATCATGATAGACTAAATATTCATATTTATAAGAAGGCAAAAGAATATAATGGTAACAATTATGTGTGAATGTAGGAAATGGTCATGCAGAAGAGTAGAAGCTACCTTATACACCTCCACTTGCATCAAATGGAAAGTCAAACAGCTGCTTTAGCTACTTAGAGTTTTTCAGTAATGCAATTCACTTTGGCAATATAGAAATTTGGTGCACTGAATTGTTGAAATCCTCTGTTCTTTCTCCACATGGCTTCCGCTCCAAGGAAAATGTGGCATAAGGAGCTCACAGCTAGAGTTACTATCAAAAGCTAGGCAAGCAGAGAAATATTTATGCCACTATAGCATGCTGCAATTATGGAACCCAATAGCACCCTTAGGCCAAATGTTAAATCCTACAGTTTGAAATGTTTGGCCCAACTTTGTCTTAGACCACACAGATTTTGTAGTTTCATAGCCTCACTCAGAGATCCCCAGACTTTCTTGATTCATGGTGCTCTTAGATTTTCAGTAATTTTTTCATGGCTCCCTAAGTCAAAAGAAATACCTAATCGCTGTTTCTTAAGTAGTTGAGTCATAACTACTTAAATAAGTATTTTATATCCTAGCAATTTAGCCGTTTGAAAGACAGCACTCATAAATCTTTTAAAAATTATTTTTACAATTACTTACCAATGGGATATATGTGTCTGTTGGTCACTGCACAGATTCGCAAACTTTGGAATCAGATTGGACACTGTTACCTTCATTTCCTGTTTCACATTGATTTTTGGACAGCAGCTGCTTTTTATCAAGACTGCCAGAAGGCCAGCTTTGCAAAAATATGACATCATCAAAGAGAATGTAACTCACTCTACGTCTCACAGATGTCACTGAGTTTTCCTCGAAATTTTAAGTTATTCCATGGTACTTCTGCAAGTTCACTGTGTTACTCCAGGACACCTTAGCACACAGCTTGGGGACCAGGGATTTATATCATTTCCTATATATTTGAAGCTATTTGAAATAGCTATCCATTATGTACAGACTGCTTTGTATGGGTCTATCACTTTCCACCTTTCAGGGAGTTTTTGTTGAGAAGTAGGCTGGATGATGAATTTGTTTAAGTAAATGTAAAGGGCTACATCATCATAAAATATTTATTGAGATTTCATTCTATGTAAAGGGAATTGAGGGAGGAAAAAGTAATTATGTAATCCTCAAGAAGTTTAGTGTGTTTGGCTACATTGTTTATACGTATGTGATCAGAATATGTCATTTCTTCATTGAACTTTGTTAATATCTCCCCTGTATTTCTGATATATAGTCTTTCACACTTTGAGTTCCTTTTCTTATTTCTGCTAATCCCTTATCTCTTTCTGATACCATTATCTTTGACTCCCTGCTCACCATCCTCAAGTATAATCATCTCACCACCACTCTAATAAGCTCTGTGATTCCCAACTCCATATCTTTACCCATGGTGTTTTCTGTCCCATGGAATAAATTTCTCCCCATTCTTCACATATCACACTCTCATTCATCCCTCTATCCAAGCTCAAATATCTGTCTTAGTGAAATTTTTCCCTATCCTTACTCGGACCACTTTTCTCTTTCAGGAAAAATTACACATCATCTCCTGTCTCATCTCATAATATTCAGTATGTATGCCTACGTTTCTCTCAGTGTTCTATAAGAGAATAATTAGTAGGATGGAGGAATAGATGGATGACTAGATGGAGATAGATAGACAATCATACATGGGATTTCTGAAAGGGATTTGACTTTTCACAATCATCAGGAGAACTGTTTAAAGAGTCTGTGTGGAGCAGTTATTTCTGTGTCTGGTATTGAAGCTTGAAGCCTGAAGAAAAGTCATTCAAAATATATTGGGGGAGGATATTAGGGGAAATAAGAACAAACTGGAATACACAAAGCTGAGCTAGAACTCGTGGCAACTTACCAGAGCTTAGGTTGATCTCTCACCACTTCAATCTTCCAAGTTCCACAACAGGAGTGTCCTGCAGGAAAATCTGCTGTCCAGAACCATAAAGCTAAAGATTCATCTAGCCAGAGAGAGAAGCTGAAGGAGAAGTTGGAAAGGCTCTTGGTCCAGCTGGTACCCCACACCAACCCTGAAAGCTCACAGAAAAGTTTATGTGATTGCTTCGTATGGGTCTCATGCGCTACACTGACTTTTAAAGCATGAAATAAAGATGGTAGCTGCTCCACTTCTACCTCCCAAATCTCACAGAATATGTCTCTTGTGACTCACATTAACCTGGACCTATGCAGAGAAGGAAGTTCTGGGAAACATAGTTCCAATTTGGCTAAGGTAACAAACACAAATCCACCACAGCCTTTAAGAGCACTGGTCCCACTGTCAGTTGTTTAGGTGCCAGCCTTTGCCACAAGAATATGTGCTCCTTAAGAGTATGGACCACATCTTACTCACAATGATATGGACAGGAGGCAGGGAAATACTGGGTAGAAAAGGGCAGGGTCCCTGGCGAGGGTTCCACCCTCAAGCCTGGACCTGTGGTCCTAAATGAGAACTTCACTTCCCCATTTTCCCACCTGAATGTTGCCTTTTGGCCCACCATGCTCCCATCCTGTGCCCGTAAAAACCCCAAGCTCCACTGGCAGAGCAGCAGACTGGTGTGGCGTAGCAGGACAGCACATGGAAGAGAGAAGCAGTTGAACATTGAGAGGAAAAGAAGCAGCTGGATAGTGGAAACTACGGTCAGAGAGGAGTTTGGATATGAACTCTGGACAGTACAGAGAAGAAGCAGCTGGACATCGAAGACTATGGTTGGAGAGGAGTTTGGCCCTAAATGACAGTCCATCCCCAGCCGAACTCCAGAGGAGGACCACCTTCCCACTTTCCCTTTCCAGCTCCCCAACCTACTGAGAGCCACTTCCACCATTCAACAAAATCTCTGCATTCACCATCCTTGAAATCCATGTGACTCATTCCTCTTGGGCACTGAACAGGGACCTGGATGCAGGTGCAAGAGGCTGTCACACTGACTATCCACTGAGCTGTTTAACATTTACACCATCCGCAGATGGCCAAGCTAAAAGAGCACACTGTAATACACGCCCTCTGGAGCTCCAGAGGTTGCAGGCAACCCTTAGACGCTGCCACAGGCCAGTACAGGGTTCATTCCTGCCGGTGCCCAAAGGCACTCACCCCGGCCCCTGCACCAGCTCACCTGCAGGCTCTCCCCCACAAGGGGTTTGAGCGCTGCAGACTGAGTAAGCAAGCCACCCCTTCACAAGTCCCATGAAGGGGCCGAGGGAACTATCCCATCTCAATAATATATTCCTACTGCTTCATACAAAATCTGACATATAATAAGGACTCACAGATGTTTGTCAAATGATGAATGAATGAACAAACAAATGAAGGAATGAATGGAAAAAGATTATTAACACCATTAGTACATTATAAGTACTAAATATTTGGTCATATAACAAAGTAATAAGCAGAAAGAATCTCCTGTTTTTTTCCAAAGGCAAAAAATTAACATATTTTCTATAGACTAATCCCCTTAAGATGAGGTGAAACTATTTAAACCTATCAAAATTTTATCATGTGTATAGAACTTTCAAATGTACAAATTGTGTTTATAAAAGCTAACTAATTTGACTACTTATTACTTAGTTAAATATAACGGAGTCATCACTTTTCTGGACAAGTATGAAAGCAAAAATATTTTTTAATAAGATTCAATTAAATTATAAAAATAAAAATAAATGTTGACATTATATACCAATTTTTCATTAAATTTCTTTATATTTATATAAATTATATTTCTGAACACACTAGCTGATAACTAACTGAAGACAAATATTGCCAACATGTCTTTGGTTTCATTTCTATTTATCACAACTTGTTCTAAAATTAATTCAATCCTACATCCTCTATTTCAGCTGTTTGGCCTACTTTAAGCCTCAAAGGATCACTATCATGATTATCCCATAATTTTCAGTCTCCAAAGGCATCATTATCGATAACCTCACCTACCTGTAATCACAACATTAACATTACAGTAGGACAGAGCCCCAACTCTATATAGAACTGCATCCTTCATAGAGAAGCTTTAAGAAAAGGCAGCCAAAGTAAACTTATTCTGATCCTTCTTCTCATGGCAGCAGAATTGACACCTTGCCCTGCATAATTATGGTCACAAATAGTCCTCAGAATATATGTAACCTTTCACTTTTCCTAAATGTTATTAATTTCCTACAAAACAAAATAAAAACAAAAATTACACAATAACAAAACACTTGATCCTTCACATTTGTCAAAATGCGGAAGTATGTGAAAACTTTTACATACATGGCAGTAATATGAGAAAATTTAATTTTACTCTAAACAGACTAACTGTACCCTTAGTAAACATGGTTTCATTTCTATTTGAAATCATGGAAGCATTCTTTATTTACCTAAAAGCCTGTTGGATTACCCTTTATTTCACCATCCTGGGGATGTTACAAACCCTGTTTTATTTTTAATTTGATTACTCAGTCCTTCTAAAGCCTGAACACTTTTTTCAAAAATTCTTTACAAGTAAACTCATTTTCTAAAAGTTTTGACTCTGAGTCTTTAAATAACAAGAGGAAACTAAAATTTAATAAGTGACAACTATGGCATGCACATAGGTTACAAGGCAGTCATTCTTATTCTCGTTTATAGGTGAGAACGTTTAGGATCATAAATGCTAAATATCTCTTTAAGACTGAACAGCTAATTAATTACAAAGCCATCATTTTAACTCAGGATTATAACCAGTTAAAACGACAAAGCTTGTGTTCCCTTGTATGTCCCAATCTACCATTGCTATACAAGAGTTTAAGGATTCAAGATGAATGTTAGAGAGACATATCAATTTCTTGCCAGGCATTTTGCATTAACCTTAGACACAGTCATCATTTATTCATTATTTGATTAAACAAATATTTATTGAGTTCCTAATATGTACCAGTCACTGCTCAAGATGCTAAAGACATAGTGATGAACAAGACAAAGACCTTATTAAGCTTCCATTCTAGTGGGAAAAACAGATATAAGCACAGAAATGGAAATGGTGTCGGGTAACTAAAGAAAAATATCACAAAGTCAAAGGAGGAAGGGCAATAGAAGTGTGGAGGGTCAAATCGGGGTTCACAAAGAAGAATGGGCTACGGAGGTGCTGATAAGTATTAATACAGTTCCAATAATTAATCTTCTCTCATTATAGCAAACTAAAATAAAAGTATTCCAAATAATGTTCTCATCTGTGCTCAGTTGCTTTAAAAACAGAAATTAATAGGAGTTACTATAAAATAATCATTGAGAAAGACTAGAAAAGAGCAAGATTTTAGAGTAATAATAATAATAATAAGTCTTTCAAGAATTGCATTGACCTGACAGTATTCTCCCTCTAGTATCAACTTGGATCATACTTAAGTGTAGGAACTCTGGCCTTCCAAGTTTAGAGATCATCACTCCAGCTTTACAGCTGTCTTTCCCATTGATCCTGACCTAAAATATGACTCCCTTTAAAAATAATTTTAAGACACTTTCTTTCTACTTTTGTTTCAAATGACAGACTCCTAAAGAGTCATATTTTTTTTCCTTTTTTCTGTCCTTAACAGTCTTAATGTTAACACACAGAATCACATATGAATTAAACATTATTTTCATCATGAGTAGGTTTTAAAAGGATCAGCAAGAGAAAAAAATATAACACTGACACTGTAGTGGAAATGAGATTGAGGATTATTCCTATTTTAATGTTGTTTACCAAGAAGGCAATACAGCAAAGTGATCAGAACTCAAATATTTGAGTTCTAGAGTCAAATTACCTGTGTTCAAATCCCAGCTCTCTTGGTAACTTGCTGTAAGATGGAGGCAAATTACTAGACCTTTTGGGTTCCTCATATGTGAAAGGGTATCATGATTGTACATGCCTCATATGTTCATTCTAGAGATTGAATGAGATAAAATGTGGTATTCTTAGTGCAGCACAAGGCACTTAAAAACACACTACGGATATACATTATGGGATGTTATTTTCACCATTTGTGAATAGGTAGGTTTAAGGACAAAAGATATTATTTCCCACTTCATCTGGAAGTTTTTTTGTATATTTCAAGGCACATCTTTAACATCACCTTTCCTGTCAAGCTTTGCATGGTCCCCCAGGTATCCTCTTCTTGTGCTCCCATAGCAATTTGTTCCTAATTCTGTGTTCGAATTGTAATGCGGTGCAGGCAACTCTCTTTGCAGTTGCAACTAAATCAATTGTCTTAAGTGAAGCTTCCTGGATGCAAATCCTAAGATAAATCTTCAGGTGCCACTGATTTCCTTCAGAAGTGCTCCCAGGAGAAACTGGACAAGGGAATGGGGACAGCAGGAAAGAGAAGGCCAAAGGTGTGATTTCAGGTAAAGACCCACTCTGAGCCTGATCCCATGGAGAGCTGTGGAGCACCCATTACACCTCAGAGTTTGTACATTACACCTACAAGGTGAGGAAGCTGAGCTTTCATACTGCCCCATCTGTCAGTCATTGGCTACGGGGGTGAGGTAGGGCATCAACTCCCAGGCATTCCAATTCTCTGCATGAAATGCTTTGAAGAAGGTCATAGGTGAGAGACATTAAAGATGAAGCACACAGAAGATGGGCCATGGGGACACACAAGTAAAGGAGGGGAGGGAGAATCTGGGTGTAGCACCAACAGTGTCTGACACATAGTCCTTTCTTAAGGAACCCTTACTATTTTAATGACCTTATTTCCAGCTCCCCTACACAGCCCTAGTACTTCTGGTTCCTGGCTCAATGCCAAGAGGGGTTGGCCTTGGAAGTCCCTTGCTATAGTAAATAGCATTCAGACTTAGAGAGGTAATCAGAGTACCTTCTGGTGTCAGCCTGGAATAATGCTGACATGCCCTGAAGGGACCTCTGATGGCTAACATCCCTTCTGCTGCTGCCTGCACAGCTGCTATGGGCTGGAGTTGTTGCCAGAGAGTACCACAATCCTTGGGCAGATACTTTGCCACCCCTCCTGCCCCACTCCAGTATCTTTCCAACTTCTACAGTTGACTTCATGTTGCCGGCTGCCTCTTACGATCTACTATCGCTTACACAGGCTTATAAATCTTACTTCCTTCAGCTCCTAACTACAGACACCTAGAGGGCCACTTGTCTATACTCTTGTTTGAAAACTCACTACCCAATGCTTCTGCCTAAATCGTAATCTCCATTCCACTCTAGTGGTTCCATTCAGGAAGAAGAAATTGCCTTTGTCCCTTTCAATTAAAAATTTAAAAGCTCTGTCTCCTTCTCTAATGTTCTTGCCATTCCACATGGAGTTGCATCATCAATATATTAGAGTACCAAAATCTTTCACCCATGCCTTTTGTTTCACAGTTGGAATCTATCTCAGACTATTCTTATTGTAAGAAAACATTCCAGAATTGAAAAACTTCTGTTTAAAATTCATCAGTATTTATATGCAACATATCTGTATTTTAATGAAATTGTGTATAATATGCAGGATTCAATGACATTTTCCCATCATATCATCATTCTCTATTATAAAATTAGAGACTCTCTCTGATAGTATATAAGAAAGAATCTGTTCCATGATAGAATTTTTTTTAATTTTTATAAATTTAAGGGATACAAGTGCAGTTTTGTTCATTTGTTACATAGATAGATGATGGAAATGTATTACGCAATTTAAAAATGCTAAAAACGGAAGTCTTATATGAAACTTTTGCTTCAATCCAGATTCCATAGTCATAACTGAGTACCCATGGATAAATTGATAGATTTAGATAGATAAGTGGATAGATGATTTTTATAATGTCTCTTTTTCTCCTTTGTTGATCATTTGGAATGGGAATGAAACATGATAAAGAAACCAGAACTGCCCTTAAGGCACTGTAATCCAGTATGAAAGACAAACATGAAAAGGAATGATTATAACACAATGCTAAAAGTGCTATTTTTAAAAAGCAAGGGCAAGAGATAAGAGCACCAAATATTGGCAACATCTGTCTTGAATTTTACACCCTGCTCTGTTCAATTAGTGAACGAATGTCTAACCCTGACTCAGCTCAGTCCAACCAGGCTGAGTTAGATTATTCCTTCTTGCGACCCCCTTAGAATTCATCACATAATTTTATATTTCTGTATTTGTCTCCCTCACTAACTAGACTCTGAACTTCTTGAATATAGGACTTTGCCTGGTCACCTTTGTATTCAAAGCATCAATTTTAATTTTTGGCACATTGTTGGTCTTCAATAAATGTTTGTTAAGTAAATAAATGAATAAATGAGTGAGCTGAACCATGGATGGAGAAGGAAGAATTTCATTGAAGTCTTTATGTAGAAATTTATGTAGAAATTTATATTTAAGCTACTATGGACTGCATATTGTCCAGTTCTGAAACTCCAAGTGAAGTTGAGAGTATAGCCTAATGTCATAGGCTGGCCCTATCTTTGTTTTCTTATTGTAAGCTCCGGAGTTTGCAGATTCGAAAAACCTGTCTCCATACACCATGCTAAAACTCTTTAGCGGCAGACAACAGCTGAATATTTCAAAACAACTTGCAAGATGTACTCGAAAGAACTGGATATTTCCTCTGTCAAGAAAATGGGCTTGTAAATGCTTGTTGGGTCCAATTCTGGTAATGTTCAGTTTTTTTAAATCATCGATAAGGTTATTTGCCATCCTTACAGTGTCATTAGATAACTGCTGCCTCTGCCTTTTTCAAGCAATTATGGTGAGTTTTAAAATCAAGTATCAGTGCAAGGGTGCAACTCTCCTGATTTCTCTATCGCAGCTTGACTTCTTTTCTTAGTACTTTTGAATCCATTTTTATGTGATTCTTGATGGGCTTTCTAAAGATTATTTGAGAATAAGAGTGTTCTACTGCTGACTTTCAGATACTCAAATATTTTTCTCCTTTTTGAAATACAGTCTAAAAATTCTGGCTGCATGTTAGAATTAAGTCTAATAACTTAAGCAGCCCCATCATAGGGGTTAGCTACACAGATAATCATCCTATCCTGCTAAGTTTGATGAACTATATTTTCCCCAAATTCCTCTTTATTCTGTTCTAGAAAAGTGTTAGTTTAGAAGACAGATGCCTTCCTGAAATTTTTGCTTAATGACTCTAAAGGGAAAATTTAGGATGAAAACTGCCAGATAACTCTTCTTTTTCCTCCAAAATAATCAAGATGTGAGTTCCAAAAGTCTGGGGGCTCAATACTCTCAACTGAAGATAAAACCTGTCTTGTGTCCATTTGTAAAAAATAACTCCTTGGCAAGGTGTTTTGTCCCAGAAAGTCATTCCTAATAGACCCATACTGTACAATATCAAATGAAAAGTTCAGCTAGCTTGTCCTCTTCTCATTCTCCCTTCACTTCTCCGTCCTTCATCCCCTTCTCTCTTTACCTGTTATCTTGAGCACTATCCTTTGACCCGGTTGCCCTTTCCTGCCACTAAGCTCACTTTCTGTGAAGAAGCCTGTTTGACTTTCTTCAGTTCTTGTTTTGCAGAAAACTTTAAAATGTTCAAAAGAAACAATAGTCTAACTGTCCTAAGAAGCTAAATTTGATCATTCACCTGGTGAAAGTGACCTGCTGTGAGTGTATCCCAAGCTGCTAGGGCATATCCTATAAAAGAGAGTTCAAAGTTACTGGAAAAATAAGGAAAAATCCAAAACTTATACTGATAGACTAAGAGTTATCTAGGAGCAATTGGTGATCACACAGAGCTCTAAAATGCAATTAGCACCTGTCTTCTAAATACCTGGTAAGCATAAATTGAAATGTATATTTCAGAATCTGTAAAATGGCTTGGTACTTTTTTTGAATAGAAATATAATCATAAACATAGAAAAGAATTTATTATGTGACAATATTCTTTATTGGTGTTTTCGGTAGAAGCATAGCATACATGTTTTACTAAAAGGATCATTTAAACAATATTGTAGTCTAAGAAGATCATAGTATCATTTCATGATAGCAAAGGCCAGACCAAGGGAAGTGGAACTAGGTAGGACTCAGGACTCTTGATTCCTATTCCATGCTCTTTTCACTTTAAGAATTGAGTCAATGAATTTGCTTGCTATTGGCTAAATTTGGGGTTTTTACACTGAGATTGTTGGAAGGGATTTGCAGATCTTCTGTAGTTTCAAGTCAATTTCAGTATGTGTGCATTTTCCTCTGGGAGGAACATAGCTTTCAAAAGACACAGCCAGGTGCGGTGGCTCACACCTGTAATCCCAGCACTTTGGGAGGCTGAGCCAGGCGAATCACCTGAGGTCAGGAATTTGAGACCATCCTGACTAACATGGTGAAACCCCATCTCTACTGAAAATACAAAATTAGCCTGGCATGGTGGCACATGCCTGTAACCCCAGCTACTCAGGAGGCTGAGACAGGAGAATCATTTGAACCCGGGAGGTGGAGGTTGCAGTGAGCCGAGATTACGCCATTGCATTCCAGCCTGGGCAACAAGAGTGAAACTCCTTCTCAAAAAAAAAAAAAAAAAAAAAAAAGACACACAGAAGAGCCCATACCAACCCCAGCCCCCTTCAAATGAGGTATAAAAACTTTTAAACTAAATAAATGTTTGCTTTGTCTTAATAAAAAAAGTCATGGATAAGTGTTTTGAACACTCTATCCTTATTACTTCCCTCAGCTATCCACATATGAAGCTGGTCTAGCTTCAGTTCTTCTTATTAAACTTCTCTTTAAATACCAGCAAGCAGTTATTCATGAAGAAGGCAAAAGACCAGGGACTAAAAAAAAATGCTACACACTCTGATGTTACATAATTAATCTGTTAAGAGGTTGTCTTTCTTTTACATACTCCACCTATATATGTGGTTTCTATGTCCTCACCTATTGCCCCACTCACCTTCACCAACTTCTTACTGTAATGCCAAAAATCTAAATTATAAGTGTACTATATGTCAGGCCTCTGAGCCCAAGCTAAGCCATCATATCCCCTGTGACCTGCACGTATACATCCAGATGGCCTGAAGTAACTGAAGAATCACAAAAGAAGTGAAAATGGCCTGTTTCTGCCTTAACTGATGACATTACCTTGTGAAATTCCTTCTCCTGGCTCATCCTGGCTCAAAAGCTCCCCCACTGAGCAGGTCCCCCGCCCCTGCCCACCAGAGAACAACCCCCTTTGACTGTAATTTTCCACTACCTACCCAAATCTTATAAAACGGCCCCACCCCATCTCCCTTTCCTGACTCTTTTCAGACTCAGCCCACCTGCACCCAGGTGATTAAAAAGCTTTATTGCTCACACACAGCCTGTTTGGTGGTCTCTTCACATGGACGTTCGTGAAACTATATCATAACGCAGCTCCCTTAGGTGACTAAAGACCTCTTGGCGAAATCTTGGTAAAGGTTTTTGTTGTTTGCTATTTTTTATTTAACCATCTAAATTCCCTTACTATATGTTGTTCATTCTTGTAGAATGGTTACTTTTTTGACAATTTTCTTTTCTCAGCTAATACAACACTATTCTTGCTTCTGTTGCTCTGACTCCTGTTTCTTCTCCCATCTGTTGACTCCAGATATCCCAAAATGTTTAGTTCTTGACTGTCCTCATACACATAATATGTATATACATTCCCTCAAGGGTTTCATCCATTCATCCATTCCTCTCCATTGAGGAATCCCAAATCAGCCTCTCCAGCCTCTTTCCTTCCATCTTATATTTCCAACTAATCAGAGTGAAGGCCAGTTTATTATAGATTCCTCCATCAAACATAGTCCGTCTTCATATATCTTCAAAAGAAATGAATCTCTTGCCTACAAACAAAATCTCCCTTCTTACATTCCATGTGTCTGGCAACAGCACCAACTTTTCGCCGTCTCCAAATCAAGACATTCAAACTACTTTTTGACATTGTATTCTTTCTCATTGACAGTATCCAAGAACTATCCAAATCTCATTGTACTCCCCAATAGAAATCTTCTGCTTTCATTCTTAGTCAACAATTTTTTTAAAGAATCCACTAGGTGCCAGATGATTTGGTAGGTCTCTTAGGGGGAACCAAAATGAACAAAACTCTGTTTTAGCCCTCTAAGAAATTACTGTCTAACAAGGAATATGAAGCACGTTCATGCACAGCTATAATGCAAGACCTTAATAGCACTGGCAGTGCTACCCTTGGCTTCAGTCATGCATCAGTTATGCCTTGCTCCTATTGAATTTTGCCCAAATTCATACCCATCTGTAGAGTTTATTTTAGACTTTCTGTTTTGCACATCTTAATTTATTTATTTATTTTTACTTTTCTACACATAGCCCTTCCAACTCCACGACTTATTTGTTTTTCCCTCTCTTCTGGACCTATATGTAGAAAGATACGACTGCACGATCCTCTTAATGCAATGGAGGTTGGGTGTTTGTTTGTTTGTTTCGAGTTTTTACCTTTGGCAACTAGCATTAACCAGAGGATAACCTGGGCAATGCACTTTCTACCCCGAAAGCTGATTTCAACTAACGGGAACTCCCTTTCTCTAACTCTCTTTGCTTTTGAAAATCTGAGATCATTTACTGCTTCGGGGGGTCTCTGTTTTTCTCACTGGTTGAGGTCTGTTTTTTGCAGTTAGGATAAGAATGACCTTCTAGACCTTGTAAGGAACCTAAGTCACTTCTGAGTATCCTTCTCTTCTCACCTGGAACATTTTGGCCTGCTACAAGCTGTGACAAAGTAATCCTTAGGCCCAAATTAATAAAAAGGGCATGGCTGCACAATAAACAAATACTGGGTCCATAGCTTTGTAGCCCAGTGCAAGAAGGAAAACTGCCAAAACCTTAGCACCCATGCCTATTGATTTCCTACATTTTCAACATCCATATTCTACCTCACATATTTTAAATGAGCTCTGGGATCCCCTGAAATTCTTATGCTACTAACCATAAATATTTTATACAGCATCCCATCCTCTGTGTCAACTGCTATGTCACACAACTGAGTGGAAAGGGGACAACAAATTGCTCATGCCTAATTTTGGAGCTTTAGCCGATTTCAGTTCTCAGGGAAAAGGCTGCCAAAGCAAAAACCTATTCTTAAAACCAGGTATATTTGATTGTATTTCTTCCACCATTAATCCATGAAAGCATCATTTTCACATTCTGTTTTTAAAACAAGAAATCCATTTTATTTAACTCCTCTAAGATCTTATGAGAAACAAAGTGCTGAAACATGATTTTAGCTATTTGTAGGCTAAGCATATTTATAAATCATTTCTAAATAAAGAAGAAAAAAGAGAGGTAATAAGAGACACAGCCACATTCTTGGTTAAATCTTATTTTCTAACCCAAAAGATTATCCAATTAACTAATGAAACAAAGGTGGTAAATTTAATTGTCTACCTTTAAAAGTACTCCTTCTGATCTTTGTGTATGTGTGTGTGTATGTATATATGTGCTACTGCCTGATCTGCAATTTTATGTTTTATATATTGAGAAATCTTGCTTTCCAATTCTCTGTTTAGAAAACAGAATTCAACATCCCTTCAAATATTCATCCCTGTAACACTGAGGTGAGGTGGGGGGGGTGGGTGTGGATGGGTCACTGAGAATTATAAAGGTATAGTGACATCTACAGGCAGCAAGGATATTGTTAAATAGGATATGGTTACTATCAGCTGAGGAATGGACTAACAGACCTTCCTGCTTTACGTTTAAATGTGTCTTTCTCACAGAAACCAACAGGAAAGGTTAGACCAATTAAGCTGGAACAAATGACACAAGAGATCTTGCTAAAATTAAAATCCATGTAATAAATGGGGCTTTGTTTCACCTCGTTGATCTTCATTTTTGAAATGGGAATAGCAGTTTGGCAGCTCATTTTGAAAATCAATGTAAGTCATACATATATACTTGATGAAAGCGGTCACTTCAAATTCATGGAAATCACAGAGAAAGAATATGCCAATTAGAAATTCAGAAAGTCATTTTTGGCTTTTAGTGATAAAATGGACTCAAAATAAAACCTTTCTGGAGGTCTGATTCAGTATTTACAACTCATGCTAACATGTCAGAAGTTATTCTTGCATTTTCTTAATAGTAGGAGTGAGAAGAACAGTAACAGCAATCAGGGGGTGGATAATAACACATAATGAGATTAGGCTCATTGGTGTCTGTGATACTTAATTTTATGTGTCAGCTTGACTGGGGTCAGGGAAACCCACATAGCTGAGAAGACATTACTTCTGGGTGCATCTGTGAGGGTACTTCTAGAAGAGATTAGCATTTGAATTCCTAGATTAGGAAAAGAAGAACCACCCTTAGCAATGTGAGCAGGCACCATCCAATCTCTTGAAAGCCTGCATAGAACAAAAAAGGCAGAGGAAGGGCAATTTGTTTCTCTTCTGGAGTTGAGACATCCATCTTCTCCTGCCCTTGGACATTAAAGTTCCAGGTGCTAGAGCCTTCAGACTCGGATTTATACCAGCGGGCCCCACCCCGCACCCCTCCTGGAGCTGAATTACACCACCTGTTTTCCTGGTTCTCCAGCTTGCTGGGGGCATAACTTGAGACTTTTCAGCCTCCCTAATTTTGTGAGCCAATTCCCTTAACAAATCCTCTCTTTCTCTCTCTCTCTCTTATTGATTCTGTTTCTCTGGAGAACCTCAACTAATACGGTGTCCTTTATTTTGCTATCGGGGTAAAAACAAAACAAATCAAGAAAGAAAAAGACAAAATTTAAACTCCTGGTAGGTGAGATTATGCTTTATACTTCACTGTATTTCTCATGGTGGCTAGACATACTTAGTAAATAGTTGAATCAATTAGGAAAAAATAAATAGGCTGTAAACTTGATTTTAAAAACTTTTTATTCTAATGTCTATTGATACAGTAGAAAAGAATAGGAAGTTTAAGCACAATTGAGATTTAGCAGTCAAGCTGCTAAGACACCTTTATTACTACTGCCAAGTGCTATAAGATCTGCTTAAAGGTGGAAAAATCCAACTGCTTAATTAGTTCTTATTATTCCTTCCTTTGTTCTTTTTCTCCCACACCTTTCTCCCTCCAATATTTATTTAACATGCAAAAAATGTGTGAGTTTCCAGGGGGAACTGCTGCGATTACCTGACTAGAGGAATTTTACCCATAGCCCAATCAAGGTGGCTGGCTGCTAGATGAGCGCACCTCAACAGCAAGAGGCTATAGGATGTTCTGCTACATGGGTGCCTCTTCTAGTAGGGAAAAGCATAGTAGAAAGGTTTCTTAAAGACTCCCAAAGGACCTACATGTGTGTCTAATGAGTAGATCAGTGTGGCCACTGTCACACCCAGGGCATCTTCAGCCTGTCAGTATTAGTCAGAGCAACAGGAACATATCAGATAGAGGGTGAGGCTTTAAAGAGAGAGGGGGAGGCTGGGCGCAGTGTAATCCCAGCACTTTGGGAGGCCGAGGCAGGTGGATCACCTGAGGTCAGGAGTTCAAGACCAGCCTGACCAACATGGGGAAACCCCATCTCTACTAAAAATACAAAAAACTAGCCAGGCGTGGTGGTGCATGTCTGTAATCCCAGATACTTGGGAGGCTGAGGCAGGAGAATCGCTTGAACCCGGGAGGCGGAGGTTGCAGTGAACCAAGATGGCACCATTGCACTCCAGCCTGGGCAACAAGAGCAAAACTCCATCTCAAAATAAATAAACAAATAAATAAATAGAGAGAGGGGAAAGGGGTGTCTCAGAGTCAGACCCCACCTCATATCCCCCAGCTCCAACATAACAACAGTCAGGGCTACCTCTCAAGCATGACTTGAGGATAAGAAAAGAGATGAGATTAAAAACAACTTTGAAATTAAGGCTTTAATTTGAACTAAACTTTAATAGCCAAAAGTGGCCACAAAGCTATGAAATCTTCACCGGATCATATTGCTGGACTGGAAAAGGAAGATCTAACAGTCTGAGAGAAGACAGTAGTTGGAAGCACTGCAGCCATTTTATCTTTGATCCCACCGAGCTGAAACTTCTCAACAAATATAAATTTGAGGTGAACACATTCAGTCTATAGCAAGGATCTCTTGCCACGTTGTAAAAACTGTTTACACAATGGGGTAGAGAAGATGAGGCTAAAAAATGGTTTTCCATTCCATGCCAGAATGAGAGAATTATAATTTCAAATGTAAACAATTTTCATACTTCCATTGAATCTTGGTTGTCTGGTCATGATTAAGACTAAAGGAACTAAAAAACTGATTGGAAAGTCAGAGGCTCCACCCTTTGTCCCAATGCCAGAGACAGTTGATGCTGTTAATTCCTGAGTTTTTTGAGGATTTTCAAGGTAATTCAGCATGGCTTGAAAGTAAAAATATATTCTTCAAAAAACTGTGCAACTGGCTGACAGCCTAGAGCTCAACAGTATCAGACTTAAAGTTAATCAACAGCACATTAGAGAATATAGAAAGTAGTAAATATAATGCAAAGTTAAGCCTAAATAGAAAGAACGGCTGCATCTGAAAACCTCTTGCAAAAAAAAAATGGAATGAAAGGAAAAATAGATAAGTCCACTATTATAACTGGAAATTTTAACAGCCCTCTATCGGTAATTAGGAGATCCAGTAGGCAGGAAATTAGTAAGGCTGTGATTGAACTCAATCAATCAATCCATTGGCTCTAATTGACATCTACAGAATAATCGATCCAACAACAGCAGAATACATATTCTCAAGCTCAAATGCAACACTCACCAATATAGACCATATTCTGGGCCACAAAATAACCCTTAACAAATTTAAACAAATCAACATCATAAAAAGTATGTTGTCACACCACAGTGCTGTTATACTACAATTAAAATAGAAATCACTAACAGAAAAATAACTGGGAAAATCCTAAAATATTTAGAGATGAAACAACATACTTCTAAATAACACATGGGTCAAATGAAACATCTCAAGAGACATTTTAAAAAATTATTTTAATTAAATGGAAACAAAAGTAAAACCTATCAAAATTAGTGGAATACAACAGAAGCAGTGCTTAGAGGGAAATGTATAGCACTGAATGCATACATTAGAAAAGAGTAATAATCTAAAATCAAAAATCTAAGCTTCTACCTTAGGGAACTAGAAAAAGAAGAGCAAATTAAATCCAAAGTAAGAATAAGAAAATAAACAAATAATAAAACTCAGAGCAGAAATTATTAAAATTAAAACAGGAAAACAATAGAGAGAACCAATGAAACCAAAAGCTTTTACTTTGAAACTGACAAACCTCTAGCCAGGCTAACCAAAACACACACACACACACACACACACACACACACACACACACACACAACAGAGAAGACACAAAGTCCTAATATCCTAATATCAGAAATGAAAGAAGGATCACTACTGTTCACATGGACATGAAAAGGATAATAAAAGAATATTTTGAACAATTTTATGCCCACAAAATATGAATAAGCCTATTATCTACCAAAGAGAGTAAATCAATTAATAAACTTCCAAACATAAAGCACCAGTCTGCAGATGGCTTCACTAGTGACTTTGACCAAACATCCAAGGAACAGATGATAGTAGTTTTCTACAATCTCTTCCAAAAAATAGAAGCAGAGTGAATACCTCCTAACTCCTAACTCATTCTATAAGCTAGCATTACCCTAAAACAAAAGCAGGCAGACATTGCAAGAAAGAAAAACTGACCAGTATGTCTCATGAATGTAGGTGCAAAAATCCTCAGCGAAATATTAGCAAATCAAATCCAACAATACATTTAAAAAATTACACAACTTGGCAAGGCGCAGTGGCTTACGCTTGTAATCCCAGCACTTTGGGAGACCAAGGCGGGGATCACCTGAGGTCAGGAGTTCAAGACCAGGCTAGCCAACATGGCAAAACCCCGTCTCTACTAAAAATACAAAAAATTAGCCAGGCATGATGGTGTATACCTGTAGTCCCAGCTACTTGGGAAGCTGAGGCAGGAGAATCGCTTGAACCCGGGAGGCAGAGGTTTCAGTGAGCTGAGATTGCGCCACTGCACTCTAGCTTGGGTGACAGAGGGAGACTCTGTCTCAAAAAAATAAATAAATAAAAAATAAAAAAGTATACACCTTGACCTAGTGGGATTTATTCCAGATATACAAGGCTAGTTGATAATCAATTAATGCAATTCATTATACCAACAGTATAAAGACAAAAATATCATTCGAACATATCAATAGATGCAGAAAAAGCAGCTGACAAAATCCAACACCCATTCATGATAAAAATGCTCAGTAAATTAGAAATAGAGGGGAGGGATGAATAGGCAGAGGGGACACTTTTTGGGCAGTGAAACTATTCTGTATGATACTGTGGTTGTGGATACATGTCATTATGCCTTTGGTAAAACCGATAGAACTGTATAACACAAAGATGTTTTCTTATGTAAACTATGAACTTTAATTAAATGTAATATATCAATATTAGTTCATCAATTGTAATAAACATAGCACATCCATGCAAGATGTTAATAATAGGGGAAACTGTTGGGAATTCCTTATATAGGAACTCTTTGTACTTTCTGCTCAATTTCTCTGTAAATCTAAAAGCTCTCTAAGAAATAAAGTATACTGGCCTGGCGCGGGGGCTTACACCTGTAATTCCAGCACTTTGGGAGGCTGAGGCAGGCGGATCACCTGAGGTCGGGAGTTCGAGACCAGTCTGACCAACATGGAGAAACCCCGTCTCTACTAAAAATACAAAAAAAATTTAGCTGGGCGTGGTTGCACATGCCTGCAATCCCAGCTACTCAGGAGGCTGAGGCAGGAGAATCACTTGAACCTGGGAGGTGAAGGTTGTGGTGAGCCAAGATCGCACCACTGCACTCTAGCCTGGGCAACAAGAGCGAAACTCCATCTCAAAAAAAAAAATAAAATGAAAGAAAGTATATTAATTAAAAATAAATAAATATAAAGGTAATAGTTCCCATATAAGGAAAAAAAACCACATGTCTAAAGTAGTCTCCAGGACTGCAAGCCATGCATAATTAAGGATTTGGTAGCAGAATCATCTTCATTGTAACCAGCAAAGAGGATTGACCTTTGACTTTGTGGCATCTTTCAGAATCTGCCAAGGTGTTTCTGATCTGTCTCCCTTTGTTGTCCTATCCTCTAGGAAAGGCCTTCTTGCCTTTTTTTCCAAGACCAAGTGACACCTCCTCATTGAAAATTTTCCTAATCACCCCAGACAGTCTGAGATATCTCCCTGCACCCACTTGTTCTTATACTTATTTGTGAGGACTAGGCTCTGATTTTTTTTTATCTTGCCCAAATTCCTATCTAAGGGGTCTGGGGAGTCATGCCCTACAAACCATAAATTCTCATCAGATGGGTTTTATTTAACCCTGTATATCATGACTTACTTTCCAATCTGACTCTGGCATAACAAGGAAGAAAATCACAACATTTTACCCGAAAACATGTTTTTCTGTCATATCTTGAAATGGCGCTGCAAAGCCTTCCCTTGTGGGAAAAATCCACATTCCACAGAGAATCCCCTTTCCCCTTTGTTTTCCTTCCTTCCTTTCCAGATCCAGGAGATAATCAACTAAGAGCCAGGCACCCTTTTAGGTCCTATAAGAAACATTTTACAACCTTTTCTCTCTGAAGTCTGCTATTTGAGAGCTTCCTCTGCACAATAAAACTTGGTCTCTGCAATCTTTTATCTTAACCTGAACATTTCCTTTCTATTGATCCCAGGCCTTCAGATAAACTCAACCAACTGTCAACCAGAAAATGTTTAAATTTACCTATAGCCTGGAAGCATCCCCACCCGCTCTTTGAGTTGTCCCGCCTTTCTGAACCAAACCAATGTATTTCTTAAATGTATTTGATTGATGTCTCATGCCTCCCTAAAATAAATAAAACCAAGCCATACCCCAACCACCTTGGACACATGTTCTCAGGACCTCCTGAGGGCTGTGTCACGGGCCATGGTCACTCATATTTGGCTCAGAATAAATCTCTTAAGATATTTTACAGAGTTTGACTCTTTTCATCAACATTTACAATAAAGAATTTATTACTTTGTACCATTATTATCTATGTCTTATTTTCCCAGCAGCATATAAACTTATTGGTAATAGGACTCGGATATTTTTATAATATGTTCATTGCTTTACTAACATATAGTGTTAATTTAATAAATGTTTAGATGAATGTTGAATGAAGATGAACAAAAACAAAACCCTTTACATGTGCTCCATATTCTGAGGCACCTTTTTCTAGGAGTGATAGTCCATATATTTATCAGTCAGTGTGGCAGTATGGCCTAGGTACTGATAAGTCAGAACTTTTCTGTACCTTAGTATTCTCATTTA
Source organism: Homo sapiens (assembly GCF_000001405.40). NCBI lineage: Eukaryota > Metazoa > Chordata > Mammalia > Primates > Hominidae > Homo > Homo sapiens. Next base: position 30,203,257 of record NC_000023.11, read on the forward strand.
TAAAATGGAGAGTTACATCATAGTTTATTGAAAACATTGGTATAGTTAACATTAATAAATTGCCCATATATTCAAAGCATTTAATTAAGACTTTTTATTAAAATACACTATGCAGTCATTGTGATATGTACATACTAAATAGCTTATTAGCCAGACAGTCAGCTCCTTAAAGGGCAAGATAATTATGCTTTTTGTACACTAGTATATCTATAACATAAATAGTCTGGCTCGTCAGAAGGAATCCAATATGTACTTATTAAAAGAATGGTAAATAATTGGAGGAAAGAAGGGAGGAAGGAAAGAAGGAAGGGAGGCAAGAAGGGAGGGAGGAATGATTTGTATAGATCAGCACTGTCCAAGAGAATTTTCTGCACTGTCCAATAGAATTTTCTGCACTGTCCAATAGAATTTTCTGCACTAATGGACATTTTCTATATCTGTGCTGTACAACATAAGAGCCACATATGACTATTGAACACTTCTAATGTGTGTGGTACAACTAAAGCATTGAATTTTTAATTTTATTTAACTTTTATTCATTTACTTTTTTTTTTTTTTTGAGATGGAGTCTTGCTCTGTCATCCACGCTGGAGTGCAGTGGTACAATCTCGACTCACTGCAACCTCCACCTCCCGGGTTCAAACGATTCTACTGCCTCGCCCTCCCAAGTAGCTGGGATTACAGGTGCACACCACCACACCTGGCTAATTTTTTGTATTTTAGTAGAGATGGGGATTCACCATGTTGCCCAGGCTGGTCTCAAACTCCTGAGCTCAGGAATCCACCCACCTTGGCCTCCCAAAATGCTGGGATTACAGGCGTGAGCCACTGCTCTGGGCCCTCATTTAAATTTAAATATTCAAATATGGCTAGTAGCTATTGTGTTGAACAGCATGGGTACACCTGTGTATACTTTTCTTAAGAAAATTTAATGTTTTTAAAAATCCATTGAGTAAGTCATTATTGAGGGTCTTCCACACTTAAAATACTATTTTGAATGCTCTGGATATTAGGGAACTAAAAGTCTGTGCTCCTTCTCTTGGAAATTTATTCAAAAAGAGATGAAAAATATGTATTGAATGATTAAGTAACGACTTAAAATGTAACTTTTACACATAACCTGCATGCACTGCTTTAAACTGCAATTAAAGCTATAAAGAAACTTATTTATAAGTATAAAAGTGGAAAGAGTTTAATAAATATAGGGAGATGTCTTAGAAAATGAATGAATAAAGAATGTTATATGTGACCCAAAACCTGTTTTTATTCTGACCTACCAAAAAATTCTAAATATTAACAATGCCTTAGCAGGTTTCAACTAACATTTTAAGCCAGTCTTAATTTTATTCACCCTGACACTATTTGGACAGTTTGAGATACGAATTTTAATAGATGTCCATAGCCAGCTAAAAATGGTCATTCCTGAAGAAAAGCTCTGCAGTTGAAAATGATCACTAAAAATTTTAATAACAGTGTCAGGATATCTATGGACTTCTTATTAACATGTTTGAATTTAATCAGAAAACACTTTTTTATATTCTAGGGGAACCTCAGTTTCCAAGTGTTTAACACTTGTTAATGAAGTGCTAACAAGACATCAGTGTGAGTAACAGTTTGGCTCCAAATTTGGCTTCTTATCAGAATCACCTGAGGCTTCTTTCTAAAAATCTAGATTTTAAGGCTTCTCTTGATTCAGGGGTTGAAATGGGCCTGGAAATCCGTATTCTTAATAAACTTCTGAAGTAATTTTTATTACCAGAGTGGGTAGAACCTGCTGCTTTTTAAGAACTCACAAGTCCTGTTATCTATTGCTGAGAGACAGAAAAGAATCCACCACTTCTCCAGCTCCCCACCGTTTTGTCCAATTCCAATTCTCCCATTTCCCACCCCATTCCCTCCAACACACATACAAGTAGATATTTTCCCTCCACCATTTGTGTGACTCTTTCTGGAGCATAATCCGTACTCCCAACATGGGAATGGACCCTGAATTTAACAAAGATCTTTGTATTACACTATAAAACAGAACTCCTTTCATTTCAATACCTATTTATTAATTTATATTTTAATCTTTTATGCATTTTGTCAATCATCTGATATTATTCTGGATTTTGGATACTCAGTGGTTCTTATCATTAAATAAACAGTGTTTTTTTACTCCTAGTTTGGACTACATTTTGTTTTTCAGATAGCTAACATCAATCAGGAACTTAAAGCCAGAGAAGCCTTAGACTTCAGTAAACATTTGATATAATCCACAGTTTAAGCATCCATCTCTGTAGATCACAAAACTAGATTTAGGCCTTTAGCTTTCAGTCAGAAATGTCACATCAAATCCAACATATTAAGTAAATATATAACATATATAGGCCACCTGGCCATTGTGTGCTTAATAGATATTAAAGTTTGGAGACAAATTTCATCCTACATTAGATGATCTCAGTCAACCACTGACAAAGACTGAAGTTCAAATTCTGATGGTGGATTTTTTGTTTCCTTTATTCTTGGTCTTTGAATATTTCATGTAATTTTTTGGCTATTTTCTCCCTAGGGTTTTTTCTTAAAAGAAAAATCATTGTCAACAGCTTAAGCAAAGCCCTACTGTAATCAAAGCAGTGTATATTCATTGGATGAAGAAAAGCAGGAAGGAATAATTTTAAAAGCAGCATTCTTTTCTTGGGGCTGAATTTCTTTACCCACCGGCAAACTGAAAAGAAATAACTAGGAGGTAGGATTCTGTCATTGTTCACTAGATGATTTGAGTACACCAAGCTGAGGTTTTTTTTTATTTTTCAGTCTTCCAAAATTGCCTAATAACAAACAAAAAAAATAACAAATCATCAAAAATTAAAAAAAAAACAATTTTATAGCAACGGATGTCTCTGAATGGTGGGGATTATATTGTTATTTTTGTTGATTTTGTTTGTGCTTTTCTTAATTTCCCACCTCTCTTCAATGATCATTTTAAACAACGAACATTAACATTTTTGAAGAGGCTTTTATTATGAAATAGAAATACCAGTTGGAAGAAATATAAGAATGATTCTGTAAAGCAAAACTGTCACTTTGAAAAACGAAAATCTGCTTAAACATTGAGTGAGATGTTTTTATTACATTCTGGGTTTCTTGCTCTATAATGAAAGAATGGTATGTGGTTGCATACAATCATAAAACTCAAATTTTCTGTCACTATCACTGGCTACTATCTGTTTTCAACTGAAAACACTTCTAGCAATGTCTCAAAGCCCTGCTCCAATTCTCTGATGAATAATTTTATAACATTTTAAAACTGTATACACATCCAAATATCATAGAGGGAAATATTAAAATATTAAAAGCCCATTGAAGAGGCATTGCCAAAATATACGCCAGAGGCATGGGTTTCAGAAATTGTTATATTTAATATGTTTATTAATTAGGTAGAACATGACTAAAACAATGTATTAATGACATTCATGAGTTTTGTTCCACTGGGAGATGTAGACACTAATGAATACTAAAATTACCCAGGAGACGCAATAAATATAGCTTTAAATATATTACTCATATGCTGTTGTTTTAAATGTCAGCCATCTTGAGTCATCACCTCATTTTCCTTGTATTTGATAATGCTTTAAAATACAGCATTTAAGAAAGTAACTTGACCAGATAAACACACTTCTAATTAAGTTCAAACCACAAGATAAAGGCTTGGTTTGTGTCATAGTTTTGCCTTGTAAATAGCTTTCATTTTCAAATTTATTTGAACTATGAAGAGAGAAATGGATGTATTTTGAACTGTATCCCTCTGGGCTTCTACAGGCATCTTTGGGTCATTGCTGGGAGTCCCTGTCTCCATTCCCTATCTTTGTCTGTCCCAGATGGATCTACTATGTGTGACCTCTGCAGAAACATGGCCTGCTCCAGTTTCTGAACTAACTATTAGAAGAATAGCAGAAAGAATCTCAATCACTTCATTCCCAATATCCAGAGGTCCCAGAACTAGGTATTTTGAAACACGCAGTATCCTGTAACACTTGGATGAAATGCAGGCACTTGAGTAGCCTCCTCATTAACACAGTTCCTTGCCACTTCCACTATGGAAAGCCAGTTCATAAGATATAGTTTTTCCTGCGTGGTTTTCAAAGATTCTCATTCTCCTCTAGGGCTGAAAACCTGGCCATACACATACTCTTTTTTATTGGATCCCCCATAGTTTGGCTAGCACTAGCCTATTTACCCCCTTGGAGGTTTGGGGGCTGAGAAAATACAAATCTAATTTCCTTTCAGTAGCCCAAATACAGTATCATTTTTGGGGGAAATCTAGGGTGACATATATTTAACATAACCTTTTGACTGTGTCTCTCAATGATCAGGCACTTCACGCAAGGTTTGAATGTGGTTGAACCCTGTTGACTCTAAATTGGATTTTTGGAAAAACACCTAAAGAGCTGATATTTCATGTCACTTATTAAGGAGATGCTGTTGCACTTTGGATATCATCTTTACAGGCACTAAAGCAGGCATTTTGTTTTGAAAATGCCCCTGGTCTTCATTCTGGTTTCCTCCAAGGGCCACCACACTTTCACTGAAAACATTCAGAAAAACATAAGCTGAGGATCTTCCAGGACCATCCACAAAGTGTTCTGTTTTGACGTCTTAAGATCTAATGTGAAAAAAAAGGTGGGCGGGGCGGGGGGGTGTGGCATGCTTTCTTGGTTAAATAGGTTTAGGAAACTCATCATCCTATATCATCCCTTTTGGAGTTTTCCAGTGCATATTGGCATATTGAGGGTCCTGGGAAGTCTTGCAGTCAAAACAAAATCAGAAACTAAAACCTATTCAACTTTGTTTAAGGCAGCTTACTCTAAAATGATTTCACATTTTTATTAGTGCCTAATATTATTCCACAGGTCCTATTTTTGGAAATGCTGATGTAAACATCATTCTAGCACTGATTGGGAGGTATATTTGATTCCCAGGAACAATGTCTTAGCCAGAGATATTCATTGCCATCACTCCTTCCCCCATTCCCTGGCAGGTCTTCAAGCTTGCTTGTCTCAGAGTACCATGATTTCTTGATGTGTTTGAGCCTTCTATATTAACTGGGAGTAATATAACTCCGGAAGAGAGAGACCTCAGTGTCCTGCTCTGCCCCTGCTATGACAATTGGAAGGCCCAAGCAGGGTTTTTTTTTGTTTGTTTTTGAGACTTAGTTTTGCTCTCATTGCTGGAGTGCAATGGTGCAACCTCGGCTCACTGCAACCTCTGCCTCCTGGGTTCAAGCAATCCTCCTGCCTCAGCCTCCTGAGTAGCTGGGATTACAGGTGCCTGCTACCATGCCTGGCTAATTTGCTGTATTTTTAGTAGAGATGGGGTTTCACCATGTTGGCCAGGCTGGTCTCAAACTCCCGACCTCAGGTGATCCACCTGCCTTGGCCTCCCAAAGTGCTGGGATTACAGGCGTAGCCACTGTGCCTGGCCCAAGCAGAGTTTCAAGCTAAGATTTCTCAGGTAGGTTTGCCAGGCACCCTGTATACAGAAAACAGGCCCTGAATTTCTTTGCCCTGTATTATTTTCTCCTCAGGGTATTCAAGGAAGTAAGGTCCTCTGTCTGAAGGACCCGAGTTCAGCAAAAGGATACATTCCAGACTCTGTCAGGAGTAAGACTCATAATGAGGGGCAAGGGGACCACCCACCCCACAACAGAGGATGCCCTAAAGAGTCATGACCCTGCTATAAACTCTGGGGGGACCCAGATGGGAGTGGTCATATGAGATACCCTCTCACTTCCTCCTAGGGGGCCCCAGAGAAGTGATGGCCTGGGTCTGAGGTGAGATAACCTCAAGTCAGTAGAGGGAGTATCCTGAGACCTACCCAGAGGCACAGTGAGGACCCTAAGTGGGGACTGAAGGGGTCACCCATCATAATACAGAGGCATCCTCATAGAGTCCACATCTGCCTGTCCTACTGTGAGCCCTGGGTAGGCTGCTGGCTGGCTGTACTGTAAAGAGCCTTCTCAGTTCCTTCTTCAAGTGCTTACAAGACAGGACAGGAGACATGTGAGGCCCGAGGGCACTGCCCTTAGGAAAAGCCTAGTGTAAGTGGCCTTTGTCAGAGCTAACAATGTTGAGTTTACCAGCTGAAGACACCCACATCTTCCTTCTCTTCCTTAGGTTGTGGTCCCCCATTGGCATACTTCCTACCAACATGCCTGCCTAACATACCACCAAGAAATAGCATGCCTCCATGCCAGAAGCATCAGCACTGTACATGTGAGCAATGCCTCCAGGCCTACAAGGAGATCCAAAGCCAAAAGTGTCCAACTTCATCAAGGGTATCAGATGAGTACTCAGAGGTCAAGAAGAGGAGGAAAGTCAGAGAATCTTGCAGCCTTTGCCAGACACTGAGAATTTGCCCAGGCACCCTCTATACTAGAAAGCGGTTTTTATGATGAATTCCCTGTTGCTCAGTTATCAAATGAAAAAGCCCATCACAAAAGCAGACATACTGAAAAATGCCATAAAAGAGCACAAGGAGCACTTCCTGAGGTCCTGAGGAGAGCCGGAGAGCCTCTGAGTGTATGCAGCCTGTCTTTGGGGTTGAAGTAAAAGAAGTAGACCACTCTTATGCCCTTGTCAGAAAACTGGACCTCACCTATGATGAGAGGTTGAGATATGAAAAGGGCATGTCCAAGACCAGCCTCCTGATGACTGTCCTAGGCCTGATATTTACAAAAGGCAATTGAACCAATGAGGAGATAATCTTGGAAGAGCTGAAAATAAAGGGTATATATTACGGGAAGAAGTACTTCATCTCTGGGGATCCCAGGAAGGTCATCACCAGAGATCTGACGCATGAAAGGTAGCTGGACTGCCAGCAGATGCCCCATAGTGATTCTTCCCACTATGAATTCCTATGGGGTCTGAGAGCCCACCCTGAAACCAGAAAAATGAAAGTCATAGAAATTTTGAGTCAAGGTTAATGATACTGTGAAAGGAACATAAATCTTGGGACCCCAAACTCACTAAGCCAAAGGGAAAAGCTGGGAACTGGGTCAAGCAAACCTGTCTCCCATTTGGTTCCTAAATAAGATAGCTAGAAAGATAAAAAAAACTACATACCTCCCTCACAATTTGGCCACAGGGATATCCCTTGTGGGCCCCAAGATCTTTACCCTAAAGTAGTTCTGTTGAATTTCACCCTGGCAATGTAAATTCATAGCTTATCTTCATAGGTGTGGGACAGAAGACAGAACTCAAAGTCATCCCTCTACTCACCTGAAACAAATGCATATCTGATTGCTTCTTTTGCCCTATTGTTTATGTTATCTTATGTATAAATGCAGAGTCACTGAGCCAGATGAAGGCATAAGTGAATATTTCCTCTACCCACCCTTGCACAGGAAAATTGTGTATTCAGTGAAAGGCTAATCAAAGACTCAAAAGGATGCCAACTTTTGTTTGTCTCTTATCTACCAACACATTTTAAAAATATTTCTTCCTCTTCCCCCAATATCTCCCCCTTTTCCTCTTTAAATACCGAAGCCCTCAAAATCACTTTTGGAGAAAGGCATAGACCTGTCTCCTGGGCATGAATCCTTAACTTTGGCAAATAAACCTCCTTAAATGATTGAGACATGCCTCAGTCATTTTCATTGATTCAGAATACCATCCCAGTGCCTTGCCATCCAGGTATGGAGAGGCTTTGAGACATGAAGAAGGACAGAGCTCAAGCCAGAGTTGAAGCCAGGGCTGGCACTACTGCCACAGCCAAGCAACATTCCAGGGCTATGTTCAGCAGCTTCTCCCATGCCTAGTAAAGACTGAAACAAATTTTTCACTTTGAGTTTGAAGTGGGCAGTGAATGTTCTCAATAGTAGAGGGTTAGGATAAGGAAACACGGTACACAATGAATATCTCCTTTGTCTTCTTGCTTTTATGGGTAACTTATAGATTTGTTTATATATTGGTATTCTTCAAATGTTGTTCTTTTTAATAGATGATTTATTTAACTTAAGAATCTAAGATTTTGAATAGCACAGGTCATACATTTATTGTTGTTTATCAGGTTTAAGAATGAGAGTTTTGGCACCGCATGTTCTCACTCATAAGCGGGAGGTGAACAATAAGAACACATGGACACAGGGAGGGGAATATCACACACCAGGGACTGTCGGGGGAGGGGGGAAGGGGAGGTAGAGCATTAGGACAAATACCTAATGCATGTGGGGCTTAAAACCTAGATGACGGGTTAATAGGTGCAGCAAACCACCATGGCACATGTATACCTATATAACAAACCTGTACATGTATCTGCACAAGTATAGCAAAACTTAAAGTAAAAGAAAAATAAATAATTTAAAAAATGAGAGTTTTTAGTTAAAAAAAAAAAAGTTAAAATCCTTGATTTTTCCCCCTGTGATCCACACAAAATAACATAGCATCAGAATAGGTATTTTCTTGGAAATGTGAAATAACTCCACACTCAAATAGTTAAAATCATGAAATAAAAAAAAAAAGGTGAGATGTGTTCAATTCTTGATTTGCCTTATTCCTTTTAGCCTTTCTTTTTAAAAAATTAAAAGATATATAGCTGGATTTGTTTGGCTTTTTCAAAAATGTAAGATAAATTAAATTGTACTCATTTAGTACTCTTGTTCATTGGCTCTTTTATTCCCTAAATATTAATCAATTCTCTGCTCTTTGGAAGGCTCAATGTTAGTACTGGAGATGAAGGAGATGAGAAGAAATAAAAAAAGAAAGTTTTACCCATTGTCCAAAGAATTTTAGTCGTTAGGAGCAGCTATCATACAAATACATGGTGAAAGTATCTCTCAGATCCAAAGGACAAGGTTAAAAAAGATGGAGGCAGGTAAGAAAGTGGGAAGGGTTCCAGATGAGAGTGTGTAGTGTAAATGCTCTGAGAAAAAGAAAGCTAGGGCCTTGGGAAACTGCAGGTCCCTCACTGGGAGGTAATTTTAAGTGAGGCTGCATGCTGGACTGGAGGAGGCTGTGGGAGTGGTGAGCAGGGCAAGACCCTCAGATGGTAAGCTTCAGAGTTGAGAGACTAAGCCTATAATGGAAAAGTGCTCTTAACTTTGGAGAAAACTGGAAAGAAGCTCCACCAGGGGCAGCACTGGAAAGTGACTATGCTCTTGTCCCAGTGCAGATGAACACAGTGCAGAAACTAGCTGCTTTATATACATTGTATCCAGTGAGCTTCGGAGAAATAAGGATGATACTCCCTTAAGAAGAAATGATAAGAAGCCGCTGGGTACTCTGCACTGGGCTGGAAGAGTTAAGAGTCAATTTCATTAAAAGGAGCATTCAAATTAGGCTATCATGTACATAATTTGGCAAGCTCTAGGCAAGTTCTAGGTGTTTGGTGCTTGTTAAATTAATGAAAATAAAGGTGATTTAGATGGAAGTGACACTGGGAGGGAAGGAAGTTGTTAGTCCTTGACGCAAATGCGTTGTGTTGCACCTAACTGGAGAAGTCTACCTCACATTGAATAATTTATCATTTAATGGGGAAATATTACTTGATTTTTCGTGCTAATCTGCATTTTGGCTTATTGGGTTTTCTTTCTTCTAGAATGCTGCATATTCTCTGACATCTGTTGGATTAAGAAAAAGCAATCACAGTGGGATGGGTGGTATCATCAAGTTAATCATAGGTAATAGCTGCCATGTTGAAACCTCAATATGGGCCAAGTATTGTGCCAGGTGCTTTACATACATTAACCACATTTCACCAATTCCACAAGGAAGGGGCTTATCAAACCTATTTCACAGATGCAGAGCCTGAGGCTCACAGAGTTTAGTAATGTGCCTGAGTTCACATAGCTGGTAAGTGGCAGGGCTGAAACCAGACCCCCAGTCTGGATTAATCTACATCCCACACTGTTCCAGTCTTCCCATTCTGAGGCTAACCTCATGTTGCTTCATTCATTTTTTCTCTCTATTTTTGAAAAATGTATCTCAGGCAATAAAAAGAAGGACTCTGTGCCCATACTACTGGGTCAAATATATTCCCAGACCAATATGAATGCCAAAATAAATGAGAGGCATAAATAAAAAAAAGAAAAATAGTACCTGGTGTCAATACGTTCATCTACACAAGCAATATCAGGTAATCTCAAAAGATCAGAAGCTCCCAAAATCATCCTGGACAGTCTCTTCCCTGTAGAAAATAAATGTGTCAGAACAGAATTTTCGTGAGAATCTAAGTCTAGCAAGATGGAAAAAATCAGCATGTTTTTTTCTCTGACAGCCCACTACCTGTCCTGGAGCTTCTGCCTTGTGCTTCAGCTTCCCTATCTCACATCACTCCCGGAACACGGCTCCTTCTCTGCAAGGTTTGCAGTAGAAAAACTGGTCATGTTTGCAGGGATGTGACATTTCCCAGAAAGCCTTTAATGAAAGATGATCCCCAGTTCAGAGGACATGGGAAACCAATATCTCAGAATATATGAGGTTATGCATAGACTGACTCTCATCTGCTCTCAGACCTAGAGAGCTCGAGACAGAACTGTCAGGCTGAGCATCCACTCATTTAATCTTCAGACCTCTCATGGACATGGCCTAAGAAGGTCAACTTCATGTCAGTAGATGCAGTTCAGCCTCTGATAGATATGAACGTGAGGACCCTGAATGAAGATGATGGAAGGACCCAGCCAGAACTGTGGGGTCCCAAAAAGTCCAGCTCAGGCTGTCAGCCCTTCAAAGTCCAGAACAGCCCTGGCTAAATGTAGCTCACCACAACTTCCAGTTCAGAGGTCGGCAGAGGGTGAGTACCTTGATCTGATGGGAACAGCCTCAGGTCAGTGGAGGATGGAGTGCCCCAAGACTGGCCAGGTGTCATGGTGAGGACCCTGAAGAGAAATAAGAGAACTGTTATAGGACCAACGAGTTTCTGTGTCAGCTGCAAAGTAACAGACCCACTATAATAAAACAGCAAAGTTTGCAGCAAAGAGTTTAATGATTGCAGGGTGCCAAGTGAGGAGATGAGAAGAGACTCTCAAATTCATCTCCCCAAGGAGTTCTGGGCTGGGATTTGCAAGGAGATCATGGAGGGCGAGGGGCTGGAGAACTGAGGTTGTTGATTCGTTGGGGTAAAGGGGATGAAATCATCAGAATGTGGAAACTGCGTTTTTTTTTTTTTAGTCAGCTCCTGTGGGGTCTTTTGGACCAGCTGATGTCAGTAGGGTCCTTTAGAGCAGCTGGCATCAGTGGGGTCCTTCAGACCAGCTGAGTCATTAGAATCATCAGTATGCAGGACCTTAAGGAATATCTCAAAGAAAAAAAGTTTCATTATGTTAAAATTGTTATCTATAGAGCAATTAAGGGCAACTATAATCTAGTAACAGGATCTACATGATTCTGGGATAATAGGCACCAAACTACTATGAGGAAGCAGGTCAGAGAGCAGCTGACTTCATGATTAATGCTGAATGTTCTGCAAGCTTGGCGTATCTTCATTTATCTCCCTTCCCTCTTCCCTGATTAATTTTATACAGTTCATAGGGGCAGTTTCAAAACCACCCACCCCAGAACAGAGGAGCCCACAAATTCCACCAATGCTGTCACCCTTGGGGAGCCCAGAAGAGAATTATGAGGTGGAGAAATCCCATCAATATGCCTCGTGTGTTTCACAGAGGTGAAGACCTTGGACTAGTGGAAATGGCCCTAGGTCAAAGAGACAAAACCCACGCCCTAACAGGAATCAAGGTGAGGATCCTAAGTGTTACGAGGGGGCTCTCCCCCTTGCAACACCAGCAGAGGGGGCCAAACAGAGCCCCTCGCCATTGTTAGCACCGAGAGGCCCCAAAATAAGTATCTCTGAATCCCCTTCATTCCACCTGTATAGTCTCGGGGAAGGAAGGGCCTTTGTCTGAAGAGGGTGACCCCAGTTGTGCAGAGAGAGAGTCTTGGCTTTCACGGGAATCAAGGTGAGGACTCTGAGGGCGGATGAGAAGACCTCTCCCCAAAAAAGGCACATTCACAGAGCCCTGCCGCTGCTGTCAGGCCTGTGAGGCCCAGGCAGGGGTGGCCTGTTTGGCACGCTTAGATTTCCACAGTGGGGGCTGAGGGAGGTGGGGGTATTGTTTGGAGGCTGGCGGATTTGGGTCAGCACGCATATTCGTCCCAGGCTGCTAGATACTGAGGTGAGGACCCCTAGTGGAGACGAAGGGACCAGCAACGCTAGAACAGTGACGTCCGGTAGCGTCCAGCCGTCAGCCCTCAGACGCCACGGGCTGCCGGATGTGAGTCATCCTGACTTCCGCTTTGAAAAAAAAGACCCGAGCGGATGTGGCTCATCCTGACTTCCGCTTTGGAGGCGAGGACCCGAGCGAGTGTAGGGGGTGCGGCGTCTGGTCAGCCAGGGGTGAATTCTCAGGACTGGTCGGCAGTCAAGGTGAGGACCCTGAGTGTAAACTGAAGAGACCACCCCCACCTGTAACAAAGAGGGCCCCACTAAGTCCCGCTTCTGCATTTGGTCCTGAGAGGCTCCGGTAAAGCCGTCCGGCAATGTTCCACCTGGAAAGTTCCAGGGCAGGGGAAGGGTGGGGGGAGGGGCAGTCGCGGGGGAAGGAGGTTTGGACGCAGGGAATAGGCCTCATTCTGCACGTAGGGTGGGTGTAGGCCCTAACTGAAATCAATTTGAGGGCCCTAAATGTGGACTGAAGAGAACATCTCCTACCCTTAACAAAGGTGGCCTCACTAAGTCTCGTCCCTGAAGACGGCTCTGGGAGGCCCCAGCAAAGCTGTGCCTGGAAAGTCTCAGGGAGGGGAGGGCCTTGAACCTAGGAAGCAGCCCTGCTTCTGCTCATATGGCATCAACCTAAAACCTAACTGGGGTTAAGGTGAGGACTCTGAGTATTAATGAGCGGACCTCTACCCAAAAGAGGAGTCATGCTGGGCAGTTCCCAGGCCGAGGTGACACTGGGTTTTAGATGGTCCCAGGCTGACATGACAAATGCAGAGCAACCTGACTTCCTCTCCCGGGACTAAAGAAGTTGAGGGCTACATCCAAGACCCACATCTGCTGCCAGCAATAGGAAGGTCAGGGCAAAGCTAGCAAGCTGAGATGCTCTCTAGTTTCCTCTGGAGGTGGTCTCAGGGAGGTGAGGGTCTTGGTGTAATGGGGTAGGTCTAATGCGACAGAGAGGCCCAGTCTCTAACAGGAAGCAAGGATGTGACACTGAGTGATGAGGAGGGGACTCCAACCAGAAAGAAGTGCCATATAGAGCCCACTCTTGTTGTCAGACCAGGGAGACCTGAGCATGGCATGTTGAGTTGTACTCACTCTCCCCAAGACATCTCAGAGAAGTGAACGACCCCATTAAAGAGGGCAGCCTGGCCGGGCGCGGTGGCTCACGCCTGTAATCCCAGCACTTTGGGAGGCCGAGACAGGCGGATCACGAGGTCAGGAGATCGAGACCATCCTGGCTAACACGGTGAAACCCTGTCTCTACTAAAAATACCAAAAAAAAAATTAGCGGGGAGCGGTGGCGGGCGCCTGTAATCCCAGCTACTCGGGAGGCTGAGGCAGGAGAATGGTGTGAACCTGGGAGGCGGAGTTTGCAGTGAGCCGAGATAGAGCCACTGCAGTCCGGCCTAGGCGAAAGGGCGAGACTCCGTCTCTTAAAAAAAAAAAAAAAAAAGGCAGCTTGAGGTCAGCAGAGGGAGGGTTTCCAGGTTGTGCCAGATGTTATGATAAGAACTCTGACGACTGCAGGGGGCTCCCACCCCATATTAGTGGGAGCCACACAATCCTCAGTACTGTCAGCTCTGAGAGACCCCAGGCAGAAATGTGAAACAGAGGTGCCCATCAGTTCCCACTCAAGGGTAACAGGGAAATGAGAGTTTTAATCTGAGGGTGGTGATCACTTGTCAACAGAAGTAATGTACTAATTGGTCCATTCTGGCATTACTATAAATACCCAAGACTGGGTAATTTACAAAGAAAAGAGGTTTAATTGGCTCACAGTTCTGCAGGCTGTACAGGAAGCATGATGCTGGCATTTGCTCAGCTTCTGGGAGCAGGGCTCAGGAAATTTACAATCATGGCAGAAGGGGAAGGGGAAGCAGACATGTTACATGGCCAGAGCAGGATCAAGAGGCCAGGGGAGGCGCTACACACTTTTAAATGACCAGATCTCATGAGAAGTCATCGTTAAGGGGAATGGTGCTAAACCATTCATGAAAAACCTGCCCTCATGATCCAGTCATCTCCCACCAGGCTCCACCTCCAACATTGAGGATTACAGTTAGACATGAGATTTGGTGAGGATACAGATCCAAACCATATCAGGGAAGAATCTTAGACCCTCTCATGAGTCAAATTTAGAGGCTGAGTTGGGACTGTATGTGGGACCATCTATCACAGGGCAGTTATCTGCCTGCCACAGCTTTTACTTTTGGGAAGACCACATTTGGTCAGATAAGGCCACCCTCACTTCCTCCTATGGGTTCTCAGGGATGTTCACTCTTACCATGACGACATAGGCCTCAGTTCAATAAAAAGGAGAGCTCCTCTACCAGGAGTCAAATTGAGGAATCTGAGAATTCAAGGAACCACTGAACCCTTAACAGTGGAGACATCAAAGAATCCAGTCCAACCCTTTATTTTCAGCCCTAGAAAGCTCAGGAAAGGGTTATCAGGTTTAGTGTCCCCCTCTCTTTTTTATATAAGATCTAAGAGAGGTGAGATTCTTAGTCTGACGGTGTAGCCACCACTCAGCAGAAGGGGGCTGGTGCCAAGCCCTACATGAAGCCAAGGTGGGGACCTTGAATGAGAGCTGAAGACTCTAATGATTCCAAGACATCAAAGACCCCACTGAACTCTCAGCACTGGGTGTCACTTCTCAGGGTGGTGGTTGAGGCACCCCTTCAATTTCTTCTCATGAGTCCCAGGGTGCTTTGAGGTGTCAAATTCACAGTAGCGGAAGGGAGTGGCTCAGGCCCTGCCAAGACTTCATATGATAATCCTAAAAGTTAACTGATAAAACCCCAAACACCAGAAGACAGGAGGCCGCACTGCCAGTACCTCCTGTCACCATAGTAAGCCCAAGGAAGGGCTGACAGAATGCAGTCTGAAACTCACTGTAGGGGTTCTGTGGTTCTTCTCTGGTGTCTCAGGGGAAAGGATAACCAGGACGACAGGAGCCTTGTGGCTTTCTAGAACAGTGCCTTCAGGGAAACTTGCAAAGGCAGGCTTCCTTCAGTAAAGCTAAGATGGGGTCTTCCAGCTGAAGGTGCTCACAGATCTCATTCTCCCATCTCCAGGTATACTAACCATCTATTCTTCTGCCCACATTTCTTGGTTTACCCAGCCATCATGCCTCGTGGTCAGAAGAGTAAGCTCCGTGCCCGTGAGAAACGCCGCAAGGCCCGAGATGAGACCCGGGGTCTCAATGTTCCTCAGGTCACTGAAGCAGAGGAAGAAGAGGCCCCCTGCTGTTCCTCTTCTGTTTCTGGGGGTGCTGCTTCAAGCTCTCCTGCTGCTGGCATTCCCCAGGAGCCTCAGAGAGCCCCAACCACTGCCGCTGCTGCGGCTGCGGGTGTTTCATCCACAAAATCTAAAAAAGGTGCCAAGAGCCACCAAGGTGAGAAAAATGCAAGTTCCTCCCAGGCCTCAACATCCACTAAGAGCCCAAGCGAAGATCCTCTAACCAGGAAGTCAGGGTCGTTGGTGCAGTTCCTGTTGTACAAGTATAAAATAAAAAAGTCCGTTACAAAGGGAGAAATGCTGAAAATTGTTGGCAAAAGGTTCAGGGAGCACTTCCCTGAGATCCTCAAGAAAGCCTCTGAGGGCCTCAGTGTTGTCTTTGGCCTTGAGCTGAATAAAGTCAACCCCAACGGCCACACTTACACCTTCATCGACAAGGTAGACCTCACTGATGAGGAATCCCTGCTCAGTTCCTGGGACTTTCCCAGGAGAAAGCTTCTGATGCCTCTCCTGGGTGTGATCTTCTTAAATGGCAACTCAGCTACTGAGGAAGAGATCTGGGAATTCCTGAATATGTTGGGAGTCTATGATGGAGAGGAGCACTCAGTCTTTGGGGAACCCTGGAAGCTCATCACCAAAGATCTGGTGCAGGAAAAATATCTGGAGTACAAGCAGGTGCCCAGCAGTGATCCCCCACGCTTTCAATTCCTGTGGGGTCCGAGAGCCTATGCTGAAACCAGCAAGATGAAAGTCCTGGAGTTTTTGGCCAAGGTAAATGGTACCACCCCCTGTGCCTTCCCAACCCATTACGAAGAAGCTTTGAAAGATGAAGAGAAAGCCGGAGTCTGAGCCAGAGTTGTAGCCAGGCCTTGCACTACTGCCATAGCCAATCAATCTCCCAAAGCCAAGTTTACCTGCTGTTCTCACCCCCAATGAGGTCTTAGGCAGATTCTTTACTTTGTAATTCAAAAGGCCTGTTAACCTTTGTTCTTGTTATGCATGAATAACTTGTTGACTTTTTTTTTTTCTCTTTTTCAACTAGTGTTTCAACAGGTTTATTTAGATTCAGAATGTAAATTTACAAATGATATAGATCACCCTGTTATTGCTGTTTTTCAGGGACAGTAGAAAGTGTTTTGTTTTTTGAGTGAAACAACTTATTAATAAAAATCCTTAAATCACTTTTGTAATCCAGGACAAGAAAATGTGGCATTAGAGTAGAAATATCTTTGGAAATGTGAAAGACCCCATAGTGAAATATTTGGGATCAGAAGCCAGAGGTGTAAAAGTGGTCAATTCTTGGTTTACTTCATTTAATCTTTCTTTTCATAAAGATACATACCTGGATTTGTTTATGTTATTCAAGAATGTGTGAGAAATTAAACCATAGTTAGTTAATCCTCTTGTTTATGGCTCTTACTTTAAATATTTTAATTGAGCATCTGTTCTTTGGGAGTCTTCCTGCTTGTACTGGGAATGTTTAGTCAAAGAAGACCAAGCTTGTGCTCATGCAATTGTAGATTCTAGGAGAAGCTGTCATCATGGAAGGTGAGACACTTCATAAAAAATAAAAGATAGGAAAAAGAAGTGATGAAAGCAATAGTTTTCATTGCTAAGCAGCATTTTGGCTGAATGGGGTTTTTCAGTCTTAGAATGTTGCGTATTCTCAGCCGGGTGCAGTTGCTCACATCTGTAATCCCAGCACTTTGGGAGGCTGAGGTGGGTGGATCACCTGAGGTCGGGAGTTCGAGACCAGCCTGACCAACATGGAGAAACCCTATCTCTACTAAAAATACAAAATTAGCCAGGCGTGGTGGCGCATGGCTGTAATGCCAGCTACTCGGGAGGCTAAGGCAGGAGAATCACTTGAACCCAGGAGGCGGAGGTTGCTGTGAGCCGAGACTGCGCCATTGCACTCCAGCCTGGGCAACAAGAGCGAAACTCCCTCTAAAAAAAAAAAAAAAAAAAAAAAAAAAAATTGTTGCATATTCTCTGAGATATCCTGGATTTTTTTTTTTTAATCTCAACTGGAATGTTGGTAATGTCTCTGATCAAAATGATAGTGGTAATTGCCACTTCCTGATGTCTCAGTTGACGAGACAGGCACATTTGCATGCATTACATATATTCCACCAGTACTACGAGATGGGGCTTATCAAACCCACTTTACGGTAAAGAGTCTGAGGCTCACTGAGTTTGGTAATTTGCCAAAGTTTACAGGGCCAGTAGTGAAAGGGTTGGGATAAGCCTCCTGATCTGAATTACCCTAGAGCCTACCCTGTTCCACCCCTCTCAGCCTGAGGCAAACCTTGAAAAAATATTTCCGTTTTCTTCTCATTACTGCGGAATGTGTTTCAGGTGATAAAAAGAATAACCTTGTAACCCAAACTAGTAGATTGGAATACATAGCCACAGCAACAATAATACCAAAAAAACTGAGAGGTATAAATAAGTAAAAGAGGCAATATTCAGTGACAGTATGATTATCTACATTCGCAATGTTAGATAACCTCAAAAGATCAGGGGCTCCCCAAATCATCCTGAACAATCTCTTCCCTGTAGAAAATAAATCTATCAGAACAGAAATTACATGAGAATGTAAGGCTGGCTGATAGAAGAAATAGATCAATGTATCTTATCTCTGGCTGCCCATCTCCAATCCTAGGCCCCCTGCTTTGTGCTACAGCTTTGCGGTATCACACCACTCCTAGGACAGAGACCCATTCTCTGCAATGTTTACAGAGAGGAAATTGTTCTAGAATTTGCAGAGATGTGGCATTTTGCAGGAAGCATTTAATCCAAGAGACAGAGCCAAGATGAGGGCTGGGGAGACCAACATCCCAGAATATCAGGCAGGGGTTTAACATAGACACATTCCCTTCTGCTCTCAGACACGGTCCTAGGCTGAGCTGTCAGTCTGAGCATCCCCTCACATATTCTTCAGGTGTCTGAGAGACATAAGAGCCCTAAGGGCAGCATCCTCAAGTCAGTAGGGAAAGGAATCCCAGCCTCTTATAGGAATGAAGGTAATAAACCTAAATGAGGGTGATGGAAGGACCCAGCCAGAACAGTTGGGGGCCTGTAAAGTCACGTTCCAATTGTTAGTCTTGTGAAGTCCAGAACCGTCCTGGTGGACACTGACTTCCAATTCAGGTCCCAGCAAGGTGAGGACTTTGGTCTGAAGGCTATGGCCTCAGGTCAGTAGGGAGTGGAGTCCCAGGAAGGGGGCAGAGTCAAGGTGAAGGCCTGGCATGTGGATATGGGGACCACTCAACCCATAACTGGCAGGCGTGCCTCTAGTCATTCCTTTGCTATTAGCCCTAGGAGGCCTAGGGAGGAGCTGGCAGGCCCAGGTGCCCGTGTCTTCTTCCTGGAGAATCTCAAGGAGATGAGAGACTTGATTTACAGGCTGGCCTCCCAGTTAAGCAAAGAGTGGAATCCCAGACCATGATAGGTATTAAGGTAAAAATCTCATATGAGGAAAGAGGCAAACAACTGCTAGAGAGGTGAACAGAACAAGGACGTCCTTAGAAAGTTATGCCGGGCCAGACGCGGTGGCTCATGCCTGTAATCCCAGCACTTTGGCAGGCCGAGGTGGGCGGATCATTTGAGGTCAGGAGTTCAAGATCAGCCTGGCCAGCATGGCAAAAACCCGTCTCTACTTAAAAAATACAAAAATTAGCTGGGCGTGATGGTGGGCGCCTGTAATCCCAGCTACTTGGGAGGCTGAGGCAGGGAGAATTGCTTGAACCTGGGAGGCGAAGCTTGCAGTGAGCTGAGATCACGCCACTGCACTCCAGCCTGGGCAACAGAGCGAGACTTTATCTTAAAAAAAAAAAAAAAAAGAAAAGAAAGTTATGCCCTGGGAGGCCATAAGCATAGCTTTCAGGCTGAGGTTACCCCACATTCGCTGAGGGGAGGGGAGTGGTCTCAGGGACAGGAAGTCCTTGGACTAATAGGAGAGGCCCCATTCAGTAGAGGGAGGAGATTGGCTCCTTAACAGGATTCAACATGATGACACTGAGTGACAATGAGGGGACCCCTCTCAGAAAGAAGAGGGTCACATAGAACCTTGTCCCTATTGTCAGACCTGAGACCTGGACATGATGACATGATGTATCATACTCACTTCTTCCCAGGTAATCTCGCGGAGGTGAAAAATATTAACAAAGTGGGCAGCCTCAGGTCAGTAGAGAGAAGATTTCTAGGTTGTTGCAGAAGTAAATGTGAGGACCCTGAAGACTGAGGTGAACACCTACCCCATAACAGTGAGGGTAACACAGATTCCTTCCACTACTGTTAGCCTAGGGAGAACATGAGCAGTTATGGCAATATGAAGCAAATTTTACTTCTTCTTAGGGTGTACCAGGAAATTGGTCTTCAATTCCCTTCATATGGGGAGACAGGCCTCAAGTCAAGACAGGGAGGATTTGCACAGGGTGTGACAGGAATAAGGATGAGGAAACTGAAGAGTATGGGACCACAGACCCCACATCAGTAGGAGCCACACAGAATCCTCCCTACTGTCAGCCCTCAGAGACCCCAAGCAGAAATGTCAGGTGGAGTTTCCCATCAGGTCCTACTCAAGGGTAACAAGGGAAGTGAGGGTCTTGATCTTAGGGTGGTAGTCTCACATCAACAGAAAAAGAAATCTTAGACCTGTCCAGAAGTTAAAAATTTAGGACCCTGAGTTGGGACCCTGCATGGAACTACCCATGATAGGGCCTTGAACTGCCTGCCACAGGTTTCATTCTTGTGAGACCATTGGCAGGTATATAGCCAGATGAGGCCATCCTTGCTTCCTCTTGCTGGATCTTAAGAAGGTGTGGGCCTCACTTTGAGGAGATGTCATCAGGTCAAGAAGGAGGGGATCCCCAGGCCCTGCCAGGAGTAAAATCAGGGAATCTGAGTGGAGACTGATGGTACAACATAGCCTTGAATAGAGGGGACAACAAAGTGTCATGCCCTACCCTTTGATATCAGCCTTAGAAGACTCAGAGCAGGGCTGTCAGGGGAGGCACCTCATCACTTCTTTATATACGGTCTAGGGGAGGGGAAATCTTTGGTCTGAAAGTTCAGCTACCAGTCAGCAGAAGAGATCCAATACATGCCAGTCACTGTGCCAAGTGCTTTCCATACATTACCCACATCCTGCCAGTTCTGCCAGACAGGGCTTACCAAACCCATTCCATAGATGCAGAACCTAAGGCTCATAGGATTTAGTAATGTGCCCAAGTCACACTGCTAGTAATGACAGGGCTGGGATGAGAACACTGGTCTGAGTTAGTCAAAAGCCCACACTGTGCCACTCCTCTCAGACAAAGGATGACCTTGTTCCTTAATTAACTTTTCCTCTCGTTACTGCAAAATGTACCAGAGGCAATAAAAAGAAAGACTGTGGCCAAACTATTGGACTGTAATATATAGCCAGAACAATAAAAATATCAAAATAAATGGAAGGTTTGAGTAAGGAAAAAAATAATATTTTGATGACATAATTTACATACATATGTGATGTCCAATAAATTCAAAAAATGAGGAGGTACAAAAAAATCATCTGAGCCACTTCCTTAGAAAAAGTAAATATATCACAACAGAAGTTACATGAGACCCTAAATCTGGCTGGGCAAAAATAGGAGATGGACATTTGCTTTTTCTCTTATAGCCTACCACCTATCCTGGGCCCCCTGCCTTGTGCTGTAGATTTCCCATATTGCATCACTCCTAGGGCAGGGGCCTGTTCTCTGAAAGGTTTGCAGAGAGGACACTGCTCAAGAGTTTGCAGAGATGTGGCATTTCCCAGGAAGCCTTTAATCCCACTGGCAAGAGCCTGTATGAGGACATACATAAATCAGGACTGGAAAAACAAACACTGCAGAATATTGGTTATTACCAAAAGACTATCCCCTGCCTGCTTTCAGACCTAGAGGGTCCCAGGCAGAACTGTCAGGATGAGCATCCTCTCATTTATTTTTCACAGTTGTCAGGAACTTGAGAGCTTTAGCCTAAGGAGGGCAAGCTTAGGTCAGGAGAGAGATAAGACCCAAGATCTGTTAGATACAAATGCCAGATCCCTTAAAAGTAATTAAGAAAGCACCCATCCAGAACACCGGGGTCCCGAAGAGTTCAGGCCCTGCTGTTGACCCTTGGAGGTCCTGAATTCAATGGCTGGATGAAATATAGAGAGGCCTTGAAAGATGAAGCAGAGAGAGCCTGAGCCAGAGCTGCAGCCAGGGCTGTGCTACTGCCATGGCCATGGCACATACCAGAGCCACGTCCAGCTGCTCCTCCTACATCTAGTGAGATCTGAGACAGATTCTTCACTTTGTAGTTGAAAAGATAAGTCAACATTCTAAGTAGTGGAGAGTCAATTTTGACCTAGGGCAAACATATTGTATGTCTTATTTTTGTTTTTGCTCTACTTGAATAATTGGAAGATGTATCTTTTTTATTTTTGGTACTTTTAAAATGTATTCATTTTAATAGAAGATTTATTTAGCTTCAGTATCTGTGTTTATGAATAACATGGATAACATATTTATTTCTGTTTTCCATATATAAATGTAAAAGTGCTGGTATTTTTTTATCAACAAACTGAAAATCCTTAGGTCTCTCTTTGTGGTCCAGAACAAGATAACATAGCATATGAATAAGGACTTTTTTATTGTATAAATTTAAGTTGTACAGTAGGACGTTTTGATATACATATATGGCCATGCACCACATGATGATGTTTCAATCAGGACCACATATACAATGGCAGTCTCGTAAGATTATAATGGAGCTAAAAAACTGTATTGTTTACATGTGTGTGGTGATGCTGGTGAAAACAAACCTACTGCACTATCAGGCCTATAAAAGTATAGCACATACAATTATGTGCAGTACATAGCGCTTGATACTGATAATAAACAACAATGTTACTGGTTTATATCTTTATTATACTATAGTTTTTTTTAAATCAGGTTGGTGCAAAAGTAATTACATTTTTTGCCATTAAAAGTAATAAGAATTGAGATGGGGTAGTAGTAGTAATAATATTCTAGTAATACTAAATAAGTAGTAATATTAATAGGTAGTACTATTAAAATATTAATATTAATTAATAAGTAGTAATATTAAAAGTAGTAATAATTGAGACGGAGTCTTCCTCTGTTGTCCAGGCTGGGGTGCAGTGGTGCAATCTCAGCTCATTGCAACCTCTGCCTCCTGGATTCAAGCAATTCTCCTACCTCAGCCACCTGAGTAGCTGGGATTACAGGGGCCTGCCACCACGACCAGATAATTTTTGGACTTTTAGTAGAGATGGAATTTCACCATGTTGGTCAAGCTGGTCTTGAACTCCTGACCTCAAGTGATCCACCCGCCTCAGCCTCCCAAAGTGCTGGGATTACAGGTGGTACTTTTATTATTATTTTAGAGTGCACTCCTTCTACTAAAAAAAAAAATGTTAACTGTAAAAACAGTCTCAGGCAGGTCCTTCAGGTTGTATTCCAGAAGAAGGTGGTGTTATCATAAGAGATGACAGCTCCATGCGTATTATTGTCCCTGAAGACCTTCCAGTGGGACAAGATGTGGAGGTAGAAGACAGTGATATTGATGATCCTGACCTTGTGTAGGCCTAGGCTAATGTGGGTGCTTTTGTCTTCATTTTTAACAAAAACGTTTAAAAATTTAAAAAGTAAAAATAGAAAAAAGCTTATAAAATAAGAATATAAAGAAAGAAAATATTTTTGTACAGCTGTACAATGTGCTTATGTTTTAAGCTAAGTGTTACTACAAAAGAGTCAAAAAGCTAAAAAAAATTAAGAAGTTTATAAAGCAAAAAAAGTTACAGTAAGCTAAGGTTAATTTATTGTTAAAGAAAGAAAACTATGCTTGAGAATTTAGTGTAGTCTAACTGTACAATGTTTATTAAGTCTATAATAGTGTACAGTAATGTCCCAGGCCCTCACATTCACTCACTATTCAATCACTGGCTCACCCAAAGCAACTTCCAGTTCTGCAAGCTACATTAATGGTAAATACTCCACACAGGTGTATGATTTTTAACAATCTTTTGTACCATATTTTTTACTGTACCTTTTCTGTGTTTAGGTACACAAATACTTAGCACCGTGTTACATTTGCCTATAGTTTTCAGTGCAGTCACATGCTGCACAGGTTTGTGGCCTAGGAGCAATAGGCTACACCAAATAGCCTACGTGTGTAGTAGGCTATATACCACCTAGGTTTATGTAAGTATACTCTATTATATTTGCACAACAATGAAATTGCCTAACAACGCGTTTCTCAGAAAGTATCTTCATTGTTAAGCAATGCATTACAGTACATGGTGAAATGCTTACTACAGGTAAGCAATTTAATATATCCATTATATCATATAGTTACCTTGTTTTGTGGTAAGAGCAGCTAAAATCTACTCTTAGAAAATTTGCAGTATGCAATACAATATTACTAACTGTAGTCCTCATACTGTACTTTAGATCTCTAGATTTATTCGTCTTATAAAACTGCAACTTTGTACTGTTTGACATGCATCTCTGCATCCCCTCCCCACCCTGCCTCTGGTAACTACTGTTTTATTCTCTTTTTCTATGTATTTAACATTTTTTTCTTTTTCGATTTTACATATAAGGGATATTAATAGCATGCAGCATTTTTCTTTCTGTGTCTGGTTTATTTCATTCAGCATAACGTCCCCCAAGTTCATCTGTGTTGTTGCAATGGCAGAATCTCTTTCTTTTTCAAGGCTAAATAACATTTTTTTAAATTTTATCTTAGTTTCAGGGGTACATGTGCAGGTTGTTATATAGGCAATTGCATGTCATGGGGGTCTGGCGTACAGATTATTTCATCACCCAGGTAATAAGCATAGTACACAATAGGCAGTTTTTCCATCCTCACCCTACTCCCACCTTCCGCCCTTAAGTAGGCCCCAGTGTCTGTTGTTCCCTTCTTTGTGTCCATGTGTACTCAATGTTTAACTCCCACAAAGAACATGCAGTATTTGGTTTTCTGTTTCATTGTACATATATACCACAATTCCTTTATCCATTCATCCATTGGTAAACAATTTTGTTGTTGCCGCATCTTGGTCATTGAGAATAATACTGCAGTGAACATGGGGGCACAAATATCTACAGGAGGTGATGATTTCGTTTCCTTATGCCCAGACAAGGGATTGCTGGGTCATATGGTAGTCCATTTTCAATTTTTTGAGAAAGCTCATACTGTATTCTAGAATGGCTGTACCAATTTGCATTTCCACCAATAGTGTAGAAGCGTTCCATTTTCTCTACACTCTTGCCAACATTCATCTCCAGTGGGTTTTTGTTTGGTTGTTTTTGTTTTATTTTTTTATAATAGCCTTCCTAACTTGTGTGAGGTGATATCTCGCTGTGGTTTTGATTTGCATTTCCCTGATGGTTAGTGATGTTGAGCACATCTTTGTATAGCTATTGGACATTTTTATGTCTTCTTTGAGAAATGTCATACAAGTAGTGAATTTTCTTGAGTACTGATTATGTTGGAAATGTGATTGAATACTGTATTAAAAATTGTTGAGATCAAAAAATTTTTTTAAAAAAGTTTGTCTATTCTTGGTTTGCCTAATTCCTTTTAGTCTTTCTTCTTATAAAATTAAGAGTTACATATCTGGATTTGCTTAGATTATTAAAGAATGTAGGAGAGATTAAATCCTAATTTATTGGACTTCATACTCACTCTCTTGTTTATTCCTTAATCATTAATTGAGCATCAGCTCTTTGGAAGTCTTCATGTTAGTACTGGGAATGTTTTCCCCAAAACAAATCAATTTCTTGCCCATTTAATTTTAGAGTCTGGGAGCAGCTGTCATAAAAAAAAAAAAGATGATGAGGTGCTCTCTAAAACTTAAAGAACAAGTACAAAGGAGGAATGAGAAAAAGAGGAGGTTTGAGATGAGAGCAATCAAGTGTAAATGCCCTGAGGCAAGGCAGTTTGGAGTGTTAGGAAACCTCAAGTCCCCCATTGGGAGGTAATTTTAAGGGAAACTACATGGTGGGCTGGATGAGACTGTGGGAGGGGCCAGGCCCTCAGATGGTGCCTCTCAGAGGTGTGAGACAAAGCCTGGAATGGGAAGTAGTTCTTAACAGTTATTTTGTGCTCACGGATAAACCAGAGAGAATCTGCACCTGGGGCAGGAATGGAATGTGCCCTGTGCTCTTGTCCCAGTGCAGCAGAACATAGTCACAGTGCACAAACTAGGTGCTTTATACAGTTGGTGCATTTCAGTGTTGAGAGACTAAGCCCGGAATGGGAAACTATCCCTAACATTTACTTTCCTGTTGTGGGAAAACCAGAGAGAACCCCTACCTAGGACAAAAGTGAAAAGTGTTCTATGTCCCTATCCTAGCACAGTCTAATACAGTGCACAACCTAGGTGTTCTATGTACATCATCTCTAGTGAGTTTCTGAGAAATAAGGGAGATGACAGCTTCAGGGGAGGTAAGATGCCCAGAAGCCACCGTGCTGGCACTCTTTGTCCTGGGTTGGAGAATCAAGAGCCCGCTCTATTAAAAGGACTTTCAACAGGGGTGCAGCCAGGCATGGTGGTTCATGCCTGTAATCCCAGCACTTTGGGAGGCGAGGCAGGTGGATCTCTTGAGATCAGGAGTTCAAGATTAGTCTGGCCAACGTGGTGAAACCCCGTCTCTACCAAAAATACAAAAATTAGTTGGGCGTGGTGGTGGACATCTGTAATCCCAGCTACTAGGGAGGCTGAGGCACGAGAATCACTTGAGCCCTGAGGCACAGGTTGCAATGAGCCGAGATAGTGCCTCTGCACTCCAGCCTGGGTGACAGAGTGAGACTCCATCTCAAAAAAAAAAAATAAATAAATAATAAAAATCAAAACAGGAGTGGTTAACATAGAAGGGTGCCTAGGAGTTAGAAAAAAATATTGGTCATTGACAAAAATTTTGAGACTTGAGTTGTATCCAATTGGAGAAGGCTCTTCCACAAACACTTTATAAATTATATAATTTTCCTTGCTAAGCAGCATTTTGTTTGATTATAATTTCTTTGTTTGGAGTTTGGTAATATGCTCAAGTTCACAGGGTGAGTAAGTGACAGGGCTGGGACTAGACTCCTGTTGTGAATTCTTCTAGAGCCCACACTCTTCATTCTGTTCCTCTCTGCCTGGAGCAGACTTTGTGTTCTTTAATTCACTTTTCTTCTCAATACTTCCAAATATATCTCAGGGGTTAAAAAGAAGGATTCTGTGCCCAAAGAATTGGATTGGAATACATAGCCAAAGCAATAAAGAATATCAAAATAAATGAAAGCTACAAATAAAGAGGAGAAAGAGATATTATTCAGTGACAATATGATCATCTACATATGCACAGTCAGATAACCTCAAAATCAGGGACCACACAATCATCTTGAACAGCTCCTTCCCCTTAAGAAGTAAATCAATTAAAACAGAAGTCACATAAGAGGCTAGTGCTGGCTATTGAAAAGAGTAAATCAGCATCATTTTTCTCTGACAACCCACCAGCTACCTTGGACTCCCTGCTTTGTGTTATAATTTCTTTACCTCACATTAGCCCTGGGGCACAGACTTGCAAGGTTTGCAGTAGGAACGCTGCCCAAGAGTTTGCAGGGATGTGGCATTTCCCAGGAAGCCTTTATTCAGAGAGGCAAGAGAAAATAAGGAGGACACCCATAAATAAATACTGGAAAGACAACCACACCAAAAGATAACGGGGCAATCTACCCAAACCTCTTCTCAGCCTAGAATGCCCCAGGCAGTGCAGTCAGACTGAGCATCCTCTCTTTTACCCTTCAGAGTTCTCAGTGAAGTGAGAGTTTTGACCTAAGGTGACCTCAGTTAACTAGAGGGAGGATCCAGGGTCTGGCAGATATCAGGGAGGACCTTGAATGAAGAACAGGAGGAGCCAGAACAGTGATGTCCCATAGAAACCCGACTCCGCTGTCTGCCCTCACAGGACCCAAACATCCCTGGCCTAATGTGGCTCATCAAAACTTCAGCCTAGATCTCGGAGGACCTTGATCTGAGCAGGATTCATGGCATGGAATGTGGAGTCCCAGGACTGGCCAGCAGCGAAGTGAGGTTCTTGAGTGAGTAAAAAAGGGAAAACTAAACCCACAAATAAGGGGACTTCTCGGAGCCCAATCCATATTTTTAACCCTGGAAAGCCCTAGGCAGAGCTATAAAACTGGCTTGCCTCTCATTTCAGCCTGGCGGATCTCAGGGAGGGGAAGGCTTTGTCTAACAGGGCAGCCTCAGTTCTTCAGAGGTCTCTTGGCCCTAACTAGAGTCAAGATGAAGACCAAGCCGGTGCGGCATCTCAGGCCTGTAATCCCAGCACACTGGGAGGCCGAGGCGAGTGAACTGTTTGGGCCCCCCCAGGAGTTCGAAACCAGCCGGGACAACATGGCGAAAACCTGTCTCTACAAAAAAAAAAAAAATGGCGGGGCAGCAGTGGAGCACCCCTGTAGTCCCAGCTACCCAGGAGGCTGAGGTGGGAGGATCGCTTAAGCCCTAGGGGTCAAGGCTGCAGTGAGCCAAGGTCACGCCACTGCGCTCCAGCCTGGGTGACAGAGAGAAACACTGTCTCAAATTAGCCGGGCGTGGTGCGGCGCACGTGTAGTCCCAGCTATTCGGGAGGCGGAGGCAGGAGAATCGCTTGAACCCGGGAGGCAGAGGTTGCAGTGAGCCAAGATAGCGCCACTGCACTCCCGCCTGGGTGACAGAGCGAGACTCCATCTCAAAATAAATAAATAAATAAATATAAACTTTTTTTTTTTAATTTTAAGGCAGGGCTCTGGCTCACGCTTGTAATCCCAACATTTTGGGAGGACGAAGCCAGCCTCATCGCTTAAGCACAGGAGTTCGAGGACTGGGAGGTGGAGGTTGTGGTAAGTCAAGATTGCGCGGCTACACTCCAGCCTGGAAGACAGAGAGAGCCCCTGTCACAAAAAAAAAAAAAAAAAAAAAAAAAAGAAAGAAAGAAAGAAAGAAATATGAGGCCCACCGGTGCTAACCAGGGAACCTCTCTCCAAAAGAAGGGCCCACCAAAAGCCCTAACCCTGTTTCAGGTCTTTGAAGCCCCAGGACATGGTCCGATAACATGCCTAGACTTCCCCTCTAGGGACTATGGGAGGGGAGGATTTTGGAGGTTGGCGGACTTCGCTCAGTAGAGGTGTTACTCTGCTCCGCTTAGTATCAAGGTGAGAACCCTGAATAAGGACCTAGGGACCACTGACTCCAGAACAGTGGGGTCCCAGCGTGTCACCCGCTGCTGTCAGCCCTCGGAGACCCCGAGCGGGGTGTGGCTCAGCCTCACTTCCGCTTTGAAAGTGAGGCAGTTGGCCTGACGGGTGCAATAGCTTCAGTCAGGTTCGTGGCCTAGCGTGAGTCTTAGAACTGATCCGGAGTAAAGGTAAGAACCCTCAGCGGGGACTGAAGGGACAATCCATGTTTTTAACCCTGGAAAGCCCTAGGCGGAACTATAAAACTGGCTTGCCTCTCATTTCAGCCTGGCGGGTCTCAGGGAGGGGAAGGCTTTCTCTAACAGGGCAGCCTCAGTTCTTCAGAGGTCTCTTGGCCCTAACTAGAGTCAAGATGAAGACCAAGCCGGTACGGCGTCTCAGGCCTGTAATCCCAGCACACTGGGAGGCCGAGGCGAGTGAACTGTTTGGGCCCCCCCAGGAGTTCGAAACCAGCCGGGACAACATGGCGAAAACCTGTCTCTACAAAAAAAAAAAAAAATGGCGGGGCAGCAGTGGAGCACCCCTGTAGTCCCAGCTACCCAGGAGGCTGAGGTGGGAGGATCGCTTAAGCCCTAGGGGTCAAGGCTGCAGTGAGCCAAGGTCACGCCACTGCGCTCCAGCCTGGGTGACAGAGAGAAACACTGTCTCAAATTAGCCGGGCGTGGTGCGGCGCACGTGTAGTCCCAGCTATTCGGGAGGCGGAGGCAGGAGAATCGCTTGAACCCGGGAGGCAGAGGTTGCAGTGAGCCAAGATTGCGCCACTGCACTCCCGCCTGGGTGACAGAGAGAGACTCCATCTCAAAATAAGTAAATAAATAAATAAATATAAACTTTTTTTTATTTTTTATTTTAAGGCAGGGCTGTGGCTCACGCTTGTAATCCCAACATTTTGGGCGGAGGAAGCCAGCCTCATCGCTTAAGCACAGGAGTTCGCGGACTGGGAGGTGAGCTGCCCCTGTAGTCCCAGCTACCCAGGAGGCTGAGGTGGGAGGATCGCTTAAGCCCTAGGAGTC
The DNA here is from genome assembly GCF_000001405.40 of Homo sapiens. Classification (NCBI taxonomy): domain Eukaryota; kingdom Metazoa; phylum Chordata; class Mammalia; order Primates; family Hominidae; genus Homo; species Homo sapiens. The sequence continues at coordinate 30,232,986 of NC_000023.11, forward strand.
AAGGCTGCAGTGAGCCAAGGTCACGCCACTGCGCTCCAGCCTGGGCGACAGAGAGAGACACTGTCTCAAATTAGCCGGGCGTGGTGGGGCACAGGTGTAGTCCCAGCTATTCGGGAGGTGGAGGCAGGAGAATCCCTTGAACCCGGGAGGCAGAGGTTGCAGTGAGCCAAGATCGCGCCACTGCACTCCCGCCTGGGTGACAGAGCGAGACTCCATCTCAAAATAAATAAATAAATAAATAAATAGATATAAACTTTTTTTTTTTTTAATTTTAAGGCAGGGCTCTGGCTCACGCTTGTAATCCCAACATTTTGGGAGGACGAAGCCAGCCTCATCGCTTAAGCACAGGAGTTCGAGGACTGGGAGGTGGAGGTTGTGGTAAGTCAAGATTGCGCGGCTACACTCCAGCCTGGAAGACAGAGAGAGCCCCTGTCACAAAAAAAAAAAAAAAAAAGAAAGAAAGAAAGAAAGAAATATGAGGCCCACCGGTGCTAACCAGGGAACCTCTCTCCAAAAGAAGGGCCCACCAAAAGCCCTAACCCTGTTTCAGGTCTTTGAAGCCCCAGGACATGGTCCGATAACATGCCTAGACTTCCCCTCTAGGGACTATGGGAGGGGAGGATTTTGGAGGTTGGCGGACTTCGCTCAGTAGAGGTGTTACTCTGCTCCGCTTAGTAACAAGGTGAGAACCCTGAATAAGGACCTAGGGACCACTGACTCCAGAACAGTGGGGTCCCAGCGTGTCACCCCCTGCTGTCAGCCCTCGGAGACCCAGAGCGGGACGTGTCTCACCCTCACAACTCCCTGCCCCTTACAAAAGGGGACCCACACGTCTCACCCTTGTGGTTGACCCTGGGAGGTCCTGGTTGAGTTCTGTCTGGAAAGGCACCCAGAGGGAGGGTCTTTCACTAAGGGAGCAGCCCCAGTTATTCAGTTGGCGGGGACCTGGACCCTAACTGGAGCCAAGGTGAAGTCTCCGAGTGCTAAAGGATGGGATCTGTTCCCAGTAGGGGCGTCAACAGAAAGCAGCAGCAGCCCTACTGGTTAGCATCCTCCTGGTTAGCACCAGTGGTCCTTGTCTTTTTTATTTATTTTTATTTTTTTTCAGACAAGGTCTCACTGCTGCTAGCCAGTTTAGAAGGCTCCAGACAAGTGTAGTCATAAGCGGAGGCCCTGACTTCCCCATCCAGGGAGGGAAGTGTTCAGGGAGATGAGGGTTTTGTTTGGAGGTTGGCGAACTCAGGTCAGTAGAGGGAGAAATTTCAGGCTGTGATAAGATACCAAGGTGAAGACCCTGAATGAGAATCTAGGGACCAGCAACTCCAAAACAGTGAAGTCTCATAGAGTTCCACCCGTGTTGTCAGCCATCAGACCCCAGGAAGCTGTGAACAGATAAGGCTCTTCCTCACTTCCTTGGAAGTGCTTTGAAGGGGAGGATCTGGAGGCGAGGGGCACGGGATCTCTTCGGCAGAGGGTGAATTCCTTGGACTGTCTGGAGTCAAGGTCAGGACCCTGAATGTGCATGAAAGGGACCACCATCCCCCAACCTGTAACAAAGAGGGCCACACTAAATCCTGCCCCGGAAGTCTTCCCTGGGAATACCTTGAAAGCTGTCTGACAGATATCTACCTGGAAAGTCTCAGGGAGGGAAGGGCCTTGGTCTAAGAAAGTAGCCCCAGTTCAGCAGGTGGAAGAGAGACTTGGGTCCTAACTGGAGTCAAGGTGAGGGCCCTGAGTGCTAATGAAGCAATCTCTCTGCAATAGAGGTGTCAACACAAACAATGTCCTTGCACTCATTTTGCAACCTCCAGGCAAAGGTATTCATAGGTGAGGGGTCCCTGACTTCCCTGTCTAGGGTCTTGTTCTGAGGCTGGAGGACTTAGGTTAATGGAGGGAAGTGTCCCACATCCTACTAAGAGTCAAGGTCAGAGACCTGAGAGAAAACTAAAGGGAACACTCTCTCTAAAAAGTAGAGTCCCACAAATTGTGCCTCTTCTCTCAGCTCCAGGAAGCCTTGGAATAACGTCAGCCCCCCTTACTGCCTAGAGAGTGCCAGAAAGGTTGAACTAATTACATGCCCCAGTTCTGCAGAGGGAAGAGTGAGGAGACCCAGAGCCTTACAGGGGTCACAGTGAGGACCCTGAATGAAGACTAGTGATACAACTCCTCCCACATAAAGAAGAGACAACAAAGATTCCCCCACTCCCCACTTGCAGCGCTGATGAGGCTGGGCATGGAGGTCAGGTGTATGTGAACTCACCTTCTTTTAATGGCATTAGGTTGCTGAGAGCCTTTATCTAAAGTGAGGGGCATCAGAGCAGCAGAGGCAGCTGTCCTAGGTCCTATCTAGAGACAAGATGAGGACTATGAATGAGGTGTCAGGACTCCAATAAGCCCAGGAAAGAGTAGGACTCCACAATGCTGTTAGCACCCAGTTCCTCCTGTCAGGGGTGGTAAGGCTGAGACATTCCTTCACCTCCTCTTAGGTGGTCCCAAGGAGATGAGGACATTTGCTGGAGGTGTCAAATTTAGTGCAGCACAGGGGAGAAGACCCAGCCCTGACAGTTTTTATGATGGTCCTGAGTGTGAACTGAGAGAAACCTCCTACCCCAGAGTAAAAGGAGATCCACAAGGACTAGACATGCCACGGCTGCTCTCAGTCCCAGTATACACAGAACAGGGCTGGCAGGCTGTGGCCTAAGGCACACTTTAATTACTTTCACAGGGTTCTCAGAGGACAAACTGATCAGAACAGAAGCCCTCTGGGTTTCCAGAGCAGTGCTCTCACAGAAAACTGCAGAGGCGACCTTCTTTTAAATCCAAAGTGGTACCTCTCTGCTGAAGGCACTCATACCCTCTCTTTCTCTCTCTCCTCCAGGTGCCTGTATCACCTGCCCTTCTGCTGACACTCCTGCCTGCTGTTCCTGACTACAGCCATCATGCCTCGGGGTCAGAAGAGTACGCTCCATGCACGTGAGAAACGCCAGCAGACCCGGGGTCAGACCCAGGATCACCAGGGTGCTCAGATCACTGCAACTAACAAGAAAAAAGTATCCTTTTCATCCCCTCTTATTTTGGGGGCTACTATCCAGAAAAAGTCTGCTGGTAGGTCACGTAGTGCTCTCAAGAAGCCTCAGAGAGCACTATCCACCACTACATCTGTAGATGTTTCTTACAAAAAGTCATACAAGGGAGCCAACAGCAAAATTGAGAAAAAGCAAAGCTTCTCTCAGGGTCTATCCTCCACTGTGCAGTCTCGCACAGACCCTCTAATCATGAAGACAAATATGTTGGTGCAGTTCCTGATGGAAATGTACAAGATGAAAAAGCCCATTATGAAAGCAGATATGCTAAAAATTGTCCAAAAAAGCCATAAGAATTGCTTCCCTGAGATCCTTAAAAAAGCTTCTTTCAACATGGAGGTGGTATTTGGTGTTGATTTAAAGAAAGTTGATTCTACCAAGGACTCCTATGTCCTTGTCAGCAAAATGGATCTCCCCAACAATGGGACAGTGACTCGTGGGAGGGGATTTCCCAAGACAGGTCTCCTGCTGAATCTCCTGGGCGTGATCTTCATGAAGGGCAACTGTGCCACTGAGGAGAAGATCTGGGAATTCCTGAATAAGATGAGAATATATGATGGGAAGAAACACTTCATATTTGGGGAGCCCAGAAAGCTCATCACCCAAGATTTGGTGAAGCTTAAATACCTGGAGTACCGACAAGTGCCCAACAGTAATCCTGCACGCTATGAATTCCTGTGGGGTCCAAGAGCCCATGCTGAAACCAGCAAGATGAAGGTCCTGGAGTTTTGGGCCAAGGTCAATAAAACTGTCCCCAGTGCGTTCCAGTTCTGGTATGAAGAGGCTTTGAGAGATGAGGAAGAAAGAGTCCAAGCTGCAGCTATGCTCAATGATGGCAGTAGTGCCATGGGCAGAAAGTGTTCCAAGGCCAAGGCTAGCAGCTCTTCCCACGCCTAGTGAAGTTGAAGCAAATTTTGCATTTTGTGGTTAAAGAGGGCAGTCACTGTTCCAAGGAGTGAAGGACTGGGTGTTACTGGAGGGAACACACTGTATAATACCTTTTGTTTCTGTTCTAAATGGATAATTTGAAGTTTTATCTGTATTTTGGGGCATATTTTTCAAATGTTCCTTTTATTTAACATTGTAATCTAAGTTTAGGATTGATACTGGTCACATTTGTTGTTTAAGAGTAAAAATTTTGCTGTTTTGTAAAACAGATTGAGAAAAATTCGATCTTATTTAGTGATCTGTTGCAAGATAACTTGGAATTAGAATAAGCATTTCCTTGAAAATGTTTAAAAAAAAAAAGTCAGCAGTAAAATGTATGGCATTAAGAAATAGAGAAAGAGTGTAAGATGGTCAATATTTGGTTTCCTAAATGCTTTTACTCTGTGCTTTAAGAAAATGAAAGATAAATAACCATATATGTCTGGCTTACTTAAGAATGTAGAATTAAATCATAATAAATTAGACCTCATGCTGACACACTCATTCTCCAAGTGTTAATTGAGCATCTGCTCTTGGAAGGATCCATGCTAATACTGGGAGGGCTAAGAAAAAGAAGACCTAGCAACTGACCTTAAAATTATAAGGTCGAGAAGCAGCTATCATCTAAGGAAAATGGTGATATACACTCTAAGACCAAAAGGATACATGATAAGAAGGGAGGGAGGTGGTTCCACATGAGAACAGTCAAGTATGAATTATCTAATCAAGGCGGTGTTGGGCCTAAGGAAAGTGCAGGTCCCTCAATGGGAGTTAATCTAAGTGAGGCTCCATGGTGGGCTGGATGAGGCTGTGGGAATGGCGAGCAGGGGCCAGGCTCTTAGAAGTTGCCTCTCACGCAGTGGCGGGCGCCTGTAGTCCCAGCTACTCGGGAGGCTGAGGCAGGAGAATGGCGTGAACCTGGGAGGCAGAGCTTGCAGTGAGCCGAGATTGTGCCACTGCAGTCCGGCCTGGGCTAAAGAGCGGGATTCCGTCTCAAAAGAAAAAAAAAAAGAAGTTGCCTCTCAGAGGTGCGAGACAAAGCTTGGAATAGGAAACAGTTCTTAACAGTTACTTTGGGATCATGGATAAATCAGGGAGAATCTGGGGTAGGAATGTGTCCTGTGCTCTTGTCCCAGTACAAATAAACACAGCACACACTAGGTGTTTTGTGCACATCATCTCCAGCCAGTTTCTGAGAAATAAGGGTAATACCCTCAAGGGACGGGGGAGGCCCAGAAGCCACTGTGCTGGTACTCTTTGCCCTGGGCTGGGGGATCCAGAGCCTGTTCCATTAAAAGCGCATTCAATTAGGTTACCTCATTTGTGATTTGGCAAACTCTAGGCAAGGTCTAGATTTTGAGAGGTGGTTAAATGAATCAAAATAAAAGTGGTTTAGATGGAAGGATAGCTGAGAGAGAGGGAAGTTTTTGGTCCTTGAAACTCATTTTAGAATCTGTGTTGCATCTACTGAGGAAGTCTACCTCATACTAATATTGAATGATCTATCAAGTAATGAGGAAATATTATTTAGTTTTCCTTTCTAGGTAGCACTTTGTCTGATAGGGCTTTCTTTGTCTTAGAATATGGTATAATCTCTGACATCTCCTGCATTGAAAAATAAGTCCCAGTGTAGTAGATTGCAACGTCAGGGTACAAATTAATCATAATAAGAACTGGCACTATTATATGTCTCAATACATCTCAAGCACTTTACATACATTGTATACATTTTACCAGTCCTACAAAACAGAGCTTATCAAACCCACTTCACAGATAAAAAGCCTGAAGCCCACAGTCTATTAATATGTCCAATTTCACATGGCTGGTAAGTGACAGGACTGGGACAAGACCCCCAGTCTGAATTAGTGTAAAGCACACTCTGTTCCATGCCTCCCAACCTGAGACTGACTGTGTCCCCTTATTCACTTTTCTTCTCACTACTCCCAAACGTATATCAAGTGATGAAAAGATTCTGTACCCAATCTGCTGGACTGAAATACAGAACCAGAGCAAGGAAATTACCAAAATGGTCAAGAGGTGTGAATTAAGGAGAGAAAGATAATATTTGGTGACAATAAGATTACACATGCAAAGTCAGATAAACTCAAAAGATCATGGGGTCACATTCTGTCATTCTGGACTGTCCCCCTTTTTATAGGAAGTTAAATCTTTTCCAAGAGAAATACATAAGAGGGTAGTAAAGAGAAGAAATAGATCAATGTTTTTTTTTTTTTTTTTTTTTTCTCTGACAGTATGACTTCTATCCTCGGGCTTCTGCCTTGTGTTACAGCTTCCCTATCTTATATCACTCCTGGGACAGGGATGCATTGTCTGCAAGATTTATTATAGGGAAACTGATCAAGAATTTTTAGGGATGCGGCATTTCCCAGGAAGTCATTAACTAAGGGACAAGAGCCAAGATAAAGACCTTCATATAGGAGGACTCAGCAGAACAACATGCCAGACAGAGTTCTTAGCCTGAGCATCTCCTCACTTATTCTTCAAGGTTCTCAGGGACTTGTGAGTTCCTGCATCTCGGGTCAGTAGAGGGAGGAGTGCCATTCTCTGACACATACCAAGTTGAGGACCCTGAATGAAGAATGAGGGAAGCACTCACCCAAATAGCCTTAACAGGATGTGGCTGAACCTGATTTCTACTCCGGAGGTCTTAAGAAGGTAAAGACCATGATCTGAGGCTGGCTGACTCAGGTCCATAGAGGAAGGATTCCTAATGTGTGCCAGGAGTAAAGTGAGTACCCTGAAGAGTGCAGGAACCACCAAACCCCTATCAGTGGGGATCCCACAGAATCCTCCCTATTGTCACCTCTGAGAGATTTAGGCATGAATGTCAGAAAGAGGCACCCTCATATCCTCAGTAGTAACAGAGAAGTGAAGGTCTTGTTCTGAGGTGGGCAATCCCAGCTCAGCAAAGGGAGGAATATTAAGCCTTCCTGTGAGTGAGATTTAGGATCCTGAGTTAGGACCTGAGTAGGACAATCCACCATAAGACCTCAACCTGTCTACCACAGCTGCCACTCTTGGGAGACCATGGTCAGCTGTGGCCAGATAAGGCCACCCTCTTCCTCCTATCTGATCTCAGGGAGGTGCAGGCCTTTTAAATGGAGAGGTCTTCAGGTCAAAAAAGAGGGGAGCCCTAGGATCTGCTAGGAGCCAAATCAAGGAAACCGAGTGAGAACTGAGGGGACTGCTCACCTCTGAATAGAGAGAGCAACAGAGTCCACCCCCCTGCATAACTCTTAAATTGCCAGGGCAACATGTAAGGCTGAGGACTCACCATCACTTTTTTTTTTTAATAATTGACCTTCTTTTTTAGAATAGTTTTACGTTCACAGCAAAACTGAGCAGAAAGGAGAGTCTCACAGGCATCCTGTCCTCCCACAGACACAGCCTCCTTCATATCAACCTCCCAAGCCAGGGTGATACATTTGTTACAATTGAGAATACATGGACACATCATTATCACCCAATGTCCGTAGTTTAGGATTCATTCCTGTTGCTGCACATTCTGTGGTTTTAATATTTAAAAATGTATAATGACATATGTTTACCACCATAGAATCATCCAGAATTGTTTTACTGCCTTAAAAGTTCTCTGTGCCTGATCTATTTATCTCTCACTCTCCCCAACCTTTGGAAACCACTGAACTTTGTACTGTTTCCATACTTTTGCCTTTTCCAGAATGTCATATAGATGGAATTATGCAATGTATAGACTTTTCAAATTGGCTTCTTTCACTTTGTAATATGTATCTAAGTTTCATCCATGTCTCTTTGTGGCTTGATAGTTCATTCCCTTTTAGTGCTGAATAATATTTTATTCTGTTAATTTATCCACTCTCCTTCTGAAGGACATATTGCTTGCTTCCCAGTTTGGGCAATTATGAATAAAGCTACTATAAACATTTGTGTGCAGGTTTTTTTTGTGGACATACCGTTTTCAACTCATCTGGCTAAATAACAAGGAGCGCACTTGCTAGATCATATGATGAAAGTATGCATAGCTTTGTAAGAAACTTACAAACTGTCTTCAAAAGTGGCTGTATCATTTTTCATGTCCATCAGCAATGACAGTGTGCTCCTGTTGCTCCACATCCTCATCAGTATTTGGGGTTATCAGGGTTTTTGATTTTGACCATTCTTATAGGTATGTAGTGGTATCACATTATTGTTTTAATTTGCAAGTCTCTAATGATATGTGATGTTGACCATCATTTCATGTACGTATTTGCCTTCCATATATATTATTTGTTGAGGTGCCTGTTTAGATCTTTTGTCCATTTTTAATAGGGTTGGTCAGTTCTTATTGTTCAGTTTTAAGACATTTTTGTATGTTTTGGTTAACAGTCCCTTATCAGATATGTCTTTTGAAAATAATTTTTTCCCAACCTGGGAGTTATCTTATTCTCTTTGTGGTATCTTTAGCAGAGCAGAAGTTTTAATTTAGCGAAGTCCAGATTATCAATTATTTTCTTTCATAGATGCCCATCACATTTTATACCAGAACTAGAAAAGATGAAATTCTTGGTCTGAAGTTGCAGTTATCAGTCAGCAGAAGAGACAGTCCACAACCCTGCTTGGAGTCCAGATGAGGATCCTGAGTGCAAACTTGGGACCTAAAGAGCCCAGGACAGAGAGAGCACTAAATGCTTCTAGGCAGGGGTGGTGGGTTGAGGGGCCCCTAGACTTCCCTCATCTGGGTCCCAGAAAACTAAAGAGTCAATTTCACAACACCAATAGAGGGAGGCTCAGGCCCTGCCAAGAGCTGACATGACAATTCTAAAGGTAATCAGAGTGGATCCTCTCCAAGCCAGAACACAGAAAGCCCCACTGCGAGCCTTGTTGTCACCCAGTCAGCCCCAGGCAGGGTTGGCAAGCTGCAGCCTAAGGCACATTGTAACTTCCTCAGCTGGCTTCTCAGGGGACAGAATGACTAAGAACAATAGCCCAGTGAATACTTAGAGCAGTGTTCTCAAGGAATCCTGCAGAGGCGGCTTCTGAAAAGCCAAGGTAGTATCTGCCTGCTGAAGGTGTTCTCAGGATTTCATTTGCTCTTCTCCAGGAACCACATCACCTGCCCTTCTGCCTACACTCCTGCCTGCTGTGCCTAACCACAGCCATCATGCCTCGGGGTCAGAAGAGTAAGCTCCGTGCCCGTGAGAAACGCCAGCGGACCCGTGGTCAGACCCAGGATCTCAAGGTTGGTCAGCCTACTGCAGCAGAGAAAGAAGAGTCTCCTTCCTCTTCCTCATCTGTTTTGAGGGATACTGCCTCCAGCTCCCTTGCTTTTGGCATTCCCCAGGAGCCTCAGAGAGAGCCACCCACCACCTCTGCTGCTGCAGCTATGTCATGCACTGGATCTGATAAAGGCGACGAGAGCCAAGATGAGGAAAATGCAAGTTCCTCCCAGGCCTCAACATCCACTGAGAGATCACTCAAAGATTCTCTAACCAGGAAGACGAAGATGTTAGTGCAGTTCCTGCTGTACAAGTATAAAATGAAAGAGCCCACTACAAAGGCAGAAATGCTGAAGATCATCAGCAAAAAGTACAAGGAGCACTTCCCTGAGATCTTCAGGAAAGTCTCTCAGCGCACGGAGCTGGTCTTTGGCCTTGCCTTGAAGGAGGTCAACCCCACCACTCACTCCTACATCCTCGTCAGCATGCTAGGCCCCAACGATGGAAACCAGAGCAGTGCCTGGACCCTTCCAAGGAATGGGCTTCTGATGCCTCTACTGAGTGTGATCTTCTTAAATGGCAACTGTGCCCGTGAAGAGGAAATCTGGGAATTCCTGAATATGCTGGGGATCTATGATGGAAAGAGGCACCTTATCTTTGGGGAACCCCGAAAGCTCATCACCCAAGATCTGGTACAGGAAAAATATCTGGAATACCAGCAGGTGCCCAACAGTGATCCCCCACGCTATCAATTCCTGTGGGGTCCAAGAGCTCATGCAGAAACCAGCAAGATGAAAGTCCTGGAGTTTTTGGCCAAGGTGAATGACACCACCCCCAATAACTTCCCACTGCTTTATGAAGAGGCTTTGAGAGATGAAGAAGAGAGAGCTGGAGCCCGGCCCAGAGTTGCAGCCAGGCGTGGCACTACAGCCATGACTAGTGCGTATTCCAGGGCCACATCCAGTAGCTCTTCCCAACCCATGTGAGATCTAAGGCAAATTGTTCACTTTGTGGTTGAAAGACCTGCTGCTTTCTCTGTTCCTGTGATGCATGAATAACTCATTGATTTATCTCTTTGTTGTATTTTCCATGATGTTTCTTAAAATAGAAAGTTTATTTAGATTCAGAATATAAATTTAGAAATGGCATGCATCACACATTTATTGCTGTTTATCAGGTTGGTTTAGTGATAATAATTTTGTTTTTGAAATACAAATAGAAAATCCTGAAATAATTTTTGTGATACAGAGCAAAATAACACGGCATGGGAGTAAGGTTATCCTTAGAAATTTAAAATAACTCCACAGTAAAATAGGTAGAATCTGAAGATAGAAAGGGAAGAAAAGTAAAAGTTGCTTTATTCGTGGTTTGTCTTACTCAGTTCAGTCTTTTTTTGCTCATAAATTTAAAAGTTACATACCTGGTTTGCTTAGATTATTCAAGAATGTGGAGGCCTGGGCCAAGGTCAATGACAGTGTCTCCATTGTCTTCCCTCCATTAAGAGAAGACTTTAAGAGATGAGGGAGAGAGAGCCAGAGACAGTGTTGCAACTGGGCCTGGCATGTTTCAGTGTGGTGTCCAGCAGTGTCTCCCACTCCTTGTGAAGTCTGAGGTATATTCTTTACTTTTGATTAAGAAAACACTTAACCTTCTAATTAATGGAGAGCCAAAGGGGAGTTGGTGGGAACACCATGTATAACATATTTGTATGTAAAATGATTTATCTTTTCTTTTTCCTGTTTTTCAGTGTTCTTTTTTTAAATTGTAGATTTATTTAGTTTCAGAATCTAAGTTTATGAATGGCATGAATCACTCATTTATTAAAATATATCAGGTTGGAGAGTGAGAATTTTTGCATTATGTAAAACAATTTAAAAATCTTTTAAGTCTTTTTCTGTGATCTAGAACAAGATAATATGGCATTGGAATATGGAATTTGTGAAAAGGAAATTACCTTGCAATAAAGTTGGTGGGACCAGGAAGTAGAGAAAAAAAAAGTAAAATGTGGTCAATTCTTGCTTTGTTTTATTCTTTTTAGTCTTTCTTTGTAAAACTGAAGTATATGTACCCGGATCTGCTTAGCTTTTTCAGGAATGTGGGGGAAATTAAATAGCAATACATTTGACTTCCTGGTCACTTACACTTCAATTGTCCAAATATTAATTGAGCAGCTGTACTTTGGAGGGCTCCTGGCTAGTACCGGATAAGCTAAGAAAACAAAAAACAAACAAACAACAAAAAAACCCCAATCCCTGCCCACAGAATTTTAGAATCCAACAGCAGCTATCATATAACGAAGGTAATGAGATACTCCTTAAGACCTAAAGACAGGTGAAAAGGGGATAAAAAAGAAGGTGGGGGTATTACCAGCAGTGGAATCTAGTGTAAATGTCCTAAGCAAGGTAACTGAGACTTCGGGAAACTGAACATACTGCAATAGGAGGTAATTTTATGTCCTGGCATAGTGCCTATATGGGGCGCACTGAGCAGGGGTCACACACTCAGATGGTGGATCTCACACTTGAGAGATGGAGACTGGAATGAAAAATTGCCTTTAACAGTTACTTTGGGATTGTGGAAAAACCAGAGGGGATCTTTGCCTGGAGCAGGGATTGAAAGTGGCCGGTGCTCTTGTCCCAGTGCAAGTGAAGTGAATCCAGTACACAAACTAGGTGTTTTATGAGCGTAGTCCCCAGGGTGTTTCTGAGAAATAAAGGTGATACTCCTTTAAGACTGGAAACTCATAAGCCACTGGGCTAATACTCTGCTATCAGCTGGGGAGCCAGAACCCATTCCATTAAAAGGAATTTTTTTTCCTTTCATGTGTTTTTGCAAATTCTAAGGGAGATCTAGATTTTTGATGGTGGTAAAATGAATGAAAATAAGACTGGTTTGGATGAAAGGTCAGAGTTGGTCCTTGAACCAAAGCCTAGAAGGTTTGAGTTGCTTTCAGCTGAGAAAGACAACTCCACACTCAAAATATGATTTAATATGGAAAAGTTATTTAGAGTTTCTTTGTAAGCTGCGTTTTGGGCTGATTTTATTGTTCCATGTCTTAGAATGCTGTATATTCTTTGTTATCTCTTGGACTTAAAGAAAATCAGCAGGGTGGATGATTTCTTCTGTAGTTGAAATAATCTTAGTAATAACAAGTATTGTTTAAAGTCTCAATGCACACCAGGGCTTTGCACACTTTCACCACATTCCACCAGTCCTACAAGACAAGGCTTATCAAGCTCATTTCACAGATGTAGAGCCTGAGGCTCATAGAGTTTATTAATGTGCCCAAGTTCACACAGCTAGTAAGTGATAGGGCTGGAACTAGACTGCTGGTCTGAATTCCTCTAGAGCCCACACTGTTCCACTCCTCCCAAACTGAAGCTTACTGTGAATTGCTTAATTCATTTTCTTCTACAACCCCAAAGTGTGTCTCAGGTAAGAAAGAAGAGGTCTCTGTACCCCAAACACTGGATTGGAATACATAACCAGAGCAAGAAGAATACCAAAATAATTGACAGATGTGAATTAAAGAGAAAAAGAAATAATACTCGGTGACAATATGATCACCGACAGAAGCAAAATTGGATAGCTTCAAAAGATCAAAAGATTACAAAAATCATCTGGCTCCACCCTTTTCTGTAGAAAGTAAAACTTTTAGAACTACCCTTTGGTTGGTGAAGTGAAGGAATAGATCAGCATGTTTTTTTCCCTGAGAGCACAACATCTGTCCTAGGCTCTCCACCTTCCGTTTCAGTTTCCCAACATCACATCACTTCTGGGACAGGGACCTCTTCTCTGCAAGGTTTGCAAAGAGGAAACTGGTCAAATTTTTGCAGGGATGTGACATTTCCCTGGAAGAGTTTGATCAAGAGACAGAAGCCAACATGAGAACCCTCATGAATGAATGGTGGGGAGAAAACCACTCCAAAATGTAAGGGTTCATCCAGACCCTCAGGAGAGTGACCTCAGTTCAGTAGATAGAGGAGTCCCAGGTTCTGATACATGTAAAGGCGAGGAGCATAAATGAAGACTGATGGAAGGACCCAGCCAAAACTGTGGGGTTCTATGGAGTCCTTTCCTTATTATCTGTTTTTGCAGGTTGCAAAAGGACTGTGATCATATGAAGATCATCCAGGAGTACAACTCGAAATTCTCAGAAAACAGGACCTTGATGTGAGAGGAGCAGGTTCAGGTAAACAAAGGGTAAGTTACAGGTTTGCTCACTTGTCAAGGTGAGGACCTGAATGTGGACTAAGGGTAGCTAGCACCCACATGGCCTCACAAAGTCCCCTCTGCTGTCAGCCCTAGGAAGCCTTGGCGGAGATGGCAGGCTGAATTCTGCCTGGAAAGTCTCAGGGAGATGACTGGTTCCGTCTAATTGGGGCAGCCTCAGTTTTACAGAGCGAAGAGGCCGAGACCCTAACAAGAATCAATGTAGGGCTTTTAAGTGTTAAGAGGGGACTCCACCAGCAGATGAGTCCCCACAGAATTCACCCCGTTTTGAGGCATCAGACAGAGCTATCTACCTAAGGTGCCTCTCATTTCCGCCTGGAAGGTCTCATGGAGGATGGGGAGCGTGGGGCCTGAAGGGAGTAGCTTCAGTTCTGCCTGGAGAGGAAACCAGAGTCACGGTGAGGACTCTGAGAGCTGATGAGAAGGCCTCTGCCCAAAACGGGACTTTCACAGAGCCCTGCCGCTGCTGTCAGGCCTGTGAGGCCCAGGCAGGGGTGGCCTGTGTGGCACGCTCAGATTTCCACCTTGGGGGCTGAGAGAGGTGGGGCTATTGTTTGAGGCTGGCGGATTTGGGTCAGCAGGCGGAGTCGTCCCAGACTGCTAGATACTAAGGTGAGGACCCCTAGTGGGGACGTAGGGACCAGCGACGCTAGAACAGTTACGTCCAGAAGCGTACCACCCCTGCCGTCAGCCCGGAGGCCACGGGCTGCCGGATGTGGCTCATCCTGACTTCCGCTTTGAAGGCGAGGACCCCAGCGAGCGTAAGGGCGCAGTGTCCGCCTGGCGGATTTGGGTCAGCAGGCGGAAGTCGTCCCAGGCTGCTAGATACTAAGGTGAGGAACCCTAGTGGGGACGTAGGGACCAGCGACACTAGAACAGTGACGTCCCGTAGCGTCCTGCCTCTGCCGTCAGCCCTCAGAGGCCCTGGGCTGCCGGATGTGGCTCATCCTCATTTCCCTTTTGAAGGCGAGGACCCGAGCGAGCTTAAGGAGTGGGGTGCAGCGTCTGGTCAGCGGAGGGTGAATTCTCAGGACTGGTCGGGAGTCAAGGTGAGGACCCTGAGTGTAAATTGAAGAGACCACCCCCACCCGTAACAAAGAGGTCCCCTCTAAGTCCCGCTTCTGCATTTGGTCCTGGGAGGCCTCAGGTAACCAGATGGGTAGCACCCTGACTGTCTCTTCAGCGACTCAGGGAGACGAAGGCTTTGGCCTAAGCCTTATAGACTCAGGTCAATAGAGGGAGGAGTCCTAAACCCTACTACCCGTAATCCCAGAACTCTGGGAGGCCGAGGCAGGCGGATCACGAGGTCAGGATATCAAGACCATCCTGGCTAACACGGTGAAACCCCGTCTCTACTAAAAATAGAAAAAATTAGCCAGGCGTGGTGGTGGGCTGCTGTAGTCCCAGCTACTCAGGAGGCTGAGGCAGGAGAATGGCGTGAACCCGGGAAGCGGAGCTTACAGTGAGCCGAGATTGCACCACTGCACTCCAGCCTGGGTGACAGAGCGAGACTCAGTCTCAAGAAAAAAAAAAAAAAAAAAAAAAAGTCCCGCTCCTGCTGTCGGCACACGCAGGCCCCAGTCAGCCTTGGTGGGATGTGGCCCACTATGACTGTGAACTTAGGTCCAAGGAATATGAGAACTTTTGTCTACGGGGCATGGTGTTAGGAGCAGTTGATGGGTGGAGTCCCAGAAAGAGTGCTGAGTGGAGGTGGAGACACTGAGTGAGGAAATGGCGGCTACTCTATACACGAGGGAGACAATTGCGCCTGATGCTGTCCCTGGGAGTCCCAGGCCAGAGCTGGCAGGCTCAAGTACTCCCTGGCTTCTGCCTTCATAGTCTTAGAGAGAGGAGGGCCTTGGTTTAAGGCCTCACTGCCCCAGTTCAGTAGAGAGATAGGAGTCATACGCCAAGACAGGTGTCAAGGTACAATTTCTTTATGAGGAATGAGGTAACCGTCTAGTCCAGAACAGGCAGGAACACAGTCTTACCTTGGCGTTCATTCCTTAGAAGCCAGGGTTAGAACTCTCAAGTTGAGATGCCCCTCATTTCCTTCAGGTACTGTTTCAGGTACATAATGGCTTTGGTTTAACATGAAAGCCCTTGTTTAGTACAGGGAGGAGGCCCAGTTCCTAAAAGATGGTGACACTGAGGGAGTATGAGGGGACCCCCTCCAAGAAAGAGGTAACACAGATAGAGCCCTATCCCCACTGAGACCTGGGAGATCCAGGTATGGTGACATGATGAGTCTCACTCACTTCTTCCTAGAGCATCTCAGGGAAGTGGGGAACTTCATCAAAGGGGGCAGCCTTATGTTAGCAGCTAGAGGATTCCTAGGTAATTCCAGGAGTCAAAAAGAAGACCCTGAGAACTGGGGGAACCACTCATCCCATAACAGTGAAAGAAACACGGAATTCCTTCCTGATTTTCATCCTTGGGAGATGATGGACAATTGTAGCCAGATGGGAAAAGTTTCACTTCTTCCTCAGGGAGTTGTCGGGGGGTGCTTTGTATGACTGGATAGGCGTTAGATCAAGACAGAGAAGTCACTGAGGGAGGAATGAGATGAGCATTTACCTAGAGAGTGGGGCTTCACCAAGTTCTACCCCCTCTCAGCTCTGGGAAACCCCAGGCAGAAGTACCCAGATGTGTCATCCCCTCAAGACTAGCCCTGGGTACTCAGAGAGGTGAAGGCTTTTGTATGAGCCTGGAAGAATCAAGTGGGATTAGAGAGGAGCTCAGACTCTGCTTGAGTGAAGACTAAAGAGAACAACGACCCCAGAACAGTGGAGCCCCATAGAGGACGTGGTGACTGGATGTGATTCAGGCTTTCTTTCATCTTGGGACTATGAGGCAATGAGAATCTTAATCTGATGTAAGGGGCCTCAGGTCAGTAGAGAGAGGATTTCCAGGTTGTGCCAGGCCTCATAGAGAGGACTTGAGGGAACTCCCACCTCATCAGTGGGGATCCCTCAGAGTCCCTCTGTATGTCAGCGCTAGGAAGCCCCGAGCATAAATGTCAGAAATGCCCCTAAATTCCTCTTCAGAAGTAACAGGGAAATGAAGGTCTTAGTCAGATGGGTTAGCAGGAGGGGTGGGAGGCATTTTAGGCCCTCCCAGGAGTCAAACTGGAGACCTTGAGTGAGGACCATGAGTGGGGCTACACATCACAGGGCTTCAACCTGCCAGCCACAGCTTTCAGCCTCTGGAGAATATGGGCATTGTGACCAGATACAGCCACCCTCATTTCCTCCATTGGGTCTCAGGCAGATGTAGGCCTTACTATGAGTAAATGTCCTCAGGTGTAGAGAGAACAGAGCCCTAGGCCCTTCTGGGAGTCGAAGTGTGAGTGTGGACTGAAGGCACCATTCCCCCAAGCCCCCAACCCCCACCCCAAATAGAGGAAAAACAACGATGCTAGCCCTGTCTCTGCACTTAGCTCTGAAAGGCCTTGGCCAAGGGTTGCCAGGCTGAGACTTTATTTCTTTGCATCAGGTCTAAGGGAGGTGACAGCTTTGGTCTGAAGATGCAGCACCAGTTAGCAGAAGACAGGTTCCCAGAACTTAGATATAGATGAGATGAGGACTCTGAATTAAGATTGAGGTCCAACTAGCCCAGGACAGAGAGAGTTCCATAGAACTGTCAGCACTGCCATCCCGCCCAGCCCCCGGTAAGGATGGTAGGTTGAAGCAGTGCCTCATTTTTCTTTGGTGGATTCCAGGGAGCTTTGAAGTGTCAGCTTCAGAGCAGCACAGGAAGGAGGTCCCAGACCCTTCCAAGAGTAGATATGAAGATCCTGTATATGAATTGAGAGGGCCCTTGAACACAGAGGGAGTCTACACTGCCAACCTCTGCTGTCACCCAGTCAGCCCCAGGCAGGGTTGGCAACAAGAACCCAGTGGGTTCCTAGAGCAATGCCCTCAAGAAAACCAGCAGAAGTGGCTCTCTAAAAGCCAAGGTGGTACCTCCCTGCTGCAAGTACTCACAGGATCTCATTCTCTCTCCTTCAGGTGCCACATCTCCTGCCTTTCTGCTCACTTTCCTGCCTGTTTTGCCTGACCACAGCCATCATGCCTCGGGGTCAGAAGAGTAAGCTCCGTGCTCGTGAGAAACGCCGCAAGGCGCGAGAGGAGACCCAGGGTCTCAAGGTTGCTCACGCCACTGCAGCAGAGAAAGAGGAGTGCCCCTCCTCCTCTCCTGTTTTAGGGGATACTCCCACAAGCTCCCCTGCTGCTGGCATTCCCCAGAAGCCTCAGGGAGCTCCACCCACCACCACTGCTGCTGCAGCTGTGTCATGTACCGAATCTGACGAAGGTGCCAAATGCCAAGGTGAGGAAAATGCAAGTTTCTCCCAGGCCACAACATCCACTGAGAGCTCAGTCAAAGATCCTGTAGCCTGGGAGGCAGGAATGCTGATGCACTTCATTCTACGTAAGTATAAAATGAGAGAGCCCATTATGAAGGCAGATATGCTGAAGGTTGTTGATGAAAAGTACAAGGATCACTTCACTGAGATCCTCAATGGAGCCTCTCGCCGCTTGGAGCTCGTCTTTGGCCTTGATTTGAAGGAAGACAACCCTAGTGGCCACACCTACACCCTCGTCAGTAAGCTAAACCTCACCAATGATGGAAACCTGAGCAATGATTGGGACTTTCCCAGGAATGGGCTTCTGATGCCTCTCCTGGGTGTGATCTTCTTAAAGGGCAACTCTGCCACCGAGGAAGAGATCTGGAAATTCATGAATGTGTTGGGAGCCTATGATGGAGAGGAGCACTTAATCTATGGGGAACCCCGTAAGTTCATCACCCAAGATCTGGTGCAGGAAAAATATCTGAAGTACGAGCAGGTGCCCAACAGTGATCCCCCACGCTATCAATTCCTATGGGGTCCGAGAGCCTATGCTGAAACCACCAAGATGAAAGTCCTCGAGTTTTTGGCCAAGATGAATGGTGCCACTCCCCGTGACTTCCCATCCCATTATGAAGAGGCTTTGAGAGATGAGGAAGAGAGAGCCCAAGTCCGATCCAGTGTTAGAGCCAGGCGTCGCACTACTGCCACGACTTTTAGAGCGCGTTCTAGAGCCCCATTCAGCAGGTCCTCCCACCCCATGTGAGAACTCAGGCAGATTGTTCACTTTGTTTTTGTGGCAAGATGCCAACCTTTTGAAGTAGTGAGCAGCCAAGATATGGCTAGAGAGATCATCATATATATCTCCTTTGTGTTCCTGTTAAACATTAGTATCTTTCAAGTGTTTTTCTTTTAATAGAATGTTTATTTAGAGTTGGGATCTATGTCTATGAGCGACATGGATCACACATTTATTGGTGCTGCCAGCTTTAAGCATATGAGTTTTGATATTCTATATTTTTCAAATCCTTGAATCTTTTTTGGGTTGAAGAAGAAGAAAGCATAGCTTTAGAATAGAGATTTTCTCAGAAATGTGTGAAAGAACCTCACACAACATAATTGGAGTCTTAAAATAGAGGAAGAGTAAGCAAAGCATGTCAAGTTTTTGTTTTCTGCATTCAGTTTTGTTTTTGTAAAATCCAAAGATACATACCTGGTTGTTTTTAGCCTTTTCAAGAATGCAGATAAAATAAATAGTAATAAATTATATTACTTGTTCAGTGGCTCATTTATTCTCACCATAAATTGAGCATCTGCTCTTTGTAAGGCTCTGTGATAGTAGTGATTGTACTAAGTTAAAGAAGACCCTTCGCCTGCACACAGATTTTTAGTCTAAGGACAGTTATTATTTAAAGAAGATGGTGAGATACACTCTAACATGTACAGATTTTTTTTTTTTTACATATAAACACTCATTTAAAAAAAAAAGAAGTGAGAATGGTGGGAGAAGGTTCAGACAAGAGCAGTCAAGTGTTAATTTCCTAGCCAAGGCACTTCGTGGTGTGGGACAATGCAAGTCCCTCGTTGGGAGGTCATTTTAAGTTAGCTCCATGGTGAACTGGATGAGGTTGTGATAATCATAAGAAGGTGCCAAACCCTCAGATCATGAGCCTTAGAGTTGAGAGATTAAGCCTGGAAAGGGAAACTGCCCTTAACAGTTACTTTGGGATTGTGGGTAAAGCAGAGAGAACCTGTGTCTGGAGGAGGAGTGGAAGAATACAGTGCTCTCGTCCCAGGGCAGTCAAACACAGTGCACAAACTAGTTGTTTTATGCACATTGTCTCCAGAAAGTGTTTGAGAAATAAGGGTTATACTTCCTTGAGGTGAGATGCCAAGAAGCCACTAAGCTAACACTGTTTTCCCTAAGCTTGTGCAGCCAGAGCCTACTCCATTAATTAGGTCTTCTCATATATAATTTCGCAAAACTCCAAGGTAGGGCTAGATTCATTGGTGACGAAATAAGTGAAAATAAGAATGTTTTTGTAGGAAGGGAATCTCAGAGGGAGGGGAGTCGTTGGTCCTTGACATAAACTCTATAAGCTTAGAGTTGAATTCTGATGAAGTCCCTGCTCCCATATTAAATAACATATTCTCTCATGGGGAGAATTTACATAGCGTTACTTGCTTTGCAGCATTTTGGCTTATTTGGTGGTGGTTTTTTAGAGCACTGAATGTTCTCTGACAATTCCTGGACAAAACAAAAATTTTCCAGAGATGAGAATAGCCTTTCTTGTGTGAATATAATAGTAGTAACTGCCATTCATTAAAGACCCAATATTTGCCAGTCATTTTGCCAGATGCCTTACATACATTACATGTGTTCCAACAATTCTACAAGATGGGGCTTATCAAATTAGGAGATGAAAAACTTGTAACATTCTCAAGTTCACATGGCTGGTAAGTGCCAGGGCTGGGACAAAACCCCTGGTCTGAATGTTTCTAGGGCCCACACTGTCCTGCTTCTCTCAATCTGAGGCCAAACTGTCTCTTAATTCTCACTGTTCCACAATATCTCTCAAGTGATAACAAGTGCCCTGTGGCCAAAGTACTAAAAGCAGGCCTCTTAGTGAAAGGAAAGTTAAAATGAGAAACAAAGTTTTGGACTGTCTGTGGGGTTCATTGGCCTGGGGTTTTCCCGCCTTAGCCCACAGGTTCCTCTAGAGCTGACTCTGCTCTGGTCCCAGCACATAAGTCTAGTCCAGTGCTTTCCAACATTACAGTGCCCTTCCCTGGGGTCTTCCCCAGTGTGCCCCCCTGTCCACACTGGAACTGACCTACTGGTCAACTTCACTGCATCTTTCTCTGGAGCCTGCACCTGCTCCCAGAGGAAAAGACAGCCCAGACTCACCTGCGTTTTCCCTGACACAGAGGGTTCCAACTGCTTGGAGGTCCCACCCCTCACCACAGATGCCCTTTGATAGCAACAGCCCCTTTCGTGTAATTGTTCACTTCAAACAGTGAAACTTAGACACCTCTTCATGTCTCTGGGTACTGCCACCACACTGTTAAAGTGTTTTCAAATCTACTGGTGAGGAGTGATTTAGCGCAGAATCTACTGTTTCTTGGTTTATAACCCTGAGGCTAGAAAAGAGGCTTTTTAAAACCACCCTGATATTTGCAGTAGGATTTTAATAGAGTATTTTATTTGAGACAGGCCACTGAACACATACACCAATGAGTGAATTTACCTATGTGGTCAACATCCAAAGCCTCCCTCTTAAGTGGTAGATAAGGAAAGACAGAGGAAATCACTGTGTAAGCAAACATCTACTGTGGCTGAATCCCTAAAAATCTTTCTTTAAGTCCTCAGAGGCAGAAAATGGTCCCTTGGCAGACATGCCAACTTTGAATAAAAAGAAAAAAATAACTTACTATCCTTCAATTTACTCTTATCTATATCTGCCCCAGAGGAAAATATTGGTTTTTCAGTGTGCTTCATTGTACCTGTTCAGGTGTTTGGGAATGTTAAGTAGGTGGTGGGTAGCTGTGATTTGACCAGGCACCAAAGGTAGGAGAAAATTCTCAGCCTGTTAAGATTACGCAGGTTATTATAAAGAGTCGTGCAGAAAGGTGCTATTGATTGACAAAGGACAAATCCTCCTTGTAGAAATTTCCAGGATCATTTTGAAAATTAGACATGACCTTGTGTTTGAAAACATCTGTCACATAGTAGACACTAGAAAAATGTTGCAAATTTCAAGGCAAATTTGGCCTTCTTACAAACTCCTCTAAGAAATGAAGAGGGTTATTGTCCTAACCAATTATAAGAGTTGCTCTTCATTGAACATCTACTGTGTACTAGTTTATGGGAGAGATGGCAAGTGTTTATCCACATGATGTCCTGCTCTTTTTCCCGGGCTCATGGAGAGACTACCTTCCCAGTCTACTCATAGTTAAAAAGGGTCATGTGATTAACCCTTGCCACTGAAATATGAGTAAAAGCATGTTTGTCACCTCTAGGCCAAGGCACTGAGATCCAGTCGGCCACCTCCATGCTTTCTCTTCCATTCAACAGCAAACATGGAGAACCCACATTGAGGTGTGGAGCCACATGATGGAAACAACCTGGTTCCCTAGGTCACTGCCAACCCACTTCAGGTTTTATGTGCACGAAAAAAGAAACATTTATCATGTTAACCCATTCATATTTCAAGGTTTTTGTTGTTGTTGTTGTTGGATCAGTTAGCATTTACTTTATTTGAGTAATATACACAACTACTATTTCTATTGTCTGTCAGGCCTATTAAAAATATTTTAATCACAAAGCTAGTGGTAGTATGCATATTCTTGTTGGAAAAAAATTTAATACCAATAAATCACAATCTCCTCCCTCACAACATTCCTCTAAAATTCAGCCCCCTTTTCAAAAGTAACCACGATTAATAATTTGTTGTGTCATTTTAAAGCTGACTCAAAGCTTTTTAATACATAGATGTGCTATGAAAATATATTGAGATGTGCTATGAAAATATATATCAGAGTCCATTAGAGAGACCACATGCTAAACTAAGCCCACAGAACCCAAAGCAGCTGGCAGTCAGGGGTTTGGATCTAGAGTACAGCATAAGGTAGACTATCAGGCGAACCAGCCCCCAATATTTCAACGTAGGTTCTTTTCTATTTTCCCTAAGGGTCGGCTGGTCTGAGAAATAAAGGGAAAGAGTGCAAAAGAGATAAATTTTAAAGCTGGGTGTCCGGGGGAGACATCACATGTTGGCAGGTTCCGTGATGCCCCCTGAGCCGTAAAACCAGCAAGTTTTTATTAGCAATTTTCAAAGGGGAGCGAGTGTGCAAATAGGATGTGGGTCACAGAGATCACATGCTTCAAGGGCAACAAAAGATCACAAGGCAGAAGGTCAGGGCAAGATCACAAGGTCAGGGTGAAACTCGAATTACTAATGAAGTTCCATGTCCTGCTGTGCATGCATTGTCATTGATAAACATCTTAACAGGGTTCAAGAGCAGAGAACCGGTCTGACTAGAATTCACCAGGCTGGAATTTCCTAATCCTAGCAAGCCTGGGGGCACTGCAGGAGGCCAGGGCATGTTTCATCCCTTATCTGCAACTGCATAAGGCAGACACCCCCAGAGCAGCCATTTTAGAGGCCCCCCATGGGAATGCATTCTTTTCCCAGGGCTGTTAATTATTAATATTCCTTACTCGGGAAAGAATTCAGCAATATTTCTCACCTGTTTTCGGTAATAAGAGAAATATGGCTCTGTCCTGCCTGGCTCCCAGGCAGTCAGACCTAACGGTTATCTCCCTTGTTCCCTGAACATCGCTGTTATCCTGTTCTTTTTTCAAGGTGCCCAGATTTCATATTGTTCAAACACACATGCTTTACGAACAATTTGTGCAGTTAACGCAATCATCACAGGGTCCTGAGGTGACATACATCCTCAGTTTATGAAGATGATGGGATTAAGAGATCAAAGTAAAGACAGGCATAGGAAATTATAAGAGTATTGATTGGGGAAGTAATAAATGTCCATGAAATCTTCACAATTTATGTTCTTCTGTCACGGCTTCAGCAGGTCCCTCCATTCAGGGTCCCTGACTTCCCGCAACAGTAGAGAAGGAACCAGAAGGAGAGAGGGCAGAGAGTCTGATGGAGGGCCTGAACAACTTCCATGAATTGATTTGGGAAATCTCTGAATAATCGTTACCAGCCTGAAATTGTAGGGTGATCTGAGTGGGCAGATCTATTGAATGAAAGGATCAGAGGCTGCCTGGTTTCCTGGGTCACCTGAAGGCAGAGAGCCTCTGCCAACCCATATCAGGTTTTATTTGCATGGACACCCCATGCTCCCTTAGAATTCCCCCCTACTTATTATCTAGCTCCCCTTTGTCACTCAGCAATTCTAGTGATGGATTTTGAGAGAGTTATATGTCTTGACTACCCTGAGGGTCCGATACGCCCTTGCCAGAGTGCCAGAGCTGACAGCTATCTTCATGCCTATTTGAGGCAGGTATTTCTTCCCCTGTGGACAGTGGATCCTCTCCACTGAGGCTAGGGCTATGTGAATAGGTAGGGTTAGTGGAATATGACAGACATTCACTAGTGATGTGACAGCAGTTGAGGTAGGCTCAGTGTATCAATGTAACAGTGAAAGGGGGTATGCAACTGCAAGGAAGGGGAAATTGGAGAGCAGATTGACTGATGCTAAGTACTGCAAGTTATACTGCAGACAAAAGGCTGGGTGTAGACATGTCTCCTAAAACAATCCAGATGATGCCCTCAACTCTGACTGCTTCCCATAGTCTCAGAGTTCTTGGCACACCAGAGGGTAGGTGCCTGCTGGCTGTATTTGCTGGCCTATGTTGCCACCAGATACTGTAGAGTAGAGCATCGGCCCAAGGTGTAGACATTTGCAGAGTGAATGGTGAGCTGATGGAGATGGCACACTACCTTTTTAAAATGATGGTGGCTGATAGAGATGTGTGAAATCCAATGCAGAAAGCATCACATACCATCCTGTTGCCAGGATATCCACCTCCAAGGTGAGAATGTGAAAGCTTGGGAGGGAGACGTTCATAATCACACTGTCAGTAATAGATTCCATGGAGGCAGAAGACCCTACCACGGGGTAGGCTCCACATTTTGGTACTGTGATTTATTCAGTTTTGGTGCTTTGATTCATTAATTTATTCATTAAACATTTATTGAACATATACTGAGGGAAACCGTACATAAACAAAAGAAAAGGAAATGGCAAGGCACTTGATTCAGGCTGTGGGTGTGAGGATGGAGAGTAGGAGTCACGTTTGAGTTTTGGAAAGTTAGGGACTATGTGAAAGGGCGAGGGACAGCCTATAATGACTGAATCCTGAAGGTTGGATAACTAGGTAGAAGTTTCTCTTAGCTGAGATTGAGGATAAAGGAGAAGGAAGAGTTGGTGGTGATTTGTGTTAGGAGTAGAAATGAGTAAGGGTGTGGCAGGTGAGGTCAGTGTGGGCTCTATGGATGGTAATGTTCTGATGGTTATCCAAGTGATGTTCAATGTAAAGTAGAAAATGTGAATTTGGGTATCAGGAGAGAAGCAAGATCAGATTTGGCTGTCAGAAGAGGTCATGTGAGGCCATAGGTTGAGGTAAAATCAAGTGTTTTGCATATAGTGGCCTAAATTCTATAAAATTTCTTCCACTGCAAATGCACTCTGCTTCAGCACAGGCACCTATCTGTGTGGATTTCATTCTGTCCAATACACTGTATCCCAATTTTGCTGCTTAGCTCTCCAGCACTGCAAAAATGTGGCCACCTACCTCTGCATGCCCAGCCTACCTTGCCATCCCTTCTCTTGTTTTCAAACCCCTTATTGCCCACCCCACTCCCACCTGGACACATACAGGCATATTCTGTCCTCCTATCCACTCATCTCTTTTCTATTTTCAGCACAGGACTGGCTGCTTTCTCTTCAACCCACCGTCCTCATTAGTAACTTGCACAGGCCTTGCCTTCGTGCTGACCCCAATCCCTGTCTCCACTCCCTTTCTAGCCCTGTTTCAAACTCTCCTATGGGAAAGAGACCTCTGCTACTCCCTTTACCTAGTATCCTTTTAACATTTAAGAGGACAGTGGGATTTCTTGTCACCCATGTCTCTTTTTTTTGAAAGTCTTCTCAGTTCGCATCCATGTGTGCAATCCCTCAGCAAGTGCAGGGAGCTTGGCCAGCTTTGCTTTCATCTGTCGTTTCTGCTCCCCAACGTGGCATACAATGGCCTTGGCTGATGCTCACATGGCTCAGTCTCAACCACATCTATTACAGATGTGCAGCTGAATTCCCTTTGATATCACAAGTTCTTATATGAGTTCCTGCTTCAAGGAACAGAGAAGGATAATTTGTGTCTGAGGTTCACAGTATTATCTCTAGTGACACTGCATTCACACTTTCAATGATGTGGGTTTCTTTTTGTTTTGTTTTGTTTTGTTTTTTTTTTTTTGGTTTGTTTGTTTGTTTGGTTGGGTTTTTTTAAAGCCTGGTATGTGTATGGGTTCATCTTGTCACCAGGGCTTCAGGTACTAAGAGGAAAAAGCTGGCCCTACCCATTGGTACTCAATACTCAGACACAAGAAACAAGAGTATAATTCTGCTTCTCACTTCTCGCCCTTTGGGCTATTGTCATTATTATAATTATTCTTCAACATATGTTAACACCACCATATAGTGCTATTATTTTTACTTTAAAACAGTGTATTTTAAAGACATTATATATATGGCATATATATAGCATCTTGTTACCATTTCCAGTGCTCTTTATTCCTTTGTATAGATCCAGATTTCTGTCTGATGCCATTTTCCTTCTTCCTGGAAGACTTGCTTTAATGTTTCTTATAGTGGACATCTGTTGGTGATAAATCCTCTCAGGTTTTGTATTTTTGAGAAATCCTTTATTTCACGTTTGTTTCTGAAAGATAGATTCACTTGATATAGAATTCTAGGTTAACAGGTACTTTTTGTTTCTTTCAGTACTTTACTAAACGACACCAGAAGATAGGTATTAACACTACTACCTTCTAGCTTAGATTGTTTTTGAAGGGAAATCTGCTGCTATCTTTATCATTGTTCCTCTGGAGGTAGTGTCTTTTGTTAATATCCTCTGTTTACTTTTAAGAGTTTCTCTTTGTTACTGGCTTTAGGCAACTTGATTACAATGTGCCTTACTGTTGTTGTCTTCATGTTTCTTGTGTTAGGGGGTTCTTTTCGCATCTTGGATCTGTGGGTTTATAGTTTTCATGCAATTTGAGTTAGAACATAGAGCAAGCTTCTTTTGTTTCCCGCCTCCCAGAGATTGCTGTGGTTCCTTACTGGATGTCCAATGTCTTAAAAGCACTCCCCTCCACTTTTTTTTTTTTTTTTTAACATATATTCCCTGTTCTTCTTGTAGTTGTTGTTTCCAATAGGAGGGTAAAACTGGTCCCTGTTACTCCATCTTGGTGGGAAGCAGAAGTTCTTCTAGATTAACTTTTTTTCTTCAGCATATCTCAATGTCTTTAATAAGATAAAGTACATTGTTAAACTTTACAAGTGAAGTATGCACATTGAGCATGGGGAAGGTGCAATATTCAGAATGATATTCTGACGATTTATCAACTCAATTTAATAATTATTGTCTTGAATATGTCCTTTTTAAAAAATTCCTATTGCCATCTGAGCAGTTCAGGCCCTTGTTATATAAACTACTACAGTGTTTTTCCTCCAAGTTTTTATATTTTCAGTATGTCTCCCTCTAATCCATCACACCAGATGGCAAGCAGAAGGAAGGCTAACATCACTAAATTGGAGACTGGCTATGACACATACATTGAATTAACAACTTAAGGCTCCCAGGGCGTGGATACCGAAGGAACTTGCCAGAGCAGAGCTCAGTGGCTTACCATGTTTACTTACTTCTGGTCCAAATGGCCTCTCCTATAGGCCCATTCCTCAATCTGTAAAATGTTTGTCAAGTTCAAAAGGTGGAAGGGAACAACTAGGTCTTGTACTCTTTTGATTTTGCTGTTTTTCTTTTCCTGTTCTACCTTGCTGAACTGTTGGTCAAGCTCTTGGGATAAAACTAAAACAAAAATGTAAAAAGTACAATTTCACTCCAGTTTCCTGCCGAAAGTATTTTGTCTGTTAATGTCCCACATAACAACATACTGGGTCAAGTAAGTTTTTATTCTATAGAGTTAGAAAATTATTTCTTTTTAAAGTTGAATATTTGCATGTCCTTTCTAACTAAGGCTTCTCTCTTAAAAGATTACCAAGCTATTCAAATGTGCAAGAAGGAATAGAATTTGGATAATCTGTATTGAGAATTTCTGATGTTCTTTTCGAACAATTTTTAAAAATTGATAAGCAAATGACACATCTCATGATGTAGTATAAAAGAAAATATGTTAAGCAGTTTACTCAAATTAATTTCCACATGAAGATTGTTCAGAAAATCTATACTGAATACTCACTATACGCCTTCTCCATGTCTCTGTAAAATATATATTTTATAAAAGTGTACAATTTTAATTGATGCATAGCCTTTTTTTCTACTGAGATTCCTTCAGATTTTGAGAATATGGTCTAGATATATGGTATACAATACTGTGGCCAAAAATCACATGTGGTTATTAAGCACTTGAAATGTGGCTCCTCTGAACTGAAATATGCTATAAGTATAAAATACACTTCGGATTTCAAAGACTTCATACAAAATTAAATAATAAGAAAGATCTAAAACATATTTTAAAAACCTCATAATATCTTAAGTCTACATAAAATATATGATTAAAAATATTTTCACCTGTTTCTCCTTTTTTAATGTGACTTTTAGAAAGTATAAGATTAAAAATGTAGCATGCATTAAATTTCTTTTGGGTAGTGCTGGTCTGGATATTGTTTATTCAGCAAATTTTTGGCCAGTTTTTTCTCAAAGAGTGAGAGAGAAGACAATAATTCTTGCCAATGTTATTCATAATTATTAGGACATTTCTACCACTAATAAATGTAAGTCAATAGATAAGTGACTTCTTTCTAGGTCTGCCTCATTAGCACAGAAGGATGGGGAGGCTGGGTGATTTGGATAATTGCTAAGTCTCCCTCTGACTCTAATTCTATGTAATCTAAGTATTTAAATAACATCATAAATTGTAAGGTCCAAGACATGGGCAACTTGCTATGTGTGAATGAATTAATTAAGAAAGCAAAGAATAAAAAAATTAATGGTCAATGAATATTTTTAAATGTTAATTTCACTTATTTGTTAGTAAAATAAATACTGTTTATTGTACATAAAATAGAGATTTTAAAAATAATAGCATCTAACACTAGTAAAAGGATAGAGTGAGACTTTTACTATATACAAAGAGCTTTAAAAAGATCTTTAACATTTTTCCAAGCACTTTCACTTCTAGAAATTTAGCCTAAGTTAACAACCAGAGATACACACAGAACTTAGTATATGATGATGTTCATTCTAGCCAAGCATGAACCAAAGCCAAGGCCAAGGGAAAATCATGGCAGGCAGGTAACTGCTGGTGACAGGCAGGTCTGTGGAAATATGTAAATCACTCCTTTGGTGACAGAAATAATGAGGGGACACATTGAGAAGGCCATGATTTCTGCGTTGGCAGGAAATGTAACTGTTGCAGTAATTTGTATTTAAATGTAGATGTGGCTCCATTTTCTAGTGATAGGGTGGTGATATCAGGGAAAATTTAGACTGCGTATATAAACAAATACACTTACATCAACATATCTATCTATCTATAGATAGATAGATAGATAGATAGATAGTTTTATTTACTGAATGGAATACACTGTGATGGAGTCAATTATTGGTCCCAGTTCTTCACCCCTCCATAAATCTCTATTCTTGTCATGGCCTCATCATGAGCAGATTGTACTTCCCCAATTATTATCTTTGGGCTCGGCCATGTGACTTGCTTTGGCCAATTGTTGTGACTTAAGCAAGGTCCTAAAATGTGTTTCTACATTGAGGCATGCTTTCTTACACTTATGCCATCACAATTAGAAAAAGTTCCGATCAGTTCTCTGGTCTCAGCCAACCTACAGTGTGCAGCAGAGCCACTTCAGCCAACCCACAGACCATGAGAACAAACGGCCGTGTTAAGATACTGAGTTTTGTGGCTGTTCTTTAGGCAGCAGCAATTAAGAAATAAGTGCATTAAAGGATACTAGTGGTCACAAAAAAAGTACTGATTTTTTTATGTTCTTGTTTTCCACAGGGAGCACATATTATTCTTAAATATATTTTTGAAGGTTAAGAAAAATGCATATTAAAAGGCATGGAAAATTTGAATTGTACATATTTGAAAAATCATTAAAATGAAGAAAAATAACCAATAATTATAAAGAATTGTTAAATAACATATGATTATTTCACTTATAAAATGCACAAAAATTAAGATTATCCATAGACTATTCTCTCCCAAAATGGCAGATTAACACAAAGCAAACTTAGAAGATAAATCCTTAATAGTTCATGGTTTTCTATATAGTTCATGGAGAGTATTTATCTCACATTGTCTAGAAAGGCAAATGCAGTACTTAAAAGAATGGGATTCTGGAATCAGATACCTAGTGTTTGAATCCAGGCTTTACCATTTACTAGCTGTGTGATCTTGTGTAAGTTACTTAACCTCTCTGTGCCTCTTTTCTCATCTGTAAATTTGGGGTAATAATAGTACTTAACTAAATTACTTTGAGAATTACAAAACATTCGGAACAGTGTCCACAAATTCATAAGCATTTTATGTACATGTTAACTATTACTTTATTATCAAAAACATTTTTGCTGAGTTTTTATTTTGCATGTTGGGAATTAGTTGACCTTTACTACAGAGAGAAAATAGACTCCATAGAGAAACTTAGTACTTAAAAGAAAAGCTGGGATACAGAAATAATAAAGTTCTGACAGGGAATAGTTCCTAAGACACTATAGTATTAATTAAGTCAATAAAAAGCATTAATATTTTTAAAGTTCAGCTATGGCTATCACATAAATTTATTAGCCTTAATTTCTCACTTCCCATTCATGTAGGATAAACGAAGTGCTTTAATGGAGAGATATTTCCATTTTTGTCATGAGTATATAGCTAAGCAATGAAAAGCTGAGAAACTCAGCTTGGACCACATCTTGGACTAAGTAAGATTTCAGGATAGTTTGGTGTCCAAGGATATCTCTTATTGCATTTTTTAAATAAATCTGAGAACGTTCTGATGATCTCTTTTGAGAGTAATATGGAAGAAGAATTAGAATATGTTGGAAGTGCTGCATATCCAAAGCATTGTCTTCATGTATACTCTATAGATTTTAAGTGATTTTTAACTTAATTTTTCCAAGCTGGAATATTTTCTATCATAATTATTAGCCTCATAAGGTATTTAACTTTTATTTATACAAATGTTTAGAATTTATGATTAGATGTGTGCATTTAGGCTAGTTGGACTTCCTTTATTTTTTATAGATGTGGCTTTTGGAATTCAGCATTACGCTTTTTCAAATAGAATACATATATATCTGAAACATTTTTCTGCTTGACTCTATTGTTGTGCTCTATGTAAAATGACATTTACTTTGTTTCTCATTGGCTAGAAACAATAATATAAATCTTAATTATGTACTGGGATAAAATATATTTTCTAGTTCAGCCACATTGTGGTTTAGGCTGTGGGGACTAGCCTAGGAAACTAACCATCCTTTATCATTTCATTCCAATTGGGAGAGAGCACCTGGAATTCCAAACAACCAACTTCATAGCTAAATGTATAGAAGAAAAGTTCTTTATAAATTGGGCTTTGCTTGTACTAAGAGGAAAATATTAAGACCAATCTGAGGCCGGATGCAGTGGCTCACACCTGTAATCCCAGCACTTTGGGAGGCCAACTTGGGCAGATCACAAGGTCAGAAGTTCAAGACCAGCCTGGCCAACATAGTGAAACCCCGTCTCTACTAAAAATACAAAAATTAGCCGGGCATGGTGGCATGTGCCTGTAGTCCCAGCTACTCAGGAGGCTGAAGCAGGAGAATCGCTTGAACCTGGGAGGCAAAGGTTATGCTGAGCCGAGATTGCACCACTGCACTCCAGCCTGGGCAACAGAGAGGGGCTCCATCTCAAAAAAAAAAAAAAAAAAAAGACCAATCTCTCCATGCAAAACATAAATGGAGAACTAAGGCAAGATAATTCAACCATCATTTATATGTTCAAGATTTCAAGTCAAACTACAAGGATAATATACCGAAATGCATATGTATGTTGTAGTGTTCATTTCCAGTTCAAGTTAGCTCTACATTTTATTGATCTGATAAGCACACTTGTTACCTAAAGCCAAACACAATGTAGATTATCTGTCAGACTGTTATAATTGAAAGCCTCTAAAATGTTTAGACTTGTTGGCACAAGAATTCCACATCCAGGAATCTATAGAAAGGTCTCTTTTCTGGAACTGTGCTACATATGATACTGTTTTGACTATTCCCTTTTTTTTGCTAAACATGCTATTGCTTTAGCTTCTGTATTAGTCAAGAATAGGCTGGGTTATGCTAGAGTGAGAAATTAATCCTGAAATGTTAGTATTAATCCTAAAATGTTAGCATCTTACTGTAACAAAGGTTTATTTATTTATAGCATTACATGTTCAATGGATATGGGGAAGAAAGGGGCGTTAAGTGTTTGTTCCACATTGACACTCAGAAATTCGGGTTGACAGATGCTCCATCTGTGAATTCCCTGCTTATTGAGGTAGGAACGAGAAGCCAGAAAGTCTCCAAGGGGCTTTTCTCTGATTTAGCCAAACCAATAATTTTCTTTCCCATTTCGTTGGCTGGAACTAGTTATACGTTACTGGTGAGGTGTAAGAGGTCTGAGAAGCAGAGTTCTCCTTGTGCCTAAGAAGAAGGGATATGAAGCTACATTTGGTGAGTATAGCACCGTCTCTGCCACAGTTTTCAAGACACTACCCTGTTCTGGCTCTTCTACTTCTCAGACTGCTTTTTTTTTCTTCATCTCCTCAATAGAATTCTCCTTCTTCGTCTCACCCGTTAAACATTGATGTTCCTTAAGTTACCATATCCAGGCTACTAATACCTTCCCTGCACAGCTATCCCTAGGTAACTTCATATACTCCTACAGTTGCAACTACTAACCATACGCTTCTAACTTCGACGTCTATTATCCCAAGCCTTAATTTACCCACAAAGCTTTAAACACATATCAAACTATGACTGATTCATGGAAATCTCAAGCTCAATGTAAAGAAATATAAACTCATCCTTTCTTCCAAAATTACCTTCTTCTGTTTCCTTATTCCTTATTCCTTAGTGGCAGCATCATATATCCAAGTCTGGATTCCTCCTTATCATTCCCACCTGTTAGTGGCAACTTGAGTAGGTTATGGTCCCCAGGTGTTTGGTCAAACATCAGTCAAGATATTGCTGTGAAGGTTTCCTTTTTAAGATGTGATTAACATTTAAATTACTAGATTTTGAGTAAAGCAGATCACCCTCCATAGTTTGGGTGTGCTTCCTCCAATCAGCTGAAGGTGCTAAAGAGCAACAACTGTGGTTTCCTGAAGAAAGAAATTCAGTTTCAAGACTGCAACATAGAAATCCTGCCTGAGCTTCCAGTCTGCTTGCCCTTCCCTGCAGATTTCAGACTTGAAACTGTCACCGTATCATGTACCTGAGTTTCCAGCCTTCCAGCTTACCTTATGTATTTCAGACTTGCCAATCTTATATATATATATATATGATATATATAACTATATATATAATATATTATATATTTGCTCTGTGTGTGTGTTTGCTTTTTTGCTGTTATTCAGAGCTCTGCCACTTCTATTCAGACTTGACCATATACATTTACATATATATGTATATGTATAAAACATATTTGCTCTGTGTGTGTGTGTGTGTGTGTGTGTGTGTGTGTGTGTGCTCTTTTTCTCTTATTTAGAGCTCTGCCACTTCCATCCTGGTTAATTGAGCTGAAGACTCTGATATTGACAAGCTTCAGTATCTTGAAGTTATTCATTTTGTTTTCTGCCATTTATAGTTTCTTTGTCTCCTCCCTTATTGTTAAACTAACTTTATGCTTCTCACAGTTTTAGCAACTCCTTTCAAAATGTTGGCAGCTTCTAAATGGCCAAGGGATGAATCCAGACAACGAGATTTTTTAGAAGCATATCAAAGTAAAATCAGTTTCTTGTGGATGACCTGAATGACTGTATTGTTAGCAGAGTGCATTTCTTTTGATATAGGGACTCTGGCTGCTCAAAGGCCTTGCTTAATTATCTCCTTTACTGTGATGTTCCAGCTAGAATCTTGAGATAAATGGGGTGTTACTACATTTACTCTTAAGGACTCCACCAAATTGTTTTAAGTTTATTTTTAATCAGATGGCCAAGGTACATTAAATCAGTGTCCAAACGGATCTATCAACTACCTTATTTCTACCACTTTTCAATACATTTCAATTTATTCATCTTTTCTACTTCTCTACTCAAACATTCACCACCATCAGTAGGGATCTCCTGGGTGATCAATCCAATAGAAATTTTTTAAATTTTGATGTTTATTTTTAACAAAAGTTATATTTGTCTACTATAGCACATTTGAAATTTTTTAAGTTTAATACATAAATTGAACTAATTACCCATAATCCTACCACCCAAAGATAGCAGTTAACCATTGTTAGCACTTCAAACCATTGTTAATAATTTGATGCATTATCCTTCAGAAATACATATATTTCTGACAATAATGTATATTACAGAATGGTAACAAAGTGCTATAAGACAGAATTATCTTTTTCTTTTAAAAAATAATACTTCATAAATATATAAATATATTAGCATGTATTAAATATTCACCTAATATCAATGATTGATCTGTACAAAGAGTGGTGCATTTTATGTATAATTTCATGAGAGCAACCATTTCTCCACTTTAATCAACATTTCACACATATGAGAATCTGTTTCATTTATATGTCTATTTAGCACCAATATAATACTGTTTTAATGATTATATATTTAGAATATATTTCAGGCCGGGTGCGGTGGCTCAAGCCTGTAATCCCACCACTTTGGGAGGCCAAGGCGGGTGGATCGCTTGAGGTCAGGAGTTAGAGACCAGCCTGGCCAACATGGTGAAACCCAGTCTCTACTAAAAATACAAAAATTAGCCAGTTGTGGTGGCGGGTGCCTGTAATCCCAGCTACTCGGAAGGCTGAGACAGGAGAATCACTTGAATGCCGGAGGTGGCAGTGAGCCAAGATCTTGCCACTGCACTCCAGCTTGGGCGGCAGAGTGAGACTCTGTCTCAAAAAAAAAAAAAGAAATACATATATATATATACATGTATATATATACACATATATATACATATATATATATGTATATATATACACATATATATACATATATATATATGTATATATATACACATATATATACATATATATATACATATATATTTATATCTCAAAATGTGGTAGGTAATATTTCTTCCCAGTGATTTTCTTTTTTAATCTTTTATAAGCTATTTGCTATATTTATTCTTTCAGACAACTTTTAGAATTACTTTGTGAAATTCTAAATAAAAATGGTATTGAGATTTTGGGTGGGTTTAAGTTAATCCTACATATTTTTTAATGACCCATATGCTAATTTATCATTTTTACCAAAAGCACTTTTTGATTCTTATCCTACTTTAAAACATTTCACATAATTGGTTACCCTTCTATGCTTGGCATTTTCTTCCAAGATGCTTCTGGAACTCGATTCACCCTCAGTTTTCCTCTCATATTTCTACCTTTTTCTTCTCATTGTCCTGTGGTCTTCAACTTTGGGGTCCAATCCTGAAACGCTTAATGTTCTCAAAGGTCACATCTTTGCATCTCCTCTTTTTTCATCATGTAAACCCTCCTTGAAGACTTTATTCTCTCCATTGGCTTCAGCCTCTACCTAAGTATTGATATCTCTCAACTCAAAATTTCCAACATTTCTATGCACCAGGTTCTAGAAGATACATCCTATCAGTAAACAATCTTTGATATAGAGATGTTGGCTCCTTAAAGACCTGGCTTAATCACCTTCTCTACTGTGAGGTTTCAGACAGAATCTTATAAAATACATCCACTTATATGTCTGTCAGGTATTCCAAATGAAACCTGCCCCCAATCTAAACTCATAATTTTCTCCTCACCATAGTGCTTTTCCTCTTTTTTCCCCCCTAGGAGAATACCACCACCATATTCCATTACCAATTCCAGAAATCTGGGAATCAACATTAATCCCTACACCTCCCTCAGATAATCAGTCTTTCTCTGACATCTAGCATATCTACCTATGTCTTAGTCATCTATTACCACAATAATGCTACCTAATAAACCACCCCAAAACTCAGTGCTATCCAACAATAAACAATTATTCTCATAGTCATCATTCTGTCAGATTTTTGGACAACTCTGCTTTAGACTGAGTCAGAAGGTTAGATGCAGGTGTATTATACATGTGTTCATTCTGAGACCAAGACTGAAAGGACAGTAACTGCCTGAGAAGTAGTTCTCATAGAAGATCACAGGAATCCAAGAAAGTCAAGCCAAATAGTCGAAGTACATGCCAACGCTCTGCTCATATCATATCCACCAACACTCTATTGGCCAAAGATAGTCACATGATTAAGTGACAGGAAAGTACATGTTGGCCATCATGAAACCTTAGCATGAGTGTATATATGTACTGTTATTTCAAGGAAGAAAAAATTGAGACTAATGATTCAACCTACCACAACCTAATAACATCACTCAAATTAATTCCATTCTCCCCATACCACTGTCAATGCCTTGGTTTGTTCCTCTTAATTTCTCCCCACATTAATGAATAACCTCAACTATTCTCAATGATTTTATTCTTGCCCCCGTTTAATGCATTTTTCACACACACATTAGAGTCATATTTATACAACACAAATTGTGTTAGATTACCCTTATGTTCAAAATCTTTAACTGTGAATCCCCCCCAAAAAATATATGTTTCTTAAGATGTCATATAAGGCCACACTTGTCCTGACTATAGTTTCTTTTTCACAATTCTTAACCCACACTTCATCTGATCATAATGAAATCTTTGCCATGCTCTGGACAAATTGGAAAAAGAACTCTGTACTTGGAAGATCATACTACTAGTTTCTAAAACTGCCTGACATATAGTTGATGCTAAAAATAAATGTTTGGTAAAATAATAATTGTAAAAGCCATTAATTCTAGAAATATCATTTCCTAGTTTATGAGACTTTGCTGGGCTTATTAAATTATGTAAAAAATTATTTGAACAGTTTAGCCTTTTAGCTGGTTCTAAAATCTTGATAAAACATCATTTTTCTTATATGGCCTTCGCTACATATCATATAGTTTCTCATGTATTTTTATCTTGTTTCTAAAATCTTTCATAATCTATACTCAGGTTATTACTCAGAAAATCTCATTTCAGATGATCTGTTAAATTAGGACAAATTCAAAGAGAAATAAAAAATGGATGTTTTTCTCATTACAAAATAATGAATGTCTCTACCTTTGGAAAGAAAATGTTTAATAACCCCTCTAGAAAAAGTTTTATTGTGATCTAATTATACCTTAGAGAATTTATAAAGATGGAAATGAACCAGCACAATGTATATGTGTGGCTTAACATGGTAAAGTGGAAAGAATATGAGTTTTGGAGGTAGTCTAGGATCTATGTGCCAGCCTTGCCATTTTCATTTATTTAATACATACAGAAGTATCCACTGTATGCAAATCAATATAATAGCGGATACTAAGGTGAACAAAGCATACATACTCTTACAGTTCAATGGGAAAGTTGGAATGGTAGAAATTATTATTTACTGATATCTATTTTCTCTACTTTTGAGCAAATAGGAAAATTGCACTTTCTTTTCCCCTGTAAAGATAGATTTTTGCCATGTTACTTGCTTTGTCCAAATGAAATATAGATACGTGTCACTTTCATGAGAAGGAATTTGGTTGCCTGTGCTCAACTCTCCAGCCCTCACTTTCTCCACTTAGCAATTATGGCAAACATGTTGAGATAGCAATGCCATAAGCTATTGGAACTTTCATCAGCATGTGTCACCAAGTAACTAACATGAACAGGAAGGACCCTCTTGCTGACCTGCTTTGAACATGTAATGTGAGAAAAAAAAATGTATTTTAAGGCTGTAATATTTGGGAGATGTTTACTACAGCAGCATAACCTAGACTAACCTAATGGGTACAATGGGCATAAAATAAGTAATGGTAAGTGGATACTTATAACAAAAGTGGTAGGGAGTAGCGTGGGCAAAGCGTGTCACTGAAGTTAAAGACAGAATGAATGATTCTTGTGTGGTGGGTTAAATAGACTTTTTTGAGGAAACCGTGATGAATTATGTCATAGTTAGTCAAGTGAAGAATGTTAAATGGAGAAGTATTGCCTGACCTTTAAGCCTCAGGGTAGAATGATTTAACATATTAAATATGCTCCATGGAGCACTGGCCTTATAGTAAAGGCCTAGTAAGTATTACTTCCTTTTTCTCATCATCTCTGAATTGGTTTCTGCCAAAATATTTATTTCCCATTCACTTGACATGACCTAGACTTCTGTCTCAATCTCTTCTGGTAGTCACCTTAGCCTTAGATGAGAAGATAATGCTGTATCTTTTAATTGCCTGCAAGAGTCTAACTCACTTCTACCAACAGCTGAAAACCAGCATTAAAGAGTCTTAAACTTCACCTTTTAAAGAATTTTTATGTAGAACCGTCAAAGAATGCTTTCCTCAAATCACTACAGATTCTTTAAACCCAATATGTCAAAACAGAACTTACGGGCTCTCCCCCGAACCAGGGCCTCCTTAAGTCCTCATTTTAGTATATGGTCCTACTAAGTACCCTGATGCTAGTGCCAGAAACCTGGGCAGCATTCCTCTTCCTCATTATCCTCCAAAACTATAATCAAGAATCAAGGCCTGTTGATTCTATTGTTACTGTAATTTAAATAGTCTCATGTGTCTTAACTACTACTATTCCTCACCACTACCCTTGGCTTTGATTTGTTCATTTGCCTTCTAACCACTGATTTCCCTACATATGCTTCTATGTACCCTTTTAATTCTTTCTTCCTCGAATTTTAAGTCTGAACCCCTTTTCCGCCAATGTGGAAATGTATTATTCCATAAATGTGGAGAAGGAGACTGAGTTATACAAATCCTATTCTCTGATAGTTCACGGGTTGGCAATTGTAAAGGAATAGATAGCAAATATTCAAGGCTTTGTGGGCCATATAGTCTCTGTTGCAATTATTTAACTCTGCCTTTGCGGGACAAAGGTAGCTATGGATTATATGGAAATGAATGAGTGAGGATGTTTTCCAACCAACTTTATTTACAATAACAGACAAAAGTTGGAATTTGGCTTATGGATGATAGTTTGCCAACCCCTGCTTTAGATAAACTGTGTGTGTTTCCATCAGCCAAGTCCCTTCCACTCTCAAGTCCTCCACACTACAGCTTCTTGTTTCTAAAATGCTCTTTCCCTTTTACTTTCCCGATTCTGCTTCAGTCTTTTAGCCTCAACTAAAATGTCATTGCCTTAGAAAACCTTCTTATATTTCTCTTACGTCTTGACTATATGTTCCCCTTCTATATGTTCTCAAAAAACAAAGCTATGAGAGTATGTTACTTGTATTTTAATAATGATCTGTTCAATTATTAGTTTAAAATCTCCCTCCATATGGCCAGGGATTGTTTGCCGTGTTCACTGCTGGCTCCAACAGCACCAAACACAGTATCTAATCCAGAGTAGGTGCTCAGTAAGTATTTGTTGAATCAATGAATGATAAAATGATTAGACCTAAAACTTTGTATTTGGAGCCAAAAGGCAGTGATAATACTTCAATGTGATTTTATTGGCCACAGTGTAAAATACTATAGCTAATCAGTCCAGTTGAAAGGGTGTTCAGGGTAAAGTCTTTGTTCATCCATGAATGTGGAGAAGCAGCTTAAGTTATAGAAATTTTACAGTCAACAGCATTAGTCAAGAGATTTTAATAAACAATTCACAATAATGATATGATAAATGAAAGCCAAAGTAACTACCTGAAATAAGAAGTCAGCCATTAAAATGAAAACTTTGACTGAAACAACCCCCACTATTTCAAAAACAGGGATTTAAAGCCAAGACTGTTAACCCCTCTTCAGTCCTATTTTTTCTCAAGTCCTCAACTTGGGTTCCTTATATCTCAGTGCCCAGGTACCTTGCCTACTATAGTTATAGGGTCTAGTACCACCTGTGCTTCTCCTAAGGACGATTAAGAACATGAACACGAGAGGTGGGTCAGCCATGGTTCAATCGAAGAAACAATCACTGATAATGAGGTAGAGTAAAGAATTTATTATAGAGATCTGACCTTATGTAATTGCCATACTTAATTCAACTGTTTATTCTGTTTGGTGCTGAGCCTGAAGTTATAGAGCAGGGGGTCATGAAGGAAAGATGGATGTCAAGTAGTAGAGTGCAGAACACTGGAAACTTCAAGGAATAAGCTGGATCCTGCATCTGTCTTAGAAGAACCCACATTTATCTCTCCCTGTGTCCAAGCCTCCTACTTCACTGCTGGGCGACTTGCAGGAGGAGTGGGTGCTCTTGCCACCAATCTTCATTTGCTTCTAACTCAGAGTCTGGAGAAGCTAAAAAAAAAAAGTTACAATGAGAGCGGAAGAAGCTGTGGCCCCAGCTGCTGCCCATATCAACAAATAAACCAGTGCAGCCACACAAACATGAGTGGGCTACATCAGGTATGAACTGACATAGACTGATATGGTTTGGCTGTGTCCCCACCCAAATCTCATCTTGAATTGTAGCTCCCATAATTCCCACGTGTCATGGGAGGAACCCGGTGAGAGGTAATTGAATTATGGTCTTTCCCATGCTGTTCTAGTGATAGTGGATAAGTCTCATGAGATATGATGGCTTTATAAAGGGGAGTTCCCCTACACAAGCTCTCTTGCCTTCCACCATGTAAGATGTGACTTCGCTCCACATTCACCTTCAGCCATGATTGTGAGGCCTCCCCAGCCATGTGGAACTGTGAGTCAATTAAATCTCCTTCCTTTATAAATTACCTACTGTTGGAGGGAATGTAAATTAGTCTTTTGTCTTTATTATAAAAGTCATAAATATTATAAAAACTGAAGCGAGGCAATATCTCACTGTGGTTTTGGTTAAAATAATATTCAGCTATAAAAAAGAATGGCATCCTGTCATTTGCCACAACATGGATGAACCTGGAGGACATTATGCCTATAATAAGCCAAGCACAAAAAAATAAATACTTCAAGATCTTACTCATATGTGGAATCTTAAAAAAAATCTATAAAGGAAATTAATACATCTTTATAAGCAGCGTGAGAACAGACTAATACATAGACCTTCGAGAGTAAACATGGATACTGCTTCACTTCAGTCTTGTATGTCTCACGCATGCCACACTTGCAGCCACAGCTAACTGAAAATATACAGGGAAGGGAATTCTGGAAAATGTAACTCAGCTTAGCCAAGTCGACCATGCATTACACAGCCACTACAATAGGTTTCGGGCAAATACAATAAAGGGTATGAGACTACATTCTTCTTAAACCTACCTCCACTGCAGAATTTTGTGGTGGAGACTATAATTTGCAGAGAAAAGATAAGCATGAGTCTAGCATAAAATTGCCACATTAAAGAGATGCTTAGGTAAAATTTCAATAAGCCAATCACAAAAAGTGTGTTTTATGGCAAATGGCAGTTTTAGGGTTTAAACCTTTCAAGGCAGTGAAAACTGACAGTGGTTCTTCTGAACAAAACAAGTTCTGATAGCTCAAAATGTTACAAATACAGATATCTCTTTGGTTATACTGGTTTCATTTTCTTGGGATATATCCCCAGTAGTGGGATTGCTGGTTCATATGGTAGTTCTATTTTTATATCTTTGAGGAACCTCCTTACTGGTTTCCATAATAGCTGTACTAATTTACATTCCTTCCAACAGTGTGTGAGGGTTCACTTTTTTCCACATCCTCAACAACACTTGTTATCTTTTCTCTTTGTTTAAAAAGTCATTCTAACTGGAGTGAGGCAATATCTACTGTGGTTTTGGAAGGGAAAAACACACACTGGGGTCTGTCGGGGGCAGGGGGTTATGGGGAGGGAGAGCATCAGGACAAATAGCTAATGTATGTCGGGCTTACTACCTAGGTGATGGGTTGATAGGTGCAGCAAACCACCACAGCACACGGTCACCTATGTAACAAACCTGCATGTTCTGCACATGTATTCCCGAACCTAAAATAAAATAAATTTTTTTAAAAAGAAAATAGATTTATTAGTTAACTTATAAAGAGATTAAAGAGCTTGAAACAAGTAAAAAAAATCTCACTGTGGTTTTGATTAAAATACTATTCAACTATAAACAAGAATGACATACTGTCATTTGCCACAACGTGGATGAACCTGGAGGACATTATGCCTGTAATAAGCCAAGCACAGAGAGACAAAGACTGCAAGATCTCACTCATATGTGGAACCTAAAAACATTAATCTCATAGGAGTAGAGAGTAGAATAGTGGTTACAGAGTCTGGGGAGAGAAGTGGTATAGAAACTAGGGAGAAGTTGGTCAATAGATACAAAGTTACAGTTAGATAGGAGGAATAAGTTCTGGTGCTCTATTACACAGTAGGGTGACTATAGTTAACATTAATGTATTGTATATTTCACAATAGCTAGAAGAGAAGATTTTGAATGTTCTCACCACAAATATTAGAGGTGATGGATATGCTAATTACCTTTATTTGGTCAATATATAATGTATACATGTATCGAAACAATACATCGTACCCTATACATATGTATAATTGTGTGTCAATTTAAAATAAAATAAAACTTTAAGAAATACCATTACACTCATATTCCCTTCTTTGCTGTTTCCCAAAGTTTATGTGCTACTTGTAAAGTAGTCATGACTCTGAATTTGGATTCTGGTGGCAATTCACAGAACAGTGGAAATATAATGGATCAGCATATCAGAGACCTGCGTTATAATACTACCTTTGTGATTCAATTTTGGGCTTCATCTTCATGCACTCTAAATAGTGGTTTGGATGGTCCTTAAGATCTTTTCCAATTATTCTATTATGATTTTGTGCCTTAGCACTTGGTATTCTTGGGGATACCATAGGAATCTTTCAGAATTCCACAATCCTACTTAGAGAATCTTGAAATCAGGAAGTAGATTGAATATTGGGAATATTTGGTTAGAAAAAGACAGCAACATTTCTCAATCTTACACAGCCAGATGGCAGTGTTGCTTCTTGAAAGATAATATCAGCGGTTTGTAGGTTTGGGGCTTGACCCTTAGCATTTATTTTATTATTTTACTGAATCCTATCTAGCTGCACCTATTTATCCCCAGTCATGTCAATGGAGCAGCAACAAGGCCTGATTCCTTACTTTTTTCAAGTTTCTTTACTCTTTTTTTTTTTCCTTGAACACATCTCTGATTCTCTGGAGGAATATTTGTCTAAAAGAAAGACTGTATGAGGAAGAATTAAAACAAAGTTCCTGGCTGTCCTTCCTGTGAAAAGACTCATTATCAGGGAAGCAATGGTAGTGTCTTTGCAACAGAGTCCATGGAAATGGATTTAAAATCTATAGCAAAATAATACAAAAAGCAGTTTAGTCCAATCCCTGTGACTGCAGGGTAATTAGTAAAATCCAGATTAATCAGAAACTTGCTAGGCAGCGGGGTGATTTGACTAACAGTCTGGGAAGGTACAAAATAACTGGGTAATGAAGTGGAACCAACTATAATGTGCAAGATTGCTCCTGGGATTGTACTGAAATCCATTATTTAGACAGGTGCTGTATCTTGTGGGCAAGAGATCTTTAAAGCTGGAAATATTGTATCTTTTCCATCTGATTCTGCTTTATGCCCCCATGAACCAAAGGTTGAAGGGCAGCATTAGAGAGGGGAAGGTTTTAGGAAAGTCTTTCCAGATCCAGTCTGGTACTTGTCATCAAAGATGGAGAATATATTACTCTAGGCCTTTGTCACACATCATCTTATCTGATTTTCATGAAATATAAACCCTGTTTGAAGCAAGAAGACCAGTTGTCATTTTCACTTTTTCATAAGTGATAAACCTGAGGCTCCAAGATGTGAAATACTGGATTTAAATGCAGATACTAACAGCATATAAAGACAATTTTTTTTTCAATAGTGATGCCTATGGGAGTTTCCAGGTATCTATACCCAGGCTGCAGCTGCAAAATCCTCTCTTCAATTTTGTTCAGGCAGAGTGGAAAAGT
This sequence comes from Homo sapiens, assembly GCF_000001405.40. Classification (NCBI taxonomy): domain Eukaryota; kingdom Metazoa; phylum Chordata; class Mammalia; order Primates; family Hominidae; genus Homo; species Homo sapiens. Next base: position 30,276,714 of record NC_000023.11, read on the forward strand.
CCATGCACACATTATCGGGCAAATCATCAGCTTCACGGATGACATGAGGACATTTTTGTCCAGGTAAAGTTCTCAGAGATAAATAAGTGCAAACAACATCCACTGCTTATTAAAAATAAGAAATTTCACTCTAACAGGAAGAGTTAGCCTTAGGCATGAGGGAAGTAGGTGTCTGCCTATGTAGCAAGATTTAGGAAGCATCCAAATGACTTCTTCCTCTTCCTTGATACAAATTCAAATAAATCGCTATCCCTTCTATTGCCATTCTTCCAGGTGAGAATGGGTACATAGGACCAGAGGTAGAAGGTGTCATTCTTACAGCACAGCATAGACATGCTAGGTCAAGTAGATGGAATGGAACATTTGGCAAAAACAGAGAAGACAAAGAGACAGAAAGCAAATCTCCAGGCTTTGAGACTTGAAACACGAGCAGAGTCTAATTCAACTTCTCAATAAGGGATCAGCAAAGAGAAAAGCATCAATAACAACAACAGTAATAAAATTGATTCTTTAGAACTTGCAAAGCACTATGCCAGGTAGCATGAAGGAAAAAAATAAGAAAAACATTGTTCTTCCCTCAAGGAATTTGCATCTTACCTTGAGCTTACCTTACAGTTATTTAATAATTATTTAATCATAATTTTAAAAATTATATTATCTTGGACCGTACTGAAATGATGCATATATTTTCTTATTCTCTAACTGACCCATATATACAATCAGCACATGAAGGTGGGGTGGAACAGGTAAGAGTAATGCATTCCCTGAGAATTTAGATATAGGCATACCTTACTTTATTGTGTTTCACTTGAGAGATAACACATGTGCATATAAAACCACACCTAACTATCAAAGACAGTTCACTACAGAGGTGAAATGGCTGATCTCAGAGCAGAGACACGCCTGAGCCCAGTAAATACAAAAAGATGCTTTTTGCCTTTTTTCCTTAATGTTTATTTTGTGATTTGGGAATTTTTTTCTGAGGTTAGACTGCAATATTTTGGAAGAGGGTAGTAAGAGTTGAAAGATTTTTTTTAACTTAAAATCAAAATCAAAATACTCTCATTTTTCCAGTGTCCTAAACTACGAACTACATAACACAACTAGCAAGAATTCATTGAATGTCAGTCATGGGTGAGATGTCTTATATTTGTGTAGCATTTAAGAAATCACAAAAACACACATATGTTTCTGTTTTCTCATAATTTCTCATGTATTCTTATAATTTCCCTGTAAGGTAGGTAGGGCAGAACTTACTCTGGCAATTTATGGTTGAGACCCCACACTGTCAAAGACAAAGGCAATTTGACCACACTGACGCTTAATAGATGGTTCTGCCATCAAGGGCCCTTGCCCCTGTGGAAATAGAGACATACGCAAGTCCCACACATTTAGAGAAACAACAACAAAAAAATTGGGATGCAGTAAAATTAAAAAGCACTGGTCTATGAACCAGAAGATTTTGGTTGTGCCCCATTGGCACTGTTCACAATGAGTGAACCTGGAGAAGTTACTTGACTTCTTGGGATCCTATGTTTTCATTTGTAAAACAAGGCAACAGCTTGCTTCAAGAGGTTACAAAGAGGTTCAAATTAAATGTTATATGTGGATAGGCCTTAGAAACAGGAAAGTTCTACGTAAATGTGTGGCATTAAAAGGCAAAAGAGGACAAGATGTAATTACCCACACCTGTAATCCCAGAACTTTGGGAGGCTGAGGTGGGAGTACCACATGAGCCCAGTATTTCAAGACCAACCTGGGCAACATAGTGAGACCCTATCTCTACAAAAAATGAAAAAATTAGCTGGATGTGCTGACACATGCCTGTAGTACCAGCTACTCATGAGGCTGAAGTGGGAGAATCACTTAAACCCAGAAGGTTGAGGCTGCAGTGAGTCATGATCACGCCACTGCACTCTGGCCTTGGCAACAGAGTGAGATCCAGTCTCCAAAAATGAGAAAAAACACCAAATAATCCAAAAGGGGAAAAAAGAATTTAAAAGCATGAAAAGTACTAAATGAAATTGTAATAATAATACATAATAACAATATAAATAAATATGCATTGATTACTATTTCTGAGAGCTGTCATAATATATATAAAATCATATATAATATAATCATATATATGATTATATATGTGTAAATATATAAATTTTTTGTTAATTTCCACAAGAACTTTTGAAGTAGGTACTGTGGGTATTATTATCCCATTTTACAGACAAGGAAAATTAAGGTTTAAATATGTTTAATCAGTTGGCCAAGTTTACATAGCTAATAAATAGCACAGCCACAGATGAATATTATAAGATTTTTTTCATTGTTTTGTGTGATTTCAAGGAGAAAAAAATGGAAGATGGTAAAATACGATACTGTGCTTTTTCTACTGCAGCTCCTATTTGATCATTTAATGTGGGATAAGATTGAATATGTTGATTATCATGAAGACATTATTAATCAAAAAATAATATACAAAATCTAATCAAATTATAGCCCTATAAAACAGTTATGTTTTGAAATAATATTTCTAATAAGAACCATGAGAAGAAGTTGAGAAGATATTTATTACAGACAGATATTTATGACTAAAAAATACATACAGGTAGTTTATTGAATACGTTGGATTCAGTGGGTTGAAATTATGAAATGAGTTCATTTTTTCCACATCAGGGGATCTCAGAGCCTTTCCTATATAAGCAGATCACAACCATTCCTAAAAGGCCCAGTTCATGTAAAATGAAGATCCTCCTTCAAATACCTACTGTTTTGATAGCTGTCCCAGTTAACAATTATTAAATAATTATTGAATCATAATTAAGTACAAACACCTTGGACCTTACCAAAACCATACATACATTTTCTTATTATCTAACGGATTCAAGGTGGGGTGAGGTAGGTAAGAGTAATGCATTTCCTGAGAATGTAGACACAGGCATATCTTGTTTTTTTGTGCTTCACTTTATTGCACATCGCTGATACTGTGTTTTTTACAAATTGAAGGTTTGTGTTAATCCTGTGTTGAGCAAGGCTATCAGCACCATTTTTCCAACAGCATGTGCTGACTTCAGGTCTCTGTGTCACCTTATGGTAATTTTCTCAATATTTCAAACTTTATTACTATGATCATATTGGTTATGGTTATCTACAATCAGTGATCTTTGATGCTACTATTAAAATTGTTTTGGAGTGCCACAAGCTGCACCCATATAAGGCAGCAAACTTAATCGATCAGTGTTGTGTGTGCTCTGGTTGTTTCCCTTGCTCCCATCTCGCTCCCTCTTCTCAGGGTTCCTTATTCCCTGACACACAACAATATTGAAATTGGGTGAACTGATAACCCTATAGTGGCCTTTAAGTGTTCAAGTGAAAAGAAGAGTTGTAGGACTTTCAACTTTAAATCAAAAGCTAGAAATGATTAAGCTTAGTGAGGAAGGCATGAAAAAGCTCAGATAGGCTGAAAGCTAGGCCTCTTGTGCCAAACAGTTTGCCAAGTTTTGCATGCAAAGGAAAAGTTCTTAAAGGAAATCAAAAGTGTTACTCCAGGTAATACACAAATGATAAGAATGTGAAACATGCTTATTGCTGATATGGACAAAGTTTGAGAGGTCTGAATAGATCAAACCGGCCACAACATTCCCTTAGGTCGAAACCTAATCCAGAGCAACACTCTAACTCTTCAATTCTATGAAGGCTGAGAGAGGTTAGGAAGTTGCAAAAGGAAGTTTGAAGCTAGCAGAGGCTGATTCATGAGGTTCAAGGAAAGAAGTCATCTCTGTAACATAAAAGTGCAAGGTGAAGCAGCAAGTGCTCTTATAGAAGCTGCAGCAAGTTATCCAGAGGATCTAGATATGATCTAAGATGATGAAGGTGGTTACACTAAACAACAGATTTTCTTTGTAGATGAAACAGCCTTCTTTCAGAGGAAGATACCATCTAGGATTTTCATAGCTACAGAGGAAACTCAATGCCGGGCTTCAAAGAATCAAAAAACAAGCTGACTCTCTTGTTGAGGCCTAATGCAGCTGGTGACTTTAAGATGAAGCCAGTGTTCATTTATCATTCTGAAAATTCCAGGGCCTTTAAGAATTATGCTAATTCTATTCTACCTGTGCTCTATAAATGGAAGAATAAAGCCTGGATGACAGCACATCTCATTACAGCATAGTTTACTAAATATTTTAAGCTCACTGTTAAGACCTACTTCTGAGAAATAAAGATTCCTTTCAAAATAATACTCCTCGTTAGCAATGCACCTGGTTACCTGTGAGCTCTGATGGAGATGTATAAGGAGATTCATGTTGTTTTCTTTTATTATTATCATTATTATTATTATTATTATTATTATACTTGAAGTTCTAGGGTACATGTGCACAATGTGCAGGTTTGTTACATAGGTATACATGTGCCATGCTGGTGTGCTGCACCCATTAATTCATCATTTACATTAGGTATATCTCCTAATGCTATCCCTCCCCCCTCCCCAACCTCATGACAGGCCCCGGTGTGTGATGTTCCCCTTCCTGTGTCCATGTGTTCTCATTGTTCAATTCCCACCTATGAGTGAGAACATGCGGTGTTTGGTTTTCTGTCCTTGCGATAGTTTGCTGAGAATGATGGTTTCCAGCTTCATCCATGTCCCTACAAAGGACATGAACTCATCATTTTTCATGGCTGCATAGTATTCCATGGTGTATATGTGCCACATTTTCTTAATCCAGTCTATCATTGATGGGCATTTGGGTTAGTTCCAAGTCTTTGCTATTGTGAATAGTGCCGCAATAAACATACGTGTGCATGTGTCTTTATAGCAGCATGATTTATAATCCTTTGGGTATATACCCAGTAATGGGATGGCTGGGTCAAATGGTATTTCTAGTTCTAGATCCCTGAGGAATGGCCACACTGTCTTCCACAATGGTTGAACTAGTTTACAGTCCCACCAACAGTGTAAAAAGTGTTGCTATTTTTCCACATCCTCTCCAGCACCTGTTGTTTCCTGACTTTTTAAAGGAGATTCATGTTGTTTTCATGCCTGCTAATACAACATCCCTTCTGCAGTTCGGGGATCAAGGAGTAATTTTGGCTTTCAAGTCTTATTATTTGAGGAATACATTTTTTAAGGCTATAGCTGCTATCATTTCTCTGATGGATCTGGGAAGAGTAAATTGAAAATCTTCTGGAAACAATTCACCTTTTTATATGCCATTAAGAACATTCATAACTCATGAAGAAAGGTCAAATTATCAACATTAACAGGAGTTGGGAAGAAGTTGATTCCAACTCTCATGGATGAATTTGAGGGGTTCAGGACTTCAATGGAGTGAGTCACTGCAAATGTGGTGGAAATAGCAAGAGAACTAGAATTAGACACCTGAAGATATGACTGAATTTCTGCAATCTCATGATCAAATTTAAGCAGATGAGGAGTTGCTTCTTATGGATGAGCAAGAAAGTGATTTCTTGAGTTGGAAACTACTCCTGGTGAAGATGCTATGAACATTATTGAAATAACAATGAAGGGTTTAGAATATTCCATAAATGTGGTTGATAAAGCAGCAGCGGGGTTTGAGAAGATTGACTCCAATTTTGACAGAAGTTTTACTGGGGTAAAATACTATGAAACAGCACTGTATGCTTCAGTGAAATATTTGATGAAAGGAAGTGTCAATCAATTCTGTAAACTTTATTGTTGCCTTATTCTAAGAAATTTTAAGCAATCGCCACAGCCACCCCAACCTTCAGCAATCAGTACCCTGATCAGTCAGAAGTCATCCACATGAAGGCAAGACCCTCCACCAGCAAAAAGATGAAGACTCACTGAAGGTTCAGATCTTCATTAGCATTTTTAGCAATAAAGCATTTTTTAAGCAAGGTGTGCATGTTGTTTTTGAGACACAATGCACACTTAATAAACAACAGTAAGTACAATTTTAAAATCCAGTAGGAAATAAAAAAATCTGTGTGACTCACCTTACTGCAATATTGACTTTATTGCAGTGGTCTGGAACCAAACTTGCAATATCTCTTAGGTATGCCTGTGTATGAAAACCTAGATGTTCTACCTCAACATGTATCAGCTCAGCATGTTTTTAAAATTCTTCATAAAACAGGAACACATTTATTCTGAGTATTCAAAGCACTAGGAACCATTTCCTGACAGAGATCTGATCCTAGGGGCTCAGTGAGACCAGTGCCATTGCTGAATTGTACAATCGTTTATTTTCTTTGTGGAGTTTTGCTTCTTGTGTCTCACAGGCAGCAGCTCTCATTGCAGAGCAGGTATCTCAGAGATTGAATGAAGTTAACCCTTTTCTGTCATTACACCATTCTAAATATTTATTCGTCAAGCTTAATTCCTGTCTTCAAAATTGTACATCTCAGTGCTCCCAGTTTTCGCTCACATACTCACCATATGCTTGTCTGTAATTATTATGGCTCATTGACTATTGGTATTTGCTGGATGCTTTCCTCTTATTTTGCTTAATTCCTATTTTTTAATCTTTAGTGCTTTTTGCCTATCTCTGCTTCCATAGTGTTTATTTTGAGCTCATAGCTTATTGGTTTCTCTTTTCATATGTCATTCAAATTTTTTTCTATAGGCCTCACAGAGTTCTTACACAAAGTTTAGTCATCGATATCCTTCAGAAAATTTGTCAATATTTGATTAAACATCCAAAAACCTAGATCGATTGTTTGTTTAAGTTAATGTCCAGAATTGCATTCAATTCATATGAATAGTCACTACATATCAGTTTTGGGTTAATGAAAACATTTATACATTAATGGTCAATATTCCACATGATCACTTAATGAGCATTAGCTGAAGTGTGACCACGAAAACTAGCCCTAGCAACCCCTTGAGTAAAGACTCCAGAGTTTTATGTTGCTGTGCCATGATGATTCATTTGTATGAGTCATGTTTTCAGCAATATTTTTCTCCTTTGTCATTTCAAATTGTTGGTCAGCCTTTGTCACTGTGACTCATGGATTTTTACAAAACACAGAGAGATAGAATGGCTAAGGTCATTGGCTCTCCCTGTCCTTTGTAAAATCTCAATCTATTAAATGATCATTTTGCCTGTTCCACAGTTCACATGGGGATAGAGGGAGATAGATTTTGAAGCAGAGAAGGGAAGAAAAAGAAAGAGATTAAAATTTGGGGCTGAGGTTGGAAAAGGACCACAGGTTGAGGGTCCTGGTGAGAGTAAGGGAACCTATATATAGTTCAGAGGCTGTCCTCCAAGGAGATGACAACCTTCAGAGGGATGGCTTGTGATGAGCTCAGGGAATCTGGACAGGGGCTCCCAGACTCACCAAGTGAGTCACAAACATGTCTTAGAAACAGTGAAACTATCTGACCTGAAGAGACTCTGACCAAGCCTTAATAAAGGCTGAAATTGCATTTCCCGCCAGCCTGGTGGGCTGAAGCTTGGGTTTAAATTCTGGCTTAATTTTATTCAAGCGGGACAAAAAGTGAATATTTCTTGAATATCTGAGCTTAAAGAGTAAGATTCCTCCCTACAACATATGGAAGTTAATCCAAAACTTCTAAGAATTCTCATGCTGTATGTGTCTACATCCAGGACTGATTACAATCCCTCTTAAACAAGTGGCTTCCAAGACACCCATGCTTATCTGCATCAAGCCAGCAGGAAGAGGAAAAACATGGAGGATATCAAGTATATGGTCTGTATGTATTAGCTTGAAAATAGAACATATCACTTCTGTTCATATCTCATTGTCTAGAACTCCATTGTATATCCAATAGAGCACCAACTACAAGGTAAGAAGTTATGCTCAGTGATATATCCTATTTATGTGTCTGGGAAGAAGAAGGCCCTAATTTGTAAAGAGATAGACAGTCTCTTTGGAATTTGTTCTTCTGCCACTATATATTCATTTTTCTTCCCTCATATGGAACACATTCACTTCCCTCCTCAAGCAACTGAAAGTCTATTTCACTCACTTCATCCAGGTGAACATCCAGGACTTCTGAGTGATGTGCACTCTTCTCCATATGATCCAGATACACTTTGGTTATGTAATGATAAATCAGGGGCAGAATAAATGTCATAAAAACTTTTATTTAGAATAGAGAAAAATGAAAAACCCCTAGCAGCCACCGATCTGTGGCAATTATGAAATCCTGCTGAGGTACAAGACATTTCTTGATTAGACCCTGAATCTCTATCTGGGAAAAATTCCCCGGTCCAGGTCTACTGATTGAATTTCCCAATCACTTTTCTTGCAGAAACATACATCCGTCATGCTAGTCTCTACAAAAAGGAATGAGAAATTGCACATATTTAGAGAGCAATTGGAGTGCATAATTTTTTTATATTTTTATGACTTTTTCCAACTTTCACAGTTCTCTTGTTCACGTCTAATTTAGCAGCAATTTATATTTGTGCAACTCACCTTGGGCATTTAAAAGTATTTAATTTTAATGTAAAGAACACTTTATATTGGTACTCATTTTGTATGTGTAATATTTACCTAAAGTATAAAATTACAATAACAAAATAGGCTTAAATAAAATTGTTATTTAACACAGTAGATTCTTGGTAAACATATAACTCAACCAGTCTGAGCTAAGAAAAGTAGGGCATTCTAGACAGGCATTGTTCAATCTATGCTGGGAGACAGTTCAAGTGTTTAACAGAGAGAACGCAGGGTTTCATGTAATCAGGAGTTGATAAGTAGACCTTAGCTAAGAGAATTTCTCCTTTACTTTATGGCCTTGGGGATTTTGCTAAGCCTACCTGAAGCCATTGGTTCTCATTATTTTATTTGTCTGTATTTTGAAGTGCTTCAGTATATTGAAGAGATAGGGCTGGATGACCCACAGCAGAGTTGAAAAAAACAGATAGTTCTTGCAGGGCCTGAGACTATGAAGGAAACAACCAGGATCCTGAAGCATGGTGGATCCTGGAGACAACCAGGATCAGCTCATGAATTTGCGGCAATTTTCCAGGGATTTGGAAAGCGTTCAGGAGAGGCTGCATTTGAGCTACATGATGTCCAAGCTTGCCAAAGATTCCTATATTTTAAGCATGGCAAAGAAGCAGCAGAGAGTGGCATCAGGACCCTGAGCAACCCAAAAGTCACCATTACACCCAGGATTTTTGGCCAACACTGGAGGCGGGGATGTCTGAAGAATGATTAGGGTTGAATATTTCACTGACCTTGTAGGTTTAGCACTTGGAGTACAGTTTGATTTGATTTAAAGAAATAAACAACTGAATATTTCTTAAACAACTGAATTTTAGGTTGAGATTCATACCTGTTACATAGGTAAGACTATCGTCTAGGCACAAAGATTTGGAATGGCATGTTAAAGAGATACTTTTTCCAGGACAGCAAAACATGGTGGGTATCATATTAACAATTTTCAAAATGTTCATGTTGGAGGAAATATGATTGGCAACAAAAATTTTAGGTAAAGGCAATGCAAGCACAAAAGCTAATGCAAGCACCATCAGTGCAGCATTGTATAGGAAAACAAAAGCCCGGTCATGTCAACATGATCTTCCCAACAGTGAGGAGATGAATTTCTGATGACATTAAACATTTCAAACATTTTTACACTTATTGCCTAATTCCATATTCAGCAATTGGCATTCTGATATTTTGGTATATAGCATACCATGTCCACTGGGTGAAAATTGGTGTGTCAAGCTGGCTTCAGTATGTGATCTGCTTGACAGTCTTATTTCTTATTATAAATTAGCTTTCCAGTTTTACATGATAGCTCTGTGAGCTTTAGATATGTCCTGGATACAGCCAGTTCTTTGGCATTGTGGTAATTTAAAACAATGCAAATTCTTTGACTTTCCTCTCTTCAAAAGGTGGGGCATGTGTCCCTTCCAGTTGAAACTGGGCAAGGTTTTGTCATTGCTTTGACAAAGAGAATGCAGTGGAAGTGATTCTGGTGGCCAATAAAAGGCTTCTGCCTATTTCTCCTGGGATGATCACTTTTGGATCCCTGAATACCAAGTAATAACTCTGGCTACCCTGAGGCCACCAGGATGGAGAGACCATATGGAGAGACCACGTGAAGAGGGCCTGAGACTACCTGTAGCGAGAGAAATGTCTCCTGCTACTCCAGATGTCACCTGCTGTTCTTGCTTTACTCACCAACCAATTGCAATCGTAGGAGACCCTGAGACAGAACCACCCAACAGAGCTTTCCCCCAATTCCTAGAGCACAGAAACTATAAGAGAAAATACGTGTATATTGTTGGTTGAAGACACTAAGTTTTCAGTTAGGTTGTTAGGCAGAAATAGATAAAAAGAAGAGGCACTGGGGAGTTTGGATTTCTGGGCCTACAATAAAGAGGGACAGAGGCTGGCCAATGATGAAACTGCCAAATCATTTCCATGGTGCAAGGCTTCCTGGTGGACTCCCAATCAGCCCTTTAGCTTCTGCCATTTAGCTGCACCCTTTTCATTTAAGACTTGACTCCAGCTAGAAATTCCTTATGGACAGTGTAATTATCTTCCATTGCTTTTTATCCTGTATCTACATAATTTGATATTAGACACTCACAGGAGCCACATAATTAATGCTAACTGATCAATGAGAGGTCTCAAGAAAGTAACACCATGTAGTTTCGAAACCAGTGCCCACAGAATCCTTGACTTAATCAAAACTGTCAAGGAGAATTACATCACCATCAATCACATAATAGATATTAATAGCTAATATTTATGGAGCAACTGAGCACTTGTGTGTCAAACATGGTTCCAAAAGCTTTCCATGCTTCTACACATTTAATCCTTATAATATCTCTATGAAGTAGGTTCCATTATTATCCCCATTTTGCAGATGAGGAAACTGAGTCACAGAGCAGTGAGATTACTTAACTTTCCCTTGGTTACTCCTGAGTAAGAGGATGAAGTAGGAATGAAGCTCAAGCTGTGTGGGTCTAAAGCCTATTCTATTATTTATTACAGTTTACTGAATCTGAATAGACTCCTAGCTCTAAAATGAAATTATTGACAATTCTTTTTAAATAGGTAATGTGGTAAAGAATAAAGAACATGAGTTTTGGAGGGTAGGTTTATGTCAGATCTGTCTTTTACTGGCTGTGTGACCTAAAACAGTTTACATAACTTCTCTGAACCTTCCTTTTTATGAAAGTCTGTAAAATGAAGATAATAATACCCACCTTTCAGGATTAAATTTGATAAAACTTCTTAAGAGCCTTTCATGATGCCAGCACTGGTGGCTATTATTGTTTAATCAACTAACTGGATGGCAGTCAATCTATAATTTTCTCTAGCCAATAGGGTAAACCGCAAGATGGAGTTATAAGCCAAAGGAAAGCATGACTGAAGTAGGCTTCAGTTGAGTTGAGATCTGCCCAAAGAATCATTCACTAGTCTACAGTGGAGTCATATCAACCATATATTCAACTTTTGAGAAGTTGGCTTGCCAAAATAACAGACAGGGAATCAATAATTTCAATGTATAGAAAACCTCAGCTATCTTAAGCCTAGGAGTCAGCATGAAATGGTGAATCTTCTTTCTAACAGTCTCTGTTTCAGGTAGCTCTGCCTGACTGACAGTTGGGAGCTTCTTGCCTCAATAAGTGTGGTTATAGCAAAGCTTTCTTTTTTGTCAAACATAAGCAAGTTATTTAATCTTCTTGTGCACATCTAATAAAGAGTAATATGTTCCAATATTGGGGGACAAACTAGCGTTGGACTCATTATAGTTACAACAGGAAACACCATGATGATCTCCAATGGGGATGTCTTCCCTCAGGAATTTTTAAGGGAAATATTTATTACAGTTGATTTTCATTTTATGAGCTTCTGTTGTGATGCCACCATATTTTTGACATGGTTAATTTATGTTTTGGGTTTGTTTTTTTTGACCCCTGCCTTTCTTGAAGAAACTTCAGTCATAAAGCCTTTGGGCCACGTATTGGAAAGCACGTTGGCATTCAAATACCTTCATGATAAAATACAAAATAAGTAAATCTGTTCCAAGATTGTTACTTTATATTTTTTCTCGTCTGCAAACATTTTCAAAGAAATTATCTTTTCACAGTGCTGCAAATTCTCCAGTAGTATCAACTGTATATGGGAATAAGTTGTTCTGGCTTTCTATTCAGAGTGTATATGGTTGACTATATTCCTGATTACCCTATTGTTTATTACTGCAAGCAATCTTATCTAAAAGAGAAAGGGGAGAGTTCATGTTCTCATAATTCAGTTTGTTGATGCCTGAGGTTTAGAACCATTCCAAGGGCACTGCTTGTCAGCTCTCTTTGAAATGTCCAAAACTCTTTCAATTGCTGTGTTTGTTTTCTGTGAAGTGAACAAACATATACAGATTCCCTTATATATTTAATGTTGATGTATTTGGTGCCTAATCTTGTTATATTATCAAGCAAACCATGGGCCAGGTAACAAGGATCTAATGTACTTGCAATATCAATATTCATTCTATGGCTTATTTTTCTGAGTTATATAATCACATAATGAAGGTTCTTTAGTTTTAAGCAACAGAAATAATCTCATTTTGCTGAGGTTAAACAGAATTTATGTGGAAAACTATCAGGAGCTAATACAGGCTAGGGTTTTGAAATGGGCCAGACTCAAGACTGTCTTCCAGGCTGGAAAACAGGATTCAGCAGTTGGGGCAGTCAGAACATCCCTCCTTTTCATCTTCCACCCCAAGAGGGAATAAAATTTCTATGATTGTTAGTCTTTATTCCTCTGCCTGAGATTTACACTGGTTCAGACTGGGTCAGGTGCTAACCCATTGGTTGAAGGAGGCAGAGCCTTTGTTCAGAGCTCACCAGACTGCATTCAGTGTGGAAGAGGTAATTCCTCCAAAAATTGTTGAGTGCTTTTAAGAAGAGGAAATCGATGCTGGCTGGCCTAACCATACACACTTTTTCTCCAACCATAATTTTTTTTTTCCACAGAAGACGTTTTCCTAAATTGCCATTTACTTAATTCCCCCAACCCTCCTCCTCAACATCATAACAGGCTAAGAGTTTCCTTCTGTTCCTCATTAGTTCAACTCTTGCTTGATGTAAATCTCCATCCTTGGAGAAAAGAAAGTGAAGTAAACATAGACCTGGGATTGACTTTCTGTGATTGAAGATCTTGGCGAAATGCAGAGAGCTGGAGTGGGGTGCTTCATTTCTCTTCAAGTCTACAATTCCTGCCTGATCTCCGTACCCAGATCTGTCAGTTTTTGAGTTTCTGCTAAAAAGGCCTGATGGGTGGAAAAGGGGATGGGCTAGACTAGACAAATGTCACTAGAGATCATGTTGTCAAAACTCAAAATTGAGACATCTGGTCTTAAAAGCACCTGATTAAATCTTATCACAAGATCTTCAAGGGCATTGTGCTCTTTGTTCTGGGAAGTAAAAATTGATGCTGAAATGAGTCAGAGCAGGGACCTCTGGAATTCAGAAGTGCCCAAGTCCCAGGTTAAAAAGCAAAGGTAGTCAACTAGCAAGACCCTTTGGTAAATCTGCTCCTGCTTTGTCAGAATTCTGGCAATTCTCTCTGGTAACTGCATGAGGGGCTGTAGAGTGATCAGTTCCCTGCTAAGGCCAGTTGAACTTGAAGGGAAGGCATTGGAATTGGCCACAGAGGTGACTGGTTGGTACTCTCATGTAAGTGGAATCATGCAGTATTTGTCTTTCTGTGACTATTTTATTTCATTAGCCTGACATCCTTAAGGTTCATCCATGTTGTCCCATATTTCAGCATGTCCCTCTTTTTTAAGGTTGAATAATATTCCATTGTATGTATGCACATTTTATTTATCCATTCATCTGTTGATGAACATTTAGGTTGTTTCTATATCTTGGCTAGTGTGAATAGAGCTACAAAGAACACAGAAGTGCTAATATCTCCTCACTCCAAAGACTCTGAGACCATATTAGAAGGCAGTTCTGAAGAGGACAGGTGTGACTCGTGTCTGGGAACCCTCAGGAAGGAGGCACTATAAAGGATCTGGAGGCTTACTTGAAAGTAAAATGCCAATGGCTGACATCCCTGTGGCCACTGGGGCACAAAAGAGGGGATAAGGAGAGGTAGGTTTCTGTGGAGTACTGGGATCAGGACATGTTGCACTCTTGGGCTATTTTTCAAAGGCATCTTCCCTCCCTAGTATAACCCCACACCAAGAGTTTTCTATTCTACTTCTTATTTCTTTTAGACTTAATTTATTTTACCTTGAATATTAAAACACAAAATTTCAAAAAAATAAAAAGGCAGAACTAGCAGGTGGAGATCCTCTCTTAGGTAACTGGACTTTGACTGGGAGCTGAGGGGAATTACCACAGGGCCTCCTGGAGTGGAGGAAAACTGCCCCATATTGCCCACGGTGTCTTCTTGGACTGGAAGGAGGACATCTGAGAAAGCCTTAACCCCAGAGAGATTGCAGTCTTGAGCAGGTGAGGCTGAGGTCCCTGTTGAAAGGAAGCAAAGGTTTCCCACCTCTGACTGTTTTCAGCTTCTGCCCATCCGTGGCACTCTGAGGAAACTTGTAAAGCAATTTCACTGGGGTGCCTGGCAGCTGCCACTATTCTGAAAAGGAGCAGATGGCAGATTGTGTTGAAGAGTAATGGGGAATGATTCGTTACTTTACACCCCATCCAAACACTCCACATTCTAAGGAGGGAAATATTCCTGAGACAGGTGCTCCAAACATAAACATGGAGGCAGGTTACAAATTTTTTGATGTTTTTTAACTTTTCTTTCATGATTTTCCAGTGACAAAGTTATCTTTGGTCTGATTGTCAGAGTAATTCAAATGATAAATTGTATTTACCTTTGAAGACGTATAATCGGAGTTACCCTCCCTGTTCTCTTTTTATTAATGACAATAAAGCAATATGATATTAATATCTTCCTGATACATTAGTGAACAAACAAAAATTATAGAGGAAAGTATTTTTCTACTCATAGTACCTGCAATGTTATAAAACTTTAAAAAACAAAACTTAGAAAGTATTGTGGAGTAGAAGAAAATATTATCTTGGTTTGACAGATAAAATAGTTTCCTAGAGAAAAGATTATTTGAAATGGCCTAGAAAAGTATACACAATTTTTAACTATTAAATGGAATTTTGGGAAGACAACACCTCCATTATGAGAAAAGATTCAAAAGAAAGAGAGTTCTTGTTTAGAAAAGAATGTTTCTTTTCTTTTCAAACATTAAAATGAAGACAACTGCAACAAATGTCATGTGGTTGCAAATGTTTATTGATGTGTGTTTTGACTTTTTTTTTTTTATAAATGGGTTTATAGATCCCAAAGATGAGGCAGAATTTTTTCTGATGACTTGATGAGTTGTACATTTCCAGGGTTGGAGAAGAGACACCCTAAAATCCCTAAAAAACCACTGGAAGTCCTCCAATTTATATTTCAAATTGTTAAATGAAAATATCTTCACAATAAAGTGAGGGGGCGAGTGCAGGGTGCCAGCAGCAGAGAGACAAATTTACTTCACCTTTGTCACATCTATGTTTTGAGGGAGAGATATATTAACCAATGAAAGGCCTCTTCCAGGATTTTGCCCTTTCAGATTGGAGCAAATAGTCTAGCCTTGGGTATATTGATACATGCTAAGGAGGTGTTTGTTAAATAAATAAGTGTCCTCTATGGAAAGGAACTGATGATAGTGAAAAGGCTATCAACACACCATGGTCAAAAGTATTCCATCTAAATGGCCTGGCACTAAGATTTGTGTCTTTCACAGATTTGCCAGTAAACTGTTAACAAAGTGCACCTGCTGGTAAAACAAAACTGGTATAAAACAATTATCCAAATATTTTCAAACAAATAGTCATTTCAACAGTTTTTTCAGATTTATTCAACCACCTGCTTCACTTTTTCCCTGGCGATAGTAAGAAGCTGGCAAAAATTGGAGGTTCACTACTGGGGGAAAAATAAAGAATAAGAAATTTAAAAGGAGAAATAATTTATATCTAGCCAAACCAAAGTCAAAATGCAATAGCTGAGGATTCTTGTTTAGGTGTAAAGCATCACTATGTGGAGTACTTCGGAGTGAACCATCTCTACACCCATCAGATCTTAAGCTCCTTGATGGCCCATTATTTTGTACATTGTAGGGACAATGTACAAAGGATTTCATTTCAATCCTTATTTGGATTGAATTGAATGTTACTTGTGTTAATTACTTGCTGACCTAGAAGCTCTAGCCTGAACTTGCACAATCCCTACCAAAATGTATTAGGATACATTTTGAGGACGTTAATGTCTGGTATAAATGATTAACAATCTGGGATTCAGTTTTATCACTTGTTACAATTTGTTTATATTTTTGGTACTATGAAGTTTTCTAACTAAAAGACTTCATGCGAACTATCAGCAGATGAGTTTACCAGGCTGCCTTACTTGCATCTTTAATTTCCATAAAATCAAAAAAGAAAAAAAACAAGTTTATAGGGGTCCTTCCAGTACACCATGACTCAAGTTTCCTAGTACCATCTAATTTGTAACTTTACCTTTCTCTGACATCAACATCTTGATGGAATTAAAGACTAACGTTTTTCATAATTTAACTTGCCATCAGGATGCAATGAAACCAGAGCAGAAAAACAAATACACGGTGGCTTCAGAACAGGAAGCTTTGTACATAACTCAAAGGAACTCAAGCAAAGAGAATGTAATTGCATGCTGAAATCAAAATGATTATTGATCTACAAATCCTTACCTATATACAAAAAGAAAAAAATATTTTGAGGACAAAGGACACCCAATCTACCCAATTGTAACTTACTGGCCTTTTGTTGTCATGTGAATTAATTGATGAATAAGGAAAAGGCCCCTTTGGTTTTCTGTGCACCTGTGTGTGTGTATTCTTAGTGACTGATTTTAATTCAAATCATTATTCAATATAGTTTCAGATATCATAGGCTGAAAATTAATAGCCCTGTTTTCAGCTTCTTCCTAGTAAGAAATTCAGCCATTGCTTTTACCATTCATTAAAGTTTACTGATATTAAATAAGATTTTTAAAAAGTAAAACTTAATTTATGTACATAGAAGTGCAACCTGGCATATCATAGATCCTGCTTCAATTTCTATTTCCTAGAACACTTCTGATATGGTTTGGCTCTGTGTCCCTACCCAAATCTCATCTTGAATTGTACTCCCATAATTCGCATGTATTGTGGGAGGGTCCTGGTGGGAGATAATTGAATCATGGGGGCTGTTTCCCCCACACTGTTCTCATGGTAGTGAATAAGTCTCTTGAGAAATGATGGTTTTATCAGGGGTTTCTGCTTTTGCATCTTCCTCACTCTCTCTTTGCCTGCTGCCATCTATGTAAGACATGACTTGCTCCTCCTTGCCATCTGCCATGATTGTGAAGCTTCCCCAGCCACATGGAACTGTAAGTCCAATTAAACCTGTTTATTTTGTAAATTGTCCAGTCTTGGATATGTCTTTATCAGCACCATGAAAACGGACTAATACAGTAAATTGGTACCAGTAGCGTGGGGTGCTGCTGAGAAGATACCTGAAAATGTGGAAGCAACTTTGGAACTGGGTAACAGGCAGAGGTTGGAACAGTTTGGAGGGCTCAGAAGATAGGAAAATGTGGGAAAGTTTGAAACTTCCTAGAAACTTGTTGAATGGCTTTGCCCAAAATGCTGATAATGATATGGACAATAAGATCCAGGCTGAGGTGGTCTCAGATGGAGATGAGGAACTTGTTGGGAACTGGAGCAAAGGTGACTCTTGTTATGTTTTAGCAAAGAGACTGGTGGCATTTTGCCCCACCCTAGAGATTTGTGGAACTTTGAACTTGAGAGAGATCATTTAGGGTATCTGGTGGAATAAATTTCTAAGCAGCAAAGCATTCAAGAGGTGGCTTGGGTTCTGTTAAAAGCATTCAGTTTTAAAAGGGAAACAGAGCACAAAAGTTTGAAAAATTTGCAGCCTGACATTGCAATAGAAAAGAAAATCCCATTTTCTGAGGAGAAATTCAAGCCAGCTGCAGAAATTTGCATAAGTAACTAGGAGCCAAATTGTAATCCCCAAGACAATGGGGAAAATGTCTCCAGGGCATGTCAGAGGTCTTCACAGCAGCCCCTCCCATCACAGGCCTGGAGGCCTAGGAGGAAAAAGTTGTTTTGTGGGCCAGGGCCAGGCCCAGGGTCCCTGAGCTGTGTGCAGCTTATAGACTTGCTGCCCTGTGCCCCAGTTGCTCCCACCATGGCTGAAAGGGGGCCGATGTAGAACTTGGGCCGTGGCTTCAGATGGTGCAAGCCCCAGGCCTCAGCAGCTTCCATGTGGTGTTGAGCCTGCAGGTGCAGAAAAGTCAAGAATTGAGGTTTGGGAACCTCCACCTAGATTTCAGAAGATGTATGGAAGTGCCTGGATTTCCAGACAGAAGTTTGCTACAGGGGCAGGGCTCTCATGAAGAACCTCTGCTAGGGCACTGCAGAAGGGACATGTGGGGTTGGAGCCCCCACACAGAGTCCCTACTGGAGCACCACCTAGTGGAGCTGTAAGAAGAAGGCCATCATCCTCCAGACCCCAGAATGGTACATCCACCAAGGGCTTGCACCTTGCATATGGAAAAACCTCAGACACTCAACGCCAGCCTGTAAAAGCAGCTAGGACAGAGGCTGTACCCTGCAAAGTCACAGGGGCAGAGCTGCCCAAGACCATGGGAACCCACCTCTTGCATCGCGTGACCTGGATGTGAGACCTGGAGTAAAAGGAGATCACTTTAGAGCTTTAAAATTTGACTGCCCATTTGAATTTTGGACTTGCACAGGCCCTGTAGCCCCTTTGTTTTGGCCAATTTCTCCCACTTGGAATGGTTGTATTTACCCTATGTCTGTACCCCCATTGTATCTAGGAAATAATTAGTTTGCTTTTGATTTTACAGGCTCATAAGCAGAAGGGATTTGCCTTGTCTCAGATGAGACTTTGGGCTGTGGATTTTTGAGTTGATGCTGAAATGAGTTAAGACTTTGGGGGACTGTTGGGAAGGCATGATTGGTTTTAAAATGTGAAGACATAAGATTTGGCAGGGGCCAGGGGTGGAATGATATGGTTTGGCTCTGTGTCTCCACCCAAATTTCACCTTGAATTTTACTCCCATAATTCCCATATGTTGTGGGAGTGACCTGGTGGGAGATAATTGAATCATGGGGGCAGTTCCCCCATATTGTTCTCATGGTAGTGAATAAGTCTCATGAGATCTGATGGCTTTATAAGGGGTTTCTGCTTTTGCATCTTCCTCTCTCTCTGCTTGCTGCCATCTATGTAAGATGTGACTTGCTTTTCCTTACCATCCACCATGATTGTGAGGCTTCCCCAGCCACGTGGAAATGTCAGTCCAATTAAACCTCTTTATTTTGTAAATTGCCCCCCAACTCGGTTTTGTCTTTATCAACAGTGTGAAAATGGGCTAATACAACTTCATTAGCCTTGTTCATAAGACATTTTGGTGCATCTTATCTAGAATAAACTTCTCTATAATTGCTCACTGTATCAGCCAGGATTTAGTTAGAACACAGAAATAACACTAGTAATTTGAATATAGAAGACGAAGATAAAGAATTAATCACCAATAAACATACGTAAGTACTAAAAGGTGTGAAAGAAAACTCTAAGGGGCCCAGAGATAGCAGGTTTTAAAACAAATAGCCACAATATCTAGGCTGAAGAGAGTTGACAATGTAAGAACAATAACTTAGCAGAGGATCCCCTCAAGATGGAGGTTCAGATCTCTTTAAAGAGAGCAGGAACAGGCAGCTTCCAGGAGCAAAGACACTTGCCAGAGGGCACAGATCATAGCTGGTGGGCCCGCAAGTAGGGAGAATATGACGTGAGAGTGTGGCTGGCTGGAGCTGATGCATGAGGGCCAGTAGGCTCAGGTGCTGCTTTATAAGAAAAGAGAACAAAAACCTGAAGGGAAAGTGCCTTCCTGCTGCTATTACCTTGCAGTTTCACTCAAGCTCTTACTTTAGTTGAAGCATTATGCCAAATGGCAAAGCAGAAATGTTTACAGAGTGTCCGACTGATATCACAAAGAAAGGCAAATAATAAAAGAAAGATATAGGGCTGAGAGTCAAGAAATAAGCAGTTGGCACACTCATATATATGATTAACCTATCTTAGGTGCCCAAGTTTTTTTTTTTTTAATGTAATGGCCAATATACGTTTTCTTTTATCCTCTAAATCAAGGCTAAAAAACTTGCATGATCCTAAAAGCCCAGAAGATTACCCAAATGAGTAAAACAGTATAGATATAAGACAATAAG
Organism: Homo sapiens; assembly: GCF_000001405.40. NCBI lineage: Eukaryota > Metazoa > Chordata > Mammalia > Primates > Hominidae > Homo > Homo sapiens. The sequence goes on from NC_000023.11 coordinate 30,296,995, forward strand.
GAGTGGGATGAATCATGGTGAAGCAGAGGCAACAAGCCTGACCTCTTAAAAGTGATCCAATTCATAGATATATGTCTGCAGGCTGTATGGGGAGCCAGTTCACAACTGATGCATGGAAACCCAATAATACTGTGCTCATAATTATAAAACTAGATAATGAAGCTGTCTACAAACCAGAGGATTTTATTTCGTTGTGTGGCTTTTGGGGGTTTTTTGTTTTGTTTTGTTTTTGGTATGGCCAGTGAAAACTATCATTCTCAAGTTAGCTATGGAACCACAGATTAAATTACTCATCCAGTAGGTTGGAAAGGATTTATCATTTATCATTTTACTGTTTAAATGTCTCCTGTGAGTCTTCTGGATAAATAATTCATAGTATTTAACTAGATATATGTGCGGGTAGGTTTTTAGCTAATTGAAAGTAATCATGTTTATTTTGTGTCAGAAACAAAGGAAGTAAAGGAAGCAAGGTTTCTTGTATTTTAATATTCTACATGTTATGCCTAATTTGAATTAGGATACATTTCCACATTGGCAATTCCCTTGTTTATGATTTAAACAGCAATGACAATAGTAGCATCAGACTCTATTACAATTACTTTGTGGCGGTAAGAAAAGAAATAACCACTTAAAGCATTGTAATTACATCAATGTTATTAAATCTTCTACGTGTGTTTTTAAAGGTCAAAATTCGAACATTAATTACCTTTCTGCACTGAAGCATGAAATGGCTTCAAAGTCCTTAGCTAAACAAGGATTGTGACTAAATTAGTGAGGGTGAAAACTAGACCTGAGAGCAACTACAAAAAGATTTGGCTATAAAGAATAGAAGTTATGTTTTATAGAACCATATGTTTAGTATTCTCAAACTGGACTTTATTTCATGTGACTTTATTTTTCTTTTGAATGAAGGTAATTTGTTCAATATATAACTAAATGTATTTTACATTTTATATCTTCATAAGACTGTTCATATGTGTACAAAACTGAAACTGTCTTTGTAAAACCTTTGGTTCCAGTTTCTGATTTGGAAAATATCTTCATTGTAAGTATATAATAGCAATACCACGTTTATCCGCAGTTGAAAAACAAAAGTAGTCTTAGATATCTAGATTTAAAAATGAAGTACATTAGATGTATTCTACAAAGTGTCACAAATGTACTTACTCCTATTTAACTTTTGCAGTTCAGTTGTAACACAGAGTGGTATGGTAGGAACTCAGAGGCTCTTATCACACAAGACTACTTTCAAACTCTAGCCATGCCTTATGCTACTGATGGGAAATATACCCAACTGCTGAGCCCAGATTTTCTTATCTGGGAAGACAATATTTACCTTGTAGAGCTAGGATCAAGATTAAAAGATATACTCCATGAAAACCACTCAAAACAGTGCTTGGCACAATAAACATTAGCTTTTTAATTTGAAATACACCATGATTTTTTACTTGAATACACCATGGGTTTTTAGATCTATGTATTAGGAGTAAAACAATGTAATAATGTAGACTATTTTAGGTAAATCAGACACTTTTATTTTATTTTATTTTATTTTATTTTATTTGAGACAGGGTCTTGTTCTGTCACCTAGGCTGGAGTGCAGTGGCATGATCTCAACTCACTGCAACCTCCGCCTCCCGGGTTCAAGTGATTCTCCTGCCTCAGACTCCCGAGTAGCTGGGACTATGGGTGCCCGCCACCACGCCTGGCTAATTTTTGCATTATTAGTAAAGATGGGGTTTCACCATGTTGGCCAGGCTGGTCTCGAACTCCCGACCTCAAGTGATCCGTCTGCCTCAGCCTCCCAAAGTGTTGGGATTAAGGTGTGAGCCACTGCGCCTGGCCACTTATTTTATATTACAACAAATTTGTTTCCTTTTCCATTTATTTCAACCCCCACCCTCTGCTAGTTGCTACCTTCCATTTTGTTCTACTTATTTTTATATTTTGTTTTCTGTAGACCACCTGCATCTTTTTCTAATCACTTCAAATATTCTTAAAGTATCTGTGGGAACTTTTGGTCTTTGTATTAGTCTGTTTTCATATTGCTATAAAGAAATACCTGAGACTGGGTAATTTATAAAGGAAAGAGGTTTAATTGACTCACATTTCTGCGTGCTGGGGAGGCCTCAGAAAACTTACAATCATAGCGGAAGGGGAAGCAAACACATCCTTCTTCACGAGGCAGCAGGAGAGAGAACTGCAGCGAGAGGCGGAAGAGCCCCTTCTAAAACCATTGGATCTCATGAGAACTCTTACTCACAAGAACAGCATGGGGGGACAACCCCCATGATTCAATCACCTCCCACGAGGTCCCTCCCCCAACACGTGGGGATTACAATTCTAGTTATAATTCAAGATGAGATTTGGGTGGGAACACAGAGCCAGACCATATAAGTCTTCCACTCCAAAACTGAACATATGTTTTCATGGAGGAAACTTTCTGACCTAAAACATCAGGTTCATGGTTGGACATCACTGTTTATTCATACAGAGGTCCATTGACTATGACTATAATGGAAAAAACAAGTCTAATTCAGCACTATTGATCAGTAAGAAGTCTATATAACTACATAGGCAAACATATGGTCAACTCTCAGATATTATTACTTGAAAAGACTAACTGGTGGTGTCTTTCGCTCATACACGCAACTTATTGACTGATTGTGACAATGCCTAAGTGTACAATTTTAAAGAATGTTTAAATGGCTTCAGAGCACTATCTCACTCACCTTCATTTTAGTGGCTGTATTTCACATACATCGTCTAAGTGCAAGATGAAAATGATGCAAGAACCATCATGTTTGCATGACTCTTAATCCCTCATCAAGTGAATAAAATGATTCGAAGTTGAAACGGGAGAGGACATTTTTACATTATGAATGTAGGTAACACAACACAGTAGTATTGGCAGTACCTGCGCAGGAAAGAGTTAACATAGTAGGTCTGAGACTGCTATCCTTAGAATGGCCTGCTCGGAAGGTTAGTTTTTGGCTGGCATCTGGGAACTTCAATTCTGAGAGTGTTCTCAATGTTCCCTAACTCATAGGGGCGAATCACTCTGCCTGGACAGTTTGTGCAAACAACATAGCTCACACTGAGCACGTACTTCCTTTTTGTGTGTTTGGAATTTCGGAACATGCTAGGTGGAGGGTACCTATGTGACCAGCTCTCAATAAAAGCCCTAAGCATGGAATCTAAAAAGGGTTTCCCTGAGCAGAAATAATCACACACATGTTGCTGAGTTTTTATTGCTGGGAAAAAAGTATATCCTGTGTGACCCCTCATGGGAAGAAGAGACCATAAAGTGGCCTGCATATGGATTTCTCCACCAGTGTCTCTTCTCTGTATGACCCAGCCATATACCCTTACTATATCGCAGTAATGTACAACTGTGAGTACAAGTACCTGTGGAGTGCTGTGAGACCTTTTAGCAAATATCTGAATGAGAGGGTGGTCTTGGGAACAACGACACAATGGTGGCAGTGGTGGGATTTGCTAGAATGACCGCAATTCACTGAAATGTAGCTACAGCATTATGTGGGGAAAAGAAAGAGAGAGGGGCAGGGAATTATGAAACCCTGGTACCTGAGTGGCTATGGCATTAACCATAATACGAAACAGCAGCTGAGCAGCTGTCTGTGATCAGAGGTAAAAAGTTACCTATGGAAATCGGAAATAATAGATTCATCCCGGGAGAGTTGGCTCTCTGGATACCCTAGGTGCTTTTGATCATACAGAGTTGGCTCTGCTGAAGTAAGGGGGGTGGGGGAGGGTAGGAAATAGTAGCATAGCCTAGGCAATGATAGCTTTATTTTTTGTAGTCTCTCCGCCTCCCTAACACCCTCGCAGGAGGAGAAAGGGCCCAAACATTCTGCACAATGGGCTTTGGATGTGCCAAATATCATAAAATATAGTTTGTAGTTGTTCTTTCCTCCAAGTAGAGAGAAAAAAAAGAATTAAGTCTGTTTCCAGGGCTGGAGCAAGGATTTAGATAAAGCAGAGGGGAGAGAGAGAGAGAGAAAGAGAGAAAGAGAGAAAGAAAGAAAGGAAGGAAGGAGGGAGAGAGGAAGTAAGGAAAGAAAGAAAGAGGGAGGGAGGGAAGGAAGGAAGGAAAGAAGGAAGGAAAGAAGAAAAGAGAGAGAGAGAAAGGAAGGAAGGAAGGACGGGAAGAAAGAAAGAAAAAGAAAGAAAGAAGGAAAGAAAGAAAAAAGAAAGAAAGAGAAAGAAGAAAGAAAGAAAAGAAAGGGAGAAAGGGAGGAAGGGAGGAAAGGAGGGAGAAAAGGAAGAAGGGAGGGAGGGAGGGAGGGAGGGAGGGAGGAAGGGAGGGAGGGAGGGAGGGAGGAAGGGAGGGAGGGAGGGAGGGAAACCCACTGTAGCTATTTCTTCAGCCTAGCTGCTGCTGCTCCCCTCCCTTTCTCTTCCATCCCAGCTGGGTTCTCCTGGCAGCTGTGATGTGAACCCTGTAAATGGAAAATTTACTGCTAGGGATTTTAGTAAACTTGTAATGAGAAAAAAACAGGAATTTTAATTCACAGCTTTGCATTTGTGGCTATTGCATGTGGATGTATGATGAAAACTGATGTGCAATGTTATGTGCCTATAATTTCATAAATGCTAGAAGGGTCATCTCAATCAGGAAAAGCTGCAAAGAAAAAGTGTTAATGAAACACAGCTCCCTTGCTTTTTTGCCACAGGCGGGTGGATTGGAATTTATACTCTTGGTATTGGAAACAAGGCTCAGTAATGGATGATTTTTTTTTTTTTGCCATAATTTTGCCTACTGGAGACTCTGGAAAAGGGAGCCAATCTCCAAATGAAGACACACTTCTGGGGTTTTCAAAGCAGGTTTCGGGGGTTAGGGAGTTGTGCGGTTTTGTTTGTTTTTGCCAATAAGCTCTTGTGAAATCAGATTTCTGACCCTTAGAGGCTGATGATTTTCTAGCCTGACATGCATATTTTTGCAAGGGTCAATTTGAACAATCTGGCCTAACAGGGTAAAAAAGTCCTTAGGAACAGCCTTGCCTGTTACTTGGACTTGAAACACAGGTATCTGGCCTACAGCGTCTTAGCTTTGCTGCCGCTGCTGAAGAAAAGCCTCTAACTTTTTTGAATACTGAATTCACAGATCCTAATTCCCTGGACCTGAATGAAACCTGATACTGCCGGCTACAGGCTATTTCAATTTCAGCACTGAGCTGTGCTGAACTGCAAGTCGGCACAGGCTCAACGAACAGAACTCAGTCTCTGGAACTGCCACAAATTTAAGACATCCCTGTGGGGTCACAGCTATAAAACATCATGGATGCTAGCTGACCATCTGGGTCACCTGCAGATGCCCTAGAGAAAAAGGCTTGTTCTCTGATGGGACCATTAGAAATGGAGCTGCTGATGGACTCGATATTTCTGATACGGGATACAAGAGCCTGATTGCATTCCTAACTTTTGATTCTAGCCAAAGGCTGCAATTTAGGGAAGGGCACACCACAGGGTATGTGACCCCTCTGCCCACCCCTGATAGATCAGACTCTCAGGGATGTCTCAAGGCTGTTGACTTGTGTTCCACTTTCCAGGTTAGTTGCAGTTTGCAACAGTGGACCGATAGCCTGACTTTACTTCCCTTGCCTTTCTCCTGTTGTACACAACTTGGTAAGGCAGTTTGATCATCCAATGCAGCTGTCCTCAGAAAAGGACTGATTTTTGCTAGGTGTTCACTAAATAAATGATCATGGAAAAAGGCTTGGGGCGGGGGGTACGTAAACCCATTTTGAAAAAATATTGAAAATCAGGATTTTGCCCTGACCAGTTCCTGTGTCTTTCTGGTTAAGTTGTATTAAAACGTTACTCTGTGAAAATGCCTCTGTCCCTCTTACACACAATCCTTCCAGAAGGTCTAGGTGAAAAGAGAAGTGATTAGGAAAAATTACATGAAGTTAGGATTATTGAATGGGGCACATTGATTTTGTAACAGTCAAGAAAAACAACCCTGACACCTGGGAAGGCTCGGGGAGGAAGTAGGGCATTAATGATTTTTGCTTTTTGGAACTGCTTCTGGAAGCTTTCCCCTCTTTTCGAAGAAAACTCTTGTGCTGCTTTTGCAAGTGCTGCAGGCGCTTTGGACTCAGACCAAGGGCTGAGCCTAGATGGCACGTGACAGCGTGACTATGAGCTGGCAGCAGAGGGCCAGCTTCTACTGCATGTCCCCGCAGAACATGTCCAGATGCCATCTACACTCACCAGGCAGATGAAGTAGTGTCACTGACAGACTATTTGAGACTGACAGCCCCAGGCAGCCCCTCTAAAACCAGGGGCTGAACTGAATTACTTTCACTGGACTGAATACCTTGGGGAAGGAGGCACCTCGGTGGGAGGCCGCACTGGGGGCTGCCTAACCAATGCATATCCTGCTGGGGTGCCCTAACATTTTTAACTCTTTGTTTCTAGGGGACCACATGAGCCCTCGGGGATTGTGTGTGTGTGTGTGTGTGTGTGCTGTGACTATCATGACGCTTGCTTCCGCCCTACTGCATTCCTCTGAGAGCCTGATTTTGAGAAAATGTCCATAGGATTCAATAGACTGCCAAAGGGATCTGCACGAAAGAAAGTTTAAGACTTCCTGCAATGGGTTATTACCCTAGACTAGATACACTCATTAATAACAGGCAATTTATTGCCCATAAACAAATAGACATATAGTAGCCTTGATTTTATCTGGACACAAAGAAAAATTAGTTCTATGGATTATAATTAAAGGGGCAGCAGGAGATAACAATAAAGTTGCTTTATGATTTCATGCCATGTTGTTCAATATACCAGTTACAAACGTAATGTATCTAAAAGATGAAGTGTAATTAGTGGTTTTATAATGATGTTGAGCTTTCTGGAACTATAACCCCTCATTATAGAATGTATGTTCCTTGTGGATCTTTAAATCCATAACTGTGTACCAAAAAGATCCCCCAATAAAACAGAAAATCTCCTCTTTCACTTCTGCATGTCTTTATAATTACAGATTGCTTCTTGACTCCAGTTGGATGCAAACGCAGTCTTCCATACAGCTGAGGGAAGTGGAAATGAAGATAGAGCAAAGTGACCTCCCACTGATACTGGCACATAATTACATTCAATGTCATGTTGTTACTTCCAAAGATACTTTTTGCTTATGTTGGCTAGGTTTTAATAGTTTTTGAGGCCTTACTTAAACCCTGCTGAAGCTTTTTTCAATCAAGTTAATAGTTAAGACCTTAAAATTTATTATAACAATATGTACAAATTTGATTTGAGCAGGTTCCATGAAATTGCTACACTTGTGAAAATAGCTTATTATACTAGTACCCTGCTATTTTTTTTTTAAAAGATGTACAGAGCTATGCTACCTGTTGGCAAATGTCTTCTTTAACTATGGAACAGAGAAATTTGTGACTGTCTGGAATAAAATTATTTCTTTAATTGAATACAAAAATACTCTGCATGTAAAAATATTAAGAAAGTTTATTTTAAAATATTTTACACTCTTTTGCCCACAGCTCTTTATTCTTCCCTCATGGTGAACTGCACTACTGCACTTGTGTGGCCCACATGACTTTATATCTTTGTACAGAGCATTTCCAGCATCATATCATCCATGCTGACTGTGCCGATGATGGGCCTGAAGAACAGTTCAGCAATGACATTGGCATTGATGAATCTCAGCAGGAAAAGGGTACTATTAAGTTCGATGAATCTGTCATGGGGCCCTTGGTGCGTCATCCTGGTGTGTTCACTGAGTATTTGCTGAGTTCCCCACTGGAGTCCCTGAATGTACTTCACGCACTGCAGGCCCGGCACGTCTGGAGGGAGAAAAATCTCTTTGTTATAAAACAGCTCACCACAGAGTCCTTTGCTAGCTTTTTAAAAATAGCCATTTCTGTTTCATCCCAATTAAACAAGACCCAAAGCTTCCCGGTTAAAAGGGTAAAAGGCCAAACCAGTCTACGTTTTCAGAAGCAACGTGTCCAAGAATGAAACATCATGTGATCTTACTTAATATTTACTATGTTTCTATGCACACGTTTGCAAATACACTGGCCATGAGCCAACAAACGCACACAATTTAATATGACAGTAGAATACGGTTTAATGAATCATCACTCCAGTTCACTTTCTATGCAAATATGAAGAAGTTCATGATATTTCAAGAGGTGGGCACTTTACCTATGAGAAACAAGCCATGATAAACAAGAAGTGTTGCCATGAGACAAATGTTTTTACCATTCTTCTTTGAACTTTCCATCATTACACTGATCGTTCAGCCAATGGTGGTAAACTTCACAGCCACAAACTTTGACGCACAGTTTCATTTTACCTATTTGCCTGCAGGCCAATATTAGTCTAGAGGCCCGAATAATTTGAAAGCTAACACTGGCCACTTAGCTCATTGCACCATGATTTCTGTATTGGGGAAGATTTTGAAAAAAATAAAAGAATGATTCTAATGAGTGTTCAAAAAGGCTCTTTTCAAAAATATTAAAGTAAGAAGTTTTTGAAAATTCTTATAGTCATTAAAAGTTTAAAAAGTAAACATGAAAACATCACGAATTGTACCATGATTCAAGAATAACTTTTGTAATAGAAAACACATGACCTTTTGCAGTATAGTGTGATACCGAAGTAAAAGTGAAAGAAATAAATGCAGGAAAGTTTAAGTGGATGTAAGTTTTTATAAGGAAAGTAATAAGAGGAGGCTGCTTTTGAAGGTCCTTTGATCTTCCATGATGATAATATCGTTGCAAAGTTCTTTAACTTGTATTCAAGTAATTAGCAGTTGACCACTTGGTTTAAATGATGTTAATGATGATTGCAATCATTTTCCTTCCCTTTTCCTAAAAAATTCAACAGAAAAGTATTTTAAAAGCACCATGCCAATCATCACAGAGCAGCAGAACCAGTGTTCTTTAAAAAAATAATAATGGTAATAAGCGAGAGGCACTCCTATTATGGGCGAATATCAAATCTCATAAATAAGAACAAAAATAAAGCAACCATTTTAATCCATATTCCAGTTCTGATTACTCTAGTCCACACATTATCATCCCCTTCTATCTACAGCTTGAGATCCAGGCTTAAGACCCAATTTTGTTGTGTTTGAATTCCATCGATGAAAGTAGGAAGAGGCTTGCATGAAACTCCACCAGAAATCTGAAGCTTCTCTAGGTCTAGATTCATGGCTTGTGAAAACTTCATCTTGTGTATGCCACATTACTTTTCTCTGTGTTCACAATATACCCCTCCACCTTCTCCCCACCCAAGTGGTTCCCCCCCACACAGAGACACACAAACTGGCCTTCAAAATAAGGTCAGGGAAGAGAAAATGCAAATGGACTCCACAGTTTTATATCTCCTTAAGTTTGAACCTATATATATAATGTATTTAAATTTATATATGGGACATACAAAGGATAAACAGCAAAGAGAGGCCACACTCTTAATAGGCATTACCTTTCTCCCAAATATAGGTACATTTGTGTTTCAAACACACTCAGCTTAGCTGGTTAAACTCATATTGAGAGAGGATTAGGAAAAGTCAATCAAGAATAAGGAAGAATGTGTGTGTGTGTGTGTGTGTGTGTGTGTGTGTGTGTGTTAAAAGTATATAAAACAGAGTCAAGGGAAACTGTTGATACTGAAACTAATGGAATGTAAATTTCTGGAAGCTGAGCCCCTCTCACCTTTATATCCCAACAGGACGAGGAACATAGTGGATGATTAGTAACACTGGCTGAAGGAATAAGAAGACTGTTTTCCAAATAATCTTAAGAATCATCTGCGACACTTATTATGAATGCAGATTTGCAGACCCTGGGCCAGAGCTACTGAATCAGAATATATAAGGCAGGAGCCTAGAAAGACTTTTATCTACTCCCTCCCACCCCCAACCACACACACACAAGTACTTCTTATGCACAGGCAAGTTTGGAAAACAATGGTATAAGCAAAAAGGTAACATATAATAGACACTGGGGTGAGCTGAGGTCTCTACGTCATGAAACGTGAGGTTTGAACAAATTATTATCCCACCAAATACTGATCTATGCACCCTCAAAAATGCTAGGCAGGGGGCAGGGACTTAATCAGAGATTCCAGCACCAGGGAAAAAAGATACAAAAGGAGCATTATAAAAACTATCCCAACTCAAGTTGCCTGGAAAATTTTGTTCCCACTTCAATCATTTTGAAAGGACGCTGGTTGAAGATGATTCTAATAGTGAGAAACACCCAAGACAAGGTGCCTGGCTGTCCAGGGAGACGTTCCTCCAGTGATTTGGTTGCACTCTGTGGGACAGTGTGTCCAGCACCCAACAGACAACCTGAAAGTTTAGTGCAGCCAATATCCCACTGGGCCCAGAAGACAGGACCCTCAGGTGCCACAACACACCAACCATTTACTTGGGACCTTGGGACACATCTACCTACTCAGTAAAATGGGGTGGGGGGAGGCTACAGAGCAAAGGGGGTTGATTAGCAGGTCTCTAAAGTCTCTTTGAATTCTAAAATACAGTGCTCCTGCTCTCAGTCCCTAATGTGTCTTTTTTCCCTATCCCTTTGCCAACCTGATATTATTCACAGAGATTTGGAGGAAGGGATAGTCCAGATGCTTAGGACCATACAAATAACCATTCAGAGGCAGGCCCATGAAACACTACATCTAGTGTCTTGTGTGTCCCTAGGGAATAGTCTCTCTATGGGACCCTTTAACAAATGTTTCCTTTTTTGCTAGCCTTAATAGATTTCCTCCCCCCAAAAAAGGTTCTAGTAAATTTCAGAATGGGGTTTCAGAAATCGATGTTGCAGAATCTTCAGTGAGCAAAAACTTTTTTTAGAAAAAGATATGCTCTGGACTTAAAAGAAAGCTAAAGAAGAAAGAATAACCATTTCCCATGAAGGCACAAACTTTTCTATGGTAAGAAATGTGTAGAGAGCCAAGTACAAACCTAAACAAACAACTCCCCTCCTCTTGGCTGAGTTTCTGATAGCAGCCCACCCAGCAGAAGTGGTTCCTGGAGCTCCCCACCCCAACTCTGCTGAGTTAGTCACGATTTCTTCACCTTTGCCCCGACACTCTCCTGATCACTGAAAACTCGTTACTGCCCGCGCCCCTAGATAGGCACTGCCCGATGCTTTTGTGAGCTGGGAAAAGCCGGCGCCTAAGGCCAGTACCCTTACCCGGGTTAAAGAGCACGGTCCCCTTGAGGTAGGCGTACTCCTTGGTACTGATGTTCAGACTCCAGCATTTGGAAAGAAAGCACTTGATGGCTTGGACCTGGGAGGCGGAGGGCACCTTCCTGGCCTCCGCCGGCGGTGCCAAATGGTGCTGCAGCGTGGGCACGGGCAGTGGCTCGTTGCCCCCGGTCTCCCGCCGCCTGGTGGTGAGGATCTTCTGCAGCATGCTGGGCTCCGAGACTTCCACAGTCTCGAACTGCAAGCGGTCCTGGGCCAGCTCAAGCATGAGCAGGGACGCCCAGCAGTTGCGCACCAGCACCAGCTGCTGGTCCAGGGGCAGCACCTGGAAGCAGGGCAAGTACTTGACGAAGCGCAGCGTCTTCAACAGGCCCGCTGAGGCTGCCTCGCAGACCACCTGTGGACTCTTGAGCGCCACCGGCCGCAGCGCACCAGAGGAGGTGTCCCACCAGGGGGCCCTCGGCCGCTCCTCCGGAGCCGCCTGCGCTTGATTTGTGCTCGTGGGCACGCAGTAGAGGGTGCTGCCCTGCTGCGGGTGGTCTTCACCGCAAAAGCAGCAGCGGTACAGAAGCGCCGTGGCCCGCCCGCCTGGTAGCGCCTCTTTACCCCCTGGCCTCTGCGCGAAGTAGGAGCGGTCCCACCACGCGCCCCCTGGCCGTGCCTCGGGCGCTGCCGGAGCCACGTGCGTTTGCTTTGAGCTAGTGAGCAAGCTGTAGAGGATGCTGCCCTGCCGCGGGTGGTCTTCACCACAAAAGCAGCAGCGGTACAGGAGTGCCACGGGCCGCCCACCCGGAAGCCCCGCTCTGCCCACCCCGGGATCAGAGCCGCACGAACAGCCCCAGCACGGACCCAGCGTCGCCTCGGGCGCCTTCGGTGCCGCGTACGTTTGCTTTGCGCTCGTCAGCATGCTGTAGAGGATGCTGCCCTGCCGTGGGTGGTCTTTACCGCAAAAGCAGCAGCGGTACAGGAGCGCCACGTTCCGCCCGCCCAGCAGCCCCTCTCTGCCCACCCCGGGCTCATCGCCGCACGAACAGCCCCAGCACTGATCCACCAGCCGCGTCTCTGGAGCCTCAGGAGCCGCGCGCGTTTGCTTCGCGCTCATAAGCATGTTGTAGAGGATGCTGCCCTGCCACTGGTGGTTCTCGCCCGCCATGGCCCGCGGCGCCCGTAGCCCAGTTCTGCCCAGTGGCTGCCTCCTGGGACCTATTTATACCTAGCGCGCACGCAGGCGCGTCGGCCGCCTCGGTCTGGGCAAGGGCGCGGAGGCGGGCGGTGTGTGCGGGGGGGCGCGGTGCTGCGCTCCGGTGTGTTCGCCCATGACCTCGGTGGTTCGAAGGGGCGGGTGCTCTTTAAAAGCTGGAAATGGAAGAACAGCAGCGTGGGAGCTCCTGGACACTTTCCTCCTTCCTCTCATTACCCCTTTCCCTGTCTCAGGAAGACCGGAGGAGAGCGAGCGCCTGGATGCTGTTGCAACTCTTTCCATTGAACCCTCGCATCTAATTTGTTCCCTTTATTGGGAGGGCAGGGGAAAAGAGGAAACATCTACTTCTATGCTCTTTGTAAACTTTCATTAAATTATCACAGTTTGTGTGACTTATATTTGTATATGGATAGGGAGGTCTCATTTTCTGAGACCTTGAAAAATACAGAACATAGACAAGCATCATATGGGAACTCGGTGGAAATGCCCAATCTCAGGCTCCAACCAGACTTTCTAACTCTGAATCTGCATTTTAACGGTGTCCCCAGGGATTCACATGCACCTAGACGTTTGAAAAGCACTGCTCTAAATATGCTATCATAAGCGCTCAGTTTAATGCCATCAGTATTTATAAGCGCCCACTATGTCCTGGATGCTGTGTTAAGAGAGCTGGGGGCAGCGAGCAGGATGTAAAAGTGCCTAAAACTTAGGAATATAATAATTACGAGGGGATAATATTGTTACAGTGAGAATTGTTTTCATTTTAGTATATATTTTTTTTTCTTTTAACTTTTAGGTTCAGGAGTACATGTGCGGGTTTGTTATATAAGTGAATTGCTTGTCGTGGGGGTTTGGTGTACAGATTATTTCATCACCCAGGTAATAGTATCCAATAGGTATTTTTTCTCATTCTCTCCCTCTTCCCACCCTCCACCTTCAAGTAGGTTCCAGTGTCTGTTGTTCCCCTCCTAGTGTCCAGGTGATCTCTTTATTTAGCTCCCACTTGCAAGTGAGAACATGTGATATTTGGTTTTCTGTTCCTGCATTACTTTGCTAAGCATGATGGCCGCCAGCTCTCATTCTTTTTCATGGCCGCAGTGAGAAATTTTGATCCTTGTAAAAGTATTCCATTGGTAAGTGTGTAATTAGTATTTCTTTTCCCACCCTTCCTAAGTGAATAATGATAAATAGAAGCATCAGGAAGCCTGGATCCATTAGTCTTCACTTGCCACACAGCTGTGAAGACATGGGGCAGGGAAGGGTGTTGGTATATACCAGCTGATACAGAATCATTTTTACTTTTTCCCTCCCTCCCATCCTCCCTCTTTCTTTTTTTGCTGTTTCTTTTCCTTCCTTCCTTCCTTCCTTCCTTCCTTCCTTCCTTCCTTCCTTTCCTTCCTTCCTTCCTTCCTTCCTTCCTTTCCTTCCTTCCTTCCTTCCTTCCTTCCTCCCTCCCTCCCTCCCTCCCTCCCTCTCTCACTCCTTCTCTCTCTCTCTTTCTTTCTCTTTTTCTTCTTCTCCAGGACCTGGAATTCTCAGCATAAGAGGAAAACCTAGGAGACCCCCATTTTGCTTGCAGCGTTAAATTTCATTCTGCCTGTGAGAGGCCCTAAATAGCACAGTGGTTAAATCCCTGGAACTAGCACTAGATTGCCTCAGTTTTAATCCTGGCCCTGCCACTTTGTAGCATCATAACCTTGGGCAATGTGTTAGTTTCTTTGTCGCTGCTTTACTTACCACAAATGTAGTGGCTTAAGTCAACACAAACAACACGAATTTTTTATGTTATAATTCTGGAAGCCAGAAGTCTGAAATCAGTTTCACTGAGCTAAAGTCAAGGTGACATTTCTTCTGGAAGTTCTAGGACAGAATCTATTTCCTTGCTTATTCTAGCTTCTTGAAGCTGCCTAAGCTCCTTAATATCTGATCACATAACTCTGGCCTCTGCTTCCATCTCCTTCTCTGATTCTTGTAAGAATCTTTGTGACTATAATGGACCCACTCAGATAATCCAAGATAATATCTCTATCCAAAAATTCTTAACTTGATCACATATGCAAAGGCCTTTTCATTCTATAAGTTAACAAATGCACAGGTTCTAAAGGTTAGGACATGGACATCTTTGGACACTATTCAGCCTATCACAGGAAAGTTACTTAAGCTGTTTGTGCCTCAGTTTCTTCATTTGTCAAACATGCACAACAGCGTCTGTGAGGTAATCTTTATACATGAGTTAATTTGTGTAAAGTGTTTATAATAATGTTTGTTATGTGTCAAGTGGTGGATGTATCAACCATTTTAGGACAACGCAGAATAACTTCAGAGTTAGGAGGTGTTCCTGTACCAGCACTGCCACAGTTCTGTCTCTCCTAGGGAAGCCTCACACACACACAATTTCCACCCAGAAGATTTTATCCTACTTTCTTTGTGTGTCCACATTTCTTGGCCCAGACTCTAAACACTGGATGGGTCACCTGGTTCACACAATTGTGTGTTGGCAATATTGTTTCATGGGCTATTTCATTATTTGCCATTTCCAGTATTCAAGCTACTGTTTGGGGTATCGTCGTTACTGCTTTAGCAGTATTGTGGCAGTCTTCACTCGCCATACAGCCTCATCCCTCAAGTGCCACACAGGCACTGAGATCAGTGGCTTAATGAACCCACCAACCAGCCTAGCTGAAAAACCCAGCCGACCTTTGTCCCTACCTTATGTTGCCAGAGCTAGTCACGATTTCCTTTTCCTCCCAACACCTGACATGATTTATTTAGTTGTTCGATGCTTACTGATTGTGTCTCCTCCACTAATACAAAAGTCCTTTGAGGGCAAGGAATCTGTCACTCTGTATTGTGTCCCAGCAATTAGAATGATTTCTGACACGTAGTAGGTGCTCAAAAAATACATTTGTTGGCAAACTGTACCTTGAGGGAGAGAGAAGGCTACGGCTCCTACTGCCAATGGGCAGGCCGAGCACTCCCACCCAGCTATCGCTGCGCTGACCCTGGAAGGAGGACAATGTAGTAGGCCTTGTTAGACTCAGCATTTTCTGGAGGCCTGTTTTGCTACTCAGAGTGCTACAAGGACTGTGGTAAAGTAACAGGAAAAGTGGGTTAACAGTCAAAAGACCTGACCTTGAATTTGGGTTCTTCCACTCTAACAAAATAACATTAAACAAGTCATTTAACTTCACCCTTCTCATTTCTGAAGTGGGGACAAAATTCTATGAACCAATATTGATATGTACACTCTGTTCTAAGTCTGTAAGAGAGTTATTTTTTTTTAACATGGCCATTTTCAGAAATGTTTGCTGACTCTTCCATTACATTGGGATATAAATAAACAAATTTACACTCATTTACTTTCAATGATTTAACTGTGAGCAAAGTATTTAACATTATGTTAGCCTTTTCATCTAGAAAATAAGCAGTGCTAAAAACTAGTTTTAATACATGCACCTTGGTCCTGTATCTTTCTAAATTTGTTTCATCTCATCAACTAGATTTTTTTTTAATTCTAGAAACTTAAATCCATTTTCTGTGAGCAATCATTCCCACCTCACACATATCTGATGCCTTTGAATTTTAGGCATTATCTGAGGTTGAAACTTAAGTGCAGTGCTGAGAACCATGAATTTGTAACATATTAGTCATAGTTTCTCATCTTTCTCAGGGGTTGAGTCTTCCGATTTTCTTACTTTTGTTTTCCTTCAAGTTGCGATCTTCTATTTGCCACTCCGAAGGACCTTCTAGGTTCTCTGGATTGACTTTTTCTAAGAAGAGATTGCGTGCTTGTCCTTCACAAGTATTCATCCTTGAAAACATCACGAGAAAACTGACTTCATCTTTCCACTTTCCATTTTTTCCCCTGAACAAATAGCTCCTGAAAAACAAAATCGTCCAAACACACCAGAGCAGAGATTTGCACAGATTAATGCCAGCCTGCTGGTTGCTACAGGATTAGTGAAGACATAACCTTCTAAAGCAGGCACAGCCTTTTTCATTTGATTTGTTCCGTGTCCTCAGACCACTGTGACACCTAGACAAAAGGACACTTATCAACTGCACCTGTCATGTGCTGAGTTTGTCCACAACTGCAATTTGGATATTTACACTGACTCATTGTGCGATGACCTTGGCCAGTTGGACACCTGTTCTGCGGAATCCATTATCTGCTCCAACTCAGGGTGGGAGTAAAGCTGCTCTGCCTGCCTGAATGCAACCTTCAACTTCAAAGTAATGCAGTTTTTACTAAAGGATGTAGGAGTGAAGTACAGGTAGGGATAAAGCTGGGTAAAATTGTAAAATTGACCTTTTCGCAGCAAGCTGCTCTTGACCTGGGAAGCCTTGACGATGTGAAACATGATACGAATTTTTAACCTGGGCTTAAAAGAGCTACAATACCTTCGAATTCAGTTCCTTCAGAGACAGGTGACAGGGAGTAACAATAGTGTTTTCCTTGTTTTTTAAAGTAAATATCAGGTAAACACTATTGTAGATAAACACTAGCTGATAAAACCAAGAGATGGTCTTTTACCTTTCCCTTTCTAAGACCCAGAATGTCTAAAGCTATATTTATGAAAGAATTAATAGGCTTTAGGTGACTCATGAAACCCCTAAAGAAGATCAAATCATTAGTCTTTATTTCTTCCGATGAACTACAATGAAGTTAATCAGCTGCATTAGGGGTCACAGAGTTGCTGATCTGGAATTGTGACTCTAATAGTTCCTGTAATCCTGAAATGTTCTAAAATAAGCTTTCCAAATCAGTCAAACAACCACTTTGTTCAAGGAAAAATTTAATTCCATTTGTTTTTCTGAGTCTGCCAATTCTAAATCTACCTCAATACCAGATGTTGATGATACTATCTAATTAATACATTTAACTGACTGGCAGGCTTAAAAATTATGGCCCCATTGATTTAATGGGTCAGTTTGAAAAGCATTTCTCTATTGGTGCACATCACTTGTTCCCCAATAACAATGATAATTTTAGTTAGAAACTCCCTGCTTTGGGTCTGGAATTGTTCTAATATCGTCCTCCTAAAAATTGCCTTCTTGTCTCCTCCAACTTTTCTTAGCAACTTACTCCTCACAATCCTTGTTTTTGTTTGTTTCTTTGTTTGTTTCGTTTTGTTTTGTTTTTGAGACGGAGTTTCGCTCTATCACTCAGGCTGGAGTGCAGTGGTGCAGTGCAATCTCAGCTCACTGCAAACTCTGCCCCCCTGGGTTCAAGTGATTCTCCTGCCTCAGCCTCCCAAGTAGCTGGGATTATAGGTGCCCACCACCATGCCCAGCTAATTTTTGTATTTTTAGTAGAGATGGGGTTTCACCATGTTGGCCAGTCTGGTCTCAAACTCCTGACCTCAAGTTATCCGCCTCCCTCAGCCTCCCAAAGTGCTGAGATTACACGTGTGAGCCACCACAGCAGGCAATTCCTCACAGTCCTTGTATCTAGAGTCCATTTTACATTACCTGGCATATTGAAGGTGCTCAACAAACACCTGCTGAGTGAAACAGTGAGTGAAAAGTTTCTTCTACATCTGTGTATCTTTTAACTTCACGAGATTGCTCAGCCTTCACTCCTTTCCCTGATTTTGTGGTTTTTAGCAATTTTGCCAGCCCTGGTGGCTAGACTTAAGGTCCCTTCTGTCAAATTATCTGTCTTAACCACTCTGACGTCTATTAGGTTGGTGCAAAAGTAATTGCGGTTTTTGCCATTACCTTCAATTGCAAAAACTGCAATTACTTTTGCACCAAACTAATAGTTTGACAGTCTCTAAAATGAGAGTAAATTTTTTATGTTTATTTCACAATTTGCCAAATGTATGAAATAATGTTATATATATATATATATATATATATTTTTAAGTACCTCACAACTGTGAGTTATTAGAGCTGGATGGCAAATTCTTTTTTTTCTTTTTTTAATTGATATGTAATATTTATACATATTTGTGGGGCACATGTGATGTTTTGTTCCTTGCAGAGAGTGTGTAATGATCAAATCAGGGTACTTAGGGTATCCATCACCTCAAGTATTTATCATATCTATGTGTTGGGAACATCTCAATCCCTCTCTCCTAGCTGTTTTGAAATATACAGTATGCTTTTGTTAACGCTAGTCACTCTACTCTGCTGTTGAACACTAGAATTTGTCCCTTCTATCTAACTGTATGTTTTTACCAATTAACCAATCTCTCTTCATTGCCCCCTCCCTGCCCAACCTTCCCAGCCTCTGGTACCTATCATTCTACTCTTTACCTCCATAAGATCTCAATTTCTTAAGTTGGTGGCATCAGACTTTATGAAGTGAAATACTTCCCAATTCACTCAAATTTGTGCATTTGAAATTCTCTGCAGATATACAAGCCCAACGGGTTTGAAATAAGGGACCATCACAGCCAATAAACTGTCAATAAGAAGACATTCAAGTCTGGAGTTAAATGCATTCAACATTAGTAGTGTCATAAGCCTAATTGCTTTCTCTGAGCCCACAATGACAAGTGTATGAAGAAAAAAAATGTAGTGAATAGATGTAGGAGAATTTATTTGCAGCAAAGTGAAACACTGGTGATGAAGAAAATCAGAACCTTTATTTCTGAACTGATGTTTTTACCATGATCAGTGTGGCTGGGTAAATGAAAAGAAGCTGGCTTTGTTCTCTGAAGCAGGGAATGAGACAAGGACTGTGTACGCTTCCTTGAGAGATGATTCCAGGAAGCAGTGGTGAGTGCAGGAAAGTGAAATTGGGAAGGAGGAAAAGCCAGTATTAAGGTACATTACTATCCTCACTGCTCTGAGCAACAGGGGTAATTCCACCAGGACCTCCAAGGAAACATACAGAATGCCAACCAGAATTGTCTGCCCCAGGGAGGTGGCAACAGCATTTATCCATTAGTTTCCATCCTCCAAGGTTGAAGGTTGCCACCAAGTCTCCACTGGTATCCTAGCGTTGCAAAATATAGTGACATGAAAAAAGTCCCAGCCCACATGGAACTGTCTACCCACCTATACTTGGAATCAGAGGTATGGACAAAAAAGATACAAGGTAGAAAATCAGAGCTATCTAAAAGCTCATGGCCAATCATCCTTGATTCACTGCCACGAGATGAATCCCACTTGATATGGAGACTGGTTGAAGTGATGTAGTAACAACCCCAGGATTTCTCCGCTGAGCTTGTTCATCTTTGAAAAGCATGTTACCATTATGGTCCAAGTTGTTCAATTCTTTAGATAAGCAAGGCCTGAATGAGGGAAGCAGGAAAGAACATTCCCCCAGCACTGGATAATAATTTATCCTGACTGAGCTTTTATTCAACAGTGTTACCAGCCACTCTTTCATAGATAGAGAAAAAAAGAAAACACTGTTGGCCAGTAAAACAACAAAATTTCATTAGAGAGCCATAGCTTTTGCAAAATTAGAGGTCGTGGCATTACTTGTATCAGTTGGGTATTTCTGAATACTTTGACATTGTCCACAGGTTCTTAAAATTTTTCAATCTGTTTCAAAGGGGTTTAAGCAAAATCAGAACCTTTATAGAAGCCTCGTCTTGAGGCTTGAGGCATGACTGGATTCAGATACTTGAACTACATGACCAGGATATGTTTCTTGGAGACTTATGATCTCTCATTCTAATGTGAATTATCCTTGATTCATATCCTGCAACCCACCCAACTAACTTAGTAGCAAATTTGATCAACTCTACCTTCAAAATGTATCTCAGATTCAACACTTTCCCATGAGCACCATCACACCACTTTGGCCCGAGTCGCCGTCTTGTTTGACCTCAACTCCTGCAATAACCTTCCCACTGGTCCCATGCATCTTTTCCTTTTCTGCCTATAGCTAGTTTTCCAAATAAAGACTGATGCTTACAGATAAGTGAGATTATGAGTGTTCACTGCTCATAGCCTCCGATACCTTCCTGTCACACATAGGAAAGTGTAGCCTTGTAGGCCCTAGACTTTAAAATCTTACAGGATCTGGCCCTGGATCTCTCTCCAACTCCATCCCACATTTACTATGTGGCTCTAGCCACATGGCTTCCTTGATATGCCTCAAACCTGCAACCTCCCTCATCTGGACTGTTGGGCCAACTGCAGATCTTCACATGACTCATTGTTTTCACTTACATTAGGCCTTTGCTCAGATGTCATGACCTCAGAGAGGTCCTCCCTGGCCCCCCTGTCTAAAATAGCACCACACCACTCTATCCTTGCTGTCTGCTTTATTTTTCTTCTTGATCCTTATCAGTATACATATATGTTTATTTTGGGTTATTTATTGTTGGCCTCTCCCAGGAGAATATACATTCTATGAGAGGAGAGACTGAGGTATTTGCTGCTATAGTTCTAGCACGGGGAGTAGTGCCTGGAACCTGGGAGGTGATGAATAATGTGGTCCGGTTATTCTCTACATCTACTGTACCTGAGTGCCTTCTGGAAATTCTTTTTATTTTCCTGTTTACTGGGCAAAGGTTTCCATGGACAATTCCTTAATTAATAACCTGAACAACTATCTGGCAACTCACTCCTGCTCTGTCTCCGTGGCTTCCCTCTCTGGTTTAGGAGTCTCAGGTAGAAAGACATTGGTAGACAATGCCAACCTTCTCAGGAGCTTGTTACTTAAAAAAAAAAAAAAAAAAAAAAAAGCGTGCATTTTTTGGGTGTGTTTTCTGGGTCATGTGTTCCTCTGTCCTGGTTTATCCATCAATGTAACTATAGCTCCCTTCTATCTTCCAAAAATGTATCCAAATCTCTGTCCAGAGATTATTTCTTTCTCAAAGTTGTAACAGATTTATCCTGTCTGTATCATTTACTTTGTCATTCCAATAGCATTCTGTGAGAAAAAGTAAACCTATATGTTCCCTCTGTTACCTTGAGCCACATGTTTCTGGTTGAGTTTGTCAAACATGAAACTCTTGGGAGTGTGTGTGTGTGTGTGTGTGTGTGTGTGTGTTTAGAAACTGTGCAGTATTAGGTGCAGAGACTTAACCAAAAGTTGACCAGAGTCTACAAGGTTCAAGGTGGTAGAATTTGGTTTACAGACTGGTAAAGGGAAATTCTTTCCTGCTGGAGTTCTGATGTACAGAAGTAAAAAGGCACCATTAGGGACCAGATTCTAAACATCGGTTCAATAACCATTCAGCAGCATTTGAAATGGGCATTCCACATGTAAGAAAGGACACATACAAACAAAAAATGAAACTTTTGGTAAAAATTCTATTAAAATCCACCTAAACTAGAAGCAATGTAAATCAAATATAGTTTGCTATTTCTCCTGTATCTACAGCTGTATGTAAGAAAGAGGTAACTTGCGTGTTATTGGCATCCTTTACTCTGCAGATGAACATTAGTCTTATAATAAATACCTCCTTTTAAGACAGGAAAGGTCATTCTAAATGAGTTTGCTTTGTTTGGCATTTCTTAAAATTTCATTTAACTTAATTATGATTATTCATTTATTTCCTAAGTATCCTTTGAAAATTTCTTGATTAATGATCACTACAGCATAACCTTTCACATATCAAGGCCATTCAGTTCTCTTAAAATGGTACATTATATAATGCATTGCTTCACTATGTGCAAATCTCAGCTATATTTTATTAAGACAAAGCACACTTGGTTTTTCATTAGCACTCAACCAATTACTTATAATGTACTAGAGATGGCCAAACAAGGGATACATACTTAGGCAAAATTCCAAATGTAGCCCTGGGAACAAGGAGGGAGAAGAGAAATGTTCCTTGACAATCACAAATAATAGTATTTCATTTAAAATATCTTAAAATAGTTTTATGACAGAGACACTAATGGTGCATTAAGTCCTGGCTACACAACTTGGGTTCCTCAGATCAGCAGCATTGCCATCACCTGGGAGCTTGTTAGGAATGCAGAAGCTCAGGCCTCACCCCAAACCCCCACACCTATGGGATCAGAATCTGCATTTAAACAAGATCCCCAGATGATTTGTATTCACATTAAAGCTTGAGAATCACTCTGTAAAGCTCTGCTTCTCAAATTTGGCTGCACTTTGCTATCATCTTGAGAGTTTAAAAAATTACTGAGGTTCTGATTTAATTAGCATGGGATGTGACATGAGTAGAGAGAGTTTGAAACACCCCCCCCGCCCCGCCCGCCTTCCAGGTAATTCTAATGAGCAGCTAAGTTTGAGAATAATTGCTCTTAAAAATAGAACCCAACATCATCATCGTTGTGAAATAATAACAATAATAATAATAATAATGTGATGAAGAAGTTATATTTTGGGACAATGAAGTCTTCAGAAAGCACAGATGGAAGCAAACATAAGAACTGTAATTAATGGAAGTATTTTGTGCATAATCACCTTTACACTGATCAGTTTATCAGGTTAACAGAATGATAAGGGGATGGAACAGAAGTGGTGGTGGAGAAGGATAAGAAATGAAACAAGAGGTGAGGCCTAGAAAGCTAGACCCTGGGAAGTACAAAAACACAGGGCCCTTGATAGCAAAGGTTCAGTATATAGACTAGTGTGGTAAACAAGGAGTCAGCATTGAATTCACCTTTGGAAAACTGAGGATCCTGGAAACCACAAGTGGTACTCTTGTCTGTCCTGCCCTATTGAGGGCATTGCTATATGTGTGTGTCACCTAACAAAGTCATACAAAGGAAGGGGAAAGGCCAAGTATTATAACTGCCTTAGCCTGAAGCCTCATCATCTCTTGATTGTTTTATAACACTGAACTCCTAACTGGTATTCCTGTCTCTCCCTCATCATCCCACTACCTACATGCTGCCCAAGTGATCTTTCTAAAGTATGGTTCTAATCTTATTCCTTTTCTTAAAAGGAAACACTCCAAATACATTCCATTTCATGAAACATTACCTCCTTAGCATAAAGGGTATGAAGGAAACTAAGATTTATTGAGTATTAGGTATTTCTTTTATTCCTCAAACAGGATATATGAGATAGATTTTGTTGATCCCATTGTACAGGTGAATAAAAGGATTTTTTCAAGAGGAGAATATTTAATGGCAGAGACAAAATTGGAACTCTGATCTACCTGTATCTTCACTACCTCTCTAGCATGGAACATAAGACTCTTTGTTACCTAACAGTCTTTCTGTATTTATCTCCCAACCTTCTCTCGATATTATAGATGCCCCCACAGACATTTAACATTTCCAAAACATGTCGTGCTTATTGCTATTCCTTTAAAAATTAATTTTCTTTTATGCCTCTATACTTTTGAAGATGGTATTTCTTGTTTCTGGAATGCCCTCTTTTTAAAAAGAAATCTTTGAACAATTACATAGCATTTCAAATTCAAATTCAAATCCCTCAAACCCTAATTGAGGGAGTATGGGGAATGCCTTGTGTAGGAGATGCTTCCTACACAAAGCACTCCCCAAACTCCCTCAATTAGGGTTTATCTCTATTTTTTTTGGTGTGATCATTGTACTTTCCATATATCCTATTCGCTTTGACATGTTGTTTCATAATTATTTTGGTGTATCATTCCCTATTATAAAATGGGGTTCTTGCTGATGCAAATCATGTCTTATCCATTTTCCTAATTAGCATATTCTTCAACTTAGGGTCTACATCAGTCAGTTTGGCCTAAGTTATGCTGTATAACAACCCCTTAAATCTCAGTAGCCTACAACAGCAAAAGTGTGTTTCTTGCTTATATCATAGGTATGATGTGGCTCTGTTTCATGCTATCTTTACTCCAAGACCTAGGGTGATAGAACAGTTTTCACCTGGAATATGGCTGGTTTTGTGACAGAAAGAAAAGTGATCAGATGATCCATGTCACTGAACATTTTATGCTTGGAATTGATACATACCACTTCTACTCATATTTCATTGGCTAAAGCAAGTTGCATGGCTGCTGCTTTAAGAGGATGGCCTGCTAAACTACCTGCTTATTCGACAGTGCCATGATATACAATTTACGCAGGGCCATGATATATAATTTTACCAAAGAGATGGACACTTCAACTTACATAGCCAAGTGTGATGTCAATGACATAGAGATATCCCTATAGTGAGAGGAGTCAATAAATAATGCCATGTACTACAGAGTCACCTACACTACAGGAAATTCACCTGTTCTTCACGCAGTGAAATTGCATTTTATGCAAACTTGCATTGTGTTCGTGTGGTATTTAAGCATTAAAATATTAATAAAATCCTACTATAAACATAAAATTTGAAATAATGAAAATTTCTTATATCTGAAAACTCACCCAAAATTACACAATTTCACAGCTGTAGGGCCAAGTGAATTGAAAACTCTGCCCTATTGCCCCGTGGCAGCACTATTTTAGATAGTACATGAAAATAACATCACCTTTCATCAGGACTAGTCGAGACTTTTTTTTTTTTTTTGAGACAGAATCTCGCTTTTGTTGCCCAGGCTGGAGTAGTGGTGTGACCTCGGCTCACTGCAACCTCTGCCTCCGGAGTTCAAGTGATTCTCCTGCCTCAGCCTCCTAAATAGCTGGGACTACAGGCACATGCCACCATGCCTGGCTATTTTTTGTATTTTTAGTAGAGACGGGGTTTCACCATGTTGGCCAGGCTGGTCTTGAACTCCTGACCTCAGGTCAGGACTGGCCTTTAACTGTATGAGTCCTTTAACTGTATGAGTCATCAGAAAACAAACTCCTTACACACAGTTTCACTGATTGCAGATGCACAATACATGTTTC
Source organism: Homo sapiens (assembly GCF_000001405.40). Taxonomy (NCBI): domain Eukaryota; kingdom Metazoa; phylum Chordata; class Mammalia; order Primates; family Hominidae; genus Homo; species Homo sapiens. The sequence goes on from NC_000023.11 coordinate 30,322,114, forward strand.
AACCTCATCCACCACTCTTCCACTATTAAAACTGTAATTCCCAATTTCAATCCTCATATGACCACTAAACCACTTCCACTGAGACATCAAAGCAAGTTCAACTGCTTCTTCTCATTCACATAAGGAATACAAATATAGAGTTAAGATAACAGAGTTAGTGTTGAAGATTAGATGTGTTACAACATCAGATTTTAAAATCAGGATTGATAGCATTTTCCTGGCTAATGCAAGAAAAAAAGTGAAGTCCTGATTCTACTTTCCATTATCCAGCCAATTATTAACAAGCCAATTATGTGGCTTCAGAAACTTTTTGTCCTTGTCAACATTTATCAAGTAAAATCTTGGTCTAAGAAGGTTAAACTCTACTTAACAAATGCTACCAAAAAAAAGAAAGAAAATGATTTTTTTTGTCAAATATCTATCTTTCATATTTAACATAGCACTATCATGGACACATTCATCCCAGAGTATATTTATATGTTAATATGTGACAATTTGAATGTGTTTAATTACCATGAAACCTGCTCTTTCTTGTGCTCTAAATGTTCCATGAACATCTTCATATGCCATGTTGCTCCTACAAATAGTGTGATGCTCCTTTGAAACATGAGCTGATAACATACAATTATTATGGCAATCATTCTGAAGGTAAATTAGACAAGGCATTTTTGCCTAAACATGAGCAGTTAACTTAAATAAGATAATTAAATATATGTTTTATTCCTAAATACTTTATTTCAATCTCTACAGAAATAACCAAGACACTAAACATATCAGATGTCCAAAAACCTTAAGACCATTCAACAAGTGTATTTTTCAATGTGTCCTGCATATTTGACTTTTTGTGCATTATTGAACATTAAATCTATTCTTTTAACAGATTTTTTGAGAAGTGTCTGTTCATATCCTTTGCCCACTTTTTGATGGGGTTGTTTTTTTTTTCTTGTACATTTGTTTGAGTTCATTGTAGATTCTGGATATTAGCCCTTTGTCAGATGAGTAGGTTGCGAAAATTTTCTCCCATTTTGTAGGTTGCCTGTTCACTCTGATGGTGGTTTCTTTTGCTGTGCAGAAGCTCTTGAGTTTAATTAGATCCCATTTGTCAATTTCAGCTTTTGTTGCCATTGCTTTTGGTGTTTTAGACATGAAGTCCTTGCCCATGCCTATGTCCTGAATGGTAATGCCTAGGTTTTCTTCTAGGGTTTTTATGGTTTTAGGTCTAATGTTTAAGTCTTTAATCCATCTTGAATTAATTTTTGTATAAGGTGTAAGGAAGGGATTCAGTTTCAGCTTTCTACATACGGCTAGCCAGTTTTCCCAGCATCATTTATTAAATAGGGAATCCTTTCCCCATTGCTTGCTTTTCTCAGGTTTGTCAAAGATCAGATAGTTGTAGATATGCGGCGTTATTTCTGAGGGCTCTGTTCTGTTCCATTGATCTATATCTCTGTTTTGGTACCAGTACCATGCTGTTTTGGTTACTGTAGCCTTGTAGTATAGTTTGAAGTCAGGTAGCGTGACGCCTCCAGCTTTCTTCTTTTGGCTTAGGATTGACTTGGCGATGCGGGCTCTTTTTTGGTTCCATATGAACTTTAAAGTAGTTTTTTCCAATTCTGTGAAGAAAGTCATTGGTAGCTTGATGGGGATGGCATTGAATCTATAAATTACCTTGGGCAGTATGGACATTTTCATGATATTGATTCTTCCTACCCATGAACATGGAATGTTCTTCCATTTGTTTGTATCCTCTTTTATTTCATTGAGCAGTGGTTTGTAGTTCTCCTTGAAGAGGTCCTTCACATCCCTTGTAAGTTGGATTCCTAAGTATTTTATTCTCTTTGAAGCAATTGTGAATGGGAGTTCACTCATGATTTGGCTCTCTGTTTGTCTGTTGGTGTATAAGAATGCTTGTGATTTTTGTACATTGATTTTGTATCCTGAGACTTTGCTGAAGTTGCTTATCAGCTTAAGGAGATTTTGGGCTGAGACAATGGGGTTTTCTAGATATACAATCATGTCGTCTGCAAACAGGGACAATTTGACTTCCTCTTTTCCTAATTGAATACCCTTTATTTCCTTCTCCTGCCTGATTGCCCTGGCCAGAACTTCCAACACTATGTTAAATAGGAGTGGTGAGAGAGGGCATCCCTGTCTTGTGCCAGTTTTCAAAGGGAATGCTTCCAGTTTTTGCCCATTCAGTATGATATTGGCTGTGGGTTTGTCATAGATAGCTCTTATTATTTTGAAATACATCCCATCAATACCTAATTTATTGAGAGTTTTTAGCATAAAGGGTTGTTGAATTTTGTCAAGGCCTTTTCTGCATCTATTGAGATAATCATGTGGTTTTTGCCTTTGGTTCTGTTTATATGCTGGATTACATTTATTGATTTGCATATATTGAACCAGCCTTGCATCCCAGGGATGAAGCCCACTTGATCATGGTGGATAAGCTTTTTGATGTGCTGCTGGATTTGGTTTGCCAGTATTTTATTGAGGATTTCTGCATCGATGTTCATCAAGGATATTGGTCTAAAATTCTCTTTTTTGTGTGTGTCTCTGCCTGGCTTTGGTATCAGGATGATGCTGGCCTCATAAAATGAGTTAAGGAGGATTCCCTCTTTTTCTATTGATTGGAATAGTTTCAGAAGGAATGGTACCAGTTCCTCCTTGTACCTCTGGTAGAAATCGGCTGTGAATCCATCTGGTCCTGGACTCTTTTTGGTTGGTAAGCTATTGATTATTGCCACAATTTCAGATCCTGTTATTGGTCTAGTCAGAGATTCAACTTCTTCCTGGTTTAGTCTTGGGAGAGTGTATGTGTCGAGGAATTTATCCATTTCTTCTAGATTTTCTAGTTTATTTGCGTAGACGTGTTTGCAGTAATCTCTGATGGTAGTTTGTATTTCTGTGGGATCGGTGGTGATATCCCCTTTATCATTTTTTATTGCGTCTATTTGATTCTTCTTTCTTTTTGTCTTTACTAGTCTTGCTAGCGGTCTATCAATTTTGTTGATCCTTTCAAAAAACCAGCTCCTGGATTCATTAATTTTTGAAGGGTTTTTTTGGTCTCTATTTCCTTCAGTTCTGCTCTGATTTTAGTTATTTCTTGGCTTCTGCCAGCTTTTGAATGTGTTTGCTCTTGCTTTTCTAGTTCTTTTAATTGTGATGTTAGGGTGTCAATTTTGGATCTTTCCTGTTTTCTCTTGTGGGCATTTAGTGCTATAAATTTCCCTCTACACGCTGCTTTGAATGTGTCCCAGAGATTCTGGTATGTTGTGTCTTTGTTCTCGTTGGTTTCAAAGAACATTTTTATTTCTGCCTTCATTTCGTTATGTACCCAGTAGTCATTCAGGAGCAGGTTGTTCAGTTTCCATGTAGTTGAGCAGTTTTGAGTGAGTTTCTTAATCCTGAGTTCTAGTTTGATTGCACTGTGTTCTGAGAGACAGTTTGTTATAATTTCTGTTCTTTTACATTTGCTGAGGAGAGCTTTACTTCCAACTATGTGGTCAATTTTGGAATAGGTGTGGTGTGGTGCTGAAAAAATGTATATTCTGTTGATTTGGGGTGGAGAGTTCTGTAGATGTCTATTAGGTCCACTTGGTGCAGAGCTGAGTTCAATTCCTGGATATCCTTGTTAACTTTCTGTCTCGTTGATCTGTCTAATGTTAACAGTGGGGTGTTAAAGTCTCCCATTATTATTGTGTGGGAGTCTAAGTCTCTTTGTAGGTCTCTAAGGACTTGCTTTATGAATCTGGGTGCTCCTGTATTGGGTGCATCTATATTTAGGATAGTTAGCTCTTCTTGTTGAATTGATCCCTTAAAAGAAGACATTTATGCAGCCAAAAGACACATGAAAAAATGCTCATCATCACTGGCCATCAGAGAAATGCAAATCAAAACCACAATGAGATACCATCTCACACCAGTTAGAATGGTGATCATTAAAAAGTCAGGAAACAGCAGGTGCTGGAGAAGATGTGGAGAAATAGGAACACTTTTACACTGTTGGTAGGACGGTAAACTAGTTCGACCATTGTGGAAGTCAGTGTGGCGATTCCTCAGGGATCTAGAACTAGAAATACCATTTGACCCAGCCATCCCATTACTGGGTATATACCCAAAGGACTATAAATCATGCTGCTATAAAGACACATGCACACTTATGTTTATTGTGGCACTATTCACAATAGCAAAGACTTGGAACCAACCCAAGTGTCCAACAATGATAGACTGGATTAAGAAAATGTGGCATATATACACCATGGAACGCTATGCAACCATAAAAAATGATGAGTTCGTGTCCTTTGTAGGGACATGGATGAAATTGGATATCATCATTCTCAGTAAACTATCGCAAGGACAAAAAACCAAACACCACATGTTCTCACTCATAGATGGGAATTGAACAATGAGAACTCATGGACACAGGAAGGGGAACATCACACTCTGGGGACTGTTGTGGGGTTGGGGGAGGGGGGAGGGATAGCATTAGGAGGTATACCTAATGCTAAATGACGAGTTAATGGGTGCAGCACACCAGCATGGCACATGTATACATATGTAACTAACCCGCACGCGGTGCACATGTACCCTAAAACTTAAAGTATAATCATAATAATAAAAAAACAAAAAAAAAAACAGATTTTTATGAAGAATCTGGTATATTCCAGGTAATGGGCTAAGCATTTGCTATGGATTATTTCACTCACTTTAGGCGTATCGGGAAATAATTTCTGTGAAAGTTATTCTTAAGTCAGGCCCATGAAGAATCCATGGGATTTAACAGGAATAGATGAGCATTTTAGGTAGAAGGTACAGATGGGCAAAAGCCTTCAGGGGGCAAAAATCTTAGCATGTTCAAGCTGAATGTCACAGGGACACACTGTGAGAGGGAACAAATGGATCAAGTTAAAAATGCCACGGCCTTTGATGGAGATAATGAGCTAACCCACATTTTCTGTAGCTAATTTATGAGTGTTCATTGGTATTTATTTTAAAAGAAACCCAACTCCTCTTTTCCTTATGTTTACAGACATAGAAGAAAATTTTGTGGTAAGTATTCTGCAACAATCAACCCAGCAAGCAGAATTATAAAATGGGTCACGTTTTTCACATTTCTACCAATCAGACTAAGGAGCACATTCTTTAGGCATACGATTAGTTTTCAGGTAATTCTTTATGTGCTTTATCTTAATACTGATATCCTGGTACCTTGAGGGTTTCTTTATGTTGACAATAGCCCCACACATATTTTGAAAGGCAATAAAGCCAATCTGAGTAAAGTGGATTTCTTTCTAATAGAATACTCTACCATCATAATATTGTTTAACACAATTTAGAATTCTCATTAACTTCAGTGAGAATGTGTACTTAACAAAGCAATCAAATAGTGTCTTATGTTTAAATATAGAATTTGATACTTTCCCTGTCCTCATGTTAATTACTGAATATCAGGCACTTGAGTAATGTTAATTCCTTGGGTATATCTTCACTGAACTATGTATTCGCTTTAATGATTTTATTAAAACTTTCAGAATGTTCAACTCATTTCAATCTCTCTCCCATGTTTCTTATTAAAGCCCTAGTTGGATAAGCTTAGCTTTGTCCGTGGTAATCAGTCATTCATTCCAAAATAATAGCGTCTTGAACAACATAGAAGTTCGCTTCCATCTCAACCATATTTAGTCAGGATGGAAACTCCATGTCTGCCAAGGCATCTCCAGATTCATCAAGGACCCATCACGAACATCCTCCTATATTCCTTTTCTACAATCATTATTAGCCCGCAACCTTATAGTCAAGATGATAGTGTTAGCTTCAGCAATCCAATCCACATTCCAGCCAGCAGGAGGATGAATGAGATGGGAATAAGTGGCAAAATGTCTCTGAACATGATTAGTAGAAAGCTCATGCCACCATTTTCTTTACACATCTTTGAACAGAACGTAGTCACAAAGACACACCTGGCTGAAAGAAAGACTGGGAAGCATAATCTTACTTCCACACAGCCATGTGCTCTGGTAAACTCAGGGATTCTATTACTAGAAAAGAAAGATGAAATAGATTTTTGAGTAGACAAACATCTCTGGTACAGAATACGTTCTGAAATCTAAAAATAAATAAGTAATTTTATCCAATATGTAAAATGATATATGCCTTTTCTAAGTCTTGGCTATCCTCCTCTTCCCTGCACTTGTCACCCACCACCCATCCTATAGCCCTTATTCCAAATCTTCAAGCATTTCTATGATTTTGTGATGTGTGGCTTGATCAAAGAAATGTAAGTTATATGTTTACTACATTTTGAGACGGAATTTTGCTCTTGTTGCCCAGGCTGGAGTGCAATGACCCGATCTTGGCTCATTGCAACCTCCTCCTCCCGGGTTCAAGTGATTCTCCTGTCTCAGCCTACCGAGTAGCTGGGATTACAGGTGTTCGACACCATGCCCAGCTAATTTTTTTTTTTAATGCTTAGTAGAGACGGGGTTTCACCATGTTGGCCAGGTTGGTCTCAAACTCCTGACCTCAGGTGATCCACCCGCCTCGACCTCCTGAAGTCCTGGGATTGCAGGCATGAGACACTGTGCCCGGCCTACTATGTTTTGAAATAAGTGTTTTCCTAGAGTTCTCAATCTAATCACTGACGTATAAGAGTAATTCTCTTTGGGGTCTAAAAATTTACAATTTATCAAAGATTATTCCAAGAGGATCTCTTTTATTGATTCACATAACACAAAATTTAGCATTTAAACATTTTTATGTATTTTTCAGTGGCATAGCACATTCACAGTGCTGTGCACCCATCATCACTAACTAATTCCAGAACATTATCATTTTTCCAAAAAGAAACCTCCTACTACACATCAAGGAATCATCCACATTTCCCCTTCCATCAACCCCTGAGACCACTAATCTGCTTTCTATGTCTATGGATGTGCCTATTTTGCACATCTCATATAAATGCAATTATACAATGTGTGGCCTTTAGGGTCTAGCTTATTTCAATTAGCATAATGTTTACAAGGTTAATCTATGTTGTAGGGTGTATCAGCACTTCATTCCTTTTTATGGCCAAATTAATATTCTATTGTGTGAATATACCACATCTTGTTCATCCATTAATTAGTTGATAGGTGCACGGATTGTTTCTACTTTTTGGCTATTATGAATAGTGCTGCTATAAATATTTGTGTACAAGTTTTTGTGAAGACATATGGCTTCATTTCTCTTGACTATATACCCAGGAGTAGAATTACTGGATCGTATGATAATTCTATGCTTAATTTTTTTTAGGAACTTCCAAATTATTTTCCACAATATGTGAAACATTTTACATTCCTATCAGCAGTTTATGAGTTTCACAATTTCTCTGCATCCTCACCAATACTTATTTTCTGTTTTGTTTTTAATTATAGCATCCTAGTGAATGCAAAATGGCATTTTTTTCTAGTTTTGACTTACATCTCCCAAATGCTTAACGATGTTGAACATCTCTCTTGTGTTTGTTGACCATTTGCATATCTTCTGTGGAGGAATGTCTATTTGAGTCGTTTGCTCAATTTTTAATTGGGTTGCTTGTTTTTTGTTGTTATTTTTGAGCAGTACAACTTCTTTATGTATTTTGGTTCAGTCTCTTATTGGATATATGAGTTGTGAATATTTTCTACCACTCTGTGTGTTGTCTTTTCACTTTCTTGATAGGTTCTTTGATGCACAAAAGTTTTTTTTTAATTTGATAAAGTCCAATGTATCTATTTTTGTTGTTGTTGTTGCTCATGCTTTTGTTGTCATATTTGAGAAGCCACTGCCTAATACACAGTCACAAAGATTTACATGTTTTCTTCAAAGAGTTTTATAGTTTTCGCTTTTGATTTGATTCTTTTTGATGCTGTTGTAAATGAAACTGTTTTCCTAATTTCATGTTTGTATTGTTCATTGCCAGTGTATAGAAATACAGCTGTTTAGACTGGGTGCGGTGGCTCACACCTGTAATCCCAGCACTCTGAGAGGCCAAGATGGAGGGGTGGGTGGATCGCTTGAGGTCAGGAGTTCGAGGCCAGCCTGGCCAACATGGTGAAACCCTGTCACTACTAAAAATACAAAAGTTAGCTGGGCATGGTGGTGTGCGCTTGTAATCTGAGCTACTTGGGAGGCTGAGGCAGGAGAATCACTTGAACCCAGGAGGCAGAACTTGCCATTGCAGTGAGCCCAGATTGTGCCACTGCACTCCAGCCTGGGTGATGGAGCGAGACTCCATCTCAAAAAAGAAATACAACTGTTTATTGCATGTTGATTTCGTACCCTGCAACTTTGTTAAACTTGTTTATTAGCACAAATTGTGTTTTTATGTGTGACTCTTTAAGTTTTAGTTTTACTTCTCTCTTTCCAATTTGGAGACCTTTTTTTTAATTGTCTAATTCCCCTGTGTAGGACTTCCATACGCTATTGAGTAGAAGTGGTTAGGGCAGATATCTTTGTCTTTTCTTTGATCTTACAGTAAAAGCTTTTAATCTTTTACCATTGAGTATGATGCTAGCTGTGAGATTTTCATAAATGCCCTTTATCAGATTAAGGTAGATAACCTCCATTCCTAGTTTGCTGGTTGTTTTCTCATGACAGGTTACTGGATTTTGTCAAATCCTGTTTCTGCATCAATTGAGTTGATCATGTGCCTTGTTTCCTTCATTCTATTAGTATGGTTGTTGCATTAGCAGGTTTTCATATGCTAAGCCACCTTTGCATTCCTGGGATAAATTCCACTTGGGCATGGTGTATAATTCTTTTAAAATGCTACTGAATTCATTTTGCTAGTACTTTATCAAGCATTTTTGCATCTACATTCATAAGGGATATTGGTCTGTAGTTTTTTTCTTGTGATGTCACTACCTGGCTTTAGTATCAGGGTAATATTGGCCTCATAGAGTGAGATTATTCCTATTAGCCAAAACATGAAAACAACCTAAATGCCCATCGATAGACGAATGAATGAAGAAAAGATTACATATGTTTATTATATATGTATATATTATATATTTAGTGTTATATATTACTTATCCATATATATCAATATATGGGGAACAGAGTTAGTTCAGGCTTTTTGTTGGATGATGATAAATTCAGAAAAATCAGAGAGTAGCGTGAAGTGGCAAATTCAAAGCAGCGCCCAGACAGGCTGATGGAGATATCATTTTAAGTCAAAGAATTCCATAAGTGACATGAAAATTCAAGTAGGGATGATTTAAAGGGAAAACAAGAGATGCCTATAGTGTAGGTATTCAGATTGACAGAGGTTGTTTTAAATATACCTCTGACCTCTGACCTCAGTCACAGGTGACTGGACAATCCAAATAGTTTAAGCTAATGATAGTCATCTCAAATTGTTTTTTGAGAAAATATAGTATATGGAGTAGAAGTAATTAAATGTTTAATGGTTAGAATTTTCTATTTTAAAACATGAGTGAGAAAATAATTGTAGATAGTAATAAATGGGCAATAGTATACTACCTATGCACAAGGACGCATATTATATTTTATCATTGAGAGAAATTGTGTACCTTTCTGTCACCTGCCTATGCCAAAACAATGGTAACAATTCCAGTACATTTAAAACCATACATCAAGAGTTTTCTCTTTCTAACAGAAATTCAGAAAAAGTTTTAAACAAATATCTACAAGGATAGAAGGGGGGTACAAAGCAAAATGTTTCCAAGTAATATTTGATTATTTCCGAACTTCAGATCCATCATCCATGTATTTACCACCAAAAACTGCAGGAAGGCAGGAAGGCAGGCAGGAAGGAAAGAGATAGAACCATCACCTCTAAAGATAAAGTTAAGAGATAAATTACACAAAGTTTTTGAATAATTAAAATAAGTGTTTTACCTCCCAGGTCAACTATGAAGAGTATGTTATTCTTTAAGCATTTGTTATTCTACATGAACACATGTGCTGTTGAAATCTAATGAGCCAAAGATTACCAGAGGCAACCTATAGTCTGACCAAATTATAACTATTGCCTCAATGAAGTAAGAGGGGCACATTCCAGAGAGACTGTGGGTTGCTGCTCCCAACAAGAAGGAAGGAAGAGTCTTTGGTAAGATTTGGGCTCCTGCTGAAGGATTTTGTGGAGAGTCTCAGGGAAGTGGGGATCAGTTCTGGACTGGTTTTAGTTTTTCTAAGGTAAGATCAGAAGAAGCAGGGATTAGTTAGGGGTTGAGTATTGTCATAAGTCAAGGACAATTTAGCAATTGGGTACCCCCCAGTAATAGATAGGAACAGCAAAGTGTACCTGGGAGCATCATTAGTAAGAAAACACTCACTTGGAGGCAGAAGGTGGAAAGGATGGTTGTCATGACATTAAAAACTATTACACAGCTTTGGGAGGACAAGTGTGCCCTGTTAATTTTGCAGTTAACATTATGTGTCTGTCCTCCCAGGATGATTAATGACAGACCTGCTTTTTTTCCTGTTTTAGTCCACGACATTTTATTTTTTCAACCTCGGACAGGGTTTTACTATTTTAGTGTACATATTCTAGCTGTCTGTTGAATGTCATACATAATTAAGAGCTTGTTTAGTTTTGAAATGGCATAAATCTTCAGTACAAAAGCAGAATAACAAAGAAACTTCTACTCTTCTGGTTAAATTTATATTCTCTTTTAAAAATTGACAAGGAAGTAAAAGTCTGTGGGATCTTCTTTTCTCTATCTTGATCATTGATTCTTAGAGGACATAAAACAGGGTTAGTCAAGCTTTGCCTCTAGCAGCTATGCCATGCTTTAAAAAAGTCCTTCACACTAGTAAAGTGCTAGTTTCATGCGAAACATGATCATAAATAAATTGGCTCAGGGTATCTGCAAACTCCTTGAGGGCAAGGACCTTGTTTTACTCACATTTGTACCCACTCACAGCTTAGTACAAGGTCTTTATATATGAGCCTCAATAAATATTTGCTGGATTGAATCCTATTTGAAAAAGAATGTGGAGAGCACTATATAAAAGACTGAATATATTATAAGATGAGAAAGAGAGAAATGTTGATCTTAACCGTACCTGGAAGTGTGTATGTCATTTTAATGCTTTCCTAAAGGCTAGGGGATAATCAATCTCTCTAGATAAAACCATGTTCTTTACTTCAAAGGAAAGGTGAGTTTCCACATAGATTTAGTGAAATAATGTACTATCCTTTATTGAATGTCTTAAAATTATGTCTTTGTCATATTTCTCACCAATCTGTCTAAAATTTATTAAATGTAGAAGTATCTACCAACCTGTAGAATTATAATAATAGTATTCATCCTTATTACTTAGCATATTAACATTATAGGTATAACTATCCAACCAATAACTTAGCATTTATTATATAAAAACATAGTTTCCTATCATAAATCCTTGAAAACAAAGTCTATTGAAAATAATAACCTTTGCTATGTTTGCCCTTTTTGAACAGCCATGTCTGTGATCTGCAGACTATTAGATAATAGTATGTATTTGTTTTGTTTCATTTTTTAAAATCTATTTTCCTTAAAACCTGCTTGTTTAAAGAATAAAAAAACTTTGAATTGAGCCTCTATCCACAGTTTGAACAGCATATATACATATATATACCTACATATATATACATATATATATACCTACATATATATACATATATATACCTACATATATATACATATATATACCTACATATATATACATATATATACCTACATATATATACATATATATACCTACATATATATACATATATATACCTACATATATATACATATATATACCTACATATATATACATATATATACCTACATATATATACATATATATACCTACATATATACATATATATACCTACATATATACACATATATATACCTACATATATACACATATATATACACCTACATATATATACCTACATATATATACATATATATACCTACATATATATACATATATACCTACATATATATACATATATATACCTACATATATATACATATATACCTACATATATACACATATATATACCTACATATATATACATATATATATACCTACATATATATACATATATATATACCTACATATATATACATATATATATACCTACATATATACACACATATATATATACCTACATATATATATATATATTCACACACACCTACATATCCACACACACATATCTATACACACATACATACTGGTAAGCAATTAGATCCGTTTCACAGTGGTGTGTTCAATAATAAATATATATATATACACACATCAATATATATAAAGCTATGAGAGTGCAAACAATCCAGAAATCTCTTTGGTCTTGGGAATACTGGACATGATTTCACGGAGGCTACATGTGAGCTGGGTATTGAGGAAGGGGATACTCCATTCAACGGCAGGAAAGATTTTTTAAGGAAGAAGATGATGTGAATAATGAATGGAGATGAGAAAATCCTCTGGAAATTTCAAGTTATCCAGTATGGTGTGGAGTGGATTTTAAGGTTAATTTGTGTCAGATATGCTGAAAGCCAGTTTTAATTTAGGTTTCCCTCAGAGTTGATCCTGAGACAAAGACTTGGATGCAGGTAGTTCCTTTGGAGATTAATCTCAGAAAGGGTAAATAAGGAAGTGAGAAAGTGAAGGGAGAAGGGCAAAAAAAAAAAGTTTATTGTTGGTAACTGAAGCCCAATTCCTCCAGGAATCCTGGAAAACCATGTGGAACACAGTACAGAATTATTCCACTAGAGGATGAGGAAGCTAAGGTATTTATCTGCCAAGTCTCACTCCCTGTTGATTGAGGGTTGAGGAATAAGGGCTACTATACCACCACACTTTTGGGTTACAACTGAAGGCAGCTAGTCAAGCTCTCAGGTTGCTGGAGAAATCCCTCAGGTAGATAAGGAGAAACATGGTTGCTTGGGATGAAAATCTGACAATGGGCTGGGAACTCCATCTGCACTTCAGGTGAACTCAGACGAACTGAGAGTATATGAGAAAGTGCATCAACAGAGTCTATTACAGAGGTCTTGGCGGTCAAACTGATAATTTTCAGTATGCGATGGAGGTCTTGAAGCTAGGTGAGAAGCTGAATGTTATGAAGACAGGTGTATTAAGAAGATGCGCATAGGATATTATCTTCTGAATATACCTTCTAGGATATGGGGTAAACACTGGCGAGCAGGACAACCAGATGTAGAACTGTTAGTATAATTTATGTAATGGTAATCAAGCTTTGAATAACTTGTGTTGTGGGTATAGCGGTCACAGTGAAGGTGAAAAGACAAAACGTTCTGGAAATGGTTTCAAGAAAACAAGTTCAATGATAATTGGTGGGACCATGGAGTAATAAGGGGGTTGAGAAGTAATAAGAAGATAGAAACTTTATATTAGAAGTAGATAACTGTATTTTTTTTTGAGCTTAAGACATTTGGAAATTCACAGAAAGGCAGAGAATATGCAGCTTGTGGGTGGGGGGAGGCGGGTACAGAGAAATGATGAAATTAGATTTTTTCTGTCAATTAAGAAGTATAGGGACATTTAAGTTTTTTTCTGATTCCCTCCAGTCTCATTTCCAGTTCTGGTTTAATATATAGTTCTCAATTTTGGTTACCCATTTAGAATCACCTGAGGGGGCTTGTGAAAATCGTGATATCCAGGCTTCTCTCCAGCCCAATTAAATCAGACTCTTCAGGAGCAGTATCCAAGATTCTATAGTTTGTAAGACTGCCAAGGTGGTTCCAATATGCAGCCATGATTTAGAACCATTTGATTATATTAATAAAGTATTTAATAAGTTCCACTTTAATACTGTACATCAATTCACCAGTTCTAATTCTGGCTTTGTCTTGGTAAGTGGGTTTTTACTTTCTCGTGGAAACAATTATTTTTCTTATTCAACCACTGTGGTAACTGCACCCTGTGGCCTTAATAACTTTCCCAGCACCCAAACCCTCTATTTTCATCCAATTTCCTCCAGCCTTAGCCAACATCTGAACTTTAATCCTAAGGTTCAAGCTTTGTTGCCTAGTGTCTCTGATGCCAATAGCCTGCCAGCCTGAATGTCTTCATCAAAGTTCTATGTCCAATCTGTAGCCAAAGGACAGCCTCTAATTAAGTTTACTGCAGCTAAAATTCCTTCACAGTTCACAACTAAAGAAAAAGATTTGTTTCTCCTCACGAACTGGTATATTTCTTTCTATTATGTAATAAGAACCCATTATAGTTCCCTTTTCTATAAAAGCTGGAGAAGCTTAGTTTTAGATTTTTGGACATGTGAAATTAAAATTTGTGGAATACTTGTTATCAAAAAAGCAACCTGACAAGGTAAGGCATCTTTTCCAGCTTGTGAATATCCTGGCCCATCTCTACTAGCCACAGAATATATTGAACCCAAGAGATACAGCCTCCCACAACTTCATGCTTCTTCTCAACAAACATGTAAAATTCTCCTGCATTTATGTCAGCCTTGCCTCTTTCCTCTTGCTTCAACATATGAGATGTTTCTCTTTGTACTTTCTCCTCAGGTGTTTTGCTTCAGTAATTAACTTCTCCCTTCAATTAATTAGAGATCAAAAATGCTATTTGTATATTTCATCTTTAAAACAAACAAACAAAAAACTGTCAAACAAAAATCTCTTCTTTGACCCCATATTTTCCTCAAGGTAATTTTCCTGTTTCTCTTTCCCTTCTCTGCAAAAAAATAGAGTACTCATATGAAACCCAAAAACAGACTGAATAGCTGAAGCAATCCTAAGCAAAAAGAACAAACCTGGAGGCATCACACTGCCTGACTTCAAACTATACTACAGGTCTACAGTAACCAAAACAGCATGTACTGGTACAGAAACAGACACATAGACCAATGGAACAGAATGGAGAACCCAGAGATAAAGCCACACACCTAAAACCATCCGATCTTCAACAAAGTCAATGAGAAAAAAAAGCAATGGGGAAAGGGCTCTCTATTCAATAAATGGTGCTGGGATAGCTAGTGAGCCAAATGCAGAGTGAAACTGGACCCCTTTCTTTCACTATATACAAAAATTAACTCGGGATGGAGTAAAGATTTAAACATAAAACCTCAAACCATAAGAATCCTAGAAGAAAATCTAGGAAATACCCTTTTTGACATTGGCCTTGGCGAATAATTTTTGGCTATGTCCCCAAAAGCAACTGCAACAAAAACAAAAATTGATAAATGGGACCTAATTAAACTAAAGAGTTTCAGCACAGTAGAAGATACTATCAACAGAGTAAACAGACAACCTACAGAATGGGAGAAAATATTTGCAAGCTACTCATCTGACAAAGTTGTCATACCCAGAATCTATAAGGAACTTAACCAAATCAACAAGCACAAAACAAATAATCCCACTAACAAATGGGCAAAGGACATGAACAAGTACTTTCTTTTTTTTTTTTTTTTTTTTTTTGAGACGGAGTCTCGCTCTGTCACCCAGGATGGAGTGCAGTGGCATGATCTTGGCTCACTGCAACCTCCGCCTCCTGGGTTCAAGTGATTCTCCTACCTCAACCTCCCGAGTAGCTGGGGTTACAGGTGCCCACCACCACGCCTGGCTAATTTTTTGTATTTTTAGTAGAGACGGGGTTTCACCATGTTAGCTATGATAGTCTCGATCTCCTGACCTCGTAATTTGCCCACCTCAGCCTCCCAAAGTGCTGGGATTACAGGCGTGAGCCACCACCCCCGGTCTGAGCAGCACTTTTTAAAAGAAGACATGCATGCAGCCAACAAGCATATGAAAAAAAATGCTCAACATTCCTAATTATCAGAGAACTGCAAATCAGAACCACAATAAGATACCATCTCACACCAGTCAGAACGGCTACTATTAAAAAGTCAAATAATAACAGATGCTGGCAAGGCTGCAGAGAAAAGGGAACACTTACGCACTGCTGGTGGGAATGTAAATTAGTTCAGCCACTGTGAAAAGCAGATTGATTTCTCAAAGAACTTAAAGTAGAACTACCATTCAATCCAGCAATCCCATTACTGGGTATGTACCCAAAGGAATATAAATCATTTAACCAAAAAAACCCACATGCACTCATATGTTCATTGCAGCACTATTCATAATAGCAAATACATGGTCTCAACCTGGGTGCCCATTAACCATGGATTGGATAAAGAAAATGTGCTACATACACATCATGGAATACTATGCAGTCATAAAAAAGAATGAGATCCTGTTCTTTGCAGCAACATGGATGCAGCCAGAGGCCACCATCCTAAGTGAATTAATGCAGGAACAGAAAACCAAATAATGCATGTTCTCACTTACAAGTGGGAGCTAAATATTGGGTACCCATGGACATAAAAATGGAAACAACAGACACTATGAACTACAAGAGGGGAGGGAGTGGGGCAAGAGTTGAAAAACTACCTACTGGGTACTATGCTCACGACCTGGGTGATGGGATCCGTATCCTAAACCTCAGCATCATGTAGTACACCCATGTAACAAACCAGCACATGCACCCCCTGAATCTAAAATAAAAGTTGAAATTATAAAAAAGAGTAGTCTATATTCAATTAATTCACTTTTCCAACATATTACAGTCTGGTTTATGACAAGTCTTCTTTCCTGAAACTGTTATTGCAGAGGTCCCCAGTAATCTTCCAGTTGCTAAAACTAAAATGTTTTTGCTCCTTGCCTGACTTGTCCTTTCCACAACATTTAACAATTTCACTTATTTTCCCTTTGAAACCTCTTCTCCACTATGTGGAGTGACATCATTCTCTCCTGCCTCTCTAGTCACTCTCTGTCAGTCTCTTTACAAGCTTCATTCCCTCTCCTCTCACCCTAAGCATCCTTTTCCACAAAAATCCCGATCTTGACACTCTTCTAAACTTTATATATTTTCCATTAGTTAATTATTACATATTGTTGATTTCAAGATCTTTAAATCCAACACAAATCTTTGGTCTAAATTCTAGATCTGCATATTTAACTTCCTCTGTATATATCATAAACATCTCAATTTCAATCTGTTACTTTTCAAGACTTTGCCACCTCTAGCACTCTACTGAAACTACTTCTAAGAGATCTCCAATGCTTTCCTACTTGAAAATCCAATTGGCATCCCCTCTTTATGAAATATTTTTGACTTCCAGGTTTCTATATTCTCCTATATCATATTCTTCCTCTCTGAACATTTTTCCTCTCTCTTTAACATACTTCTCTTTTCTAACTTGCTCTCTAAGTCTAGTTATCCCTCCATATTCTATCCTAGTGCAGTTAATATTTGAATACCACCTACTGAGGGAAATCCTCAAGCTTGGGGTAGTATAGCAGGAGCATGTGTATTGGGAAAAAAGTTATTTTTCAAGATACTAATTAAGGAAGAGTTAAGAAAATAAGGCTGACATGACCCATGGTGCAAGGACGAAGTGTCTCTGCTTGGGCTTAGTTATAAATGGGAGCACTTTCTGGACCAATTGTAATAACATTCATTGTCTTCAACTCAAATTGTTCTGAACCATACTGAGTCACAGCTATTAAGAGAAGACTGAGACACAACCAAATAAACTGTAGTTTGCTATTTATTTGTTAGCTACTTGAAGGGAGAATTCATTTTTTTAATCTCTAAATTTCCAACATCTAACACGCTACTTGATCATTGTAAAAATTTTAAAAAGTGTTTTGAAAGCAAAAGAATGATTCAAAAGCCCTCAGGGAACAGTTAATGAGACATTTGTGTTTTCCTCCTCCACAGCCTTTAGAAGCTCAAAGGCAAGAGCAGAGAAATAGCGTGGTGGTGACATCCAATGTTGATAATTTGCAAGGCGGGCCCAATTGAAGGGGAAGCAAGTAAAACCAAAAGGGATGTTTCTTAATAGGATGGGTTGAGTTCCAGTGATAGAGAAAAACATACATTTGATAGAAGCATGGGTAAAATAAAGGTAAAAAGAGAGTGGCCTGTAGTCAGAAGGGGAAATTCAGTTTCCAATCTTGGATGAGGAGTCGTTCTGGTGACGGTAAGTCTCAATTTGTGACAATTCCAGAGTCAACTATAGCTATGTGGAGATAAGGTAGAGCAAGGATCCATGATATCAAATGGTTGGTGAAAAGGGTAGTGATAGAAGTGGGATAGTTACTATGATCCAAGTGCTAAAGAAAGTGAGAAAAGTTTCTCTCCCAGAGAGGTAGTATGGCACAGTGATTATGAGTGTAGACTCGGGATTCAGAAGTAGGGTTTTATACATACTTCTCTTGTTTACCAGCTCAGTGACCTTAAACAAGTGACCTTGGACAAATTGCTTAACCTAGCCAAGCCTAAATATTGTCATTTATAAGGCAGAGATAATAGTGTCTATCTCATAAGGTTGTTATCTGTATTAAATAAGATAATGCAAGCAAATTACTTAGCACATGATGACTGATTCATAGTAAGCCCTCAGTAAATGTCAATTGAAAAATATAGACATTGGCAGTAAGGACTGGACAACAGCACTAAGAGTTGGCTTCGTTTTCAAAAAATAAGATGTGACCAATGTAGGTGTTTAAATTCATTCTAGTCATTGGGTGCAAAAAATTCTTCCCAGGCAGCTGGAAAAAAAAACTTGCCAATATGATCATGAAACTATTTCCAGTAGTCTTTGAGGAGTACCCTATTTTAGTCTGGGTTCCATAGAAAAGAAATCGTAAGACAAATGCTTATTGCTATTACTTTATTGAGGCATGCAATTTCAAGAATCAACAGTGAGAGAAAAGGGTAGTGAGGCAGAGAGCGAAAGCAAATATAAAAAATTATGTTTCCTAGCTGGCCACAGCTTCATAAGCTAACTACTTCATCTTGCCAGATGGCTTGAGAACAGTACTGCCTTTAGACCCAAGCAAAACAGAATGTTTGCCTTGAGCCACACATATCACACACATACACACACGCACACGCACACACGCACAACCCACAACTAAACAACACATGTGTGCCTCTTTCCCTAGAGATGTAGCACTCAGTAGTTCTGGCACAGCCACAGCAGGTGTCGTAAATATCCGCTTTCACAACTAATGCCATCCAGATCCCAGAGAAATATCTCCCATCATCTCTTGCCTATGCTCTCTAAATCCTTTATGGGTTGTCCCACTGCCATCATTAGAGATGAAGTTGAGTCCTACGTCAGACTGCAGAAAGATTTGAGTGGCAGAAGCACTTAGGCAAGAAAAAAATAAAGTAATTTACTGGCTATATCTCTTCCCTCAGCCTGAATGAAATAGATGTTAGCATTACAAAATATTATTTTCCAGTAGTGCCTATTATTTCATTCTTCACTTTTATTTTTTTCCAGTTATATATCTGGAGATATTCACAAATTAGCAAATTGGCACATGGCCCCAGGCGAACATTTTTCAATATTAATCAATTCATGTTATTCTTAAATTTGTATTTACGTAGATACACATGTAACATGCATAAAGTATGAATCATTTTTTGGAATGACGACTAAATGAACACTGAATGCTAGAAATACAAAGAGTTTTTTTATGATTATATTTCATAAGATTTGATTACAATTTTTAAAAATTACATAAGATGTCAGTTTTATTTGAGTAAGCTTGACTTAAAATTTTGACACTAATTAAAATTTGTGTTTGTATTTTAACCTAAAAATATTATTTTGGACATTTTGAAGAAAAAAACTTTTTGAAACATAATTAAAACTTTTGATTTTATATTTGTTTAAACTGATATTTTAATGACAATACATCCCAAATTTGTGCACCTTGAAAATAAGTTTATCTGTTAATTCTTCAGATCTTTGCTGCCCAATATGGTGGCCACCAGCCACACACGTGTTATTGAGCACTTGACATGCGGCCCTTCCAAACTGAGATGTGCAATAAATGTAAAATATACATTGGATTGTGAACACTTAATATGAAAAAACAGTGTTTAATAGCTCACTTATATTTTTATTTGTTACATGATGGAATTGAAATATTCTGATATATTGGGTTCTAAATAAGTACATTATTAACATTAATTTCAATTGTTTCTGTTTACTTTTTTAATGTGGCTATGTTGGACATAACCAACTTAATTCTGTCAATAGACACAATTTATGTGAAAATCTTCCTCAAAGTAATATAATTAATGATTTTACTGAAGTGAAAGCAAACAAGATAATTTTTGATAATAAGATAATTTTTATAATGGACTATGAAGAATATACTTATTCATTTTATCACTAGTTCAAACATCACCAGCCCTAGGTATGTGCAATAAAAATTTAAATTGAGCATCTTTGATATTTTGTGAGCTTTCAGTCACAGGAAAACAGCAGGTTTACAAAATTTGTTTTTGTCATTATTATGGGACTGGGAAGTACTTAAATGTCGTTACTGCAAGAATCACCCATCCTACACATTCCCCAAGAAGCAGCCCCTTGCCCCACCCCAGTGCTCTTCACACTGGTTTAGGATGGAGACATATATGGATAGTTTACTGAAGAGTGGGGGCAGTGCTCACAAATCATGACAGTGCAGGGGCAGAAGAAGCTGTTCCTTCATCTGACTCACTTTCCCTAGGATTACATTAAAAAAGAAGAGTCTTGATGGACATTTTTATTAACCTTACCTCTATCTTTCCATAATTATTCTGTCCTCTTTGCAGAATTTCCAGGAAACTTAACCTTTTCCCACATGAGAAAAATGTTACACAGCTCAGTCCCTTCTTGTCTCTTACCTTCTCCAGTACCTCATACTTCAGAAATGAGGTATGTTTCTCGTTTTGTGAGATGAGTGACAGAAACAGGTGTCCCATCCTCGTTCCTCAATTCAGCATCCCCACCAGCGGGAACCTCACAAGTTGCCCAAAAGAAAACTTCTCTCACTAGAGAACACATTAATATTTTGACTCCGTGAGGACAACAAGGGCAACTATTTTAGAGGGAAAGCAAAATTTGGCTGGTTTACACCTGAAAGTCTTTTCTTCCTAATAGCCATAGAGTAGCTCTGCTGCTTCCCATTCTCATTCTGTGTTCTTTGTTAATATCATAACAATATTACCAAATTTGCTGGGATGGTCCCAGTTTATGCCTGTTCTCCTTGTATAATTATTAAAACTGCCTCCTTTCTGGAGACCCAGGGAACCAGAAAGTACCAGAGTAATAGCAGAGAGAAAGGAGATTGAGAAAGAAACCCAACAAAGACACCTATGAACTCCTGAGTTCACCCTGAACCCGTGCATGCATAGATTGGATCTTACCTACCAAAGACGTTAAAGACTGAGCTAACAGGTAGACCTCCACCTAGATTCCAAACAGACCGCTGGGTGGTGCACATGAGGGACAGTTCCAAATATCCTGCAAAGCCTTCAACAACTGTAATGATAGTGGTACCACAGGCCACAGAAGGTGAGTTGAAACTTGCTACCTCAATATGACCAAGTGAAGTACGTACTATCACAAAAATGTCTTAACTATTTAAAGTAGATGCTAAAATAAAAATATGAATGTCATTTATAGAATTTAAACATAGTTTCATAATGTAATATTCAAAATGTCCAAGAAACAATCCAAAATTACTCAGCATATTAAGAATCTCAAAAATCTCAACTTACATAGGAAAAGAGTTAACAGTTACCAAAAATAAGATGATATAGATATTGGAATTTTCTGAGAGACACTTTAAAGCAGCTATAATAAGAATGCTAGAAAGAGCAATCATGAAGACTCCTCAAACACAAAATAAACAGTATCAGCAAATAAATGGAATATATAAAAAAGAAACAGTGAATATTTTAGAACTTAAAAATGCAGAACTGAAAAATTTTGAAAACCTCACTGAATGTACTTAATAGCAGAGTGAAGGTGACAAAAGAAAGAATTGGTAAACTTAAAGATAGATCAATATAAATTGTCAAGCCTGAGCAAGAGACAAGAAAAATAGATTGAATAAAAATAAACAGTGTCACAAGTGTACCTGTGAGACTACAACAAAACATCTAACATTCATGTCATTGGAGTGCTAGAAGGAAAACGGAAAAAGTGTGGCGCTGAAAAAAATATTTGAATAAATATGGCTGAAAACTTCCCAAGTTCTACAAAAGACCTACACATTCTAGAAAATAAATGAACCCCAATTAGTAATAACCAAAATAATTCAAGTGCCAACACATTGTAATCCAACTGCTAAAAAACAAAAGACAAAGAAAAATCTTGAAAGCAGCCATAAAAAATAATGCATTACCTGTAAGAGAACGATGATTTAATTGACAATGGATTCCTCTTCAGAAACCATGGTGGCTAGAAAAAAAGAGGTAGAACAATTTTAAAGCACTGGAAAAGAACAAATTTCAATCCAGAACTCTATATCCAGAGACAATATCCTTCCAGAATAAAGGTGAGTAAAGACATTCTCAGATGAAGGACAACTAGAGAATTTGGAGCCAGAAGACCTGTTCTGGAAGACTTTCTAAAGGAAGTTCTTCAGATGAAAGGTATATGACACCAGAAGGAAACCTGGAACATCAGGAATGAAGGAAGAAAATCAGAAATGGTAAGTATCTGGGAAATATAATATATTTTTCCTCTCCTCCTGGATTCTTTAAAATATGTTTGTTGGTTAGAAGCAAAAAAATTAACAGTGTCTGAAGGGGGTTTCAATGTACATAGAAGTAATATATAACACAATTAAAAATGCAGATGAGGACATCTATGTGGTAGTAAGGCACATATGTGCCAGTTGAAGTGGTAAATATTTACTCTAAATAGATCGTGAAAACTATATATTTTGAAATCTCTACAACAGACAACAATAATAAAATACATAGATATATAGTTGAAATTATAAATAGTTAAAATAGAATACCAAAAAAGTTTAAATATCCTAAAGGAAATGAGGAAAGAAGAAATGGAGGGACAAAAAAAGAGGGAACATGCAAACAAATTAAAAACAATAAAATGGTAGATATATATCAATAATTACATTATATTTAAATGTTCTAAAAATACCAACTAAAAGACAGAAATTGTCAGAATGTATCATAAAAGACCTGATCCAGCTCCGTGCTCTCTATAAGAAATTCATTTCAAATATACTGGCATAGGTGTCTTAAAATAAAAAGGATAGAAAGTTCTATACCATGTAAACATTAATTAAAATAAGGTAGGAGAGACTATATTAATATTAGAAAAAGTAGACTTTGGACCTAAGAAACTTCCCAGGGATAAAGATAGGCACTACATATTGATAAAATAGTTAATTTGCCAAGGAAACCTACCAATTCTAAAAGTGTGAGAACTCAAAAGCACAGGCAACACAGCAGAAATAGACAAATGGGGTCACATCAAGCAAAAAAGCTTCTGCACAGCAAAAGAAACAATAACAAAATGAACGGTAACCCACAAAATGGGAGAAAATATTTGCGAGCTACCCATCTGACAAAGGATTAATAACCAGAATATATAAGAAGTTTAGGCCGGGCGCGGTGGCTCACGCTTGTAATCCCAGCACTTTGGGAGGCCGAGGCGGGCGGATCACGAGGTCAGGAGATGGAGACCATCCTGGCTAAAACGGTGAAACCCCGTCTCTAATAAAAATACAAAAAAATTAGCCGGGTGTGGTGGCGGGCGCCTGTAGTCCCAGCTACTCGGGAGGCTGAGGCAGGAGAATGGCGTGAACCCGGGAGGCGGAGCTTGCAGTGAGCCGAAATCGCTCCACTGCACTCCCGCCTGGGCCACAGAGCGAGACTCCGTCTCAAAAAAAAAAAAAAAAAAAAAAAAAGTTTAAACAACTCAATAGTAAAAAATAATAATAATCCAACTAAAAATTGAGTAAGAGATCTGAATAAACATCTTTCAAAAGAAGACATACAAATGGCAAACAGGTACATGAAAAGTTGCTCAATATCATTGATCATCAGAGAAATGCAAATACAAACTACAAGGAGACATCATCTCACCCCAGTTAAAATGGCTATTATCCAAAAGACAAGCAGTAATGGATGCTGGCAAGGATGTAGAGAAAGGGGAACCCTCATGCACTGTTGATAAGAATGTAAATTAGTACAGCTATTATAGAGAACAGTATGGAGGTTCCTCAAACCAATTCTACCGCTGCTATATATCAAAAGAAAAGAAATTAGTATACCAAAGAGATATCTGCACTTCCATGTTTATTGCAGCACTATTCATGATAGCCAAAACATGGAATCAACCTAAGTGCCCGTCAGTGGATGAATGGATAAAGAAAATGTGGTACATATACAAAATAGAATCTTATTTAGCCACAAAAAAGAGTGAAATCCTGTCATTTGCAACAACATGGTTGGAACTGGAGGACACTACGTTAGGTGAAATAAATCAGTCATAGAAAGACAAATATTGAATGTTCTCATTCATATGTGGGAGCTAAGAAAACTGATCTCATGGAAACAGAGACTGGAACAATGGTTACCAGAGGCTGGCAAGGATAGTGGGAAAGCAGGGACGATGTAAAGGGGTTGGTTAATGGGTAGAAAAATACAGTTGGATAGAAGGAATAAGATCTAGTGTTTGGTGGCACAATAGGGCAACTATAGTTAACTATAGTTCATTATATATTTTTAAATAACTAGAAGAGTGGAATTGAAATGTTCCTGACATAAAGAAATGATAGACAGGCCAGGCGCAGTGGCTCACGCCTGTAATCCCAGAACTTTGGGAGGCCGAGGTGGCGGGCAGATCACGAGGTCAGGAGATCGAGACCATCCTGGCCAACGTGGTGAAACCCTGTCTCTACTAAAATACAAAAAATTAGCCGGGCGTGGTGGCACGCGCCTGTAGTCTCAGCTACTTGGGAGGCTGAGGCAGGGGAATCGCTTGAACCCAGGAGGCGGAGGTTGCAGTGAGCCGAGATCACACCATTGCACTCCAGCCTGGCGACAGAGCAAGACTCCGTCTCAAAAAGCAAGTGGATTCACATAACGTGCTTGCAAGAATGCCAGGCATATACTTTTTGAAGTATATTTGCCACAACTGCTTATAAAATACTTTTATGGGAAACTATAATTTGTTTGACAAGAACCTTTGTAAAACTTATTACAGACAATCTTGAAAAGTTACTTAAAAACAGAATTGAGACTATACTACATATACAATTTTATAAACTGCTTTATACTTATTACAAAGGTATTAAGGATTTTTGAGGGTCATGAGATTACTGCCAGATGATACTTCAGAAAAACAGTATCAATTTATACTAGGATCAACAGTATTTGAGTGGACTTGTTCTATAATACTCTCAGAAACACTGGGTTAAAAAGAAAGGAGAAAATAAAAATAAATCTTCAGCTAATAAGGCTAATATGTACTCTCCTCCTGTTTTGTAAATCTTCACTTATTAGTGAGGCTCAGTATTTTTTTCTTGTTTACTGGCCATTTCTAGTTTTGGTCTTATGAATTATCTGTTTGTTTGGGGTACTGATCTTGTTAGAAATATTTTGGTATTTGGGAATGGACAGAAGCTTAATATTTTTAAGTAGTCAAACCTTTTTATCTTATATTTGATGTTTTAAGAATAATAAACATGTCTTACATTTTATTATCAGAGTAAGTTTTTAAAATACTAAACTATAAAATAATGACAAAATGTAAGACAAAGTTCTAAGAATCTAATATACAGCACGGTGACTATAGTTAATAGTATCATATTATATACTTGAAATTTACAGAGAGCAGATCTTAACTGTCCTCATCACTGTCAACTTGCCCCCAAGGGTAACTACTTGAGGTGATGGACGGGTTCATTCCCCAAATGTGGTATTCATTTCAGAATGTGTACGTGTATCAAACCATCGCATTGTGTACTTTAAATATATATAACTTTGTCAATTATACCTCAATAAAGCTGGAAGAAAATACGACAAAATAAAAAAAAAGAAATGATAAACACTGGAAGTGAGAGATATCTGAATTATCCTGATTTAATCATTACACATTGTATGCTTGTATCAAAATTCGCGTGTACCTCATAAATATGTACAACTATTATGTATCCATAAACATTTTTAAACCAGTTAAAAAATCAAGCCTTAAAAAATTAAAAGAATGAAAATTATCCAAAGCATGTTCTGTGATCATAATGGAATTAAACTAGAAATCAATAACAGACAAATAGCAAGAAAATTTCTAAATGTTTGGAAATGAAACAATACACTTCACCATGGGTCCAAAAGTAAGTGTCAAGAAAAATTAGAAATATTTTGAGCTGAACAAAAATGAAAATATAACATATCAAAATGTAGAATGCAGCTAAAGTAATATTAGAGGGAAATTTATAGCATGAAATGTTTACATTAGAAAAAAGTTCTGAAAGGAATAATCTAAATTTCCATCTTAAGAAAGTAGAGGCCAGGCACAGTGGTTCATGCCTATAATCCTAGCACTTTGGGAGGTCAAGGTGGGAAGACCGCTTGAGCTCAGGAGTTTGAGACCAGCCTGGGCAACATAGCAAGACCTCATTTCTACTAAAAGAAAAAGAAAAAAAATTAGCATGGCATGGTAGTGTGCACCTGTAGTCCAAGCTACTCAGGAGGCTGAAGTGGGAGAATGGCTGGAGACCAGTAGTTTGAGGCTGGAGTGAGCTATGATTATGCCACTGAAATCAAGCCTGGTCAACAGGGCAAGACTCTGTCTCAAAAAAAAAAAAAAAAAGGAAAAGAAATTAGAAAAGGAAAATAAAAATAAACCAAAGCATACAGAATGAAAGTAATACAAATATAAGAGCAGCAATCAATAAAATTTAATACAAAACAAGAGAGAAAATCAATAAAACCAAAACCTTGCTTTTGAAAAAAATCAATAACATAAATTCCTAGCAAGTCTAATGAAGAAAAAAAAGACAGAAAACACAAATTACCAATATTAGAAATGAAGAGGAACTATCACTAAAGACCCCATAGACATGAAAAATTAGAGAATATTATAAATAACTCTATACATATACATTCAATAACTTTGACAAAATGGATAAATTCCCTAAACACTACAAACCACCAAAACTCACCCAATGTGAACTAGATAATCTGAATGTCCTTATAACCATTAAATAAACTTAACAAAATACTTACATGATCTGTATCTTGAAAACTACAAAATGCTGAGAAAGAAATCAGAGAAGATCTAAAGAAATGGAGATGCATTCTGTGTTTATGGACTTGAAGAATCAACATATTA
This sequence comes from Homo sapiens, assembly GCF_000001405.40. Classification (NCBI taxonomy): domain Eukaryota; kingdom Metazoa; phylum Chordata; class Mammalia; order Primates; family Hominidae; genus Homo; species Homo sapiens. The sequence goes on from NC_000023.11 coordinate 30,349,295, forward strand.
AGGGTGTTCATTCTCCCCACATTGTTCAATAGTTTTAAAACAGTACCAGTTGAAATTCCAGCAATATTTTTGGTATATATAGACAACCTAATTATAAAACTTATATGATAAGGAAAACAAAGTAGAATAGCTAAAACAATTTTGAAAAGGAAGAATAAAATGGGAAGAATCACTTTAATCAATATTAAGACTTACTGTATAGTTTCAGTAATCAACAAAGTGTGGTACTGGAGGAGATATAAACACATAGATCAATAGACAGAATAGAGCTCCCCCATACAAACCAATTGGGCATTTAATTTTTGGCAAAACTGCAAAAGAAATCCATGGAGAAGGATAGACTTTTCAACAAAAGATCAATGGTTTGGAACAATTGATCATCCATATGCAAAAAACTTAATTCCAACCTACTTCTCACTTTATACAAGGCTTATCTCAAAGTGGATCATAGATTTAAATATAAACATAAAATTATAAAACTTTTAGAAAAAAACATAAGAAATCGTCTTTGTAACTTGAATTTAGATGAAGAATTCTTAGGACATGAAACACACAATTCATAGAAGGAAATATAAGTTTACAAAAATTAATAACTTTTGTTCTGTTAAAGACATTATTAAAAGAAAAAAGACAATTAGCAGACTGGGAGAAAATATTCACAAATCTCATGTTTGACAAATGACATTTACCAGAAGATATAAAGAACCCTCAAAATTCAACAATAGGAAAATAAATAACCCAACTTAAAAATGGGCAAAGGACTTCAGCAGACACTTCACCAAAGAGGATGTAAGAATGGCAAATATGCACATGAAACAGTGTTAAATGTCATAGTCCTTAGGGAAATGCAAATTACAACCATAATGAGTTACTACTACACAACTATTAGAATGACTAAAATAAAAAGATACTGTCACTATCAAGTGCTGGTGAGGACACAAAGCAACAAGTATTCTCACACATTTCTGGTGGGAATGCAAACTTGTAGAGCCACTCTGGAAAATGTTTTAACAATTTATTTTAAAAAATAAACATACATTTACCACATGACCCAGCAATTCCCATCCTAGGTATTTACCCCAGAGCAGTGACTGGCAATCTTTTTTCTGTAAAGAGGTGGATAGTCAATATTTTAAGCTTTGTAGGCTATACGGCCTCTGTCACAAGTACTGTTCTGTTGTTACAGTATCAAAGCAGCCATAGACATATACAAATGAATGGTTGTGGCTGTATTTCATTAAAATATTATTTATGAAAACAGGCCGTAAGCCAGATTTGGCCTGAGTGCTGCATGTAGTTTGCTGATCCCTGCCCTAAAGAAATAAAAACTTACATTCACACAAAAACCTGTGCATGACTTCATTACAGCTTTACTCATGATTGCCAAACACTAGAAACTACCTAAATGTCCTTCAGCGGGTGACTGAAAAAACAAACAGTGGTATATTCATTCAATGGAATACTACTCAACTTAATAAAAGAGCTAACTGGTGATATGCACAATGATTTGGATGAATCACAAGGGAATTATGCTAAGCATAAAAGGCAATATCAAGGTAACATACTGCATGATTCCATTTACATGGCATTGCCACAAAACAAAAACCACAGTGATGAACAGATCAGTGGTTGTGAGGGATATCTGTAGTAAATACAATAATATGACTATAAAGGCATAGCATTAGGGAGTTTACTGCGGTGTTCTGTATACTGTTTGTGATGCTGGTAACATAAATTTATGCGTATGTTAAATTTCACAGACCTGTACACCAAACCAAAAGTTAATTTAACTTTAAAATAATTTACAAAACAAAAGATAGAGAAATTTTTTTAAGTATTCCATTTTCCTATTAAAGTGTCCCAGTTTATTTTTTTATTTTTTTAACTTATATTTTAAGTTCAGTGGTACAAGTGTAGGTTTGTTACGTAGGTATACGTGTGTTGTGGGGGTTTGTTGTACAGATTATTTCATCACCCAGGTATTAAGCCTAGTACCCATTAGTTATTTTTCCTGATCCTCTCCCTCCTCCCATCCTCCACCCTCCAAAAGTCCCCAGTGTGTGTTGTTCCCCTCTATATGTCCATGTGTTCTCATCATTTAGCTCCCACTTACAAGTGAGAACATGCGGTATTTGGTTTTCTGTTCCTGCATGAGTTTGCTAAGGATAATGGCCTCCGGATCCGTCCATGTCTCTGCAAATGACATGATCTCATTCTTTTTTATGGCTACATAGTATTCCACAGTGTATATGTACCACATTTTCTTTATTCAGTCTATAATGGATGGGCATTCAGGTTGATTCTATGTCTTTGCTATTGTGAATAGTGCTGCAATGAGCATAACACAAGCATGTGTCTTTATAACAGAATGATTTATATTCCTTTGGTTATATACCCAGTAATAGGAGTGCTGGGTCTAATGGTATTTCTATCTTTAGATCTTTGAGGAATCGCCACATTGTCTTCCACAATGGCTGAACTAATTTACACTCCCACCAACAGTGTATAAGCTTTTTTTTCTCCACAACCTCACCAGCATCTGTTATTTTCGACTTTTTAGTAACAGCCATTCTGACTGGTGTGAGATGGTATCTCATTGTGTCATTGTGGTTTTGATCTGCATTTTTCTAATGATAAGTGATGTTGAGCTTTACTTCATATGATTGTTGTCCACATGTGTATCTTCTTTTGAAAAGTGTCTGTTTGTGTCCTTTGCCCACTTTTTTAAGGGTTTATTTGGTTTTTTTCTTCTAAATCTTTTTAAATTCCTTATAGATGCTGGATATTAGACCTTTGTCAGATGCATAGTTTGCAAAAATGTTCTCCCATTGTGTAGGTTGTCTGATTACTGTTGATAGTTTCTTTTGCTGTGAAGAAGCCCTTTAGTTTAATTAGATCTCATTTGCCAATTTTTGCTTTTGTTGCTATTGCTTTTGGCATCTTTGTCATGAAGTCTTTGCCCATGCCTATATCATGAGTGGTATTGCCTATGTTGTCTTCCAGAGTTTTTATAGGTTTGGGTTTTATATTTAAGTCTTTAATCTATCTCGAGTAAATTTTTGTATATGGTGTAAGGAACAGGTCCAGTTTCAATGTTCTGCATATGGCTAGCCAGCTATCCCAGCACCATTTATTGAATAGGGAATCCTTTCCCCATTGCTTGTTTTTGTCAGGTTTGTTGAAGATTAGATAGTTGTAGGTGTGTGGTCTTATTTCTGGGTTCTCTATTCTGTTTCATTGGTCTATGTGCCTGTTTTTGTACCAGTGCCATGCTGTTTTGTTTACCGTAGTCCTGTAGTATAGTTTGAAGTCAGTTAGCGTGATACTTCCAGATTTGTTCTTTTTGCTTGGGATTGCCTTGGCTATTCAGGCTCTTTTTTGGTTCCATATACATTTAAAATAGTTTTATCTGGTTCTGTGAAGAATGACAGTGGTAGTTTAATGGGAATAGCATTGAATCTATAAATTACTTTGGCAGTATGTCCATTTTAAGAATATTGATTTTTCCTATCCATGAGCATGGAATGTTTTTCCATTTGTTTGTGTCATCTCTGATTTCTTAGATCACTTGTAGCCCTCCTTTCATTTTCTTGTAGTTGACCTCCCTAGTTAGCTGTATTCCTAGGTATTTTATTCTTTTTATGGCAATTTTGAATGGAAGTTTGTTTCTGATTTGGCTCTTGACTTCACTGTTGTTGGTATATAGGAATGCTAGTGATTTTTGCACAATGATTTTGTATCCTGAGACTTTGCTTGAAGTTGTTTATCAGCTTAAGAAGCTTTTGGGCTGAGACTATGGGGTTTTCTAGATATAGGATCATGTCATCTGCCAACGGAGATAGTTTGACTTCCTCTCTTCCTATTTGGATGCCCTTTGTTTCTTTCTCTTACCTAATTGCCCTGGCCAGAACTTCCAATGTTATGTTGAATAGGAGTAGTGAGAGAAGGCATCCTTGTCTTGTGCCAGTTTTCAAGGGGAATGCTTCCAGCTTTTGTCCATTCAGTATGATGTTGGCTGTGGGTTTGTCATATATGGCTCTTGTTAATGATTTTGAAGTATGTTCCTTCAATACTTCTCAATAGTTTATTGAGAGTTTTTAACATGAATGGATGTTGAATTTTTTTGAAAGGCTTTTCTTTATCTATTGAGATAATTATGTGGTTTTTATTTTTAGTTCTGTTTATGTGATGAGTCACATTTATTGATTTGTGTATGTTGAACCAACCTTCCATCCCAGGGATGAAGCCTACTTGATCGTGGTGGATGAGCTTTTTGATGTCCTGCGGGATTCATTTTGCCAGTATTTTGTTGAGGATTTTTGTATCAGTTTCATCAAGAATATTGGCCTGAAGTTTTCTTTTTCTGTTGTATCACTGACAGGTTTTGGTATCAGGATGATGCTGGCCTCATAGAATGAGTTGGGGAGGAGTTCCTCCTTTTCAATTTCTTGGAATAGTTTCAGTACAAATGGTACCAGCTCTTCTTTGTACACCTGGCAGAATTCAGCTGTGAATCTAATCTATTCCTGGGCATTTTTTTGGCTTGTAGGCTATTTATTACTGCCTCAATTTCAGAACTCATTATTGGTCTGTTCAGGAATTCAATTTCTTCCTGGTCCAGTCTTGGGAGGGTGTATGTCTCCAGGAATTTAGCCATTTCTTCTGGATTTTCTTGTTTATGTGCATAGAGCTGTTTATAATATTCTCTGATGGTAGTTTGTATTTCTGTGGGGTCAACGGTAATATCTCCCTTGTCATCTCTTATTGTGTTTATTTGAGTCTTCTCTCTTTTCTTCATTATTAATCTAGCTGGTGGTCTATTTTATGAATAGAGAATTTTATTAATATTAATAACGATGAGAAGAATGTATATTCTGTAGTTTTTGGGTGGAAAGTTCTGTGGGTATCTATCAGGTCCATTTGATCCAGAGCTGAGTTCAGGTCCTGATTATCTTTGTTAATTTTCTATCTCAAGGGTCTGTCTAATATTGTCAGTGGGGTGTTAAAATCTCCCACTATTATTGTGTGGGGGTCTAAGTCTCTTTGATGGTCTCTAAAACCTTGCTTTACAAATCTGGGTGCTCCAGTGTTGGGTGCATATATACTTAGGGTAGTTAGTTCTTCTTGTTGAATTGAACCCTTTATCATTATGTAATTCCCTTCTTTGTCTTTTATGATCTTTGTTGGTTTAAAGTCTGTTTTGTCAGAAACTAGGATTGCAGCCCCTGCATTTTGTTTTCCATTTGCTTGGTGTATTTTCCTCTAGCCCTTTATTTTGAGCTAATGTGTGTCATTGCATGTGAGATGGGTCTTTTGAAGATAGCATAGCAACGGGTCTTGGTTCTTTATCCAGCTTGCCACTCTGTGTCTTTAAGTTAGGGCATTTAGCCCATTAATATTTAAGGTTAGTATTGATATGTGTGGATTTGATCCTGGCATCATGATGTTAGCTAATTATTATGCCAGCTTGCATATGTGGTTGCTTTATGCTGTCACTGGTTTGTGTATTTCAGTGTGTTTTTGTAGTGGCTGCAAATGGTCTTTCTTTTCCATATTTAGTGCTTCCTTCAGGAGCTCTTGTAAGGCATGTCTGGTGGTAACAAATTCTCAGCATTTGCTTGTTAGAAAATGATCTTATTTCTCCTTTGCTTATGAAACTTAGTTTGGCCAGATATGAAATTCTGGGTTGGAATTTATTTTCTCTAAGAATGTTGAATATTGGCCCCCAATCTCTTCTGGCTTATAGGGTTTCAGCTGAGAGGTCCACTGTTAATCTGATGGGCTTCCCTTTGTAGGTGACCTGGCCTTTCTCTCTAGCTGCCTTTACCATTTTTTCTTTCATTTCCATCTTGGAGAATCTGATGATTATGTGTCTTGGGGGTGATCTTCTTGTGGAGTGTCTTACTGGGGTCTTCTGCATTTACTGAATCTAAATATTGGCCTCTCTAGCTAGGTTGGGGAAGTTCTCATGGATGATATTCTGAAATATGTTTTCCAAACTGATTCCATTCCCCCCATTTCTTTCAGGTACACTAATCAGTTGTAGGTTTGGTCTCTTTACGTAGTTCCATATTTCTTGGAGGTTTTATTTATTCCATTTCATTCTTTTTTCTCTATTCTTGCTGCCTTTCTTATTTCAGAAAGGCAGTCCTCAAGCTCTGAGATTCTTTCCTCCACTTGCTCTATACACCCTTGGGGAACTATGTTTTCTTTTTGGCCGAAGACCACCTGAGTGGTTGGAGGGGCATCTTGCCTCAAATATAGGACCATCTCTATGGAGGAGGTACAATATTTTCCAAATAATTTTGGATGCTACCTCTTTAGGATGCTCCAAAGAGGTAGCATCTGAATGATAAGACCTAATTATTTTTAGTTTCATCACATTTTCAGTCATGTAAATATTTTATTTTTCCCAATCTTAATTGCTTTCCTTTTCTTTATGGATAGGGTCATGGAGAGGAATTATATTTCAGCTTGCTATTAATACTTGTGATTGCATTATAAAATTCTTACAGTGTGTTTTTCAGCTCTATCAGATTGGTTATATTCTTCTCTGTACTAGCTATTTTGTCTGTCAGCCCCTGCAATATTTTATCATGATTTTTCGCTTCCTTGCATTGCGTTACATTGTACTTCTTTAGATCAGTGAACTTTGTTCCTATCCATATTCTGAAGTCCACTTCTGTCATTTCAGCCATCTCAGCCTCAACCCGATTTCAAACACTTGCTGGAGAGGTGATGCAGACATGTGGATGCACTCTGGCTTTTTGAATTTTCAGCATTCTTGCACTTACTCTTTCTCATCTTTGTGGGTTAATCTACCTTCAATATTTGAGGTTGTTGACCTCGGGATAGGTATTTTTTTTTTCTTTTAATAGGCTGGCCAAAGTGTCCCAGTTTAGATGATATATTATTTGGTTAGCCTATTTATGAACTTTTTCACAACAATTATATTTACTTCTAATTTTATTCCCTACTTACAGATGAGAAAACTGAACCTACAGTCATCTTACTACTAAATGGTTGTGCTAAGGGCTGAACCAATGATTTCTAAATGCAAAGTTTAAGCTTGATATGTAAGGCTATCCAGCCTTCCATTGGGTGGATATTCATCAAATCAGCAGCCTCCCCTTAGCAAAACTCATCAGTGATTTCTGAGATAGGTTTGGCAGCAAGGACCTCTCTGAGGGTTAATATTTCAGGCCTAAATGAAAAAAGGAAAGGAGGCATGTGAATTTATGTAGGAAGGTGCTTTACAGGTACAGGAAACATGAAGTGCAGCATTTGAAGCAAGATCAGACCTGTGTATTCACAGAGTAGCAAGAAGGCCAGTGTGACTGAGGTAGAAGGAGTGAAAGGAAGAGTGATATAACACACACTCAGGAATGAAAACAATGCCCAGATCATGTAGAGCTTTGCGAGTCATGCCGGGGAGTTTAGATTTCATTTAAGTATATTAGAAAACCAATGGAGAGTTCTAAATAGAGAAACAGTTCATCAGATTTACGTTTTTGAAATATCACTCTGCACTGTAGTGGGGCAGGCATGAAAATCAGTGGGGGCCAGTTTGGAAGTTATGGCCATATTCCTGACTGGAGGTGACAGTGACCTGAGCTAGGGTGATAGCTGTGGTCATTGTGAGAAGCAATGAGCATCTCAATATATCCTGAAGTAGGCTTGACAGGATTTGCTGATGGATTGAATAAGAAGTTTGAGTGAAAATAATGTTTTCCAAGCTCTGTGTACATTACTGTAAAAGTCTTAATGCAGTGGAAGCAATGAGAAGTGGTCACATTGAGGATATGTTTTGAGGAAAGAGATAAAAAGTCTTGATAATAGATTGGAAGAGGCTGGAAGGAACAGGAAAGAATTAAAGATGACTCGCAAGTTTTGAGTCTGAGCAAATGAGTGATTAGAGTTAATATATAAGAAAATAGGAAACACTGAGAACACAGCAGGTTTGGAAGAGGAATTAAAAATTATTTTTTTTATTCCACATACAAATATTGAGCAGGCAGTTTCATATATGAGTGTGGTATCCAGGAAGGCAATCAAGGCAGGAGATATACATTTTAAAGTTATCATCATCTAGATAGTAGCTAAAAGTCACAGGACTTGTGAAATCACCATGGGACAGAGTGTGGATAAAAAGGAGGGGCAAAGACTGCTCTAGGACACTCTATCATTTAGAGATCAGGAAGAGGAAGATGGGTTAGCAAGAGAAATTGAGAAGGAGCAACCAGTGAGGTAGGAGGAAAATCTGGAAATTCAAGTGAAAACAGAGTTTCATGGAGGAGAGTATCATCAACTGTGTCAAATGTTGCTGAGTTCAAAGGAGGTGGGAAATGAAAATTGATCATAAAGCTTGGTATTAAGTAGGTTACTGGTGACCTTGAAGAGAACTTCTTCAGAGTAGAGGGAGGTAAGATAGTGGAGACTTACCCTTTCATGCTTTTTCTCTTTCATAAGGGGTGGAATAAGAGGAGCATGACTTCAAGTGGATGATTTTTAAGCAGGTCTAAATGTAATATAGTGTATGGTTGACAAGCGTGTCTGGATAATTACCATGTTCCAAGGACACATTGTTAGGCAGCTCTATTGTAATTAGAGTTTTAAAATCAATAAAAGTTATTTTCTATCTTGAAATATAAATGCCATGTATTAAATGATGAAGCAGAACCAAGTTAATATTTAATTCAATATGAGGATAATCTCTGAGGTCAATTCCATACATTTAAATGAAGCAAAAGACTAGCTTCGAAGGTAGTTTAATAACTTCACATCTTTGAGAGGCATCTCTAAAATCACAATAGCTGATATAGCTGTCTTCAGAGCTAGTCATTTAATACATGGCATTGACCTACTTTCCTCTTTAATTATTTAAGAGTTAGCTGTTAGGTTGAATCTTGTCCTTGCAATGTGAAGAGCAGGACTATAATTTGTTGTACATTTTTTAGTCAAAATTATAGCGTTCATATAAGAAAGAGATCTGTTGCAAATAAATGTAAAAGTAAATCAAAAGATACAGAACTCGTTTTTTAAAAATATTAGTTTTCCAATATGAGGAATTTGTATTACCATTTGATTACTATTTGTTTCCATTTTTTTGATGTTAGATAAATTGGCTTCCTATTTACTTGATTAGTAATTTACCTCTAGCACATACACAGGCAACTGTGAAGATTGAGATGTCTCATTTTATTTTCCCCTAGTAAACGTAATATAAAGTGGGTTTGTGGTTGGGGTGAGAGGAGAATCACCTTTTCATATCTGAAAACCTAATTTATTTTCCCTTCCACTCAAAATGATGTAACTTTTGCCGTACTACCAGGTAATGGCAAAACGTAGTCCAAACTGGGATTACAGCAAGAATTCCACTAGAACAGCAGGCATCCTCTCTCCCTTTGCCCCAAACTGACTCAGTCTCTTTTAAGAATTAGAAAGTTGCTAGTTATTACTGCTGTCCACCTCCCAGGTCCTCATTCCATGACACCAAATTTGTGTTTCCTCTACCATCAGCTGGCATTTCATGTTTTTGGGTTACCATCAGTAGTGTGTAGGTAATTGATTAACAGTTGGCTCTCTGGAAAATAAAAGTTTTGGTTTGCAGTGTTTTGTCCACTTCCATCGTGTGACTTTTCCCACTATGGCTGATTTCAAGTTACCAACATGATAAACACAGAGTTGGGAAGAGATGCACACACCAGGCTATCAGGAACCAGTAAGAGCTCACTCCAGCACACTCCAGCCCAATGTTGTTTGCCCAGGTTGCAATAGGAAAATGATAGAATATGGTGCAGAAAGGGTGCAACAGCCCTATGAACATGTAAACCAAAAGAAAATAATAAGCTCCTTTTAGAAATTGGAAAAATATCAAGATAAGGAGCACATCATTTGGGAGAAAGAAAGGCAAATTTATGACCAAAATTCCAGTATATACTCAAATTAAGTATTTTAAGTAAATCAGAGAGAGAGAAATTGAGGGAGGCAGAATTACTTTTTGCTAGTAATTATTTCTATGAGGCTAAATAAATAAACAACTATTCTGATAAGCTATCAACTATCTGCAAAGGGTCTTGGAAGTGTAATTTGATTTTGTGCCTAGAAGAAAAATGAAATGTTTGAGTAAACACGTAGGTTTGTCTCTGCCACTGAAACTCTAGAGGATTCGCCTGCTTCAAATCTTCAGCTCCTTTATTTTCTCAATTCACTGTTCTGTAGAACACCAGAAGACATCTTCGGAAATAGCTTTGTAGTGATGGATCCAAGTACCCAATTCATGCTGTGATGATAACCAGACAAATGAAGACTCTGTACTCCTCACCCAGCTCCCATAAGCATAATAAGTGATGGATATTTTTCCAAGTGATAAATAGAATCTTCATAATCTCAGAAATAAAGTAACTGATTCCAATTTTTGAAAACCATCAAGGACTTAGATGGCAGAAGCCACATCATAAACCTTATCAAGTTGTTTGTTGTTTGGCTCTGAAAATAAAGCCAGGTAGAGAAGTTTTTTTTTTTTTTTAAGAATAATAAACTTGATCAAGGAGAAGTGGTGAATAATAGTTTATTTTATTGACTGATCACTAAATTACACACTCATAGATGTTGCAAAAACTCATTTTTTAGCCACTCTTGTACATTTTCTGAAATGGTTCATTTTCTAAAACAAACCTCCATTCTCTCAATCCTGGGAGACATGCTACCTTCTTAGTATAACTCAAGACCTTCACGAACATAAATTTATATAAAACTTTTATAATATCAAAATTTCTTAGTAACATAGCAAGCAAGATATTGAAAAGACCAATTTGTAATCTAACTTGGCATATATATAAGATTATTCTCTTTTTATTCTCATTTTCATCACTAAGGTGTTTCAAATGTCATAGTTTCAGTTTAAGATGAACAATTAACATGATGTATGTAGAATTTGGAAATAATTCATACAAAAGCAAATATAATGATAACAATAAAAGGCTTGGGAAGTCAGCTCTTTGAAGAAAGAGATTGAGGACATTTTCCCAAAAAGACAGGGTTTTAATTTATTTTTTATCTTACTTGTTTATGGAATACAGGAATGAATACAATACCACCAGATAACATTTAACATAAGCATGAAAATAGGCAAAGGAGATATAAGGACAGAAACAATTAGACACAGAGGTTATGAGTAAAATAAGCACAGAGAACATAGCCCGAGAGACTCTATATTAAATGAACTTGCTAGAGATGGACTATCTGTTTGGATCTGTGCTACCCTGCAGCAAATGCAAAGATGCAACCCAGTAAGTTACATGACACAGAAAAGCCGGTTAGAACAATCACAACTTTTCCTAGTATTGAGGCCAGAGTACTAGGATATTATCTATGTTACATTATTGTCAATGAGTTCAACAACTTCCTTGTGATGAATATAGAAATAGATTTCATAGGACTTTTAAATCTCCTTAATGAATGACTGTGGCATATTATCAAAGAACATTCAAGAGAAGCATTTCTAGGAGAGATTAAAACAATATGGCTGGATGCGGTGGCTCAAGCCAGTAATCCCAGCACTTTGGGAGGCCAAGGCGGGTGGATCCCCTGAGATCAGGAGTTTGAGACTAGCCTGGCCAACGTGGTAAAACCTCGCTTCTGCTAAAAATACAAAAATTAGCTGGGTGTGGTGGCACGTGCCTGTAATCCCAGCTACTCAGGAAGCTGAGGCAGGAGAATCACTTGAACCTGGGAGGCAGAGATTGCAGTGAGCCGAGATCAAAAACAATATGAGGCAGAATGTCTCAAGTCTAATCTGCCATTATCTAGACTAAGGATTTAGAACTGAGCTACTCAATAACAGTAGCCATTAGCCACATAATGCTAATTATATTTAAATTTAAATTAATTAAAATTAAATACAATTTAAAATTTCAGTTCCTCAATCACACTAGCTACATTTTAAGTTCTCAGTAGCCATTTGTGGCTAGTCCTACAGTGCTACAGTGTTGAACAGCATAGATGGAGAATGCATCAGTCATTACAGAAAGTTCTATTGGATGATATTGACTTAGACTTCCAGAACAAGAATACAGTACTGACAATTTTTCAAAGAAGCTTATCTCAGCCAAGTCTGCAATAGTCACTGAAAAATTGTGAGTTCAAGCTTATGCCCTGACAACCACTAGTAAAGCAACAATTTCACATTTTTTGTTAAAGGCAGAATCATAGCTTTACTAGGCAATTCGGAAGTCTTATTAATTTTCTCCTAGGGTAAGAATGAATGGTGATGGACTTAATGCATATTGAGCAAGACTGGAGAAAGGCAGTTCGTTACAAAAAGAGCAAGGTGGGGCAATAGGAAACACATTGAAGAGTTGAGGAGAGTACTTTATAGTTGTTCAAAGACATGAGAATACAAAGAACAGTTGTCTTTCTATTATGAGTAAGTGGTCTCCTGCTCCCTGAAATGATTTGACTATATGCCAAATAACAGTCTTAAACAGTGAACATTATTTTCCCTTCTGCAAGTTTCATCATTGGTCTAGGCAAAATACCATGGGAATATAGAGAAGAGAGATCTATGGGTTGTAACTATTGCAACTGTTTTGTTACAAACTCATCAAAATTCATGGACCTAGTTAGTATTTGAAATTATTCACTTCCTCCAACGTGCATTCCACAAAGCACTGTTGCAACACTTTTGGTATCAGTTTCAAAAGCGTTTTACAAAACATGTAAGCAAAAATGTCATGGTCTCGTTGCTTGTACCCTTGTTCTCCCATAAATATTGTCAACATAGCAGCTGGGCAGTCCTCTATAAATTTAAGTCAGAGTAGAGCACTCCTTGATTCAAAGCCTTGCAATGGCTTCCATCTCACTTGGAATATGTGCCAAAGTCCTTACAATGACCTACCAGACCTTCCACAATCAGCCCTGTTACCTCCTCTCTTACCACTTGCTCTTGGCTTAGTCAGTTTCAGCTACACTGGCATTTCTGATCCTTTTTTTTTTTTTAGACAGAGTCGTTCTGTCGCCAGACTGAAGTGCAGTGGCATGATCTCGGCTCACTGCAATCTCTGTCTACTGGATTCAAGTGATTCTCCTGCCTCAGCCTCCCAAGTAGCTGGGACTACAGGCATGCGCCACGATGCCCAGCTAATTTTTGTATTTTTAGTAGAGATGGGGTTTCACCATGTTAGCTAGGTTGGTCTCAATCTCTTGTCCTCGTGATCTGCCTGCCTCAGCCTCCCAAAGTGCTGGGATTACAGGCGTGAGCCACTGTGCCCAGCCTCTGCTCCTTCTTAAACAAAACATGCATGATCCTACCTCAGGACATTTGCTTTATCTATGTGCTTTATCTGAATTATCCTTCTACTAGGCCTCATTGGTCAAATCCCTGTTCCCCCTTCAAGTCTTGGCATAAGCCTCATGTTCTTAATGAGTTTGGCTCTGATTACTCTTTTTAATACTGCCACTTGCCCATGCCTTCCCAGTTCCCCAACTGCCACAGTCTCCACCTTCCTTACCTCACTCTACTTTTAGTTTTTTCATTGTATGTACCCTATAATATATTGTAGTACTATGTAATTGATTTCTTTCTTACATTTATTGTCTACTATGTCTCCTCCAGCTACAATTTAAGTTCCATAAAGACAGTGCTTGTTGTTTTGGTCACTGATATATCTCCAGCCCTAAGAAGAGAGCCTGGAACACAGTAGGCACTCAAAATATATTTGTTAAATGAATGAATGGCTTTATAAGAATTTCTCTTTCTAAATGTATAAAATTGTATTTCTCCAGTTTCAACACTGATTTCTAGTGCATTCTAAATATCAAGTCACAACAGTGTATAATTTTATAGCTGGAAAGGCCCTTGGAAGTAACATAATACAATCATGCCTTTATATATAAAAGTAAACCATGCCCCAGAGAGATTAGGTGACAGCACAAGGTCAACCAGCTAATTTATAGCAGAGCCAGGGCTGGAGGATAGGCTTTCAGATTCTCACTCCATCCACAAAATATCAGGATTTTCCAACACCACGTGTATTCAAAAGAATATGCCACTGTCTCTGACAATTTTACCAGAAACAGACATGCTGCCATATTTTTAGCTAAAGGAACATCATTGCAATAAGTGGATAGCTTCATGAGCAGCATGAACTTGAATGTATCAATTTAACAGTATTTTCAAAGATAGAATCATATTACTTCACAAATATCTCATACGACTCCTCACAAAACTGTAGTTTTTAAATATAGAGTTTTATGTAAAGTCGAAATTTAGTAATTCTAGAAAAAAATAGAGTCTTATCATAAATACATAAACTAAACCTTGATTATTTTCTACTTCCTTTATATTTTCTGTCACTTGGGCTCTCTACTTTATTCCCTTGTTGACAGGTGCGGTCTTAATGTGCATCTTTGAGAAAATAGGTGCTTTTTGGTACAAACCACTTGTATCTTTGGCTTATTAGAAGCATCTATATATCATAGCCTGGGGAAAGAAGATAAAATAGGGCATCTTTCTTGCATATAAATCATGGCTTGTGGATCATCGCTGTTAATTAAAAATCTTTGCAAGGCTAAATTCAACATGATGGAAGCTTAGGACATCCTTGCTAAAGGACAAACCTGGAAGGAAAAGAATTTTTAAATTTCCATGAGAAAGAAAGTAGAATGAGAACATTATGGATCCTAGCTCTGGATATAGGGTTAAAATATGCTACGCATATTATGCTGCACCATAATTTGTTGCTGACTGGATGTGAGCATGGTAATTTCTTAGTGTAATTGGGTTACATTTTCTTTTGTTTCCGTGATGCTTGGTGTTTCAATGTTGTCTGGCAACATAATCCTAGTATTAACTGGAGATAGGAAATATACAGCCTTGATCATAAAAAGTGTGAATTTCACAAGGACAGAACAATATAAGCAGAATTTTTACCATCCCATTTCAGTGACATATTCAAAAAAGAGGCCCATTATCCTTGAGTTTGGTTTGCATGGTTATTTGATACCCTTAATGCATAAAGGAGAAGGGTTAGTGTGGGAGTCTTTTCAAGGTATGAAAGGATATTTATTTTAGGGTTGTGATTACTTATGCTCCTGGTCGGTGCCAGTCAGGTCAATAGGATTATGTTCCAGAAATTGATTTCCCCCCCAATGAGTAAATAATGAAGTAATTTAACCTCATCTGCTTCCTAATCTAAAACCTTTCACTTGTACCATGAGGAAAGGCAGCTGCCTTCGCTTGAGATGTGCTCGTGCACAAGCCCAATAAATACCTTTGGGTTTTATATGAAGGTCATGCAAAGCTGATCATTCAGGAAATGTGTACAGTTAAAGTGCATCTTCTATTCCTTACAGCCATCAATCCTGGCTTTCAGAGATGTCTCCACCTATGTTAAAGGGCTAACACAATACTGCATTAATCATGGGCATGGCTGTTGCTCTGCAAATTTCTCTTTCATTTATTTTAATTTAAGTGTTTATTTGGATACTAGCATAGAAAGAAAACGGCACTTAGCTGGAAACGAAAATAAAAAGGCAGTTGGAAAGTAGTAACTGTTCAGATTATGAATTATTCAGGCTTGCTTTATGCTGTGCATGTTATTTTATTATTGTACCTGCTGTGGCTTCTTGAAGGAACCTAATACCTGGAAATCACAATTAGACTAAAAATTTGACTCTCTTGTCATAGAGGAAATCACCTAGTGGTCAGAGTACATAGTCGTCCCATTTTTTTTCTTCATGATTCATGTTGCTAAAAATGATGGTATGCAACATGAATACACATTTACTGCAGGCCAGGCAGAGCACTAACACTTTACTTGCGTTATGTCATTTAATGCTTTTAGGATCAGGAACCCAGCTAGCAGTGGTTTCGGGAATCAAGGTCGGACCACCAGATTCCAAAAGCCAGGTGCTTGGCCACTGGATTTCAGTACTTCCTCTGCCCACAGTTTACTTTTAAGCAACAAAAATCATCATCCTCCAAATCATTCCTTTGCTAGTTATGCCTCCTGTGCAGAATGTAGGATTTTTATCAAAGAGGTTCCTCCGGGAGCTTCCCATTCATCTGAGGAAGTAAAAGGTAAAAAGACTGAAAAGCATTATAAAAAGTAATAACTTAATTGAAAATTACTTTTGCTTTTTTCTCTGGTGTTTTAGAAATTGTCACTGTCTTTATTTCACAAAGTTTTGAGTATTAACACAATTTTGATTACTCCTTCATTTTCTTTTTAGCTGTCTGTGATAGTTAACAAAAGATGTTTAGAATATTTAAAATAAATAAATAAATAAATAAATCTGTCTTTTCTGGCATTTTTAACATATGGAGTTGAGGATGAGTGACTTGCATGCAGAAAGTATAAATTCTGAGAGGAGATATGTGTAATTGGTCTTAACAAAAATATTTCTCTCATTTATTCCCTAAATTTTTGTTGAATGTTCACTGTATACCAGGTAATGTGCTGAGCACTAGGTAAGACCCATCAGTTTTAGTTAAATTGCCCCTCTTACCTGATCCCAGAAACCATTAGACAATCCTCAGACTCTAAATTTTCTGATTATTTGTCTAACTTGCTACTAGACATCATGAGAGCAGAAAGCACATATACGACATTTAATACAGAACCACAAGTGCCTAATAGATTATTTGGCAGCCACTCAGTGAGGTAGAGAGGGATAAGCTCATCCCATCTGCATTCTTCATTCTTCCTGAATACACAGCTAGACAGTTTCTCCAACCTCCATTGCAATTAGGTGTGAACGTGTGCTGACTACGGTCCAATTCAATGTAAACAAACTAAAAAGGTAACTCATCCAAGACTGGCTCATAGAAACCTTCCACTCATGATCCTCTTGCTCTATCCCCATCCAAAAGCTGAATGGAGAGGACTCCAAGGACCTCAAGGAGAACAAAACCATAAGATAGAAAGAGCTTGGGTCCTTGAATGACTGCGTGGAACAGGACCATCTCTTCCTCTGATAAACCCACATAGAAGAGAGAAATGAGGGGGAATAAATGCTGTTTCTTGTATTAAGCCAGAAATCTCCAGATTTGTATGTTGCAGAAGTTAGGTTTACTTACCTTAACTACTACAGAGGAATGAATGGAAGAATGAGTGAGATAGCACTCCTGACATCAAGGGATTTTCATTTTAGTTTTTGGATAGCCTCATCTTTTCTACTTGAAGAGTCTTTTGGGAATCATTGGGTAGTTGTAAAATATAAAAGATATTTTTATGAGAATTACACAAAATGCGCTCAGAGAAACCACTTGGGAATGTTATATTGGGTATCAGAAGTCTGTTTGCCTCCACATATACAGGAATATCTTGGAAATCTTGTGGGTTTGGATTGAGACCACTGCAATAAAGCAAACATCACAATAAAGTCACACAAATGTTTTGGTTTCCTAGTGTATACACAAGTAATGTTTACACTATGCTGTAGTCTAACACGTATACAATAACAATTTGTCTGAGAAAACAATGTGCATACCTTAATTTAAAAACACTTTACTGGTAAAAATTGCTAAGATCATCTGAGCCTTCAGCAACTCATAGTATTTTTGCTGGTGGATGGTCTTGCCTCAACGTGGAAGGCTGCTGACTGATCAGAGTGGTGGTTGTTGAAGGCTGGACTGGCTGTGGCAATTTCTCAGAATAAGACAACAATGAAGTTTGCTGCGTGAACTGACTCTTCCTCTCAGGAAATATTTCTCTGTAGCAGGCAATGCTGTTTCATGGCGTTTTACCTACAGTAGAATTTCTTTAAAAATTGGAGGCAATCCTCTCAAACCCTGCTGCTGCTTTATCAGCTAAGTTTATGGAACATCCTAAAGCTTTTGTTGTCATTTCAACAATGTTCACAGCATCTTCACCAGGAGTAGATTGCATGTCAAAAACAATTTTCTTTGCCCTTCCACAATGCACTCCTCATAGATTCAAGTTTTATCATGAGATTGCAGCAATTCAGTAACATCTTCAGGCTTCACTTCCAATTTCACTTCTCTTTCTATTTCCACCACATCTACAGTTACTTCCTCCATTGAATTCTTGAACTCCTCAAAGTCATCTATGATGGTTGGAATTAATTTCTTCCAAACTCCTGTTATTGCTGATATTCTGACCTCTGCCCATGAATCCTGAATGTTCTTAATGGCACCGATAATGGTGAACTTTTTCTAGATTTTCCGTTTACTTTGCCAAGATTCATCAGAGGAACCACTATCTGTGGCAGGTATGACCTTACAAAATGTATTTCTCCAATAATAAAGACTTCAAAGTCAAAGTTACTCCTTGATCCATGGGCTGCAGAATGGATGTTGTGTTAGCAGGCATGAAAACAACATGAATCTCCTTATACACCTCCATCAGAGCTCTTGGGTGACTATGTGCACTGTCAATGAGAAGTAATATTTGAAAGGAATCTGTTTTTCTGAGCAATAGGTCTCAGCAGTGGGCTTAAATTATTCAGTAAGCCATGCTGTAAACAGATGTGCTATCATCGAAGCTTTGTTGTTCATTTATAAAGCACAAGCAGAGTAGAATTAGCATAATTTTTGAGGGCAATAGAATTTTTAGAATGAGCGTTGACTTTAACCTAAAGTCTCCAGCTGCATTAGCCCCTAACAAGAGAGTCAGCCTGCCCTTTGTAGCTTTGAAGCTAGGAATTGTGTCCTCCGTTCTAGCTATGAAAATCTTAGATGGCATCTTCTAAAATGAAATAGAAGGCTGTTTTGTCTACAGTGAAAATCTGTTGTTTAGCTTAGCCACCTTCATCATCTTAGATCTTAGCTTGATCTTCTGGATAACTTGCTATAGCACTTGCTGCTTCTCCTTGCACTTTATGGAGATGGCTTCTTTCCTTAAACCTTATGAAGCAATCTCTGCTAACTTCAAACTTTTCTTCTGTAGCTTCTTCACCTTTCTGAGCTTCTTCACCACCAGAGCTTTCTCACCTTCCTCACCTCCAGAGCCTTGTTCTGGATTAGGCTTTGACTTAAGAGAATGATGTGATTAGTTTGATATTTTATGCAGAGTACTCAAACTTTCTCCATATCAGCAATAAGTCTGTTTCACATTCTTATCATTTGTTTGTTCACTGGAGTAGCCCTCCTAATTTCCTTTGAGAACTTCTCCTTTGCCTTCACAACTTGGCTGTTTGGCACAAGAGGCTTAGCTTTCAGCCCACTTTGGCTTTTGACATGTCTTCCTCACAAAGCTCAATCACTTCTAGCTTTTGATTTGAAGTGAGAGACACACAATTCTTCCTTTCATTTGAAAACTTAGAGGCCACTTCAGGGTTATTAATTGGCTTAATTTCAATATTCCTGTGTCTCAAGGAATAAGGAGCCTGAAAGAGAGGAAGTGGGTAGGAGGGAAATGGCCAGAATACACACAACTTTGATCAGTTAGGTTTGTATTCTTATATGGGTGAAGTTCATGGGGTCCCAAAACAATTACAATAGTAACATCAGAGATCACTGATCACAGTTCACCATAACAGGTAAAATAATAATGAAGAAGTTTGAAATATTGTGAGACTATCCAAAATATGACACAGAGACATGAAATAAGTACATGCTATTGGAAAAATGGTGCCGATTGACTTTCTGGATGCAGGGTTGTCACAAAACTTCATTATGTAAAAATTGTGTTATTTGCAAAGTGCAATAAAGAAGCACAATAAAATGAGGAATGTCAGTGTAAAGTGAGACAATTCCCAAGGGATATAAAGACAAAAATTCATGTCCTCAGGGAACTTGCATAGTGGTGGGGAGGAGAGGAAAGTAAGCAGAAACTTGGTATCATGACTCCTCAAGCAATTCTCTCTTCACCTGATACTCTTTCCCAGATAAGCTTGTCTGTGACTTTAACATCTATATTCTGACTGCTTTCAGTGTACATCCTTCCACGCGAACTCCCCCTCTGATCTCCACGGAGGTACTGAACTGCGTATCAATTGCATGTTTCACAGACATCTCAAACTCAGCATGTCCAAAATTGAATTCAGAATTGACCCAAACCTGATCAGCTCCAAATGTTCTTCAATACAAATAATGATACACCATCCCCTCCTCACAACACACACTCAGTTGTGCAAGTCCCAAGTTTGGGAGTGTTCTCGACATCCTTTTTTGTTTTCGTCCTCAATCTTTATCTCTTCTCAACATTAGAGTCCTGTTGATTTTACTTTCTCAATATTTTACAAATCTTTCCACTCCTCTCCATCTTGATCGCTATCCAAATCTAAGCCCACAGCCATAACAAATGCTACCAAACTAGCTGCCCCATATTTATTCCAATCTATCTTTTATCTATTTACACACTTTACATCAAAAGTGACATTTTAATAGTAGAAATATAATCACATACCACCTATGGAAATGACATCTCATTTTCCACAGGGGAAAATAAAATTCTTAATAATACCAATATCCCTGGATTTCCTAGCCCCTGTCTGCCTCACTACTCCCATCTCACACCGATGTCTCTCTCTATGACTCCATTATCCTGGCCTGTTTATTTTTTTTTTCTTTCTTTCTCTTTTTTTTTTTTTTTTTTTTTTCGTAGAGACAGGGTCTTGCTATGTTGCTCAGGCTGGTCTTGAACTCCTGGCCATCCTTCCACCTCAGACTCGCAAAACACCAGTATTGCAGGCATAAGCCACTGCACCCAGCCAGCTCCTGATATGTCAGGGCTGTTCTCATACCTGAAATGCTCTCCCAGTTCTGTTTTGTCTCAGTTCAAACATCATACCCAAAGGAAGCCACTTCTGCATTTCCACTAGATATAAGTTTCTTTTCCCACTCCTCTCACAGTAACTTAGAATAATTATTAAATATGCGATCGTGATTAGTTTATTTAACTGTGACCTCTGTTGACCATAAGTCTGTAAGAACAGAGAGAAGGTATTTTCTTTTGTGCTATATTCCCGCTGCCTAGTATGGGATCTGATACAAGGAAGGCACTCAATAAAAGTGTGCTTAATTAATTCATTAAATAAACACATGATGCAGTATGGACATATTAGAGAGAGATCCAAACACACTTGGGGCATCAAAAATGTATTCCCTGATAACATACCTGAGCTTCTTTAGGGTGGTTCAGTAAATATTAGCCCTCAAAAATATGATGGTTGGAAAATATACCTGAAACACTTGTTATAAGTAAGATATTGTGATAAATATCTTACATGCACTATCCCATTTTACATTTGAAGAATCTGAAGTTGGAGCACAAGGAAACTGAAGAACGGCCCAAAGTGGCAGAGTCAGAATTGAGATCCAGATAGTGCGACTTCAGAGGCCTGGGGACATCATAACTGTAAACGTATCCCTGTAAAACACAAGAATTTTAAAAATCAATAGTAGCTTATCATAAAATTACTATTATTATAGTAACCTATAATAAAATGTAGCAATGCCATATCTCTGGTTTTGGGCCCTATTCTACCAGATACCAGAAGCATATTTATAGTCATTGGAACTACAGCAAAGCGAGGATTTGATTTGCCTTAGCAGTTTATGGTGATACCAATGTGTAGCCAGAGCCTGGGTGACGATGCCAGGATTAGGTGGGTCTGATTGTCTGAAGTGAATCACCCTATAACTGAGCTGCTGGGAAGAGGGACTCTGCTCATGAGGCAAGCAACTGGGTGAGGTTCTCTATCTATTCCTAGAGTGAGTAGCATTGTAGGTGACAGTAAGCCTCAGCTTCCTAGCTCTCATCAAGAAAATAATGTCAAACAAAATCACATTGGAAGACATTCATTAACTGGGTTGGTTCTTTGGAAGGAACAGGATTCTCTCCTGGGAAAAGAGACACAGTGAGGATCTGCAGCCATCTTCAGGACCAAGAAAGCAATATAAGAAAGCTAAAATGATGGAAGCTCTGCTTTGCTTTTAGTTTTTCCCCGTAGTTAATTTTCCTGGAAAATTTCTTTGGAATATCAAAGGATCCAGAGATTGGAGGAAACAGTCTGTACAATATTCACTCGGATATTGCATAAACAGTATTTGCATTTTCTAAGACGCCCCATGCCCTGCTTACCAAGTTTAGAAGCAAAGAACACCCTCCATGTGTCCTGTCTTTAAATTTTTTCCAACACATCTAATTCTGCTACTGTTTCCTGACACACTGGACAGTGATTCCTTAAGTCAGTTCTCTCTACTCCACCTCCGCAAGTTAAATAACTCCTGTCAGCCAATATTGATTTTGGAGATGTCAGGGGAGGAGTTCTGACTTTAACTGTCCATGAGATTGTGTCAGTCCTTTCTGAAACACTGGCCTGATAGTAGGTGGGTAATAATCCAGTTACAATATTACTGGATGTGGTTTTAACACAAAGCCTTTGAAAGACATTTGGCAAAGACTAACTCTTTCTGTAAAGCTCAACTGGAAATAAAGCAAAATTCACTCCTCCTATAGCCTTGATCACTCCTGGGTCATTACAATTTCTGTTACTTTAAAGGATATCCTTTCCCTGCATTCCTATGGTCAGTATACCAAAAAAAAAAGAAAAAGTTACTTTTCTTCATAACTTAGAACCCATGAAGATGGGAAAAATTTATCGAAACAGGTTCATATGTTGCAGTGAGATGGTTCTTAAACTGATTCCACTCCAGGAGTGATCTCTAGACCTAAATGAGTTAGTATTATCTGAGCGCTTGACAACAGTAGCTTTAAAACCTGTTTTATTTCTCTTTGCTAGCCATTGTCTGAGAATGCTAGTAGCCCTGTGTTGTCAATTTAGTGTCAAATATTTTGAGTCTCTCCTGGAAAAAATCAAGAATAGAATTCATGCTCTTATCTATAGAAAACAGGTGGTGACACTGACGTTCCTAGACTGGTTTTCTTTTCTTTTTTTTCTTTCTTTTTTTTTTTCCTGGACTTGTATTCTTTTCACTTTCTCCTGACATTGCATCTCTGTTTCTCCTTTTCTGTAGACTAGAGTCCAAGCAAACCTCAATACTCTTGCATATCTGAATTTGTCCTCTGATATAATTTACATGGCAGGAAGACCGAAGATGTAGAGAAAATGGTACATGGATCAGGGCTGCCCTTACTGCTTTACTCCAGGACTGCCATGTATGGCCATTCAGCACGTGCACTGCACAAAGGCACCAAGCCCCGCTGATGAGGAGAGATGAAATCCAGGCTGCACTCCTCTTGCCAAGCCATGCACCCAGCAGGCAATTGCATTCTCCCAGAGGAAAAGGTGCCTTTTTCTCCACAACAAGGCAAAGGCAACTACAGTGTACCAAGCCAGATGCCAGTGGGATTGCTTTAGACAAGAGGGATGCCTTACTCTAACTCACACAAGAGTATTCTACGGACTAGTAGGATCTTGCTCAATTCCTAACAGCAGACCACCAATAGCACTATCTAGTAGCTTACGGCACACTCACAATCCCAGCTGATACATGATGTAAGCTGCTGTCTTAGGTCAGGTTCTGCAGAGGCAAAGCCTGAGACTGAGATTCCTGCTTAAGTGTAGGGACCAACTAACTGTTCTTGTTGTCCTAGGACCAAGGGATTTCCCAGGGTGTGGTAATTTCAGCGCGAAAGCCAGGAAAGTTCTGGGCAAACCAGGATGATTTGATCACCTACCAAGTGATATGGTGAAGGAGTGTTTTCAGCGAAAAAAAGGAAGTAAAGGAAGCAACACAGGGCACAGTAAGAAAGCTAAGCAAGGAAGTGGTCTCGGCTGGAGGCTCGTTTCAATATGGTCCATGGGGGACTCTGAAGACACAAACTGGTTAGCCCACCCTGTGGTAAGAGAGCCAATTTTTATAACTTTGTGTCAGCCCATCATTGGTCATTAGCTGTCCCTGGGGGATGGAAGATATATAACTTCCTGAACGAAGCTCCCTTTTGGCAGAAACCAGTGACTACAGTTCTATAGAGAAGAGGGCAGCTGTAGACCATTAGCAGCCAATACGCTGAGCATCTGGGGGATGGGTGCAGCATCACGGTGAAAGGAATATGTGTGCGACTCAGCATCCACTACAACCCGTTATTATACATACAGTGTTTGCCTAACTATGATCCAGGGAGAGCGCTAGAGAATAATACAGCATCCGTGTCACATAGTGCCAAAGAAAAAGAAGGCTTTGGAAAAGCAGGTAATTTTTAAGGAACAGATTGGGGTAAGAACATCATCCATGGCAGCATAACGCCGACATTCTTTCATGGAGAAAGCATGGTGATAGCAGCTCCCACAAGATCACAATTCTCTGCGCCACCCCTGTTGTATCTCCCCTGGTGTTTTCTGTCTACAGATCAAAGCAGGAAGTGTTCATGATGCTCTCCCAGTGTCTTGAAAAGCCCCAAAATAGCATCCTTACCAGTATCTCAGACAGGGAGTCTGACTCATCCTGGTTTGCCTGGGAGTTTCCCGGTTTTAGCAGAGAAAAATCTCACATCCAAGGAAACCCCCCAGTCGTGAACTGGTGACCCAGATGGAGGATTTCTATCCCCTAGATGGCCTCTAAGGTGAAAAAGTCAACTGATTGCACTAAACGAACTTGGAATTCTTTAGGTATTTTAGTACAAATTCATGCTGCGTGCCAAGCAAACTTTAGAGGAGATGCTGGAGAGGAGAGTAAAAAGAGAAAACTACAGATAAGTAAGACAGGAAACATA
The DNA here is from genome assembly GCF_000001405.40 of Homo sapiens. Lineage (NCBI taxonomy): Eukaryota > Metazoa > Chordata > Mammalia > Primates > Hominidae > Homo > Homo sapiens. The sequence goes on from NC_000023.11 coordinate 30,373,939, forward strand.
GGGCAATGCTTCCAAACTGGGAAGTTCGTACTTTGTGGAGCAGGGAAGAAGTGAGAGATCATTGGAAGACTGAGTGGTGGCTGACATGCCTGGAGATGCACTTTAAGGAGATTAATCTGAGGGTAGTATATAAAGTGTGGGAGAACAGAGAAGTCCAAAATTCAATGAAGTATGAGCTATTATTTCTCTGCGTGGCTTTTGTCTAGTGGACTGGAACAAGTATTAGTCACATCTTCTTTCTCTTGGTCTCGCTCTGATCTGATCTTGGAAATTCCAGTTACATCCAAGAAGCTGAATGTTTGCTTAATATAACTCTAGAAGTCTGCATAAGAAATTTGAGAAAAAACTAATTTACTCTAGGGAGAGCTGGATGGCTTGGAGAGTAGTGGGGCAGAGAGATGATTCCTCACATTCCCTTTGGAACTTTTGAATTTCGAGCTATGTAAATATATTATCAACTCACAAGTCATTAATACAACTTAAATTAAATAAGAAATAATACACAAGAAGGTAGAAACAAAGAAAGACCCAGGATTAATCAGTATGAGCTACATTTTAGAATTCTGTATTCAATTTTCCAGAGCTGAATTGACCAATTTTGGGTCTAACTGAATTCCATTTATGTATATTAATCACCAAATAACTGATGGATTTAATTTAATTTTGTAAGTAATGTCAATGTGAAATTACTTATAGTCATTCTTCTGCTAATTTTTCCTGTGTGAAACAAACAAAACAAATTAAAACACACACATACACACAAGCAGAAGCAAAAGTCCAATTTAAGCAGCATGATGTGGTAGAAGGCACATGTGCTTGGGAGTAGGTCAACTGGGTTCAAATCCTAATTGTCACTTATTAGCTATGAGCTCTTTGGGCAGGTTAGTTAACCTAATTGAGCCCATTTATAAGTGATAATAATATCTGCCTCAAAGGGCCACTGTAGGAATTAAATGAGAATCTATATGTGAAAGTTCATGAAAAGAGGAAAATTTCCCTTCCTCTGCCAGAGCATCTGGTACAATGCTCTACACCCAGATGGTGATAAATAAACATGAGCTGAGTCATAAAATAAATGCCAACATATGATTAATTGTTTGATTATAATTAATTTGGCATCAATAACATAGTGTATTATTTAAAAAATCAAACTCGGATTTAGGATATCTGGATTCTGGCCCCAACGTTCTTTGACCTTAAATGAGTTACTTAAACTCTTTGGTATTGAATTCCTTCCCCTGGCATGCTTTTCCTTCAAAATCCACATGGCTCACTCTCCAACATCCTTCATACCTTTACTGAGGAAATTTAGTGAGAACTTCCCAGAACACCTATTTAAATTCACAAACCCTCTCTTCCCTGAAACTCTAAATTACTTATCATTATCTACCATGCTATTTATTTTACTTGTTTGCTTAGTATTTATTTCACTGCCCCCTTTATAATATAAACCTCATGAAAGCAGGTATTGTTGTTTACTGTGTGCGTGGCTCGATATTAAACATCTAGAACAGTGCTCAACATATGAGAGGTATTACAATTTTGTTAAATGAATGAGTGAATGTGTAAGTGTGTAAATTAAGGGGCTAGGGTAAGAGAGCTCTACAGTCCTTTCCAGTTCTGAAATTTCATGGTAAAGGCTTTAAATGACTATTTTGCTCCAATTTTAAGTTATCTTTAAGATTTTTCGTTAGAAAAAGCTAACTTTAGTATAATGACATTTCCCGTGATAAAAAATTAAAAGACTGAATCGTGTCTTTTAGTAGCATCATATTTAATTGGCATAGGAATTTAATTCTTGGAAAATTTCAGAAACACTGAAAAGCATGAGAAAAGAAGCAAACAAAATAACCTAATGCGATGATTAAATTATGAAAGTAAGAAATTTTTCAGGTACTCTTCAAAAATCTAGCAAACATTAATTTAATTGTTTTCTTAGGAATTGTTTATTTTGATGAATTCATATTCAAATTTTAACATGTTACATAATAGGTAAAAGCTTAAACTTTGACAACAAAATCACCAGGTATACTTACAGACTTTGCAGGGTAAGATTTAAACATTCTCTTTTTGAATTCTTTGTTTTGCCTTCTAAACTTTAGTTTGCTTATTTGGAATCCTTATTTCAGGAATTGTAGTCAATTTTCAAGTTTCAAGTTACAGTAAATAGGAGTGACTTAAATTGAGTCTTATCAGAAATATACTGGGAAGCAACTTCTCTCTTCCTAACTAGCAAAGTTGTGTATTGTGCTTTGTGTGTTCATCTTGGAAAGCTAGGTCAGTGAAAAGTCATTTATTGGGCTACAAGACAGAAGGCTTGTGATCTAATCCGATATCTACCAATGTCTCAATATATGATCTTGATTGTGCCCCACAGCCTCTCTCATTTCTAATTCTTTAACTGAAATATATAGAGTGAATATTGTAGAGCCTGGCCTTCATTAGGTATTCATCGCCTGGCTATCTGTCAGTGACAGAGGCTGTGCCATTGTCTCACTTAACTTTCCCCTTGGAGTCCTTATAGACCCCTGACATTCTATGTAGTTTTAACTCAAAAAAATAAAAAAAGGAAAACATGGTTGATCCTAGTTTGAGATTCCGCAGCTAATTAAGCACAACAGTAATACAGACAATAAGTCACAATTTCAACTGTATATATTTGCCCCCGATGGCAGAAAAAGTTGTATGTATCCATGAGGCCACTTCATTTTTTCCTGGGTTTACAGAAAGACAACATGTTCCTATCACTCTTGCACCTAGATGAAGCCATGTGACCAGTTCTGTCCAGTGGATTGTGGGTCAGGTTATATACCCTCATTTGGATGCTATGTCCTTAAAATCTTCCATGAGATCTTCTAAGCTCTCTTCTTTTGTCATCTGACTGGATACAGAGGCTGCAGTGGAGGATTCCAAAGCTAATCAATAAGAAGGAAGGTATCTCAATCCTAGAGTCACTGCTTAGAGAGAATTTGCCCAAAAGAACTTTTTAGCCAGAAATAACTGCTCTGAAGTTTGAATTAGCAAGAACTGAACTTATTAAGCCTCTGAAATTTGGAGTAGGTTCTTATAGAAGTTAGACCTATTCTAAATAATATACTCACCTCCATTCTGCAATTAACTACCAAATAATTCTTTTGCCTTGTTTGGTTTCCTTTCTAAATGCATACACTGGATGATAATTCAAGTTCATAGCAGCAACTGATTTGACCATCTAATCATATTTTGAAATGGTTAGATTTGGAGCATTGCAGAAACGTGCCCTGAAATTTATCTCCAGGATTCACATTCCTACACTGCTACACCTTTGGAGCTGAACAGAAAAAAATAAAGATTAAAGAGCTACTTCACATAATTACAAATAATGTCTCATATTTCATCCAGAGGCACATAGGCAAGTATTTTAAATGTAGATTCACTAGGTCGGCTTACCACTTTACATATAACTTTGAAAATGAAAAGTTAGTGTGCCCCTAGTAATGTGAATGCTTCTAAATTGTGTATCACCTCTGGGCTAAGGTCAAGTGTATGTAGTTAAGCCTCAAAGAAGAAATTTCCATAAAATTATGAGAAACTGAAAATTGTGATTTACAATAGAGGCCCAGATAAACTTGAATTGTGGCTTTTCACTTCTTCTGGAGAAAGAGAAAATACTCCTTGATAGTTAGAGGAAAATGTGTGCTTCGCTCCTAAGGAATTGAAGCATGGGCTTATTTATTTAACTAGTATTATTATGTTTTCTTACTACAAAATAAGAATGGTTTTTAGAAGTGTGCTGTTTTTTCTCCAGATATTTTGGGATTTTCCAGTTATCTTTCTGTTATTTATTTCTAGTTTAATTCCACTGTGGTCTGAGAGTGTACTTCTATGTTTTCTATTCTTTTAAATCTGTTAGGATGTGTTTTATGACAGAGATTGTGGTCTATCTTGGTGAATGTTCCATGTTAGCTTAAGAAAAGCATGTATTCTGCTGTTGTTGGATGGAGTAGTCTATAAATATCAGTTACATCCAGTTGATTGATGGTGCTGTTCAGTTCAATTATATCCTTACTGATTTTCCACCTGCTGGATCTGTCAATTACTGAAAGAGGAGTGCTGAAGTCTCCAACTATAATAATGAATTTGTTGATATCTCCTTGTAGTTCTTCCAGGTTTTGCCTCATGTATTTTGATGTTATGTGGTTAGGTGCATTCACATTAAGGATTGTTGTGTCTTCTTGGAGAATTGACTCCTTTATCCATATATAATGCCCCTCTTTATCTCTGAACATTTTTCTTGCTCTGAAAACTGTTGTGTCTGAAATTAATACAGCTTCTCCAGCTTTCTTTTGATTAGTGTTAACATGGTATATCTTTATCCATCCAGAAACTTCTAATTTATCTGTGCCTTAATATGTAAAATAGATTTCTTATAGACAACATTTAGTTGGATCTTTTGTAAAATCCATTTTAATAGTCTCTATCTTTTAATTGCTATATTCAGACTATTACAATTTAAAGTGATTATTTATATAGATTAATATCTACAATATTTTTCCTCATTTTCCTTTTTGTCCTTGTTCTTTGTTCCTCTTATTTTGTGTTCCACTCTTTTTCTGTGTTTTTGGGTTTTAATTGAGCATTCCATATTATTTCTTTCTTCTTGCAGAGTGTCAACTATACTTTTTTTTAAATTTTAGTTAGTGGTTGATATGTTTTGGCTGTGTCCCCACCCAAATCTCATCTTGAATTCTAGTTCCTATAATCCCCATATGTCATGGGAGGGACCCAGTGGGAGGTAATTGAATCATGGGGGCACTTACCTTCATGCTGTTCTCATGATATGGAGGGAGTTCTCACAAGATCTGATGGTTTTATAAGGGGCTTCCCCCTTCTCATGGCTCTCACATTCTTCTTCTCCCTGCTGCCATGTGAAGAAGGACATGTTTGCTTCCCCTTCTGACATGATTGTAAGTTTTCTGAGGCCTCCTCAACCATGCTGAACTGTGAGTCAATTAAACCTCTTTCTTTTATAAATTACCCAGTCTTGGGTATGTCTTTATTGGCCGCGTGAGAAAAGTAATAGAGTAAATTGGTACTGCAGAGAGTGTGGTATGCTATAAAGATCCCTGAAAATGTAGAAGCAACTTTGGAACTGGGTAACAGGCAGAGGTTGGACTAGTTTGGAGGGCTCAGAAGACAGGAAAAGAAAGTTTGGAACTACCTAAAGACTTAGAGGACTCAGAAGACAGAAAGATGTGGGAAATTTTGGAACTTCCTAGAGACTTGTTGAATGGCTTTGACCAAAATGCTGATAGTAATATTAACAATGAAGTCCAGGCTGAGGTGGTCTCAGATGGAAATGGGGAACTTGTTAGGAACTGGAGCAAAGGTGACTCTTGGTATGCTTTATTTAGCAAAGAGACTGGCAGCATTTGGCCCCTGCTCCAGAGATCTGTGGAACTTTGAACTTGAGAGAGATGATTTAGGGTATCTGATGGAAAAAAGTTCTAAGTGGCGAAGCATTCAAGAGGAAGCAGAACATAAAAGTTTGGAAAGTTTGCAGCCTGACCATGTGATTCAAAAGAAAAACCTTATTTTCTAGGGAAAAATTCAAGCCTGCTGCAGAAATTTGCATAAGTAAAAAGGAGTCAAATGTTAATCACCAAGACAATGGGGAAAATGTCTCCAGGGCATGTCAGAGACCTTTACAGCAAACCCTACCATCACAGGCCTGGAGGCTTAGGAGGGAAAGGGTTTCCTGGGCCAGGTCCAGGGCCCCCTGGTGTGTGCAGTCTTTGGACTTAGTGCCCTGAGTCACAGCCACTCCAGCCTTGGCTAAAAGGGGCCAAGGTACAGCTCAGGCCATTGCTTCAGAGGGTGCAAGCCCCAAGCCTTGGCAGCTTCCATGTGGTGTTGGCCCTGCAGTATGCAGAAGTCAAGAATTGAGGTTTGGGAACCTCCGCCTAGATTTCAGAGGATGTATGGAAAGGCCTGGATGTCCAGGCAGAAGTTTGCTGCAAGGGCAGATCCCTGTTGGAGAACCTCTTCTAGGGCAGTGTGGAAGAAAAATGTGGGGTCTCAGCCCCCACACAGAGTCCCCACTGGGGCACTGCCTAGTGGAGCTGTGAGAAGAAGGCCACCATCCTCCAAACCCCAGAATGGTAGATCCACCTACGGCTTGCACCGTGTGCCTGGAAAAGCCACAGACACTCAACATCAGCCCATGAAAGCAGCCAGGAGGTGGGCTATACCCTGCAAAGCCACAGAGGAAGAGTCGGTCAAGGCCACAGAGCCCACCTCTTGCATCAGCAAGACCTGGATATGATACATGGAGTCAAAGGAGATCATTTCAGAGCTTTAAAATTTGACAGCCCCTGGATTTCAAACTTGGCATGGGGCATGTAGCCCCTTCATTTTGGCCAATTTCTCCCGTTTGGAATGGTCGTATTTACCCAATGCCTGTACCCCCATTTTATCTAGGAAGTGAGCAACTTGCTTTCGATTTTACAGGTTCATGGGCGGAAAGGACTTGTCTTGTCTCAGAGGAGACTTTGAACTTGGGCTTTTGGGTTAAGGCTGGAATGAGCTAAGACTTTGGGGGACTGTTGGAAAGGCATGATTGTTTTTATAAATGTGAGGATATGAGATTCGGGAGGGGCCAGGGGCAGAATGATATGGTTTGTCTGTGTCCCCACTGAAATCTCATCTTGAATTGTAGTTTCCATAATCCCCATGTGTCATGCGAGGGACCCAGTGGGAGGTAATTGAATCATGAGGGTGGTTATCTCCATGCTGTTCTCGTGATAGTGAGTGATTCTTGTGAGATCTGATGGGTTTATAAGGGGCATCCCCCTTTGCTCAGCTCTCATTCTTCTTCTCCCTTCTGCCATGTGAACAAGGATATGTTTGCTTCCCCTTCTGCCATGACTATAAGTTTCCTGAGGCCTCCTCAGCCATGCTGAACTGTGAGTCAATTAAACCTCTTTCCTTAATGAATTACCCAGTCTCGGGTATGTCTTTATTAGCAGCATGAGACTGGACTAATATAGGTTGTCTTGGAGTTTGCAATACACATTTATAACTAATCTAATCTAATCCCAAATAACACTACCACCTCATGGGTGTTATAAGTACCTTATAACAAAGTATATCCAGTTTCTCATTTTATCCCTTATTACATTGCTGTCATTCATTTTACCTATTCATAAGCTATATTCACCAATTATTACTATTATTATTTTGAAAAAGCTGTTATCTGTTAGATTAATTAAAAGAAAAATAAAAATTTTATTTTACTTTCATTTATTACTTTTTAGTGCTCTTCTTTTTAAATATAGATTTGAGATTCTGAGTGATATCATTTTTCTACTCTACAGAAAGTTCCTTTTTTGTGTGTTTTAAATGATATATAGAGAGATACTTCAGCAGTTTGCTTTACTAATTGCTTTCCAGAACGTGTGGCTCAGAATTTCATAGCAGTTTTATCTACAGCTCATGACACAAACATTAAGTTTTTTTAATTTTTAATTTTTCTATTTCAATAGGTTTTTGAGGACCAGTAGGGTTTGTTTACATTAATAAGTTCTTTAGTGGTGATTTCTGAGATTTTGGTGCATCCATAACCCAAGCAGTGTACGCTGTACCCAGTGTGTATTCTTTTATCCCTCACCACCCCCACCCTTTCCCCTGAGCCCCCAAAGTCCAATGTATCATTCTTATGCCTTTGTGTCCTCATAGCTTAGCTCTCACATATGAGTGAGAACATACAATGTTTGGTTTTCCATTCCCAAGTTACTTCACTTAGAATAATAGTCTTTAATTCCATCCAGGTTGCTGTGAATGCCATTATTTTGTTCCTCTTTATGGATGAGTAATAGTCCATGGTATGTATATATATCACATTTTCTTTATCCACTCATTGATTGATGGACATTTACATTTGGGGTGGTTCCATATTTTTGCAGTTGCAAATTGTGCTGCTATAAACATGCATGTGCAAGTATCTTTTTGTATAATGACTTCTTTTCCCCTGGATAGTTACCTAGTAGTGGGATTGCTAAATCAAATGGTAGATCTACTTTTAGATTTTTAAGGAATCTCCATACTGTTTTCCATAGCGGTTGTACTAATTTACATTCCCACCAGCAGAGCAAAAGTGTTCTCTTTTCACCACATCCACACCAACATCTATTATTTTTTGATTTTTTGATTATGGCCATTCTTACAAGAGTGAAGTGGTTACACATTGTGGTTTTGATTTGCATTCTACAGAAAGTTTCTTTTAGCATTTCTTACAATGCAGGCCTCCTGGTAACATATTCCCTCAATTTTTGTCTAAAAATATTTCTCCTTTGCTTTTGAAAGTTCATTTTTGAGTACACAATAACAGGTTGAGGGGGGCACTTTTTGAACATTTAAAACAGTTTACTCCACTCTCTTTTTGCTTGTATAGTTTCTGAAGAAAAATCTAATTCTTATTATTGTTCCTCTATAGATAAGTTGGTTTTTCACCAATCCCTGGCTTCTTTAAAAATTTATTTATTTGTCTGATTTTTTGCACTTTGAACATGCTATAATGTTATAGGTTGGACTGTGTCTCCCTTTGCCCAGAAAAATGATATGTTGAAGTCTTTATCCTCAGTACCTTGGAACTTGACATTATTATTGTGATTATTGTTTTTGCTGGGTACATGAAGCTTTTACTTTATTTTTTAAGCATGCTTTCTTTGTACATTTTTAAATTTTATTTTTGTTTTTATTTATATACACATTTATAGAGTACAAGTACAATTGTGTTACATGTGTAGTGGTCAAGTCAGGGCTTTTACGACATCCATTACCAGAATAGTGGACATTGTACCCATTAAGTAATTTCTCATCATCCACCCCATACCTCCAACCTTCCTAGTGTCCATTGTCCATCATTCCACTCTCTATGAGAATGTCACCTTATTTAGAAATAGGATTGTTAAGATGAGGTCATATTGGAGTAGAGTGAGCCCTTATTCCAATATGTTTGGTGTTCTTATAAGAAGACAACCATATGAAGACACAGAGATACACAGGTAGAATGTCATGTATGCAGCCTGCAAAACAAATAACACCAAAAATTGCCAACAAACCACCAGAAGCTGGGAAGAAGCAAGAAGCATTGCCCTATAAGTTTCAGAGGGAACAAGGCCCCTGCCAAAACTTTAATTTCCAACTTCAAAACCTCAAAACTGTGAGGCAATAAATTTCTGTTGCTTTAAGCCACCAAGATTGTGGTGCTTTTTTACAGAAGCCCTAGGAAATTAGCACATATGCCTTGGTGTAGATTTTTTGTATTTATCATGCTTAGTGTTCTCTGAGCTTCCTGGATCTGTGGTTTGCTGTTTGTCATTGATTTTTGAAAATTTTCAGCCGTTATTACTTCAAATATTTCTCCTACCCCTTTCTCTTTGTCTTCTTCTGCTGCTGTTCCCATTATGTATTTGTTACTTTCTTTGTAATTGTTTCACAGTTCTTGGATATTCTATTCCCTATTTTCCATTATTTTTTCTTTATGCTTTTCAGTGTGAGAAATTTCTATTCATGGACGTTTAAGATCACTACTTTTTTTCCTTAGCTATGTCCACTCTACTGATGAGTACATCAAACATATTCTTCAATTCTGTTTTTTTAATTTCTAGCATTTCTTTTTTATTCCTTTTTAAAGTTTTCATCTCTCTGCTTATATTATCCATCTTTTCTTGCATGCTGCTCACTTTTTCCTTTAGAGCCCTTAGCATATTAATTATTAGTTTTCTGAGGCTATAACAGAGTACCAAAGACTTACTGATTTATGCAACAGAAATTACTTTTCTCACAGTTCTGGAGGCTGGAATTTTGGGACTAGGTGTTGGCAGAGTGGATTTCTTCTGAGGCCTCTTTCCTTGGCTTGTAGATTGAACTTCGTTCAATTGTATTAACCCAAATCCTCTATCTCTTGTATTTTTCATAGTTGGGTTATCTTGAAGATTTTCTATGGACAGATTTTGTAACTTTAAATAGTATACAAAAATTCCACCTAACCCATATCTCCCTTCAAATTTATCTGAATTATGTTATTATTCTTATTTTTTCTACTCCTTGCTTTTATATCTTTAAAGAATGTACATTAAACTCTTTTTCATGTTTTATTAACTTTCATCTGCTATCTCTTTACTATCCACCTTGTGGGATGAAGCTACAAGGACCCCACATTTTTTTCCATTTCTTCCATCCACCTCCCACCTTTCATCTTTTTCCCTTTACTTTATATTGTCAGGGCTGCTAACATTTTCCTTCCAACCTGCGGTCATATTTAAGTATTTCATGCTTAATCTGAAGATTGTAAAAGATCCTGGCCGGGCACAGTGGCTCACGCCTATAATCCCAGCACTTTGGGAGGCCAAGGCGGGCAGATCACTTAAGGTCAGGAGTTCAAGACCAGCCTGGCCAACATGGTGAAACCCCGTCTCTACTAAAAATACAAAATATTAGCCAGGTGTGGTGGCAGGCGCCTGTAATTCCAGCGATTTGGGAGGGTGAGGAAGGAAGATCGCTTGAACCTGGGAGGCGGAGATTGCAGTGAGCAGAGATCACGCCCACTGCACTCCAGCCAGGGCGACAGAGCGAGACTCTGCCTTAAATAAATAAATAAATAAATAAATAAATATTGTAAAAGATAAACACTGAAAAGTTACTATGATGGTGAAAATATCGTTCACTCTAGGGTCAACTGGTATTACTTTCCAATAGATCGAATCAATTCTGACTCCTTAAAGAGGAATATTCCTACTATCAAAATAAAATATAGTCTCATTTCTAATGTTATCAATTGCTTCAAATCATATCATAATTTACTTTAGTTTCCTACCAAATTGGCTAAAATTTTAAAAGACTGACAATACCAAGTGTTGCTAAGGATGTGGAACAATTCAAATTCTCAAACACTGCTGGTGAGACTGTTAATCTACTGGTGAGACTGTTGATTAATATGACCACTTTGGAAAAGGGTTTAGCAATATCTACTAAAACTGAACATATGCATACTCTATAACTCAACTACTCCACTTTCACATGCATATCTAAAATAAATGTGAGTATACATGCACCACAGACAAAGTACAGTAATGTTCACAGCAGCACTATTCATAATGGCCAAATCTAGAAGCAATTCAAATGTACATTAACAATCGAATGGGTGAAAATTGTAGCATATCCACACAGTGAATTATTTTAAGCAATGAGGATGTTTGCCATTTTCAACATGTGAATATAATATTGAATAAAAGTAGCCAGATTCAAAAAAGTAATATACTCTATGATTTATTTATACACAGTTTAAAAACAGGAATGAATATGTTATAGAGTATTAGAAGTCAGGATTGTGGTTATACTCAGGGATACAGGTAGTAAGTGAAATGACAAGGAAGACTTTGGGATACTGATAGTGTTCAATTTCTTGATATAAATTGTGTTTACAAGGATGTGTTTACTTTATGATAATTCATCAGTACAGTTATGAATTATGGACTTGTGTTATACATGTTATAGTTCAATTTTTGGTTTTAAAAAACTGACCTTACAATAGTTATTTTAGTAGTCACTTAAAAATGGCTGTTTTCTATTGGACTAAAAAATAGTCTTGAAAAATTAAATCATATGTTTGATTTTCTTCTTGGTACTTCTATTTTCTAAATATTCCAATATAAAAATTATTTTATTCTATAATCAGAAAAAGCTTATCAACTCACTCCAAAAAATTATGAGTCTGCGTCATGATTCTCAGACTTAGCCACTTTTTATATGCCATCCGTAAGGGATTTGATTGTATCCTTCAAAAAGGTATGTTCAAGTCCTGACCCCCAGTACCTCTGAATATGACCTTATTTGGAAATAGAGTCTGCAGATGTCGTTAAGAATCTCAAGATAAGGCCGCACAGGATTTAGAGTGGGCCCTAAATCCAGTGAATGATTGTCTTTGTTAGAGAAAATATTGGGATATTTGAAACTCCAAGAGTCAAAGGGGAAAAAGCCATGTGAAGACAGAGGCAAAGATTCTAATTATATGTCCATAAGCCAAAGAATGACAAGGATTGCTAGTGCTGCCAGAAGGTGAGAAAGAGGCATGAAACAGATTCTCCCTCAGAACCTCCAAAAGGAACCAACCCTGCTGGCACCTTGATTTGAGACTTCTGGCCTCTGGCACTGTGAAAGAATCAATTTCTGTTGCTTTAAGCCATGAAGTTTGTGACAATTTGTTGTGGTAGACTTCGGAAACTAATGTTGTACCATCCATCCCTCCTCATACACACATTCAGACAAAGGCACACTTATAGTTAAGAGGCTATTTTGTTCTCGGTGGTCCCTACTTGACTGCCAAACTTGCAATAAATCATGTTAACCAGACGTTATCATTTTTTATGATTCCTCAAGAACCCTGGTGAGTTGCTAAATTTGTGCCCACTTCCTACTTCACCTCTCTCTCCTTTATTTTCCATAGATCTTTAAACTGTGAGTCAGCATCAAGCTAGCAGTTTGTTAAAGTAACAGCTGTAAGCATTTCAACTTTTTCATCCCACGATACATTTCATCATTTTCTTTCTTTCTTATGGAAGTTGATAAGGCCAATCAACAGAGTATATGTCTTCTTGTAATTTGTTTTTTACTTGGAGTCTTAATCAGCATAAAGGGAGTTGAAAAGCCACTTCTATGTGGAATACTTATTACCAAGGTTAAGAGAGACTATGCTTAACATTTAATTGGTTTATAGTGCTGTGAAGCTAGTTTTCAAGGTCATAAAAATCTTACTTATAAACACAAAAAGAAAATGTTAACAGCTGTTATAAAATCATCAAAGTTGCGTTTTCTTCTTGAGCAATGAGGAGTTGTTCTTTGCACAAACACTGTCTAATATATCTTTAAATGTTCTTTTGATTAACAGAAGTAAACATGACCCTGTCCCAGGAACAAATGAGTTGACTGCAAATTTGGCTTCTTTTTATTCCCCTAACATCTCCCCATGCGCAACCAATTTGCCCATCAGTTGGGTTATACTGACAAGGATGTAAATGCGACCCATTTGTGAGTCAGCAGCAGTCTGTCTTCCCTAGTGTAAGAGCATGGTGGGTCAGTGCTCCATTGTCTATAAAAGTAACTGGGATGTGATTAAGCCCTGGTGAGTAGACCAACCAACCACATATTGTATCCACGTAATACCATTCTCACCTTCATTACCCTGTAACTATTTCTTTTTCCCTTAACCCTAATCCACCACAATCCATTCTTCATACAGAAGTCAGAATGACCATCCAAAGGCTTAAAATGGAATGTTCAACTCCCTTATTTCTACTCTCTAAGGGCTTTCCATGGCATTTAGAATAAAATACAAACAAGTTACATGATCTATCCCCCATCTCCACACTAATTCCCAACTCCGTATTTGCCATTTCTTTTGCCTATAATGTTTTGTCCACAGAATTTCCCATTGTAGCATCTTCCTCATCAGTCAGAATTCAACTCAGTGTTACAAACTCAAGAGATCTTCAACAAAGATGCCCCACTTCCATGGCTGGTCTGTCTCTACAGCATCAATTTTATTTTTTTGACTGAAATTATTAATCATTTATTTCTGGACTTGATGTTTGTCCTTGTCACCCCCACCAACACTAAATTATAAACCTCATTAAAATAGATACTTATTGATTACTTTATTCCATCATCTTGAATTCTGCCTGTCACTAAGTTGGTTCTCAATAAAATACTTTGAAATGAATGAATAAATATAACCAGCTTAATAAACATGACTATTACCATAGGTCCCCGCTCAAAATTATCACTCACCTATCACCACACTTTCATGTTTCCTTAAAAATATTCTTGTGTGAAATACATTTTGCTGTGCAGCCACTGTATTTAGTTATCTGTGGTTGCATAAAAAATTACCCCAACATTTGGTGGTTTAATACAGCAAATACTTACTATCTCATAGTTTCTGTGGGCCAGGAAGCTTGGAGTGCTATGGCGGGGTCCTCTAGCTCAAGGTCTCTCTGGCTGCAATCAAGGTATGCAGCCATCTCAAGACTCCAAAGGGGAAGGTTATGCTCCCAAGCTCACCCTGGTTGTTGGAAGGATTCACTTCTCACAGGTAGTTGTCCTGAAGGACTCAGTCCCTCACTGGTTGTTGTGGGAGGCTTTCCTCAGTTCCTTGCTCTATGGGCCTTTCCAGAGGGCAGCTCATAATATGGCATTTTGCTTAATCAGAGTGAAAAGAGAGAGCAAGCGGGACATCCAACAGAAAAGCCAAAATCATTTTGTAGCCTAATCTCATGCCATCACTTTTGCTATTTTCTATTTGTTAGAAGTGAGTCACTAGGTTCAGCCAACATTGATGGGAGAGATTTCTCTTGAATATCTAGAAGTAGGGATCACAGGAAGCCATTTTAGAGGCTGCTCACCAGAGCCACATATCTTCATATTTGCATGAACTCTTCATCCCATTCTTTTCACTCTAGCCTATCTTCCTGGAGTTTTCTCCCCGTGGGAGCCAAAACTCTAGTAATCATGTCCACTTTCTGTCACTTGGCTCTGCATTATTCTTGACAACTCAGCAATTTTGAGTGAAAAGTTTCAGTTTAAGATATATAAGAAGCCATGATAAACAGCAGCTCACGAAGACATCTATAAAATACAGACCTCATAACTGTATGAATCAAGAAGTGGATATCATTAAAAGATAAATATCCATTCATTATTTCAAGAAACATTTATTGAATGACTGTATGCGCTAACCACTGTTCTAGATGCTGAAATTCATCAGTTACAAAACGAAAAAATGCTCGCTTTCATGAGTTTTAAAATTCGATCTAGAGGCAGATAACAAACAAGATAGCAATAAAATATAGTGCCTTAGGTAGTGACACGTGCTAATGAGAAAGAAAAGGTAATATAACATGCTGGATTTGGAGGAGGTAACATTTTAGGTATAGTGGACTGGGAAGACCTCATGGAGAAAATGCCCTTCGAACAAATACCTGAAGGATGACCAGGAAATATCTATAGGAAATTATCCAAGCAGTTGGAATCAGATACAAAGATCCTGAGGGGAGACATTGACTGTGTGTTCAAGGAATTAAACAAAAGCTTAGTGTGTCTTTTTTTTTTTTTTTTTTTTTTTTGAGAAGGAGTCTTACTCTGTTGCCCAGGCTGGAGTGCAATGGCATGGTCTTGGCTCACTGCAACCTCCGCCTCCCAGGTTCAAGCAACTCTCCTGCCTCAGCCTCCCGAGTAGCTGGGACTACAGGCATGCACCACCACACCTGGCTAATTTTTGTATTTTTAGTAGAGACGGGGTTTCACCATGTTGGCCAGGCTGGTCTCGAACTCCTGACCTCATGATCCACCCGCCTCTGCCTCCCAAAGTGCTGGGATTACAGGGATGAGCCACCACACCCAGCCCCTAGTGTGTCTTAAATGAGTGAGTAAGGGATAGTATAGAAGGAGATAAAGTTGGAAAGGAGAAAAGATCATGCAAGGCCTTGCAGGCTAAAGTAAGAACTTTGGCTTTTCTTCTGAGTGATGTGTGGAGCTTTTTGGAGGATTTTGAGCACAGGAGCAGATACGATCTGTCATAATGTTTTAACAGCATCAACTTGGCTGCCATGTTGAGAACAGACTAAAGG
Organism: Homo sapiens; assembly: GCF_000001405.40. Lineage (NCBI taxonomy): Eukaryota > Metazoa > Chordata > Mammalia > Primates > Hominidae > Homo > Homo sapiens. The sequence continues at coordinate 30,389,604 of NC_000023.11, forward strand.
GGACTTGAGCAAAAAGAAACAGACAGACCATCTTGGTGGCTATTGCATCAAGCCAGGTAAGAGATACTAGTTGTTCAGACTGGAAGACAGACAGTAGGCGAGAAGTGGTCATACCCTGGGTGTACTTTGAAAGTAAAGTGGAGAGGATTTGTTGGTAGATTGGATGGTATGTGTGAGATAAAAGAAAGTCAATTACGACTCCAAAAACTTTAGCCTGAACTAACAAAGAATGAAGTTTCCGTAAACTGAGATGCAAAGTCAATTCATGGGAAGAACTTGTTTGGGGAAAGACTATCAGGAGATCAGTTTTAGACGTGTTAATGTTGAAAAGCCTACTAGCCGTCTGAGTGGAGATGTAGAGGAGAGACTAGTCCAGAGTTAGCGAAAAGGCTTAGTCTAGAGGTAGACATTTGTAAAGAGTTAGCATATATAAGATATGTAAAGCAATGAGAGTAAGTGAGATCACCTTAGGGAACAAGGCTACCTAGAAAAGACAAGAGGTGAAAATGAAAAACTCAGAGTAAAAATGCAAGATTTTTGAATCAGCTCTGAGTTCAAACTAGATCCAAGGGCTCCAAGCACAAAAGGGTCTGCCTTTTGAATAGATAGCTGGGGTATTTCCATAAGAGTCCCGCTCTTTGAGATTTCTCCTGATTAGAACTAAGATGAGTCAAAACATATTTTCTTGCTTCCAAGCAGGAAAGCCTCAAGGCAAGCTCTACTCAACAGCTGGGTTTCGAAAAAGCCTATTTCCTTTCCCCAGCATTGATCATCTGCTTCCTTTGAGTCAGTGGTTCTCAAGTATCAGCCAGCATAGTTATCCCCACCTCCAGAGAGCCACATTCTGTAAGTGGGGTTCCGAATCTTCATTTTTAGCAAGTATCTCTGTTGATCTTGATAAGGCTACTCCAACTTTCAGAAGTCTAAATCTAGAAATCGAGATCACTATAAAAAATATTGACTATTATATTATGCTAAGACGTTTTGATACTCATAGTGCCTATTGACCTTAACTTTCTGATAAAAAACTTGTTAATTTCTAAATGCTGACATTAATTTTAAGCTTAAAACTATACATAAGCAGTTAACTAACTACTTCAAAATTCAAATAGAAAATGTTAACAATCTGACTCTATTGTTTTAATTTTTTGAAAAGAGTAACAATCAGCTTTTATTGATTCAGAGAGTTCAGCCTTTGAGTAGGCAAAAAAGACATTACTTTCAGCCTGGCGCAGTGGCTCATGCCTGTAATCCCAACACTGTGGGAGGCCGAGGTGGGTGGATCACTTGAGGTCAGGAGTTTGAGACCAGCCTGGCCAGCATGGCAAAACCCTGTCTCTACTAAAAATACAAAAAATTAGCCAGACGTGGTGGTGGGCGCCTGTAATCTCAGCTGCTCGGGAGGCTGAGGCAGGAGAATCGCTTGAACCCGGCAGGCAGAGGTTGCAGTGAGCCGAGATCATGCTACTGCATTCCAGACACAGTGAGACTCTGTCTCAAAAAAAAAAAAAAAAGACATTACTTTCTAAAGATTGGTGTGGTAAAGATGTCTGTGTTCCCCTATACCCAGTTTTGCTCTCCATCCACATATAGGGGAGGGTTATACCTTAATAAGACCACATAATTAGTTCTGGTCAATGGACTGTGGGAAAAAATACTAGGTGTCACTCCTAGACCAAAGTATTTGATAACCAATGTTTGACCTCCCAAGGTTCTCTTCCTTTGCCACAGCAATTTTAGAGGAAGCCTCACGTTGAGTTTATGGAGATGGAAGATCAAAATAACCTGCATCTCTGTCATCTCATGGAGAGCATTTATGTTGGAAAGTTTCTATCTTCACATTAGGCTTTGTGAGCAAAACGTAAATCTTGTACTGAGCCACTGAGATTTTTGTTTGTCTGTCACTGTGGCATAAGCCTATCATATCCTGAATCATCACCTGGCAATATACTACAGGAGCTCTACAAAAGTATAGATCAGAAAGGGATTTGATTATTGTAAATTTATAACTAATCTTTGGACTTCACACCAAATATTGAAAAGATTTTCTTGCTGTACAGACAAGCAAATCAACTCACACATAACAGCTCTTCATATCTCTCATTCCACAATTTCAAATTATTTGTTCAATAGAACATGAATCCTTGCTATCTGCATGCTCCAAGTTATTCTATTTACTTTATATTTATACAGGAAGGCAAAACAGAGTATAACCCATTTTTCAAGCACACCTTCCTTTAGGAATTGTTTTTTGTCCTTTGCTCCTCTCCTCGCCCTCATTTAATAAGCACATCCATGACCCCACCTTCTTTCTCACTTTCCTTTTCACACAGGCGGGATTAGGTGCCTACCCAACATCTCCCTTTGCTGCCTCCATATGCTTCCATAAACCCTATACATACTTCCCATCACTGATCTAAAAATGTGCTGTTTTACATATTAGAATTAAGCTCTTAACCCACAGGGGCCATATCCATTTATGCCTAGTACCTAGCACAAAGAAGGCAACCAATGAATGTTGTTGAACCTAACTACTTCTTAAGTCAAATATATAGAGGATGTGTGTAGCTCTGAGGTGGCATCTGTTTCTTTATCAACTAACTTATACCCTTAGAAAAAGAGATGTTTCTCCGAATCTGCAGGCATGGCTCTTATTTCAGACCTCAGATAATGCCCCAGGTTTTTCTGTTGATACTCATAACAAATCCTTCTTCTTAAAAGGCATACTGACAGTTAGTTACTAAAGGCATTTCAGATACTTGCTGATTGTTTCATATCAATATGTGCAAAGAATCATAAAAACATAGAGAATGGGGTCACTTTTTAAAGTAGTCATTATATGCAATGAATACTATCATTTCTAATTCATGAAATTTCTATTAGCCATCTTCTGAAAATGAGTTAGGAATCTAGTTTTATAGACATCTAATTTTATTTGATTAGCTTAAGCAAAAGAGTGAGTTAATGATATATTGCCATTCCTATGTACTAGAAAGATGTGTTAATAAAATATAATCATCATATACTCCCTATGTTAATATGAACTATATGTGAGAATGTAGTGTGTTTGCCTACTCTATAAAACATCTTCAAGAAGCTTTTATGAGTATTTTACAGCTAATTCAGAGATCTCAACCACAGCCTATTCTAATTAACTTGATTTTGTATTACTATTTACCTTTCTGCAAAGTGATTATCATTGCAGTTTGAGAGTGGAGAATGTGAATTCTAAACTGTGTTCTATAGAATACCAGTGTGCTTTGAGGTGATAATAGGGCCCTATAAGAAAAACTCTGAAAATGCTAAGGAAAACAAAAGTAAACAGACGTTCTTTTTGCAAGACTTCTGAGAGTCTTTACCACGTGTTATGAATAAGACTGATTTATCCACTAGTCACAGTAGGCACAGTGCCTAGGGCCCAGGGTATTTCCTAAGAACCTACACCAATGTTTTAATTTCTCTTAAAATGAGAAGGAAAAAGGAAATAATAATAAAACTAAATATATAATAATGAATCTAGCCTGGATTATATTAATAGTTATACCAATGCAGTCATAAAATATAACTTTTCATTTTTTTATGGAGGAAGTGGCCCACAAAGGCAAACGTGCCTAGAGCTCACCAACATCACAATGAAGCCCTATGAACTTCGACCAACAACAAAATCCACCAAATGTTTCTCTCTCAAACAAGAAGAAAAATGAGAAATTTGAGAATACTACTCCTTAATATATTATCTACTCAGGTAGGTGGCAACCGAAAGTCTCTCCCTGTGAAGGGAGGCGGGGCTGTAGTGGTGGAATTGACCAAGACAGAAAAGGCAAATATGCCTCCCAGGTTTTAAGTTTGGGTGATTCCTTGGCTGGCTGTACTAGCAACTCATCTTTTTGACAGGTTTAGTTGTCAGTTATTTGTAGGATAACAGAAAAGAGATGCCCTACAGATGGTTCTATACATGAGTCTAAAATTCAGGAGCGAGACCAAGTCTGGTGTTGTTTATTCAGGAATTTTTTAGTATAGTGGAGATAGTTGAAACTATTGAAGTAGGGAATAACAGAGTGAGAAAGGCAGTGGACCAAGGATATAACTATAGGGAGTTTCAACCTTAAGGGACAGTTATAGAAATATAAACTCCCCCAAAGAGACAAAAAACAAGGAGAAATACAAGGAAAACTAGAGAGGGGTATTATCATGGAAATGTATTCGATGACATTATAATGGGAATAGAGTAGAAAGTTTCAAGACAAAAAGGGAAAACAGTCACTCATATTCATCACAAGTGAGATGATGAATCACCACAACCTTCCTGGGAGTCGATTTGGCATTGTGTGAAAACAACTAGAAAAGATTTACACCCTTGGACCCAATAATTGTCTTGCAATAATTTATTCTAAAGAAATAATCCCAAGAAAATTGTCAAGGATTTATGTACAAGGATGTGTGTAGCACCTTTATTTATAATAGGGAAGATTTTAAAATGAGTCAAATATCCAATAGTGGGGAAATGGCTAACTTAACAATAATTCAGCTACAGAATGTTGTGAAGCAGTAATCAGCATCTTAAAAATATTTAAGGATATGGGAAGATATTTACAAAATTATATTAAAAAGTAGGTAAAACCTACCGTACAGAACCGTGTCTACATATATCTATATCTACCTTTCTATGTATTGATAAATATTGTGAAAGTCATCAGAATGAAATTAGAGTTACTTATTTCCAAATCTTCACAAAATGGATTCAGGAGGCCATGAATTTCTGCGAGGCTGGGGGGAGTGTCCTCACAGATATTTGCCTAATAACATGAACTATCACAAAAGACTACAAAAACCACAACATTGCACAAAGGCCACCACAACCTTACACAAAAAAATACTTCTAAAATTATACCTACCAGCAACTATCTGTTCAACCTTGCTTGGATTGATGCCACCCTTGTTATTGAAACTTGTAACTACGGATAGTCATTTCAAAACAACTTATGTAACCCTCTTCATTTTACCTGTAAAAACCCTTTTATTCTTTTGCCTCTCTGGATATGCTTATGATCCATCATCGCATGCATATCCCAGATTGCAATTCCCTGCATATTTCCAAATAAACTCTTTTATTTTCTTGGAGAGACTGCCTCTGTACCATTATTTTAGGTTGATATCATGTATGTACTTCAAAACGTTAACAGAGGTTATCACCAATTAGTGCTGTTACAAATATGGTTTTTCTTCTTTGTACTTCCCTACATTTTCCAAATATTCTGTAATGACCAAATACTGCTTTTTTTTTTCTTTGAGACAGGGTCTTATGCAGAGATACAATCATGGATCACTGCAGCCTTGACCTCCTGGGCTCAATGGGCTCAAGTGAACCTCAGCATCCCTAGTAGCTGGGACTACAGGCATACACCACCAAGCCCAGCTAATTTTTCTAATATTTCTAGAGATGGGGTCTTGCTATGTTGCCAGGCTGTCTCAAACTCCCAATCTCAAGCGATCCTCCCACATTGGCTTCCCGAAGTGCTGGGATTATAGGCATGAGTCAGTGCACCTGACCTATTTTTATACTCATGAAAAAGACATTACATTTTAAAGGGAAAAAGCAATTAACAGTGTCAAAAACAGAGAGAAGTTTGGTGGCATAAGACCGGAAAATGTATATTAGATTTGGCAACGAGGTCATTATGTATCTTAGGGAAAGTAGTTTCAGGAGTGGAATGAGAAAGGCGGGTTTCAGAGTTCATGGAGTAAAACTGAGATGGAAAACCCAAGAAAGCCAGTTTTGTTGTGCTTTCAAAAGATCCGAAAGTGAATGAACAGAGAGAAACTGGACAGGAGTTGAATGGGCTACAAGTCTAAGGCCTTTTAAACCAAAAAGTTCCTTAAGTGTCTATAGACAGAGGGGAAGGTCCAATAAAGAGGATGAGGAAGAGGTGACTGACAGAGCAAGAACAGGGCAGTCACAGAGGGAGTTTGAGTTGGGCCACAGGTGTGAGTTGGCCTTGAACTGGTAAGAAACATTACAAACTTCTAAAACAAACAAAAGTAACTGAAAATCAGTGAGTATAGATATGGTTACAGAGAAATTGAGAGAGACCTTTCTGATGACCTCAAGATTTCCACTGATGTAAAGACAGGGTCATCTGTTGAGAATAAAATCAGCAGTTGTTTGGAGAAGAAGGGACTTGAGGTAAATTTTACCTGACCAGGTAAAATGACCGGAAGAATATACTGAAAGCTCAACCAAACATACAACCATTGCATGTAAACATTTTAAAATATCTCTATCAACATGAAACTTCTAGGTAAGAATAAAGTGGTGAAAAAGATAAAGGATAAGAAGCTGTGGTCAGAAAGTGGGAAGCTGATGTGGAGTCCTTTTTTAAGCAATGACAAGATTCAGGGTACGGGCTTGTGTGTAGGGAGCTAAAGGAATTGCAAGGCCATTCAGTTGAGTAAGATCTCTCTAGGAATATTAAAATCTCCTGGAATTATGGCAAGAGAGGAAGATTGAGAGTTGAGCATTTTGATGAGAGAATAGACAACCAGGTGGCAGGCGGACTGGCCGTGATTAGAAGGGATCGGGGGTGTAATACCAGTTGTAGCGAATCTCTAAGCATGAGATTTTACAAGAAGATGGGAAAATAATGTCTGGAAGCAACATTGATAATGAATTAAAATGCCAGCTCACCTTTTGGATTCAGGGGGTTAAGGAGCTAGTTATAGTTAAGGCAAGAAGAAAGGGAGCTTTTCTCCATAATCTTAAGATGGACAGGAGTTCGTTAACTATGAAATGAAGTTTCGAGTAGGATCCGCAGTTGAACAGGGTCAGTAGCTAGAGGAACCAGGAGAAGAAAACATAGAATGATAAGAGGGTAAAGATGTCAGAGAAAATAGAACAGGTTTATTGTTCAGAAGTTAACCAAAGATTACATAGTTGCAAATAAATGGCTTTGGATGCCCTACTTTCCAGCAAGTGGGTACAGGGTGGGAACTGGGTTACTCTCAGGCAGTATCTGCCCCAACAATATGGTGAGAAAAGTCAAGTACACACATATTCAAAACTATAATAAAACTTGAAGGACCACAGCTCTTTTCTTCATTAAAAAAAAAAACTCTGGTATATTCTACTTATTCATAGCTATCAAAATCTTCCAAAATTGTTTTAGAAACCTCAAATTTGTGTTCAGAATTAATATTTCATGTTATATTTATTTAACATATAATCAAGGCAAAAAGTAATTTTTGAAGAGAAGAATTTAGGTTATTGTTTGAATTTAACTTGTTTTATTTCTTAATGGAAAAAGATCGATATCCGTCTTTTTTCATATATTTAACTTAGGCCAGGCATGGTGCCACATGCCTGTAGTCCCAGCTACTCAGGAGGTTCAGGCAGGAGGAACGCTTGAGCCCAGGAGTTCAAGGTTGCAGTGAGCTGTGATGGTACCATTACACTCCAGCCTGAGTGACAGAGCACAATCCTGTCTCTTAGGGGGGGGAAAAAAAGGGGGGGGGGGAACCAACCTTAACCTTATTCCTCTGTTTGGAAAATGCTTCTTTGCAGCTCTGCCCTGCACGTGTGACCTAGGCCTGGCCTATCAGCTGTGCAGACACCAGACTTTGAATCAGAAGCCAAGGGGATAAAGAAGCCATGCTGAGACAGAGGCATTTCTTTCTGGCAGTAATAGCCAGTGGGATGCAATGTTATGAGTCCCGTAGGCAAGAGCTCAATGTTGGCTACACAGACTCTTGGGTGTAGTACAGAGCATGACTGTATTGTTGTCCTGATACTAGTGATGCAGGGTGGTGATGCTTCAGTTTCGGCCCATGCAGCCTTCCTTTCTTTTCACTTCTTTCTGAGCCTATTTTCAAATCCTGCCAGTGATCCTAAGACTTACTTAATGATCTTTCAATACATTCATTTTTTCTTAAATCAGCCAGGGTTGGCTTCTGGCGCTTGCAAATATAAATTTGACTGAAATGGAGCTTTTGAACAAACTATAATACTTACTGCCAATTACTGAATATTCCGAACATAAGCTTACCCGGCGGCCCAGCAACTTCACTCCTAGGTATAAACCCAAGAGAATTACATACATGTCCTAGAACTTTTAGCGCATCATTATTAAATGACAAAAACTGGAACCAAGCTATATGTACAACAACGTTTGTTTATTAAATGAAATGAATATATAAAGTGTGACAAACTCTTACAACAGAATAACTCACAGCAATGACAATGAGGAACTACTGCTATTTCAACAATATGGATGAATCTCACAAACCAAATGTTAAGCAAAAGAAGCCAGATAACAAAAAATACATACCTGTTAGTTCCATTTATATAAAATTCAAAAACATGCAGAATTGTATTATGATACTAGAAGTTAGGGTCATATTACCTTTGGAGAAGGAATAGTGACTAGGAAGGGGCACGGAATGGGGGCTTCTGGGTTGCTGGCAATGTTCGATTCCTTAATCTTTATGGTGATTATGCGTGTGTGTGTTTCCTTTTTGATAATTCAAACAGTATTCTTATGATTGGTGAACTTTTCTGATTGTAGTTATCAATAAAAACACTGACTGAATAAAATAAACTAAGGCTCAGAGAGATCAAATAACTGCCCCCAATATCATCTAAATGGCAAGCAGTTAGCCAGGCTGCCTGACTCTCAATCCCTAGCTCTTATGATTGCCACAAAAGTCTTGTGAGGAAGACATTACCAGCATCATTGAGTGAAGAATCTGAGGTTCAGAGAATTAGGCATCTTGCCCACATCTCAAAGCCAGTCAGTAGTTAATGAGCCATAATTTGTGTATACCCAGATTCTATATGCTTTCAATTCGCCATGCAGTTTTCCTGAAAGTGGAAAAATAGATGACAATGGTGACATAGAAATAGAACATATACAACCTTTATCTACTGCTGATATGGGATGATGTCCATGATATACTCACACAAAGTCAAACAAGCAGGTTACAGAGTAATATGTATGGCAAGCTACCATTTGTGTAAAAGTTGAAAAGTTTTCTGTATGTATGTGTGTGTGTGTATTGTCTCTCATAAGCACTGAATATCTTCAGAAGGATTCCCAAGAAACTGGTAACACTGATTGCCTCTGGGGAGGTGATCAAGGTAGCCGAGGGACAAAGATAGAAGAGAGAATTTCACTGTAGACCATTTAAATCATTTAAGTTTTGAAAGATGGGAATGCATTGTTATTTAAAATACATTTAAAAATCTTAATTCTACCTACAACCACATGTAGAGCTTCCCAGAGGAATGGATAATCAGTACTTAGAGGTAAAGCGCTCAGGACTTTCAAGGACTCAGTTTATGTGTTAACTTTGGTTGAACACTTATTTTCGTTGTGTTTCACATTCTTAATCTGATAATAAGGTAAGATACGTCTTAGCCACTTCTTGGCATTTTGGGAAAGTCATTGGCACAATAGGTGAGTATAAAAATGTGTACATATGGACAAAGAATCTGGAATAATAGACATTGGAGATTCAGTGGGGTGGGAGGGGGATGAGAAATGAGAAATTACTTGACAGGTACAATATACATTATCTGGATGATGGATACACTAATAACCCATACTTCACCACTACACAATTGTATCCACATAACAAAACTGAACTTGTACCCCTTAAATTTATACTAATGGCATATCACTAGAAGGAACGTCATTGCCTTCTTCTTTGTTTTCTTTCTCTCCCCTCCTAATTCAGTTTAACCACTGATTTTTTATATCTAATCCCTCCTTATTCCAGGCATCTCAAACACAAGTTGTCCACAATGGGAAAAGCCTATGACACTTTCAAGGTATACATCCCTAGACTTCAAATTTTATGTGTGCAACCAAATTTTGAAAGGTTTAGAGCCTGGGCAAGGGTTCCTTTATGTGTCCATCATGAGAAAGAATAAGAGTTATGTGAAGTACAGGAAATCTGCCCTTAGGAGAAGTCCATCAACATAATTCTAAGCATAATGAATTCATGGCCTGAGTATAATAAGAAACTCTGCCCGTAAACATTTAGTATTTAGAAAGACTCTTACCTTTATTTTGTCCTGACATTTGATCCCCAGAGCTATCACAGCCAGAGGGTTAATCTCTTGACAACATACTTTATTAGAGAACTCAAGAAATGGCCTATACTTTGGAAAACTCAGTATGCATTATTTTGGTTTTTCAAGTCATCAGTTAATGGAACAGTATATGTGGAGGCAAACAATAAGCACCACTAGAAATTAATCATCCTTATTCAGCATTTGGCATTAATTTGTTTTCAGATAATTCTATGTCCTAATTGCCTCAAACCTCCAATATACAAGGATCGGTCTTTACCTCCTAGATCTGTTTACAGCTCTCTTTTTTCATTCAACAATCCTGCAAATAGTTTCACACGTTTACGTAACTGAATGCATGCACAGATAAAAATATGTTTGAGAGAGACCAGTATGCTCATTAACAAAATGTGTATGCAGCCATTTTTTAAATGATGCTGAATGGGAACTGAAATGTTTCAAGGACATCAAAAGCAATTGGAAAGCCTATTTGAATTGATGAAGCTCTTTGTGGAAAAATATGTGTCAAGATTGAACAGTCATAGTGGCAGAGTTTTAAAAACTATACTGCCTTATCTTTTTGAGTATTGCTTTGACATTTTAAAGTATGGACCAATGATATTGCTGGAAATTGATTTGTTAATATTTTACACTTCTCATAATTTCCATTTTCTTTTTTCTTTAAATATGTGATTTTAAAGATTTGTTCATTCTTTTAAACATTTATCTCGTGGTATAAGATATATACAGTAAAGTGCACAGTGCACAAATCTTAAATTTACAACTCTATCAACACACACACACACACACACACACACACACACACACACATCAGAATAACCACCACTCAGTTCAAGACACAGTATATGTAGTATATTTCCAACATCACAGAGGGCTCCCTCTTTGCTCTTGCCACTCGTACCATACTTCCAGAGGTAACCACTATTTTTGCCCATTATTGAACCTCATACAAATAGAATCATAAAGCACCTACTCTTTTGTGTCTTGCTTTCTTGGCTCTTCATTATGTGTGTGACAGTAATCCACATTGTTGAGCATAGTAGTAGCTCATTATTTCTTATTAGAGAGTAGTATTCTACTGAATGAATATACCACAATGTATTTATTCATTTTATTGTTGATGGACATTTGAGTTGTTTCTAATTTAAGGCTAGCATGAATTAAACTGCTAAGAATATTCTCATATCTGACCCTCACACTCATTTTCTTGGGTATAAATGTAAGAGTGGAATTGCTAGGCCATAGAATCAGCATTATGCTTAGCCTTAATAGATATTGCTAGATGTTTTTCCAAAGTGGTTGTATGAATTTAGACTTCTGGCAGCAATGGATGAGAGTTCCAATAGTCCCTCGTCCTTGCCGATACTGAGTATTCTCAGTGTCTTCAATTTTAGGTAGGTATTTAACAGTATCTCTTCAAGATTTTAAGATGCACTTCTTTAAGGAGTAATAGTATTGATAATTTTTGGATATGCTTTTTGCCCACTTGGATAGCTCCTTTTGTGAAGTAATAATTCAAATTTGTTGCCATTTTCTAATCTTCAGCATTCTTAATGTGTTTTATAACATTTGTGATCCAGTACGTTTCCCTCAAAAGCATAGAGTTAATTGGGAAAAAAATCAACTTGAAATACATTCACTTTATAACAAATCTGCTATTTGTATGTATCTGTGTCAGAGAGAACATGAGAGTATGTTTACCACCTAAAAATAATTTGTGAAAAACTTGCATTATCTTCTATAATTATTCATTCCTCTTAATTAAAAGCTTATTCTGCCATTATAAAAATGAACCAGAACTTCCTGCCTTTCTCTTTTTACTTCTAGTGCCTGAGATCATGACGTAGAACCTTAATTTGGTAATTCATCATTATTGACATTAAAGCAAGTGCACTCTGGTATGTGACTTTTTTTTTTTTTTTTTTTTTTTTTTTTTTTTAGGAGGAGTTTCACTCTGGTCACCCAGGCTGGAGTGCAATGGCGTGATCTCGGCTCACTCTAACCTCCACCTCCAGGGCTCAAGCAATTCTCCTGCCTCAGCCTCCCAAATAGCTGGGATTACAGGTGCCTGCCACCTTGCCTGGCTAATTTTTGTATTTTTAGTAGAGACGGGGTTTCACCACGTTGACCAGGCTGGTCTCGAAATTCTGACCTCAGGTGATCCACCTGCCTCAGCCTCCCAAAGTGCTGGGATTACAGGCGTGAACCACCATGCCCGGCCAGTATGTGACTTTTTTGATGGTACCTGCTTGCCTCCACTAGATGTACACAAGATGCAAACACACACAATTTACAAAGTAAATTTCACAAAAATGACTCAGAGTCATGTTTTGAAGTAACAATAACAATACTAATAACATGAAAGACACTTTTAATTCTTCAAAGCCAGTTTACGTACATTATTTTGACCAAAACTGGCAATGACCTGTGACAAGGGTGAGGTGGGTATAGTACTCACAATGTAAAGTTGAAGAAAGTAAGGTACCAAAAGCTTAAGTGGCTTTGTATAAAAACATGTTCCTTCATTTCAAGAGTTCTGATACATAACTATAATGAGATATTGGTCTTGCAATGAGCCATTCTCCTTTGCTATCTCAATTTACTTCTCTGTTGAAACAACAATGAATGTCCTCTCTGTAACTCACCCCCAGTAGTCACAGATCAAATCAATGAACAATTGATTCAAGTTTTGTCTTGAGTTAAATCCAACCATCTCAAAATGTGCACAAGATTGAATATTCTTTAGTGGCTTGTGACATCAACTGAACAACTTGAGTGAATTACAGCTGCCATGTCCCCTCTAGGGCTATCTATTATCCAACATGTCTTATTTAATTTTCGGTTTCAGGCAGGCAAATTGACCATGTATACTTGCTTGTGTCAGTAGCTAATTTTAGATCACTAATCTAATTGGAAATGGCATGCCCCTTTAGCTTGTCATGTAAAAATTCACATTTTCTGATTAATGTGATTCATTTATATTAGATTTGACTTGACAGAATGGCAATGGGTAATACAGGAGGCAAGTATGACAGAATTTCTCTCTCTCCCACTCAGTCACACTCTTTATAAATGATCCAGTCAAGGCATCAGCCTACAGTGTTTTCCCTTTAATGTGATAAATTTTGAACTCACGCCTATTTTAATGTGGCTTCCTTGGTGTTCTCTCACAAGTAGGATAACTCTTATCAGAAAAGTGACAGTTTTATCCACACTCCTACATTTACATTCATTTGTGGCAAAAGGAAAAACTGATATGATAGAAATGTTGCTCTTTTGTTACTGTTGTTCTGTGTCTACGCTTGCGTCCGAACTGCTTTCAGGTTGGATAGAGTAGGGAATTCATTTTAAAAATGCAACTTAAAGACAATAGTAGGAATTATAAATTATATAAGCGGGATGTGATTAAATTAGTCTGGAAAAAGTAAGAATTGGTAAAATGAGTTGCAACTAAAAATAAAATAAAATGTTCAAAATGACTGAAAAAGAAAAACCATATCAAGTTAGGAATTCTTGTTATTAAAAAAACACACAACTTTACTTAAAATAAATTATGACATGTTTATACTCTAGACCCTTCTCTCTTATAATTTTTACTATAATAATTTAATTACTAATTTTCAGAGGAATTGAAGGTTTCCTTTTATCTATTTTCTTTCAATTGGATAGAAAAAGAATATTCTGCCTATGTAGCATTGCTCAGATTCAGCCTTTAAAATATCAATATGCCTCATATCTGTCTCCTCTCCATAACTAGATTTCTTAAGAAATTTCTAGTTTTTCTTGAAGTAATTTTGTTCAACGTTTTGCCCCATTCACTTAGACAATCTGCTTTGGCTAAGGTAACCAGTGACCCACAATCCTTCATTGGTAAACTTACCTGTAGCATCTTTCACTACCAAATAATTCTTAATGTTCTTTTGCTAGTTTTTCTTTCCCTCACTGAACTGTGAATATTGACCCAAGGACTCTTGGCCATTTCTTTTTTTAATTGTACGTGTTGTTTCTAGGTTATTTTCTTTTTAGCCTGGCTTCAACTACCACCTGTATGCTACTTCACTCACTCATTTTTCTGTCTGGCCTAAACCTCTTTCTATAACTCTAATATATGTAATTATAATCTTTATATTCACTTTCATACATATATATCCTGCTTCCTACCAGGATATAATATAGGCACTGGTGAGTCGGTATATTTTCATTGAACTCATTATTTCTGCTACCCCATATGCTTCCTATACTTCCTACTGAACTGGATAACATCACTCAAATTTATGAATAACAAACAACTGAGCATCATCCTTGACTCTATGATTTGCTTTTTTCCTAATACCTGATTCACTGACCTTATCTTCCTTTCCAACCCTTCTTTTTCATTCCCACTGTCAACTTACTTGACTCTTGCCAGAGTGTCCTAACTTGTCTCTGTCTATCCACTTTTTCCCTCTTGAGTTTCCTCTCCACCCTTCATCCATAATTCCTTTTCTGTAATAGAGATATGATATGCCATATTTACTATTAGTGAAGCTTCCAGCAGGAAACAGGAGGCACGCTAAGTTGGAATGGTGAAGAGAATGAAATGAAATGACTTTTTACAGAATGTGGGGAGGGCTGAAGGAGCCAGCAAGGGATACCGGGGCACTCAGGAACCAGCAACACCAGGAAGCTGTTACCATCCCTAGACCTATTAGACCCAGATGAGAGCTGGAGCCACAGAAGAGACGAAGTCTAATAGGCAGGTTGTCATATGTCACATAACTGCTCTCAGAAATGTGATGCAAGCTCTCTCTCTCTCTCTCTCTCTCTCTCTCTCTCTTCCTTCATGCTCAGTAATCTCTTGGTGGAGCTTCCCATCCATTGGCCAAACCCAAAGAGGAACTAAACAGTCAGAGAGGCAGTGTGATGAATTCCATGGAAGTCAGCTTTCCCATCCCACCTCCTAGGACACAAAGTAGGGCTTACAATGGTGGGGAATTGTTGAGGGATAAAGGCAAACCCGGAATGACCACACATTATCTTAAAACTTACTTCCTCAAGTATAAAATGTCTTACAAAGTTCTTTAAAATCTAATTCTTTCTCCACTTCACCCTTGCTAAGCAAGGAAACCTTCAATTCCTCTAAGAATTAGTAAAAAACTATAAAAGAGAAGTGTATAGAGTATATATATCTGCCTTTATGGGAATACAAAATTGTGAAGAATGCTTAAAGAAACACCTCATTTTATACGGAGTAATGAAATCTCCTTTAGATCTTTAAGAACAATTAGCCACATTAGACGATATTTATGTTCTAGTTTCTATTTAGCACTCCCAACTTAGGTCACTAGCAGTAAAGTGCAATGGATAATTATAGTACGTTTTTTGGTTTTGAGTCTTAAAGCTTCATCAGATCTGAAATCAGAAGACTTGTGTTCAAGTTCTGGTTCCACCACTAACTGGCTCTGTGACTTTCTGTGTTTGAGAATTTTGTTTCCCACAAAGCAAATATTATATTCAAGCGTTCTGGGTCTGCATAATGAAGATTACTCATACCCATGAAATATTCTTCATTTTCTTTACTCTAAGTATCAGAGAATTTATCCCAATTTACTCTTTTAGGGTTGTATTAGTTGATTGGGGCTGCCACTACAGAGTTCCACGGGCTTGGTGGCTTAAACGACAGAAAATTCTTTTCTTACAGTTCTGGAGGATGGACGTCCAAGATCAAGGGTTGGTTTCTTCTGTGGCCTGTCTCCTTAGCTTGTAGATGCCACCTTCTTCCTGTATCTTCATCTGATATTTCTTGTGTGCATGTATCTGTGTCCTAATCTCTTCTTTTTATAATGATACCAGTTACATTGGATTGTGGCCCACCTTAATTTTAATTTAATTATCTCTTTAAAGGCCCTATCTCCAAACATAAGGGTTTAGGGCTTCAACATATGAATTTTGTGTGGAGGTAGAGGGGGATAGAAAAAGGATTCTCCTTTTTCACGTATGGCATAGACCTCTTTTTAAATACTTTCGAGTGAGAATACGCCAATGCATGCAGGATTTTACTGATTCATACTTCAGAATGACTAGAAATATTCATTCACAAACATCCAGACTGCTATGGTTCAGACACTGTGCTAGATATTGGGGACTCAAAGTCAAATAAGATAGGGCTCCTGTTTTTAAAGAATCTGCATTCTCTCCCATTCTTAAAGAATCTGCATTTTAAGAGAGGGGAAGGGACATGTAAAAATATGGGTCATTAAAATATGAGAGTTACAAGAGAAGGATGTTCTGGGAAGAGTGAGATATAGATGAGGAAATGGTGGAGAGGTGATGACGGTTTAGAAGAATCTTCACAATTTTGTATTTCCATAAAGGCAGGTGATCACTGCATTCTGTAATTTCATTAGACAGTAATTAATGTACTGGTTGACCATTAATGATTAGTAAAATGATTTCGGCTGCCTGATACTCAACAAAACAAATGAAAATTATTCATGGTTGATACCACATATATAATATTGTACTATTAAATATTTTCTGTTTGAGAATTTTGTCTTTCCTATTTACCCCTAGATTTTGGAGTTGTCAATATTATTGTAGTGTGTGTGTGTGTGTGTGTGTGTTTTGATATGAAGTAAGTGCTGACTGCTTACCCTGATATTCGAAATTATATCTTCTTTGCATATTGTGAAAATTAGTGCCTGGCATTATATCTTACATATACAAGTTCAATGAAACACATTTATTTCATTTGAATCATTACTGACAATTAATCAATAGAATACTATCATCAATCTATAGCACCAGAGAGGGAACGTATTCATTCATTTTTAAGTGTTGTTTTTGCACAAGGTATATTTCATGTGCTATTAAAATATCCATAATGAGGAGATCCAAAATGATAACGAATATTCCAGAATTATAATCCATCCTTTCTTCACCATTCCTTTGCTATCACCATAATTCATAATTTCACATGTCAACTTGAGCCTTCTAGAGTAGTTTCATGGCTAACTTTCCTGAGTCTGGCCTCCATCCAGCCAGTTTGTCTTAACTGTCATTAACGGGAGTAATTTTTCTTAAAAACTACTGAAATTATGCCACTTTCCTGCTTGACAAATGTCTTACCACATAGAATCTAAATACTTCTGCTCCAATGCCAGTTTTCCATAATCATAACAATTATACTAACATTCACAGGTTCACATGTTTGTATTTAATCCTCCTCAACCATCATGTAATCTTATAGATGGGAGAACTGAGCCTTAGGGTGGGTGATGACTTGCAAAAGATCACAACCTATATTTGGCAGAGCCTGGGTATAACTCCAGATTGTTAAGTTCTAAGCACTGTCTTGTCCTCCCTCAGCTGAATCATATTGCCCATAGTTACCTTTCTAACATTATTTCCCATTACTTTTCTACACATAAAATTGGCACTTGTCATTCTGCTGCCCATAACATCTCCATAAATAAAACATGCTTATATTATTGTTCATCCTAGCCCTTTAATGGAATGTCCTTTCTCCTTCCCTTAGAGGACTCAAATTCCACCCATTTTCTAGGGCAACAGAAGCCTCATCTCCTCTGTCTTCATTAATCTCCCTCTTCTTTCCATTTCTGTAGCATATCATGCAATTTCCAATATTAACAGACTGTCATCATTATTTTGTGGATGTTAAACAGTCTTTCCAAATCATATTGTGAGCTCCCCAAGGGTAAGAGTCATGCCTTATATGCCTTTAGTATGCCTTGGCACAGTCATAAGCCCACTGTGACAACAAATGCTACCTACTTAATTGTTATTTTGGCTTTACATAAACCCTTTCCTTTTTGGCCTTTTCTCAACGAAAATAAAAAAGATTTCTTCAAAGGCTATGGTTGAACTTTAGTCATAAATCATTATTTTAGTTTTGCAATATATAAACAGTAATTGGTATTAGGTTAATTTTTTCATTCCGTGCAAATCATGGGAAATAACAAAGTAAGGAGTATTTTGAATGTCACTTGGAATATTCTGCCTGATTTGAATAAATAATTTGAAAATGCTGATATTGTGCATTTTAAGACCCCAAAACAGTTCTTTAAAGTGACATACTTAATCATTTATTAAAAACAAGCACGAATCAAATATCCAGCTATAAAATGAATAAATTCTGTGGATTGAATGTACAGCATGGTGATTGTAGTTGACAATAGTTTATTATTTACTTGAAACTTACAGAAAGAACAGATCTCAAGTGTTCTCACTACACACACACACACACAGAGAAAGAGACAGATAACCAAGTGTACTGATGTATGTGTTGATTAATTTCATTGTGGTAATCATTTCCCAATACGTTTATCAAATCATCACATTGTGTACCTTGAATATATACAATTTTTATTTTTCAATTATACATTAATAAAACAGGAAAAATATCACAGATCATTTTAAGCTAGAAAAATTTAGTAGCAAAGCAGGATTTGCCCCTTTAGATCCTAATGTCAAGTCATACTGTTTAAACAACATAGCAATGGGGAAACTGCTCTAATATGCTCTAATATGACACCGGCTAGAGTGGACACGCTAGCTTGTTGCTTCCTTCTCTACCAAGAGCCAAATTTCTCTCCCAAGTTCTCTTCCTTTCCCCTGCACCCCTTCCCACCCAGATGTCTGACTATTTTTTAGGACTATTTTAATCTCAGTAATTTAATTTGCACTTTGATAACGTGATTTTAAGTATTTCTCTTTCAGTAATTTTTCTTCTGAATTTGTATAGGTCTCAAAGATACAAAAGAAGAAAGTTATGAGAGAGATATAGTGTGTGTGTGTGTGTGTGTGTGTGTGTGTGTGTATGTGTATATATATATAGAGAGAGAGAAAGAAAGAAAAGAGAAAAAGTAGATTACACATATGTAGATACAGGGAGAGTCTGCTATTAGATATACTCCATACTGGCTTGAGAGACCATTTCTCTAAAAATTCCTAGTGATGACTCCTTAGATGTAAAGTTTATATCCTTTTTGTATCTTTTCTTATTCCTATATCACTCTTTTCTCAGCTTTCTTACACATTAATGGCTCTGGCATAGGCATTTCCAAGATTGATGGATGACTAGCTAAAAGGTTTCATAGCCCAAGGCAAGGGAGAGGTCCATTAACTTCACATGGTCAATAATTTCCCTGGGTAATGCACTCTTCTGAGATTTTATGGCTAATAAAATCCATGTTTTAATGTTCAGAAAAATTAAACATCATCGTAAGTTGCCCATTCTTAAAATTATACCTGTCCTTGCCTTTTTGCTGTGTCTTCATTCTTCAAATACATCAGTATACTCTTTTCATATGTTTCTTTAAAACTTAAATTTTGTTTGCTTTTTACATATTAAGAGTCTCACACTTAGAAACTAATGTTCATTTCCAATGGACACGTTTATACAATTCCCTTAACTAAAGGAATTAAGCATGGTATTTTGAAACAAAGTATCTATAACTAATAGCTTTAGTCAAATCATGTATTTATACATGATGGGTCCACAAGGATGCCAATTCATGAGCTGAAAAAGTTAAAAAAGAAAAAGACGCACTCATCATCAGTTGGGAAAAATAACATAACTTTGTTTCGATGCTGTGTTGTTTAATGAATTCACTGACTCGCACTGAATATAAGGCCATCTTTACTATAGTCCCTTTTTCATCCAGAGAAACCTTCTGCAAACTATAACCAGGCTTTTAGTTCAATTTGTCAACTGATATGAAATCATTAATTCTTTTATGGCTTTTAATTTTTATATCTCTTTGGATCACAAAACTTTAAAGGGTCCTTTGTATTTTCTGAAATATGTCCCAATGGGCTTTCAATTTTATTTAAGACAGAGCTAATGGTATTAAATGGTCAAATAAGAGTAAGAAAGAAGTTTACTTAAATATTTTGTACTCACGCAAGTAAACTACTATTAATCTATAGTCTTGGGTGCATAAAATCTCATCCAGGTTGCAAATACAAAGTACAATATAGGGCTTCCATTCCCAGCTTTCTTTTGTTTAATGATGGAATAAAAAACATAGAGGGACCGGGTGCGGTGGCTCACGCCTGTAATCCCAACACTTTGGGAGGCCAAGGCAGGCGGATCACGAGGTCAAGAGATCGAGACCATCCTGGCCAACATGGTGAAACCCCATCTGTACTAAAAATACAAAAATTAGCTGGGCATGGTGGCTCGTGCCTGTAGTCACAGCTACTCAGGAGGCTGAGGCAGGAGAATCCCTTGAACCCAGGAGGCAGAGGCTGCAGTGAGCCGAAATCACGCCACTGCATTCCAGCCTGACGACAGAGCAAGGCTCCATCAAAAAATAAAAAATAAATTAAAAAAATAACACAGAAGGGAGTGGGTTGACAATCAGAGAAAAGTATTTTGAGTCCACTGTCACTAGCCAGGTGACCTATGGGAAATCACTTAACTTGCTTTTACATCACTTATACACCACTTCTTCACAACAATATTTAGTGGCAATGATACTTGTCCTGCCTCGCTTACAGGGCTGCCATGAGAAGCACAGTAGTCAGTGTAGATGAAAGTGCCTTCTAAAATCTAAAACCTTAAACGAAAGATATGAGATCATCCACCAAACGAGAGTATATTCAGCTGCATTCCAGCCTTTCTACTTCCCTTGGCATAAAATGGCTTCCTATAAATTACTTTGTCTGCCATTGGCAACTTGTGAAAGAAAAGAAAATCAAGGTCAAGAAAATGTGTTCATTCTTCTGCATGTTAATAAGTGAAAATGGTACCCATTATGGCCCTATGAGTTGTAAAACCTGAAAGAGCCATGTTGGCTAATTATGTTAATAGCTAGATGCTGGAGGATGTTGAAGATTAAACCCTATACAGAATTTGCCTCATCATCCATTTCTTACCTGCCAATCTGTTCTTACTCCTAATCAGTCAGGCAGAAAGTGCAGAACTCCAGCCATTGGAAAACAAATGTCCACCCATATTTAACTGTGAGTGTGATGGAATCCTTCATTTTTTATGAAAACACACTGCCTGTGATAGAATCACATTGTCAATATTTGCTTGACCTTCTCAAATGGAATGGATTTACCTCTCTATATGGAACTATATAATATATCCACACATAAAAATGGCCATTCAGTTCAATCAGATCAAACAAATGCTTCCAATAGTATTATCCCTATAATCTGGTCCAGAAAAAACTCTCCAAATTCTAACTGATAAGATAGACAACTGAAGCTACTGAGGTGAGACAGCTTAAAATGGACTGCGAGAAAATTATTTAAATGTTGGGCAGGAAATCTTCATTTCTAGAAATACATTAGGTTGCAAAAATCCATATTTCTTAATACATTAAAACAAATCTCAAATGTGTGCAGTAGTTTCAATCTCAATTGTGTGCAGTGGTTTGCAATTTGGGGAAGGACAATTCATTGTAAGGGACTGTCCCTCAGAGGGCAGGATATTTAACAGCCAGGTCCTGCCATCTAGACCTATAGCCATTGTGACAAATGGCTTTTAGGAATAGAAACAGCCTACTATTGAGAACCTCACATGGCATTGACTCCAAGTAGTTTCCTGTTGCATTCTTTTCCAGATATTTATAGACTGACTGATAAATGTCATACACTTTCCTTAAACTACACAGTCACAAACTAAAATCATGTGCCATGTAACGTTTCCTTCAACAACGGACTGCATATACAACAGTGGTCCCATAAAATTATAATACCATAACTTTGCTCTATCTTTTCTGTGTTTAGATGTTTAGATACACACATGCACTGTGTTAAAATTGCCTACAGTATTCAATGCAGTGACATTCTATACAGGTGTGTAGCCTAGGAGAAATAGGCCATACCATATAGCCTAGGTGTGTGGTAGACTGTACCATCTAGGTTTGTGTAATGATGTTTGTTTATGATGTTTGCACAATGTTGAAATCAACTAATGATGCATTTCTCAGAACATGTGTCCATTGTTGTCAAGCAATGCATGATTGTAATTGCAACAAATGCCATCACTATTTTGAAATAGTCTTTTTCGTGGCCCATGGGTGCAGTGTGATTTGGAACCTGACCACCTCTGAGACTTCATTTCAGAGGTGGCCGGGGACCAAATCTTTTACTATTCACTTTCAGCAACACTGGCCTTCTTGCAATTCCTGAAATACCTTCTGCCTGCTCCCACTTTAGGGACCTTGCACTGGCAGATCCATCTACCTGGATGTGTTCCATCTGATCTGCACATGGAAATCTCCTTTTCTTCTTTCAGATTTCCACTCATCTCTTCTGAGGGGTCTTCCATGACCACCATATCTAAATTTGCCCCCCCACCTCATTACTCTCTATACCTTAGCCTGCTTTAGTTTTTCTTCAGAGAACTTACTGCCACCTGCCATATGTTTCATAGTAATTACTCAATAAATCCCTTATCAATAACATATCAAGATGGATAAGGATAGACTTCTAGGGTTTGAATCTCAGTTCTATACCTTACTATCTGGGTGATCCTGGGCAGGTTGTTTAACCTTTCAGTGCCTCAGATTTCTCATCATCTACTTCACAAAGTTGTCCCATCTCCTTCCTTAGCACTAAGATACATCACAGTTAGAAAGAACTTCAGAGAGTATTTAGTTCAATTTTTCCATCGTTCTCTCTTTCTGCCCTGTGTCCCATCTTCTTTCTAATTTTATCTTATTTCTTGTTCTCTACAATTTCAGAATGGTGAAGAGAGAGAGCCACCTTCAGAGTTCTTTGCCATATTGTATATGTCCCTTATAAGACTCCTACATGAAATATTTCCGTGGCCTTAATTTTATTTCAAATCAGATTTTTAATAAACACAGCTCTCAAATTGAACTGATTTTCTCCATTATATACTACAAAAGTGATCATTGTTATTTGAGCATTTGACTAATTTCAGTCTCAACAAACATATACACTGAACCTTATGTTCTCATCAGAGATTGTAGGTACCGGGCAGTAAAACAGGAGATTGCAAAAAAAAAAAAAAAAAAAAAAGTTTAAACATTGTGCATGTCCTTATGAAACTTGCAATATAATTATGAATACAAAAAGCAATATTTACCAAACGGGGAATCTTACTTTATTGAGTTTTTTAAACATCTGAGGGGGCTTTTTGGTCCCATAAAAAAAATGTTTGCTGCTACATTTGGTAAAGTTACACAGTTAAAAACATAGATTTTCTCAAGCATCTAGGCTCAATTATAAATCTCTTTGTACTGCTAAGAGAAATAGAGCTTTTAATCTAAAATTTAAAATAATCATTTATACTTATTCTTTGATTGATGTTCATTAGCTCCCATTTAACAGATTAAACTTCCCTAAACAATTAATCTCAAATAGACTTAATTAAATCCTCTTAAGAATTTTAATCTACATTTACAAATTTAATATATTTTGTTCTCACAAGTTCTTCAAAAACCTCCCAGGACAGTACTACAAACCCAACAAACAAAATCTTCCTGTTCACTTAAGCAACTCCTGTGGATCTAATAGAGCAGAAACATTAATGTGGTAAATCAGAACCACCCACACATTCAAATACAGTACTGTTATAAACTCAGTTGGATTATCTTATACCTTTCAAGCCAAAGTTGCAAGTCTAATATTAATTAACCATTTCAAATTAAAATTGATTTACCTGCCAGATTCTGCAATACATCAGATTGTTTCAAATGCGTTAGCATCTTAAGAAAACATGCAGAGAAAAATCACTGAACTGGCAAAAAATATCCTAAATTTAATATAAAGTAATATTACTATGGTTTCGACTTAATTATTTTTTTCAGTTTTTATAGCTGCAAAAATCCAACTAAAGTATCTAAGACTTGGCATTATAACTTCAGCTTGTGGTCAGAAAAATCAAAGTCAAGACACACAAGCTCTCTTTTATAACACTGAATCTCTTTCCTATCTGATTTAATTCAGCTAATCTCTTTACCACATAATTGAATACCATATTGTTTTAATAATTTTTCCTGGTTGGTTTTTATCAGCCACCACTACACTATCATAATTTTATATAAAACTGTAGAGTATATAAGACTTATAGCCTAATATCTAATAGTTACACTATTCCTGATAAACTGCCTGCACTAAAGGAAACTATTGTCATCTTACCTTGAAAATTTATGAGTAAATAACTTGGTAGTATTAAAAGATTAGGCTGTTTTAGCTCATTTACATGCTTAATATCAGAAATACCCAATTGTTTATTAGCAAACCTTAAACCAAAGAAAATATCAAAGCCCAATATTTTAAGTTTGATTGAGCACTCTTTTACAGTGAATGAGAAAAGTTTATTAAAATTCTAAAAAGAACCTGAAACCAATTTGTGTTTGGAGGGATTTTGCCTCCAAAAGCACTATTCACAATAGTCAAGATGTGGAAACACACTAAATGTCATTAGGCAGATGAATGAATGAAGAAAATGTGGTATATACACACAATGGGACACTATTCAGCCTTTAAACAGAATGATATTCCGCAACATGTGACAACATGGATGAACCTTGAGGACATTATGTTAAGTGAAATGAACCACTCACAGAAAGACAGATGTTGTATGATTCCACTTACATGAAGTATCTAAAGTAGTCAGATTCATAACATCAGAGTGGAGTGGTGGTTGCCAAGGGGATTGAAGGAGGAGGCAACGGGGAGTTACTAATTAACAGACATAAAGCAAAGTTTCAGTCAAGCAAGATGAATAAGCCCTAGAGACCTGCTGCACGACATTATACCTAGTCAACAATACTGTATTGTACTTAAAAATTTAAGCAGATAAATTTCTTACCACAATCAAATAATAAAAAAACATTTAAAGCTGTTTTGAAAGTATATTTCAGATGTGAGCTATTACCCATGAAACTATGAGCCGACGGCCCATTTTGATGGATAGAAACATGTATTCAAATCAAATTTCATTCACAGCCCCTTCTTTCCTTTTAAACTGCCTTAATTTGTTGTATTGATGGCATTGTAAATAAACCCAGAGGTAGAGAATGGAATGTGCGGACAGGAAAGCAGTTGAATTAACTGTAAAGTACTCTTCATATTATCCGTTAAAATCTGTACCTTTCCAAAAAAAACAAAAAACAGAAAACAAACAAACAAAAAAAAGTCTTCAATGTGTTATGTGTTATTTGAAGAAAATTTTCAAGTACAGGCACTTGCAAAGCTGGCTAAGAAAACTATAAGCAATGAAGTAGCCAAAGGAAGAACGTCAGATGAGCCTGAGGTTTCGATGTGAAAGCCTTGCTTCCTAATTGTTATTATGCTTACAAGGACACCCTGTAAAAAGAAAAATGAAAGCCTTGTCCAACACCTGCTGTAAAAAGATGCTGGGACTCTAAGGCTTGCTTAAATCATTTTTTCCTGAAACAAATTGCAGAACAAGCCCTAGGCCATTTAATTTCCAAATACCAGTAATTAAAATGAGTAACATCGTCAGAATTTGGCAGGGCCGCAGCTTTCTTTTCCCTTTTCATTTTCACATAAATTTTAGTGAAGGTCAGATTTGTTGAAGGGAGGAGAGGGGGCGAAACCTGCCGGCCGTATGCTCATGGGAGGTTAAAATATGACTTGTTCACAGTGTCCCTCATAGTTCAGAACTTAATGGTCCTTGACGGGGATAACCTAGAAGTTAATTTTACTCTGTCCCCAAAGCAGCCATTGTCAATGTAATCTTTCTTGTAGACTGAAGGATATTGTCAACAAATGATGTGACTTTCAATCGCAATTGACCAGCAATGTCTCAGATCCAAAGAGTCATGAATGTGGCTCCTTATTGATCTGTCTCCTACTCCTAGTGGTAAAAATAGACAACTATTTTTGCCCTACCTCTTGTATAGTCTATTTGTACATGTTTCTCCCTAAGAATGAGTTCTTAATAGTTCTGACATTATTTTTCTCTTTACTTGAGGTCATAGTCTATTCAACT
This sequence comes from Homo sapiens, assembly GCF_000001405.40. Classification (NCBI taxonomy): domain Eukaryota; kingdom Metazoa; phylum Chordata; class Mammalia; order Primates; family Hominidae; genus Homo; species Homo sapiens. Next base: position 30,415,637 of record NC_000023.11, read on the forward strand.
CACAAGCTTTAAATGTTTCAAAATACAGAGTACATTTGTATCAAGAAATAAACAAACTTTAAAAAGATATGGCCAGCTCTTCATCTGGAAAAAGTTGGGTAGAAGAGTACAATGAATATGCACTTTGTTCTCATGTTCTGTTTCTCATCTTAGCTCAGCTGCTTACTGGATGGGCAAACTGGGTTGAGTTATTTCACCTATCTCCGTCTCACTTTCCTAATCTGTAAAACAGAAAGATTAAAACTTGCCTCTGTGAGAATTCAATGAAATGAACAAGCAAAGTAGATTAATTTTCTGAGGAATAATCTGAATCTAATTTCCACAAAGGAGTCATCATAGATAAACAAATGTAATGTTTCCTTTTCCAGTCTACCCCCTACCCTAAAGAGAGTAACTAGATCTGATCTTCTGAAGGTTTAGGATCACCTTACCCAGACGAGAGCAATAGGCTTTAGTTTTCAAAATACTAGCCCTCTGGGTTGATCTCCACAGTGGCCCAAATGGAGGATGGTTGTTGAATCTGTGGAGGCTAAACAGTAAAAGCCGAGGTCATCAGCTTCAGCAAGAGCCTTAAGTAGCAGAGCCTTCTGGGAGGGACCCTGCAAGAGTAGGACTGGACGCTATGATTGAGAGCCTCTCAGAATGTAACCTGCGGGAATGGAGGACAAAGAATCACTTTTAAAAGAGCCCTTCAAGGGCAGCAGGAAGAATTACGGGAGATTACATATTTGTATGAGCATGGAGTACAACCTAATGTACTATTGCAGAAAAATGAACAGCAAGACTGAGTTGCATGATCTCTCTAATTGAGCCACACGATACGAAAAGGTCAAAAGAAATTTAAAGATATAACGATTAAACCGAGAACTTCGTGTTCTTCAAAGAATTACTAGATGAGTCTATGAGTGTGCAGGCAGATGGTTTCTTTTTTTCTGTTTGATGGTTTCTGATCACAGATCTCATAACATGTCCTGAGAGCTGGTTCTTGTTATATTATTTCCAATCCAATCTACAGGATATGAAATATTATGAACAGAACACAATAGGCATTGGGAAAAAAATAAGGCAAATCGTGAGGCTGCTGTCAGTGTTTCATTACTTCGGTCATCTTCCCAGGCCTTAACAATTTGTGGACGTATTTTTACCTTGACAATAGTAACAGATTTTCTAGCCCCGACCTACTTTTGCAGGATATTTAGGAAACCCCAAGTGAGTGTCTGATGTACTGAAAAGCAAGTTTATTCCCAGGCTATCACCCGCTCTACCAGGAACACCATATTCTGGGCTGAGAAGAGAAAGACTATTTCTGTCTACCAAGTTGGGTTCTTAAGCAAGATTACTTTCAGTCCACATGTTAATTAAGTTTAGTGAAATAGCTTTCTAAGTTTTGATGCCTGCATATGAGGACATAGATGGCCAATATCTTGATTTCAGCCTTTTAAGACCCTGAGCAAAGGACCCCAGCTAAACTATCCCGAATTCCTGCCCCACAGAAACATGATATAATAAATTTGTGCTCTCTTAAGTTTGCTAAGTTTGTGGTCATTTGTTAAACAGCAATATATAACTAATACACATAATATAACATAACTTCCCTGGAAACGAAACACCATGGTCAGTTAGATACCATCAGGAAAGTGAAAAGCATCTACAAACTGGGAGCAAATATTTGTAAATTATACATCTAATGAAGAATTTGTATCTAGAATATTTAAAGAACTCTTACGACTTAATAATAAAAAGACAAATAACCCAATAAAAACGTGCAAAGGATCTGAAAAGATATTTCTCCGAAGAAGATATACAAAAGCCAATAAGCGCATGGAAAAATGTTCAACATCATTAACTCTCAGGGAGTTGCAAAGCCACTTTACATTTCACACTTTACACCTACTAAGATAGCTTTCGCTTTACACCTACTAAGATAGCTGTAATGAAAAAGGTGACAGTAACAAGCGTTTGTGAGGATGTGGAGAAATCTGAATCCTCACACATTACTGGTGGGAATGTAAAATGGTGCAGCCACTTTAGAAAACAGTCTGGCAGATCCTCAAACAATTAAACATAGAGGAACCACATGACCCAGCATATACACTCCTGCCTATCTTCCCAAGGGGATTTGAAACATATATCCACAGAAAAACTTGTACATGAATGTTCATAGCAACATTATTAGTAATAATAGCAAAGAGTGAAGACTGAGGCATCAACTGATGCATTGATAGATAGTTGTACATACACATATTTTTCAGCAATAAAAAGAAATGAAGGACATGCTACAACATGCTAAGTGGAAGAAGCCTGTCACAAAAGACCACAACCACATATTGTATTATCTGTTTCTATGAAAAGTTCAGAATAGGCAATAGACAGAAAGTAGATTAGTGTTTGCCTGGGGTGGGAGCTGGGAATGAAGAGTTACTGCTGTATTGATAGTATAGGGATTCTTTGGCGGGAGTAGGGGATGAAAATATTCTAAAATTAAGTTGTAGTGATGATTGCACAACTCTGTAAATAGGCAGAAAACTGTTGAATCATACACTTAAAATGAGTGAATTTTATGGCATGTAAATTATATTTCACTTAATTTGTGTTACAAAAAAAAAAACAAACCACCTGCTTTCTTTTTGTTTTGCTTGGGCCATGCTAAGAAAGCAACTGTACTGTGGCAATAAGATGAAAAAAAAAAAAGAAAAAAAGAAAGCCAAAAGCCAATCTGCTAATTGTCATAACTCAGTGACCAGATCCAATATATTTCACAATGATGTTTGAGAAGTGGCATCGTTGAGGGAGAAGCAGCACTAGCCAAGTAGTGAGTTTTCTTATCATTGCTCAATCCCTACCTAGCTTGGTGACTTCTGTGAGCCTTAATATTGCCTGGAAAAAGGAGTGATTGAACTGGATAAATTCCCAGTCACTAACAATTCTAAACATTCTATTTAGCCTGATGATTTGTGCAAAGATAATTACTAAAATCATGCTCAAAGTCTCCAATTAGATGACAATATCACTGGAAAGTGTTATCTTGACTGCTTTAAACCAAAGGTTTTACCTAAGTTCGAAGGTGGAACTGAAAATGACCACATCTCCTGTACTATTCATTCTCTACTTTAATGCTGACTTAAGGTGAGGATTTTGTACAAACTTCATAGTAATAAATAGCTACCATTTATGTCTGAAACATAGTTATTTGCCCTAGGTTTCCTAACACGAATTGAGCTCTCATTTTTAACCAAATTATTTTCAAACTCTTGCGAATGCTTGGGAATGAGGAAAAGAAATAAAACAAACTAGTTTAAATGCAATGAAAAAAATTATTTTGGTTCCATTAAAAACATCTAAATGGCTTTCTACTTTCCTTGGTCACTCAATACTCACAGGACCTTATTCTATTAGTTACTAAGGTAACCCAAAGCTGGCAGCATGTTGACATACCTTTCGAGGCCAAGAGGTTTTGCAGTATTTCATAGATAATGTCACATTAACCTCAGACTTGTCCTTTCCACAATAGAATAGTAATTGCTTGGATGAATCTAATTTTATTCTTTGGGTTTTTGTTAAAAAAAGAATTTTTTGCTGCACTTTCCTTCAGGTCAGCTACCATTTATTCTGTTTTTAAAATAACATAGTAGTAGAAGTCAGATGTCTTTGTTGATTTCTACATTAAGCCATTCTTTTGGTTTTTGTGCCATTTACTCACAGCCTGGGCCAGAATCCGTGTTGTCCTCTAAATGGCCCTCAGAAGAGAGGAAATCCTTTGCTCTGTTCTTACAGCCCCATAAAGATATACCTGAAGAAAATCAAGTCAAACAAAATGTAATAGGGATGAGTCAAACACAATGCTGAGGGTTCATTAGTCTCTTTTCAACATAGTAACTTCTATATGTAACCAAAAGTAATGATAAATTTAAATAAATGTAAATTTGAATAAATATATTAAACATTAACAAAATCAAATATACTGAAAAGTCTTTTTTTATACACTTAAGAAAAATTTGAGATAACTAACATATGATAAGTCTGATCCAAAAAAAATGCCTAAGTCTAAAATCATGGTAGTCTTCAACTATTTGCAAACCCTTTCCCACAATCAAGCACCAACATTTGTAGGTAGTAAATTCTTCACTCTACTAAAGCTCTTATATATTTAACAGTTCTAGTGAGCTCTTAAATGAATCTATTTACTCTCAGTTTAGTGCGTCTTCAGGCATCCTTAAACGTGACCTTACTCATGTACGTTCTATAAAATGTAATTATTATTTCTAGACATTGTCAATTATGTCAAGGTCATATTGCATTAATCAAAAAAAGTTAATAAAATTGCTCAAAATATTTTCTCTAAAGTGACAGCACTCTATTCAACGTAGCAAATATTGACTACATCCCTGCAATAGTTAAAATGCAAAACTAAGCACTGCAATTAATTCAGTAATTTTATTTACTTGTATAACTTCCCATTTAAAGTTTGCTTTATTAAGGATAATTTTTATTACTTCCCTGTGGCAATCTAACCCTTGTCTGAAGAGTAAGAAAATTATCCACCATGAGCATATTTTGTACTCAATTATTAACATCCAATTATCTTCTAGCTAATTTGAAAGTATTTGGGGATTGCTTTATGTCATAATACTTCTTGGGAAATATTTTATGTATTAAAATTTATTGTGAAGAAGATACAGTTCGAAAACTAAAGAAAAAGCTTTAAGATAACGAATTGGGTGCATTTTGCATAGTCGCCCATTCTGGTTTTTCTAACTAAAAATAACTTCCTTGGTCTTTCCCCCATTTTAATTGTTTTCTCTGCTTATTTATAGTTTTTTTTTTTGTCTTACTATGTTAATAAAATTCTGAAAAGGTACAATCAAGTGTGACATGGAGCTTTATTTCATCAACTAACGTTTTGCTTTTTAAACTAGGTTCAAAATTCAATTAAAATCACTTAGACTGCTCACAAATAAGTTGCCTTAAACAGAAAAAAAAAAATGACCATAATCCAGAAAGATACAAAAAACATTCAGGAAGAAGTTTCTCGAAAGAATTCTAAAATTAAATGAGAAAAGATAAAATCTTATAATAAAATTGCGATTACGTTTTCAGACACTAAAAAGGACTGCTTTTTTCTTGTTGAGTTTTGTGGAAGAGATAACATACTCAAACTTTTGTTTGTCTCTGAGCTATATGTGAGTAACATTTCTGACTATTTTAAAATACTTGATTGGAAGATTAAAATTGTATATATTCAAGGTATACAACATGATCATGTGATATATGTATACATTGTGTACTGATTACCATAGCCACAGTACACAATGGCTTAATTGACACATCCATTGCCACCCATAGTTACCATTTGTGTGTGTGAGTGTGTGTGTGTATGTGGTGAGCATACTAAATCTACTGTTTTATCAAATTTCAAGTAAACAGTGTGGTAATTACTCACCATAGCCAAGATGTGGAAGCAACCGAAGTGTCCGTGGATGAATAAAAGGATAAAGAAAAGATAGTATATATGCACAATAGAATATTATTTGGCCATGAAAAAGAATAAAATACTGCTATTTATGACAACAGAGATGAACCTGGAAGACATTATGCTAAGTTAAATAAGCCAGGTACAGAAAGACAGACACTGCATGAACTTAATTGTGTGTGGAATTTTTAAAAGTCAATCTCATAGAAGCAAAGGGTAGAACTGACTCTTTTTTTTTTTTTTTTTTTTTCCCTAAGACAAGACCTTGCTCCGTCACTCAGGTTGGAGTGTATTATAGCGATCATGGCTTACTGCAACCTCAAACTCCTGGGCTCAAGCAATCCTCCTGCCTCAGCCTCCAGAGTAGCTACAAGCACAGGCATTTGCCACGGTGCCCAGCCAAGTTGTTCATCTTCTGTACAGATGGGGTCTTGCTTTGTTGCCTAGGCTGGTCTTGAACAATCCTCTCATCTGGCCTTAAGCAATCCTCTCATTTCAGCCTCCCAATGTGCTAGGATTAGAGGCATGAGCCACAGCGCCCAGCACTGACTCTGTTAAATTAAGAAAATTTTCCTAAATTATTTGTCATTGCTTTATTCGAGATGAATAAACACTGCACAAATATATTAGAAGTTTTTTTTTTTTTTTTTTTTTTTTTTTTTTGAGACGGAGTCTCGCTCTGTCGCCCAGGCCGGACTGCGGACTGCAGTGGCGCAATCTCGGCTCGCTGCAAGCTCCGCTTCCCGGGTTCACGCCATTCTCCTGCCTCAGCCTCCCGAGTAGCTGGGACTACAGGCGCCCGCCACCGCGCAAATGCAATAAACCTTTCAACTCAACTCATCCTGTATAAGAAAATCCAGTAGTATATAACCAGTTATAATATTAGATAAACAGACGATAACTGAATCACAAACTTATTTTATCATTTACTAAATTCCTAGCACTGTCCTAAAAGTTAGTGAGCACAAGACAGTTAGACATTTAAAAGAAATGTGACCTTATTTTGTAACTTAGCTAGTGGAGGAGGATAATTGGTGATATAATCATGTCTTATCTTTCCTTCTAAACTGTAAACAACTTAGGATCAGAAAGTGGTTGTTATTCACGTTTTTATCCTTCATGTTTCCTATCACTGAATTCAGAATTCAGAATGTGAGCACATACAGGAACCAACCAAAAACAATTTTTTTTAATTCTTGACTATTTAGTCTAACTCCTGGTTTGAAAGGCATTGATGATTATGATTTATCGAACTATCCAACTTGCCCCTACAGGCCCACCTGATCACCTAAGTTGCTATACATATAACAAACAAAAAAACAGACTAGCCCTCCCTCAGTGTTTTATCTCTATTTAAAAAACATGTTTTACTCATACAGTAACCTCTCATGATTTTCTAGACCTCTGTAGCTTTTGTATGCTTTAATGAAGATACATACATACACATTATTTCCTTTAAAGCCATTCATGAAACTATTCTGAATATATAAAATCACTTTTCAAGCCATACATCTGATAAGGGTTTAATATCCAAAATATAAGAAACTCAAACAACTCAATAGCCAGAAAACAAATAACCCAATTTAAAAATGGACAAAGGGGCTGGGCGCAGTGGCTCACACCTGTAATCCCAGCACTTTGGGAGGCCAAGGCGGGCGGATTGCCTGAGCTCAGGAATTCGAGACCAGCCTCGGCAACACGGTGAAACCCCATCTCTACTAAAATACAAAAAATTAGCCGGGTGTAGCGGCTTACACCTGTAGTCGCAGCTACTTGGGAGGCTGAGGCAGAAGAATCACTTGAACCCGGGAGGTGGAGGTTGCAGTGAGCTGAGATCGTGCCACTGCACTCCAGCCTGGGCAACAGAGCAAGACTCTGTCTCCAAAAAAAAAAAAAAAAAAAAAAGACAAAGGATGTAAGTAGACATAGAAATGGCCAACGGGTATGTGAAAACTGCTCAATATCACTAATTGTCAGGAAAATGCAAATTAAAACCACAATGAGCTATCACCTGACACCTGTTAGGATGGCTATTTTCAAGAAGACAAGAGATAACAAGTATTGGGAAGGGTATGGAGAAAAGGAGACACTTGCACACTGTTGGTGGGAATGTAAATTAGCACAGCCGTTATGAAAAAACAATATGGAGGTTCCTGAAAAAATGAAAAATAGAACTACCATATGATCCAGGAATCCAACTGCTGGATCTATAGCCAAAGGAAATATTTGAAATCAGTATGTCAAAGAGCTATCTGTATCCCTATGTTCATTGCAGCATTATTCACAATAGCCAATATATGGAATCAACCTAAGTGCCCATCAGTGAACGTATGCATAAAGAAAATGTGGTGTATGTACACAAAGCAATACTATTCAGCCTTTAAAAAGAAGGAAATTCTGCCATATGGGACAATATAGATGAATCTGAAAGACACTGTGGTAGGTGAAATAAGCCAGGCACAGAAAGACAAATACCACCTAATTTCACTTTTATGTGGAATCTAATAAAGTCGAACTCATAGAAATAGAGAGTAGAATGGTGGTTGCCAGGGGCTGGGTAGTATGTGTATGGGGAAGTAGGAGAAGGTAATTTGGGACATGTTGGTCAAAAGATTCAAAATTTCAGTTAGGAGGAATACATTTAAGAGATGTTTTTGCACAATATGGTGACTACAGTTAATAACAATAGTTTGTATTCTTGAAAAATGCTGAGGGAAGATGTACAGTGTTCTCAGGACAAAAATGATAGCTATGTGAGGTAATGCATATGTTAATTACCTCAATTTAGCCATTGCATAATGTATATGTATTTCAAAATTTCAATGTTGTGCATGATAAATATGCACAATTTTACTCATCAATTTAAATAATAAAAATACAAAAGTAAACAAAGCACTTTCCAGTTTGTTTCCATCCTCAGAGTCTAGCCAATTTTAATATTAGTTACAGTAATCAAGATTCTTGTTCAAATCATGAAAAATCACACTCTTTTTAGTTGGCCAGTTTTATAATACAGTTAATTATTTCAGTTTTTGACTGCTAAAGACTTTTATTTGGGATGACATATCCTTTAGCATTCCAAACCTTTGAGAAAGATACTCAGATGGGGAGAAAAAAATGTTTATTTATCTAGTTCTGATTAATTATAAAAATTATATGAAAAAAACAACTATGATTACTTAAGGTTCTGGGAACAAAACAAAACTGTTCAACCCACTTGCTCAATCAGAGTTCCAGAAAAATTACTGCCCTTGACCTAGAGCCCAGCTCCATCCTTGAATTTCTGTTCCCTAAAGGAATCTAATTGACTGACCCTTTATCTCGCAGCCTGTGAGCTGATTTGAAGTAATTTGTATTTACACCCTGGAAAAATCCTTCACTATAATTTTCCTCTATTGGTATCCATCTCTGAAAATTTCCCCCACATTTTCTAACTTTTACTAGAAATGCCTACAAGTCATCATTTTAATAATATTGCCAATATACAGTTTGTATGAATAAAAGAAATCAGTTTACTTCTACTGTTGCCACTGTTCAAAAGACAACAGATTAATTATAAAATATCAGGAATAGTTACCATAATTACATGTCTACTCTGTGCTAGGTACATTATTAGGCATTTCATACATGTTACTTAGTGACATAAAAATTTGATTTTTTCAAAATAAGTATGTAGATATTTTTTCCACAATAGGTTATCTGGCCAAGCTTGCGAGAATCCCTAAGCACTTGAGATATTTAAGCATTAAATTCCTCTGTAACTTATTTTGTTTGCTTCTCCAAAGATGGACTAGAGCACACATATTCCACAAGTATAGAAGAAAGGGAAAGAAGGCTTCTCATGGGCTCTCACCAGTGGCTTTAGGCCTCAATTTTTCTCTTTACCCTAGCTTTGAGATGGTGCCTTATAGAAAATTATACACTTCAGGCCAGGCACGGTGGCTCACGCCTGTAATCCCAGCACTTTGGGAGGCTGAGGCGGGCAGATTATGAGGTCAGGAGATCAAGACCATCCTGGCTAACACGGTGAAACCCCGTCTCTACTAAAAATACAAAAAATTAGCCGGGCGTGGTTGTGCGTGCCTGTAGTCCCAGCTACTCGGGAGGCGGAGGCAGGAGAATCACTTGAACCCGGGAGGCAGCGGTTGCAGTGAGCCAAAATCACGCCACTGCACTCCAGCCTGGGAGACAGAGGGAGACTCTGTAAAAAAAAAAAAAAAAAAAGAAAAGAAAGAAAGAAAATTATACGCTTCAGTGAAAGATTGTAAAATTGAGAATTGGAAGGAATTACTGTTAGGTAAGCCCTCACCCTGGGGAAGAAACAGATGGAAGCTCAATGGATGTGTTCCTTACACAGTCCACAGAGTGACAGAGGGCATGCTAACACACCGCCTGTGTACCTACATGCAACCAAAGGGCATGTGACCCTCAGTGGCATAGCCTCCTACCTGGAAAGAATGTTAGTGCTGTCAGAACAGCCTGGGCTGGCACTTTAGCATCCAGTGCACTGCCACAAACTTATAGGATGTTGGCCATGGTAGCATCATGTATAAAACAAAATGATTGCACAAGGCTTCTCTTCAAACTAAACAATCCATGAACTCAGAGAAATTGTTTTACTAAATTAATCATCACTACTACCACCATAACCTCTGAGCTGATCCCAATCAAGAAAGGATCAACACTACAGACTAAAGCAGGCGGGTTTAGGAAAGCAAAAGGTGGCCTTGCATTCCACAACTGTATTTTTGATCCAAGTAATGGCCTCTGTGAACTGAACCTTAACCCCTCTCCAAAAGTTGGTCAGCAACCGTTCCCAGGCTCTAGAACTTGAAAAGTTTGAAAAGCGCTTTTATATATTGATTGCCAAAGATCAGCCATGCTTTTCTCATTAAGACACAGCAACCTTCAACCCTCAGCACCTCTTACAAGGTCTCCCTTCATCCTCAAATTAGAAAAAAAAATGTGATACTTGCAGTTGTTTGTGGTCTAAACGCTGATAAAATTTTGTCATTGTCGTTACAGTATTTTCCTCTGTTGTTTTAGCATGTGAGTACTTTTGTCAAAATCCTATAGTCCTGCCTAACAAAGGTCAATGAAAAGGATAGTTTTATATGTTTACTGTCTCCAGTTGATAAAATAAAATGAAAACATCAAGATGCTGTCCATTATTTAATATCTATCTCGTTATCCCTGGAATAAGTTTCTTTTGTAAAAGACGAATGGAACCTGAACAGTAAATATAGCAAATGGAGCAATACCAGGTCACAGACTGCATGGATCGACCCTTTTAACCTCCTGAACACATGGATACACATATATCAGGTGATGTCCGTAAAGTTTGTAAGGAAAATCTTTGGCTTAATCCTCAAATACCATGATTTATGAAACATTTCGCTTTCACAATGGTAGCAGGTAAAAGTCACTTAACAATAATGTTTATTTTTTCTAATAATAAAATGACATATATTTATTGTAATAAATCTTGAAAATACAGAAAAATACAAAGAATGTAAATCTAGCTTATTATCCCATTAAGTAGAGAAAACCACTGTTAACATTTTAGTGTATTCCTGTCTTTGTTCTACGTTTCCTTTAACATCTATTGACTCCCTCCCTCAACAATTTAACAACGATTTATCAGAGGTCTCAACCTTAGCTACCCATTAGAATCATTGGGGGAAATGTAAAAATATTGATACCTCAGATTCTGATTCAACTGGCTGGGATAAGACCTGGACACCAAGATTTTCAAAGTTCCCCTCCAGGTGATTCTAATGTACAGCTAAGAGTGAAAGCCACTGACTGATTAGGCTCCTATGATATACTAGACACTTCGTGGCATGGAACTGCAATGACAAAAAAAATGTAGAGTCTTTCAAAGACTTAAGCCCATTCACCTTTTGTGGACAGACAGGTGAATGAATGAACAATTTCATTAACCTAAAACAAATACTGCAGTGGAAGCATCTACAAAGAACTGTAGATGCATTAGAAAAGATATCCTTAAATCTGTATAGAGGAGTCAGTGCACCCACCTCAGAGGGTTAGGCAGCCAGACAAATAAGGTGAGCATTCCAGGTATAGAGGCACAGAAGAAGACAGAATGCTTAGAAAACTCCAAGTGGTTCCACTAAGTGACAAGGAAAGTGTCTGGAGATAATGCTGGACATGTAGGCAGCAGGTGGGTCTTGAAGAACCTTGTAGGTATTGGGAATGATGGGCAGCCTTTGAAATGTTTTCAGCAGATGAGTGACATGATGACCTCTATCTCTAATTCACATCACTCTGGCATCAGTGTGCTGGGATTTAAAGGCGCTGATGGGACTAGATGCAATAAGACTAGAAAAGAAACTAGAAGTCTATAACAAAACTCCAAGAAAGCAAATATGCCTGTTTCTGATTCATAGAGTCTTTAGGAAGTTCATTGTTAACTTTACTTATCATAATAACTTGCATTTGAATACTAAGAAATCATGTTCAAGTTTTGTTCTGCCTTATAGAAAACAAGATTGTTATTAAAAGCCTTTTAAGAGATTTTTGAGCCTAATTAAGACATTTCAATATAAGGTTCTGAGAGAAACTTAGGCATGATGAGACACCCAGAGTTTAGCAACTGTGGAGAGCTATTATCATCGCTAGAGCTGAAGGGGCAAGAGAAAGAAACAAAGCCCAGTGATTATTGTAATCATGGAAGAGACATTGCCAACAGATGTGGAGGGTTGCTGCTACTGCCAGAGCTCTAGCCTGAAGCAGAGAAGAAATACCCAGACTATTCTCTCTTTCTTCTCCCAACCTCTGATTTCCTGTTAATGACTCCCATTGACCAAACACAACCTGAAGACAATCGAGTAAGGGAGCCAGGGAAATTAATTCACAGTGGTCAAACTCCTGGGGACACAGAATAGAAAAGAGGCAGAAAATGGATCCGAGAGACAACAGAGAATAACCAGCCTGTAGATGGTAGCTACCACAGACAAAATGTCTTAGGCAAAATACCTATCCCCATTTTTCCAAAGGAGACCTCAACAAAATAGTAGACTGCATAATACCTCGACACATACACTGGCAATAAAATGGGAACCTTCTTTCCATGAACCAGAGTAGCAGGAAATTCCTGACAGCCAATAAGAAATCTTGATGGGTAAACAAAGTTAACCAGTTGACAAATTGAGGACATTTAAATTAAAAGCCAAAATTGGAAAGTATGTACAACTCAGGTGTCAACATTTTCCATACCTACTTAAACATTTTGTAAATGTCAAATTATTTGTCTTACATACTGCAAAGTTAAGAATTCATAAGAAGTACAGCCCACCTATTGGGTACTATGCTTACTGCCTGGGTGATGGAATCACTGGGACCCCAAGCTTCAGCATCACACAATTTACACATGTAAAAGACTTGCATATGTGCCCTTTAATCTGTAACAAAAGTTGATTTTAAAAAAAGAAATACAGCTAAGTGAAATATATGATATGTCAGATGCTAGTTATATAGAGTTAGCTAAGAGATACTTCTAGAGTGCTTGTAGTAACATTCTAGAAGGGGAGCACAAGTACTGTGGCAGTGACTGAAGAAGGTCATTCTTCCAACTGGGAATACTGGCCTTTTTAATACAGTTTATGGCTTTGGGAGAGTTTAGTGGTTCACAAACAAAGAGAACATCTATACAGACAACTAATCAGAAAATGAGCCCTGCAAATTAAATCAGATGCTATTAGCCACAGATATCCACTAGTTAAAACATCTGGTTAAAAATTACCAACTAGCAGATGTTAAATTATCAGTCTAAAGGTGTTATTAGCCTGCAAGTCAGGGAGTGATATTGAAAAAATGTTCTTGATAAGCCATTCCTGATATTCTGCAGCACTGGTTTGCACTTATCTTAAGACATTGTCTAAAAATATCATTTATTGCAGCTACCTGTGGACACGTCCTTACCCCCACCAGATTGTAAAGGCTTAAAAGATCTTGTCCTGTTCTTGTTTGTAGCTTTTAAATAAACTAGAACACATTCTTTTCTTTGTAAAACATTAGTAAATCTACATTAAATACTGAGAGGAACTTCTACATCAAATCTGCATATGACTTAAAAATTATATTTCTCAGGCAGTTCCAAGATGGCCAAATAGGAACAGCTCCAGTCTATAGCTCCCAGCATGAGTGACACAGAAGACAGGTGATTTCTGCATTTCCAACTGAGGTACCGGGTTCATCTCACTGGGGCTTGTCGGACAGTGGGTGCAGGACAGTGGGTGCAGCGCACCGAGCATGAGCCGAAGCAGAGCGAGGCATCGCCTCACCTGGGAAGCACAAGGGGTCAGGGAATTCCCTTTCATAGCCAAGCAAAGCTGTGACAGACGGCACCTGGAAAATCAGGTCACTCCCACCCTAATACTGCGCTTTTCCAATGGTCTTAGCAAACGGCACAACAGGAGATTATATCCCGTGCCTGGCTTGGAGGGTCCCATGCCCACAGAGCCTCACTCATTGCTAGCACAGCAGTCTGAGATCAAACTGCAAGGCAGCAGCAAGGCTGGGGGAGAGGCGCCTGCCATGGCTGAGGCTTGAGTAGGTAAACAAAGCATCTGGGAAGCTCGAACTGGACGGAGCCTGCCGCAGCTCAAGGAGGCCTGCCTGCCTCTGTAGATTCCACCTCTGGGGGCAGGGCATAGCCGAACAAAAGGCAGCATAAACTTCTGCACACCTAAATGTCCCTGTCTGACAGCTTTGAAGAGAGTAGTTTTTCTCCCAGCATGGAGTTTGAAATCTGAGAACGGACAGACTATCTCCTCAAGTGGGTCCCTGACCCCCGAGTAGCCTATCTGGGAGGCACCCCTGAGTAGGGGCAGACTGACACCTCACACAGCCGGGTACCCCTCTGAGATGAAACCTCCAGAGGAATGATGAGACAGCAACATTTGCTGTTCAGTAATATTTGCTGTTCTGCAGCCTCCGCTGCTAATACCCAGGCAAACAGGGTCTGGAGTGGACCTCCAGCAAACTCCAACAGACCTGCAGCTAAGGGTCCTGACTGTTAAAAGGATCACTAACATACAGAAAGGACATCCACACCAGAACCCAATCTGTACGTCACCATCATCAAAGACCAAAGGTAGATAAAATCACAAAGATGGGGAAAAAACAGAACAGAAAAACTGAAAATTCTAAAAATCAGAGCGCCTCTCCTACTCCAAAGGAACGCAGCTCCTCACCAGCAATGGAACAAAGCTGGACAGAGAATGACTTTGACAAGCTGAGAGAAGAAGGCTTGAGACAATCAAACTTCTCCGAGCTAAAGGAGGAAGTTCAAACCCATTGCAAAGAAGTTAAAAACCTTGAAAAAAGATTAGGCGAATGGCTAACTAGAATAACCAATGCAGAGAAGTCCTTAAAGGACCTGAAGGAGCTGAAAACCACAGCACGAGAACTACGTGACAAATGCACAAGCCTCAGTAGCCGATTCGATCAACTGGAAGAAAGGGTATCAGTGATGGAAGATCAAATGAATGAAATGAAGCGAGAAGAGAAGTTTAGAGAAAAAAGAATAAAAAGAAATGAACAAGGCCTCCAAGAAATATGGGACTATGTGAAAAGACCAAATCTACGTCTGAATGGTGTACCTGAAAGCTCTTATTTTGGATTTAGGCTAAATGTTCCCATCAATCATGAGTATGCTCAAGACTGTAAAATTTCTCATATGGTTGCAACAAAGACAATGTATGTTTGAATGAAAAATAATGAATTACACTTTTTAACAATTGAAGACTTTCTTATAACCTTCATTTCTACATACATCTAAGCTTCATAAAAAGTTCTACAAAATCCAATTTCATAAAAATAGTTTCAGCTGCTCACACTTTTTATTTGTTTCTTTAAACACGAAGCATTTTTTTCTGCATACCACCCCTAATGTAAATCAATTTTTCTTATTTTATTTCAGATTTTTATGTAACTAAAAACTACTGTTTGGGTTATAGGGCTCGTTATAGATCTCTTTCAGATTGTTTTACTTCAGGTTGTACCTTTGCAAAACAGAAGGATTTACACACACACACACACACGCACATGCTTACTTTATACCTGCTCCTTCCACTAATTGTCTGAGAAGGCAGGAGACAGGAAGACTCTGGCTCTAATACTTCCCTACCATCTTGCTAGCACAGTGTGATGCATGCTAAAGAAGGTGAATAATGCACTATTGAATACCTTAATTCCCCTGGGAAACTAAGATGTTCTCTATTACCATGAGATAAAAATTCCATCAGTTGACCTCAGCAAGAGTGGGAGTGTCTGTGTGGCTGGAAAAGGAGAATGTTAATGAAGCTAAAAGTATTTATAACAATTTTATCGGTTGTCACCAATTGATAAAAGCTTCTTAGCAGATGCATATCCTGCTAAGAAGTTGTGTTTTGCTAAGTTGTTCAACATAAAACATAAGTTTGAAGAATATGGGACAATTGTCACCAACATGTCCAGCTTGTTGACTTACTACTCAGTTCCAACCTTCAAGTCATTACTTAAATTATCATCTAATTTAGTAAATAGTCTGATGACCATCTAAAAGGAGTCTCACGAAATTCATGTTAATGGCCATGGGAAAAGTCCAGGACTAGAGAAGTGTTCTAGTGGTTTTCTCCAGTTAAACCTGCCATGTATTGAAAGAGGTGTGTGTCAATAGAAGAATTTGGAAACCACTTCTTCTTATACCTTATCAGTGACTGTATTAGTCTGTTCTCAGGCTGCTCATTAAGACCTACTTGAGACTGGGTAATTTATAAAGGAAAGAGGTTTAATTGACTCACAGTTCCACACGGCTGGAGAGGCCTCACAATCATGGCAGGAGGCAAATGAAGAACAAAGTCACATCTTACATGGCAGCAGGCAAGAGACTGTGTGAAGGGAAACTCCCCTTTATAAAACCAGAACTTGTAAGACTTATTCACTATCACAAAAACAGCACGGGAAAGAGCCACCCTCACGATTCAATTACCTCCCACCAGGTCCCTCCTGTGACATGTGGGAATTATGGGAGCTACAATTCAAGATGAGATTTGGGTGGGAACACAGCCAAACCATATCATTGACATTTTGATATTTGCAAGTCTTTATTCTATAAATTATTGGGAAAATTAGGTAGAGTAAAATGCCTAGTATTGTCAACTTTAAAAAAATTAAGGCTGAGAGAAGAAAATATGACCTGGGTTCACACCATTCTCCTGCCTCAGCCTCCCGAGTAGCTGGGACTACAGGCGCCCGCCACCACGCCCGGCTAATTTTTTTTTTTTTTTTGTATTTTTAGTAGAGACGGGGTTTCACCTTGTTAGCCAGGATGGTCTCCATCTCCTAACCTCGCGATCCACCTGCCTTGACCTTCCAAAGTGCTGTGATTACAGGCATGAGCCACCGCACCTGGCCAGTATGACCCAATTTTTAAATAACTATGAGGATGAATTTGTTGGCCCAATTTCAATATAGTAGCACCCGCTTGAAAGTTGAACAACGTAGTTCAAAAATAATACAAACAATAGGCCAGGCGCAGTGGCTTATGCCTGTAATCCCAACACTTTGGTAGGCTGAGGTGGGTGGATCACCTGAGGTCAGGAGTTCAAGACCAGCCTAGCCAACATGGTGAAACCCCATCTCTACTAAAAATACAAAAATTAGCCAGGTTTGGTGGCACATGCCTGTAATCCCAGCTACTCAGGAAGCTGAGGCAGGAGAATCGCTTGAACCCGGGAGGCGGAGGTTGCAGAGAGCCGAGATCATGACATTGCATTCCAGCCTGGGCAACAGAGCAAGACTCCGTCTCAAAAATAAATAAATTAATTAATTAAAATAAATACTACGTAACACATAGCAACCTAAAAAAAAGAAGTACAGGCTGAAAATCTGAAGACTGGTTCCCTGACCTTTCTGATGTCAGAAAGACATACCACCTTTGGCCCTTCAAGTCTGAAGACCAGACTGGACACTTATGGCTCTGATCTAGTTGGAGGATCTCACTCAGTGTTGTTTCAGTCAAGTTCAGGCTCTGACTTGGTAAATCATCTATGATGTCTTAAATATCTTCTTGTAGACTTCCTTCTCAATGGCCAGAAAAACGAGAGATTAAGACATTATTCATGATGTCAAGAAAAGGATAAACACTAAAAGGGTCAGGGGAATCACTATCCAAGATGGGTTGAGTGTGGAGGTAGAGGAATTTATTTTTAGCAGAAGCCATATCTAAGTAAAATCCTGATATTTGACTTGGGATGAACCGAGTACAGAAACTGGGGAAGGTGTTCCAAGCAGAGGGAACAGCAATTTAAAAAATAATATGAATTCAGGAGGCGTTAAGTGTGAAGTAGAAGTGGTGAGAAATAAGTCTATGAAGAAATTTCCAGCAAGAACCGGATAATGCAGATGCATATTCTGCTAAGAAGTTGTGTTTTGCAAAGTTGCTCACCATGGAAAATAAGTTTGAAGAACACAGGACAAGAAACAGGGTTGTTTCTTAAGAATCTATCGCTCTAGTTAAGGTAGGAGTTTCCACTTAAAAATTGTCAACATGAATTGATCTCAGAATACTTCAATGATATTTATTAATCTGCTACCCAGAAAATGAAGATAAAAACACATTGTATTGGGATTTAATATCTAGTCTAATTAATCTGAAGTAAAGTTTTGCACAAAAAACTCAATAAATGAATAAGTTCCATTATACTTTCAAATAGTTGATGGAATAAAATAACTTAAGACTGCTTCTCAAACCCACTGGTTATATAACCAAACTCTTTAGTTTTACAATGTGTACTAGAAAGAAGACTACCTTTGGAAAAAAGGCTGTCTCCACCTTATTAGATATCTGAATAAAGACGAATTAAAGTAGCCTAGGTTTAACCAAAGTCTTGCCTTTATAGTTATAAATAGACACATCAAATAATCTAGCAAGTGCATGTGTTTGCCATCATCATAGTACATCCCCCACATCCAGCACTTCCATGGTACATGGTAGGGGCTCTGTATCTATTTTGAAACTGATTTCTGTAAATCCTTTCTTATTAAAACCTATTTAGGTTGATAAACAACTTACATAGTTAGACTTAACAACAGCCCTATATTTGTGAGAAACCATGTATTATGAGTAACCTAGACTAAAGGATAAAATAGAGACTAATGTAAGAACATCTGGATTAGTAGATGGGCATTTGAAATTTGCCTGACTTGGCTCATCAATGTCTACTCTAGCAAATGTTATTTCATAGTATTAATTTAATCAACATTTATCTATACAAATTACCTAATAATGCTCATTACTTCTTACTTCTGCAAATATCATTTGCGGTAGGCAGAATACTAGCCCTCCCAAAAACTTCCACATCCTAATACCCAGAACCTGTAAATATGTTATGCTAAATGCCAAGAGATAATTAAGGTTGCAAGTTACATTTAGGTTCCCAATCATTTGACTTTAAGAGAAAGAAAGCCTGGATTATCCAGGTGGACACAACATAACCACAGGGGTCCTTTACATGTGGAATTGACCATTTCTGGCTTTGAAGATTGAAGAGGCCACCATGCAAAGAATAAGGGCAGTCTCTAGAACCCGGAAAAAGGCAAGAAATTGAATTTTCCCCTGAGACTTGCAGAAGGAATGGCCAACACCTTGATTTTAAGCCAATGAGACCCATTTGGGACTCCTGAACTCCAAAGCTGTAAGAGAATACATTTGTGTTGTTCTAAGCCACTAACTTTATGGTAATTTGTTACAACAGTGAAAGGAAAATAATACATCATGTATGTGACAGATGTCATTTAGAATTTTTAGCTAAGACGAAACACCAGTGCATAAACAGGTATCTGAAACTTTTACTCAACCAACTCTTTTATTCATACTGCAATGACTGCATTTTTGACAAAAACAAGAGGGATGCAATGGGACACCAAGGAACCTTGGAGAGATATGAAAAAAATGCTTTTGATTTTTCATTAGCTGATTAGATAAGGCTTCATACGATGTTTTATTTAAACTTCTTTGCTAAATATGATCACCTCCATCCCTTGGAGGATTTATCTGGAGCAATTTGGTAAGTGACAATGTGAATTGAGAATTAATAAGAAAAAAATAGGTATGTACTAAATTGAGGCCTGATCTCCATTCACCTTGACCAGATTCAGTGTTTCTCCCACAGCTTCTTCTTCACCCTCTTTTATCGTATTTCTTCTTTTGACTGCTCTCTGCATTCACTTTAAAAGAACAAAGCTTACAGTTTAAGTCCCCATTTCCGGGCCACTGAAGAAGACCTGGCCCTAAGGTCAGCACACTGAGGCACTGATTCGAATTGACCGTAGGTAGCAGTTGCTACAGCTCCACCACTGAGAAGGCCTTGACACATCTGTGACCCTGTTCTTCTCGACAGACCCTCCTCCTGCTCCCTCTTATGCTGTGCCTGAACAAAACATCACATCAGCACTGTTTACTGCAGGAATCCAGCCAAGGAAGTCATAACAGCACAATAGCTATACAATCTGATAACCTTGTTAGCTCAAATCAAAGCTCCTAACAAGTAGGAGAGGTTAGTGAAGTGGAATAAAACTATTACAGTATTTGGGTTTGTTGAAGTGGCTTTTCATATTTTTCCCCTTTGAAAAAAAAAAGTAGCATCTCTTGTCCCTTTACTTAAGATTAAAAACCAGGCACAAGGACATAAAACAAAACAACATGTACAAGGCTAAGGTTAACTTTTAAAAGAATACAAATGGAGAGGGATGTACGAAGTTGATAATTATCTTCTACTGGAAAATAGCGTAAAACTACTTGCATTGCGGTGCCAGATCTAGAAGAGTGTGTTAAGTGTGGAATACCCCTCACTATCCAGAAGTTGGAGATGTGAATTAATTTGTGTAAATGATGAAGAGTAATGAACTCATTTCAAATAACAGGTCAAGGATGATCAAGGTCTTTCTAATTTCTGTTTTCTTTACTTCGCATTACTGGATATTATTTCAACACAAAGAAATTTTGCCAAGCTGGATTGTGGCCTTTTCTTGCCTCCCTCATACCCACCTCGTGCTTCGGGCAACATTTCAACCCTATAGAGATATAATTTTAATCACACTTATCTCCCTATTTTTTGTAAAAGACATTAACGTATACCCCAAAACTGCCTAAAACGCAGTGTCTTACACAGAATTGCATTCATCCTCCTCCCACCTTCACTTCCTTAGTTCTTGCCAGTTCCAAGATCCTGGAGGAAATAGCACTAATTTTGAAATCGGGACCTGTCACTGCTCAGGCCCTGTGACCTGGCTAATATTCTCTGTGCCTCAGTTTCTTTATCTGCAGTAAATGACAAAATAATAAATCAATTCAGCAAGTATGTATTTGGATGCATTTGAAAATGTCATTTTTATGTTTTGTATCATTTTGAAGTTAGAAACGTGAAACTTTACGGTTTGGCATGGCTACTGATTTATCTTTTGCTCTTGTGTTTCCCTGAAAGATTAATGAACTGTAGCTAAATCTATACCTGCTTAGTGCTTTGAATCTGGTTTGGGGATTTTATTGTGAACATTTTGTTCGGCCATATTTTACTGTTGCACTGAATGGAAGTCAAAGTAACAATTCAATTTTTGTGTGTGTGTTGTGTGTGTGTGTGTGTGTGTGTGTGTGTGCACCTTTTATCTGAAAAAAAATGTTTCTTTTATAACAGATGGAAAATTGCAGTGATAAACATAAACCATTTTCCCTTTATATTGCCCTTTCTTTGTAAAGATGATAAAGCAGCACTTCTCCAATTAATTATGACTTGGAGAATTTGAAAATAATAAATGGTTCTGCATTTCTTTCTCTCCATCCTCCATATAACTTGAAACAGAAAAAAAAAACCTTAGAAATGAAATTGGAGAAGAGAAAAATCATTATTTTTACATATATGGTGCATGTGTAGTTCCTATTCACCAAGATGACAATGAGAAAAGAGAAAGGAAAAAGCGGAATAAAAATAAACATACTTCCTATATATTTAGTAATCATTCATATAAATATGTAACACATTGCAGGGGTTATCTAAGAGTCATGTAAAATGATTGGATCTTGACAGTGAGGTGCTAAATGTGTGTTTTCTCTTCAAATGTCTCAATTTTAAAAATATTCCCTTACATATAGTCCCAGGCAATCTCTTACCTATAAATCTGTAATCATATTATTTGAATAGATTCACTCCCCCAAATTCTCTACCTCTATTCTCTACCAGTACCTGAAATTTCTAGCACATTTACTCTTTTGTACTAAGTCATTGAAAGATTGTCAGGCTATAAGTAGTATTTGAGATGGATAGGCCATTATTATTAAACATCTCGGCATGAATTAGTTAAACAGGTGTAGCATTTCTTGGGTTATTGATCTTCACAAAGTCTCAGATTTTGGACGTGGTCACTGAGACTCAGCTGATTCTAACCTTAGTTTTGTATAACCAAATCAAGTGAAGGCTTGATTTCACTCATGAGTATGCTTCTTGGAATCAGACCTAGCTTACCTACAATCACCAAACCATCCTTAGTAATATGCTGAAGGAAGAAGTATTATTAGTAATAATATCTGAATTTTTTCAGTGCCTCTATTTTTTGGAATACAAAATAACAAGTGAAATGTGAAATATTGCATCATACAAAGCTTATCCAAAGGTAAATGTCACAACTGTGAAACAGGTACATATGCTACATCCAAAGACCAGCCATTGTCTGAAGTAGGATGAGCAGTTAAGACGTCCATGAAGTATCTCTCCATTCAAAAGCCAACTTTAAATAGTTCCAATGAGCTGTATGTTGAAATGAGATAGTGTGTTATCTGGTGTTTTGTTTTGTTTTTTATCTGGTGTTTCAATATAAAAGTATTGATTGAGATTAGCTCACTGATATGAAATGTGGAACTTGTAAATTCAAGCACACTATAGAAGTCCCCTAATAAGGACTAACGAGTTCCTGCTGACCGGAATCAAGGCACAGCCTGGCATATGAACAATTAGCTTTCGTGTTAAGATCAGAAGACAGTTTTTTAGCTTGCTAATTGTTAGCCCCTTAGAACATGGGCTACAATTTGATTTTTAACCACATCAGGGACATGCTAAATAGTAATGTAACTGAGAATAAGAAGTCAGGATCCACCAATAACTAAATGCAATTTTTTTCAATTGAATTGAATATACATCCAGTTGACGTTCATCTCTGAAATGCTAGCAATTCAGAAAAGCCAGCTGAAAGAAATTTTAAGACAGGGCTCAGTTCGTGTTCCTTCTGTATTTCCTAACATACTTAGCACATTACTGAGTATGTGCTTAGTAGGTGAAAATAAGTACATAGTTGAAAGATTAGAAGGAATCAAGAGAAGTTAGTTCCTAAGTTCCACTCAGACGATATTGAGGGCATTTAATTATTTGTATTTCTCCCCAAAGTTGATTCATTTTGAGCTTCAGCGGCTACTATTTCCACCTTCCATTTTCTGCATCAAAACATTCAAGTTTTGTTGAAATGCCCTCAAATTAAATGTTTCTAGCATTGGTAGTCATTATCTTGGATTGCATTTGGAGTTAATTATTTTTTAACCAAAGAAGGAAATATTTTGTTGATTTTACTCAATGGATCATTTGAAATAGCAGCTTGTGCTCTTAAATGAAAAATTATCTGATAATGCAAGAAAAAAATAGTAAAATTCAGAAATAGTGATCATTTTATATAGTTTTTAAACATAATATCCACTGCTTTTATAATTAATATAATTCAAATGGTGCCAGATGTTTACTGGGGAATACAGATGAACTGGAGTGGTAGGCTCTAACTCCTTCAATTCAGATGCTAACAAGAGAAGTCATATAATTGTGACTACTCCTCAGACAGCAAACTTACCCTTCTGACTATTAGTGTAGTAAAACTCCAAACTGAAATATCTCATTAAAACATTCTTTACACTTGCAGCTATTTTTCCTTGACCTTGGTTGCTCTACTCCAACACTAAATATACAAACACCGTGTGTGTGTGTGTGTGTGTGTGTGTGTCTGTGTGTCTGTGTGTGTCTGTGTGTCCCTAGACACACTGGTATTCTTGGAAAGCCCATAATCTTTCAAACCAATATGTTTTTGGAGCAAATTATAAATTAGAGCAATAATAAAAGTGATGCTGTGTCTTGATTGAATTCAAATGCAATCTTCGTTCAGCTAAAAAATAATGAGCCAGGTTTATTTAGAATTTCAGTTATGACCCTGTAAATAAGGTAACTTTGGAAATGACATTAACTCTTTTGGGTTCTTATTTCACTTCCACATAGCTTTACCTGCAATTAACAAATTGATGTTGTAATTAAATTAATGACTCTGGCATCAAACAAACAACAGCAAAAATAGGAACCAAATGTTCCTCCTGGAAGCAAAGACTATCTCAGGATTATTTTTATCATAACGTTAACCACAGGAAAATAACACACCTTTGCAATGTCTAGCCATGCTCACCATCTTGGGTTTTCAATATGAAGATGAAGTTAATGGACTGGATGCCCACACCTCTTTGAATATTCTATGAAAGCCAGAGTAAAAGATTTCAACAAGAGATATAAGATTGCACAGAATCATAAAATTTCAAATTAAGAAGGAACCTAAGCAATTATTTAATTCAATTCGTTAGTACTAGCTTACTTCATAATTAGTTTCCCAACATTTTGCTTGTGATTCAAGATAAAAAAATACATAAAATACATTATAATTCACTACTATACAAACTGGATCATAACGGAAACAGAATTTCCATAAAAGAGTACTTACTCTTATTATGCATAATGAATTCAAATATTTTCCCTTATATTCCATTTTATTTCTGTTTTTAATCTTTATCACAATCCATTAAATTGATTTCATAACCGCTAATGAATTGAGACTTGTTCTACATCCTTGCTACTTGAAGCGTGACCCTTGAACCAGCAGCATCAGTAGTATCTGCGAGTTTCTTAAAAATGCAGACTCTCAGGCCTGCCCCAGACCTGCTACATCAACATGTGCATTTCAACAAAATACCCAAGGGATTCCCAGCACTTTAAATCTGAAGAAGCATTGTTCTTCATCACCCCCAAGGGACATCCAACAGTTAGCCTTTCCTCGAACCCTTTTATTGGTGAGACATTTTCTTCCTTTCAGGGCAACATATTTTGCTTTCAAATAATTGTGCTCCAAAGAAGCGTCTTGTTATATTAATTGGGAATTGGTATGTAAAGCATCAACTCAGAGACTAGCACAGAAACAACATTCCATAAATAGTAAATTTCTTCCCTTTCCCACATAAGCTCCACCCACTGGTATTAGTGTACCTTCTGGTGAACTAATGTTGCTGTAAATTAAGTTCGACTTCTTTGCACATGGCAGTCTCTTAGCTAAAAATTCAGCAATCTTTGTGACTCTTCACCTTCTCTCTCAATTTGTACCTAAACAATCAACAGTCCTGTTGAATTTTACCTTCCAAATATTTCTCCAATTAAGCATTTCTCAAATTAGCATCCAAGTATCCCACGACAGAGAAGGAATGATCAATACACACAGAAAATAATGGCAAAAAAAAAATTATCAACAGTCCCTATGGTCATTTAGTGAGGCTTAATCCAGATTCTGAAAAAACAATGATAGTTCTGGGTATGTTTTGTCAATAAAGAGCTATTATGTTGGCCTCAAAAGGCACTAATGCTCAGTGGGGTGTCACCACCCAGGGTACCCTGTTATCACCCATATCTTACCAGACAATTGCCCACATCCCTGATTTCTGATTCAGTCTTCTGAAAAAAAAACTGAAATATTGTACACACATTCAAAATGCAATGTATATTTTCTTTCTTCTCATGTTTTCCATTCTGCCCACCTGGAACTGGGTAACTATTCCCACTGTTCATTTCAAATTGTGCCTCCTACTATGTCAGCTGTTGAGCTGGAGATAGGCCGCTCAATTATCCAGCTATGATGTAGAGAGTAATTGAGAATAGCCCTTTGGCTGATGCATTTTCTCATTTGAGCCTTCATGAAGTTGGGTTACATACAAGTGTGAGCATAAACATATTCCCGTATCTTTTTGGCATTCAGAATGCTTATATCCTAAAAAAAATAAAAAGAAGAGGACTTGGTATTTAAAAAGATGTCACTGAGCTGATAAGATAGAAAACTGAGAATAGTTTCCCATTCTTGGGAAGTGTCTGGGATACATGTCGAAGGGTGAGGGAGTTGCAAGGCCAGTTCTGTAATCTAATTAGCTAGAGATAAAATTTCCTTCTTGAAATCAGTCCTTGGCATTACTTCCATTTTGTTGTCATTGTGTCAAGGAAAAACACTTTAAGTTTCTAAGCCTAAAAGTCTAAGGTGTGAGACTGTCTTAAGAGCTGGAAGACGAAAGAGAGGAAATTTTCCAACCAACTTCTTCCTCTTCGTGTGAATTCTTAATGACAATCCAGTGTGATGGCCAGAGGAGCCCTCTGTGTTACAAGGGAAAAGGGTGATGATTCTGTAATGTAAGAAGAACATGAAACCTTCTCCTCTCTGATAAGAATTATTTTTATTATTGTCTCATACCCAACAACTAACTGAGGTGAGATGTGCTAAAGAAAGCAAGATACAACTAAACTCTATTGTTGCCATGGTAACCTGTCAGGTTACCTAACAGTAATAAGTTTTATTGAGAGTAAAGGTGGATAAACACTCTTTTTTGAGACATAATTCACATACCATAAATTCACCCATTCATAGTGTACAATTCAATGCTTTTTAGCGTACTCCCAGAGCTGTGTGTCCATTACCACAATCAATTGTTGACAATTTTCATCACTCCAAAAAGAAACCCCATACCTTTGAGCAGTAGTCACCTCCCATTCTCCCCATGTCTTTGGCCCTAGGCAAGCACTAATCTACTTTCCATCTATGTAGATTTATCTATTCTGGATATTTCATATAAATGGAATCATATATGCAGTATTTTGTGGCAGGCTTCTTTTACTTAGCATAATGTTTTCAAAGTTCACCCATGTATTGTAACATGCATCACTGCTTCATTCCGTTTTTGTAGCTGAATAATATTCTGCTGTAGGAATACGCCAGATTTTGTTTGTCCACTCATCAGCTGCTGAACATTTCAGTTGTTTCCACCTTTTGGCTACTGTGAATAATGCTGTAATGAACTTTTTGTATACAAGGTTTTATGTAGATTCATGTTCTCAATTGTCATCAGTATATACCTAGGAGTGGAATTACTGGGTCATAAGGTAACTCTAGGTTTACCTGTCTGAGGAACCACCAAACTCTTTTACATTTCCTCCAGCAAGCTATTTAAGGTTTCTTATTTTTTCACATTCTCATCAACACTTGTTATTATCTATCTTCTTTATTATAACTATCCAAGTTGGTGCAAAGTGGTATCTCATGGTTTGAATTTGCATTTCCAAAGATAAGCATTCTTAAGTTATCTCTAAATCATACCCATGGAAAAAGCAAACATTTAAGTTTAGTTAATTCCTGGATAGACCATGTCTAAAGAGGTTGTTAAAAAAAATAGCAGGCTAATTCATCTCCAGTGTTTATGGAAAGAAATTTTATTACACCAAAGAATGTCTGGCTTTCTAAGCAAAAAGAGCAAAACTGGAGGCATCATGCTACCTGACTTCAAACTATACTACAGGACTACAGTAAACGAAACAGCAAGGTACTGGCACAAAAACAGGCACATAGACCAATGGAACAGCATAGAGAACGCAGAAATAAGACCACACACCTACAACTATCTGATCTTCGACAAACCTGAGAAAAATAAACAATGGGGAGAGGATTCCCGATTCAATAAATGGTGCTGGGGTAACTGGCTAGCCATATGCAGAAGATTGAAACTAGACCCCTTCCTTATACCATATACAAAAATGGACTCAAGATAGATTAAAACCCAAAACTATAAAACCCAAAACCATAAAAGCCCTGGAAGACAACCTAGGCAATACCATTCAGCCCATAGGCACAGGCAAAAATATCATGCCAAAAATGCCAAAAGCAATTGCAACAAAAGCAAAAATTGACAAATGGGGTCTAATTAAACTAAAGAGCTTCTGCACAGCAAAAGAAACCGTCAACAGAGTAAACAGACAAACTACAGAATGGGAGAACATTTTTGCAAACTATGCATCCAACAAAAGTCTAATATCCAGCATCTATAAGGAACTTAAATTTGAAAGAGAAAAACAAACAACCTCATTACAAAGTGGGCAAAGGACATGAACAGACACTTTCTAAAAGACATACATGAGGCCAACAATCATATGAAAAAAAGCTCAACATTACTGATCATTAGAGAAATGCAAATCAAAACCACAATGAGATACAATCTCACACCAGTTAGAATGGCTATTATTAAAAAGTAAAAAAATAACAGATGCTGGTGAGGTTGTAGAGAAAAAGGAATGCTTATACACTGTTGGTAGGAGTGTAAATTAGTTCAGCCATTGTGGAAGACAGTGTGGCAATTCCTCAAAGACCTAAAGACAGAAAAACCATTTGACCCAGCAATCCCATTACTGGGTACATACCCAACGAGTATAAATCATTCTATTATAAAGACATGCACACATATGTTCATTGCAGCACTATTCACAATAGCAAAGACATGGAATCAACCTAAATGAGAAAGGGAGGACAGGGTAGGATCCATGCCAGGAATCCTTGAATACTATGCATCCATAAAAATGAATGAGATCATATCCTTTGCAGGGACATGGATGGAGCTGGAGGCCACTATCCTTAGCAAACTAATGCAGGAACAAAAAGCATATACTGCATGTTCTCATTTATAAGTGGGAGCTAAATGATGAGAATACATAAACACATAGAGGGAAAGAATACATACTGGGGCCTTTTGGAGGGTAGAGGGTGGGTGGAGAGAAAAGATCAAGGAAAACAAGTAATGGGTACTAGGCTTAATACCTGTGTGATGAAATAATCTGTACAACAAACCCCCATGACACAAGTTTACCTATGTAACAAACCTGCACTTGTACCCCTGAACTTAAAATAAAAGTTAATTAAAAATTTTAGAAAAGAGTCTTTGGATTTGGGACTCAAAAATCATCATTTTAAATAATCAAATGTCAGAGCCATTTCCAGCTTTAGCTCTAATTAACGATTCTGTTTTTATCAAGGGTGGAGGTGGCAAGAATTAGAGAGACAAGTACTCATGCATTCATTCGACAAGTTGCTTATCTTTTCTGAGACTCAGTTGTTTTAATCTAAAAATAAGGTTAATTACAGTGCATAGTTCACGTTGCCATGTGAGGTTTAAATGAGATTTTTTTCCATGTAAAATGCAGTGCTTAACTGAAAATAAATGTTAGCTACTATTAATTTACAGGATGAGTAGTTAGGAGTCTTCCCTATTGTAACAGTTTAAGAAAACATTCCCTGTGAATACTGAGGATTTATTGAACATTTTAACCAGGTGTTTTGCCTCTTCAAAGGGTATTTAAAGAAATTAGCTCAAACATCTATCAGAAATTTAAGTTAGTCATTAGTAAGAACAAACTTTGAAACAGTCGGTTAAGGGAGGTGGTACACTGTCTTTGCCAGAAGTCTTTAATGAGAGGGAAGGCATGCAGCTTTTTGGCAAGTTAACTGCTATTCTACCAAAGGGTGGAAGTGGCGTCTAGTTCCCTCAACGTAATAATTCCTTGTTTGTTACAGACTGAAGGTCTTTGGATTCCCTGTCAACCTAGAAAACATAACTCCCTAGCCTTGGATTCCTCAACCTTGTACCCAGAGATGATGCGGGACAAAACTGTGAAGTAAGCAAAGCTTGTGTTTCTACTATTGTTTTGTTTGCTGCTCCCTCATCCTTTTTGTGGCCCTTTGGGCAGCCAGTGCACTCATGCTGCCTTTTTCTTTCACAAAAGGATTCCTGGCATGGATTCTACTCTGTCCTCCCCTTTCCCTCAGAAACCTATATGCTAACCTTCCCTTGGTTTTCTACCCCAATCCCATCTAAAGCTACCTTAACTCTGAATGATTGTTTACATGGCTGACAAGCAAATGTATTCATTCAGCAAGCACTTATTGAATACTTACATGTGTCTGGCACTGTGCTAGGCACAGAGATAACTGACAGAATCCATGCCCTCCAGTAGAACAGAGAAGGTCAGCAAAAATGCCAGGGGTTATAAAGCAATGTGATAATAATAAGATAGAATATATATCATATAGTTGCTAGGAGGATTAAGATAATTAATAATAATGGGCCAGGCACGGTAGCTCATGCCTGTAATGCCACCACTTTGGGAGGCCGAGGTGGGCGGATCACTTGAAGTCAGGAGTTCGAGACCAGCAGGGCCAATATGGTAAAACCCCGTCTCTACTAAAAAAATACAAAAATTAGCCAGGCACGGTGGCGCATGCCTGTAGTCCCACTTACTCAGGAGTTGAAGCATGAGAATCACTTAAAGAAAGGCAGAGGTTGCAGTGAGCCAAGATCGGGCCACTGCACTCCAGCCTGGATGACAGAGCAAGACTCTGTCTAAAAAAAAAAAAAAATTAATAATAATGAAGCACTAGAACAGTGCCTGGTATATAATGTGTTACATGCATATTTATCAGTAACTTACATGTCAGAGGAGGGTTATGTCCTAGGGACTGTGGGAGCACAGACTAGTACCACTCATCCCAACTGGAGGTGCCAAAATCCTGAGGTAGGCCTTGAAAATGGTTAGGGTTTAGCTGAATTACAGTGTGGAAGAAACATCTTCCATGTTGAGGAAACAGCATCATGAAAAGACAATGAGACATGAAAGAATATGGCATATCTCAAGAAATTCAAGAGTTTCACTATGGATAGAATATAGGCAAAATGAGAAGGAACAGAGGATGAGACTCAAATAATAAAGAGCCTGTAGTCAATCAGAAGATTACTTTAATTGCCTCAATTTTTACTCTCTTTGTATCCATGACCTTTAGTAGTGCCCTCCCACGTCAGGTTGCCAGACATATTTACACTAAAATAATTACTAGTTGTTTGTCTGAAATTTACATTTAACCGGGTGTCCTGTATTTTCATCTGGCAACCTTATTGATGTAATTCCCACAATTACTCTGGGTTTGGTCATGTGACTTGCTCTAGCCAATGGGTCATTAGGAAACCTGACACAAGCATAGTTTTGCAAACGTACTTGTGTCTTCTGACTTTTTTTATTCTTAGCCCCTGCCACTACCACGAGAATATGCCTGAGCTAACCTGCTGGAAGGATATGAGAGTCTACTCATTTCATCTGGGCCATTCTACAGCAGCCAAGAGCCAGATGATCCCCAAACGCGTCTGGTATCCTGCCTAAGATCATTGGAGCCACCTACCCAACCTGCAGCTGACCACAGATGCATGAAAGAGCCCAATCAAAACCAGAAGAAACCCCCAGCCCACCCATGGACACATGAGCAATAGTAAGTGATTATTGTTTTAATCAATTAATCACTTTAATCGTAATACAGACAAAAAGAAACTTGCAACAAGCAAGAGTAACTTGTTATGCAAAATTATTAGAGCAATAGGTGAATGATACAGAGCTGCATCTGCTAGGCAAAGGAACCCACTAGGTTCATAAAACATCTGCTGAGCACAAATCAACATTTGTGCTCAACAAATCATACAAACTTGGGGAGACAGGGCTAAAATTTAAAAAAAAAGTGTGAGTACTTCAATTTGAGGTACTCATACAAAATATTATTACATACATACAAAACAACCGCATACAAAACACTGGAGGGAGATAGGGTTTAAAATGCTTGAGGTGACTCCCAAAGGTAATAAGAAGACAAAGTTATGCTAAAGTATAAATGTGAGTTGGCAATATTAAATAATTGATTTTATTAAGTAATTCAGTGAGACTGTAAGCTCCATGAAAGTGACAACTGTGCTTATCTTGTTTACGAAAATAGTGCCTGCACATAGTAGATTGTTAATAAATATTTGTTGAATTGCTAGATGAATGCCTAGAAAATGACCAGTCTAGGTAGGTTATTTAATTTGCTTTCAGCTTCAACTAACAAAATACCCAAATAACAGTGCCTTAAACCAAAACACATTTAATTAGCTCACATAACTAGCAGTCTAGGGATAAGTGGTGTCAGGGTTGAGATTTGGCTCAGCAGGGTTACCAAAAACTCTGGCTGTTTCCATTCTTCTGACCCATCATATTCAATATAATGGCTCTTCGTGTACAGGTTTGTCCCGTAGGGTCAAAAAATTGCTTCTGCAACTCCAAACATCACATTCTTATGTGACTACCTAGAAAGAAAGGAGATGACAAGAGTAGCCAAAGAGAATGCATACTGTGTCTCATGTCTCTATTTTCATTTGGGAGGTAGGCAATTATCCTCAGGAGACATCTCTTTACTCCTTATTGGTTAGAGTTGAATCACATGGTCACTTCACACTGCAAGAGACAATAAGAAACTGAGTGTCTGAAACTATCAGTCTCTGTATGTAAGTTGTGTTTTGCCATCAGGGAACATTAGGGAGCGGGGTGGATGTTGGGTAAGCTGGTGGTAATATTTGCCATAATAGAGACAACAAGCAAAATTTTGGGAAACATTTTGAGGCCTTAAGTACCATTAAAGTTAACCTGATTGCCTATCTGTTCCCCATATGTAATTAAAATTGTGAAAAGTCACAGCATGTTTCAAAGAATATAATAAAATTATTTCACTTTGTAGAACAAGAAGTCCAGCAATTGTTCCAGTTGAGTGCCGTACTTTCCAGGTATTTCGGGGAAATACTGTTATTAGGTCAAGGTGAAATACTGAGTAGGATAAGTTGTACTGGATTGCTACTTAAGGAACTATGCTTGATTAGTTAATTAGCTTTCAGTGCCCTTTTGAAAAAAATCGTATTGAACCCCATACAAGTGACATTTCCAACATAAGTCTGCCTTTCATTTAAGTGCCAATAAAATGTTTAAGGAATAATGCGTATGTGTTAAAATACTGCAGATTTAAAATTAATTTGGCAGCAAGAATCACAGAAACATGTATGGCTGTGTCTTGTTGTGATAGTCGGTATAATTGGTTCTTATAACCTTAACAGATATTCCCTGTGCTGTGTAAAAATGCTTCAAAAATCCATCAACTTTCCATTTAAATGTCATTGTTACTTGGGGGTGGTTAACCATTTATTGCTATAAAGCTGGTAAGGTTTATTTAGTTTTTATTTTATTTTTATTTATTTGAGATGGAGTCTCACTCTTGTCACCCAGACTGGAGTACAGTGGCGCGATCTCGGCTCACTGCAACCTCTGCCTTCTGGGCCCAAGTGATTCTCCTGCCTCAGCCTCCCAAGTAACTGGGATTACAGATGCCTGCCACCCCGCCTGGCTAATTTTTGTATTTTTAGTAGAGACGGGGTTTTGCTGTGTTGGCCAGGCTGGTCTCGAACTCCTGACCTCAGGTGATCCACCCTCCTTGGCCTCCCAAAGTGCTGGGATTACAGGCGTGAGCCACCGCGCCCGGCCTGTTCACTTTTTAATAATAATAAAACTTGACAGAGTGTCTACTTCTATAGGACTACATTTAAGTATTCTGTTAAAATTTGTGTGGTATTCTAGGAGCTTCACGATCTATCCCTAGTCTACTCTCTCAATCTTATTGGCCTCTAATTCCAAATGTATTCTCTAACCTATAGTCAAATCGAAGTACTCCCACTTGTTTTTGCACTTACTTACGTCTGTATTTTGCCTTCATCACATTTTTTATCCTATCCCATCTCTAATCATTTGAATCCTCATGAATTTTGTGTCTACTCTTTCATGCGCATCCGTGTGAAGAGACCACCAAACAGGCTTTGTGTGAGCAATAAGGCTGTTTATTTCACCTGGGTGCAGGCGGGCTGAATCCGAAAAGAGAGTCAGTGAAGGGAGATAAGGGTGGGGCCGTTTTATAGGATTTGGGTAGATAAAGGAAAATTACAGTCAAAGGGGGTTGTTCTCTGGCGGGCAGAGTGGGGGTCACAAGGTGCTCAGTAGGGGAGCTTTTGAGCCAGGATGAGCCAGGAGAAGGAATTTCACAAGACAATGTCATCAGTTAAGGTAGGAACAGGCCATTTTCACTTCTTTTGTGGTAGAATGTCATCAGTTAAGGCAGGAACCGGCCATCTGGATGTGTATGTGCAGGTCACAGGGGATATGATGGCTTAGCTTGGGCTCAGAGGCCTGACATTCCTGTCTTCTTATATTAATAAGAAAAATAAAACGAAATAGTGGTAAAGTGTTGGGACAGTGAAAATTTTGGAGGTGGTATGGAGAGATAATGGGCGATGTTTCTCAGGGCTGCTTCGAGCGGGATTAGGGGCGGCGTGGGAACCTAGAGTGGGAGAGATTAAGCTGAAGGAAGATTTTGTGGTAAGGGGTGATATTGTGGGGTTGTTAGAAGGAACATTTGTCATTTAGAATTATTGGTGATGGCCTGGATACAGTTTTGTATGAATTGAAAAACTAAATGAAATAAGAGAAGGAGAAAAACAGGTATAAAAGGTCTAAGAACTGGGACGACTCAAGACATCTGATTAGAGCGTGCCTAAGGAGATTCAGCATAGTCCTGCCAGCAAAGATTATTTATTTACTTCAAGAGTTAAGAGTGGCAGTTTGGGGATAGCACCAGGAGATATCAGCTGTGATGGCTTGGAGAAACAGTGTAAACCAGCAATGTAAACAAGAGCAGGGCATGTGTGAGTAGTTGAGAACGGTGAATAGGAGTATGACTAGACAGAAGATAGCAGGGATGACAAGTTTTTTTGGGGCACAGTCTAAGTTGGTCTGGTGTCTGGAATGAGACTGGGGCTTAATAAAAAGGAGCGTCTATACAGGAGCTCAAATGCGCTGTACCTTGTAGCATTCTGAGGACAGGTCTGACTTCTGAGAAGGGAAAGTGGTAAAAGTATTGTCCAGTCCTTTTTAAGTTGGTGGCTGAGCTTGGCGAGGTGTGTTTTTAAAAGACCGTTAGTCCATTCTACTTTTCCTGAAGACTGAGGACTGTAAGGGATATAAAGGTTTCACTGAATACTAAGAGCCTGAAAAAATGCTTGGCTGATTTGACTAGTAAAGGCTGGTCCGTTATCAGACTGTATAGAGGTGGGAAGGCCAAATCGAGGAATTACGTCTGATAGAAGGGAAGAAATGACCGCGGTGGCCCTCTCAGACCCTGTGGGAAAGGCCTCTACTTATCTAGTGAAAGTGTCTACCTAGACTAAGAGGTATTTTAGTTATCTGACTCAGGGCATGTTGAGTAAAACTAATTTGCCAGTCCTGGGTGGGGGCAAATCCTCAAGCTTGATGTGTAGGGAAGGAAGGGGGCCTGAATAATCCCTGAGAAGTAGCAGAATAGCAGATGGAACACTGAGAAGTTATTTCCTTGAGGATAGATTTCCACAATGGAAAGGAAATGAGAGGTTTTAAGAGGCGGGCTAGTGGCTTGTACTATAGCATAGCCTGCCTTTGCTGGTGTGTGGCGATTAGGCCTGGTAGAACTGCCATCAATAAACCAAGTGTGATCAGGGTGAGAAACAGGGAAGAAGGAAATATGGGGAAATGGGGTGAATGTCAGGTGGATGAGAGAGATACAGTCATGGGGGTCAGGTGTGGTATCAGGAATAATGTGGGAGGCTGGATTGAAGTCCGGGCCAGGAACAATGGTAACTGTGGGACTTAACAAAGAGTGAGTACAGCTGAAGGAGCCGGGGAACAGATAGTATATGCATCAGGTATGAGGAAGAAAATAGATTTTGGAAGTTATGAGAAATGTAGAGAGTGAGTTGAGCATAATTTGTGATTTTAAGGGCCTCTGAAAGTATTAGGGCGGCAGCAGCCACTGCATGGAGACATAATGGTCAGCTTAAAACAGTAAGGTCAAGTTGTTTGGACAAAAAGGCTACAGGACGCGATCCTGGTCCTTGTGTAAGAATTCTGACTGCACAGCCTTGCACTTTGGCTGTGTGTAATGAAAAGGGTTGGGATGAGTCAGGGAGAGCTAGAGTGGGGGCAGTCTCTAAAGCTATCTTCAAGAAATGGAAAGAGGAGTGGGGAAAGGATTTAGGATCTATGCGGTCAGCTAGGTTTCCTTTTGTGAGTTTATAATAATGGTTTTGTTAGGATGGCAAAACTAGGTATCTAAAGTCGAAAGTATCTAACCATGCCTAGGATGTAGAAGGTGTTGGGGTTTGAGAGATTAGTCGGACACGAGCAGCAGGGAGAGCACGTATGTTTTTTATAAGAATTACGCTGAGACAGGTAACAGGTGAGGAAGAAATTTGGGCTTGACTGAAGTAATGGGGGATGTCTGTGAAGCCTTGCGGCAGTACAGCCCAGGTAATTTGCTGAGCCTGATGGGTGTCAAGGTCAGTCTAAGTGAAAGCAAAGAGAGGCTGGGATGAAGGGTGCAAAGGAATAGTAAAGAAAGCATGTTTGAGATCTAGAACAGAATAATGGGTTGTGGAGGGAGGTATTGAGGATAGGGGAGTATATGGGTTCGGCACCACGGGGTGGATAGGCAAAACAATTTGGTTGATAAGGCACAGATCCTGAACTAACCTGTAAGGCTTGTCTGGTTCTAGGAAAGGTAAAATGGGGGAATTGTAAGGAGAGTTTATAGGCTTTAAAAGGCCATGCTGTAGCAGGCAAGTGATAACAGGCTTTAATCCTTTTAAAGCGTGCTGTGGGATGGGATCTTGGCATTGAGCAGGGTAAGGGTGATTAGGTTTTAATGAGATGGTAAGGGGTGCATGATCGGTCTCCAAGGAGGGAGTAGAGGTATCTTACACTTGTGGGTTAAGGCGGGGGGATACAAGAGGAGAACGTAAAGGAGGCTTTGGATTGGGAAGAAGGGCGGCAATGAGATGCAGCTGTAGTCCAGGAATAGTCAGGGAAGCAGATCATTTAGTTAAAGTGTCTCGGCCTAATAAGGGAACTGGGCAGGTGGGGATAACTAAAAAGGAGTGCTTAAAAGAGTATCGTCTAAGTTGGCACCAGAGTTGGGGAGTTTTAAGAGGTTTAGAAGCCTGGCTGTCAATACCCACAACAGTTACAGAGTTAAGGGAAACAGGCCCTTGAAAAGAAGGTAATGTGGAGTGGGTAGCCTCCGTATTGATTAAGAAGGGGACAGACTTTCCACTGTGAGAGTTACTTAGAGTGTCTGTGATGGTCTTGTAGGCTTCTGAGGCAATCGGGCAGTGTCAGTCTTCAGCCGCTAAGCCGAGAAGATCTGGGAAGGAGTCCATCAGAGAGCCTTGGGCTAGAGTTCCAGGGGCTCTGGGAGTGGCTGCCAGGTGAGTTGAACAGTCCGATTTCCAGTGGGGTCCTGCACAGATGGGACACGGCTTAGGAGGAATCCTGGGCTGTGGACATTCCTTGGCCTGGTGGTCAGATTTCTGGCACTTGTGGCAAGCTCCTTTGGGAGGAGGTTCTGGAGGAAGGCCTGGCCACTGCGGTTCAGGCATTTGGAAGTTCTTGTGTGCTGGAGATGTGGCTGGGGTTTGTCTCACAGTGGAGGCAAGGAATTGCAACTTTTTTCTATTATTGTACACCTTGAAGGCGAGGTTAATTAAATCCTGTTGTGGGGTTTGAGGGCCGGAATTTAATTTTTGGAGTTTCATTTAATGTTGGGAGTAGATTGGGTAATAAAATATATATTGAGAATAAGACGGCCTTCTGACCCTTCAGTGTCTAGGGCTGTAAAGCATCTCAGGGTTGCTGCCAAACGAGCCATGAACTGGGCTGGGTTTTTCATATTTGATGAAAGAGCCTAAACACTCACTGATTTGGGAGAGGTCTGATAAAGAAAAGGAGCATTAACTTTGACTATGCCTTTAGCTTCAGCCACCTTTTTAAGAGGAAATTGCTGGGCAGGTGGGGGAGGGCTAGTCATGAACGAAACTGTAAGCCGGACCAGGTGTGAGGAGGGAAGGTGATAAAAGGATTACAGGGGGGAGGAGTGGAGGCTGAGGAAGAATTGGGACCTAGCTTGGCCTGGCGAGGAGGGGAGAGGTCAGATGGGTCTGTAAAAAAGGAAGATTAGACTCAGCAACGCTTGGGGTTGGGACTGAGAGGACAGGCAGGAGGGAAAGAAGGAAGATTTGGGACGAGTTGCATTGGGAACAGAGACTAGGAAGGGACTGATGTGTAAAGGAATGCCTGGATGTCAGGCACCTCAGACCGTTTGCCTATTTTACCACAAGAATTATTTAGATCTTGCAGGATGGAAAAATTGAAAGTGCCGTTTTCTGGCTATTTGGAACTACTGTCGAGTTTATATTGGGGTCAAGTGGCATTGCAGAAGAAAATAAGGCGTTTAGGTTTTAGGTCAGGTGTGAGTTGAAGAGGTTTTAAGTTCTTGAGAACACAGGCTAAGGGGGAATGGAGGGTAGAAGGTTGCTTATAGTGAAGGAGGCAAGTTTAAAGAAAAGGGAGAGTAGAGACACGGAGGGAAGCGGTTAGGGGGTTCTTACCCTCCAGAAAAGCGGGAAAGGGGTTGGGGCACAGAGATACGAGGTCGGGGCGTGGAAATAAGGGATCAGGGCGCAGAGATATAAGAGGTTGGGGTGTGGAAATAAGGGATTGGGGCACAGAGATATAAGAGGTCAGGGCATGAAAATAAGGGATCGGGGTGCAGAGATAGGAGGTTGGGGTACTTGCCCCTCCCCTAGAAAAGTGGGACTTGCCACTAAGGGTGAAGGAGAAGGGGTTGAGGGGTTCTTGCCTCTCCCCCAGAAAAGCAGAGAAGAGATAGAGACACTGAGAGAAGGGGTTGGGGTACTTGCCCTTCCCCAGAAAAGCGGGACTTGCCGCTAAGGGTGAAGGACCAAGGCAGGCGTCCCTGCGTGGTCTGACACCTCTGAAACGTGGGTGAATAATCAGAGAGGCGTCTCTGCAATGATTAAACACCAAGGGAAGGCTGCCTTCCCAGTCCGTGACTGGCGCCGGAGTTTTGGGTCCACGGATAAAATGTGTCTCCTTTGTCTCTACCAGAAAATGAAAGAATTGAAATTAAGAGAAGGGAGAGATTGAAGAGTGGAAAGGAGAAAGTGGTTGAGGGATAGTGAGAAAGGTTGGAGAAGAGAGTAAGAAGAGGCCGCTTACCTGATTTAAAATTGGTGAGATGTTCCTTGGGCTGGTAGGTCTAAGGACCTGAGGTCGTAGGTGGATCTTTTTCATGGAGCAAAGAGCAGGAGGACAGGGGATTGATCTCCCAAGGGAGGTCACTTGATCCCAGTCACGGCACCAAATTTCATGCACGTCCATGTGAAGAGACCACCAAACAGGCTTTGTGTGAGCAACAAGGCTGTTTATTTCACCTGGGTGCAGGCGGGCTGAGTCCGAAAAGAGAGTCAGCGAAGGGAGATGAGGGTGGGGCCGTTTTATAGGATTTGGGTAGATAAAGGAAAATTACAGTCAAAGGGGGTTGTTCTCTGGCGGGCAGAGTGGGGGTCACAAGGTACTCAGTGGGGGAGCTTTTGAGCCAGGATGAGCAAGGAGAAGGAATTTCACAAGACAGTGTCATCAGTTAAGGCAAGAACAGGCCATTTTCACTTCTTTTGTGGTGGAATGTCATCAATTAAGGCAAGAACAGGCCATTTTCACTTCTTTTGTGCTGGAATGTCATCAATTAAGGCAGGAACTGGCCATCTGGATGTGTATGTGCAGGTCACAGGGGATATGATGGCTTAGCTTAGGCTCAGAGGCCTGATATACTCTTTCATAGAGAGTTCCATGGTTCCTTTAGTCATAATTAAATTTACTCTTTTATTAACTTCATAGCTCTATTTCTTTATTGCACTATTATATGTTACCTATCTTTACACACATTTCTGTCACTGACTAAGCTACTACATTCTGGTTTCTGCCTTTTCCATACCACTGAGTCTGACCTTCAAAAAATAGTCATATTCTCCTACTTGTCAAGTCCAGCAGAAATTTTTCAATCCTGGTGATACTTTTACCACTCCCTCATTTAAAGTTTCTCTTAGCATCTTCTGCCCAGTCCTCTGAATGAGGGGACTTAGTTTTGGACTTGCTATTCTGGTTTTGACTTTGTACAACATTTAGGCATTAGCTCTATTATCTGGGCCATAGGTTGTTCTACTATGGGTAGGTAGGAGGTACCACAACATCATGGCATCTTGGCCCACCACAGCCCTATAGCAGCCCTAATCCCACATTATGGGTCATGTTATATGCTTACCAGAGTGGCAAAGGAGGGAGGAGATGACAGAGTTATAGCTTTCCTAGTTCACATGTAACTCTTCTGAAATTAGGTAATAACTCCCACTTCTTATTTTTGTTTGTTTGTTTTTTTGAGACGGAGTGTCGCTCTTGTTGCCCAGGCTAGAGTGCAATCTCGGCTCACTGCAACCTCCGCCTCCCGGGTTCAAGCAATTCTCCTGCCTCAGCTTCCCAAGTAGCTGGGATTACAGGCATGTGCCACCACACCCTGCTAATTTTGTATTTTTAGTAGAGACAGGGTTTCTCCATGTTGGGCAGGCTGGTCTTGAACTCCCAACCTCAGGTGATCCATCTGCCTCGGCCTCCCAAAGTGCTAGTATTACAGGCATGAGCCACTGAGCCCAGCAAACTCCCACTTCTTATAAGTGTTCTGCGGATTATCACTGCATAACATTCTATGAATCTCACTTTCTCAACTTGCTTTTTTTCTGCATCTCCACTAAAATGTAAGCTCTATGAAAGCAGGGAATTTTGTGTGTTTGGTTCAGTCTTGTATCCCTAACACCTAGAATTGGGCCTGACACATAAGAAACAGTAAAAAAAAGAAAAAAATCTGTTGAATGAATAAATGAAAAGTATTTAATATATAATAAGTATTCAATAAATTCTAGCAACACTGAACTTCAGGGAAGCCTATACTGTTGTTATTATAATTTAGATAAAGAAATGTATCTGCTCCCTTCAAGTAGTTTAATCTATTTGCTTGGAATTTCATGTTTTTACTGTAATTGCTTTCTTTTTCTCGTTTTCTCTTTCACACTTTCAGCATGTGCATTTTTTACCTTGGCTTTATGGTAATATTCTGTTATCCTGTATTCTAAATGGGGCATCTATGAGGTGCGCTTCTTTTTTTAAATATATTATCTTTTTAAATTTTTTTATTTTTATTATTATACTTTAAGTTCTAGGGTACATGTGCACAACGTGCAGGTTTGTTACACAGGTAAACATGTGCCATGTTGGTTTGTTGCACCCATCAACTCGTCATTTACATTAGGTATTTCTCCTAATGCTATCCCTCTCCCAGCCCCCCACCCCCCAACAGGCCCCAGTGTGTGATGTTCCCCATCCTGTGTCCATGTTTTTTCATTGTTCACCTCCCACTTATGAGTGAGAACATGTGGTGTTTGGTTTTCTGTCCTTGTGATAGTTTGCTGAGAATAATGATTTCCAGCTTCATCCATGTCCCTACAAAGGACGTGAACTCATCCTTTTTCATGGCTGCATAGTATTCCATGGTGTATATGTGCCACATTTTCTTTATCCAGTCTATTATTGATGGACATTTGGATTGGTTCCAAGTCTTTGCTATTGTGAATAGTGCTGCAATAAACGTACGTGTGCATGTGTCTTTATAATAGCATGATTTATAATCCTTTGGGTATATACCCAGTAATGGGATGGCTGGGTCAAATGGTATTTCTAGCTCTAGATCCTTGAGGAATAGCCACACTGTCTTCCACAATGGTTGAACTAACTTACACTCCCACCAGCAGTGTAAAAGCATTCGTGTTTCTCCACATCCTCTCCAGCATCTGTTGTTTCCTGACTTTTTAATGATCACCATTCTAACTGGTGTGAGATGGTATCTCATTGTGGTTTTGATTTGCATTTCTCTAATGAACAGTGATGATGAGCATTTTTTCATATGTCTGTTGGCTGCATAAATGTCTCCTTTTGAGAAGTGTCTGTTCATATCCTTTGCCAGGTGGGCTTCTTAGAGAAGACTTACAACCTTAAAAAGGTGTAATGATCACCTCAAATTTCTTTTGAAAGAAGACAATATATAAATAGGAAAAAATGCATTGAATGAAATACAGAGATCTCTTTAAAGGTAGAGGCAGATCCTCCTGGCTATGTTTAACTCAGTGCACATTTTTGTCTTTATTCAAGGACTTCGAGATCTGAATACATTTTGAAAGGCAGTCACATAGTGATGGAATAATCCCTGTGCTGGCCATTTTTATATATGAGATTAGGCTATTGATCTCCCATCTGTAGAACCTGCTTAAGGTGTTGGTCCCAGTAACTACACAGCCTCTTCATGCACTGGCTTATCAGGTGACCAAAAGTCAGAGTTAGGTAGGGATAAAGAAGTCACTGCTACCATGAAACAGAAATAAACTAAGTGAATATGGCAAGAAGATCATGCTTTTGCCTTCACAAATGTTTTATTACTGCCAGCCAAGTGATCTAGTTACACTGGTCACTTTCTGGCCAGTTCACGTTTGTATATTTATTCAACAGCTATTTATTGGGCATTGGTATTAATTTGAGTTCCGGCTCCACACTTACTAAGTGAATATCCTTGGGCACCACTCTGTGCCTCAGTCTCCTTATCCATAAAATGGAGATAATAATAGTACCTGCTATATAGAACTATGGACAGACTAAATAAGCAAGCATATGTAAAGCACTTAGAACAGGTTTCAGCAAACACAAAGTTCTCAATGGATGTTAGTTATCCTAGAGGCAATAAATTCCCTTTTTATTTACATAACTTTACATTAAATTACTATCACTTGCAAGCAAGAGTCTTGATTTAAAGGGACTGCAGCTCAAAGAGGTGACATATAACCTGCCTGAGATCATATAGCAAAATGAATGGCAGGTTATCTCCAAAAACCCGAATGATTGATATTACCACTCTAGTGCCCCTGAACAGATTTCTGAGACTTTAGGTTCCTACCTGAGGCTGGAGCATATGCAATTCCTACTAGTCAAAGGACTCCCATGGGATGTGAGGACTATCAGCACTGCCTAGGATGCTAAGATTCACTTCTGGTTGATGTGCCATTGACACTGCTGCAAGCTTGAGGTCTTCAGGAGTTAGTTACACTATTAAAGCTACCCTACCTACCCCCAGCGTTATAGGCTCTGCAAAAACTTTTGGACAACAGCACTACAGTAAGATAGCCCTTTCATTTCTCTAAATTGTTAAGAACAGAGGAGGGAGGAACATGCCTGTTACTCAGATGTTGGCCCACCTTGTATGATGTGAGTAGTACTCTCTGATGTTAGCTTGAATAAACCAGAACTCCTGGCAGTAAAAAACATTTAGTCCCTGCAAAAAGGTTTATCTGGCAGTTTAAGCCATATTATTATCTGTATAGGTGTATGTAAAGATATATTTATAGATACAGATATACTTATAGATTAAAATGTAAATATTTTGAAGTGTTAATTTTATCACCTTATATCAATATAGATAGATGATAGATAAATAGATAATAGATACATAGAAAAATAAGAGAGAGAGATATACCAATTACATACATCTGACTAGCAAAAAAATGTGAGAGAGTGTGTGTGTGTGTAGGCATTTTTGAGCACTTATATGCTAGGTTCTGTGGCTCAGGACTGTACATAATTTTTTCAATTAATACACCCATATATTAATAGTTATTATATCTGTCTGGTGGCTCTACAGATGGTCTCACTTTATACCTTTTTATTTACCAAGTTTTCTACGTTGAGCACATATTATTTGGAGGTTAGTAAAACAGTTAAGTACATGTTTGTTACTTCTCAGGATATAATTCACCCTGAGTTAAATGTTTATGAAATTCCTGATACTTCTCAGGAGCCATGTTCTAATTATTTTACAAACATTATCTCATGTAGTCATCATAGAAACTCCATGGGGTTGATATTATTATCCTAAGTTTTAGAGTATGAGGTTCAGAGGAGGAACTCGCTCAAGGACATACATGTAGCAAGTAGCATAATCTCCAAGTCTTTGAACCATACAACATCAGAAGAAGTAGAGGAAATAAATAAAATAATAAAATTGAGATGCATTGTTGGCAAATCTTGAAATGAAGGTTGAATATGTTCGCTAAAATTGTTATTACAATAGTATCTGTGACTTTAATTATCTCCATTCCTTGCAAGCAGAGAGTATCATAATAATCGTATTTGAAGGGGAACAGTCATGGCTGGCAGGACACACAAGCAATTTAGAAAATAATTTAAGTGAAGTTGAAGGCAGTCTGAGTATATAGCCATTATTCTATTCACCTTAGAGTTTGCTAGACATGATTAATTGTAGAGGAAAATATTTGAAGGATACATCCTTTGAAAAAGTAGCAGAGGTGAATGAACTCAAAAGAGAGCAAAAGATGATACACAGTATTGAAATATAAAATTCTCATGATCCTCAAAGACAGAATCCCACTCATTCTAAACAGATCAAATACTACTGCAGCTGGGTCCTACCTGCTTAAGTAGTACCGACATGGACTTTGCAAATCATAAAATATTAACTATGTTCAGAAATTTGTGTAGTTCCAGAGATCATTTCTTGCCCTTTAAGAATGTTTCATACTGAATGCTTGACGACAAAAGTAATCAAAAATAGATTTTACTTCAAAATCAGTGAGATATTCAAATAGAAAGGGAAAATGACTCAGATCTTCTTCTTTCCTCCTTACTGTAGTTACAGGCATGATTTCAGCTTAAGACTCAAAGAAATTATTCACATAAATATAAGCACTTACCTACAAATTCACTCAAAATTCAAGTGAGGTCTTTTAGAGTTGTAATATTATTAAATGATATGAAACAATGTCAAATATATTTACAGCCAATCAACTACAAGTAAAAAGAAAAAGCATTTAGGGCTTTTGTTAACAGATGGTTAAATCATAGGAAAGCAAAAGTAAATGACATAGTCCCAGGATATTTAATATAGTCCCCCAGAGGAAACCATCACACAAACATCAACCCTGAGCCTCTAACATCTAACTACATCTACATGTACTGTCTCCACTGGGGAAGGATGCAAGTTCTCAATCTTTGATGTCTTGTACCATTTTAATTGCAAAAAAAAGGTACACAAAGGAGATGTTCAGAATGGCAGAATTTGTAATATTAACTACCATAAACATTCAGGTTCTTCCTATTAAAGAGGAGAGAAAATAATTTCCAGGGCAGAAAGGTAGCTATATGAATTGATTAATCAGGTAAAATGGTTTTGATGATAAAGATACATTTCCTCCTCCTGCAGCTCCACTTTACTTTCCAGCTCCTGCCACATCTCTATCCTCCTTCAGAGCCAAGCTTCTCAATAGAGCTGTCTTCACTTGCTTCCTACGTTTTCATGTCTTACGCTCTCCTCCTCTATGGCATCTGG
Organism: Homo sapiens; assembly: GCF_000001405.40. Lineage (NCBI taxonomy): Eukaryota > Metazoa > Chordata > Mammalia > Primates > Hominidae > Homo > Homo sapiens. The sequence continues at coordinate 30,460,530 of NC_000023.11, forward strand.
CTGTGGTCCCAATCTCTCTACCAGAATCCCTCTGGTAAGGTCACCAGTGACTTCCATTATTCTATGTACTGGCATTATGTCAGGGAACAATAACAGACAAGAGACAATAACTAAGTTTGGAAGCTAGAAAGCAGTTAATGAGTAATACTGACTGAGAAGACCAGAGAAAGCTGAATGCAATCCGTGGGTAGCAGGATCCAAAAGCTAACTAATGTCTCCTACAGAGCTCCAGAAAAGTTCAGAAATTACAGGATCAAGGAACTAATTATGGCATGGATACCAATAGGACTGAAAATGGGAAGTTATGTGAAGGCTGTATAGACCCCTATATCTCCTCCCTACTCCACACAACCAGGACCCCTATGGAACCACTGACACGTAAGAACACAGCTAATCTTGTTCTGCCTCCCCCAGCCCCAGCCACTACCACACATACACACAGACCAAGGGCAGTAAATTTGAACATTTCACTGGAAGCTGACAAGTCAAAGCAAAAATGACCTATATGTCTCTGCCCTATCAGCATAGAGGAATAACCAAAATCATGCGATTACAACAGATCATACTTGGCTTCACTTGGAAGAAAAATGATCTCATACATTCTCACCTGTAGTGTGTGAGAGATGAAGCTGCTCCACATTCCCACTACCACTTGGTATTGTCAGACTAATTTTTTTCCTATCTGGTGGTTATATTTTGGTATCTTATTGTAGCCTAAGTTTGCATTATCTTGATTATAAATGGAATTGAGCAACTTTTTCTGTGCTTTTATCACTTGATGTCATCTTTACGCAGTATCTGTTCATGATTTTGGACCATTTTCCTACAGGATTGTTTGTATTTTTCTCATTTACTTGTAGGAGTTCTTTATATATCCCCAGTGGTAGTCCTTTTTTGGCCGCATATTGCAAATCTCATCTTCCACTCTGTGCCTTTCGTTTTACATGTTAGTCATGATTTTTGATATTTGCTCCTAATTTAAAATTATTGATCTTAATCCTTAATGGTTAGTGATTTTACTATTCTGTGTAAGAAGTCTTTCCCTACCTTGAGGTTATGAAAATATTCATTTATATTTACTTATAGAAATTTTATCATTTTGCTTTTCACATTAAGGTTTATGATACATCTAGAAATTATGTTATGTATGGTTTGAGGAACAGATTGCTGTTTCTTTTTTTTTGTCATATCATTATCCAATTGTCCCAGCCTCACTTATTGAAAAAACTGTCCTTGCTCCACTGCCATGCCCAGTCTGTCACAAATCGAGTGTCCATTCATGTTTGGACTTACATCTGGCTTTCCTAATCAGTTCCATTGTTCTATTTATTTATCTGCATACCAGTACAATAACTGCTATCTTTTATAATAGGTTTTGATATCCAGTAGTGCAAGACTCCCTACCTTGTTAATATCCTTCAAAGATAATTTGGTCTGTTTAGCCTTTTGTATTCCCATCTAAATTTCAGGATAAGTTTGTCAAGTTTCACTAAAAAATTTGATGGGTTTTTGGTTGGCATTTTATTGAATCCAGTGGATTAATTTGGAATAATTGTTATGTATACAATAACAAACCAATTGGTCCACAAAGATAATATATCATGTAATTTATTTGGATTTTCTTTAATTTTTATCTTTAATGAGGGAAATTGAGGTTTTCTCAGCAGATTAGATTTATTCCTAGATACGATATAACTTTTAATTCTATTATAAATTATACCTGTTTGTTTTATTTTCTGTTTGTTGCTACTACACAGAATCATTTGATTATATAATCAACAGTGATTTTCAATGTTGATTTTATAACCAACCACCTTGTTAGACTCGGCTAATTTGTCTGTTGATTCTTTTAAATTTTTCATGTACACACGATGATATCATTTGTGAATGGCTGTTTTACTACTTCCCTTTCAAATCTGCCCAAACTTTCCCAAGATGCCTATTTTCCCAGATATTCGCTGTATCATTGTACATGCATACAAAGGTATTAAATTTTTAAATAAGTTTTTGCAGAGAAATGGCACATATGCAGAAAATGCATAAGTCACAATTATACAAGCTGATGATTAGTCACAAAGCTAACACATCTGTGTAACCACCAGCCAAATCAAGAACTAGACCATTATCCATGCATCACAAGCTTCCTTCATACCCCCTCATAGCTCTTAACCCAAGCTTTCTCGGAAAAGTAACCAGTGTCCTGATTTCTAACATTATAGCCTAATTTTGCCTTTTTTAACTTCATATAAGTGCATTATTTAACCTTTTTTTTAAAACAGGGTCTTGCTGTGTTGCCCAGGCTGCAGTGCAGTGGCACAAACATAGTTCACTGCAGCTGCAACCTCCTGGGCTCAAACCATCCTCCCACCTCAGTCTCCTGAGCAGTTGGGACTACAGGTACATGCCACCACACCTGGCTAATTTTTGTATTATTTGTAGAGACAAGGTCTCACCGTGTTGCCCAGGCTGGTCTCCAACTCCTGTGCTCAAGCAGTCCTCCCATCTTAGCCTCCCAAAATGCTGGGATTACAAATGTCAGTCACTGCGCCCGGCCATATTTAAAGTTTTGTGTTAGTTTCTTCCCTGATATTAGTAAGTATACATAGTACTATGCATAACTATTCATTTGCATCGCTGTGCAGTGTTCTACTGTAATCTTCCATGTTGATGACATTTTGGTAGTTTCCAGCTTGGAGTTAATATGAATAATATTGTTATGAGCACTCTTGTATATGTCTCTTGTTACATATATGTACACATTTCGGTTCAATAATGTCTAAGAATGAAAATTCTGGGTCAATAGAATAAATGGGTAAAACACATGACATCCCAGTAAGTACAGTAAAAGTATCATAAAATAGTGACTAAGATCACAACAGGTAGAGTTGCAATGCACATATGTGTTTGAGCATGTGTAATCATTTATCTACAGGCCCTGGAGGAGCTGTGCAAAACATTCCTGGCCACAGAAGTTAAGTAACTTGCCTAATAACTACATTAGTTCAACCAATACTTTTAGATTTCTTATCAAGTGCTTGGCATTGTTTTAGACTGGGGATCAAATGGTGAATACAACGTAGTTCATTCCTTCAAGTTGCTTACAGCTCAGCACAGAGGTTCTCTCTCTAAGGGGCTTTTGGAAATGCACGAAGCATTTTTAGTTTTCACAGTGTATATTCCCACCCAAAATACTAAGAATTTCCCCAGTGAGAAATACTAGCCAATCTAAGATTTGTCTGACTTTAATCAGATACTTTTTCTAACCAGTCATACTGTCTCTAGGGAAAATAACAAATTTATTTGCAAAGTTACTAATGATTTTAAATGGGTCAGTGATGTTACATAAAGAAACAAAATCATAATGCAAGGGTCAGTTCTCAGAGAAATTTAATATGCCAAAGAAAAAAATGTGAGAGAAGCAAAGAAACAAGAGATATGAATAGGCAAAATGAGATAGAAGAGAAAGTCCATGTTGTTTTGGAAAAGAGTTAAATAAATGAGTCTTTGAAAATATTCAGAAGATACCTGGCATTATGATTTTGTTTCTTTGTGTAACATCACTGACCCATTTAAAATCATTAGCAACTTTTCAAATAAATTTGTTATTTTCCCTAGAGAAAGTATGACTGGTTAGAAAAAGTATCTGATTAAAATCAGACAAATCTTAGATTGGCTAGTATTTCTCAGTGGGGAAACTCTTAGTATTTTGGGTGGAAATATATATACATTGTGAAAACTAAATGAGAAAAATGAGAATAAGAAACATACATGATGATAAACAGAAGTCAAGGGGAGAGAGAGGAAGATTGTGTGTACTCACTTTAGAACCTATTTGAATACCATGAGTTTGAAAGTGTTGATGTAATTTTAGTTGTTTATACTTGTAGTTTTAGGTTTCTAATTTTTAGGAAAAAACCTATTGTGGGCTCTCGGAAAAGTGTAGAAGTCAGAGTAACTCTTAATGTATGTAACATTTAGATACAGTATAATTTTTGACATGCAAATCATTCAATAATACGTAGAATTTCATACTTGAGTAAAAGGATCTCAACAGAATGTGTTTGGGGTCTAACTGAAATTTAGAATAAGCGCAAAATCAGATTTGGACAGCCCAGAAAAAGCATTGGATTTATCATAAGTCTTTAGTTTGGATTTTGGTTCTAAAACCATTAACTTGTGAAATCCTGGGGGAAGGAACTTGATCTGCCCAAGCACCCATTTTGTTGTCTCTAAAGTAGGCATAGTATCTTGGAAGGTTGTCATTGCTGAATGAATTGAGCACCTGCTGTCTTTATCCGTAGGTTCAGGGAGGTAACAACATCATTCAAATTTAGCCTCCCTACCTCCTTCAAAAAAAAAAGTCAAAACCCACAATATCTGCTAATGATAGGCTACTAAAGTTCATGGTCCTTCAGTCCCTGCCTCCTATTACTTAAATGGAAATTCTGAAGGTGGTGCTTCCCTCATTTGCAGAGGAAAAATGTTCAGCACAGCACATATTCAAAACTCTCTTTATTAATCCCTCAGGCTCTCAGGATTTTCCGTGCCTATTACGGCCCTGCAATATGTAGTTTCCATGGGCTGTGGGAAGATCATTGTGATATACTGTTGAATGTTGCTGGTTCTAGCTTTCATTCTCTATTAGTGGTTCAAAATGTCCATACAGGTTAGTATTTTTGGTTGCGTGAGTCCTAGTGTGAGAATTCCTATAGAATACATTCCTAAAAAGAGAATTCACTTTTATATACTGTTGGTGGAAATATAAATTGGTGCAACATTTCTGGAGAGCAATAGGCAATATATCAAAATTTAAATGCACATACTCTTTGACCTCAGAGTTCCAGTTCCAGAAATTTATCCTACAGGTATACTTTCCTGTGTGCACAAAGATGTATGCTCAAGATTGTTTGTTGCAGCATTTTTGTAACAGCAAGAGAACCAAAGATACACGTCTATTATTAGAGGATTGGCTGAATCAGTTATGTGTAATATCCTACAACCTTTGAAAAGCATGAGGTAGAGCAATATGCAATAGCAAAGAAAGAGGTAAGAACAATATTTTAAGAAGATTACAGAACAGCACATGCGGTAAATATTTAGGTAAGTATCTATGTACCTGTGTGTTTACTCTTTGTGCAGTGGATAACATCCACTGCCAATAGCTTTATTTGCAGTTAGGATAATGTAGGAAATTGTCACTTTCTATTTTATATGCTTATATATTGTTCGAATATTTAATTAAAAACATCATGGGTCCTATATAATGTTTAAAAGGGGCCTTTCCTTTTTGAAAAAAAAAAGTATTCTTTAAGGATCATTGTTCCAATTTGTCATGGCCATTTAAAAACATATCTTATTTTACAACCCCACATAAATCACAAACACTGACAGATATTTTCCTCGGTCCAGATCATCAGCTGAGATTTATTCACAAGATTGATTCCACCCATTTTGGCTTCCTCCCAGTCAACTATCATTGACTCCTTGGATTTCCCTGGAGCTCTGTGACACCATCTTGGCTCACACCCTTCCCCTAACCGTACCCTACTTCCTGTTGTTTCTTACTTAATAAGTCTTAATTTCTTTCACCCACTCTTGTTACCTGACTCACTTGATTCAGGAGCTCACATGTATTCCAGAACACACCTTTCCACATTTTTTTGAACCCAATAGTGACCAAAATGGCATGCATATAAATAGATCAAATATATAAAGTACCACCCCTGTGGCATGGACACTTATCAAATATACCAAATAGCTATGTTTTCACATATATTTCCTGGTCACCTTGCAATTGAATAATCAAAACTGACCAGTTCTAGGCAATGGACTTTGAGTAGAAGTGGGTATTTATGCGCTGAAGTAATGACAAGTCGCTGTGGCACCCTCAGCATTCTCCTCTTCTATTATGATAATCTAAGACAGCAAGATGGCAGTGAACTCGATACCTGTGTTACTACCTGGAAGGGAGTTTCCATGGAGAATGATGACCTACAGTTGGACGTTTACTTTATTCAGTAAGTCACTGAGATTTGGGGATTAAATTGTTATCTATCCTATCTAAAATGTATATTAACAACAGAGTTAGCATAATGTCACCGCCTTATTTGTCTATAAGACAATTGGATTATTCAATCACTTTTTAAAATATTTATTAATTGTCTTGTACAGCAGCTCCAATTTGGCATATTGCAACAGAAAGGTTGTATTCAGTCTGAGCATGTTTTATTTAGAATACACATTGTTTTAAAAATGTTTGAATTATTTTTCAATCTTTAAAATCGGGGTATTTTACCTCAAAAGTCATCCATATCTTCATCTTCTTTTGAGAAATGGGAAGCCCTGATGACACTGAGCCAGTATTCTTACTTGGCAGTAATTAGGCAGAGCTGAATAACAGTTGCCCTGTTTACACAAGGCATCAGCTCCCAGATTGCCACAGCTGCTACCATTCTTAGCCTCTGTGGTTGGCCCTGTGAATAAATGCAATGATAAGCAAAACAGATGCCATACCTGTACTGGATAAGCTCCATCTGCCCCACCAGATCCACTCTGATCCTTTCTTCACCATAGGCCCTCTTGCTCTCTGGTATCTTGGCTGAGTTTAGCTAATGAGTAGATCAGAAAGGTTTAAAAAGAAGTAGAAGAGTGAAGTCAGTGTATGCCTTTCTCAAACTCTCTCCAATAAGGTTACCATGGACTGGCTGTCATCTTTGACCTAAAGTTGCAGCTCATGTTAGGCTTTCCTTCTCCTCTCCTTGAACTTTCATGACTGAAGAAGGTGATGGCACCAAGATACTGATAACCTTGGGGTGCTATACTATCCCTTGCTTTTCTTTCACCCCACCCACCACTTCCTAAATAGTCCCCTTATTAAATCCTGCTAAAATGATCTGAGAGTGCCATGTCTTTCCTGTGGGAACCCTGACTGATAGAAATCCCTATCCTGGCAGAATTTATATGATTGGCCAAAGCGTTCCTGAAAGGCTCATTTGAGGTCTTAGGTAACTTTCTTTACCTTTCTTCTTTTAACCTTTGCTTTTTCCTGCTCATTTCTCCTTTTTTTTTTTTTTGAGACAGAGTTACCCAGGCTGGAGTGCAGCAGCACAATCTCAGCTCACTGCAACCTCTGTCTCCCGGGTTCAAGCAATTCTCCCACCTCAGCCTCCCAAGTAGCAGGGACTACAGGTGTGTGCCACCACATCCAGCTAATTTTTGTATTTTTAGTGGAGACAGGGTTTCACCATGTTGGCCAGGCTGGTCTCAAACTCCTGACCTCAAATGATCCACCCGCCTCAGCCTCCCAAAGTGCTGGGATTATAGATATGAGCCACTGCACTTGTCCTCATTTCTCCTTTTTACTCATCTCTCTTGCACTTGCCTTGAGGTCAACCTATTTATTCAAGTCAGGATATTTTCCTGAGATATATTTATTTAACACTGTTGGTTGGTTATTTTTGTGGCCTAGTACATCAAGTCTCGACCGTGACATTGTAACACAAACGTAGCTATTGGATATCAAGTAAGGCCCAAGTAATTCATTACTAAAATTATTATGATACTAAATTTTACAAATATGTTAGAGTTCAATTAGATAAACTGAAGCCATCTAGTTACCTTGAGAAAGAAGAGACTTACTATGGATAATAAAAGCATACATGATTCTTGAAAGTGCTGGAGGAGCCAAGGTCAGGAAGGTGGCTTTCAGGAAATGTGGGAGTAGAAGAATTGCAGGGAAGCTGCCACCAGTGACCCCAGCCACTTCCAGCACTGCAATGGGTGAGTCTCATGATAACCTCTGAAAGTCAAAGCCAACACCACCAAGAACCTCAACTACCACCCTGTACTAGGGAGAATAATGGCTTCTGCTTCTCTTCCAGCTTCCAAACATTATGCAAGTGCTTCTAATTGGTGAAATCTAATTGAAATCCTATTCACATTCACGAGGGAGCCTGGGAAATAGTTTCCAAGATTACACCCTGGGGACATGGGAGATAACTCAGTGTATACGCTAACAAAAAGTATTGCTCACAAGTGAGATGTTTTCTTATAAATACAAAAAGAGATTCAAATTTATTCCTATAATAACACATTTTCCTGCATTTGAATGCCAAACTTTCCTGAGTGGGGAAAGAATGGCATGTGGTAACAGTGAGTGAGCTGGTAATTCACATCACAGTATGTTTACTCATGAGACCATTGTTGAGACAGGAAATAACTGTTGAAAACCATTCGACTAGATAATCTGGAAACACATCTTCAAGGTTTCTTCCCCAGCTCCACAGCATCATGTTCTTGAGAAATGCTAATCAAATAAAAGGTGATAATTATACTTTAAGGATGAGATTGCAAGCTTTGTTTATCACCCCTTGAAGAATATTTTCAGTCTTGGAAAGGAGATAATTTGAGATCCTGCCAAAATGTGTGGCTTCAGATTAATCTTAATTTAGTGTCTTGACTAAACTAATACTGGAATTGCTTTCTCGTACATAGTTCAGAGCAATTTTTCACTTGTGTTGTGTAAGCATTCATATCTTCTTAGTCACCACCCTCAGTGTTAGCCATTTTCAATAACAATAGAATGGATTCTTCATTTATTATAAGGTGATAGAAAGGTAATCAGTCATTTTCGGGTCCACATAACTCTCCTTCTGAATTCTGAGAAGCAGTAGAGTAAAGCTTTTTTTTCATTTTTTCCCTTCAAAATATTCGGCACTTTAAATATTATTACATTTATATTATACATGTTTTGTTTATGAGTTTCTTATACTAATTTAAAAGTTATTTTCAGGTTCTTATACTAATTTAAAAGTTAAAAGTTATGTTACCCTTAATCTGGAGGCAGTAGGGAGTAGAGGTTAAGCACATGGCAGATGGCATCAGACTGTTTGGGTTCCAAATCTGGCTGAACCACTACCAGCTATGTAACCTTGAGCAAGTTTCCTAATTGTTTGCCTCAGTTTGTTTACCTGGTAAGCGGGAATAATAATAGTATCTATCTTATGTTGTCATGATGATTAAGTGGGCTAATGTATGCAGAGAACTGAGAACAGTGCCAAGCATGCAGCAAGAGCTCAATAGTATTAGCAATTATTATTATCCAATGACAAACCTCTCCCATGGGCTTAATCAAAACTGCTGAAACCTCTACTTGAAGCTTCCTTACTCCATACAGTGGTACTGGCTCTAAGAATCTCTTACATATCATCGTGTAAAATTTGTGTGTCTGGTGGATTGAATCATGCATTGATTGCCAGTAGATATTGTTTTCTGAAATATCTACTTTCTTAAGCAGAAAATGCTTGGGAAACACTTTGAAAGTTGGACTGTTTCTGCACAGAAAATGAGGGCTGCAGGCTCAGGAAACACGTGGTTTCCCCACTATGCCAGGGTCTCTCACTCTTCTGTGGCTTTATATGTGCTGTTTCTCTATCTGCGATGCCCTTCATCCTTCTCCATTTGGATACATCTTGCTCATCCCTTAAGACTCAGTTTAAACATTGCCTCCTCTGAGAAGCCACTACACACCATTTCTTTCTTTTTTTTTTTTTCTTTTGAGATGGAGTTTCGCTCTTGTTCCCCAGGCTGGAGTGCAATGGCACCATCTCGGCTCGCTGCAAGTTCCGTTTCCTGGGTTCAAGCGATTCTCCTGCCTCAGCCTCCCGAGTAGCTGGGATTACAGGCACTCACCACCACACCCGGCTAATTTTTTGTATCTTTAATAGAGACGAGGTTTCACCATGTTGGCAGGATGGTCTCGAACTCCTGACCTCAGTTGATCCACCCGCCTGGGCCCCCTAAAGTGCTGGGATTACAAGCTTGAGCCACCATGCTGGGCCCACTACTCACCATTTCTACTGGCCAATCCAATACCAAATTCAGTGAACTAGCCACCACTGTCCTTCCAGGTCTCTGTGCACTCCTCTGTCATTGTATTTATCCACTATCTTTACCCCACTTTCGTGTCTTCTTCCATCATCAGTCTATGCATTCTTTCAATACACAAAGTGTAACTTTTACCTTTATCTGACGTATCAGGAAAAAGGATTTCATGGAACAAAGTAGAATTCAATAAACATTTGTCAATAAATGAATAAACATATATCTACCAAACATAACATTTCTTTATCATTCTGGATGTGTTATGTGGAGCATACCAAAGAAGGATAAAGCATGATCAAAGCTCTAAGGAATGTATAGTCTAGCTAGAACAAGAAGACACAGACACATGAAAATGTAGACAAGAAAGACAGCGTATCAGCCATCGATGCAGTAAGACCACATCATAAAAAACCTCTAAATCTTTTTTTTTTTTTTTTTTTTGAGATGCAGTCTCACTCTTGTCACCCAGGATGGAATGCAATAGCACGATCTCGGCTCACTGCAACCTCCACCTCCTGGGTTCAAGCGATTCTTCTGCCTCAGCCTCCCCAGTAGCTGGGATTACAGGTGCCCACCACCACGCTCGGCTAATTTTTGTATTTTTAGTAGAGATGGGGTTTCACCATGTTGGCCAGGCTGATCTCAAACTCCTGACCTCAGATGATCAACCCACCTCAGCCTCCCAAAGTGCTGTGATTACAGGCGTGAGCCACTGTGCCTGGCTCTCTAAATCTTAATGACATAAAACAGCAAGCAGTTTTTTCACTCAGAGTTCTGCTGGTCAGCTTTAGGTTTGGTTCCAGGCTACAGGCTGGGTTCATGTCTGCTTTCCCAGCAGCTAGGGCGTGACTAGCATGGTGTATTGCTGGAGCGCAAGAAGCAAGCTAAACTGAGAATGCACACTTAGCCTTCTGCTCACATTCCACTGATCAAGGCAAGTCACAAGGTCGAGAACAGCGTCAAACAGGGAAGAAGTATTTTCCACCCACAGTGGAAGAGGTACAAAATGAGTGTGTGCTAGACGATCCATCAGATCATCATGCAGCATATCTGAGTATTCATTGTAAATGCTTGGGGATGCCACTAACTTCTCTGAATGTACAGATTAGAGAAAGACTTTAATGGGTCAAGGTAGCATAGGAAGAGTTAAAAAAATAAAACATTTGAGCTAGGCCTCAAGAAACAGATAACATGTAATTAGGTTAAGTGGAAACATGATAACAAGGTAGCATTCCAGGAGGAAAAGACTGAATAGCAGATCAGATGGTTGCAATTAAAAGGGAATCATAAGGGTAGACTACGGAAGTTAGACTTTATCTTTGACCATATATTTAGCTTTGGAAATATTTAGAACAATTAGGTGGCATGACTCCTGTCTACTTCTTTGCTCATTTTACCCACACAGCCTCTCTGCTCCCAAATATCAGTCAGAATTCCAAGTTGGAAGCAACAGAGACTAGCTCTGGCTGGCTTAAGCATAGTATCACAATCTAGTGACATAGTGGAATAACAAGGAAGGTTGGATATGCCAGGACAGGAAAATGGAGATTGTGTGGGAGTCATGGCCACAGTCAAATCATGTTCCATAGGTCCAGTGAGAGTATTGGGTATGCTGTTAAAAACTGGATTCAGGCCGGGCGCAGTGGCTCACGCCTGTAATCCCAGCACTTTGGGAAGCTGAGGTGGGCGGATCACCTGAGGTCAGGAGTTCAAGACCACCCTGGCTAACATGGTGAAATCCTGTTTCTACTAAAAATACAAAAAATTAGCTGGGCGTGGCGGCACGTGCCTGTAGTCCCAGCTACTTGGGAGGCTGAGGCAGGAGAATCACTTGAACCCGGGAGGCTGAGGTTGCCGTGAGCCAAGATCATGCCACTGCACTCCAGTATGGCGACAGAGCAAGACCGTGTCTCAAAAAAAAAAAAAAAAAAAAAAAACAAAAAAAAAAAACTGGATTCAGAGCTCACACCAGTAGGGCTGCTGCTGCTGCTGCTGCTGCTACTGCTGCTGTTTCAGCTGCTGCTCCAGCTGCTGCTCAACTACAAAATGTAGTCTAAGTAGTGCCTGTTATTGTGCACTTGCTCTCGGTTTAAACTCTGGAACAGATGCACCTGGTTGAGCCAAGGTCACCTGGTCATCCACAAAATGTAGTCTAAGTAGTGCCTGCTATTGTGCGCTTGCTCTGGGTTTAAACTCTTTAGCTCCCACATACAAGTAAGAACATTTGAAGTTCGACTTTCTGTGCCTGGCTTATCTTACTTAACATAATGTCCTCCAGTTCCATCCATGTTGTTGCGAACAGATGCACCTGATTGGTTGCGCCAAGGTCACCTATTCATATCCTAGCTGCAGGGGCTGCTGGGAAATTAAGTGTCTGGTATTTTCAGCCAGTACCTGGGAGGAGGCCCCACTTCCTATTCATAACACAGAAACGTCTCCAAGAACAAGAAGTGGATCAGAAGCTGGCAGTTGAAATATTTACTAGACTTCTACCTCCAAAAAGAACCCCTCCCCCAACTTTTTTTTTTTTTACTATTAACATACCAACCTCACACTTTCCTCCTCTGAAATCCTAGAGCAACTTATTTTTGAACCACGCCTTTGATATTTGTCTTCTGCAACCTTGAATTTCCAGAATACATGGGTTTTTTTCTCCACCTAAAGTGTAAGCAGTGTGCAGGCAGTGGCCATATATTATGTTTCTGTGTATCTAGAGTGCTTATCCCAGAGTTAAAAAAAATGTGACACATATACACAATGGAGTACTATTCAGCCATAAAAAAGAAGGAAATCTTGTCATTTGCAACAACATGGATGGAACTGGAGGACATTATGTGAAGTAAGATAAGCCAGGTATATAAAGATGAACTTCAAATGTTCTTACTTGTATGTGGGAGCTAAAGATTAAAACAATTGAACTCATGGAGATAGAGAGTAGAAGGATGGTTACCAAAAGCTGGGAAGGGAAGCAGGGAAGGGGGAAAAAGTGGTACTGGTTAATGGGTACAAAAATATAATTAGGTAGAATGAAAAAGATTTAATATTTGATAACACGATAGGTTGACTATAATCAACAATAATTTATTGTATACTTCAAAATAACTAAAACAGTGGAATTAGAAGGTTCCTAACACAAAGAAATAATAAATGCTTGAGGTGACGGATACCCCAATTGCCCTGATATGATTATCATACATTGTATGCCTGTATCAAAACATCACATGTACCCCATAAATATATACACCTATTATGTAGCCATTAAAATTAATTTTTTTAATGTGCGAAGAAGATTGCTCATCGGGCCTCAGCGTCATTTTTATTGATTGACTAATAAAAGCAGTGAGTGAGCACTGAGAAATAGATAGGGCAAGGAAATTATGACATTCTACTATTATAATGTTTTAGGCAGGAAGTAATAAAGGTCTGGATTGGGTGTTGAAGTAGAAGGAGAGAGATGAACACAAGACGTAAAGGCAGTGTTGGAGCTGCCTGCCCCAGTTCTGGAGAGCCAACTGTGTGCGTTTCTTCCCAGCTCCTCCAAAACCTGGCTTTTAGTAAAATTTCATCACTAGCTTAAAATAGGCCATGGTAGGAATATTCGCACCACAGAATTCTGCAAATGCCGTGAATACGGGCTTTTTCCCCCCAGAGAGCCAGTTGTTAAACATTTACTAGTATACCATTGCGCCATAAAGGCAAAATAGGAAAAATAAAGGTTCTCTGTATTTCTTTCATTTTTGCAAATTACTCTTCAGCCATTTACACCTTATTGCATATATGTTATCCATGTTTTAAATATGACACTTCCTAGTGTGGATTTCCAAATCTGAATAATTTTCTTTAACTATAAGGAAACAATAAGAATGTATGAGAGAATGGGGGAGTTGATATATTCATATATTTGATAAGAAGACCTTTTAGTTTATTTTTTAAGATACTTATAGCTTATCTTAAGATGACAATCAAATGACAATTTAACAAAGTGGAATTTACTTTTAGGAAATTAGTTAGATAATAATACGCAGGATTTAAAAAAAAAAACAGATTAACAATGAAGAGAAAGTTCCCAAGTCAATCTTCATCCACCGCCTTTCCACAGCACTCCACGAGACTGCTTCCAATTGTTGATGTGGGTATTCTTGCCTGAGAAGGGAGAAACAATTCTGTGAGCAAAGTACAAATATGGCACTGCACTTTCAAATGAACACTGGTGTAAGACAATGGAAAACAATTCCCCTCAAGTAGAAAATAACATATGCATCTCCATTTGAACTGTATGATTCTATTACAGCTCCATAACCTCCGTGTTCAGATGTTAATGAAATACTTTTCAGCATGCTTTAATAGTCAGGATCCGCTCAATAAAAGCTTTACTGCTAAATGGTCGCATCCAGCTGTTCTCCCAGGGTTGTGTGGACCCTGCTGCCATGTGTCCATCAAAAGGAACAATGCAGAGGGGTCTCCGAAGGACTGCTTTGGCCAGTGTTAAGTGGCAGAACGGCAATGTTTCCCTTTATGAGATGAAGGACGTTTGTACTTAACAGTCTTTAAGAAGAAGAAATACTGAGAGCAATTTCTGCAAAACCTTAAGATTAAATGCGTGGTTTTTCTCTATTGTACTGCATCTGGTTTCCGTAGAATGAATCTTGTTGATGCCAGTCTCAAGGTTGCTATTCTTTGTGCTTTTAAACCAAGGTCAAGCAAGAGGCAGCTCAGAGGCCTTGAGATTGTCATTGACAAGGAAAATAGAAGCTTTATAGCTGGAGCACTAATTAATCATTTCTAGAAAAATAGAAATAGGAAAAATATAAACATATACATACATACACATATATGTATACACATAAAATTTTGCATGTCAACAGCTACTAAAAGTTTACTTTGTGATCTTATCCTTAAAATTGTATGTGTATAAACATACTTTAGGATACATTTAAATGTATGTTCTGTAGCTAGATGAGTTTAGAGAAAAAATATAAAGTGGTTTCTATTACAATATCTTTCTGAATTACTGTTGAAGTCCAGGCTGCTCTTCAAGAAGTCTGAAGTTTCAGAATTAACTGTTTCAATTAAAATCCTAATCTTTGTCACCAATGAGTTTCACTGGATCCCAATATCTCATAAGTAACTTAAGACAAAGAATGCTGTTCACAGCATGTTTATCTCCATACACAAAATATAATAAACATCAGAATAATTCACATATGAAGCATTTCTCAAAATAAGTGTTTAAGTGCAGAAGTGCAGAAGTTATACATGAAAACTAATTTGCAAAGTCATAGTTTACTTATTCTGGCCTTTCTTCACCAACATTTCATGAGCATGTTAGGTTCCAGATGTTTGAAACAACTTTACTACAGACAAAAAGTATATTTCAGATATTTTTCTGAAATATCTAACACAGTACAGAGTTTATTTATTCCAGGCTCACAAACACTTTTTGTTCATTGCTAGTTTGGAAGTTTGGCTGATTTTTAGTTACCTTAAAGATGTTTACCTCACACTGAAATTTAGAAATTGCTTTCAGGAAGAAGTTCTATTCTATTTTAATCTATAAAGAACATCATGCTATAGGAAAGCAGACTCTTCTAATTTAAAAAGATAATATGAGTACAGTAATATTTCATTCTTCCAGAATGTTAAGAAATCAAATATTATGTATAATTCATTCTTTCATTACATAAACGTTTACTGAAAACTGACTACCACCAGGAATTCTATGAGGCTCTAAAGATAGATCAAAGTATCCTCGTGGAATTTTGGATCTTACTGTAAGTGAGGGAGTGCAATCACTTTCCTGACAGAAGTAAGAAGTGCCTGCTGTGGAAAAATATAGGGAGGCCACTCAAACCAGAATGGGAGTTTAGATGGGGTTCCTAGAATAAGTAGCATCCAAACCAGTGCCCCAACAAGAGAAAGGATTGGCCAGGCTGAAGAAAACAGTGGCATTACAAGTAGCAGTAACAGTGAGCATTCAGAAGAAGAAAAAGATCTCAGAGGGATTCAAATATGTTTAGTTGTATCTTAAGTTTAACATTTGAAGAAAAGTTGGTGACAGATGAGGTTTTGAGAGGTGAGCCTGAGCAACCTCAATATGGTCCTATGAGCCCTGTTAAAACTCTATAAACCCTTGGCAACCCCAAGCCACTGAAGTGCTTCAATAAGGGATTATGATAAGATTTGTGTCTTAAAATGATTACTCTACCCACAGGGTTGAGAATATAATGGAAGACAGAAAGACCAGAGGGAGGGAGACCAGACCCTCAAGGTATCAAACTGTGGTGGGCTGGTAGCTCTAACTAAAATGGTGGCAGTGGTGATGGAGAAAAACTGATCTGATTGGAGCAGTGATTAATCAGTGGAATCAATAAGATTGGTGATTGGTTGTACCTGGAAAACAAGGGCAACATAGGTTTATGCAGGGGTTTCTGCACCTTGGCACTATTGATATTTTGGGCCAGATTATTCTTTATTGTAGGGGACTGTATTGTGCGTTGTATAATGTTTTGTAACATCCCTGGCCTCCATCCACTAAGCAACAGAGAAGCTCTCTCCTCCCAGTGACTACGAAAAATGTCTCCAAACATTGCCAAATGTCCCCCTGGAAAGCAAAATCGCCCTTGGTTGAGAACCACTGGTCTAGTCAAATGACAGTTTTTCAACCTTAGTTCCACATTAAAATCACCTGGGAAGCTTTTTCAACACACTAATGCTTTCCCCTCATCCCCTACCCACTAGAATAAAATCTCTGAGGGTAAGACCACAGCTACTTTCTAAAATAATTCTAAAGTGCAGCTTGAGAGAGCTGTTGATATAGGTAGTTTTTAAATTTAAATTTGAAAAACCCAGATTAACATGCCTCCACAAATACCACACCTTTTATTAAATTTTAAACATTTTGAAGTAAAACTTCTAAATGTCCCTCTCTTCATAGTGAACATAATGTAAATATTCCCTTGTAATTCAGAACGACAATGATGAACATTTGAAAATATATTAATATTCAATATATAGAAACTGTTGTTAGGCATTATTACAATGGCCCAAGACTATGATTCATTGCTGGTTTTCCATTTTTAAAAAAATATTTCTAGCTAGTCCAACAAATTATGGCATTTAAGGGCCATTTCTTGTTGCTATCAATGTTTCTATAATTATTATTTTCTTCCCTTACTTTCTCTCAGCAATCTTTATTCACTACAACTCCCACTCTAATTTGGGGTTTTAATTAGCTGTAGACTGACCTAAATAATAACCAACATGGCTTTCAGGAAGATGGTAAGAATGTCTTCTGCAAAGTGATATAATATTTAGTACATGGGAAGCTTCTCAACTCATTCTGAGAGTCTTTTATAAGGCAAGCATCAAACTCAGACTAAAGATCACATGCATACACACACAAAGAGAGAGAGAGGGAGGGAGAGGGAGGGACAGAGAACGAGAGAGAGAGAACATTCATCAATCAATATAGTTGCAAAAATATGAATAAAGCAACATCAAATCAATGTGTTAATAATACATCTAGACTACAAAATTTACCCCAGTAACAAAATGTTCAACATTAGGAAGGATAACAATGACATATAATATCTCATTATATTTTATAATTAAAATAAAGAAAAAAGGAAAGGCATGTGATCATCTGTAATGGATGTTGAAAACAGGAGAAAATTTAATGACCATTCTTGTTTTTAGAAAGAATTCAAATTAGCTATCTATAAATACAAGATTTTCCTAAAGCTATGAAAATATTTCAAACTTAGGAAAAACATTAGAAACTCTGATTAGTTAAAAACAAGTTTTTTAAAAAATGCTTTCTTTCATTTCAGCTCAACAATTAAACATTGAATAAGCATTATTAGCCAATGTTAAAAAAAAAAGACATAGAAGGGAAATATGAAGGATAAATGCTGGAAAGAATGCAAAAATAGCCATGATTTGCACTGAATATTTTTTCTTTCTAAAATTTCAAGAAAATCAAATGATAAAGAAAAATAAGTTTTATAAAGAGTACAGAAAGGTAATAAGAAATATGGTAATCACACAAAAATCATTTTCTAATATACTAGTAATAATCAATTAGGAAATATAATGTAAAAAAGATCACATTCACATACGCAAAATAGCCTATGGATAAACCAAGAGTAAAATGTATAAGATTTAAATGGAGAAAATTATACAACTTCACTGAAAGCATGAAAGACTATCTGAATAAGTAGCTGTAGATAACATGTGCTTGAGAAGTAAGACTCAGCACTGCAAAAAGATTACTTCTTCCAAAATTAACCTAAAAGGTCAGTCCTAATCCTTGCCCCATTTAAATGTTTAATAAATCTTATAGTTTACCAAAAAATCTTATTCTGATGTTCATTAGGAATAGGAAATGTACAAAAATTTTAAAAGACTATTTTTAAATCATAGAAATTTTTCTTATGTATATGAAACATACTATAAAGAAATAAAATGATGTGACATTGGCAGAGGAATAAACACATAGATCCTGAAAAAGAATAGAGTACAGACCCATCCCATAAGAGAATTTCTTAATATGAAAAAATGGAATTTCAAATCAATGGGGGAAAATGAATTATTTTACAAATGGTGTTGGTACAAGTGTCTGTCACTCTGGAAAAAAAAAAACTAATATGCTATCCTTCACACCATACACAAAAATAAATTGCGAATGGGTGAAATATCTTAAGATTTAAAGTAAAACTACAAAAGTACCTGAAGAAAACAGAGTAGAGCATTTTCATATTCCTGATATGGGAGGGCCCTCTTAACCAAGACAATGAACTCAGAAACCACCAAAAAATGTTTGATGAAATTTGCTAAATGAAAGTAGAAAACTTCTACATTACAAAAGAGAGTATAGGCAGAGTTAAAAGATTAGCAAAAACACTAAAGCAAAATATATTTGAGACATAGATCAGGCAAAGAATTGTCATCCATATTTTTTAAATCTTAAAAACTAAGAAAATGACAAACATAACAAAAATAGGCAAAGAACATGAACAGATAGTTTACAAAATAAATTCAGATGGTCCATAAGTATGTGATAAAAGCACCTCACTAGTAATCATGAACATGAAAATTTGACTTTTGCTACAATACCACTTTTCCCAAAATATTGTAAATACTGACAAATAACTTGATAGTTTGCAAGGGTATGGGGGAAAGGGGACTCTTACACATTGGTATGGGGAAAAAGGGATTCTTACATGTTGTTAGTGGGGAGACAGTGTTACATCCTTTTTAAAGGACAATTTGGTAAAGTTATTAGAATTTTAAATGAATTGCACCCAGAAAATTCTAAATAAATTGCACCCAGAAAATTCTATCTCCAATCATATTTCCCACATAATGATCATATGTGGTGCCTAAAGAAATAGAGATCTTTTGTGACTTGCTTTCAAAAGTGAAAATCTGGAGTCTACCTATTTAGGAGTATTAGTAAAGATTAAATGAATTATGGTACATTCATATTATGGAATCCTGGAAACTGTATATTTATTTAAAAGGCTCAGACAGAAATACATGTAAGATAGAAACATCTCCAAGATACACAGTTTACAAAAACAAAAGAGATTATGGTTGGTTTCTTACCCTTCTTTGTCCTGTTTCCCTCAGTACCTTATCAGTTTCCCCCGGAACAGATCCTTAATAAATCACTTGCACATAAATCCTCATCTCAAGGTCTGTTTCTAGGCCAATCAACCTAAGTTATACTTCTACAGGAGTATGGTAGAATAGAAGGGAAATCTCCCCTTGGGGCCTACTGAACAGAACTTCTGCAAGACATCCCTTTTAAATGAAACACCGTCTTGTGGATATATGAAAATGACCAAAAGTTTCTGAGAGGTTATAGCAAATTGTTAAAAAGCAGTATCTCGAGGAACTAGGGTTGAGGGAAGGTGAAGGGGGATTTTTACTTTTTACTCTGCGTACTTCTATATTGCCTGAATTTTTTACAGTAATCCTAAATTCAAATATTCCAAGTGCAGTAAAAAAGAAAAAACTTTGTATTGGCTTTGTCACTGCCATTTTATCTGCATAACAGTCTTCAAACTGGGTTTGGGTTAAACTGGGAATACACAAAGCCTTTCTGAGGCATGTGCAGGAACAAAGAACTTAAGGAAATAAATTTCCAGGCCCTCAACTTTTATATGTACTCTTATTTGAACTGATTATGCTGATCCCTTTTCTGTTTGCCTTTGCAGAAGTTGACTTCTGTCACTTTACTTCTCAATCTTACTCTAGTGCATTTTTCCAGAGCACTAAAATCTCTGAGATGCCGAAAAAGAATAATTAGAAATTTTAGTGTAACTCTTGGGGAAGCAAATGAGTCTGCTGACTAGGCAACAAATCCTTAAGCATGACAAGTAGTTTCCAGTTTTTTGCTTTCAACAAAATGGAAGGGGTATCTCATTTAGTTGTCAGCTAATATATCATTAAAATTTATATTTGATGATATATGACTATCTTATTTTTGGCATATAATTCAGGAGTTAAAGAAACTGAGTGTTTTGACTTTAACAAAACTTCTATTCTCACCTACTTGTTGCTTTGAAGGTTTATCAGTACATCTAAAAGAGCAAACAGTGGGAATAGACTTGATGTTGAACTCTAGCTCTTTGTAACATTAATTAACATTCATCCAGAAATAGAAATGAATTAGAAAAAGATTCCTAGTGATCTCATTTAAAAATACATTTTTGATCATTTTTATTTTTAATGATTAATAATTACTTATCAAATTGTGTAATATATTTCTAACGTTTTTGTTGATTGCATCCTAAAAATAATTGTACAGATAACCTACTACAAAAGAAAATTTTTAAACCTAAAAGTTGGCCGAGCGCAGTGGCTCACGCCTGTAATCCCAGCACTTTGGGAGGCCGAGGCGGGCGGATCACGAGGTCAGGAGATGGAGACTATCCTGGCTAACACGGTGAAACCCCGTCTCTACTAAAAATACAAAAAAATTAGATGGGTGCGGTGGCAGGCGCCTGTAGTCCCAGCTACTCGGGAGGCTGAGGCAGGAGAATGGTGTGATCCCGGGAGGTGGAGCTTGCAGTGAGCCGAGATCGTGCCACTGCACTCCAGCCTGGGTGACAGAGCGAGACTCCATCTCAAAAAAAAAAAAACTAAAAATTAATGATCATGAAAAAATTTTATTTAATTTCTATTTTATACATATTTTTGTAATGGAGAAATATAGGATAAAATTATGTCATCAAAGTGGAATAAAAATTCAATTTCTGATAAATATGTGAGGTATTGCATATGTTAATTAGCTCAACTGAGCCATTCTACAACGTATACATATTTCAAAGACTGAAACTAGCCCCCTATCTCTAACCACATACAAAAATAAAATCAAGGGGGCTGGATGTGGTGGACCATGCCTGCCTATAATCCTAACACTTTGGGAGGCTGAGGCAGGAGAATTGCTTGAGGCCAGGAGTTCAAGACCAGCCTGGGCAACACAGATAGGCCACCCCCTCACCCGCCCCGCCTACAAAGTGAAATAAAATAAAACAGCCAGACATGGTACCTGGTACCTGTAATCCCAGTGACTCCGGAGGCTGAGGCAGGAGGATCACTTGAGCCCAGAAGTTTGAGGGGCAGTGAGCTATGATCACACTGCTGCACTCCAGCCTGTCTCAAAAAACAAAACAACAACAACAAAAATAAATAAAATGAAAATGGATCAAAGACTTAAATGTAAGACCTAAAACTATGAAACTACCAGAAGAAAACACCTGGGGAAATGCTCCAGGACATTGGTTTGGACAAAGATTTTTCTTGAGTAAGACCTCAAAACCACAGGCAAAATTTGACAAAAGCAAAAATTGACAAATAGGATTACGGCGAGCTAAAAAGCAGCTGCACAGCAAAGAAAACAATCAACAAAGTGAAGAGCAACCTATAAGAGAAAATATTCGAAACTATCCATCCAACAAAATATTAACAACCAGAATATACAAAGAACTCAGACAAAATCACCAAAAAGTCCAGTTTTTTTTTTAATGGGCAAAAGATCTGAATAGATCTTTCTCAAAAAAAGACATACAAGTGGCAACAAGTATATGAAAAAAATGTTCAACATCACTAATTATAAGGAAGATGCAAATCAAAACCACAATGAGATATCATCTCACCCCAGTTAAAATGGAGTGTCTATAAAATATCTGTTGTTTAAAAAACAAAAACAAAAACCAAAAAACAGAAAATGACAGGTGCTGGCATGGATGTGGAGAAAGGAGAACACTAGCATGCTTTTGGTGGGAATGTAAATTAGCAAGGCCACTATGGAGAACGGTATGGAGGTTCCTCAATAAACTAAAAATAGATCTATCATATGATCCAGCAATCCCGCTGCTGGTAATATATGGAAAGGAAAGGAAATCAGTATATAGAGGAGATATCTACCCCGTCATGTTTATTACAGCACTATTTATAATAGTCAAGATATGGAATCAACCTAAGTGTCCATTAACAGATGAATAGATTTTTAAAATGCAGTATATACACACAATGGAATACTATTCATCTATAAAAAGAATGAAATCCTGTCATTTGCAGCATGATGCAGAAATACAAATATTAAACATTCCCATTCATATGTGGGAGCTAAAATGTTGATCTCATGAAGGTAGAAAGTAGCATGGTGGTTACCACAGGCTGGGAAGGGTAGGGAAGAGGTAGGATGAAGAGAAGTTGGGTTAATGGGTACAAAAATACAGTTAAATAGAAGGAATAAGTTCTAGTGTTTCATAACAGTAAGGCAACTATAATTAACAAGAATTGATAGTGTATTTCAAAATAGCTAGAAAAGAAGATATCAAATATTCCCAATACGAAGAAATGATAAATGTTTGAGGTGATAGATACCCCAATTACCCTGATTTGAGCACTACACACTGTGTGCTTGTATCAAAATATCACATGTACCCCATAAATATGTATGACTATTATGCATCAATTAAAAATCATGTTGCACATGATAAATCTTTTTCTTTTTCTTTTTTTTTTTTTTTTTGAGACGGAGTTTCGCTCTTGTTGCCCAGGCTGCAGTGCAGTGGTGTGATCTCAGCTCACTTCAGCCTCCGCCTCCTGGGTTCAAGCGACTCTCCTGCCTCAGCCTCCCGAGTAGCTGGGATTACAGGGACGTGTTGGCCAGGCTGGTCTCGAACTCCTGGCCTCAGATGATCCGCCTGCCTCAGCCTCCCAAAGTGCTGGGATTATAGGCATAAGCCACCACGCCTGGCCTATTTTTTATTTTTCAATTCAAAAAGAAACAGAGAGAGAAAGAGGGTGGTAGAAAGAGAGAGAGAGAGAGAAAAGGGGAAGAAAAAAGAAAGAAAGAGA
Organism: Homo sapiens; assembly: GCF_000001405.40. NCBI lineage: Eukaryota > Metazoa > Chordata > Mammalia > Primates > Hominidae > Homo > Homo sapiens. The sequence continues at coordinate 30,483,786 of NC_000023.11, forward strand.
AGAAAGGAAAGAAAGAAAGAAAGAAAGAAAGAAAGAAAAAAAAGTTTAAAAACAATGTCAAGGACAGAAAGAAACCGCAAAACTTCCTACTGTTAACAAAAAAGATTATGCACTTATTTTTAAATTGATAATGTTGGTATCATATCATTATGATACTCCACATACTAGCTATTCTACTGAATATTTCTGTTTAGAGGAACAATGTTACAGTTTTATTTGTAACTGTGTAGCTAATGGTAGTTAGCAAATGTTTATTAAAGTAAGCACAATTGTCTTCAGAGCAGTGTTCCAGAAGGTGGGCCTTTTAGAGTTCCAGCCTCTACAGAAATGAGGCTTTACCGTGTGTCATTTTGAAAGAGAGAAAGAAGCTCATGAAGTTATTTCAGTCAATGCCAAGAAGGGAACAGTTTCTTCTAGAATGTAGACTCTTCAGCTGACAGATTTCGGTATCAAGGTGACCCTGCTTACTCTTGTTTGAAGTAGCAGAAAGCAGCAGTAAAGAGGCAGGCAACAGCTGAACAGGTTAGGAAGAAATGTCTTCAGAGAACATTCTGCTATGGAAACAAGCAAGGGAGTCTGCTTTCTCTGACCAATTACCCATGACCTTTAGAAACTGCATCTTGGAATTCAGCTGATCTTCCATTGTGTGCTTTGAACCACTCTTTATTTTGTTAACTCCTGAAAAGACTGTTACTAATATTTGGTACAATTCTGAAATTTGTGGAGTTTTTAAAAATGCTTTTATGTCGGTTGAAATAATTATATTAAGAGACCCAAATAGACATTCCCACAGGAATCTGAAAATTGTCAGCTGATTTACTTGGTACCTGGACAATCAACAGAGGAATTTATTTCTGATAGCTGTTTCCCAACATGTTCGGAAATCAAATACAAAAACTGAGATCCACACAACAGGCTAGTTCCCTTTTATAATTGCAAATACTTATTGAGCACTTAACATGTACCAGGCACTGTGCTAAGCACTTTACATAGAATATCATGTTAATCCTTACAGCAACCCTACATGGTAGGTACTATTTTACTACCATTCTGCAGATGAGAAAACTTAAACACAGAGCAGTTAAGTAACTTGCTCCAAGTCACACAGCATTAAAATACAGCAGGTCAATTTGTTTGTAAATGACAGATCTGGGATTGGAATGAAGGTGTTTGTGGTGATTAATGGTTGAAAGCAGGCCATTTCCATTTCCATTGCAATTTGTTACCCACTAGTAGCTCCTAGTATAAATGTATTCTCCAGGATCTATAATGTAGATTTATATTAACAAATAATTATTGTGGTGAATGTTTGCATGTTAAAAATGGTAGGCTGAACTTCCTGTTGGGTACTTTTCAGTTTCAAACATGTACTTCTGCAAATCAATAATCCTTCTTCTCTTTCTATTCTTCATTTTTCCTTAGGGGACATGGTCAGTTGCTTGGGCATATTACTATAAATGAAAGAATTGGTCAGAGACACCTTCAAAATGCAACTCTTTAATTTTTTTTAAAAATTGTTCCTCAAAGGGCAAATGAGGACTACTCTAAAATTACATCCTCAGGTCAGGAAATAAACACAAATCATCCAAGCTAGTTTAAAAATTGTCATGAAAGGAAGAAGCCAAGAATTAATTATGTTAAATTTAATGAAGTTTATCAAGCATTTATGCCAACAGCAGTAGGGAGTAAATGCAGAGTCCATTAAAACTGATTCTGTATTTTGGGGACTTTCTATTACAACATAAGCTTTATAAGGGGCCAAGGCTTGTCTGGTTTTTTTTTTTTTAATTTTTTTTATTTTACTTTAAGTTCTGGGGTACATGTGTAGAACGTGCAGGTTTGTTACATAGGTATACACATGCCATGGTGGTTTGCTGCACCCATCAACCTGTCACCTGCATTAGGTATTTCTCCTAATGCTATCCCTCCCCTAGTCCCCCACCCCCTGACAGGCCCCGGTGTGTGATGTTTCCCTCCCAGTCCATGTGTTCTCATTGTTCAACTCCCACTTATAAGTGAGAACATGCGGTGTTTGGTTTTCTGTTCTTGTGATAGTTTGCTGAGAATGATGGTTTCCAGCTTCATCCATGTCCCTGCAAAGGACATGAACTCATCCTTTTTTATGGCTGCATAGTATTCCATGGCGTATATGTGCCACATTTTCTTTATCCAGTCTATCATTGATGGACATCTGGGTCGGTTCCAAGTCTTTGCTATTGTGAATAGTGCTGCAATAAACACGCGTGTGCATGTGTCTTTATAGAATGATTTATAATCCTTTGGGTATATACCCAGTAATCAGATTGCTGGGTCAAATGGTATTTCTAGTTCTAGATCCTCGAGGAATTGCCACACTGTCTTCCACAATGGTTGAACTAATTTACACTCCCACCAACAGTGTAAAAGTGTTCCTATTTCTCCACATCCTCTCCAGCATCTATTGTTTCCTGACTTTTCAATGATCTCCATTCTATCTCGCACGAGATCGTATCTCATTGTGGTTTTGGTTTGCATTTCTCTAATGACCAGTGATGATGAGTATTTTTTCATACGTCTGTTGGCTGCATAAATGTCTTCTTTTAAGAAGTGTCTGTTCATATCCTTTGCCCAATTTTTGATGGGGTTGTTTCTCATAAATTTTAAGTTCTTTGTAGATTCTGGATATTAGACCTTTGTCAAATGGATAGATTGCAAAAATCTTCTCCCATCCTGTAGGTTGCCTGTTCATTCTGATGATAGTTTCTTTTTTTTTTTTTTTTTGAGATGGAGTCTCGCTCTGTCACCCAGTCTGGAGTGCAATGACGTGATCTCAGCTCACTGCAACCTCCGCCTCCCGGGTTCACGCCATTCTCCTGGCTCAGCCTCCTGAGTAGCTGGGACTACAGGCGCCCGCCACCACGCCCGGCTAATTTTTTGTATTTTTAGTAGAGACAGGGTTTCACCGTGTTACCCATGTTGGTCTTGATCTCCTGACCTCGTGATCCACCCGTCTTGGCTTCCCAAAGTGCTGGGATTACAGGCGTGAGCCACCGTGCCCGGCCTCTGATGATAGTTTCTTTCGCTGTGCAGAAGCTCGTTAGTTTAATTAGGTCCCATTTGTCAATTTTGGCTTTTGTTGCCATTGCTTTTGCTGATTTAGACATGAAGTCTTTGCCCATGCCTATGTCCTGAATGATATTGCCCAGTTTTTCTTCTAGGATTTTTGTGGTTTTAGGTCTTACGTTTAAGTCTTTAATCCACCTTGAGTTGATTTTTGTATAAGGTATAAGGAAGGGATCTAGTTTCAGTTTTCTGCATATGGCTAGCCAGTTTTCCCAACAGCATTTATTAAATAGGGAATCTTTTCCCCATTGCTTGTTTGTGTTAGGTTTGTCAAAGATCAGATGGTTGTAGATGTGTGGCATTATTTCTGAGGCCTCTGTTCTGTTCCATTGGTCTATATATCTGTTTTGGTACCAGTATCCTGCCATTTTGGTTACTGTAAGGCTTGTCTGTTTTATACAGTGACGTATCTCTAGCGTTTAGGATAGTGTCTGGCATATGGCAGATGTTCAGTATATATTTGATGATTTCGTTAATTCGCATCATGTATTACCATACTAAAACATGATAAACATATTGGTTGGCAGAAGATGGTGTTGATTGCATCATTTCATTGTTACTCATTATTGAATAGTATTATATGTAACAGTGATCTCCTCTAATCAATGATACCTTCACGCTTATAATTTTCTGCTTGTCTGGGACAATAAGGTGGTTATGGTATTGACAGGGGAGGAAATAAAACAGAGCATTTCTCTGACAACCCCTCCCTTCCAAAATACCTCACTGCAGCACTATTCACAGTGTGGTCAGCAGGCTGGTCCTGGGCTATGAATTCCATGTTGCCAGTCCAACAAAGAATTAGCTACAGAAACTGAGGAGTAAACAGAAACTTATATAGCAATTTTATATTGCAGCAACATCTAGGAATCCATGTTTATTGTGATTTTTCAAAATTACCAGACTTTGGTACATTAGAAATTTAAAACAAAAACCTTCTTTTATTGGCTCTTGGGGACCAGCAGGACTAACATTATAAATCAGCTGGAGCTGCTTGGAGCAATCTACGTTTCTGTGATTTGCATAGAAAGAAGGCTGTCCATCCCAAAATATAAACCACACCTCATGTCAGACCATTCTTGTAACCTAACTCCTTTGAGTACTGAAGGCTTGTGATGTTTAAGAAACCCCCTACTAAGCACAAATACCTCTAATGGAAATCTTGTTTATATCCACTAACTCTTAACACCTTAATCATCACCTCCCATGATATTAATCCTTACAGCAACCCTACATGGTAGGTACTATTTTACTACCATTCTGCAGATGAGAAAACTTAAACACAGAGCAGTTAAGTAACTTGCTTAATAAAGAGGAAAGGTGACAAGACGACTGCTACTGAAATATAATAAAGGGGAAATGTGACAAGACGATTGGTACTGAAAGTGTCTAAGAACCTTGAATCATAGTAATAGTAGCAACAGTGGCTCCCAGTGGTAGGACCTAGAAATAGGACAAAACTGCAAAATTTAAAAGCCACTGCTACTGCTCATTTCCCAGATGTTGCGGTGACCCATGATTTCTAACCATCTGAGTAGTATTTGGATACCTATTATTTTAGTTTATCCCAATGTAAAAATTTATTAGTACATCAAATTCAACCAGCAGTTTACTATGATCCGTGACTTTGTTACTTTAAAAGATCCTGTTGACATAGCAATATCTTTAACCATCTCCACTTTGTCAGTTAGATATCAACATAAAAAAATGCAGCAAAGCAAACCACCCTGACAGCGGGTGCAAAAAACAGCAATGATTTCTCCTTGTTCTCACATCTGCAGTTTGGCTGAGGGCTGGCCGATCTGGGACGACCTCAGATGGGCTTGGTGCCACGACTCAGATTGCATCCAAGTGAGCACTATATCTCTTTCATCTTTTTCTTATGGTGCAGAAGCACAAGAGGGTGAGCAGGTACACATGGTGACTCTTAAGAATTCAACTCAAAACTGGCATACTATCACTTCTCCCCACATTTCACGGGCCAAGGCAAGTGAAATGGCCAAGCCCAGAAAGAATGCTCGCAGTGGCTCACGCCTGTAATCCCAGCACTTTGGGAGGCCGAGGCGGGCAGATCACCTGAGGTCAGGAGTTCGAGACCAGCCTGGCCAACATAACAAAACCCCGTCTCTACTAAAAGTACAAAAATTAGCCAGGCGGGCGCCTATAATCCAAGCTACTGGGGAGGCTGAGGCAGGAGAATCGCTTGAACCCCGGAGGCGGAGGTTGCAGTGAGCCGAGATCACTCCACTGCACTCCAGCCTGGGTGACAAGAGTGAGACTCTGTCTCAAAAAAAAAAAAAAAAAAAAAAACAGAATGCTCCCTGTATCTTGTGAGAATGACTAAAAAGTATCAGGGAAGAGAGAATGGATATGAGCAGGGATGGAAAATTGAAAAATTTACCACATCCGTTAAAGCCTCCCCAAAACCTAGTGGGTTAAAGCAACAAACATTTATTAGGTTTATGATTATATGGTTTGAAAATTTGAGCTACACTCAGTTAAGTGGCTTTTCTGCTGGTCTCATCTGGACTCACTCATATAGTTGTAGTCATCTGGTGAGTTTGCTAGGGACAAATTGACCTAAGATGACCTCACTCCCATGCCTGGTGGTGGGTGCTAGCTGTCAGTTGGTGCTGGACTACTCGCTGGAGTGGAAAGGGTGACAGTGCCACCTATCTCCAGCAGCCTACTATTGACTTATTCACATAATGGAGGTGTCAGTCTTCTAAGACTGGCAAGAGAGAGTAAGCCTTAATGCACAAATGTGTTTCAAGCTTCTGCTTGTAGGACATTTGCTATTATCCTGTTGGCCGAAGCAAGTTGTGTCTCTGTGCCCAGATTTAGAATACACAAGAGCATGGATATAGAAAGTGTGAACAAAATGCGGTGTGTTACAGCAATAATCTACTCTACCTGGCACAGTTCTTGACACAACCAGGCACTCAGTAATATCAGTTTAAAAATTAAATAGTGATGGTTTGTTTATCATATTTTTTAATCAATTACGGACACTTAAAGTCTTCCAAACTACTATTGATGCATGATTAGTATACTGACTTCTAGCACAGTGGGGACTCTAGCGATGTGCTATCCACATCAAGTACATATCAAGGGCATACTATTCAAATTTTCAGATGCCATAATGTTTGAAAGTAATGCATTGGATGATATCATTAAAATCCAAAATATTGAGTTGGAATAAAAACGTAACATTTTAAGAGGATAAGTAGCAAATCCTACATTTAGGCACTAAAATTTCATTTTAAAAAGTTTAGGCCAGGCATGGTGGCTCATGCCTGTAATCCCAGCACTTTGGAAGGCCAAGCCAGGCGAGTTGCTTGAGCCCAGGAGTTCGAAACCAGCTTGGGCAACATGGCAAAACCCTGTTGCTACGAAAAATACCAAAAGTAGCTGGATGCAGTGGCGCTCACCTGTAGTCCCAGCTACTCGGGAGACTGAGGAAGGAGGATCGCTTGAGTTCAGGAGGTCAAGGCTGCAGTGAGCCGTGATCACAACACTGCACTCCTGCCTGGGTGACGGAATGAGACCCTGTCTCAAAAAATAAATAAGCAAATAATAAAAAGTTTAGAATGAAGGGCCACACTTGACCTCAGATCACTGGAAAAAGATGTGAAGTTTTAGATAATCACGAGATTAATTGGAGCCCACAATATAATATGTCCAATAAAAACATAAAAATGCAATGTTTATCCTACATGCACAGGTGTATAGTATCATCAAATCATGCAGTCTAATAGCACTGGTAAGAACATATCTCAACTATTTTTTGCACTTCTAGATCCTCTATGTAAAGAACTGTGACAAATTAAAAAGTGTCTCGGCTGGGTGCAGTGGCTCACGTCTGTAATCCCAGTACTCTGGGAGGCCGAGGCGGGCAGATCACCTGAGGTCGGGAGTTCGAGACCAGCCTGACCAACATGGTGAAACCCTGTCTCTACTAAAAATACAAAATTAGCCAGGTGTAGTGGTGCATGCCTGTAATCCCTGCTACTCGGGAGTCTGAGGCAGCAGAATCGCTTGAACCCGGGAGGCAGAGGTTGCAATGAGCTGAGATCACGCCATTGCACTCCAGCCTGGGCAACAAGAGTGAAACTCCATCTCAAAAAAAAAAAAAAAAAAAAAGTTACTTGAGAAAACTACAAATATTTATCCCGAAGCAAAGAAGCATGGAGAAACATGACACTGGTCTTTAAAATCTGAAGAGGTATGTCAGGTGGGAGAAAGAACAAGCAGCCTGTGATGTTCCAGCAGCTTCCTAGAACCAGCAGCTACAAAGTTATAGGGAGGCAGATATTTGCTCAGCAGAAGGCCTGACAATTAGACACATAGAAAATGGCCCTCCAAGTGTAAAGGGTGAGCTGCCCTCACTAAAAGTGTTTAAGGAGACAGTGTGGCCATCTCTCAGAGATGTTGCAGAAATTTTTCTTTTAATTTGAAATAAGGCTGATCTGGTGTCATTTAACCTCTCTACCAGATTCAAGGTTACATCTGGTGCTTTGATTCAAGGGATCAAAGTACCCATTATCAGGTACGTAGTGGACAATCAAAAATGTTTGCTGAATCATTGTCATAAATTGGCTCTTTAGGAAAAATAATGGAAGCATTGCATGAAAAAGGAAATGCAGAGTAGCATGAATATGTACTTGGTGGAATATAAACATAAAATAATAACAACCTAGAGAGCTTTCTGTTTGTCAGAGACTGTGAGTGTGTAATGATGCGTTTAGTCCTGGCCACAAATCCTACAAGGTGTGTGCTATTATTATCCCCATTTTATGGATGAAGAAACTGGGGCACAGAGAGGTTAAGAAACTTGCTGGAGGTTATGTAACTAGTGAGCAGTAGGGATTGGAGAAAGAGAGCTGTTGGGAATGTCAAAAGAAACTCTATTTTAAACTTTTATATGAGTTAGTTAGAAAAATAATGTGCAGAGTACCAAACTGAATAGAAAACAAAGTCAAGGTTATTTTCCAGTGGAAACTGAATTACTGGCAAATATTGCCAAAATGAGAGTCACAAATTCATTTCAAAGAAAGTAAAGCTAGAAATTTTCTATTTTAATTATTTTTCAGTACAAACTCTTTTGTTAGCAACTCATGTGCTTGCCCTATCATTCCAGGAAAATATATAAGTTTTTTTCTTTTTTCTCTTCTTTTAATGTAGCAATTGTTATCCTTTTATTACTGATAGAAGCAAACATTTAGTTTCAAATTGTAAAACCATTATTATCTTTCCAGTAATTAGTTCTATTTCTGTGGCTGTGGTTTGTACAATACTGCTTTTTATATCTTGAAGTACAAATAAAACTGTTTTTAGACTCTTCCTTGTGATGTTAAACACAAAGAATAAAATAAATAAGTTCTGTTCACTGTCAAGATTTATCTGTTTCAAATTTTTCTAAAGTATAAACATTATTAATGAAGCACTTAACATTAAACTTCCAACAGTCTGGTATAAAAACGACAACAATAATCTGCTAGATAAAGAGAAACATGGGAAATGTATTTTCGTGGGAGCTAGGGAGGAATTTATGCACTTTTAATGGAACTTTATAGGTTCTGGGTTCCATTATTGTGTCAGAGATATGAAGAAAGGAAAGTTGAGTAATATTTTTAATTGATTCCATAGAGTTTAGAAAATAATAGTGTAGATCTGGGGATGACTAAGAGTTAGAGTGGGTGAGAGAAAATTTTCTTATTAAATGTACAAGCTGATCTTGAGATCCAAAGGAAATACAGCAATAAAAACAGGGACACCATCTTGCTCCCTCTTGGTACAATTGCAGGAAGTAAAGGGGCCATGCTGGGAAAGAGAGTTGTCAGTGAACTCAAATTTAGGAACCCACTGGATAATCTGTGTTAGCAGAAGAGAGGGAAGGACCTGTCAAGGCTGTCCCTAATGGGAACTGAGTTTGTGCTAAAGCCTGCTAATGGAAAAAGAAATGCTGAATTTTGAAATGATGATCAAGGCTTTTCAGTTCAAAAGCATGTATACGGGAAGCAAAGTAGGATGCTTTTGTGAGCAGGAAGCAACAGAATAAAAAAATAGGACTTCTTTGCTGTATATGATGTTAGTAGCATATCCGAGTTTTCAAAGATCAAATTTTACATTTATCTTTTTGCCTATTTCATACATCTTCATCTATATAGATGATGCAACTGATCCACCTGATGATAGGACATAAATATGGAGTCTTTACGTTTTTGGAGACGTAATGGGCTGAGCCCATCCAGACTCTCGAAACCTTATCTCTGTTACAGCCAAGCACAACTACTTAGAAGATTATTGACCATGGTTTAAAATAGCATTTTTTCCCCAACAAACCTGATTTCTTCATTTCAGAGACATATGGGCCCCAGTATAAATCATAAAGTTAACACAAGTCCTACACATATAGAGCTCATAAACATATTCACCCATTTTAATAGATATTGGCCTTATATGAAAGATTTTTCTTTCTAAAAAAAAGTACTTATTGCTGAAGAATTAGATATAACTTTATGAAACTGTCAGATTTTTAAGTTTAAGAATTAGCATGATAACTGTACATTTGTCCCTCTCACCCACCCTTGCTGTGTGCCAGAAGGCTACCCTAGTTGGACTGCACCAGTGGGCTTTGCTAGTTATAGGCTCCATTTGGCCACTAGGAGCACTGGCAGGTTAGGTGGGAGGGAGTTGAGGCTAGAGTATTGAATCCTCCAGCTCCCTCTCTGCACAGTCACCTAATGTTGGCTGCTTTCCTCCATCAAAAGCTACAGCTTCTACTACCCTTCCACCCCCTCCACACTGCCTTCTCGGACTCCACCTCCCAATAACATTTCCCTCCTCCTTATTACCTTAAGCCCTGAGGTGATAACAACATTCAGTACCTACCACCCTGGAGTATGCCAATCCTCTGTGATTTTACACTTTGACCATTCGTTTATATATTTATTTATTAAACTATCCTCAAATAACCCAGTTTGATGATGCCTTCTTGACACTAAATTATTTAAATACCTGGAAAATTTACTAATACATGAGAAACAAAAGCATCTGCTTTAGTTGAAGTTGTCATAACAAATTACAATAGACGGGATGATTTGAACAACAAACATTTATTTCTCACAGTTCTGGAGCTGGATAGTCCAAGATCAAGGTACTAGCAGATCTGGTGTCTGGTAAGGGCCCACTTCCAGGTTTGCGGATAACCATGTTTTCATTGTATTCTCATATGGCGAGAGTAGTAACAGAGGAAGGAAGCTTTCTCATATCTTTTTATAAGGGCAGTGATCCCATTTATAAGGGTTCTGCCCTCATGACCTAATCCTCTTTCGAAGGCCCCATGACCTAATACAATTAAATTGGGAATTAAGATTTCAACATAGGAATTTGGAGGAGACATAAACAATCAATTCATAACACCATCCATATGAGGGTGAAAATTTTAGACTTAGATTTTCTTATTAACTACTATAAAAATAATAGCTGATATTTACTGAGAGCTTACTCTATGCCAGACACTGTTCTAAAAAATATATATGTATTATATACATGTGTTATATTCTTTAGTGTTAACTCATATAACCTCACAATTAACTGTATGAAGATGAGACAGTTATTATCCATATGGGAACAGAAAAGTTAAGTGACTTGCTCAAAATCACACAACTAGTAAGTAGCACGAATAGGCTGTAAACCAAATAAGTCTGACTCTATTCTCTATACAAGAATGCTAAAAGAGTAATTCATGAGGAAATTTATGTGATTCAAATGAAAATTACATTGATCAAAATTTCCAGAACATATAAAGTTGCTAAATATTAAAATGAAACATATTGGCTTTAATTTCAGCAGGAAAAAAATTAGAAAACATAATGTTATGCAAGAAAAAGCACTATGAGAAATGATACATCAGAAAAGATAGATGGGGAAGAAGATTCGTGTTTATTGAGCACCTACTTTCCTATCCAAAACTTTACATACATACTTACATATCTTATTTACATAATCCTCTTAACAAACTTGTGTAGTAGCTGCTCCTATTCTTATTTTGTAGATGAGGAAACTGAGGCTCAGAGTGAAGTCACATCACCACAGGTCACTGACCTCCCCATGGTTCAAATGTGCTACCCACCTCAGTCTCAGTGGTTGGCAGCCTTACCCCCTATACAGGACAACCTAGAAATTAAGTAGGGATACAGCACAAGATCTGTATGAAGCCCTGGAATTCTCAATCCATCATAAAATATCGCCCCATATTACACAAAATGAAATCCTGATAGATGACAAAGATGACAATGACAAAAATCAGCCACCTTTTGCCATGTATCCACTTGTTTTGTAAGATCTGGCTAGGACATCAGTTACTCTGAAGTGGCCCTTCTGTCTAAGGCAGAAATCAAGTTAGGCTCCTTCATTTTCATGACAAAATATTAATTTTGCTAACACAGCTGGTATCTTCGATCAGCAGTTTTTACACACTCTTTACAAAGTTCAATTTTAAATTGATAACCACCTGTTCTTGCCCAAGGTACAGTTTAGACAACAGATAATTGAAAAACTGGGACGAAGGAACTTGTTAGTGATGTGCTATATTTTTTAGCTCCTCTAAACTCTGCTCTTAATATCAAGTTAGTATGGAATGGCCTTGGAATGTAGTAGCTCAGTTCTAGGACTAGCTACATAATTTGCAGGGCCCAATGTAAAATGAAACAGTGAGGCCCCATGTTCAAAAATGATTAACAGTTTCAAAATAGCAACAGCAGAGCATTAAACAAAGCCCTTCTGAAAACAGGGCCTTGTGCAGTCACATGGGTCTCGTGCCCTTGAAGCCAACCCTGTTCAGTTTCCTAGATATATTTTCAGTGCATTAAAGGATTTTAATGTTGTATCTTCTTTCTTTAATGTTGTATCCAGCTTTCTTCTGGCCATGTAAAAAGCAGTAATTTGTATGCTCAATTCCTTTTATTTAAAAAAATAGAAAAATATCCTTAAAATGTTTTTCTAGAATTTAATGTTAGAAAAAATATTTTTCCCCAAACAAATTCATGTGCTTTCTTTCACTATTCATTCTTTTTTTTTTTTTTTAGATGGAGTCTTACTCTGTCGCCCAGGCTGGAGTGCAGTAGCACAATGGCACAATGTCAGCTCACTGCAAACTCTGCCTCCCAGGTTCAAATGATTCTCCTGACTTGGCCTCCCAAGTAGCTGGGATTACAGGCACTCACCACCACACCTGGCTTATTTTTGTATTTTTAGTAGAGACGGGGTTTCACCATGTTGTCCAGGCTGGTCTCAAACTCCTGACCTCAAGTGATCCACCCACCTCGGCCTCCCAAAGTACTGGGATTACAGGCATGAGCCACCGCACCTAGCCCACTATTTATTCTTTATTTATAAATGCTTACTGAGTAACCACGGTCTGCAAGCATTGCTCTAGATATTGGGATCAATCAGTAAGCAGGTAAACAGGGCAAAGTCCCTGTCTTAGTGGAGTTTACAACCAATGGGTGGAATTACGATCAATTTCCTAGTCCTTCTAGGGAAACTTGCTGCTCTCCAGAAGACTGACAATGTTTAATGTTTATAGGCTTCTCCTCCACCAGATGTTAGCACGCTTAGCACACTATAGTAAAGAAGAAAAATTTTTTAAAAGCAGCAAATAAATATTTCAAATCTTATTTCAATGCATAGTAGGACCAAAATGGGGAAGCCACATTCTAACATCCAACCCTCCTGTGCTTCATATGATTTTTCTAATGCAAGAGCAGGAGCAAATTTCTGCATAATTGAAAAGAATCATTTAGATATAAACAAAAAATATGTTTCCATGTAACTTGTTGACTGATAGATAATCAGAGTTTTGTGGCAAATTTTAGAGTTATCTCAGTTAACCTCTATCATATTGGCCAGGCAGACATGTTATATCTAGTCCCTGATTAAATGAAAAAGAAAAAAGAAAGCAAAACATACCTAAACAAAGCTTTTTCATTGAACGTAAACATTAAATATAGTCACAGCTGGCACTCTGAGATTTTGAAAGCCTATATTCAATCAATCATACCAGAAATTTCCTGGCCTGGCCATTGAACAGGATGGTATTTATTGACAAAATAGCAGCACATAGTTATTAGGGACTATGAGCTTTGGAATCAGAGAGTCTGTCATTCTGATTCTTAATTAGAATTCCTAAACTTTTCCCACAAAAATAGGGCCCACATAACCCTCTCAACCCATTATATCCTTAGCCCAAACCCTGCTTTCATCTTTAGTTGGGCTCTCAGTAAAATACGGTTTGGAAGTTTCTACCCACACACCACAGACTCAGCTTAACTCCTTGAAACTTAAAGCATCTAATGGCTTGAAATGGCTCAAAAGATAAAGAAAATAATAAGTCAGTAGAGAATGACAAGCAAGTGAATGGCTGGTGAGTGTTCTGTCTTTCAGAAATGCAAAAGTACAGATTATTAGGATAGCTCCTTAAATGGCCACATCCTCCATAAAATCCTTTGGAATGGAGATAAATGGGGATTGGGAAAGCATTTCAAAACCAGGCTTAATTGGGTTACTGTTCATCTTAGTTTGGGCTGCCATAACAAAATGCCATAGACTGGGTAGCTTATGAACAACAGACATTTATTTCTCATAATTCTGGAGGCTGAAAAGTCCAAGATTAAACCAGGATGCTGACAAGATTATTTTTATTCTGAGTCCTCTTCTCTTGACTTACAGGTGGCTGCCATCTTGCAGTGCACTCACGTGGTCTCTTCTTTGGGCATGCAGATAGAGAGAAAGTGAGCTCTCTGGTGTTTCTCCTTAAAAGAACACTAATGCTATCAGGAGGGCCCTCACTCTTGATCTCATCTAAGCCAATTACCTTTCAAAGGCCCCATCTCCAAATACCATCATATTGGAGGTCAGAGCTTCAACACACAAATTTTGAAGGGACATAATTCAGCCCATAGCACCGTTGTTGAAAGTCTGAGCTCTCAGCCCTACATGCAGAAGATGGTGAAGGGCACTTTATTTATAAAGCACTTATTCTATTCTGGCACTGGGCTCAGGGTTTCAATATATTACTTCCATTAACAGAGCAAACCATAGTGGTGAGGCTCAGAGAGATGAAATAAGTCACTCCCAGTCACAAAACTAGTAAACTTTGCAAAGATTCAAACCCTGTCCCATTTGACCTCAGCGCTATAGTCTTTCTGAGAGTCCATGGGACCTTTCTTAAATTTCAGTATTTACTGGTTAGGTTACTTAAGAGTTATAAAACCCAAAGAAAATAGTGCACACCAAAGTCACATGAAACCAATTTGAATCAAGAAGTCAATGTTTTTGTTTCATAGAGGGAGCTATAGTTGATCAAAGAGCATATATTTGTGTTTGCTCTTTAATCCATGATTGGATTCTAGGAATTGGATTTGTTTAAAAAATTGCTTTGTTAACATGAAGTCAGAGAAAGGGGAATTAAATAGTCTATGAAAATATTTCAATACCAGCTATGGTTTAGCATCCTTTTTTTGTTGGTCATGTGATTTTTCATGTCCCTAAAATCAATGTCATCTAGCTTAGGAGGTAAGGACTATGTGAATCTAAATTATTTTGTATAGCCAAGCGCAGTAGCAAAGAAGAAGAGGAAAAAAAAAGGAGGAGGAAGAGAAGAAGAAGGAGGAGGAGAAAGAGAAAGAGGAGAAGGAGGAGGAGGAGAAGAGGAAAAGGAAGAAGGATGAGAAGAGGAAGAAGGAGAAGGAGAAGGAAGAAAGAAGAAGAAAGAGGCAGCTCAATACCTGCTCAATCAGAAGAAGAAGAAGAAGAAGAAGAGGAGGAGGAGGAGGAGGAAAGAGGCAGCTCAATAACTGCTCAATCGTTACCTGGCAACATCACTTGATATATCTTCAAATACTTTGCTGCTGAGACAAGAGAATCTACCAGTGTCCTTCCTAGGGTTAAAACACAGGGGATCAAACCTCCCAGATGATTACTCCTCCCACTTTGACCTAGTATTCAGCACTTCATTGCAGCTTCTCTTTCCCCAAACAGCCCCAGTTTAGTAGTTCAAAGGTTGAGAATTTTTTTCTCTAAAGGTCCAGATAGTAAACACTTTCAGCTTTGCAGGCAATATGGTCTCTGCTGCAGCTACTCAACTTGCAGTTGTAACATGAAAGCAGCCACAGACAACATGTAAACGAATGAGTGTGGCAGTGTTTCAATAAAATTTTATTCACAAAAAAGATGTTGGCACAGATTTGGCCCGAAAGCTGTAGTTTGCCCACTCCTGCACAAATAAATAATGTAGCTTTTTTTTTGACATTTTTATGATAAATGGCAAAGAGGGTTTGCATCACACAGTTCACAGAAAAACTCAATTAAAGCCCCCATTGAAATTCTCATTTCTTTACTCCAGTAGCCCCAGGTCTCTTTTCTTTTTCCCTTTGTACTACAAATCTTTCAAAGAGCCCAATATTCTCCAGAGTATTCAATTCTTGCTCAAAGTATTCAAGCCCCATTAAATAGTTAACAATACCCATTGTCCTTTAAAAGTGGTTTCAAGGAGCATTATGGTTCTTGGAATGTGTCTATATTTGTCAGCATTCTCCCTCTTGAGAAATAGAACCTAAAAGATAACACACACACACACACACACACACACACACACACACACACACACACACACAGAGAGAGAGATTATAGGAATGGGTTCACACAGTTATGGAAGCTGAGAAGTTCCATGATCTACGCTGTGTAACCTGGAGAACCTGGAAAGCTGGTGGTGTAGTTCAGTTTGAGTCTCAAACTAACAGAAGCCAGTGATGATGTAACAATCAGTTCAAATCTGAAGGCTTCAGAACCAGGAGCTCCAATATCTGAGGCCAGGAGACGATGTGTGTCCCAGCTCAGAGAGGCTGCATTCACCTTTCCTCCACCTTTTTGTTCTATTGGGGCACTCAAAGGATCGGAAGATGCCTGCCCACATTAGTCATGGTAGGTCTTCTTTACTCAGTGTACAGATTCAAATGCTAATTTCTTCCAGAATACCCTTCACAGAGACACTCAGAAGTAATGTTTTACCAGCTCCCTGGCTGTGCCTTAGCCCAGTTAACTTGACATATAAAATTAACCATCATGTGTCCCTTGAAGGCCTTGCCCTCTACTCGGAAATTACATTAAAAATACAATGTCCATGGGCTGGGCGTGGTGGCTCACGCCTATAATCCGAGCATTTTGGGAGGCCGAGGCAGGTGGATCACCTGAGGTTGGGAGTTCGAGACCAGCCTGACCAACATGGAGAAACCCATCTCTACTAAAAACACAAAAATTAACCGGGCGTGGTGGTGCATGCCTGTAATCCTAGCTACTCAGGAGGCTGAGACAGGAGAATCGCTTGCACCCGGGAAGCAGACGTTGCGGTGAGCCGAGATCATGCCATTCCACTCCAGCCTGGGCAACAAGAGCAAAACCCCATCTCAAAAAACAAAAAATGCAATGCCCAATAATCATATGGAAATCAACATCCAATAATCATCAGGAATCGCAAATTAAAAATTCAATCAGATATTGCTACATACCCACTAGAATGACTAAAATAAAGAATAATGGCAACACCAAATGTTAGCAAGGACATTGCTGGTGGGAATGTAAAATTCTACAGACACTTTGGAAAAATGTTTGGCAGTTTTTGAAATAGTTATCTATATATACTCAGCAATTACATCCCCAAATAAATGAGAACCGTAAATAAAGACTTGTACATGCATGTCACAGCAGCTTTATTTATAATAGCCCAACACTGGAAACATCCCAGATGTTTATCAACAGGAAGATATATGAACAAACTGTGGTATATTCATATCATGGGATAGTACTCAGCAATAAAAAAGGAATTAACATGCAACAACATAGGTGGTTGTCAGAAATAGTATCCTAAGTGTAAGGATCCAGATGCAAAAATGAGTACACACAATATAATCCATTTATGTGAAATTCTATATGGACGAAATTAACCTATGGTGATACAAATCAGAGTAATGGCTGCTTCTTAGTCAGGATACAGAGACTGACCAAGGGTCAATCACACAATATTTCCATCATTCCAGTAATGAGAGATCTTTCTGAGATGATGGAAATATTGTGAGTCTTAATACATACTTGTCACAACTGATTGACCAGTATATTTAGGATCTCAATATGTCACTGTATGTAAATTTTACCTCAATACAAAATTTTTGTAATAGTGTATTTACTTAACATTTTAAAAGACCCAAAATGACTGCCAAAGCTCCAGCCATCACATCTGCATTCCAAGCAATAGACAGAAGAACTAATGGAAAGATGAAAAGACAAAGACACATATGCCTGCTGTCTGATCCTTCTTATGGAGATCCAAAGTCCCACCAACAATGGACACTTAGGTTTTATTGGACAAGCCCAGATAAAAAAATAAGTGGGAAAATAGACACATGCACTATTTGGTCAAGCACGCTTCCAGGTAGAATAAAATTCTTGTAAGTAGTAACAAGAAGAATGAATATTGGCTATCCATTGGTAGGTTAAATCACACCGTAAAAAAGTGGGCATGCACACAATTTCTTACACAATTTGAGGAGATTCATGTACCCTCACTAGATCCCATTTTAGCTGAATTATATATTTAAAACCACTGGTCTAATAAGATTAAGCAACTGATTATTCCTAAACATGGTTAATGAAAAGTGTGTGAATGAGAAACTCACATGGCAATAGGCACTAGAGCAATCTATAAGACCGGGTAAAATATGCCATACTCATCCACCTGGCAGGTCTTCCAAAGGCTTCAATTTATTAAGTAGAATTGTATTCTACTCATCCACTGGGTAGAATATACCATATTCATCCACCTGGTAGGTCTTCCAAAGGCTGCAATTCATTAAGTAGACTGTTCTTAATTGAAGAGCATTTAATTCTGCTGCCATCTTAAATTTGCAGTATGTGAATGGAAGAAGATAGGCCACTTTGCTGAAGTGTACATTCTACTTACACACTTGATTTGATCACATTATTTTGCAGGTGTCTCTACTTCAATTAATTGCATATTGGTGAAATGCATCATTTAAACTCAGTACAGAACTGAAGTATTCAAATGACAGTCTCTTCAGTATAATTATTCCACGTAAGTTGGAGTGCTGACAAAATGTTGTCCTTTATTTTTTTAAAATAATAGCTTCAAGTATATCCAAGATTACATAACATAAAAAATGTCAACAAGATATGACAAATATAAAATGAAAATGATGAGATTAAAACTTTACGTGTTTAATTTTTCTCCATAGATTCACAGCTAGTTTTTCTTATGAAGTCAGGTTACAAATTCCCAATGTCCTATACAGTTTTTTCAGGCTGATTTGAAGAACAAAGGAAAGTATCTTAAGAAAAGCCCCATAAAGACACGGTATTTTTGCTGATCAGTAAGCTAGATGTAGATCTGTAAAAAAAACACTGACTTTCTTTAATTGTTAAAGCAAAGAGAAGATGAAAGTTATTTGGTTGAACAAAGGAAATGCATAACTTATTCTACATACTGTATTTGAATACTAACTTGACTTTTTTTCTTATAATTTGATCTCTTACCTGAGTAGATATTGAAAATTAAATACCAGTATCCTTTCACTAAACTCAAAATGTGAAGAATGCCATCTTACTATTGGTTCATTCACTGACACAGCATCACACTGCTAAATTAATGTTTCATATAGTATCATAATAAGCAGTACTATTTATTGATCATTTACTCAGTGATGAGGCCTTTACATATAACATTGCTGTGGTAGACTGAATAATGGTTTTCCCATGTCCTGAACTTGTGAATGTTACTCTATGGCAGATTTGATTAAATAAGGGTTCTTGAGGTGGGGAGATTATCCTGGATTATCTGGGCAGATCCAATGCCATCAAAAGTGTCTTTATAAGAGAAAAGGTGATGCAAAAATGGAACTGGAGAAAGTTGAAGATGCCATGCTGTTGGCTTTGAAGATGGAGGAAGAAGAGGCCATGAGCCGCAGAAGGCAATGAATTCTCGTAGCTTTTAGAAGCTGAAAGAGGCAAAGAATGGGTTGTCCCTTAGATAAGCCTCCAGAAGGAACCAGCCCTGCCAGCATCTTGACTTTAGCCCGGTGAAACTGATTTTGGACTTCTGGCCTCCATGACTGTAAGAGAATGTATCTGTGTTGTTTCAAGCAACTAAATTTGTGGGAATTTGTTACAAAAGCAATAGGACACCAACACAATTTCTAATTTCAGAACTACTCTGGAAGGATGGTATTATTGCTATACAACTACACACACGTTTATCAGATGAAGAAAATGAGACAGGAAGAGAGATTAAAACAATAAATAACTAGGCAATGTACACAGCTACAGAATGATAGAGACAAGCTTGGCAGCTAGGTATGACTTGAAGTCCACAGACCATTCTCCTCTATCATACTGGCTAATATGAACTGTCAAGGCATATTTCACTGTGTATTGTCCTAAAAATTTCTTCTCCTGTTAATAAATAAAAAGAAGCATATCAAAGTGTCCTATTTACATGTATTTATTTTAAAGGGAAAGTATTTGTTCAAAACAATGGGCTGATTGAACCATATACTTGCAGGGTTCTAGTGTGTTTCCATAAGGAGGCTTTTATATTCCAAATGAAACTCTTCTATCCCTATAGATATGGGAAATATAATGCAGCTAGCAAGAATGGATTCTGGGCTGGGCACAGTGGCTCACGTCTGTAATCCCAGCATTTTGGGAGGTTGAGGTGGGCAGATCACTTGAGGTGAGGAGTTCAAGACCAGTTGGCCAACATGGTGAAACCCCATCTCTACTAAAAACACAAAAATTAGCTGGGCGTGGTGGTGCACGCCTGTGGTCCCAGCTACTCGGGAGGCTGAGGCGGGAGAATCACTTCAGCCCAGGAGGCTGAGGTTGCAGTGAGCCGAGATTGCACCACTGTACTCCAGCCTGGGCAACTGAGTGAGACTCCGTCTCAAGAAAAAAAAAAAAAAAAAAAAAAGGATTCTGCATGAAAACTCCATGGAGAGGAATTATAAACCAAAGAGTAGCTACTCCTAATGAAAGCATTGCAGAATTGGTAAGGAGCTTGGCCTCTGCCTGAAGGTTTAATATTTCTATGAAGGTGCTTTATAGTGGACGCGTGATACGCTCCTCATCTAGGTTTCACAGGAGTCTCTCCCTTGCCAGCTAAATTAAAATTCAAAAAGAATTTTCCAGAAATATATTACTTGCGGTTGCATTTTGTAATGTTTGAGAAGTGCTGAATTAAAAGATGTATTAATAAATCTTAGAAGCATAGAATGAAGCAAATAGTGAAAAAGTCAAATGTTTTATTTAATTATGATACATTTATCCAATGTGTATGGGTTCCCTTCAAAGCCCCTGGAAGATCCTGGATTCTGTGGGAGATTACTAGATATTTTGTGATTTGATCTTTATTCAAATGAAATCTTATAACTTCTTCTACCAGAAAGATTTTGACAATTTTAATGGATGCATTTCAGTAAGTTATTGAAACATCAGCATAGGAGGTAGTTTTAAACATTTGCAGAAAAGCATTTAGAGATTAGTCTGGTAAAATAGTGACATCTCGTGGCAAGAATTGGTAACAAAATCTCTAACGTTAGAAAAAAAATCAATGTAAGGAAGCCAAGTAAAATGGAAGGGGAAAAAAACACTAAATTTTTGTTCTTGTAGATAAAATGAATTGTTCTCATTTTAGCTTTTGGTTGTAAGAAAAAAATTCTGGGGTTTTGACTTATATGTTTCATACTAACAAAGACGAAAGAGTTTAATTTGGAAAATAAAAGCCCTCCTATGGAATAGACCAGGGTGCTGCAAATAATTTATTCCAACTCACTGTTTAGAACAAAAAATATTCTACCTTTGAAGTTCATGTAACAAGAGAAACTTTGATTTGTTTCTACTTTTTAAATAAAAATAGAGGAAACATGTTTTTCCCTTTAGTGCCCATAGCAGATGCTCTTGGAGATTTTGTC
The DNA here is from genome assembly GCF_000001405.40 of Homo sapiens. NCBI lineage: Eukaryota > Metazoa > Chordata > Mammalia > Primates > Hominidae > Homo > Homo sapiens. The sequence goes on from NC_000023.11 coordinate 30,504,929, forward strand.
CATGTTTCCTCTGCTGACCCTTTGTGGCTCGGGTGGACTGAAATACATTGCATGCATTATGTCTGCCTGGGGTCTATCTCTGGCTGCAGAAATGAGTCCTGCCTGTGCTGGGCAGTCAGGAATACCTGGAAGTTAGCAACCCCATGAACCACTCAGAAGCAATGGGGCAAAGGGATAAATAAATGCCTCAGCTTCTTCCCCCACCCCCTTAGTGGGACCATTCTGAATTGTTTTCTACATGCTCTCTCAGGAGGACCTCAGCGGAACTAAACTCCAGCTGCCTACAACAGTAATTTGCACCTTTTATTGTCTTTCCTCTATTCCTAACTCCTTCTCTACGCTTCCTGGCGTCACTACCAAATAAACTATGTGCATTCAAATCATTGTCTCAGGGTCAGCTTTTGGAGAAATCCAAACCAAAACAACAACAACAAAAACAAACAAACACCCAGTGATGTACCCAAGCTGTATATACACACATGTAAATGTGTTTCAAAGAAAAAAAAAATGAGTTCTAAGCATTTTTACTAGTTTAATTAGCAACACATCAAAATGAAAAGAACAAAGACAAGTCTAGCCTATTTTGGTTTTATTGCAACAGTAAAGCCTTTTACAGCTGCTGGCAGCCCTGCTGCTATTCCTCTGGGGTCCTTCTCTTTATGAAAATGGAAGTTCAACATAGGGGAATTGCCTCAGTAAGGAAAGAGGGCATCTCTACTCCAGGGATTTTGTATCCATTCTAAAATCCCTGTAAGAAAACTTGAACTGGGTGCTGAGAGCTGGTTGAACCAATTAATTTACTAATTGGCTCAGGAATAATATATTAAGATTGCATACTTGAAGACCCAAGAATTAGAAATGTATCTTAGAAAATCTATTCATTCATTAGGAGTTGTCTTTTTTTTTTTTCTTTAACAGCCAATTTAAGCCAATTTAGTCAACTATTTTTCTTCACTTTCAAGGGCATGTGAGGGGCAGAGAGACCAGTGAGTATCTCAATATTTTACACAAAACAGATCCCAGCCCAGGAGGTAATATAAAAAAAGATGGGGGTGCGGCTAGTAAGCACTTTGACCATCAATCACACGTAAATTTCAACCTCTGGCCACAACTTTGCATCAAAAGTCAATTTATTCCGACCTGATGGCAATGGAGGGGCAAAAAAAGCTGTTTTATTTTGGCATGTGGAAAATTACAAAATAAATCTCAAATGTATTCACCTGAACTCTTGGTCACAAACAAGTCAAACATGCTAACTACAGCATGTGACTAATAGCACTTTATATACCAAGTGATGTTGGTAAAGTCATGTTTTTATTTTCCTTTAAAAGAAAACAATTTCCAAGCCAATTATTCATCTTCTCAAGTAGTAAATTTATGAAGTTTGGCGGTCATTAAACTAAAAAAAAAAAAGAAGAAGAATTGATGTGTCCCGAGTTTCAGAACAATAAATGCCTTTTTTAAAACTACCATATATTCTAAAACCAAATCCCCATCTTCAAATCTATGAGTGCATCCTATTTTATTAGATTTCAGAATACCAGAGTATCTTTCTCTCTGAAAGTATAATATTAATAGCGAGGCATTGTGCCTAATATTTTACATGTATGATTTCATTTAATGCCTATGACACTGTGGTACAGTTATTGTGATTACATACATTTTACAGACAAGAATGCTGAATATTTAGGAAAGTTGCCCAAATTCAAGTCTGTCTAACTGCAAACTCAAGCCCAACCAGGTATCACTGCATTATAAACAAACACAAAATCTCAATGGCATATCACTGAGAACATTTATTTCTTACATGTCTGCACATCAGCTGAACTACCTCAGTTCAATTATTCTTGGTTGAGCTCAGTTGAGTGGCTTCAAGCTGCAGGTTGAATCCACCTCTGCTCCACATGTCACTCAACCCCGTGGGATCAGCAGACTAGCTGGACCATGGTATTCTCGTGGTGATGACAGAAATGCAGAGGGTAAATGAAACACACAAGGTCTTATAAGGCTTAAGCTCAGATCTGACACAGTGTTACTTCCATCCACATCCCATTGGCCATAGCAAGTCAGGTAACCAAGCCCAAAGTTTAGGGGTAAGGAAGGAAGTATATTCCTCTTTTAGTGGAAGGACATGCAAAGTTACATAGCAAAGAGTGTGGATATAGGAAAGGATAAAATGTTGGAAACAAAAATTCAACATAACCCACTCACTATGTCAGTGGGCTTCCGTAGTGGCATAATCTTTCATAAATCATTTGAGATGTATGTGTCCACAGTGAGGAAAGGGATGGCTTAACATTCTGATATACTCTGGAATGCTGAAAGAATATTAAATCTGATCAATTAAGCAACAGAGGTGATATGTCTCTAAGTTCTGAAAACCTTAAGTCTAGAATCATTCACAGGTTCCATCATGTGCTAAATTATGAAGCAGATAAATTTGTCCTTGACATTGCTCAATCTCACCTCTAATCATCCCTGGCTTCATGCCTGTGTCTTATCTATTTCTCCTGTCCCCCTAACAAAATATCCCTGTAAGCCCACTTCCCCTAAACTCAACCCTCTGCACTTCGCGGCTTCTCTATCTGATAGCTAACACCATCTTTGATAGTGACAGCTGAATGGGTGAATGGGTTTTTTGCTTAAAGACTTACACATTTTAACTAGGGATTCTTGGACACAGAGCACGTGAGCTTAAATAGCAGTTGTTAAAAAAAAAAAAAAAACTTTGGAAATAAACTTTTATCTTCCAACAAAGTTAATTAGAAATCCAAATTATTAAAAGATAAATGAACATATTATTATTCTACTATTGGTCAAATAATATTAATGTAATTTTAATAGTCTATTATTAGTTGACCGGTGGAGGGGGTGGCTAAAAGAGACAAAACCCATTTGTTCTCCTGGTCTGCCTCTCCTATTGTCCTTGGTGACCTGTGAATTTCTTCCACAGAATCCCCTGGTACTGAGAAGCACAATTTGAAAACCCAAAACATAAACTCTCATGTTAAGAATGTCTGGTAGATCCTCTCTTCTTTCCAGTCACAGTGAACCACTCACAACCTCTGTGAAAGCATAAAGCTATCTTGGTCCCAGGGCCGATGTGGTGGGATTTGAGTTGCATGTGAAATTTGTTATCCCTTTAGCCTGCAACAGTGCCTGAATACTGACAATTGGATAATATTCCTTAGATCTAGGGCATTTTCTTGCCCAGGAGCCCCTCTAAAAGGGTAAAACCTCTGTAGAGAAATAATTCGTCAGTCTATTAATACCTTAGCTTTAAATAGGTTTTCATGGATGGCCTACAGATGGCACAGGTAGGTGGGGTAGGAACTGTGAGACCTAAATATCCGTGGGACATGGTGAAAAGTGGTCAGGAGAATCTCAAAAAAAAAATGAGCTGGACAAAAGGGAGATTAAAGTGGAAACATGAAGTTAATTCAAAACAGAGGCAAGCTTTTTCTAACAAACACCTTTTCACGAAGCAAGCTCCAGCTAGTACCATATAGAGATCATTTTCTCTGAATACAGAGCTCTTAGGAGGTGCACGTTCATTTGCCTTCTGTGGGGAAAACCAAGTAGGTGGGCTTGCTTTGGATTCCATTCTTATTGTGGGATTTGTAAAAATTCTGATTGATCCAGAGCTCAAAGCCTTCTTTTCAAACCATATCTTTTTGGAATAAATTGCCCAAGGGAGAAAATTATTTATCTCATTTTGTGTAGATACCAGAAAGGGGGAAATAGATCAAATGGGCATAGATAGGGTTATCTGGTAGTTGTCTTACATTTAAAGTCAATCATATGGTAAATGATCAACTGTGCCTCATCAAGAGCAAAAATAATACAGAACTCATTGACTTACTATAGGATGACTTATTCTTTGGAGGTAGCATATACTATCAAGTAAAAGGTGGTTGCTGAAAAGTTACAAATTCATAGGATATGAGAGGAATTTAGTGTTTCTCATAAAATTCTTCATGACTTCACTGGAAACTCCAGTGTATTTGCTTAACTCAATTCAGCAAATATTTAGTGCCTATTTTGTACCAGGCACTGTGCTAGGTCCTGGAAAGGCAAAGATGAATAGGACATTCTCTCTGCCCTCAACATGCTCAAAATGGAAGTGAGGAAGACAGAAATATAAATGACTAGCTAGATTACAGTGTAATAGTGGCTACATTACAGGTATAAAAAGAGTGGTATGGGAATCAGCATAGGAAGGAATGATCTAGTCTTTGGCCATCAGAGACAGAGAAAATGGCAGGTCAGGAGAGCCACCCTATACGGGAGCCTCTGTAGCTCAAAAGGCCTTGAAAAGCCATCAATGACTTAAAGATGCAGAAAGGCATTATTAGATTGGCTATCTTGAAAAAGCATTCAGGCAGGAGAGAAAAGGAGTCAAATTAGTTAAGAGGTTCCTGCAATCAATCGGTCAACATCTATTAAAATAGACTAAATGAAATGTGGAATTAGGAGACAGAGAAGAGATTTCTTCCAGGTGACCTCAGGAGAGAGATAAAATGAAAGCTCTCCAGTACTCAAACAAGAGATACATAAAAGACAATCACTTGTTTACCTGTGTGAGAAAACTAAAATTTTCTAATTCCTACAATGCATTGCAGCAGTTGAGGTGCTGACCCTTGTTCCCTTCTAAATAAGAAGGAAACCAAGAACTCCCATTTCAGGATGAGTCAAGCAGCCAATAGCAATAACACATGAGACCTGTCATAGGGAGACTTACATCTTCAAATGAAACAGAACTGCAATATCCTCCTTCATAGAAATCCTTATATGAGATAGCTACCCTCCTGGCATGCCTGGCATGGCTATGAGAAACTTCCATTTGCATTAGAGTTAAATGTCTTGACATCATGATAAATTGCTGAGGATTACTTTGTCACACATATACTACGCAAAGCACTGTGAAAATGGGTGGAAAATAACATATTAATACTCCATGATCAGTGCTGGACAGCATGTAGTGGGTAAAGATGTTAATGGGATTGCAGATGTCACCCCATCAGTTAAGAACCTGCTACTGAATGCCAGCACATGGAAGTCTACCTGGCATAGAGTAGGTACTGAAAGAATATCTGATGGGTGAATGAATAAAAAAGAAGTACAGATATCAAGAAAACGTAATTGACTTTTGTGATACTTGTTTCTGAAATGGTAAGAAAATGCTAATGAATTCCCGCATAGGGTTGGACTCAAAAAGCATAATAAGTATTTTGTCAGATTTTCTGGTTATTTTTTTCATTTCCATCGTCTGCAGTTCAGAGTTCCATCAGAAGTGGGAATACATTTCAATTCTTAGACAAATATGTGAATTATTTCCTCTTCTTGTACCTTAGTGGGGAAAAAGATTTTTTATGAATAAGCAAAATATGAAATTTGATTCATATACTCAGAATAAAATAAGGTGAGAAAAATGCCTGGGGAATTATGTCAAATTATGGTATGTGTGAGTGGTCATTAATATCCTTACTGTTAAGTAGTGGGGCATAATCCCCTTCACAAAAAGAGAGCTGAATCTCAAAAGTCTCCAGAAATAAAATTAAAATGTGACCCAATGTGTCAAAACTTGGTGAACATTTTTATGACCCATCAATTGTATCATTGCAAGTCGTTAGAGAGAAGATTTTGATGAACACCAATTTCTACATCAAGAAAAATAAATGAGTCTCCATTTCTTTCCTTCCCTTTGTCCTCACCTTCAAGTTGTTAAGGTCTTTGAGAAGAATAAAAGATGACACTTCCGTAGCTCACAAATCAGACTTAACTGTTCCCATGTCAGTTTGAGTTTAGAAAAGATTACTTTCATCTAACAGCCCTCTCAAATACAGTACTACGGTGGGGTACTATGTCACCTCCAGAAATGATTTATACTGCATCTATCTAAATTTTAAAATATTATAGAACTCTGCCTTCTATCTATCTCCATGGTTTTAAAACAGCTCCCGACAGTGCCTTAACAACACAAAGAACAAGGAAAGGCATTCTTCCTATTCCTTAACTACTTAGAATCCTAAATTAAGTTCATCTTTCAAAAGAGGTTCAGAATAGAGGTCAAAATGAACACACACACAGACGCAACTCTTCTCCTTGTTTTCAGTCACCGTAAAAGAAACAATCCAAACTTAAGGTTTAATCACTTTCATTCAAAAGTGTAAATGGAATGTAAGGGGCCCTCGTGAGGAATGCATACATGAGTAATATCTTTTCTCAGTGAGCTCCCAATCTAGCCGGGACTACAAGAGATTACACAAATATTTAAAATGTACCGAATAATAAGATGATTGCTTTAGAAATGTGTCAAAAATGCCAACAATGCTAAGATAAAGAAAGGATAACTTCAAAACTAACCAGAACTGGAAATGTAAGGCCATTCTTGGTCCAAAGACATGGGATAATCATAGTATCAGGGATTGTCAAGGAGATGTGAAGTGTCCCCTAGGAGTCAAGAGAGCAGTGTGAAAAATTCTGAAAAACTGAGTCTGGAATAAATAAGGGGTGACCTTGAGTGCCAGGGCCAAGAATTTAGAACTTATAGGATAATGAGTGAGAATGTTTCAAAGTGAGGAAATACATTTCAGCTACAGTTTAATTTGGAAGCAATGTGAGGCTGGGATAAGGAGAGAGAGAGAGACCCCATTCAAGTGGACATTAACAAGATATCTATTATAATAATGGCCCAGTAATGAGATTTGAAACCAAGGCCCCTGCAGAGGGAGTGAAAAGAACATTTCAAATTCAAGAGATATAAAGAGACATAATCTCCAGGGTTTTATAAGTGCTGGGATGTGAAGACTAAATGGTTAGAGAAAAACATGAATTAGTTGTGAAGTCTGTGTGACTAGGAAAATGGTGTGGTATTAATACAAATTGGGAAACCAAAAAAAAAGGGGGGGGGGTACATGTGGAAAAGGAAGAGATAATTTGTTCAGATCTAAAATATGTTGAATTTCAGGCCCTATTGGAGCAATCAGGTAGGAATTCCCTCTTTGGCTCAATGCCATGACCTTCAATAGATCCATTCAATTTTGTGATCTCATCCATGTGTAAGAAGAAAGTAGAGTTTATCACAGGCTGGGTATTGCCAAGGTCCACCTGCAATGAGGTCAAGGAGAGTGAGTATTTCAAATTACTAGCAAAAGTGGTATTCAGATGGCTGCTCTTGGAGTCTAAGTTGGACAGCTTAAAAGAACAGCCCTGGGATTTATTACCCTATATCAAATCTCCTTACTTCTCCTGATTTCTGTATTTTTTCTTAATTTGTTACCTAGAATCACTCCATCTTTTTCTTCAAGCCTATCAGGTCTATCCTAGTTTTTCACCTTGCCACCAGCCCTTGTAGATTAGTATGCTCATAGATCGGTAAAATTGAATCAGGGTTTCCAAAATATTGTGTCTAAAGTGGACTTCAGAAAACATCATTTGTGTCAGACTAAGGAAGGAAGTAAAAAAATGGCACATTAGCAAAGCAAGATTTTCCCTCAACCATATCACCATCACAGAAAGAGAAGAAAGAGTGGGGGAACAGGAGGAGGAAGAATAGGAGGAGGAAAAGAACAAGAACAAGAAGGGAAGGAAGGAAGAAAGGAAGAAAGGAAGGAAGAGAGGAAGGGTTTTAGAATGATTTTTATTGAAGCACACTAGAATCACATAAATATGATTGTTTTCAATAATTCAAGTCAACATGGAGGCAAGAAATCCAGATATAACAGTCCTCAATACCGTTAATCCGATAAAGCAAATCTTCACTCATTAATTCTGTTTCACCCATATAGACCCTACTTAGAACTATTAGAAGTAGAAAATAGAGATCTTGAATTTAAAAATTTTAGTATTAATTTGAGCTTTTTGTGAGAACTAGAACAACTTAATTCCCTTTTGAGCCTTAATTATCTTGCATATAAAATAATTATAATAACAGTCACCTTATAATGTTACTTTAAATTAAAATACATGTTTGTGTGCTTATGTGTTCCCCACCATAGAATTCAACATAGTGTCAATAACTTCTAGTTCACTTCCTTACAAAATTACTGTTAGAATTAAATAAAATAATGTGTTTGGAGGCACCTGGAAAACTGTAGATGAGCTCAACAAACTTACAAAGTAATAAAATGATACTTGAAAAAATAGCTTTAGCTATGTACATATCCTCATGATTCATTTTATGTCGACATTGAGAATGAACTTGTTTTACTCAATAATACCTTGAAGACTTATTGAAGTTCTAAATATTCTACATGCAAAAACAAAATTGTACTGCGTTCCCTAGAGTATTTTCAATCATGATAAAACACCGTCTAACTGCAATGCATACTTTTTCGATGCAAGCCATATTTGACTTTGAAACTATGCTGACACAGAGAGAAAATACAGTGTTGATTAGCTTTCTAAGCCCCGCTAGATTTTCAAGATAATCACAGTCTACTCCACACTTTAGTTGTATAAATGTGGCCTTAATCTGTGTTGACGTGACCTCCAAAACTTAAATTAAAATGGTTTCAAACCCAGGGACCTCTGCCCTCTGGTGGTAGTTAATTGCAAATGGTCTTCATGTTCATATACACACAGAGTGTTACTTTCACATTAACTAAATAATATGTCTCATGAATATTTGTGCTGTTTCAAATAGTCCTTGTTATTGGGATTCATACAATAAAATACCATTGCAAAGCATTTGTGTCAGAAAAAAATTCTTGCTTTCAAGTGACAGAAGCCCAGTTCAAACTAAAAACGAAATTTGGGGATGCACATGCCTGGAAAGAATATGGATAAATCTGAGTATGCATGAATAGATCTAGTGGCACAAACCATGAATATAGGACTCCATCTCTTTAAATAGCTCAGCTTCATTTCCTGCCTTTGAGCTTTATTCTCATGCATACTTTAACACTGTGTAGGTGGTTGCCAGCATGTACAGGTTTATATAGGCAAATCCCAACAGATAAAAGGGACTGCCTCACTCTCAACAGTCCCAGCAAAGGTTCTGAAACTGTCTCAAATTAGGTAGCCTATGTCCATCAGGGAGGTAATTACTGTGATCCAGGATATGGAATACTTTGATAGGCCAGGCCTAAGATACATACCCACCACTGCAGCCAAGGGTAGAGTCTAAATCACCCAACGTGAATGGACCAAGAGTAAAAAAGGGAGGGATGTTTTACAATAGGAAAATTGGGGTACTGGTACCTCAATAAGGGGAAGGGATGCTGACCAGCAAAAATATGATGGCCATTATAGCTTCGTAGAATACATAATGGTCACTTACAATAACACATTTTCTCAATATGTGTGGCTCTTAAAGTGTTTTGATCTTTAAAAGGAAATTCTCACATTTGAAAAGCTTGAGAATCACCAAATCAATTCTTTTTTCTATAGGAGTATATGGACTGATATAGATCAAATACATGGATGAGTAACTGAAGTTTCTATCTCTCAATTTAGTTGATCAGTGTGGTGAGTATGATGCCTGAGATGTCTGCTTTGAAACTTCTTTTGCCTGTAAGTCACTAGCTCAGTGAGTTTTCTCGGTCCATTAGGTAACTTCACAAAGCATTGCCTTCTCTAGGGAGCAGAAAACAGCATGAAAAGAAAATCTCACAAAGCACATTTTCAGCAAGAATCTTTGAATTGAAGTGTTTATTTCAGAATCAACTGAAGTATCCAGGTTAGGTGCTTACAGAATGTGTTTATGAATTTCCTTAATGCTAATTTGGAATTAGTTATGCATTCTACATATAAAGGCCTTTACACTCACTTCCATGAGATAAGTTAACACAAAGTAATTTTATGAGGTTAATTACAATGGTGAACTCCAAATGAGCACAACTGTTAGAATCGTTACGTACTCCTGAGTGGCAAGTGCTCCCCTTCCCCTCCTATACTTTTCTAGCTACTTGGAAGTTCATTCTTCCATGGAAGGAAAATCTGTAGGTCATAAGAGATCATTCACAATTACTTTATGCATAAGTTTTTTATATATAAAAGTAAGTACTTGCATGAGAAATCCTATTTTCATCACTCATTCTTTCAGCCATGTTGAGCCTTGTGGTTTAAATCTCATATAATGCTACATAAATGACAGATTCCTGTCTATTCACAAAATCATACTATCCTTCAATTTCACCATAATGCTTAGACCTCCAAATCTTCTTCCTTCACAAATTGCAACTAAGTAGTTTAATCTTAATAATTTAGTTTTTCATTAAAGAAGATTCTGATTTTTCTTTTTTTTTTTTTTTTTTTTTTTTGAGACAGAGTTTTACTCTTGTTGCCCAGGCTGGAGTGCAATGGTGCGATCTCAGCTCACCACAAACTCCGCCTCCTGGGTTCAAGCGATTCTCCTGCCTCAGCCTCCCAAGTAGTTGGGATTACAGGCATGCACCACCAGGCCCGGCTAATTTTGTATTTTTAGTAGAGACGGGGTTTCTCCATGTTGGTCAGGCTGGTCGCGAACTCCCAACCTCGGCTGATTCACCCGCCTCGGCCTCCCAAAGTGCTGGGATTACAGGTGTGAGCCACTGCACCCGGCCTCTGATACATTTTAACTAAAAAAAGTTGACTGTACAAAACAATAATTCAAATGATATTTGCAAACAACCCAAATTTATTCACTTTTTTCTTCCCTTTCCTCCTCATCTTTTAACAATTCTTCTTTTTAAATTTATTATTTTTAATTGACAAATAGAAATTGTATAAATTTATAATATACAGCATGGTTCATATATATATATATAAACATACATTGTGCAATGATTAAATCAAGTTAATTAACATAGGCATTACTTCACATACTTACTGATATGATTAGGTTTCATGTCCCCACCCAAATCTCATCTTGAATTGTAATCCCCATAATCCCCACGTGTCGAGGGAGGTACCTGGTGGGAGGTGATTGAATCATGAGAGTGGTTTCCTCCATGTTGTTCTCTTGATAGTGAGTGAGTTCTCATGAGGTCTCATGGTTTTATAAGGGGCTCTTCCCCTCTTGCTTCTCTCTTCTCTCTCCTGCCACCTTGTGAAGAAGGTGCCTGCTTCCCCTTCCACCATGATCCTAAGTTTCCTGAGGCCTCCCCAGCCATGTGGCACTGTGAGTCAATTAAACTTCTTTCCTTTATAAATTACCCCGTCTCAGGTAGTATCTTTATAGTAGTGTGAGAACAGACTAATACACTTGCCTTTTTTATGGTGAGAACATTAACATTTACTCTGTTAGTGATTTTCAAATATATCATACATTATTATTAACTATAGTCACCATGATGTACAATAGAGCTCTTGAACTTATTTCTCCTTTCTGACTGAAATTTTGTACCTTTGACCAACATCTCCCCACTTCTGCCCCCAGCCACTGGTAACCACTCTTCTACTCTCTGCTTCTATGAGTTAGACAACCTTATTAAGTAAATCTTTCTTGATGCTTATCTTGTATACTGTTATATATGTCTACATTTCTATGACTTTTATTTGAAAGTCTAAAATCACATTTTTGCAGCAACATGAACGCAATTGGAGGCTGTTATCTTAAGTGAAGTAACTCAGAAAAGAAAAGTCAAAAACTGCATGTTCTTACTTATAAGTAGAAGCTAAAGAATGTGTACACATGGACATTGAGTGTGGAATGATAAACACTGGAGACGTGGGAGAGTGGGAGGGTGAGAGGTGGGTAAGGGATGAGAAATTACTTAATATGTACAATTAACATTTTTCAGGTGATAGTTACACTAAAAGCCCAGATGTCACCACTACACAACATATCTATGAAACAAAACTGCACTTGTACCCCCTAAATTTATACAAATAAAAAATAAATAAAATGATGTCTTTTGTCACCCAGTTAAGGAAACCCAGAAAACTTATTTGTCACCTTGTTTCTCATATTATGTTTTTTTCTTTTCTTTTCTTTTCTTTTTTCTTTCTTTCTCTCTTTCTTTTTTTTTTTTTTTTTTGAAGGTGGGAGACTTCTTCTATTGCCCAGGCTGGAGTGCAGTGGCACAATCTCAGTTCACTGCAACCGCCACCTCCTGGGTTCAAGTGATTCTCTGCCTCAGCCTCCCGAGTAGCCGGGACTACAGGCATGCACCACCACGCTTGGCTAGTTTTTTTTGTTTTTTTGTTTGTTTGTTTGTTTTGTATATTTAGTAGAGATGGGGTTTCACTATATTGGCCAGGCTGGTCTTGAACTCCTGACCTCATGATCTGCCCGCCTCGGCCTCCCAAAGTGCTGGGATTACAGGCATGAGCCACTGCGACCAGCCTTTCTCATATTATTTTTAAATGCCTCATTCCTAGTATTGTCTGGACATATTCATTTATATTCCTATCTGTCATTCTAATCCCTGCATGTGTTTTAGTCTTAACTCTACGCTTAAAATGCATTTGGTGCTCACCCACTGGTCCTTTCTCTAGTCATCCATTAGTTGGCTGAAGTTCATCCCCTTGTACTTTTCTCAAGAAGAGCTCGTGATAACAATATCCCTTTGCAGGCTTGCATATTCAACCCTGAGTCCAGCAAGCCTATGGATGCCGTTTTTCCAACAGCATGTGTTCCTCTTTCTGTCTGTGTCACATTTTGGTAATTTTGCAATATTTCAAACGTTTTCATTATTATTATATCTGTTACGGTGATTTGTGATCAGTGATCTTTGATGTTACAACAACAATTGTTTTAGAGTGCCACAAACTATGACCATATAAGATGTGTGTGTTCTGACTGCTCCACCAACTGGCCATTCCCCCATCTCTCTCCCTCTCTTCGGGCCTCCCTATTCCCTGAGAGTCAACAATATTGAAATTAGGCCAACTGATAAACATACAATGGCTTCTAAGTGTTCAAGTGAAAGGAAGAGTTGCCCATCTCTCACTTTAAATCAAAAGCTAGAAATGATTAAATTTAGTGAGAAAGGTATGTCAAAAGCTGAGACAGACTGAAAGCTAGGCCTCTTGTGCCATACAGCCAAGTTGTGAATGTAAAGCAAAAGTTCTTGAAGGAAATTAAAAGTGTTACTCCAGTGAACACACAAATGACAAGATTGTGAAACAGCCTTATTTCTGATATGGAGAAAGTCTGACTAGTTTGGGTAGATCAAACCAATGCCAACATGCCCTTAAGGCAGCGGTCCGCAACCCCTTTTTGGCATCAGGGACCAATTTTGCAGAAGACAATTTTTCCACAAACCAGAGTTGGGCGGGGGATGGTTTCGCGATGAAGCTGTTCCGCTTCAGATCATCAGGCATTAGTTAGATTCTCTTAAGGAGCACGCAACCTAGATCCCTTGCATGTGCAATTCACAATAGGGTTTTGGGCTCCTGTGAGAATCTAATGCCGCCGCTGATCTGACAGGAGGTAGATAGAGCTCAGGTGACAGTTCTCGCTCCCCTGCCACTCACCTCCTGCTGTGTGGCCTGGTTCTTAAGAGGCCACAGCCTGGTACTGGCCTGTGGCCCGGGGGTTGGGGACCCCTGCCTTAAGCCAGAGCCTAATACAGATCAAGGCCCTAACTTCAATTATTTGAAGTCTGAGAGGTGAGGAAGTTGCAGAAGAAAAGTTGGAAGCTATCAGAGGTAGGTTCATGAGGTTTAAAGAAAGAAACCATCTCCATAACATAAAAGTGCAAGGTAAAGCAGCAAGTGCTCATGGCAAAGCTGCAAGAAGTTATCCAGAAGATCCAGCTAAGACATGTGGTAAAGGTGGCTACGCTAAAGAACAGATTTTCAATATAGATGAAACAGCGTTCTATTGGAAGAAGATGCCATCTAGGACTTTCATAGCTGGAAAGAAGTCAATGCCTGGCTTCAAAGCTTCAAAAGACAGGCTGACTTTCTTGTTTGGGGCTAATACAGCTGGTGATTTTAAGTTGAAGCCAATGTTTATTTACCATTCTAAAATCCTAGTGCCCTTAGGAATAATGCTAAATCTACTCTGCCTGTGCTCTGCAAGTGGGACAACAAAGCATGGATAACATATGTGTTTACAGCATGGTATACTGAATTTTTAAGCCCACTTTCAAGAGCTACTGCTCAGAAAAAAAAAAAAAAAAAAAACTAAATGATTTCTTTCAAAATATTACTGCTCATTGACAGTGCATTTGGTCACCCAAAACCTCTGATGGAGATGTGCAAGGAGATTAATGTTGTTTTCATGCCTGCTAACACAACATTCATTCTGCAAACCATGCATAAAGGGGCAATTTTGACTTTTAACTCTTATTATTTAAAAAATACGGTTTGTAAAACTATAGCTGCCGTAGATGATAATTTCTCTGATGGATCTGTACAGAGTAAATTGAAAGCCTTCTAGAATAAACACACCATTTCTAGATGCCATTAAAAACATATGTGATTCATGAAAGGAGGTCAAAATATCAACATTAAGAGGAGTTTGGAAGGAAATGATTTTAACCCTCATGAATGACTTTGAGGCATTCAAGACCTCCACTGCAGATGTGGTGGAAATAGCAACATAACTAGAATTAGAAGTGATGCCTGAAGATGTGACTGAATTGCTGCAATCCCATGATAAAACTTGAGTGGATACGTTGCTTAGTGTGGATGAGCAAAGAAAATGGTTTCTTGAGATGGAATCTACTCCTGGTGAAGATTCTGTGACCACTGTTGAAATGACAACAAAGGATTTAGAATACTTTATAAAATTAGTTGATAAAACAGCAGCAGGTTTTGAGAGGATTGACTCAAAATTTTAAAGAAGTTCTGCATGGGTAAAATTCTATCAAACGGCGTCACGTGCTACATAAAAATCTGTCCTGAGAGGAAGAGTCAATTGATGCAGCCAACTTCATTGTTATCTTATTTTAAGAAATTGCCACAGCTGCCCTAATCTTCAACAACCACCACCCTGATTAGTCAGCAGCCATCCACATCAAGACAAGACCCTCCCCCAGCAAAAAGATTATGACTCTCTGAAGGCTCAGATGATTGTTAGTATTTTTAAGCAATAAAGTATTTTTAAATTAAGGTATGCATATTATTTTTTAAGACATAATGCTACCGCACACTTAATAGACTACAGTATAGTGTAAACATAACTTTTATACACACTGGGAAACCACAGATTTTGTGAGACTTGCTTTATTGTGATATTCACTTTATTACTGTGGTCTGAAACCAAACCTGCAATATCTCTGAAGTAAGTCTGTATATTCTACTGCCTTTACATTTGAAGTACAGCTTGGCTAGATATAACATCTTTAGCTCATTCTTTTGTTCCTTGAGTAATTTATGAGACACTCTCCAGTTTCTTTTGGCCTGCACTGATACTATGAAGAAATCTGAGGTAGCCTGAGTGACTTGAACTTTTTGCCTGGTTGTCTAGTGTACTATTTCTTTAGCTTTAAGTTTCAGTAAATTTACCAGGACATGCTTTAACGTAGACCATTCTACGTCACTGTTTTCCTGGCATGCAATGTAAAGATTGTCTTTGGTTTCAGAAAAGTTTTTTGAATTACATATTTAAATATTTGTCCTATTCCATATTTTGTTTTTCTCCTCTGGGATGTTCTTTGTCTGTCTTTATAATTATTTTTTCTCTCTAATCTCTTTTAACTATTTTCATACTTCTGCATCATTAGATTTGCTATTTTTACTTCTTTCTTCAATTTCCCTACTTCTTATTGGCTATAATATATATAACAATGTCTATGATCTCTTGCTTCCTTCCAATTCCATCTTTATTTCTATGATTCTGCCATTTTTTTCCTAATATGCTTTTTTTTTTAGACAGAGTCTCACTCTGTCACCAACCTGGAGTGCAGTGGCGCAATCTTAGCTCACTGCAACCTCCGCCTCCTGGGTTCAAGCGATTCTCTGCCTCAGCCTCCTGAGTAGCTGGGACTACAGGCGTGCGCCACCATGCACAACTAATTTTTGTATTTTTAGTACATACGGGGTTTCACCATGTTGGTCAGGATGGTCTCTATCTCTTGACCTAGTGATCCGTCTGCCTTAGCCTCCCAAAGTGCTGGGATTACAGGCGTGAGCCACCACGCCCGGCCTTTTTCCTAATATTCTATTTTGTTCTGTCAACTCACTTCTTTATCTTCCTGATGTCTGTCCATTTTTTCCCTGAGTTCTTATATTCCATCTTTGTAACTTTTCTTCAGAGAGGCAATTGCTTTCATTATTTAAAAAAAAATCGTCACCATCATAGGTCACCATATTTGGTCACCAAACATTTGGTCATCATCAGAAGTTGGGTTCCCTCTGAAGAAAACAAAGGTGTGAGGGCAAGTTGTAATTTGGGAGATAATCCCAAGAAACACTGGGGTGAGTTTGATAAACTGAGACCAGGAAGGGATGACAGTCAATGCAGAGTGCATGAATGAGCCAATTACTGCTATAACAAGTGGATCCCAACCCCTCTGAGTTCCTCTAGGAGACTTTGTAAAACAGGGATTATAAAACTTTAATACGCATACAAATCATCTGGGGATTTTTAGAAAACACGGGTTCTCATTCAGCAGGTCTGAGATAAGGTCTGAGATTCTGCATTTCTCATAAAACAATCCCAGACAATGCTGAGTAACAGGGATGCAGAATTCATCTCAGCACTGTCCCTCCCTCACATTTCCCAGGGTGAGGCAATTCCTGTCTATAATTGGATGAGGAATGTTCCTGGGGCTATAAGCTCTCTGGCACTTTCAGCTTGCTCTGCATGTCAGAAAATCAGTCAGAGAAAGCTGTCATTGAAGTCAAAGAGGCATGCAGCAAAAAGTCGTCAGCCTGTCTAGAAACTGAGTGCAAGGGGGATGATGCATCTCCTACTCACACTTTTCATCAGTTCTAAGGCAACATTTTTCTGGAGAATGTTCTTTATGTGTCAGTAAGTTTTACTCCTCTATCACACAATTTTTTGTATAATATCTCTGTGTCTGTTTTTTCTATTACTCATAATGAAATAGATTATATTCTCCTGAGGTCAGCTATTTCTAGTACAAGAAGTAAGGCTGGATAATGGGCAAGGGCAACTTCACAAATCAAAGGCTAAATCTCTGCTACTACCGTAAGGGCAAATTACTTCCTACAACTATGATTCACCTTTGTGATCCATTGTGCAGCCCCAGCTCCTTTACTTCTCTGACCCACATTGGGCCTTTCGAGCTTCTGCTACCAACCAAGCCAATTGACGCATTTCCTGCATCTATGGTTACAAACAATGAGTATCACTTTAGCACATCCAAGTAAGTCCCTCACCTTCTTTCAGTATATTTTTTCTGGAATTTTCTGAGATCTTCCTCTATTGGCTCTTCTCATCATTCTCAATGACTTATTCTGTTCACTACCTCCTGTACAGCTTATACTCAGCCTCAGCTTCATTTGATAGGCTTACATTAATGCATATAAATATAATACATATATATAAATATATTAATATAATGTATTTTGGAATATGAAGATTATTTGTCTCCTGGTTTCATTCAAAATAGGGTTTGTTCAACATTTTCTCCCCTTCTTGCTTTTTTAATATTTTCAGGAGGAAACAGAGAAAGGCACTCACACTATTAGTTTTCAAACACTAATTGAGTCATCTTATGTGCCAGGCTGATCGCAATGCAATTAAAAATGAATATGACATTGTCCCAGGCCTCAACTTGTTCCCAATCCTGTACATTGACTGTCAGTGCAACATGGGTAAAACCATTAGACTTCTCTAATCTTCAATTTTCCACATATGAAATCAAGATATTTAAATATTTTAGTATATAACATCTATAAGGCATGCTGTAGATGGATAAAATATTGTAAATTAATTTATACACATGTTGAGAGATGATTCTGGTATTTATTTAGCAGGATTTAAAGAATTTAGTTATCTAAATGCCAGTTAATATGTAGGAGAATAAGGAAACCCCAGTAAGAAAGAACAACTGTTTTTCACACTTGCTTAATATAGACAAGAGGCAATTGGTTTAAATTAGAGTAAAAGTTTTTAGTAGTTACATATTAGAAAAAATTATTTCACTTTTTATACTTTATTTTTTAATTGATCATAGTAATTATATATATTTATGGGGAATATAGTGACATTTCAATACGTATAATGTATAGTGACCAGATCAGAGTAATTAGTATATCCATCATCTCAAACTTATCATTTATTTCTGTTGGGAACATTTAATACCCTCCTTCTAGCTATTTGAACCTATATAATATATTATGGTTAACTACAGCCATCCTAGTGGTATAGAACACTGGAACTTATTCCTCCTATATAGCTATAATTTTGTATCCTTTAAACATTATTTTAAAGGTTGAAAGATATTAGAAGTTGTTTCGAAGAGTTTTCAGAAATGACTTGACAATTTCATGAGTTATTTTCAGTCTGGTCTTGCCTGAAGATGTGAACTAGATGGTTTTTCAGTATCCCAATAGTTGTGTGAGTTTAGGATAATATAAAGAAACACTTTTTTTTTTCTTGCTCTGTTGCCCAGGCTGGAGTGCAGTGACGCGATCTTGGCTCACTGCAACCTCTGCTTCCCAGGTTGACGCAATTCTCCTACCTCAGCCTCCCAAGTAGCCGGGACTACAGGTGCCCGCCACCAGGTCCAGCTAATTTTTTTGTATTTTTGATAGAGATGGGGTTTCACCATGTTGGCTAGGCTTATCTCGGACTCCTGACCTCAGGTGATCCACCTGCCCCAGCCTCGCAAAGTACTTGGATTACAGATGTGAGGGAACACTTCTTTTTATACTTCCTAGGTTCTTCCATATTTTCTTTTCAAAATCAGTTTTATTGAAGTATAATTAGCATTTTTCTTTTTCCTTTTAGTTGATATATAAAAATTGTACTTATGTATGGGCTACAGAGTGAACCTGTGATACCTGTATACAATGTGCAATGACCAAATCAAGGTAATTAGCATATCCATCACCTCAAATATTTACCATTTCTTTGTGCTGGGAACATTCAAAATCCTCTCTTCTAGGTCTTTGAAAATGTACAATAAATTATTGTTAACTACATTCACCCTACAGGGCTATATAGTGCTGGAACTTATTCCTCCTATCTAACTGTAATTTCGTATCCATTAACCAACCTCTCCCTATCCTCCCTCCCACCCTTCCCAGCCTCTAATAACCACAATTTACTGTCTACTTCTATGAGCTTAACTTTTCTTAGCTCCCACATATGAGTGAGAACATGCATTTTTATCTTTCTGTGCCTGGCTTATTTCACTTAATATAATGTCCTCCAAGCTCATCCATGTTGCCACAAATGACAGGATTTCATTTGTTTTATGGCTGAATAGTGTTCTGTTGTATATATGAGACACATTTTCTTTATTTATCTGTTGTTGGACATTTAGGTTGATTCCATATCTTGGCTATTGTAAATAGTATTGTAATAAACGTGAGGCTGTAGCTATCTGTTCAACATACTGATTTCCTTTTCTTTGGATAAATACCAAGTAGTGGGATTACTGGATCATATGGTAATTCTATTTTTAGTTTTTTGAGAAATATCCACACTGTTTTCCTTAATGTCTTTACTAATTTACAGCCATTTTCTCTGCATCCTCACCAGCATTTCTTATTTTCTGTCTTTTTGATAATAGCTATTCTAACTGGGATAAGATGATACCTCATTGTGGTTTTAATTTAAATTTCCCTGGTAATTAGTGATGTTGAGCATTTTTTCATACTTGTTCACCATTTGTTTGCCTTTTTCTGAAAAATCTCCATTCATATCCTTTGCCCATTTTAAAATAATATTATTGCTTTTTACTGTTGAGTTGTTTGAATTCCCCGTATATTCTTGATATTAGTCTTTTGGATAATTGATATTTTATAAATTGTGCGTGTTTTAAATGTATAATGTGATCAGGCTTTTTTTTTTTTTAAATCTGGCTTCATTTATTAAGCACGATGCTCTTGAGATTCATTCATGTTGTTATGTCCAAGCTTCTTTTGTGACAGCAAAACCCTTGGCAACAATTTGGTAAGTTTTAAACACATTAGCCAGGTGTGGTGGCTCACACCTGCAATCCCAGGCCGAATTGGGCAGATTGCTGGAGCCCAAGAGTTTGAGACCAGCCTGGGCAACAGGGCAAAACCCCATCTCTAGAAAATATATAAAAATTAGACAGGCATCGTGATGCGTGCCTGTGGCCCCAGCTACTCAGGAGGCTGAGGCAGGGGAATCACCTGAGTCTGGGAGGTCGAGGCTTCACTGAGCTGTGATTGTACCACTGCACTTCTACCTGGGCGACAGAGCGAGACTCTGTCTCAAAACAACAACAACAAAAACATGACTACAGTCAAGAAAATGAACATATTCATCGCTCTCAAAAATGATTTATTTGTAAACATCTACAATGGCTAGATGTCATGGAAAGGTAGATTTTTCACTCAATTGAAGTAATAATTGTATTATAATAATCAAATCTAATCTGAAAAAAAGCATGGACCACCAAAGATATGGATTTATTGTCATTTGAGATGTTCAGTGAGGTAGGAGTTTTAATTATGGTTCTCGAGTAAAACAGAACAACACACACACACACATGCACGAGAGATAGAGTGGTTATAAAGATCATAGAGTTGGCTGGGTGTGGTGGCTCAAGCCTGTAATCCCAGCACTTTGGGAGGCCGAGGCAGGTGGATCACCTGAGGTCAGGAGTTCGAGACCATCCTGGCTAACATGGTAAAACCCCGTTTCTACTAAAAATACAAAAAATTAGCCGGGTGTGGTGATGCTCACGTGTAATCCCAGCTACTCAGGAGGCTGAGGCAGAAGAATCGCTTGAACCCGGGAGGTGGAGGTTTGCAGTGAGCCGAGATCATGCCATTGCACTCCAGCTTGGGCAACAAGAGTGAAATCCCATCTCAAAAAAAAAAAATGATTATACAGTTATAGAGGCTGAGAAGTCCCATGATCTGCCGTCTGCAACCTGGAGACCCAAAAAGCTAGCGGTGCAGCTCCAGTCCAAGTCTAAAGGCCTGAGAACCAGGAGTACCAAAGCAAACCTATGCCAATTGCTTGTGCATGAACTATTTATAACTATTTTGAACTAAGAATAATTTGCAGCCCAGCAGTGGTATGTGGACCATGACTTAAGCAGCATTGAATTTGAAAATAAGCAAACTTGTTCTCTTACACACACACCACACAAATATACACACAAAAATAAGCTCTCGTTCTATGAACTTTTCTGTATTGCCACACTGAAGTTTCTAAGTATTTATATCTAAGAGAATATAGGTTTCCCAATCTTCTATCCTTGATGACACAGGGACAAAAACTGGCTTCTTCTATTACTCCATTTCCCTTGAGAGTTTTCCTACATTTTATAGCTAATAAGAAAAATGTTATAATTCTAAAAAAGAAAAACAACTAAGTCCTGTCTGTCGTATCACAGTGTTTTCCAGAATTACCTTGCAGCAAAAAATGCAAGGTCTACCAAAAAATTTAGTTAGACGTAAATCTTTGGTTCTTGGAAACCTAAAATTTTCCTTCTATTGCTTGGGTTCCTAGAAGACACTTTTTCCTCTAGACATGGATATTCCCATGGTGGGTCTACATATGTTTAACAAGTGGGAGACATAAACTTTTCTATGATCCCATTTTTGTCTTGAAGTTTTTCATTCTTCACTTATATCCCAGCATGTCAAACAGGAACTAACCACTATTATTTATTACTTAGAAATGGAAGAGCAACGGTAAGTATGTATATTCTTCTAGCCAACAATTAATTTTTATTTGACTGCAAGTGAGCCACTCATAGTTATTAAACACTGGCTATAATAAAAATAAATACAATTATTGCACAAGCATCATATATTATTAAACCATTTTTCAATGAACAGCTTTGAGTTTTTAGAATCATTGACTCTTGGACCTAGAAGACACTTTTAAAAATTCTATACCACAATCTAAATTTTTCAAAATCAATATTATAAACAGTACATTATCATTAAGATAATTTGGAAAATATACAAAGACAAAAAAATCACATCTAGTCCCATTATCTCAGTATAGACTCTTTGAGTATTACGTGTCCTTTCTTCTAGCTTACTTTTTATGCAAAAATGATTTGTTTATTAAAAATGTAACAGTAAGTAATACTACATACAATATTGTTTAATGATGTTTCTCTTAATATTAAAACAGAAGTATTTTTCTACACTATTACATAATCTTCACAAATGGCATTTTATATAGTTCTGCAATGCCGAGACCAGCTCGGTCGGTCGTGGACACCCTAACCCAGCGGCGCTAGAGGAATTAAAGACACACACACAGAAATATAGAGTGTGGAGTGGGAAATCAGGGGACTCACAGCCTTCAGAGCTGAGAGCCCCGAACAGAGTTTGACCCACCTATTTATTGACAGCAAGCCAGTGATAAGCATTGTTTCTATAGATTGTAGATTAACTAAAAGTATTCCTTATGGGAAACAAAGGGATGGGCTGAAACAAAGGGATGGGCTCTGGCTAGTTATCTGCAGCAGGAACATGTCCTTAAGGTGCAGATTGCTCATGCTATTGTTTGTGGTTTAGGAACGCCTTTAAGTGGTTTTCCGTCCTGAGTGGGCCAGGTGTTCCTTGCCCTCATTCCAGTAAACCCACAACCTTCAGCGTGGGCATCATGGCCATCATGAACATGTCACAGTGCTGCAGAGATTTTGTTTGTGGCCAGTTTTGGGGCCAGTTTATGGCCAGATTTGGGGACCTGTTCCCAACACTGCAAAATAATTTCTCTAGTGCTATATCACAGATTAAACATTCTTTTTTATCTTCTTTTAATTAATATTTAATGATACATTAATTTTCATGATCATAAATTACACTGAACTTAATAAATTATGCAAAAAATGATCTTGACTCTGCAATGTCACTTACACTAACTCTTTCATTTTTTATAACTGGTATGTTTTTCACTCTACAGGTAGAATAAAAATTAAAGTTTAGCCCAACCTGGTAACTCCATTAAGTCTTAATTTAAATAATTTAAACTGAGTTTTATTTGAATGGGCCCAGACTTCAGATTTTCCTTGCATCTACTATTGTTTCTAAGAAGTTCACAGGGTTTACTCTACCTCGTGGCATTGTGGGAAGACAGCGTTGTCCATAACGTGGTATTGATCCGGTCCCATCCTTGGGTACTCTATTGGCACTTGCTGCTGAAGATTTTGGCTGATGCAACTTGTGGACTGCTCTTCCAGACAACTTGGCTCTATCTTAGTTCTCAGGGGTGCCTATGAAACCCCTCAAGAAGTCTCAGTATGTGTCAGTTGGCTTTAGTAGCGTGATAAAATGTTTTTAAATTTAGTGGTTTAAAATAACTATCTAGCTCATGATTCTGCTGGGCACTTCATTGTCTGGACCAGGCTCAAGGAATTTCAGTTGGGTTGTTCATGCATTCATGGTTGGCAGGTCAATGGGTAACCAATTGGCCTCACCATTCAAATGTTTGGTGGTTGACACGTACAACGGGAGTTACTAGCCCATCTACCTTTGGTTATCTGGCGGGCTAGCTGGAGGTTTTCATGTCACCACTGAAAAAAAAAGCAGCTATTACAAAAGCAGACAGAGGGGAAAACTCCACTGCGCAATTGCTTTTCAAGTCACTTTTCAAGTTTACATAATATTTTCTAATGTCCCATTGGCTAAAGCAAGTGTAGGGGTACACTATTAAAGGGCATGGATAGATGGAAAGAAATAATTTGTGGCCATTTTTATAAATTACAACATACTGTGATTGCCATTCAGTCACCAAGTGGGCCAGGTGCTGTGGCTCACATCTGTAACCCCAGCACTTTGGGAGGCCGAGGCGGGCAGATCACCTGAGGTCAGGAATTCGAGACCACCCTGGACAACATGGTGAAACCCCGTCTCGACTGAAAATACAAAAACTTTTCTGGGCGTGGTGGCACGTGCCTGTAATCACAGCTACTCAGGAGGCTGAGGCAGGAGAATCGCTTGAACCCAGGAGGCAGATATTGCAGTGAGCTGAGATTGCACCACTACGCTCCAACCTGGGCAACATAGTGAGACTCTGTCTCAAAAAAAATAAAATTACCAAGTGCCATAGCAACCCACTCTGGTATACTACCTGATTAGACTAGGTAACCTGTTGGGGGCATGTGGAAATAGTGCCATTTAAGACCCAAGGGCAGCTTTGGAGTATTAGCTCTAGTTTTCTCTGTCTAACCACTCCATCGTCCCTTGTTTCTGGGATAAGTGGGGAAAAGACCCCACCTCAGGTTTATCTTCAACCTCTCCTATATACATCCTGTCCACCTGCCAGGATTCTTAGTTGCAGACAACAGGATCTGCTAATTTAGGCATAAAATACATATCAAAATATGTTAGGCAGATACTGTGAGAGGACCAAAGAATGGACCTATATACTGTAGTCCCAGGATCAAAGCACTGAGAGATAATACAGTCTGAGAAAACACACAATTATATCGCAAACCCACCACTCAAATCCTTTGACACTGGATGCCAAAAACTCCACCACAGCTGAAGATCAAATGCCTCAACCCCTGAACTTTCCAGATGATCCCCTCTTCCCACCTGCAACCACCAGCTCCTGTTGCTACCTCCAAGTTGAACACTGATGCTAAGAAATTGGGTCACATGCAGAACTCTAAAGGCAAGGAAATCTGAGATGTGTAGTTTTTAAATTTCCAACTACTTTTGTCCAGAAAAGTAAGCTAGAAAGTGGTTACAATGGATGCTAAGTGACCTAATCTGCAGTATCTGTTGTAGTTTCCTATTCCAAACCCCAAGGCTAGAGAAGGGAGATCAGGATATAAGAATATGCTACCCCACATTCATTTCTCCTACTCTTCCTACAATCTCATGAGCTTTCTACTAATGAAGTGAGTGGCTTTCTACTTTTGCTCTTGTATGTATTTGAGTAGTACATATCTACATTTCTTGAGGGCACTGAGTCTTAGTGGTGGATGAAGCATTTTGGGGGTAGGGTTCAGTAGAATAATAACCTGAAGCGCATATCCATGTGCAAATTATTTATGAAGGAAATTTTCTTGAAATAAACTGATAAAAAATATAGGAACAGAGCAGATAAGAAAGTAGGAGAAGGTTTGCAAGACTGCAATTGAGGCAAAGTCTTTAGGACAACCACAGCCTAATCCTGTGGGGTAACTCTGAAGTATGGTGCCTTAGAGTTTGTCCCAATCAGAGACAAGGGGGCTCAACTTTCATACTAGTGCATTCTTCAGCTGTTGGCTAAGGGCTTTCCCAGGAGTGTCGAAACATCTAAGTAGTTCTAGCTCTCTGCACCTGCCAGAAAAACTGACTTCAGGAGTCCAGTGACAGTCCTCCAACTGGTGGGTGGGAAGGAGGAGGTTGAAAGCAAAAGTTGGCATTGAAGTTGACAGATGGGTGTACAGAAACAATTTTTTTTTAACTACAAAGGAGGAGACCTAGAGGAAGCACAGTGGACAGTGCCCACTCTAGGTTATGTACTCATTACCATGAAGTCCCTGGGCCTGGGTTTTAATATGCATCCTGGTATAGTGACTTGGCATTCAATGTCTATTCCACCCTCCTTGGTTGTGCCCTCTTGTTCTTCAGTGGCTGGAAAACAAAAACTACATTTCCCAGGCTTACTTGCAATTAGAATCTTGGACGTGATTTAAAATCAGGCAATCGGATACTTCGATGCAAAATTTAGAAGGTGGAAGTGACACAAAGGCTGAGATTCTGCTGTTAGTACTAGGTTTTGGGGCAAGAATGATTTTTCAGGTATTTTATTTTCTGTGGCAGCATTAACAGTAGTCTCAGGACCCACTCATGATGTTGAGAAACAGGACTCAGGGCATTCATTTAGCTTGTATGAATCATAGCAGGAATGACACGCCTCTGGAGCTCACAGCAGCAGCTTCCTGATCATGGTGGTTTCCTGATGATGGCAATAACAACACAATTCTGGAGCCTGGAGCCCCCTGATCACGTAAGGGGCAGCAGCTGCCCTGATGGTCAGGTTCTATGATGAGTCTGTGGAAGGGAATATGCACAGACTATTGTGCATGACGGGGAGCCCCATATTTAATCACTCCTCACTCCACCAAGCTGTTTCTTCATATCAAGGCTTTCCCTTAATTCCACCCACAAGACCATTTGGAAAAGGCACCAGGCCTGGAGTTTGGGAGTGCAATGGGGATGTGACTGCTGGAAATTAGTCAATCTCCACCCATTTTCCTAAGATCTTCAGCACTGTTTATTCACTACCCTGATTTTACCTCTGCAAACACTCATACCAGGGATTGAACCTCTGAGGAGTTTGTCAGTTTTCTCCATACCTTTACAATATCTCTCAGAGATCAGTTTTGGCTAAGGGAGCTAGTTGTCTTAGTTGACCATCTTCATTGATACTTAAACTGGAACCCAAGGAATTATTTTGTAGAATAAGTTTTACAATCACTATGTTTATTCATGCTATCTTTACTGTTGAAGGTGTTTGAAATGTTTACACTGCTGATGAGGTGTCTGAAGTCTTCAAAAGGAAAACCAGTTACATTAAATTTGTTATTGGAGCTTAAATTGTTCAAAGAAATTTAATTAAGACACCATTTAATCTCTATGTGTTTAAGAAAAAAATGACTGCCAGATTTGTTCACTAGACATGTAAATAAAGCAAAATCCAAGTGATCTTTTTACTCTACACACAAAATCTCTCTGACTTTAAAGACTCCATCAAGAAATGGAAATACATTTAGTTAAATAAATATTGTAAAATTTTCAAGTATCCCAGTAATCAAAAATGCACATCAAGACAACAATAAAAGACTGTCATTCATTAACAAATTAGCAAAAGATACTTTGTCAGGATTCCTATTTTGGGTAATAGTGCAATGGATAAATGCTAGGAAAAAATCCTACGTTGCGGACAGAAAATACAGTAGTAAAACACTTTAGGAAGTGATATGAAATAAGTATCCAGAGTTAAAAATGTTCATGATGCAATTTAATTTCTGGGAATTCACCTTAAAGGAGTAGTTATAAATATTTACAACAGAGATGCTACTTTAAAATATGTTAATATGATTTAATATATGACTGTTTTAGGTGGCCAGATGCATCCATATGTGTAGCGTGAGGGATGTGGAGGTTGGGATATTATAGCAGGAAAGCAAAGATTAAAAGCAGCCCATTTTCTTTTCATTTATCAACTTTTATTTTAGGTCAGGGGATACATGCACAGCTTTGTTCTATGGGTAAATTGTGTCTTGGGGTCTTGAGATACAAATGATCCCATCACCCAGGTAGTGGGCATAGCACCCAATAGGTAGTTTTTCAACATTTGCTTCCCTTACGCCCTCCCTCCTCTAATAGTACCCACTGTCTATTGTTTCCATCTTTTAAAAAAAATTTTATTTTTAATTTTTGTGAGTACATAGTAGGTGTATATATTTACAGGTTACATGAGATATTTTGATAAAGGCATGCAATGAATAATAATCACATCAGAGCAAATGTAATATCCATCACCTTAAGTATTCATTCTTTGTATTACAAATAATCCAATTATACTCTTAGTTATTTTAAAATGTACAATTATTATTGACTATAGTTGCCCTGTTGTGTTATCAAATAGTAAGTCTTATTCATTTTTTCTAACTCTATTGTTTCCATCTTTATGTCCTTGTATTGTCAATGTTTAGCTTCCACTTACAAAAGTGAGAACATACAGTATTTGATTTTCTGTTTCTGTGTCAATTCTCTTAGGATAATGGCCTCCAGCTGCAACCATGTTGCTGCAAAAAAAAAAAAAAAAAACCAACAAAAAAAACATGACTTTGGGTTTTTTTATGGCTGCATACTACTCCATGGTGTATATGTACCACACATTTTGTTCATCCAGTTCACCATTGATGGGCATTTAGTTTCATTCCATGTCATTGCTATTGTAAATAGTGCAAGCAGCCAATTTTGAAGTTTTGACTGCTAACAGAATTTCTGAGTTGAGAAAACTTTTCAGTTTGTCTGATCACCACCACAACTAAAGCAAAAGTTTTGTAATACGAATGCAAAAGACAAAAGCACATTGATATAGATTTTGAGGGGAGAAGATTTTTTAAATTCTTATAATTCCCTTTAGCATGTTGTTTTTAAATTTTTAATTGACAAAATTGTATATATTAGACATTTATGAGGTACAATGTGATGTTTAGATATATATTTACAATATAAAATGATTAAATCATTTGCTAATTAACAAATCTGTAACTTCACACACTTTTTTGTTGTGAAAACATTTTAAATCTCCTCTTTTAGTAATTTTGAAGTATATGATGCATTATTATTTATTATAGTCACCATTCTATGCAATAGATCACTAAAGCTTATTCGTCCTGTTTAACTAAAATTGTCACCCTTTGATCAACATTTCCCCTTTCCCCATTCACTCCTCTTACTCAGCATCTGGCAACCACCACTTGATTCTCTACTTTTATGAGTTCAACTTTCTTAGATCCTTTAGCATATTGTCTAGGTCAGGGTTCAGTTGTACAAGGCAGACTGCACTTTAGCTAGCTCAAGCAGGAAGGAATTTGTATTAGTCCATACTCATGCTACTATGAAGAAATACCCGAGACTGAGTAATTCATAAGGAAAAGAGGTTTAATTGACTCACAGTTCTGTATGGTTGGGAAGGCCTCAGGAAACTTAAAATCATGGCAGAAGGGGAAGCAGGCACTTTCTTCACAAGGCAAGGAGAAGTGCCCAGCAGCAAAGGTGGAAGAGCCCCTTATAAAAAACAACAGATCTTGTGAGAACTCCCTCACTATCAAGAGAACAGCATGGGGGAACCACCCCCATGATCCAATTTATCTCCACCTGATCCCACCCTTGACCCGTAAGGATTATTACAATTCAAGGTGAGATTACAATTCAAGGGACACAGAGCCAAACCATATCAGAATTCATTATAGAATTGTGGTAGGAGCTGAAGAAAAAAACTCTAGTTTGAGTTTTCAGGAACAACTTCTACAGACTCACCATGGAACCTGGCTATCAGGGCAGCTGCTGCCTCTTATGTGATCAAGAGGCTCCTGGTTCCAGAACTGTGTTGTTATTGCCATCATCAGGAAACCACCACGATCAAGAAACTGCTGCTGTGAGCTCCAGAGGTGTGCCATTCCTGCTATGATTCATACAAGCAAAATGAATGCCCTGAGTCCTGTTTCTCAACATCATGAGTGGGTCCTGAGACCTCTGTTAATGCTGCCACAGAGGAGTGATTAAATGTGGGGCTCCCCATCATAAGGGGCATATTCCCCCCACAGTGACTTCTTGAAACTCATTTGAGCTAATGCAGATTGAGACCTGACCTCTGACCCTTTCCCCATAGCCGTCAATGAAAAAAAGTAGCTCATATTCCAAGAAATATGTCAACAGGCCAATACATCAAGATATCTGAAGAAGAGGATTCTTTCAAGAGAAAAGTGTTTGAAAAGATTTCATCTAAAGCAGAAATATTACAACACAGCGAACACTTGTTTTTAAAAAGAATAATAAACATAATACAATATATCTTTTTATGAAAGACACACCTAAATCATCAAGGACATGCAAAGGTTGAAAGTGAAAGGATAAAAGAAGTCATATAAGGCAAATACTTAACAAGAGAAGCCCAGTATATATGTTAGTATCAGACAAAATAGATTTTTTTTTCAAGCAAAGCATTATTAGAGTGAGAGCAGGTAGGTACAAATGACATTCATTTTGCCAAAAAAGTATAGAAATTTTTAACTATGGATGAACCTAATAAAATAGCTTCAAAATATGTAGAGATAAAATTGATAGAACAACAAAAGCAAAAAAAAAAAAAAAGAAATTGATGCCATCATGGTGGGAGATTTCAACATACCTCTCCCAATTATCAATAGCTTAAGGAGATAAAATTCAGAAAGCATATAACAAGTCTAAATAATGCAATTAAAAATCGTGATCTAATAGACCTACATAGAACTTTGCATCCAGAAATTTGAGAACTTGCATTCTTTTAAAAAATGTATTTTGTAAATGAGACAGTAAAAAAAACTGGATAATGTACTGAGCCACAAAATGAACCCTAATAAATTTCAAAGCATAGGTATTATGCAGATTATTTTCTCTGACAACTCGATTAAGTTAGAAAGACAACAAAAATAACAAATATACTTACTACTGCAAGACAATTTTCCATGGGTCTTATATTTCTGCATGTCTTATGAGCAGAGGCACTGACTGGCTTTTTCTCAGGCCATCTTTTCAAGGATATTTGTATACTAGACAGCTTTGGAAGATAAAGATAGCATCTCCCTCTAGAGCAAAGGGCAAGCATGCTTACTGTACAGTATAAAAGATCTGAGTTTCTTAAGCTCTGAATTCTTTCCTGTAACACAACTCGCTGTAAATGCACATGTCACCTGGCTCTCTTCATCACCCTGGTGAAATTGGGGTTTGAGGACTCAGCACATGAAAATGCTGATACACTGACCACTGCTAATGCTGTGTTTTATAAGGTCCTTTGTCACTGACCTAGCAGTCTCAAATCTGTTCATCAATATTAACTTGTTATCTTCTAAGTAGGGTAAAATCTCAGATCCTTCATGATGGGTTGATATCCATGTTTTCAGAAATTTTAAAAACACACTGATAAGTAACTCATAATGAAAATTGTGATATGTTTAAAAGAAAATTATAATAAAAATACTGTATATCAAAACTTAAGGCACATAGGAAAAGCAGTGCTTTGAAGGAAGTGTTATAGCCTTAAATACTTATTTTAGGGGGAAAAGCTATGAAGTAATTAGACATCTGAAAGAGAATATTAGACTAAACATAAAAAAAGCAGACGAATAATAAAAAGAGTGTAAATCAATGAAATAGGAGTGACGTGCAAAAATGCAACAAAGACAAAAATTGGGCTTTTGGGAAAAAATTACAAAATAAGTATACTTTCAGCAAGATTCATAAAGAAAAGAAGGCAGAGAAAGAGAAAGAGAGGAGGCACCAAAGTAAAAATGATAAATGAAAAATAACCAAACTTAGATAAAGCAGAGAATAAAAAGATAATAAGCACACATCAACTTTAATGCATTAGGCAAAATGGACAAATTTCTAGAAAAATATAATTAGCAGAACTGATTTGAGAAACACATTATAAGCTTCAATGGTCCTGTTAATATTAAATAAATTAAAGCAATAATTTCAAATCTCTTTTAAAGCAAATACCAATCTCAAAACAGATAATCTTAATCTCATTCAAATGCTTTCAGAGAATATAAAAAGAAAAAAAGGGATTCCTTCCCTAACTCATCTATTAATCCTGCATATATCTGAGATCAAAAATGCATAAAAGCAGTACAAAAAAGGAGCATAACAAACCTATTTTGCTCATTAATATAGACTTAAAAAAATAGCGTTTGCAAAAATCCTCAACAAAATACTAGCAAGCCAAATCCAGCTGCACATCAAAAAGCTAATCCACCACGATTAAGTAGGCTTCATCCCTGGGGCACAAGGTTGGTTCAACATATGCAAATCAATAAATGTGATTCATCACATAAACAGAACTGAAAAACACATGATTATCTCAATAGATGCAGAAAAGGCTTTTGGTAAAATTCAACATCTCTGTATATTAAAAACCCTTAACAAACCAGGCATTGAAGGAACATACTTCAAAATAATAAGAGCCACCTATGATAAACGCACAGCCAACATCATACTGAATTGGCAAAAGTTGGAAGCATTCCCCTTGGAAACTGGAATAAGACAAGGATGCCCTCTTTAACCACTCCTATTCAACATAATTTTGGAAGTCCTAGCCAGAACAATGAGGCAAGAGAAGGAAATAAAAGGCATCCAAATAGGAAGGAAGGAAGTCAAACTATACTTGTTTGCAGATGACATAATCCTACACCTAGGAGGCCCCATAGTCTCTGCCCAAAACCTCCTTGATCTGATAAACAATTTCAGCAAAGTTTCAGGATACAAAATCAATGTACAAAAATCAGTAGCATTCCAATCTGAGAGCCAAATCAGAAAATTATCCCATTCACAATAGCCATGAAAAGAATAAAATACCTAGGAATACAGGCAACCAGATAGATGAAAGATTTCAACAATGGGAATTACAAAACACTGCTCAAAGAAATCATGGCAGGGAGCAGTGGCCCACACCTGTAATCCCAGCACTTTGAAAGGCCAAGGCGGGTGGATCACCTGAGGTCAGGAGTTTGAGACCAGCCTGGCCAACATGGTGAAACCCCATCTCCACTAAAAATACAAAAATTAGCTGGGAGTTTTGGTGGGCACCTGTAATCCCAGCTACTCTGGAGGCTGAGGCAGGAGAATTGCTTGAACCCAGGAGGCAAAGGTTGCAGTGAGCCAAGATCACAACATTGCACTGCAGCCCGGGTGACAAGAGTAAAACTCCATCTCAAAAAAAAAAAAAAAAAAGAAATCAGAGATGACACAAACAAATGAAAAAACATTCTATGCTCATGGATAGGAAGAATCAATATCTTTACAATGGCCACACTGCCCAAGGCAATTTACAGATTAAATGCTATTCCTGTCAAACCACCAATGACATTCTTCACAGAATTAGAAAAATCTATTTTGACATTTATATGGAACCAAAATAGAGCCTGAATAGCCAAGGCAATTATAAGCAAATATAACAAAGCTGGTGTCATCACGTTAGCTAACTTCAAACTATACTACAGGGCTACAGTAACCAAAACAGCACGGTTGGTACAAAAACAAACACACTGGCCAATAGAACAGAATAGAGAGATCAGAAATAGTTCTATATACCTACAACCATTTGATCTTCAACAAAGTCAACAAAAACAAGCAATGGGGAATGGACTCCCTATTCAAAAAATAGTGCAGGGATAGCTGGTTAGCCATATGCATAAGACTGAAACTGGACCCCTTCCTTATACAATAATACAGAAATCAACTCAAGATGGATTAAAGGCTTAAATTGCAGAAGATTGGAACTGGACCCTTTCCCTATACCATATACAGAAATCAACTCAAGATGGATTAAAGACTTAAATGTAAAACCTAAAATTTTTAAAACCGTAGGAGAAAATCTAGGAACTACCATTCTGGACATAGTAACGGGAAAAGATTTCATGGCAAAGATGCCAAAAGCAATTACAAAAAAAAAAAAATTGACAAATGGGACCTAATTAAACTAATGAGCTTCTCTGCACAGCAAAAGAAACTATTAACAAGGTAAACAGACAGCCTACAGAATGGGAGAAAATATTTGCAAACTATGCCTCTGACAAAGGTTTAATATCCAGAATCTATAAGGAACTTAAGCAAATTTACAAGTAAAAAAAAAACCATTACAAAGTAGACAAAGGACATTAATACTTTTCAAAAGAAGATGTATATATGGCCAAGAAACATATGAAAAAAAGCTCAATATCACTGATCACTAGAGAAATGCAAATCAAAACCACAAGGAGATACCATCTCACATCAGTCAGAATGGCCATTATTAGAAAGTCAAGAAATAGCAGATACTGGTGAGGTTGCAGAGAAAAGACAACACTTATACACAGCTGGTGGGCGTGTAAATTAGTTTGGCCATTGTTGAAAGCAGTGTGGTGATTCCTCAAAGATCTAAAGACAGAATTACCATTCAACTCAGCAATCCCATTATTGAGTATATACCCAGTGGAATATAAATCATTCTACCATAAAGACACAGGCCGGGCATGGTGGCTTGGCCAGGCACGGTGGCTCATGCCTGTAATCCCAGCACTTTGGAAGTCCAGGGTGGGTGGATCACCTGAGGTCAGAAGTTTGAGACCAGCCTGGCCAACATAGTGAAACCCCATCTCTACTAAAAATACAAAAATTAGACAGGCATTGTGGTGTGCTCCTATAGTGCCAGCTACTCTGGAGGCTGAGGCAGGAGAATCACTTGAACCCGGGAGGTAGAGGTTGCAGTAAGCTGAGATTGTGCTACTGCATTCCAACCTGGGTGACAGAGTGAGACTCTGCCAAAAAAAAAAAAAACCCACACATGCACACATATGTTTATCGCAGCACTACTTACAAAAGCAAAGACAAGAAATCAACCTACATGCCCGTCAATGATAGACTGGATAAAGGAAATGTTGTACATGTACACCATGAAGTACTACACAGTCATAAAAAAGAACGAGATCATGTCCTTTGCAGCAACATGGATGGAGCTGTAGACCATTATCCTAAGCAAATTGGTGCAGAAACAGAAAAGCAAATACTGCATGTTCTCACTTATAAGTGAGAGCTAAACAACAAGAACACATGGACAAAAAGAGGGGAACAACAGACACTGGGACCTACTTGAGGGTGGAGGGTGGGAGGAGGGAGATAATAAAAAGAAAAACCTATCACGTTCTATGATTATTACCCAGTTGACTAAATAATCTGTACAGCAAACCCCCATGACACGCAGTTTACCTACATCCTGCACATGTATCCCTTGACAGTGGTCTTGGCAAAAATTTTTTGGACATGACACCAAAAGCACAGGCAATAAAAGCAAAAACAGATAAGCGAGATTCCATCAAACTGAAAAACTTCTGCACGGCAAAGGAAACAATCAACGAAATGAAAGACAACCTAAAGAATGGGAGAAAATATTTGCAAACTAGCTGATAAGCAGTTGATATCCAAAATATGTAAATAATTCATACAACTCAATAGCAAAAATAATAATAATAGGCTGAGCGTTTTGCTCACGCCTGTAATCCCAGCACTTTGGGAGGCCAAGGCGGGCAGATCACCTGAGTTTGAGATCAGCTTGACCAACATGGAGAAACCCCTCTCTACTAAAAACAGAAAATTAGCCAGGCGTGGTGGCAGATGCCTGTAATCCCAGCTACTCGGGAGGCTGAGGCAGGAGAATCGCTTGAACCCGGGAGGCGGAGGTTGCTGTGAGCCGAGATTGAGCCACTGCACTCCAGCCTGGGCAACAAGAGCAAAACTCTGTCTCAAAAAATAATAATAATAATAATAATGATGAAGAAGAAGAAGAAGAAGAAGAAGAAGAAGAAGAAGAAGAAGAAGAAGAAGAAGAAGAAGAAGAAGAAGAAAAGAAGAAGAAGAAGAAGAAGAAGAAGAAGAAGAAGAAGAAGAAGAAGAAGAAGAAGAAGAGAAGAGAAGAAGAAGGAAGAAGAAGAAGGAAGAAGAAGAAGAAGAAAAAATAACAAATAACCCAATTTAAAAATGGTGAAAGACTTGAATAGACATTTCTCAAAAGAAGACATACAAATGGGGAACAGGTATATGAAAAGGGGCTCAATATCACTAATCATCAGGGAAATGCAAATTGAAACCACAGTGAGATAACACCCTACACCTGTAAGAATGGCAATTCCCAAAAAGACAAAAGAAAACAAGTGTTAGCAAGAATGTGGAGAAAAGGGAAGCCTTATACACTATTGGTAGCAATGTAAATTGGTACAGCAATCACAGAAAATTGTATGGGGGTTCCTTGAAAAATAGAACTACCATAATACTCAGCAGTCTCGCTTCCAGATATATATCCAAAGGAAATAAAATCTCTATCTTTAAAAGATATCTCCATTTCCATGTTCATTGCAGCATTATTCACAATAGCCAAGAAACTAAAATAATTTAAATAAAGGGTGAAATATATATATGTTATATATATGTAATATATATGCCCATATATTAGTTATATATAATATATATGCAATATATATGCCCATATATTAGTTATATATAATATATATGCCCATATATACTATATATTATATATGCCCATATATAGTTTGCAAATATTATATTACCATATATATAATATATATGTCATATATATATAAAATGTTGGAATATTATTCAGCCTCAAAAAGAAGGAAATTTCGTATTTGTGACAACATAGATGGACCTGGAGGATGTTATGATAACTGAAATAAGCTAGATACAGAAATACAAATACTGTATGATCTCATTTACATATGAAGTCTAAGACAGTCAAATTCTTAGACGTAGAGAGTAGAATGGTGGATGCCAGTGAGAGAGGTAGCGGGGAAATGGAGAGCTTTTGGTCAAAGGGTACAAAGTTTCAGTCATGCAAGATGAATAAGTTCTGGAGATCTAATGTACAGCATAGTGACTACAGTTAACAGTACTGTGTTGTATGCTTGAAATTAGTGAAGAGAGCAGATCTTAAGTGTCCACAACACACACACAAAAGAATGGTAACTATGTGAGGTGATTGAATGTGTTGCTTAACTTTTTATTTTATTTATTTATTTTTTTGAGATGGAGTCTTGCTCTGTCGCCCAGGCTGGAGTGCATTGGTACAATCTCGGCTCACTGCAACCTCCGCCTCCTGGGTTCAAGCGAGTCTCCTGCCTAAGCCTCCCGAGTAGCTGGGATTACAGGCACGCACCACCACACCCAGCTAATTTTTGCATTTTTAGTAGAGACGGGGTTTCATCATGTTGGTCAGGCTGGTCCTGAGCTCCCGACCTCAGGTGATCTCCCAAAGTGCTGAGATTACAGGCGTGAGCCACCGTGCCCAGCAGTGTTGCTTAACTCAATTGTGGTAATCATTTCACAATGTATATACATATCAAATCCATCACTTTGTACATCTTAAATATATTAGGTTGGTGCAAACGTAGTTGCAGTTTTTGAATTGTTGGAATTTGCCATTTGATATTGGAATAAATTCTTAAATAATGTGGTTATGTTATACATAATTTTAATGGGCTTTTCTCGCTTTATGATTTTGTTTTGTTTTGTTTGTTAAAGCAAATTTAAGCGATTTTCTTATTCGAGTTCAAAACGGGTCATAAAGCAGCAGAGACAGCTTGCAACATCAACAGCGCACTTGGCCCAGAAACTGCTAACGAATGTACAGTGCGGTGGTGGTTCAAGAAGTTTTGCAAAGGAGACAATAGCTTTGAAGATGAGAGGCATAGTGGCTGGCCATCAGAAGTTGACAATGACTGATTGAGAGCAATCATTGAAGCTGATCCTCTTACAACTACACGAGAAGTTGCCGAAGAACTCATCGTGGACCATTCCACGGTCCTTCGGTATTTGAAGCAAATCGGAAAGGTGAAAAAGCTCGATAAGCGGGTGCCTCGCGAGCTGGGCAAAAATTTTTAAAAATCATTGTTTTGAAGTGTCTTCTTCTCTTATTCTACGCAACAACAACGAACCATTTCTCAATCGGATTGTGACCTGCAACGAAAAAGGATTTTATACGACAACCGGTGATGCCCAGCTCAGTGGCCAGACCGAGAAGAAGCTCCAAAGCACTTCCCAAAGCCAAACCTGCGCCAAAAACAGGTCATGGTCACTGTTAGGTGGTCTACTGCCAGTCTGACCCACTACAGTTTCCTGAATCCCAGTGAAACCATTACATCAGATAACTGTGCTCAGCAAATCAACGAGAAGCACCAAAAACTGTAACATACGCAGCCAGCATTGGTCAATAGAAAGGGCCCAATTCTGCACAACACCGGACCGCACATCACACAATTGAGGCTTCCAAAGCTGAACGAATTGGACTATGAAGTTTTGCCTCATCTGCCATATTCACCTGACCCCTTGCCAACCGACTACCACTTCTTCAGCCATCTCAACAACTTTTTTTGCGGGGAAAACGCTTTCACAACCAGCAGGATGCAGAAAATGCTTTCCAAGAGTTCGTCGAGTCCCAAAGCACAGATTTTTACGCTACAGGAAAAAAACAAAAACCTTTATCATTGGCAAAAATGTGCTGATTGTAATGGTTCCTATTTTGATTAATAAAGATGTGTTTGAGCCTAATTATAATGATTTAAAATTCACTTTCCAAAACCAAAATTACTTTTGCACCTATGTAATACACAATTTTATTTGTCCGTAATACCCACATGAGTATAATTGACTATCTTTGACAAAGGAACAAAAGCAATACAATGGTGAAAACAGACTCTTTTCAAAAAATGGTATTGAAGCAACAAGACATGCAAAAATATGAATCTAGACAGACCCTACACCTTTCACTAAAATTAACCTAAAATGGATCATAGACCTAAATATAAAACACAAAACTATAAAACTTCTAGAAGATATCATAGGAGAAAATCTAGATAACCTTGGGCATGATTATGATATTTTAGATCCAACACCAAAGGCATGAGCCATGAAAAAAATATTGATAAATGTTGCACTTTGTTGAAATCATGAAAGCTTTTGCTCTGAGAATGATACTGTCATCAGAATGAGAAAATAAGCCACAGATAGGAAGAAAATATTTGCAGGAGACATGATTAAAGACTGTTATTCAAAGTGTATGAAAAAGCTGAAGTCAACAATATGAAAAAGAACAACCCAATTTACAAATGGGCAAAAGATCTGAACATGCTCCTGAGCAAAGAAGATATACAGATGGCAAATAAGCACATGAAAAATGTTCCACATCATGTGTTATTAGGGTATTACAAATCAAAACAACGGTGAAATGCCACTACATACCTATTAGAATGGCCACAATGAAAAACGTTGACAGCACCAAATGCTGGTGGGGTTATGGAGCCACAGAAGCTCTCATTCATTGCTGGTAGGTATGCAAAATGATATTAAATACAGCCACTTTGGAAGATAGTTAGAAGTTTCTTACAAAACTAAATATACTCCTACCATATGATCCAGCAATCACACTCCTTGGTATTTATCCAAAGAAGTTTAAAACTTATGTCCACATAAAAACCTTCACATTAATGTTTATAGCAGCTTTATTCATAATTGCCAAAACTTTAAAGCAACCAAGATGTTCTTCAGTAGTTACATGGATAAACTGTGATTTCTTTTTAGCTGTGAATAATATTTCATTGTCTAGACACACCACAGTTTATAATAATTTCATTGAAAGATGCATCAGCAACAAGACATGAAAAGAAATGGAGGAACTTTAAATGCATATTACTAAGAGAAGGAAGCCAATTTGAAAAGGCTACATACTGCATGATTTCATCTATGTGACATTCTGGAAAAGGCAAAGCTATAGAGGTATAAAAAAATTCATGGTTGCCAAGAATTGAGGGAAAGGAGGGATGAATAGGCAGAACACAGAAGATTTTAGGGCAACAAAACTACTTTGTATGATTCTATAATGGTGGATACATGTCATTATATATTTGCCAATACCCACAGAATGAACAACACCAAGAATGAGCGCTAATGTAAACTATAGACTTCGGATGATGAGCTGTCAATGTAGGTTTATCAATAGTAACAAAGTAATATAGGGTATATGGGAACTTACTGTATCTTCCACTCAATTTTGCTGTGAACATACATTTTCTCTAAAACAATAAAGTTCAGTTCTTTAAAAGGAGAAAAAAATGAGTTGAAGGCCTGTATAAGCATTTTACAGAAGAGGAGATACCTATAGCCATTAAACATATAAAAGGATTTTCAGCTTTGTTGGTGGTCTGGAAAATATAAATTAAAGCCAAATGAAATACCATGTTTTTTCTTTTTTTTATTATTATTATACTTTAAGTTTTAGGGTACATGTGCACAATGTGCAGGTTAGTTACATATGTATACATGTGCCATGCTGGTGTGCTGCACCCATTAACTCGTCATTTAGCATTAGGTATATCTCCTAATGCTATCCCTCCCCCCTCCCCCCACCCCACAACAGTCGCCAGAGTGTGATGTTTCCCTTCCTGTGTCCATGTGTTCTCATTGTTCAATTCCCAGCTATGAGTGAGAACATGCGGTGTTTGGTTTTTTGTCCTTGCGATAGTTTACTGAGAATGATGATTTCCAATTTCATCCATGTCCCTACAAAGGACATGAACTCATCCTTTTTTATGGCTGCTTAGTATTCCATGCTGTATATGTGCCACATTTCCTTAATCCAGTCTATCATTGTTGGACATTTGGGTTGGTTCCAAGTCTTTGCTATTGTGAATAGTGACGCAATAAACATACGTGTGCATGTGTCTTTATAGCAGCATGATTTATAGTCCTTTGGGTATATACCCAGTAATGGCATGGCTGGGTCAGATGGTATTTCTAGTTCTAGATCCCTGAGGAATCGCCACATTGACTTCCACAATGGTTGAACTAGTTTACAGTCCCACCAACACTGTAAAAGTGTTCCTATTTCTCCACATCCTCTCCAGCACCTGTTGTTTCCTGACTTTTGAATGATTGCCATTCTAACTGGTGTGAGATGGTATCTCATTGTGGTTTTGATTTGCATTTCTCTGATGGCCAGTGATGATGAGCATGTTTTCATGTGTCTTTTGGCTGCATAAATGTCTTCTTTTGAGAAGTGTCTGTTCATGTCCTTTGCCCACTTTTGGATGGGGTTGTTTGTTTTTTTCTTATAAATTTGTTTGAGTTCATTGTAGATTCTGGATATTAGCCCTTTGTCAGATGAGTAGGTTGCGAAAATTTTCTCCCATTCTGTAGGTTGCCTGTTCACTCTGATGGTAGTTTCTTTTGCTGTGCAGAAGCTCTTTAGTTTAATTAGATCCCATTTGTCAATTTTGTCTTTTGTTGCCATTGCTTTTGGTGTTTTAGACATGAAGTCCTTGCCCATGCCTATGTCCTGAATGGTAATGCCGAGGTTTTCTTCTAGGGTTTTTATGGTTTTAGGTCTAACGTTTAAGTCTTTAATCCATCTTGAATTAATTTTTGTATAAGGTGTAAGGAAGGGATCCAGTTTCAGCTTTCTACATATGGCTAGCCAGTT
The DNA here is from genome assembly GCF_000001405.40 of Homo sapiens. Classification (NCBI taxonomy): domain Eukaryota; kingdom Metazoa; phylum Chordata; class Mammalia; order Primates; family Hominidae; genus Homo; species Homo sapiens. Next base: position 30,545,673 of record NC_000023.11, read on the forward strand.
TTCCCAGCACCATTTATTAAATAGGGAATCCTTTCCCCATTGCTTGTTTTTCTCAGGTTTGTCAAAGATCAGATAGTTGTAGATATGCGGCATTATTTCTGAGGGCTCTGTTCTGTTCCATTGATCTATATCTCTGTTTTGGTACCAGTACCATGCTGTTTTGGTTACTGTAGCCTTGTAGCATAGTTTGAAGTCAGGTAGTGTGATGCCTCCAGCTTTGTTCTTTTGGCTTAGGATTGACTTGGTGATGCGGGCTCTTTTTTGGTTCCATATGAACTTTAAAGTAGTTTTTTTCCAATTCTGTGAAGAAAGTCATTGGTAGCTTGATGGGGATGGCATTGAATCTATAAATTACCTTGGGCAGTATGGTTCGATATACGCAAATCAATAAATGTAATCCAGCATATAAACAGAACCAAAGACAAAAACCACATGATTATCTCAATAGATGCAGAAAAGGCCTTTGACAAAATTCAACAACCCTTCATGCTAAAAACTCTCAATAAATTAGGTATTGATGGGATGTATCTCAAAATAATAAGAGCTATCTATGACAAACCCACAGCCAACATCATACTGAATGGGCAAAAACTGGAAGCATTCCCTTTGAAAACTGGCAGAAGACAGGGATGCCCTCTCTCACCACTCCTATTCAACATAGTGTTGGAAGTTCTGGCCAGGGCAATCAGGCAGGAGAAGGAAATAAATGGTATTCAATTAGGAAAAGAGGAAGTCAAATTGTCCCTGTTTGCAGATGACATGATTGTATATCTAGAAAACCCCATTGTCTCAGCCCAAAATCTCCTTAAGCTGATAAGCAACTTCAGCAAAGTCTCAGGATACAAAATCAATGTACAAAAATCACAAGCAATCTTATACACCAATAACAGACAAACAGTGAAATACCATTTTGTATATACTCCATTGGCCATAAATTTAAAGTTTTACCATGTCAAGATTTGGCAAAGATGTTGCTTGACAAGACATCTTATATATTGCTATTGATAATGAATGGATTTCTCTCTCACTTTGATTTGAAAATTCATGTAACCTATGACCCAGCAATTCAACTCCTAGGTGTACACCCAGGAGAAACTCAGTCTCTCTGTCTCTGTCTCTCTCTCTGTCTTTGTCTCTCTCTCTCTCTCACATACACACACACACACACACACACACACACACACACACACACACAGTGCCACCAGGCCAACAGTTAGTGAAAGCAGTGGGAAACCTAAAAAATGTTAAGTGAGGTGTATATGAAACATGTATGGGATAAAGATGCTCAGAGAAATATTAACATTCTTACTACAAAGTTGAATACTGTGTATCTACTTTCATATATCTATTTTATTGTATGGTAATGCTTTTCATTTTGTACTAAACTTTTGTATGAGAAAGGAATTGTATTAAGTGTAACTAAGAACTGGATTCTCATTTCTCAAGAAAATATGGTGAATGAGTAACTTTTGAGAAAATATGTATTAACGTTTGTCATCAATCTTGGGGGTTACAATGTTATTACTGAGTACATGAAAACACAAATCTGCTGAAAAAGCATCAGTAAGTACCACAAAACGTTATACTTATTTAAAAAGACTATACCTGAAGAAGATCAAAGGTATATGACACCATCACTTTTCATTGAGATCAAATACCCATGTGAAATTAATTGTGATAATTTTCAGTGCTGAGTTTTCTTGTCATGTACAAAAAAAGATAATGCAATAGTTATAAATATGCTTTTACCGTGAACATAAGAGAAATTTCTCTCTTTCATCCGGGGTTAAATAACCCCAGACGTTTCAAGTAGAAAATAGGTTAATTTCAATAGTGGTTTCTTTCCATTCAATTTATGTAATTAAAGTAAAGCTTTTAAGTGTTCATTCTATTGAAGATAAAACATCTGACAATGTCAGTATTATTGCAAATTCAATTAAAAAGTTAAACTTTGAAGAAAAAGTTTTTACTTTTGAGGGGATGAAATGATTACTAATTTTGCTAGGGCACAGCATCATAGTAAAAGCAATGTTCTCACTAAATTAAGGAACTTTGAAAGCAAGAAAATACAATAGGTCAAGTGAACACAAAACTTTTAATTGCATCCAAACAAGAAGTAATACTCTACCAGTTGAAATGAAAGCTATTAATATTAAAAGTATTTTTATAGGCCGGGCGCAGTGGCTCACGCCTGTAATCCCAGCACTTTGGGAGGCCAAGGCGGGTAGATCACCTGAGTTCAGGAGTTCGAGCCCAGCCTGACCAACATGGAGAAACCCTGTCTCTACTAAACATACAAAATTAGCCGGGCGTGATGGCACATGCCTGTAATCACAGCTACTCAGGAAGGCTGAGGCAGGAGAATTGCTTGAACCCGAGAGGCAGAGGTTGCGGTGAGCCAAGATCGCACCATCGCACTCCAGCCTGGGCAACAAGAGTGAAACTCCGTCTAAAAAAAAAAAAAAAAAAAAAAAAAAAAATGCCGGGTGCCGTGGCTCACGCCTGTAATCCCAGCACTTTGGGAGGCCGAGGCGGGCGGATCACAAGGTTAGGAGATCGAGACCATCCTGGCTAACACGGTGAAACCCCGTCTCTACTAAAAAAAATACAAAAAATTAGCCAGGCGTGGCGGCGTGCGCCTGTAGTCCCAGCTGCTGGGGAGGCTGAGGCAGGAGAATGGCGTGAACTCGGGAGGCGGAGCTTGCAGTGAACCGAGATCACGCTACTGCACTCCTGCCTGGACGACAGAGCGAGACTCTGTCTCAAAAAAAAAAAAAAAAAAAAGTATTTTTATAAATACACAGAATAAGTAAATGTTCGTGATGAAACTAATATTGAAAACTGAAAGTATTTTAACATGGCAGCATGAGTCTTCTCAGCTTCCCATCGTCAGATTTTAGAAATATTTGCACCTTTGAAAAACGACCATGTAGATCAACCTATGTGCCTTACAATAAATAATATTACACTTTTATGTAAATTAGCGCTCTCAAATTTGGTCACTGGAAATCTTTGAAGTTTCTAGAAAATTGTGATTATTGAAAATAGAACTTGCAAAAGGAAAGACTGGAAATTTATCTTTGCAAAAAAGAAAGGAGGAACTAAACAAATGGAATGATGATAGCACAAATAATATGCAAGATTTAATTTTGAAATTCTATTTTTGGGCTTGGAATATCTCCACTTGTGGAAAGAATATTCTGGTGGAGCTCTGAATTTTAATTGGGTAAATGTATTATCATTACCAGAAGAAGACCGAGAAGGTTCTAATTTTGCAACATTTAAATTTGGCAAAACATTCCAAAGTATCATAAATAGAGACAATGTACTGGACCCATTTTGTCTTGTAAAAATATTTGTTGAAAACGGAGCTGGGCATGAAAAACGGAGCTGTGCACCTATAGTCCCAGCTACTTGGGAGACTGAGCTGGGAGGATTGCTTGAGCCCAGGAGGTCGAGGCCAGCCTGGGCAACATAGACCTAATCTCAGTATTTTAAAAAATGAAAAGAAAAACGGAGTCAGAAAGAGCACCTGGGAAATATACATTTTGATATTTTTTAAAAAGTATAAAACTTGCCATTTAGCAGTTGGAATAATATTTTCTCAAATAAAATATCATGCAACCAGCCATTATATGCCTTCGCATGGAAGGACACAACACTACCCGTGAATTCTCCTTGGGAAAAGAAAAAATAAAACCTGTATCTGATCAAGCCTATAGATCTCACTACTAATTTAAAAGAAAGACAGAGTATAGAAAAACTTGTTAAATAATGCCCTGGGAATACAATCAGCAAAATCTAGAAAACTGTAGGACAAGTAAAGTGACCAAGTTCCTTCACAAATAAACTGTAAGGAAAACTAAGAAATCAGGATGAACATTTAACTTATAGGTTAAAAGATACTTATAGAAACGTATTAACCAATGGCAATATATGAACTTTATTGGATCCTGATTCAAATTTTAAAAATAGAAACTTGCCAGACACTGCAGAATCACTCCATGTGTCCTAATCACAGTCCCCTCTTCCCATCAAAAGTAACCATTATCTTGACTTACAAAGTAATCATGTCCTTGTCTTTCTTGATGGTATTTTCACCCAAATGTGCATCCCTAGACATTCTAATTCAGTCTTGCCCATTTAGAAATAAGTTGATATGCCTTTTAAGTCTTTTTAAATCTACAACTGTCCCCTTCATCTCTTTCTTTTACTTACAATTTACCTATTGAAAAGATTGACACTAGTTTCCTCTAGTCTGAGTTTCATAGACTACGTATTCATGGGGCACTTTAACATATTCATCTTTCCCCTGTATTTTCTGAAAATTGACAGCTGGATTTAGAGGCTTGATCAGACTCAGGTTCCATCCATTGGGTGGTATTTTGTTCCTTAGTCAGGAAGCACATAATGTCCAGTTTGTTCTCTTCTTTTATATTAGTGGACATTCATGCTCACTTCCTAGCTCCATTTAATTCACTGGAGGGTATAAAATAATGATATTTTAATTCAACAAATTTTCATTAATGAAATACTTTTTATAATGAATTAAATAATTTAATATACTAAATAGATAATAGATTAATTTTATTTAAAAGTGAATCTAATTTTATTTTTTAGAGATGGAGTCTCACTATGTTGCTTAGGCTGACCCTGACCTCCCGGGCTCAAACAGTCCTCCACTTTATCCTCCAGAGTAGCTGGGACTACAGGCACCTGCCCCCACACCAGGTTTGAATCTAATTTTAAATGAGTGGAAATCCTAGATTATATTTGAAACATCCGGAATTTCAGTTTCTTTTGTATTAAACTGTGAATTGTCCACATGGAGTGATACCATGTTTGATGCAGTATTTCTTTAAATCTAACAGACTGTATCCTGATCTATAACTTAAAACGATTAATGGGATCAGAAGGGTACCAAATTTACCTGTACCCCTTAAGAAAAAAACTTCAGAGAGAGCGAAAAGTGCCAAATCTCTTTCCCCAAAGCTGCAAGACGCCCTAAACTACTTCTTATAAACTACTGGGAAACTGCCCCAGGAGGACTGGCAGAGGGTTAAAAACGTCATAGCAATTGTGTCTTCTTACGATTTTATAATTTAGGGAAGTTTATTTTAGTGGCAGCTCTAAATGTTTTCAGAATTACATATACTTATTTCTGTTCAATCTATGTCATTTATCAAAAAGCAATGTTTCTTCATAATATAAGAAGATAGTTACTACCTTATCTTTTTTTACTTACACCACATGACATTAGTTAAGATGTAAATATTGCTTTCCTGATTGTATTTCCATAACGTGATTTCAATTTCAGATTCTGTGCTCAGAACATGAATAAACAATCTTTCTCTGGCCTAATAAAGTCTATTTTAAAACAAACAGATGTAACTTAAGCCACCTTGAACATATAGTTTAACTGTATTTAGAAAAGTGATTTTCCAATTAGAGGAAAGAGTAGAAATATAATTTTAAAATATTTGCAACAAGAAATGTACTAAAATATATGTAAATATGTATGCTTGTGTATGCAAAGTTCATTTCAATGAATTAAAGTCTCCAAATTCAGGCACATCACCACCCAAGGTATAATCAGCTTAACAAACGTGATGACTAAACCACTTCAATCCTTCTCCATATATAAAGCAGAATGAGGGAAATGTTAGAAGTTTAGAGAAATGAAATGTCCAAATTTGTTTAAGTTAAGATCTCAAAAATATGTATCCTGAATTTAGTATTAATCAAGGGAAAATGCTAAACAGATTGTTTAAAGCAAGCTTGTCCAACCCACAGCCCGTGGGCCACATGTGGCCTGGAATGACTTTGAATGTGGCCCAACACAAATTCATAAACTTTCTTAAAACATTATGAGATTTTTTTGCAATTTTTAAAGTCATCAGCTATTGTTAGTGTTAGTGTGTTTTATGTGTGGCCCAAGACAATTCTTCTTCTTCTGATGTGGCCCAGGGAAGCCAAAAGATTGGACACCCCTGGTTTAAAGGATGTTGGGTGAGTGCCTTCAAATAAAGACTAATTACCGGATGGCACATCACAAACCAGTTATGCCAAATCAAGCTCATTGTACTCTTTGATAGTGTCACCAAGCTGATAGCTCAAGAAGGGGCCATAGGCTTAATGTATCCTATTTTCAAGAAGGCATCTGGAAAATTTGTCATAAAATCTTTATTAGTTAGAGTTCTCTAGAGAAACAGAACAAATAGGATGGATACATAGATAGATAAATTTATTATAAGAAATTGGCTCACACAATTATGGAAAGTGACAAGTCCCAAAATCTGCAGGGTGTAGTTCCAGTCTGAAGGCCTGAAACCCAGGAGAACCAGTGATGTGGTTCTAATCTGAAAGCTGGTAGCCTCAAGACCAAGGAATAGCCAATGTCTCAGGTTGAGTTCGAAGGCAAGAAAAAGCCAATGTCCCTGTTTGAAGGCAGTCAGGTAGAAGAAATTATCTTACTCAGGGGAGGGTTATCCTTTTTGTTCTATTAAGGCTTTCAACTACTTGGATGAGACTCACCCACATTAGGGAGGGCAATGTGCTTTACTCAGTCTACCTTTCCAAATGTTAGTCTCATTTAAAGTCACTGCCACAGACATATCCAGAACCAAATTTGTTTGACCAGATATCTGGGCACCCCATGGTCCAGTCAAGTTGTCACACGATAACACATTAGTCAACATAATATCATTGTGGACAAGACATAGAAATAAGAGCTAGATAAAAATACAGTCTAGAATTTGTGGACCATAACTGAGGAGTTTGTTAATGGACCAGTGTCAATCTGTCAGTCCATTTCAGTGTAATGCCTGTGTGTTTTAGCTAAATTTTACACTCTCTAACACTAGGTGCCTAAAAAAAGAAAAAGGCTTATTTATTTTATGTGAATATTCTTTCCATTAGGAAAGAGATGGCCTACAGGGAGATAGTGTTCATTGTTTTTCCTGTACTGAGGTTTGTCTATTCAGATTTCTATATTTCCCATTCTAGAGAAAGCTGTAGTAGAATGGGATCTTGGTGTCCTCCTCACAGAGTATATATGATTCAAACCCTTTACAACACTCCTTCCTATGGAAATGTGTATAGTTAAGTGACAAAAGGACAGAATAGTACAGTATCATTTGTTTAAAAATATAAACTTACAGCCAGGCCTGGTGGCTCACACCTGTAATCCCAGCACTTTGGGAGGCTGAGGCGGGCGGATCACCTGAGGTCGTGAGTTCGAGACCAGCCTGACCAACATGGTGAAACCCCGTCTCTACTAAAAATACAAAAATTAGCCACGCGTGGTGGCCAGTGCCTGTAGTCCCAGCTACACGGGAGGCTGAGGCAGGAGAATTGCTTGAACCTGGGAGGCGCAGGTTGCAGTGAGCCGAGATCGTGCCACTGCACTCTAGCCTGGGCAACAGAACGTGACTCTGTCTCAAAAAAAAAATTATATATATATATGTGTGTGTGTGTGTGTGTGTGTGTGTGTGTGTATATAATATATAAATTTATATATTTGTACAAGTGTAGAATATTGTGAGCCTTGCTGGCAGGGAATCTGGAAGGCAAAGGGGTGCTGAAGTGAGAAGTCATCACTATTTGGATTTCTTTTATGCAATATTCGTGAATTAACTTCTTATTCATTAGCATTACATAAAATAAAATGGAGAAACATTTTTGGAATTTCAGAAATTAGCATTTTATCAAATAAATAGTAGGCCGGGTGCGGTGGCTCACGCCTGCAATCCCAGCACTTTGGGAGGCCGAGGTGGGTGGATCACGAGGTCAGGAGATCGAGCCCATCCTGGCTAACACGCTGAAACCCCGTCTCTACTAAAAATACAAAAAATTAGCCGGGCGTGGTGGCGGGCGCCTGTAGTCCCAGCTACTCAGGAGGCTGAGGCAGGAGAATGGCGTGAACCCGGGAGGCGGAGCTTGCAGTGAGCGGAGATCGCGCCACTGCACTCCAGCCTGGGCGACAGAGCAAGACTCTGTCTCAAAAAAAATTAAAAAATAACAAAATAAATAGTAACAGAGAGAGAAAAAAGTAGGGAAGATAAAAGTAAAGAAAGGTGGGGAAAGAAGGGAGAGAAGAAGAAAAGGAAAGAAATGTAAAGGATGGGAGAGTGGGAGGGGGAAGGGAAAGGATGGAAAGAGGGAGAGAGAGAAAGAGAATGAATGAAAAGAATGAAGGGAGAGAGAAACAAAAAGGAAGGAAGGAAGGAATGAGAAAGAAAGAGGAAAGAAAGAAAGAGAGAGAGAAAGAAAGAGGAAAAAAGAAGAGGAAGGGAGAAGGAGGGGAGAAACACAATTTCCTAATTTCCATTGCCTCTTCCTCCTAGACTAGATCTAAAGCTAGTTTCTCATTTGTCCCTCTCATAATGCTACTTCAGAAGTTACTTCATAATGTTACTTCAGAAGTAACAGGTTTCTGTCTTTAGGTTATTTCGTCCCAGGACAGGGCGGAGGAATAGGAGTCTAATTAACTTCAACTTCTCCACAAACTCAGAAGTATAATTAATAACACCTCTCTTTTTTCTTTCTTCTTTCTTTCTTTCTTTTTTTCTTTCTTTCTTTCTTTCTTTCTTTCTTTCTTTCTTTCTTTCTTTCTTTCTTTCTTTCTTCTTCCTTCCTTTCCTCTTTTCTTCATTTCTTTCTTTTTTTTTTCTTTCCAGAATGGCTAAATTTCTGAAGCTGGACCTCCATTCTTCCATGGTGGCAGAAAATTTCATTTCAGTTATTCTTGGTTTCTTCAATCCTCCCCAGGGTTGGTTCACAGTCCTAGAATGTCATACAGTGCCAGTGAAGGGCAAGGCAGGAGATTGTGGATGATCTTCAAGCCATAGACTATTGGTCATCAGTGGACACAGGTTACTACAGGTTACCAAGAAGCTCATTATTCTGTCTGCATGGCACCTTCTGGTCCTCAAGTGTCTCCTGCTTCTAGATTACAGAAGGAACCCAGTAATTTTTCAGGGTTTCCTATGATCCCATTCTCCACAGGTTGGTCCTCTCTGAATCCATGCCACCTCCGCAGAGGGAGGGGTGGGAGTCACAGCAGACTGTCAGTTCCAGGTTCCTGATTTTCTAGGACCCACAGGCCATGTTTTCTTCCTACAACCACCCAATTTACCTTACTTAAGAAAATAGTCTTGGCCGGGCGTGGTGGCTCACGTCCATAATCCTACCACTTTGGGAGGCCGAGGCGGGTGGATCGCCTGAGGCCAAGAGTTAGAGACCAGCCTGGCCAACATAGGGAAACCCTGTCTCGACTAAAAATTCAAAACATTAGTTAGCCGTGGTGGCACACACCTGTAATCCTGGCTACTTGGGAGACTGAGGCAAAAGAATCGCTTGAACCCGGGAGTCAGAGGTTGCTGTGAGCTGAGATCGCACCATTGCCCTCCAGCCTGGGCAACTAAAATGAGCAAGAGATAGAGTGAATTAAAGTATACAGAAAAAATATATATAGTGTTAGATGACAGGAGACAAAAAGAGAAGCAAACTATTTTATATATAAACAAACATGGATTTATCCATCTTAAATAAAGAGAATTAGTGCTAGAGAGGCAAAGTTCTGACAATTAAGAGTCACAAATGCTTTTGCTACTGTCTGTGTTGGAAAGAATAATTCTACCTTCCCCCTTTGCAAATGTCTACGTCCTAATCCGCGGAGCCTGTGAAACTGTTAACTTACATGGCAAAAGGGACTTTGCAAGTATGACTAAATGAAGCATCTTGAGATGGGAAACTTATCCTCAATTATTCGGGTGAGCCCAGTTGTAATTACAAGGGTCCTTATAAAAGGTAGGCAGAAGAATCAGAGTCAGAGAAGGAGATGTGAGGATGGAAGCAGAGATCAAAGTCCAGAGCCAAGGAATGCTGCCAGCCTCTGGAAGCTGGAAAGAGCAAGGAAACTCACTTATTCCTAGAGACTCCAGAAGGAAGGCAGCCCTGCCCATAACTTCATTTTAGCCCAGTGAGAATGACTTTGAACCTCTGATCTCTGGAAATGTAAGATAATAAACTTTTGTTGTTTCAAGCCACTAAACTCTATTAATTTGTCACAATAGCAATTTAAAAACCGAATATCCTGCCTATTCATACACTCATTCAGTTCCAGTTACAGCCATCGACTTGCAGTTTCCTGTTGCACCAAACCCTCTCATACTTCTACCTGAACGCTTCTCCTACCCATTTGCTTAGATCTGATCTTGTTCTTCAAGAGTTATTTAAACCATCACTTCCCCCCTTGGAAGCTTTTCTTACATTGGGCTCCCCAACTGTCTAGAACTCCCTACCATGTCTCCTTTTCAGCACTCACTACACTTGAGTTGCAATAATTGATCATCTTATTCCTGTTTGTATCACTTTGCCAAGTTCTTGCCTAATAAATGGCTTTGTTACTTCTTCCTTAGTTATCTTCCAGGTCTCCATGACAATATGGTAAGTTTTCAGAGAGCAGGGCCTACTCCTGTGTGTGTATACACACGTATGTCTTCCCTCCATATGCTTAATACACAGTGCTCCAACTCAAAAGTCAAAACAAAGCAAAACAAAAACACAACATCAAATAAATATTCATTGAAAAAAACTGATGCAGCCTACTTTGTAACAAATTATATCTTGGGAATCAACGGAAAATAACCATGCATTCTATTGTACCATTTATTAACCTGCTGTAATAAATTAGGCTCATTTATTTAGTTAGTTTATGCCTTGAGAAAACCTCAATAGCATTTTTTTTCTAGTCAGAATTATCTGGTTTTCATATTGATGGTCTTTTACTTCAATCACCAAATGCAGTAGCCAACATGACCAAAACATATTTATCCATTTAACAAATATGAAATGGTTGCCTACTGTGTGCAAGTAATGTTTAGGATGTGGAAAAGCATGTGGATAAATCAAAGTTCATGTTCTGGGCAGGAAGACATACAAATAAATAGTATATCAAGCAAAACACTAAAAAGGAAAGATGAGATAACATAAGAAATTAATGAGTTGACTCCACTCAGAGCAGAAAAAAAATCTTTAGTGAGACAAATAGAGTGGTGAACAGAAAAAGCAGGTGATAGTGGTTAAGAACCAGGGCTTTCAAGTTAAATAAAACTGAACTCAAAGCCAATTCCACTATTTACTGTGTGCCCTTGGACAAATTATTTAATTTCCCTGAGCCCAGCAGGCTCATCTGTAAAATGGGGATAATAATAGACATTCCACCTCATAAGATTATTATAAGAATTATGTAAGATAATTCTTGTAAAATTCTTAACATGGTGCTAGACACAGAGCAAGCAATTAGTATATTGCATTTATTATTGTGATAGTTTTGAAACAGTGAATAACATTTCTAATAATTATTTCAAAACCAGATTTCCTTACACAATAGCATATATTGTGAAAAAACATATATCCAAAATATATATATATATCCATTCACTCTACAAATACAAATACTGCTAAATGCAGAGGATTGCTCCACCCAGATTGCTCTTTCGGGGTGAGGAGCTCATTCCCCCAGTAGCTGCTTGGAATTTGGCTGCTGAAGACACAGTCGATTCCTACTTTGGGGATTGCCCTCCTCCACTGAACTGCCTAGGCTAAGGTTACACTCCGCTCCTGGTAGATGCTGGAGTATAAAAGCTGACCCTCTTGTTTCCATTTGTAACCATTTTGAAGGGTCACCCTAGCTCCAGGGGCTCCCTGTGAGATGGGCGGAAGCCTCTGTGGAAATCTCTTCTGCTTCCTTCACTCCATCACAGACATTGTTCCCAAGACCACTCCTCAAGGAACTTACCAATCTCCATCTCAGAGTCTGCCTTCCCAGCGAACCTGAATTAAGCCAAGTAACCACTATATGGACAACGCACTACTGTTAGGCAGGGTTGGCAAGCTTCTTCTGTCAAGGACCAGGCAGTAAGGGTTTTAGGCTTTGGTGAGCCATATTCTCTATCACTTTTACTCAACTCTGCCATTCTAGTGTGAAAGCAGCCAGAGACAACACATAAACAAATGGGCACTGCTGTGTTCCAATAAAACTTTATTTTATGGACACTGAATTTGAATTTTATATAATTTTCACCCATCACAAAATACTGTTCTTATTTTGCTTTTTTTTTTTCAACCATTTAAATATTGGAAAAATCATTCTTTGCTCGTGGGAGTTCAAAAGCAGGCAGCAGGCTAGATCTGGTCAATGGGCCATAGTTTGACAATCCCTGAGCCAGAGGAAAGATGCGATGCAGAGCAGTGAAGCTACTATTCTAGTGAATGAGTTTACAGAATTTGATATCATGGGACCCTACAGCTTGTAACCTTGTTCCAAGGACATGGAAGACCCCTTCCTGGCTCCAGGTCAAGAGGGCATGGAGAAAAGGAAGAGGTAAAAAAAGGGAAACAATAAGATTCATAATTTCTTTCTTTCTTTTTTTTTGAGACGGAGTTTCGCTCTTGTCGCCCAGGCTGGAGTGCAATGGTGCAATCTTGGCTCACTGCAACCTCCACCTCCTGGGTTCAAGCAATTCTCCTGCCTCAGCCTCCCAAGCAGATGGGATTACAGGCGCCTGCCACCATGCCCGGTTAATTTTTGTATTTTTAGTAGAGACAGGGTTTCGCCACGTTGGCCAGGCTGGTCTCAAACACCTGACCTCAGGTGATCCACCCACCTCGGCCTCCCAAAGTGCTGGGGTTACAGGCATGAGCCACCGCACCTGGTCTCATAATTTCTTTTGAAGCTTAGTACCAAGAAAATCAAACACAGCAAAATAACACTAAATGGTTTAGTGCTATGTGGTGTTTTTCATTTAGACAACTTCATCTCTACCAGGAAACAGATGTAGGAGATTTGAGTGGCTGTTTTGTGGCTGTGTCTGTAACTAAGAAACCATTCAAAAATAAAAACACAATTATAATTTGTTACAGTTTTAATATTTACAAACAATATACCTTTAAATGATCTGATACAGAATAGACAAAGGAGAGATAAACATATTTTGAAAACTGTTTGACCCTATCTTTCTACCCAAATATAGCAGCCTTCTACAGTCCATCTCCTTCAAAAAGAAACAAGTTGGATGAATTTATTTGGGTAACAAATATATTCTTAACTCTTTACCCTGAAACCTTTTGACTTTTTTTTTTTTTTTGAGACGGGAGTCTCACTCTTGTTGCCCAGGCTGGAGTGCAATGGAGCGACCTCGGCTCACTGCAACCTCTGCCTCTCAGGTTCAAGAGATTCTCCTGCCTCAGCCTCCCTAGTAGCTGGGATTACAGGTACCCACCACCATGTCCAGCTAATTTTTTGTATTTTTAGTAGAGATGGGGTTTCACCATATTGGCCAGGCCGGTCTCGAATTCCTGACGTCAGGTAATCCACCCACATCAGCCTCCGAAATGCTGGGATTACAGGCGTGAGCCACTACACCCGGCCACCTTTTGGCCTTTTTGTTTCATCTCATTTGACTGTCTTCTTTTTTAATTCCTATGTTTCTTCAAATGAATTAACCGTTTCTTTTTTGATCATTTTTATTTTTGCTTCCTTGCTGTACACACCTCTCTTTGAAATCATTCCTTATGGCTCCTCTTACCATATTCCTTCATCAAGTGTAATATTATGAGATTTCTCCATGATTCACACATGACTTCCAGCTGATCTTTACTTCTCTAGCCCTTAATTCCCCTTCACTAACCCCTCCTGCACATTCTCAGAATAAATGGATAAAGTGTTGCTTCATGTTTAAGTAAATGCGAGACAGTAATGGAAGCATCCTCTCTATGGATTTACATTGCTATACTGAGAAATATGGAGACTAGGAGTGCTAATTTCAGTAATTTCAGTTGACATCAATTGCAATAGGCGGCTAAAGACTATATCTCTGGCTTTTGAGGTCTCCAGATTCTTCTCTCTAGACACTTGAAGACTGATTTGGTCTACACTTGTCATGATGAGTTCAGACGCCAGAATCTGGGTAGGAGAACTGTCATGAAACACGGTGTCCATAATGTACTGTTTATATAACTCCACAACCTTCTGCTCCAGGTACTCATTCAGAACTGCATTAGAAATAGGATTCTGCATTTGCAAGCTGCTTTTCTCTTTGATGCTTGTTATTCTCCAATAGGATGAGTACCGCTGGATAGGTTTTTGGGGAAAGTCACTGGGCTGAGTAGAAATGGAATCCTCCATGGGTAAAGGAATCTCAGATGACTTCAGCAAAGGGCCATATTCAAAACTGCTCTCAGAGGGAAAATCTGTTGTCACTGAATTAATGGCCATCACCTGGCCCCCTGCAATCTGTAAGTCATTATAATTCTTGCAAATACTTTTGCAAGAAGATGGAACCAAGTAGGTCTCTCTGCTGGCATCTCTACATATTTCAACTGCAGCCAAGTTTGGGCTTTCAAACACAGGATTGGGGTTTGTCTGCAGCACTGTGACTCTCTGACTTCTGCTATGTTGGCTCTCTCTTGAATGCACTGAAGAGATAAACTTGCCAGATGATTTGCAGCTCACGTAGAGACTTCTGACTTGTGTTTCATCCACAGAGGAATAGGAAAGGGTAGCAACAGAATTTGTCTCCTCTTCCTTTTCCCCAGCCACCTGCTCATTATAAGAGGCACAACTCCAGTGGATGTCATTCCAGTACTCAAGTCCACTGAGATACCCTTCTGACAGCATTCTGGAAAGAGAATTGATGAGTAAGAATGGGGAAAAAGAATACTGAAATTTTAGAAGTTGGCACTTGATATATCAAAAAATAAGGACAATGAATAAATTCACTTTATTCATTCACCAAGCTCGTACTAATTCTGTGCCTACTGTGTACCAGGACTATGGCATGTGCTAAGGATATAAAAATGAAAAGCACACAATTCCATCCTTCAGGAAGTTTCCCACTATAGGAAAAAATCAACTAGATATAAACAATTCCAACATTGTATCACTGAGGATTATAATAGTGATAGGTAAAAAGGAAGTACAGGGGTGGGGGGGTCCCTAACTTAGCCTGGGGCAAAGGGGGAGAAGTCACAGGATGTGTCATAGGGAAGGTGATATTTCAGCTGAATGCTAAAGAGTAATTAGGAGTTCCAGCCATAGGAACAGGCTTATAAGATAATATGGTGGCATGACCTACTCACCACATACAAAGAAGCTGAGCACAAGCAGAAGGAATTGGGAAAATAGGCTGAAATTGGATCGTGAAGAGCCTTGGCAGTCAGGCAAAAGCATTTACATTCTGCCCCGTAGGAAATGAACAGTGATCTAGAAGTTGCAGATTGGAGAGAAACATGGCTAGTGGATTATGAGCAAAACAATGAGAAAATCTGTGGCAAATTCTACTGAAAACAAGTGCTGTGTCTTACTTAACTTTGTATTGGATCCCTAGGAGCTAGCACAGTTACTTGCATTTCTACAGAGACTCAAAAGGTATTTGTTAATTTGAGTTAAAGAATTTTCAACAATGACATGGTATGAAATTAATTTGTGCTCAACACATCATGAAGTACCACAAAGCCTACCCTGCCTTTGTATCCCAGAATAAATTTCCTTCTCTCTCCCTCCCAGTTCTCAGAATACATCCTGAAAATGTCTCTGTATCTAACTGATGTGTTTACCTCCTAGTTACCAAGGAGCTTTTCTGACCATAGACTTTCCCCACATCTGCCTCCCCTCCCTACCCCCAGCAATTGTCACTGGTCTAGAGTGGCTAGAACAGGCTAGAAACCAGCAGCTGCATTTTCTAAAAACAGAACACACTGGCATTCCCGGCACTGGGGCAAAAGGCAACAGCAAGGAAAACTGGTCCTCTTGGGCCTCGAGAGCTGGGCTTCTGAAACAGACCTGTCAACTTGAGCCTGAACTTGTAATGTCAAATAAGAAAAGAAGGATTTTTTTAACCATACATAAAGGTCCTTTTAAAAATTGTTAACATCTCTTTTACATTCATGTAATTATTGTTTCCCAGGTAAATAAAATGTTTCCCTTTTTTAAAAATTGTATAAGGGTAAGATAGTAATTTTTTTTTTCTCTTTTGGAACTATTCCTGGTTTATTTAGCAAATCTCAATTTTTTTAATGTTTACTATATTCTGGGCACAGTTATGTGCCATGAAGACACTAAGCTAAAGGTCTTCAACAAATCCATGAAGTAATTTCTGTATGCTGAACACACTTATAAGGATTAAAAAAAAAAAAAAAGTTGTCCTCTCCTTTAAAATCTATGTGAAGTTCTGCCCTCAAACCTAATATGCAGGTGAAAAGGCCAATCTTACCTACACGGAAAGATAAGAAACAGAGAAAGAGTTTATCATAAAGAACTAATGGGGATGCACTTACTTCCTGGCCCTCAACACCCTACCCCCACCTAGGCTTTAGCTAGGGCATTCTGCCTTCAAGTCCTCAGAATATCATTGTGGAAAATCAGAGCATAAATGATCGTTGACTTTTGAGTATCTAAATGGGCTTTAGAAACTCCTGGCAGAAATAATCGTTTGGGAGAAATGACTTTTGAGAAACCATAACCTGAGCTTTTACACCTCAGAATCCAGAACCATGAAGGACTTAAGGCATAATATTTATGCACTAATAATAAACTTAAGTAGACTGAGTCCCCCATGGAGGGAAAAAGTATGTCTCCAGAGAGATTTGGGAGCCAAGAGTAGACAGGTTTGCAAAATTATCTCATGCCCGGCATGGTGCAGGAGCAGAAGGAGAGACAGCCACACAGATCACCTGGGCGGGCCAGCATGAGGCTGCCTCATCAAGTCTGCTCACACATCAGCATGCTGCTGAGAGCCTCAAATCCTGGAGAAGACCTACAGTTGGGGTGGAAAGATCGCAGACATGATCTCCATAGACTACAAACCAGGGACCAGATGAATGGTAAGTTGCCATGGATACCAGTATGGCTACATGATGACAACCAAAGATATCCCCCACCCACTCCCATCCTCAGCTGACCCTAAGGTTTTATATAAACAATCTAAAACTTAGACGCACATCCAAGGAGGAGGGAGCCCTGAAGTGACTGAGGAAATCCTGATTGACAGTGAGTACTTTCCCACCACTCTGGAGAAAGTGAGCTCAAAAAAGATATCCAATTGAGGTTGAAGAAAGCAAGGATCCCTAGGAAAGATAGCAGAATAGGCACATGCATGTATTTTTTTTTCCTTTCCAAACTTCACTAAAACAACAATAAATGGTTTTTAAAAAGGTATAATACACACACACACACACACACACACACACACACAAATACACACACAAAAAAAAAACAACAGGAGAAGAGACCAGTACAACAACATTTTAGAAGCTGAGAAGCAGGAGATTGAGGATTAATGACAGGAGACCTAAGAAAACTGAATCTTACAAGAGCCATGGTGATATGGTTTGCTGTGTCCCCACCCAAATCTCATCTTGAATTGTAGTTCCCATAATCCCCACGTGTCGTGGGAGGGACCATGTGGAGATCATTGAATCATGGAGGTGGTTTCCCCCATCCTGTTCTCGTGATAGAGAGTTAGTTCTCACGAGATCCAATGGTTTTATAAGGGGTTTTCCCCTTCTCTGGGCACTCATTCTCTCTCCTGCCACCCTGTGAAGAGGTGCCTACCACCATGATTGTGTTTCCTGAGGCTCCCCAGCCCTGCAGAACTGAGTCAATTAAACCTCTTTCCTTTATAAATTACCCAGTCTCAGGCAGTTCTTTATAGCAGCATGAGAATGGACTAATACACATGGGGAAAGCGAAGAGCCAATCTGACTTAAATTCCCCTAAATGTTGAGGAATTGGTGGTACCAGATGCCTTTTTGGAATGAGAGTAAAGGGGATATACCTAAAGTAAGAAATATCGAAAATCTATTTAAAAAGCAGTCAGAAACCCAGATCATCTTTCACACCTGGCCATGCAGCCAGGTGACACTCCCCATCCTTAACCCCAAAGAAAAACTTGAAATGTAGTCTCTAAAGAGTGAAACAGAGGGTCTCTGGAGTAGGGAATACCAGTTGAGGGTAAAGTTACTGAATTGATAATAGATCAATTAAATAAACATACGCATATTTTTGCTGAGATCCATGACCTCTCTCCCCTTACTCAGCTCCAAGAATGCTAGCAAGAGGAGTATCCACCTTCTAGGCAGGATATTGGGAAGAATGTTTTGGGGAATCTGACTTGTCTGAGAAGAAGAGCAATTGACATCAGAGGTTCCCCAACTCAACAGGCAACCAGATCATCCTTTATTTAAGCCCACAATTAATAGAGCCTATTGAGCTTTTTGGATCTTTATCCTTAAGTATGAGTAGAATTCTGAAACATCTGAGGAAAAGTCTGATATGAGAAACATCAAAATAGTCATTTAGAGGAAACAAACTTAGGGTAGGGTGAAGGAGGTGGCAGATTCTACCATCAATATTCTTAAAGAGTTAAGGTATAATATAATCATGAATTACAAATTGGATGCTATAAAAAAGAAGAATTCTGAAGCTGTTAGAAATTAAAAATGATAATTTTAAACCTCAATGGAAGGATTGAAAAGTAAAGGTGAGGCAAATTATTATTTTGAAAGCAGAACAAAATTACAAGATGGAAAATAAAACTAGAGAGGACCAGTCCAGGAGATCTATTATCTGAATAATAGGAGGTTCAGAAAGAGAGACCAGAGAAAACAGAGGAGAAATTCAAAGACACAACTTAAGAATATTTCCCAGAATGGAAAGACATAAGTTATCAAAATAGTGAGTGAAAATCGATCTATACCTCCTCTCATGAATGTGAAATGATAGAACACTTGGGACAAAGAGAAGATCCTATAAGCTTCCAGAATGAAAAAAAGAGTCACAAAAAAAGACCAAGAACCAGAATCTTCAGACTTCTCAACAGCAACATAAGAAACAATAAGACAATGAAAAAATGTCTACAAATTCTGAATTTTAATTCAACTAGTTATTTTCAACCGAGACCAAGTTATCAATTAAGTATGATGATAGAATAAATATATTTCTAGGTTACAAGTCTCAAATAGCTGATTTTCCAAGCACCTTTCTCAGAAAGTCAATAGACTATGTGCTCCACTGAAAGGAGTAAGTAAAACAATAAAATGGAGACAAAGGATACAGGAAACAGGAAATCCAGCACAGGAGAGAAACAAACAGCCCTTAAACTCGGATAGCCTGAGCCCTTGTTCTAAACCCTGCAATGTAAAGGGCCTCACTCTGGCCCTCCTTAAGTTGCACCTCTCCCAACAGGGTAAGGAGTTCTAGAGTCCAACATGATGGGAGGCCACCCAGCCTCTATACTGCTGCCTTCTATCTCACACTTCTAGTATTCAGGACCTCAGAATTCCCTGCTCAGATGGCAGACCCAATTACAGAGTCTGCACAGGCTCCTCCCCAAATCCATCATGATTAGGGCAGACTTGGGGAAACTGAACATGCACACACCTCTAGGCCCAAAAGATGATGAAGAGGTGGTTTTTAGTGAGGGCTGTAGACAGAGCTTAGGTGTATGGGCTGAATGTCAAGGATAGCCAGGACTGGGAAAAGCAGATGGAAGGGCTGAAGACTGAGGCTCCCCATTTTTTGTCCTAGGCCCAGAAGTTGTGAAGAGGAGACCTACCCATGATGACAGTGAAAAGACATTCTGGGATGAAAGCTGCATATGTAACAGGCTTAAAAGGCAACCAGGCTGATTAGAACAGATCGGAAGGCTTCTGAAGCTAAAGATAAAATTGAAGACAACTGAAAAGGTCTGACCATCATGAAATACAATTTATACAATTGACTACAAACTTTGGGGATAAATTAGAAAAAGCTAAGCAAATGAAAAATCTAGACCAGCACTGTCCAACAGAGCTTCCTGGGATGATGGAATGATCTATATCTGTGTTGTCTAAAATGGCAGCCAATAGCTACATGTAGTTATTGGGTACTTGTAATATGGCTAAGGCAACTCAATTTTTAATTTAGTTTAAATTAATTTTAATTGTCACATGACTACTCTATGGAACAGCAAAGACTTAGAAAATAGTGAAGGTGATAACATAAAATTTTTAAATACTGAAGATTGCTAATTATAACTGCAGTATTTTTTTTGTTTTTTTGTTTTTTTGTTTTTTGAGACAGTCTCACTCCTTCACCTAGGCTGGAATGCAGTGGTGTGATCTCGGCTCACTGTAACCTCCACCTCCCAGGTTCAAGTGATTCTTGTGCCTCAGCCTCCCGAGTAGCTGGGACCACAGGTGCACGCCACCACTCCCAGCTAATTTTTGTATTCTTAGTAGAGATGAGGTTTCACCATGTTGGCCAGGCTGGTCTCGAACTCCTGACCTGAAGCGATCCACCTACCTTGGCCTCCCAAAGTGCTGGGATTACAGGCATGAGCCACTGCACCCAGCCTATAATTGCAATTTAAAGTTCATTGGTTGATCGCCATTATAGCATACTATGACAGTTATTTTTAGCATACTAAAGTAACATCTGAGTAATTAATTTGTTTCTGTATTCCTTTCAAGGGATGTCAGAAAGGAGCTAACAAAAGATAGTAAAGCCAGGCCAGGCGTGGTGGCTCATGCCTGTAATCCCAGCACTTTGGGAAGCCGAGGCAGGTGGATCACATGAGGTCAGAAGTTTGAGACCAGCCTGGCCAACATAGTGAAACTCCGTCTTTACTAAAAATACAAAAATTAGCCAGGCATGGTGGCGCATGCCTGCAATCCCAGCTACTCAGGAGGATGAGGCAGGAGAATCGCTTGAACCCAGGAGGTGGAGGTTGCAGTGAGCCGAGATTGAGCCACTGCACTCCAGCCTGGATGGCAGAGTGAAACTCTGTCTCAAAAACAAACAAATAAAAAAAAGAGAGATGGTAAAGCCAGAGCATAAACTATTAGATGTTGGGTAATGAAATGGGATTAGAACACTTATTTGAGACTTTTTTTTGTTTCATTATTTTGAAACAAAGATGATATAGAATTTCTTTTAAAGTTTTTTAAATGCTTCTATTTGGAGAAGTCTGGAATGCCTGTGTGAATTGTTCAACGAAAAATTGTAAAGATATTTTCATTTTAATTGTGCATTCTTTTAGGTCATCTCTGAGGTGACAAAAGTGCTATCCAATAGAACGTCTTGAAGTGATGAAAATGTCCAATATCTGTGCTTTCCAATATGATAGCCAATAGCTGCTTAAAATGTGGCTACTGTGACTGAAATTTTAATTTGATTTAATATAATTTAATTTAAATAGCCACACTTGGCTAGTAGCTGCCATATAGACATCACAGATCTAGACAATTATAATCTCCAATTGATAATGTTAAGAAAGTTGTGTAGCAGTAAAGCCAGGCACAGTGGCTCATGCCTGTAATCCAAGCACTTTGGGAGGCTGAGGCGGGAGAATCACTTAAACCCAGGAGTTTGAGACCAGCTTGGGCAATGTAGGGAGATCATATCTCTACAAGAAATTCAAAAATTAGCCAGGCGTGGTGGTCCCAGCTACTTGGCAGGCTGAGGTGGGAGGATCGCTTGAGCCCAGGAGTTTGAGGCAGCAGTGAGCTGTGATTGTGCCACTGCACTCCAGGCTGGGCAACAGAGCCAGACCATGTCTCAAGAAAAAAAAAAAAAAAGAAAGAAAGTTGTGTTGTGAAAAAACAAAGCAAAACAAAAACAACCCATGGTCTACTATATGGCTGAGTTATAAATAGCTTTTATATAGTCATGATAATATAGCACATGATAATATAAAGCACTGAAAATAGATCTAACTCAATTTAAAATATAACCACAGGGTGACCATGAAGTCAGTACACAAAGATAAAATATTTTTATCATATATGGCAGAATATCATGTATATATAAAATACTATTTTAATGTACATATAGTACAGTGATACCAATAAAAATCATCCTAGGCATTTGCCTGTGAGTCCAGACTAGGCGGCCACTCTGTATAGTGAGAGGAAGGGGACAAAGTTGTATATGCTTGGTGAAGCCAGGGGAGGAAGGAGAAATAAATCCTCCTCTTCATGATGACAAGTCAAGAAATAATGCCCCAAACTGAAAAATCCAAAAGTTGCAACACAGCATGCTATTTAAAGAAATGATGGTAAATATCAAGTAATTAGTTAAGGGAGATAAAAGTAGTTGCTTCTGGAAAAGGAGTCAAGGACAGCAGTTTTTCATAACAAATTTCTCAGAATTATTTGACCCAATTTATGTGCAAGTATAACTGTGATTAAATTTTTAATTAAAATAAAAACTAAAGATAAATATTTTAAAGTAACTAAGGGCCAGGTACGGTGGCTCACACCTGTAATCCCAGCACTTTGGGAGGCCAAGGAGGGCGGATCACCTGAGGTCAGGAGTTAGAGACCAGCCTGGCCAATATGATGAAACCCCATCTCTACTAAAAAATACATAAATTAGCCGGGCGTGGTGGCAGACGCCTGTAATCCCAGCTACTCAGGAGGCTGAGGCAGGAGAATCACTTGAACTGGGGAGGCGGAGGTTGCAGTGAGTCGAGATCGTGCCACTGCACTCCAGCCTGGATGACAGAGTGAGGCTCTGTCTCAAATAAATAAATAAATAGTAACTAAGGGGGTGGGGGGAGAAGAAGATGGCATTTCCTGTACAGCTGTTTGTGGTTAAAGATATTGCATATTCTAAGGGTGAAGAAGAGAGAGAGATGACTGTGTGACAGGTTAACCTTTATTTGGCCCTACAGACAGAAAGGATTCCAATGGCAGTGAAAAGAGGGAAAACATTGCAGACAGAGGAGAGAAGGGCAATAAAAGTGAAGAGGTTTGTGTTGTCAATTTCATGTGGGTCAGTAACAGACACCAATGTAGGTGGGGCGCAAGCATTGTTTGTCAGTGTCATGCTCACCTAAGAGCCTTTCTTGAAATGTCCCAGTTTGCCGAATCCCCCCTTTAGGACCCCTTATCCCCATTCAGACACACTCCAAGTCTCCCACTATTTATCTTATTTTTCTTCATATTAAACAATCAACCCTAACAGAGTCTTCTTTCATTGTATGCAGATGAGTTTTATAAGTACTCCTGATAATCTCCACACTCCTTCATAACAATGAAGGAAAAGGGCCTAGAATTTTATTTTGAGTACAGTAATGGGCCCCTTTTCCTATTGGTTGTCAACTGAGAGGTTTGCTGGTATCTTAATTCTGGCAGAATAAGAACCCTATCATTCTGATGTGTAGGACCCAAGACAGACCAGTAAAGTGGTGGGTCTGATGACGGAAAAACAGAAAGTGCATCCTAGTGTCTAGGGATAGACACGTCCCCAGCAAAAAAAAAAAAAAAAGGAAAAAAGATTTCTGAGAGGGAGGAGTGGGAGATAAGGTCAGGTCAGGGAGGTAAGTTGGGACATCCAAGACTGAGTACATTTGATTCATCCTGTAGGCACTGCAACGTTCTGGCAGGTAAGGAAGCTGATTCACCACATGATATAATATGGCAATAAAGTGCAAAATTAATTTCAGCAGAGTGAGATTGGTATTAAGGACCCAAGTTAGGAGGCTGTTGGATTCATCCCAGCCTGAGATGACTGGGACAGGAACCAGGAGGGAGGTAGGAGAAAAGAAAGAGAAGGAATGCATTTGAGAGACCAAGACCCCCAGACATGGAAGTGAAGGAGAGAGAGGAGCCAAAAGTAACTCTGAGTGTGGGTATGTAGGGGAAATGGCACCATCATTGACCAAAATGGGAAGATCAGGAGGAGCTGTGGAGGAAGCAATGGGTTTAGCTTAGCTCTTCTTGAGCCTGACAAGAGATAGACTGTCTGGGTGCAAGTGTGTAATTGTCCATTGGAAATTCAGGTAGGCAGCTCATTAGAGAAGCTACTTAAAGTCCACAGTGAAGTCACCTTCCACTTGCAGGCAGTAGGAATTTATATTGGGGGCTTGAGGAGCTTTCTAGGTTTGTAACTTCTTCTATGGGGAGCCTACCTGGAACAGTACAAGGAGGAAGGAGCAGCAGCAAGGGCTTTGTAAAGACTACAAGAGCTTTGGATGCATTGAACAAGTCACATTTTAAAAATCTATATTCGGGCCGGGCACGGTGGCTCACACCTATAATCCCAGCACTTTGGGAGGCCGAGGTGGATGGATCACAAGGTCAGGAGTTCGAGACCATCCTGGCCAACATGGTGAAACCCCGTCTCTACTAAAAATACAAAAATTAGCTGGGGGTAGTGGCGTGTGCCTATAATCCCAGCTGCTCGGGAGGCTGAGGCAGGAGAATCACTTGAACCCAGGAGGTGGAGATTGGAGATTGCAGTGAGCCCAGATAGCGCCACTGCACTCCAGCCTGGCGACAGAGCAAGACTCTGTCTAAAAAGAAAAAAAAAAATCTATATTTGAAGGCAAAATTTAATTTCATACTCATTCAGGCAATATACATATGTGGTGTATATATATAAATATATGTATGTTACCTAGAACATCTCATCTACAAACGTCTTCCAGTGTCTTTTCCTTCACACTTAACAAATCATGGAGAATTGTATATATTTTATAAAATATATATGTGTGTGTACATAAATACTCTCTCTCTCACACACACACACACACACACACATATATATGAAGAGAAAGAGAGAGAGCACGCACTAGTATTTAAGAGACCAGAGTTCTCTGATCTTGTCACTAGCAGTGGTTTTAGTTTAGTTGTTGCCAGATCTATAAAATAGCTAACATAGTACTAGCTACAACCCAGATAATATTCTAAGTGCTTTTTATGTACTAAATTAATTGATCATCACAAAAAAACTCTAATATTTAGGTACTATTATTATGCTCATTTTACAGATGACAAAATTGAGTAGTGTCCAAAATCACCAGCAGTCAGGAAACAGAGCCCAAGTTCATGTTCTTAACCTCTCAGACACTCAACTTATCATCTGTAAATTGAGAATGTGGGATTAAATTATGTCTAGAGTACCATCAAACTTTAATTTTGAATGAGATTATGAAGAATAAAGTGAGCATTAATCAGAATCAAAATTAATTTCTGAAAATTAGCAGCAGAGGGCAGCAGAGAGCACACTAAGGAGGCTTTTAAAAGACCTTTCTAAAGCTATGCAGAGTAATAATACATAAAATTTATAAACAAAAATACATATATTAACACATTTAATCTTCATAATTAATTTCCTAGTTTAGGCCCTTTGCTTCAATTCATCTTCCACTTTAATGCACTTAAAAGGGCCCATTCAAGGCCGGGTGCAGTGGTTCACACCTATAATCCCAGCACTTTGGGAGGCCGAGGTGGGTGGATCACCTGAGGTCGGGAGTTCGAGACCAGCCTGACCAACATGGAGAAACCCCATTTCTACTAAAAATACAAAATTAGTCTGGCGTGGTGGCACATGCCTGTAATCCCAGCTACTCGGGAGGCTGAGGCAGGAGAATCGCTTGAACCCGGGAGGTGGAGGTTGTGGTGAGCTGAGATTGCGCCACTGCATTCCAGCCTGAACAACAAGAGCAAAATTTAGTCTCAGAAAAAGAAAGAAAGAAGGAAAGAAAGAAGGAAAGAAGGAAAGAAGGAAGGAAGGAAGGAAAAAGAGAAAGAAAGAGAAAGAAAGAAAGAAAGAAAGAAAGAAAGAAAGAAAGAAAGAAAGAAAGAAAGAAAGAAAGAAAGAAAGAAACCCATTTGGCCAGGCGTGGTGGCTCACGCCTGTAATCTCAACACTTTGGGAGGCCAAGGCAGGTGGATCACCTCAGGTCAGGAGTTTGAGACCAGCCTGGCCAACATGACAAAACCCCATCTTTACTAAAAATACAAAAAATTAGCAGGGCGTGGTGGTGCATGCCTGTAATCCCAGCTACTCAGGAGGCTGAGGCAGGAGAATCGCTTGAATGGGGTGGGGTCATGGGCAGAGGTTGCAGTGAGCTGAGATCGGGCCACTGCCCTTCAGCCGGGGCGATAGAACGAGACTCCATCTCAAAAAAAAGGGGGGGGGGGCATTACTGCACCCTTTAATGCACCACTAGAATAAAGACAGCATTGCACATCACAATATCCTCAAATTTTAGAGTAGAGACATCAAGAAAAGTTAATTGGGTTTATTTTGACTGATTTTTGCATTTTTCTTAATAATTTTCCATTATTTTTGAAATTCTAATAAGATATCACTGGGTCTCTTCAAGGGTATATAAAAGGTACACTTCAAACAGATGTTAACATATTTGTTAGACTTGATTTCATCTGAGACATCAAAATTTAACCCAATGGATTACTTTAATTGTTCAATGATATTTTGTCACTTGAATTCTTGTTTCTCATCTTAGAGAAGCTATATATATATAAAGCTATATATATGTAAAGCTATATATATTACATATAAAATATACATATATAAAATGTATAAAATTCTCCCTGATTGGTTAGGCGTGAAGGAAAAGACACCTGAGAATATTTGCAGAGGAGATGTTATAGGCAATTTTAGCCCACATTAATCATTAACAGATAGGGGAATGCCAAAATTAACCTTATGTGCAAATTCACAACTTAGAAATATGTGCTAAAGTGCAGTGCCTTGTTAAATCATTTACTTGCTTTTCAGAAGAAACTGCAATGTAAGTTCTCTTTCTAGATGAGCATTTAGTTTTTCAGAAAGCTGTTGTTATCACTTCTTCACATAGACACATTTTTGATTGATTTTTTAAAATTGACAGATAAAATTGTATGAATTTCTCATGTATAATATGGTATTTTGAAGTGTGTATATTGTGAAATGGCAACATCTATCTAATTAACATATATATTAGCTCACAGTTATTATTTTTGTGGTGAGAATACTTATATTCAGTTTCTTATCATTTCTCAAGAATATGATAGATCATCAACTGTAGTCACCATGCTGTACAAGAGATCCTTTGAACTTATTCCTTCTATATAACTGTAATTTTGTATCCTTTGAGCATGCTGATCAAAGGACACACTTTTAATTTACATCTAAACAACACAAGCGTGGAGTCAAAGAGAAAACCTAAGGAAAGAAGAACTTTATAAGGGGGAACGTTTAAAACACCTAAGTTAGGGATCAGCAAACTTTTTTTATACAAGGCCAGAGAGTTAATATTTTAGACTTTGCAAATCATACAAACTCTGTTGCAGCCCTGCTGGCCTAGCAGGAAAGTAACCATAGACAATATGTAAACAAATGATTGTGTCTGGGCTCCTACTAAAGTTTACAAAAACAAGCAGGGGGCCAATTTGGTCCTGGGCTGTGGCTTACCTACCCTTGACCTAAGTCAAAAAGCAGACGCAATAAATGGGATACGCATCATAATAATGACAGCTGTATGCCGAGTGCTTTCCAGGCATAGCCCTTAACCTTCCAACAACACTGCAGATTAGATATTATCATAATCTAGATATGATCATATCCTTTTAAAAATCTTTTAATTTTTTTCTCTTTATCATTATCTAGATTTTCCAAATGAGAAAACTGAGTTTCAGGTATGATAAATACCCCTTCCAAGGCCACACAGCTACTAAGTACTATAGGCAAGATTCAAGCCCAAGTTTACAAACTCCAAAGTGTGTGTTCTGTTCTTAGAACATATCACACTATTGTACAGTTAAGAGCAGTTAGTATCACGCAGTCATAATAACACGCAATTAGTCCTTCCAGGAAAAGGGCATCAGCCCTGATTCCATGTAGTAACAACAGCACTTGCCAAATAAAAGAAGGAAGGTGCAGTGAAGTGCAGAAAGGAAGGCTCCAGGGGAAAGTCAGCACTCACCCCAGAGGGGTGGCCCAGATGACTACACATATGTCCCAATTATGTATCGATGCTCATATGTCTTTGAGGAATACAATTAATTTATCCTCTTTTTTTTAATCTAACCATATGAACATTTTCCTAAACCATGACACTGCTATAGCCTGGCATCGCCTCATCTTTAATTTTGCAACCATCTTTCACAGGGTGATTTAATATTACAGGCTGCACGTGGTGGCTCATGCCTGTAATCCCAGCACTTTGGGAGGCTGAGGTGGGTGGATCACCTGAGGTTAGAAGTTCAAGACCAGCCTGACCAATATGGTGAAACCCTGTCTCTACTAAAAACACAAAAATTAGCCTGGTGTGGTGGCGAGCACCTGTAGTCCCAGCTACTCGGGAGGCTGAGACAGGAGAATTGCTTGAACCCAGGAGGCAGAGGTTGCAGTGAGTCATGATCACACCACTGCACTCTAGCCTGGGTGACAGAGCAAGACTCCATCTCAAAAATAAAAAATAAATAAATTAAATAAATAAACAAATAATACAGATCCTCTGTTTAAATACAAACCACTTCCCATCACCTCAGGGATAAAGTCCATACAGGGTAGGCCTGTGATGTATGCTCCCTGTCTGTCTTCCTCATCTCATCTCTGCCTGTTCCCCACAGGACCCAGGACCCCAGTCATGCTGATCCCTTCCCAGTTCACCTGAGCCCCATGCCTATCCCAGGGATTTGTGCATTTTTTGTCTTCCGTCCTGAGAGTTCTGGTTCCCTATCCATCCTCTGGTCCACCACCCATAACCTTCAAGTCTCACCTCCTATGTTAACATTTCAGAACCCTTGGCCATCTACTCAGAATCATTGAATCTGAATTAGAAAAGGATTCTTGGCTCTTCTCTCCCCTACCCCAAGGTGTTCATCAGGATTGCATGAAACTTTAATAAAACAGAAAAGATAAATCACTGGAATAGTCTTTGGAAAGAAGGAAAAATTGACACGAGCAAAAGGAAAAAACAAGATTGAGGATTGGTGGGGAGTGTGGGAGTTTTGGATGATGAGGCAAAACAGATCCCGCCCCTTGAAGAACATTTTGGAGGTGTGCAAACTAAGACACCCAAAGAGGCTGGATTGAGATGGACGCAAAAACTATTAGTGGCCACACACAAATGGAGGCAATGGGATGGGACTGCCTTCCACCATCATGGGCTACAACATCTTGGAATTACAGACAGGAAAACATTTGTGATCTTGAGCCTAGCTAGCAGGGGTACAGTTTGGCTTCTACCTGTCAACATGTCTGCTTACAGAGATATAATTTTTAAGAGTTTTGAAATAGTACATCTAAAGACACATCTTATTTTAGTAAATCATTTCTCTTGAGGGGCACTGAGATTAGTCTTGCTTTTCCACTATGTGTAATTATTGCATATGCCTCCGTGAGTATTTCCACAGGCCAGATTTGGAGGAGCAGAATTACCAGATCAAAGCTATTGCCAAATTTCCTTTCAAGTAGCTTGGATCAATTTATTCTCTCACCAGCAATGTTTGAGATTGTTTTCATTGACATTCCTTAGCACATTATTTTTTTTTAATTTTCCAATCAAATGAGCTAATTTATGTTTGTCTCAAATTAGAGAGTCTTGTTAAAATCATATGTAGGTCATGTGTTATTTTTTAATGCCTGCAAAACTCAAAATCCTGTATTTCATCTCTTTACCTCTATATTATATTACCCTATAATATAAATTCTAAATCCCATAATTCCATTGTAAACTTTTTAAGACTTTCTTGGTGTGGGGGACTTGCAGGTAAATTGCTGAAAAGTGATCACTGAAAAACTTGAATATTGTTTTGTTCATGATTTAATTATGATAATGTAACCAAATCTGTATTACATGTTCCAGTTTTTTTTCAGTGAATGATGCTAGACCTTTACCTAAACAAAAAGCTTCTTTAGGAAGGACCTCCCTGTATAAAATAGCATCTGCAGTTTCCTTACTCTTATCTTTAAAAATACCTGTTCCTTAGAGCTGGAAATAATCACTTAATCACATACCTTAGATTATATCCCTATTATTTCAGCTTGTATTGAATTTATTGATGAATGCTCTAAAATATTGCTCATTAATATTTCAATTTCTGTTACAAATCATATAATTTGGGATTATCTATTCTTGTATCAAATATGAAGTGATTCTTAACAAATTAATTTCTGAAAGTATAACTTTATGGCTAAGATAATACAATCATAAATCAAAAGCCCTCTCTTCTTCATATTAATATTACCAAGTAAATAAATAATTTTTTGTTTGGTTCTGCTTAGATTCTTATGACCAAAGTTAATGGCTACTTCCAAGGACGATCTGATGTGTGAATTTTCTTAGTTCAGAAAATGTAAACTTTGGTGCAGAAATATTAGTAAATATATTTTATCATAGTTTGGATTTTTCTTTATACTCCTTCTTGATATAAATTGAAAAATTAAACCTTTTGGATCATTTTTTGAATCACTTTCAATGTATTTTGATGCAAAATGAGAGGACTAAAAAAATAAGAAACCTATCATAATAGTATTGTACTGATATAAATTTCTTTGGTGTTATAATTGTTAATCATTGTTAATCATGTTAATTATGCCAATTTCATTAACATTTACTTAATTGTAGGCATGTCAACTACAAATGCAATGCAAGATTCTTGATTGGATCCTGGATTTAAAACATAAAAAGATTCTAAAGGACATGTGGATAATTAGGAAAATTTGAATGTGTATCACATCTTAGATAATAGTATTGTGTTGATGTTATGTTTCCGTGGTGTTGTAATGTGTTATAGAAGACTGCCTTTATTTTTAGGAGATACATGCTCAAGAATTTAGGGGTGACATGTGTCCTAAAGTCAGCAACATACTTTCAAACCATTCAGGGAAAAAACTGTGCATATGTGCATGCGTGTGTGTGAATATATATATACACATATAGAGAGAGAGAAAAGGACAGGCAGAGACAGAGAAAGACAAAGCGAGAGAGAAAGTAAATGTGGCAAAAAGATACCACTGATTAATACACATGATGAAAATATGGGTGTTCGTTGTACTATTCTTTCAATTTTTATATAGATTTGAAACATTTCTAAATAAAAATTGGGAGGGGGAAAAAACCATATTTAGTTAATGAAGGCATATTTACATTGTATAATGTTTATTAAGAGCCTAGAGGGACAATATCTTATATATCTAAAATAATCACTACATATGAGATGAGAAATGTCTCAGTGACTTGATATAAATACTTCAAACATCATTTTGCTCTGAGATAATAGAATTAGTGTACTACCTTTGAATATCTCCAAAATTCCACTTATGATATGGATGTTTGACACAGACTTCAAATACTCTTCAATCCTCCAGAAGCTTCTCAAGCTCAGAAACAATCTTCTTCTCACACTGACCTATGCAAGAAATGTTATAAAATATCAATATAAATATTCTGTCCAAACCAGGTCTATATTTAAGCACAGATTCATATGCGCAAGACAAAGAATGTTTGAGCGAGTCTAAAGATAATTCAAACAAAACTCCACTCGTACATGCGCTATCTTTAATACCAAAAGGGAAGCTTTCCCCAAATCACCCAGATGAAAGTCGAAAAGCATCCTCACTATAGATCGCATTCATTTTGAATACATCCTGCCACACAGAAAAACACTATCACAAGCTTGCTGAACTGAATAATTGAGAGTCAAATCCAATTGGAAAGGACTGTGATTGTTTTCGTCTCTAAAACTGCATCACCGTAACTGAATTCAAGAGCTGTGTTGTCCCTGCAAAACCCTGCTTAGGTTTTTAGGCCTTCTTTTAAAAATGCAGAAGCTAAACCAGTGTGGCAATTAGTGAAAGAGGACTGCAAAAATAACACAATAAATATTTGCTCAGATCAGTCAAAAATTGTAGGTAAAAATATAAGTGTTTTAGAAATGCTTAGAATGTGGACACGAGGAGGTAAGGAAAGGAAGTATTGGGCTTAATTTCTCTTTATTTTTCAACTCCACTGAATGCTTGTTTAAACTCCCACTTGTCTCTGATATGGTAAGCTAGAAAAGCATTTTAGATGTCATAAGAATGGATCAGCGCTCTCGTGATAAAGGGCTAAGAAAGCGTGAGAAGACAGATGACAAAAAATAATAGCGGAGTTCTAGGGTCCTTTGCTTTCTTTTTCTTACCTTCACTAACCAATCTGCTCATCTGATCCGGCAGAAACACAGCAACTGACCAAACAGAGAGATGAACAAGCCAGCCAATGCTCTTTCCAGAAATTTTCACAAGCCTTTCACTGATGAGACCAGTAGACTGAGCTGCTCAGTGCAAAGCCATTCTTTTTATAATTGGTCCCATGGAAAAAGAGTTGTTTTTGTTCAAGTCCGATTTGTGCTAAAGAGGCAGTGGGAAGTCCCGGGAGGTGGGGAGGCAGTAACTGACAAAGCCACATCAAGCCACAGAATGGTGTTTCTTCCCCTTTTTCGAAAAATGAAACCTATCTACGAAACTGTCTCTTATTAAAATAGTTTATGGTTACACATTTTGTAAGAACCCTAGCAACAGAATTAAATTTCCTTTCTAGAAAAGTACATTATCTGGGATCCTTCACCCAAAAGAAAGCCAAAGTCACATATGACTTTAGGAAATTCTGTTTCGTTACTAATCTATAATTTTTAAGAAGTATTATTTCTCAATGGTACTTATAATTTTTAAAAATGTAAATGAAAAAAATTTTCTCGGCCGGGCGCAGTGGCTCACGCCTGTAATCCCAGCACTTTGGGAGGCCGAGGCAGGTGGATCAGGAGGTCAGGAAATCGAGACCATCCTGGCAAACACGGCGAAACCTCGTCTCTCCTAAAAATACAAAAAATTAGCCGGGCGCGGTGGCGGGCGCCTGTGGTCCCAGCTACTCGGGAGGCTGAGGCAGGAGAATGGCGTGAACCCGGGAAGTGGAGCTTGCAGTGAGCCGAGATCGCGCCACTGCACTCCAGCCTGGGCGACAGGGCGAGACTCCGTCTCAAAAGAAAAAAAAAAGAAAAAAGTTTTCCCTCTCCAAATACCGAAGGTCAAAACAATAATACATGGTGTGGGCAAAGTTGTGAAGAAACAAGCACTCTCAAACACTACTGATGAGATTGTAAACATATTTAGAGGGCAATTTCCCAGTATCTCTCAAATACAAATATTCATACCCTTTGACCCAACAATTGTATTTTTTATAAATTTGTCCAAGCTATATGTTTACACTTGTACACAAAGACTTATGTGAAAAGATATTTGTTGCAGCATTGCTTGAGAAAATAAATGACTAGAAAAAATTATATCCATAAATAAGATATTGGCCAAGTAAATGAGAACGTATGCATACTTAAAATCCTATGTAGGTTGTGTGCGGTGGCTCACGCCTGTAATCCTAGCACTTTGGGAGGCCGAGGCAGGTGGATCACTTGAGGTCAGAAGTTTGAGACCAGCCTGGCCAACATGGTGAAACCTTGTCTCTACTAAAAATACAAAACTTAGCCACGCGTGGTGGTGGGCACCTGTAATCCCAGCTACTCGGAGGCTGAGGCATGAGAATCCCTTGAACCCGAGAGGTGGAGGTCACAGTGAGCTGAGATTGTGCCACTGCACTCCAGCCAGGGTGACAGAGCGAGACTCCATCTCAAAAAAAAAAAAAAAGAAAAAAAAAGATCTCTAACATATATTGTTTAGCAAGAACTCATTTTCCAGTTTGTATTTTTAAGGAATATATGTATATACATGCTTATGTAATAGAATATTTCTTTTTAAAATTTTGTATTTTAATTTTTGTAGGTATACAGTAGGTGTATATATTTATGGGGTACATAAGATGTTTCGATACATGCATATGATGCATAATAATTACATCATGAAAAATGGGGTATCCATCCCCTCAAACATTTATCTTTTGTGTTACAAAAAATCTAATTATACTATTTTAGTTATACTAAAATGTAAAATTAAGTTATTATTCACTACAGTATCCCTGTTGTGCTATTAAATACTTTGTCTTATTCATTCTTTCTAACTAGTTTTTGCACCCATTAACCATCCCTACCTGCCCCACCAGCCCTCCACTACCCTTCCCAGCCTCTGGTAACCATGCTTCTACTCTCTATGTGCATGAGTTCAATTGTTTTGATTTTTAGATATCACAAATAAGTGAGAACATGTGATGTTTGACTTTCTGTTTCTGGCTTATTTCACTTAACATAATGACCTCTGGTTCCATCCATGTCGTTGCAAATGACAGGATCTTATTCTTTTTTGTGGCCGAATAGTACTCTATTGTGTATATGTATCACATTTTCTTTATCCATTTATCTGTTGATGGACACTGAAGTTGCTTCCAAATCTTAGCTATGGTGAACAGTGCTGCCACAAACATAGGAGTGCAGATATCTCTTCAATGTACTGATGTCCTTTCTTTTGGGTAGATACCCAGCAGTCCGATTGCTGGATCTTATGGTGGCTCAATTTTTAGTTTTTTGAGGAACCTCCAAAGTGTTCTCCATAGTGGTTGTACTAATTTACATTCCCACCAACAGTGTATGAGAGTTCCCTTTTCTCCCTATCCTCACCAGCATTTGTTATAGCCTTTCTAGAATATTTCTTTTTTTATGCTACACACAAGAAATCAGAAATAAGCAATTGTGTTTCAGGAACAAGACTCATTTTTCATTCTATACCCTTTTGAAATTTCTGTGTGTATGTATTACTTTTTCATTTTAAAAACTAGTATTCTTAAGTCATATTTAACTTTGATTGTACGGCCCAAATGTATTATAATCTATGTCTTTTCTGGAGGACAGACAAGTCTATCTGCAAATGGGTCAGTTCTTCTTGCCCAAAAGCAGAAAAATTAAGGGTTTCAAAATCATTTATCTGGTTTACCCTGACTGCTTCAAGTTAACCAACAAAGAATAAGCCTGCCCAAATCATAACTACTTCACTGTCTTTTTCTACCTAACTCCAATCAAAACTAAGTTCTATGGATACAAAAAACAAAACAAAACAAAACAAAGCAAAACAAAAAACAAAGCTAAGTTCCAAACTCTTAAGAGGTGAACATTTCCACTTAATGGGTTTGATTTTGTTTACTTTTGTTCAACGACTTATCTTAAAATGTCATATATTTTAAAGTATACTAGCATTTTTATTTTTGTTAGTCATGATTTTCTGCATTATTTTTTCATGAAACATTACTTAAATCCACTTTAGAAGGCATGCTCTCATGTATGAGCCATGATAAGGACAGTTTCTCAACTAGTCCTGAATCTGACTTGACCTACCATCACAGGAAACACCAGACTCATTGCCCCAGGGGCAAATTCAGTTACAGTGTAATCTTACAAAATCAGGTTCAGTGATGTCTTCAGGCATTTTTAGCTCATCAAGGATTTAGCTGTGATCAAGAGACCATAGCACCTGTAGGGCCAAACATTGATTTATTTCACTTTAGTGTTGCTTCATCCACAGTCATGAGACACCGTAGAGTAGGTCTTACCTACCTCCAGAAACACTTTATGGTGGGTTACCAAGAACTCGCCTGGAAGTACAATGAAATAACCATTGTGGGGTGATTCCATCTTCTCCACGTTGTCTTAAGTCACACTTACTGTTTTATTCAAATACAATATGCAGAATTTTGATTATGCCCACTCTTGATTTTGTCTCTAAAGTTACCCCTTTGATGGAAAAACCTCCTTTGCAGAAAAAAGATTCTGTAAGGAAAAAATGGGCACTATGCCAAGCTAACCTACTATTTCTACTATTTCTCATTTGATAAAACCTGAGCATACAAAATCAGCTTTAAACAGCTTTTTCTTTACTGGTTAAAATAAAATAGAATTATATCCCTTGTAGCTGAAATCTTATAATATGATTTTCTATTAATCTGCTGAATAGTAGGTAAAAGTTATTGCCTCGATATCTGTGCCTCTAAATGGACATTATTCCTATTATTCAATTACTTTTCCTGCTGTACAAAACACCCTCCAAGTTATTTCCATTATGATAGCATCCCTCCTAGCTCACTCTCAATCCTCACCAGGTTTCCTCCACCCTGGCTACCCTCTATTCACCTCATAGTGCTCCTAGTAGCACTCTAAATTCCACAACAATATGTCTTTCTGTCACATCCTACTTGCCAATTTCCAGTCCCATATAAAACCATTATTGCCTGGCCGGGCACGATGGCTCACACATGTAATCCCAGCACTTTGGGAGGCCAAGATGGGCTGATCACCTGAGGTCAGGAGTTCAAGACCAGCCTGGCCAACATAGTGAAACCCTGTCTCTACTAAAAATACAAAAATTAGCCGGGCATGGTGGCATGCACCTGTAATCCCAGCTACTCGGGAGGAGAATCGCTTGAACCTGGGAGGTGGAGGTTGCAGTGAGCGGAGATCGCGCCATTGCACTCCAACCTGGACAACAGAGCGAGACTCCATCTCAAAAAAAAAAAATCCATTATTGCCTTTCCATAACCAGAGAAAGGTATATATATAAGTATATATTAAGTATATATATATATAAGTATATATTAAGCATATATATATATATATACACACACACACACACACACACAACAGACCAATCACAGATTTATTCCATCAGACTTCAACTATCTCAGGATAAATTATTTGTCTTTCTGAAGCATACTCTCTGACCACTCTCAATACTCAAATGACTCAACTAAACCTATTTTCTCAAAGTTACCAAAGCCCCTTAATCATCAAGTCTAATAGCC
The DNA here is from genome assembly GCF_000001405.40 of Homo sapiens. NCBI lineage: Eukaryota > Metazoa > Chordata > Mammalia > Primates > Hominidae > Homo > Homo sapiens. The sequence goes on from NC_000023.11 coordinate 30,582,227, forward strand.
TTTATCTCAGCCTATATCCTCTTTGACATTTCTATAGTATTTGACACTGTTCACTATTCCCTTCGCTTTTTCAATAGTTTGTTTCTTTAAAAAAATTATATACATGTTTTTAAAAACTGTAAGTGGTACAAAAATATAGTTTTGCATCATTTAACAACAGGGATACATTCTGAGAAATGCAGCATTTGGTGATTTCATTGTACGAATATCGCAGAGTGTACTTACACAAATCTAGATGGTAGAGCCTAGTGCACACCTACGCTATATGGTGTAGCCTATTGCTCCTAGGCTACAGACCTATACTGCATGTGACTGTACTGAATACTGTAGGCAAATGTAACACAGTGGTAAGTATTTGTGTATCTAAACATACCTAAACATAGAAAAGGTACAGTAGAAATATGGTATAAAAGATGAAAAGTGGTACAGCTGTACAGGGCAATTGCCAAGAATAGAGGATACAGGACTTGAAGTTGCTCTGGGTGAGTAAGTGAGTGAGTGGTGAGTGAATGCAAAGGGCTCGGACATTACTGGGCACTACTGTAGACTTTATAAATACTGTGCAGTTAGGCTACACGTGTTTTATTTTTAAAATAAAATAATTGTTCTATGACATTATGACAGCTATGACGTCATTAGGCAATAGGAATTTTTCAGCTCCATTATAACCTTATAGGACCACTGTCAGGTACACTGTCCATTGTTGACTGAAACGTCGTTATGCGGCACATGACTGTCCAGTGAAAATTAAACCTCTCTTCCTATCTGATCTTTATCTCTCAGATCTCCTCCCCAAAGGCAATTGCTATTGTCAGCTCCTTGTGTATCAATCCAAAAATTATATATATCCTTCTTTGTATACAAATGGTAGGATACTACATGTGCTATTCTCTTACCTTTTTTGTATAATTTTTCACCATTAGTACTTGCTGACTGACCTCATCCTTTTAAATAACTACTTAGACTTCCAGGTTTTGGATGTTCCAACAATAATGTATTTAACAAGTTCTTTATTGATGTAGCCCCACCTTTAGGAAGGTCACCACACCACCACCCAGTTGATATTGTGTCATTGCACACTACTACTTATAATTTTTGGATTCATGCACAAGAAGGTGACAATAGTGATTGCCTCTGGGGAGGAGATCTGAGAGACAAATGTCAGATAGGAAGAGAGGTTTAATTTTCACTAGACAGGGCCGGGCGCGGTGGCTCATGCCTGCAATCCCAGCACTTCGGGAGGCTGAGGCAGGTGGATCATCTAGGTCAGGAGTTCAAGACCTGACTGGCCAACATGGTGAAACCCCATCTCTACTGCAAATACAAAAATTAGCCGGCCATGGTGGCGGGCGCCTGTAATCCTAGCTACTTGAGAGGCTGAGTCAGGAGAATCGCTTGAACTCAGGAGGTGGAGGTTGCAGTGAGCTGAGATGACGCATTGCACTCCAGCCTGGGCAACAAGAGTGAAACTCTATCTCAAAATAATAATAATAATAATAATTTTCACTGTACAGTCATGTGCTGCCTAACGACGTTTTGGTCAACAATAGACCGCATACATGACAGTGTACACCACAGTGGTCCTATAAGGTTATAATGGAGTTGAAAAATTCCTATTGCCTAGTGACATCATAGCTGTCATAACATCAGAAATGCCTCTAAGAAAAGTGAACAAAACAGCCAGGCATGGTGGTTCACGCCTGTAATCCCAGCACTTTGAGAGGCCGAGGTGGGCGGATCACGAGGTCAAGAGATGGAGACCATCCTGGCCAACATGGTGAAACCCCATCTCTACTGAAAATACAAAAATTAGCTGGGCGTGGTGGCGCAGGCCAGTAGTCCCAGCTACTCGGGAGACTGAGGCAGGAGAATCGCTTGAACCCGGGAGGCAGAGGTTGCAGTGAGTGGAGATTGCGCCACTGCACTCCAGCCTGGGTGACAGAGCGAGCCTCTGTCTCAAAAAAAAAAAGAAAAGAAAAGTGAACAAAACAAAAAGTGCTGGTGCCCATATGAGATTACATAATGATATAAAAGTAAAGTTTTTTTCATAATAATGTTTAACATTACATCTTTAAAAACACAACCCTATTATCCCGTATTCACTTTCATAGTTTACCTTAGTAATTTTTATAATCGCTATTGCCTGCAGACACAATTACAGTATTACATATAAGGTATTAATGCACTTCCTCTGCAGAAGATTAATTTTAATTGACGTTCTATAAAAATTAACATGAACATATTAGAATTTAGGAACATGTTACATATCCCATAGGGTAAAATTAATATGACATTTAAAAATTCTTAGTTATACTTAAGTAGGTCTAATTTATACCAAAGAAATCCATAAAGTAAGCTCTAGAGCAATGCTGCTTATCTTGAGGATGGGATGGCAGATTATAACTGCTTTATTAAGTACAACATTCTGAATTTCTATGAAGCTGTAATGGCTTCTTGTGCGCTAGAGATTTTGTTGTTTAGGATGTAATTGATTGTAATGTATACTGTCTGCTCTTGAATAACTCCCATTTTCCAACTCAGAGAGAGTTTCATTTCAGCATCAAATAATATGATTATGGCATTTGTAAAGTTTCTGAAGCATTTTTTAATTTTTTTCAGGTGAAAAATGATTTATAATGAAATATGATATAAGTTAAAGGGGAAATTGAATGTAATCTCCATACGTTTTATTTTAAGGCCACATACAGTACATAGAATAGCTCCTCTTTTTTTGGCCATTACCCTTTAGTTGGCATTATACAGAGTCAGTAAAACAAATACCTGAATGCTGAAGGAATTGGCAGTCTCATGAAATGTTTTGATTTCTGCTTTCTAATTGTCACCCTTTGCTTTTACCTAACATTACCTGCTTTAACAATCTCGCAAAAATCTCTAACACCAAAACTCAAATCTCTATTATTAACTCTAAGGTAAATCAACCCCTGGAAATACTTGACAGAGTTTTTACTACAAGGGCTTGTTTCTTTTAAGCCCGTTTTGACAAACTTCTGCCCCACTTCCCTCGTTTTTATATTTTCCTTTTTTATTTGTTTAATTTTATTATTATGATACTTTAAGTTTTAGGGTACATGTGTACAACGTGCAGTTTTGTTACATATGTATACAAGTGCCATGTTGGTGTGCTGCACCCATTAACTTGTCATTTAGCATTAGGTATATCTCCTAATGCTATCCCTCCCCCCTCCCCCCACCCGTATTTTCCTTTTTTAACCTCTTATCCCTCTCCCCGTCTGATTTTCAGGTTTTGGGACACAGAGACACTTCCTCCTCAAGCCAAGATAATGCTTTATTCCTTCTATCATAAATTGATATTAAAGAGAAAACACTTGCTCTGTTTGATAGTTGAACAACTGAGAATTTTCATTGTACTTATGCTGTGTATTTACCTATTCTTTGAAGCTTGTACAAATGAGTATTTGTATGAACTCTGCCTTGGCCTCATAATAATTTACTTCTGTTAAGACCAGGAGGCCAAAGACTCAACCAAATTTGTACAGAATCTCAGTTTTCATACATTGATTGTTATCCTAAACCCAAGTCTATCATTACCCTTACTGCTGTGTGCCTTTCAAAAGAAGAAAGGAAAAGGGAAAGTTGAATCTGCTGCTATTTCTTCTTGTTGGTGCTTCTGTGTCTTAGTCTGTTTGTATTGTTATAAAGGAATGCCTGAGGCTGGGTAATTTATAAAGAAAAATGGTTGGCTGGGTGCGGTGGCTCACGCCTGTAATCCCAGCACTTTGGGAGGCAGAGGCAGGTGGATCACTTGAGGTCGGGAGTTCGAGACCCGCCTAACCAACATGGAGAAACCCTGTCACCACTAAAAATACAAAAAATTAGCCAGGTATGGTGGTGCATGCCTGTAATCCCAGCTACTCGGGAGGGTGAGGTAGGAGAATCACTTGAACCTGGGAGGTGGAGGTTGCAGTGAGCTGAGATCGCACCATTGCACTCCAGCCTGGGCTACAAGAGCAAAACTCCATCTCAAAAATAAATAAACAAAAGAAAAAAGGTTTATTTGGCTGACAATTCTGATGACTGGAAAGTTCAAGATTGTGCATCTGCATCTGGTGAGGGCCTCAGGCTACTTCCACTCAAGGCAAAGGGGAAGGGTAGCCTGCTGTATAGAGATCACATGGCAAGAGAGGAAGCAACAGAAGGGAGGGAAGTTTCAGGCTCTTTTTAACCACCAGCATTCATAGAACTAATTCCATGAGAACACATGCATTACTGCAAAGATGGCACCAAGTCATTCATGAGGGATCTGCCCCATGACCCAAACATCTCCCACAAGGCTCCACCTCCAACACTGGGGATCAAATTTCAACATAAGGTTTGGGGCAACAAACATGCAAACCATGCCATTCTGCTTCTAGCCCCCAAATAGCACGTCCTTCTCATATTGCAAAATACAATCATTCCATAGCAATAGTCCCCAAAAGTTCTAGCTTGTTCCAGCACCAGTTTAAAAGTTCAAAGTCCAAAGTCTCATCTGAGACTTAAAGTAAGTTCCTTAGAGTTGTGAGCCTGTAAATTCAATAATAAATTATTTACTTCTAAAATTAGTAATTGGGCAAACATTTTCATTCTAAAAGGAAGAAATAGGCCAAAAGAAAAAGGTAACAGGCTCTATAGCAATTCTGAAACCCAGCAGGACAGATATTATATCTTAAAGCTCCAAAATAATCTCCCTTAACTCCATTTCCTACATACTGAGCACATTGGTGGGAGGGTTGGGCTCCCAAAGCCTTGGGAAGCCCCACCCCCATGGCTATTTTGGGTACAGCCCAGGTGGCTGTTCTGATGGACTGGAATTTGGGCTTGTGGCTTTTCCAGGCTGGAGTTGCACACTACTAATGGCTCTATAATTCTGAGATCTGGAGAGTGGCGGCCCTGCTCCTACAGCTCCACTAGGTACAGCTTTTGCATTTTGCATGCCTGCAGACTTAGCACCACATGGATGTCACCAGAGTGTACAGCTTGCATTCTCTGGAGTGTCAGCTGGAGATGTATCTGGGGCCATTTCAGCCATGGCTGGTCCACTCGGAGTGGTCAGGATCTAGGGAGCAGCATCCTGAGGTGGCACAGGGCAGCAATACCCTGACATCTCCCCCAAAACTTTTCTGTCTTTCTAGGCCTCTGAGCCAGTGGATGGGAGGAGCAGCCTCAAAATTTTCTGAAATGCCTTCAGGCCCTATATCCTATTGTATTAAATATTAGCACCTAGCTCCCTTTTAGCCATGCTAATCTCCACAGTGGTTGCTCCACAGTACCCTTAGATTTGTCTCCTGAAAACACTCTTTCTTCATGATCAGACCGTGAATTTTCCAAATTTTGATGTTCGGCTTCTTTTTTTTTTTACTTTAAGGAAATATTTTGTATTGTTATTGTCTTTAATTTTTAATTTTTGTGGGTAGTTAGTAGGCTATATATTTATGGGGTGCAAGAGATAATTTGATATAGATAATAATACAATGTGTAATCACATCAGAGTAAATGGGATGTTCATTCCCTCAAACGTTTATCCTTTGTGTTACAAACAATCTAATTATACTCTTTTAGTTATTTTTAAATGCACAATTAAATTATTATTCACGATAGTCACCCTGTTGTACTAGCAAACACTAGATCTTATTCATTCTTTTTATTTATTTATTTATTTTTGAGACGGAGTCTCGCTCCGTTGCCCAGGCTAGGGTGTAGTGGGCACTCTAACTCACTGTAAACTCTGACTCCTGGGTTCAAGCAGTTCTCCCTGCCTCAGCCTCCTGAGTAGCTGGGATTACAGGTGCCAGCCACCACACCTGGCTAATTTTTGTATTTTTTAGTAGAGACGGGGTTTCACCATGTTGGCGAGGCTGGTCTTAAACTCCTGACCTCAGGTGATCTGCCAACCTCAGCCTCCCAAAGTGCTGGGATTACAGGCATGAGCCACCATACCCAGCCCATTCTTTCTATTTTTTGTAGCCATTAACCACCCCCAACTCCCCCCAACATCACCTTCTTACCCTTCCCAGCCTCTGTTAATCATCCTTCTACTCTTTATGTCCATGAATTCAATTATTTTAATGTTTAGCTCCCACAGCTAAGTGAGAACATGTGATGTTTGTCTTTCTGTGCTTGGCTTCTTTCTTTCTCTCTTTCTTTCTTTCTTTCTTCTTTCTTTTTTTTTTTTTTTTTTTTTTTTGAGATGGACTCTTGCTCTGTCGCCCATGCTGGAGTGCAGTGGCACAATCTTTACTCACTGCAACCTCCGCCTCCCGGCTAATTTTTGTATTTTTTAATAGCGACAGAGCTTCACCATATTGGCCAGGCTAGTCTCGAACTCCTGACTTCATGATCTGCCCGCCTCAGCCTCGCAAAGTGCTGGGATTACAAGCATGAGCCACGCGCCCGGCCTGGCTTATTTCACTTAATATAATGATCTCCAGTTCCATCCATGTTTTTGCAAATAACAAGATCTCATTCTTTTTTATGGCTGAACGGTACTCCATTGTGTGTATGTACCACATTTTCTTTATCCATTCATCTGTTGATGGACAGACACTCAGGTTGCTTCCAAACCTTAGCTATTGTGAACAGTGCTGCAGTAAACATAGGAGTATAGATATCTCTTAGATATACTGATTCCCTTTCTTTGGGGTATATATCTAGCAGTGGGATTGCTGGATCATATGGTAGCTCTATTTTTAGTTTTATGAGGAACCTCTAAACTGCTCTTCGTAACAGTTATACTAATTTGCATTCCCACCAACAGTGTATGAGGGTTCCGTTTTCTCCACACCTCGCCAGCACTTGTTATTTTATCCAATGGTTCTGGATAAAAACCGTTTTAACTGGAGTGAGTTGATATCTCATTATAGTTTTGATTTTTGCTTCTTTTTAAATTATAAATTCCAACTTTAGATCCTTCTTTTGCTGTCATATCTGATCATAAGCTGTTCAAAGCAACGATGCCACTTCTTCAAGGCTTTGCTGCTTAGAAATTTTTTCTTCCAGATACCCCAGGTCATCATTCTTAAATTTAGCCTTCCACAAAGCCATAGAGCACAGGACATAATGCAGCCAAGTTCTTTGCTATGCAGCAAGGGTGACCTTTGCTCCAGTTCCCAATAAGTTCCTCATTTCCATCTGAGACTTTATTTCCATTACCTAGTTTCACAGCTGCTTCCACATTTTCAGGTATTTCTTTATAGAAACAACCCACTCCTTGGTACCCATTTTCTGTCTTTGTCCATTTGCCTTGCTATAAAGGAATATCTGAGGCCAAGTAATTTATAAAGAAAAAAAGGTTTTTTGGCTCATGATTCTGACATCTAGAAAAGTTCACGATCGGGCATCTGCGTCTGGTGAGAGCCTCAGGCTGCTTCTACTCGTGATAGAAGGTGAAGGTGAGCTGATGTGTGCAGAGATCACATGGCAGGAGAGAAAGCAAGAGGTGGGAGGTGCTTTTTAACAACCAGCTGTCACAGAACCCATAGAGTGAGAACTCACTCATTACTGCAGGAATAGCACCAAGTCATTCATAAGGGATCTGCCCCCACAACCCAAACTCTACTAGACCCCCACCTCCAACACTGGGGATCAAATTTCAACATGAGATTTGGAAGGGAGAAACATCCAAAATATGGTACTCTGTAAAGAACTAAATTAAATGAAAAAGACACATTAAACTAATAGGTTAACACTGTATTTTGAGGTAAGATATGGATTCTGTTTTCCTTAGCATCCTTTTCTCTGCATGTTTAGATAATTTGAACTATAACAGAAAGAATGAGCTTGGTAAACCTTCAACTCTAAAGATGATAGTGGGCTCCCCAAACCATCTCTCTCTTCCAACTTGACTGTTTTAGGACAGTGGCTCTCGAGAGCAAAGCTTCCAAGCAGTTTAAATATTGCTCTTTATACAAGCTTTTATGAAAAGTTTAGTTTCTGTCATCAAATAGTTGTTAGAAGTTCAGAGGTTCCTTTGTGAGAGCCAGTTGAACAGTTCTCAGACTTATATTCAGAGGTAAAAGAGCCTAGAAAAATTAAACCTGCATAATCTTGGTGTCCTCTAATCCCACGAGATTGTGCAATTTTGGCATATTTTTTAAGGAAAAGGGACGAGACACTCCAAAGCCAAGTGGTGGGATTTATACACCCCAGAGAAAGTTCCAAATTTTTTACAATTTACATTCTCTTTGGAAAGCTTCTTAGTTTTTATTTCCCCCCTTGATTCTATTTTTATCATGCCATAGCACTGGCTCATGTTAATAAAGACAGTCAGGGACACATGAGTCCTATGGAGGAGAAACTGGAACTTCAGTCCAAGTAACGTTATTTCACAAAGCAATGGAGAAGTGAAATTAGTGCCGTTGAGCCCTTAAGACTCCAGATTTCCTCTCTATGGAGAGGCTTCTGGGGTAGAAATTTTTCATCTCTGTCTCCAACTGACCACATCAAACCCCTCTTTGGGTCCTGTCCCTCTATGAGTAAAATTCAAGCAAATGTATATATCAGATTATAGATCGAAGAGCTAGTTTTGTTTAAGCAACTTCTGTCTATTTACAGGCACACATTTATAACAATAAAGCAATTCCTATTCTTTGTAATTCTTTCCCTTGCTCTGTAACTCCTGGAGGTGAGAAGAACAATGCTTGAGGCTAATGAAAAACATCTTTCAAGATAAATTTTAAATTAATGAATCCCTCTACATTCACATTTAGTAGAAGTCAACTAATTAGTTTCAAAATTTAGAGCAAAAATAAATCCTTTCTATCAAGTCTCTTGAAGGGATTACTACGAAGCATATGACAATGCAAACTTTCTGTTGGGGGCTCATTATCAGAAATTCCCATCAAACAATGAGATAAGAATCTAATCTAATGAGAATCTAATCCAGTAGATGTAAGTGCTTAATTGTACAGATTCATATCAAATTGATTTACAAATCTCTTGGCTTTACTTTAAAATCTCTTAGACTTTAAGTACTCTTACCACAAAAAAAGAAAAGGAAAAAGGTAACTATGAGATGCTAGGTATGTTAATTTGCTTGACTACAGTAATCACTATGTATATGTATATTAAGATCAATATATTAAAACATTATGCTGTACACTTTAAACATATACAATAAGAATGGTCTTTTAAGACAATGCTTCTCAAACTTTGACACGCATATGAATCACCTGGGAATCCTGTTTAAATCCAGATTCAGTAGATCTGGGGTGTGCCCTGACATTCTATATTTCTAACAATCTCCCATGGGATGGCAATGGTGCTCATCTGTGGAGGACTACACTTTGAGTAACAAGGTTTCAAGGCACCTACGTTCTGCATCTTAAGCCTTTATATAGCAAAAGCTCTTATTTGCAGAATGCCTACTATACGTGCATTATAGACTAAAAGGTTTGATTTATGTCATTTAATCCTCAAAATAATCCTATAGAGCATGTTTGATTATTTTTTAAAATAAGAAAAGTTTGGATTTCAGAGAGGCTAATTACTTTGTCCAAAGTCACACAGGAAGTCAGGGCCAGGAATTTGGACCCAGGCTTTTCTGACTCCAAAGCCAGAGGACTATTCTCTATGTATTATATACAACATCTAGTACACAGCGTTTTGAGACAGAGATGAGAAAAACTTCCTACCATTCAGAATCAACAGTACAATGGCAGAAATCAGACAAATATGTAAAAAGATAAATTACAGTTTTTAAAGGTATTGTGCAAGTATCAAAGAAGTATAGATTACTGAGTTAATTAAATAGTAATAGGATAGGAAAGGATAAAATTAATATATTTCTGTACAATTACTTTGGATTAACTCTCATTAATCTACCTCTTGATGGAAGAAGTGGACAACTGTGGGCATTCTAACAACTGCCACATGTAGGTAACAGTGAGGAGGCCGTTGGAACTTTTCTGTGAGTTGGGGCTGGGGAAGGGAGAGGGATTTCCAAAGTCCCTTCAACATCTCCGCTTAAATGATTATGCAATTCAAATTTTGAACTTGTCATTTAAAAATAATTTATATAAATTACCTGCTCGTGGTTTAAAATATATATAATGGTACAGAGCTATAAAGAAAAAAGTCTTCTCCCCTAACTCCCTTATTTCCACTTTCCAAAGGAAAACATTGTTTTCAATTTTATGTGTATCTTTTCTGGAAGAACTAAGTTTTTCTTACAATTTTTACAATTTTCAATGTGAGCCTTGTTGAACACAAGTTACCTTAAAGAAATGTTCCATATAGGCCAGGCTCGGTGACTCACGCCTGTCATCCCAGCACTTTGGGAGGCCGAGGCGGGTGGATCACCTGAGGTCAGGAGTTCAAGACCAGCCTGGCCAACATGGTGAAACCCCATCTCTACTAAAAATACAAAAATTAACCGGGCGTGGTGGTGTGCGCCTATAGTCCCAGTACTGGAGAAGCTGAGACAGGAGAATTGCTTTTGAACCTGGGAGGCGGAGGTTGCAGTGAGCCAAGATCACACCACAGTACTCCAGCCTGGGCAACAAAGTGAGAATCCGTCTCAAAAGAAAAAAAAAGAAATGCTCCATGTAGAATTATAGAATTTTTGTACCTTTTTAACATCGAGATCTAGACTTGATCACTACTTTATTCAATTCAGAAACTACTTATTGAGCATTTATTAAGGGCCAGGTATTAGGCATTTTATACATAAAAACCACTAAGGTTTGATTTCTACCTCCAAAAGGCTCGTAGTTCAGGGACTTCTCTGATCAGGAAAAAAAAAATGACTGTGGTGTTGCAGACAGGAAATTACTATTTAATACTGACAGTGCCTTCTTCCTGTTTCACCAGAAGAGAAAAAGTCGGAATTTGAGGATATATTCTATTCGGGCAAGTTTCACTTCTCAAGTGATTCCCATAAACCCCTTTCTAGTCTGCACTCCAAGGTAATCCATTTGAACCTCTCCTTGGGTCTATTTTCCTTCTTGCAATTCATGAGGACATGTTTTTTTGTATTTACAAAGCTTTTATCTGAATTACAAGATGATCAAGTCAGAAAAACTGGTTCTTTCTGGTCCTCTGACGTAGGTCCCTCTGAACATTTAAGGTGAAGAGTCAGCTGCCCATGCAGAATTCATTCATTTACCCAACTCAAATTCATAAAGTGCCCCCCACAAAACTGTGAAATTTGAGTTGCCTGGACAAGAGACCTTCCACACGAGAATAGTGCCTTGTCAAACAACTAACTACTGTGTCTTTATACTTTCAAAACTTTAAGTTTTAAAGCCATTTCTGCAGCAAAATCTCACATTAAAAGATAGGTTTTAAGGCATATACTCCAAACTTCTGTGGGTCGAATTTAGTTGAATAATGCCTTTGTTAGCAACTAATGAGCCTGTCATCAAGAATGAGGAAGTTGGGAAGAGAAAGGTGGAATGTTTCCCAAATTATCTCATTTTAAGAATCACCTGATGTGCTTATTAAATATGCAGATTTTCTAGGCCCTTCCCCTGGAGATTTGGTTCATTAGATTTGGACCTGGGACTGCCACATTTAACAACTGCCTCAGAAGATTCTTACGATTAGACTACCCTACAGCAATAGTTTTTAACTTTGGATGTACATTAGTAATATCTGGGGAGTTTTTTCGCTGTTTTTTTTTTTTTTTTTTAAACAGGGTCTCACTCTGTCACCCAAGCTGGAGTGCAGTGGTGCAATCACAGCTCACTGCAGCCTCAACCTCCTGGGCTTAAGCGATCATCCTGCCTCAGCCCCACTAGTAGCTGGGAGTACAGGTGCGCCACCTGGTGAGTTTCTAAAAGTACATATATATTAATACCTGGGTTGCAAACACAAATACTCTAATTTATCTGGGTTGGTGCCAAGCATTGGTCATTTTTTAAAGTTCCCTAGGTGATTCTAGTGTTGAGCCATTCTAGTGTTCAGAAATAATGATCTAAAGTAGCAGTTATAAAACGTTTTGGTGTCAGGATTCCTTTACACACTTGAAAATTGTGGAGAGTGGTGCGTGCCTTCAGTCCCAGTTACTTGGGAGGCTGAGGCAGGAGGATTGCTTAAGCCCAGGAGTTCAAGGCTGCAGTGAGCTACGACTACACCTGTGAATAGTCACTGCACTCAACAAGCAAGACCCTGTCTATAAAGAAACAAAACAAGCAAACAAAATTATGGAGAATTTCAAAGAGCTCTTATGTGGGTTATATTGATATTGTCCATAAGCAAAATTAAAACTAAGAAATTTTGAAACATTTATTGGCCCATTTAATAATTATAATAATAGACCCATTATGTGGTAATATAAATAATGTACTTTTGATTTAAAAATTATTTTTCAAAAAAATTAACGAGAAGAGTAGCATCCTTTTCTATTTCTACAAATCTCTTTAACACCTGGCTTATAGAAGACAATTAGTTTCTGCATTTAATCTATTGGGATAAGCTGTTTTGATTGAAGAATTCTACTTGAAGTATATGAAGAAAATCCAGCCTCTCAGAAATATGCTGTTGAAAAAGGAAAGAGTGTGTTAAAAGCTTTTCAGATAACTGTGGATATTCCTCTTGGACACAACACCAAAACTTGACAAGTGACAATTTCTTAAAGGTTGCTTGTAATGTGGAACAGAAAGTATATTATGAACTTCTTGTACTTCATTATATTAAAACCCATTGATCCATCTTATACTTTTAATGCATCATTTACTCATGCAAGATTTTATATCATACATTGGTCATTTGAAAAAATATCAGTTCCCTGAGTTATGCAGCCCTTCCAAATGCTGGCACATTTCCTACTGTATAATATCAAAACATCACATTTGTTAATATCACAACCAGTCTCATCAGGAGAGTCAGTAGGTACTGAGATGCTGTCAAAATCCCAATAGTGGAATAGGTTTTTCAAAATTGTAATATTCATTTGAACACTTGAGTTTCATTGTTGGCCACATATATACTGTCAGTTGTTTTCCTTGAAGTGACAAACAGACTTCATTCATTTTCAAGCAAATGTTTGCCAGATCTCCAAGTCTGAAAAACCATGGTTTGCCAGTTGCTCTTTGGAGTAAAAATAGTGTTTCACGAGAAAAGCCACTAGTTAAGCCATCAACCCAATCACTCAAATGCTTTTCCTGGCGGCATCTATTCTACTTCAGTGTGCAGCGGAAGTGCTTTATGCATGCCTCATATTTCATTGCAGGGAAGTTTTTTAAGTGTACTTGAGTCAAGATTTAATAAAATTAATAATTCTTGCTGTTTCATCAAGGACATTCTTAAATGAGAGAGGCTTTTAAATTTTTTTAAATTTTTTAACTTTATTTTTTATATTATATTATATTTTATTTTATTTTATTGAGATGGAGTCCCACTCTGTCGCCAGGTGGAGTGCAGTGGCACGATCTCTGCTCACTGCAACCTGTGAGTTTAAAACTGTGAGTGTGTGGGGATGAAAAATACAATGACTACTAGTAAAGTTTAGCACCACTGCCTTGATACACGCTAAGGAGTCGGAATTTTGTTTATTGCTTTTGCACCACCAGTGCAATCGTTAATACAGTGAAAAAGGAAAACAGCATCTTGGTATTATTACGAGAATGTTTTGATATGGACTCCCCTGAAATGCCTTGGGAAGCACACTTTGAGAACTGCTGACCTAAAAGAACATAAAGCAGTACTGGTAGGGGAGGCAGGCGGGGCAAGTTTAGCATGCATTTACCTATTTATTGCTGAGATTAGAATATTCACCATACTTGGGTTATTTATTTATTGTCTTAAGATTCACAGTAACATCCACAAACTATATGTTACTATTCCTATTTTACAAATAAATAAATTGAAGCTCAGAAAGGCTAAATAATTTTCTAAGATCAAGCAAGGATCAGGATTTAGATCGAAATATTCCTGATTCTAAGCTTACTCTGTTGCCACTACGCCAAGCTGTTTTCCTTCTATTGAACCGTTTAGGGTGTAAATAACAGATATTAAGGCATATCAAGCATTTATTATGCACTAAAAACAGTTGAACTTTAAATGTATTAACTTATTTAATCATTCCAACAGGCGGGTACCCATATACACCCTATTTTAGAACATAGGGAAACAGAGACCCAAAGAACTTCTCAAGGACACAGCTAGTAACTATGGTGCTAAGATTTTAGCCCAAGAGGAATGGCTTCAAAACCATTTTACTAAAACATCTCCTGGCCAGGCATGGTAGCTCACGCCTGTAATCCCAGCACTTTGGGAAGCTGAGGCGGGTGGATCACCTGAGGTCGGGAGTTCGAGACCAGCCTGACCAACATGGAGAAACCCCATGTCTACTAAAAATACAAAATTAGCCGGGTGTGGTGGCACATGCCTGTAATCCCAGCTACTCGGGAGGCTGAGGCAGGAGAATTGCTTGAACCCGGGAGGCAAAGGTTGCAGTGAGCCGAGATCGCGCCACTGCACTCCAGCCTGGGCAACAAGAGTGAAACTCCATCTCAAAAAACAAAACAAAACAAAACAAAAAAATCCCACAAAATCTCCTAAGTAGAAATAGTAATGAAAAACTCTGAATAAAAAAATTATAATTAAGATACTTGTAATTATTACTTGAATAAAGGAAGTACTTCAATGCTTGAAACAAATACTTTTGCCTATTTGCATCCAAAATGTCATATGATCAAAAGATCTTGGTTTATTTGTTTCATTTCCTCGAGGAGAGACAAAATCATGTGTGGAAAAACCTTAAGTGTGTGGAAATTTTAGCAAGAAGTTAATTCACAGAAATCACTAAGAATAGATTCCTAAAAGGGGTGTAGTTCAGTTTACATTTTCAGATTTTGAGATCAGGATGTCGTGGTCAAGTCTGCAGATGGGAAAGGAATGTGGTCTATGTCACACTGAGCATATGACAGACACCCATCAAAGAACACACCTGCTCCTGGAGAAGACCAGGGCACCGGAAAAATCATGGATCTGACAATAAAACCATTTCCTTCATTTGCCATCACAATAATTAGTCGTCTTGGGGTGTATTTCCTTTTTCTAAAAATAATGGTAGTGGTGTTGTTACTCAATCTTCTAAAATGGGTTTGTGTGTTAACTTCCAAGACAAGAGCTCCTTTTCCTAAATGGAACTCCATTTCTTCAGCCAATGCAAGACTCCTTATCTAGAAAGAAAGGTTATTCATGTTTACTTATGAAAAAGCACACAAAGGCAAACAACTTGGTCCTTCCTGTGTGCTCAGAAATTGCCTCCCTCTGGATCATGCTGGGGTTGGGAAATAGAAGTTCTTCCCTCATCACCTCCCTGTCCCTAACTGTACACCCTGCTGTGGACTCTGACTCTGTTTCCCTGCCACATCTACATCTTTTCTCAGTCTTACTTCCTGAGTCCTGATGGCTCCTTCTTGGCTTTCCCAGGTAAAATTAAGGCGAAGGGGCTCTGCAAGAAGGGAAGGGGCTTTGGGGACAGGAAAACCCTCCCTCAGTGGGCAACAGCATCTACCAGCAAGAAAAAAAAAAAAAAAGAGAAGTGAAAATCCTGTTTTGTAACTAAGGGCTCCAAGCGTTTTAACTGCTGCTGCTTCTTCTCTCTCTCTCTTTCCACTTACCCTCTTCCGCCCACTCTAAGGTTTCAGTCTCTACTCATTCCATCTAAGAACTCCCCAGTGATATAAGTGAAAAAGAAAGGGACAACCAACCTGTCCTTTCCACAGGAACCCTCATTTCCCCAGGCTCATCCACTCCCTCATGCCTACTCCAGCCCCTCAGGCCCAAACCTAATATGGACTTCTCCCTGCTCAGGCCTTCCCACTGTCTATTTGAGTCTCTGTTTCCTAACTCTAGAACTCCAGTCTCTGCCCAGATGGACTCCACTGGAAGCTTGGAACTAAAGGATGTACTCTGCCAGTTAGAGCTGCCTCAAGGGGTCAGGAATCTCTGAAGACATTTCCCCTACGAGCATTGCTACACTTATTGGTTCTCATCCATAGTTTTCTTAGCATAGACTCCACTTGCACTCTGCTTAAGTTAGTTTTTCTGGTACCTTAGAAACCTAACTACGTTTTTATCCACTCACTCATTCGACACATATTTTTTCTGAAGACAGAGATTCTCCTAAGGACTATTTTAGGCATTGTACAAAACAAAACCTCTACTTTCATGAAGAAGACCAATCCTAGATCCAAGTCGAAGACTGTCACTGGAGGAAAGCAGAAATCCCCACCCCAACTCAAGAATTATTACACAAAGGATAACCTGAGCCCCTCGGAAGGTTAGCAGAAGGCCATTCCCTTAGAAAGCAGGGAGTGGCTGTTAATTCTCCAAGATTTTCCACCTCTAGGCAAAGAACAGAGAAGGATTTGTGAAAAGCCAGTGCTCCAACACAGCACTGTGATAGGAAAGATATTGAATGAGGATTCTGGATTCCCTAGGAGAGTCTCAGGGGAGGAGAGGTTGAGTCCTTCCTGGCCTCTATATCAGCCATGGTGAAGAAGCCACCTCAAGCAAGGCCAGAGAAAACAGGCCCCAGACTGGCCTTGAGAGTCGCCTCACATCAGGGCAGCCCTGCTGTGGAGAGAACTGCAAGAGGCAGGAGAATCAAGTAGGACAGAAACTAAGATAGGCTACAAGGATGTACTGTGAAGCATAAACTGGGGATGGCAGCTAGGCAGAAATATCCTCTGTCCACATATACAGAGTAGAACAAAATCAGGGATTCTTAAGGATTTCAATAGTTCTTGCTCATTCTCCATAAATTTCTTTCCCTTCCTATCTCTAGTGGCTGACCTCAGCCACTCCTGTTTTTCCCAGTCTATCCTCCCAGCTAGAACTGAGCAATGCCATCCCCACCATTTCCCAGCTCTAGCCAGTCCCCTACCACCCACTGCATACCTCTTGTTCTTTGCCTAACTGCTGTTCTCTGTGCCTCGTGACATTAGGGGTTCTGAGTGTCATTTAAAATATATTTCCTTCTCTTTGTTTGTTTTAATTAGTCTCACTCAAAAAAAGATGTCTTTCACTTTAATAGTTTTTGCCACCTAGAGAAAACATTGGAAATTTCAGTGAACTGAAATGTAATAGATCTCCAAGATCTAGTATAAGAAAAAAATAAGGTGTTAAATAATGTTTGGAGTCTGCTATTCATTTATGTGGGATATATATATATACACACACACACATATATATACACACATATGTATATACACACATATATATGCATATATATACATATTTGTGTGTATATAAACATATATATGCATATATGTATGCATATACATATATACATATACATATATCTAAATATATATATGTCCTAGATGATTCTCAACTAAGAATTTGGAGTGTGCTATTCATCCCAAATAAATGAATAGCACACTCCACATATATATGAATATATACACATACATATACACACACATATATATAATACGTGTGTCTGTGTGTATATGTTTATATATAATATTTTATATATTTCTTTTTTTTTTTTTTTTTTTTTTTTTGAGACGGAGTCTCGCTCTGTCGCCCAGGCTGGAGTGCAGTGGCGGGATCTCGGCTCACTGCAAGCTCCGCCTCCCGGGTTCACCCCATTCTCCTGCCTCAGCCTCCCAAGTAGCTGGGACTACAGGCGCCCGCCACTACGCCCGGCTAATTTTTTGTATTTTTAGTAGAGACGGGGTTTCACCGTTTTAGCCGGGATGGTCTCGATCTCCTGACCTCGTGATCCGCCCGCCTCGGCCTCCCAAAGTGCTGGGATTACAGGCGTGAGCCACCGCGCCCGGCCTTTATATATTTCTTACATGGGATATATATCCCACATAAGTGAATATATGAAATATACACATATATGAAATATATATTATATTAATAATTATATTATATTATTAATATAATGTATATAACAGATTATATGTTATATATATTTATAGTTCTAAATACATTATCTCTGGGAAGGTATGCAAAAAGAGAGTAAATATTTCAAAAATAAAATTATAGTGTGAGAGAAAAGCTATTTTCTACTCAATATTATAAAAAGATTACTAAGAAAAATGTTTGTCTTCATAAGGGTAGCCACCAAAATTTAACAGTGGTTATCTTCAAAAGACGATATTTGGGAAAAATTTTTCTCCCTCTCCATTTTTGCTTATTTGAGGTTTCTACTTTTATAATAAATATGTTTTATTTGTATATTTAAAATAAAGTGGAGGGAACATTCACTCAACAGAGCAGGAACCCACACAGCCATCTGCATGGAAGGAAATGAAGTCTTGTCTAGGGCAGCAGAGTCCCCGGCCGCAGCACCTTCCTCCTAGAGCTTCTGGCTGATCTGCTGGCCAGGATACCTCCTACCTCCTTGAGGAAGACCGGCCTCGTCCAGGTCAGGAGTAAGGGGCCTGAGGAAAGGCCTGCCACCTGGGTTCTGCAGCCACACTCCTCTTATCCTGTGGCTCCTGTGGCTTGAGCTCTCACAGAAACCTCCAGGGCTGAGTCCCTTCCTTGACGACAGGCCCCACCCCATTCCCGGCCTGGGGCCCTCAACCTAGATGCCTCCTCCAGGAAGGACCCCCAACCACACAAGCACACAAGCTCACAATCACACAGGCACAGGGGATGTGCCCGCTCACAGAAGCCCCACGACCTGAGATCTTCCGGGACTGTGGCCAAACCCCTTCGTCCTCAAAGACCTTTGCCTCCTCCTGCCCCTCAGGCTCTCAAGACTCTGCTCTGAACCTTGGCACCCCTGGAACCGCTTCATTTTTTGGAGCCTCCCCCACGTGGCAGGGCTGATCAGTGCATGGGTAGTGTGACCTAAGCCTGACGACGACTAGAGATTCAAGAAGGCCTCCTAAAAAGAAAATGAACCAACTCTTCCAAAGGGACTGGAGGTCCCAAGCTACCCAGGAGGGGAAGTGATCCCAGCTTTGATGTATTTTAGGGACTGCACACTTGATGTTGCCCAGTGTCTGCTGTCCAGGAGGAAGGCAGATCGATGGCCAAGTGCTCGAGAGACAGGATCTCACTACTTGCCCAAGCTCGTCTTGAACTCCTGGCTTCAAGCAATTCTCCCATCTTGGCCTCCCAAAGTATTGGGATTACAGATGTGAGCCACTGTGGCCGGCCAGGCTCTGCGTTTCTTTTTTAAATTTTTATGAGAGGGCAGTCTACCGGTGACCTCTGAGAACTAGAACTAAAAGGTTATGCAAACTCACAGGAAGGGCAACTTAGCTCATGTGCCAGTTGAAGCTGTAAGGAAGCCAACTGGATGAAGGTGTGTCTTAGTCCCTTTGGACTCTACTATAACAAAATACTTTAGAACGGGTTATTTTCCCCACGGTCTCCCTCTCATGCGGAGCCGAAGCTGGACTGTACTGCTGCCATCTTGGCTCACTGCAACCTCCCTGCCTGATTCTCCTGCCTCAGCCTGCCGAGTGCCTGCAATTGCAGGCACGCGCCGCCACGCCTGACTGGTTTTGGTGGAGACGGGGTTTCGCTGTGTTGGCCGGGCAGTCTCCAGCCCCTAACCGCGAGTGATCCGCCAGCCTTGGCCTCCCGAGGTGCCGGGATTGCAGACGGAGTCTCGTTCACTCAGTGCTCAATGGTGCCCAGGCTGGAGTGCAGTGGCGTGATCTCGGCTCACTACAACCTACACCTCCCAGCCGCCTGCCTTGGCCTCCCAAAGTGCCGAGATTGCAGCCTCTGCCCGGCCGCCACGCCGTCTGGGAAGTGAGGAGTGTCTCTGCCTGGCCGCCCATCGTCTGGGATGAGAGGAGCCCCTCTGCCTGGCTGCCCAGTCTGGAAAGTGAGGAGCGTCTCCGCCCGGCCGCCATCCCATCTAGGAAGTGAGGAGCGCCTCTTCCCAGCCGCCATCACATCTAGGAAGTGAGGAGCGTCTCTGCCCGGCCGCCCATCGTCTGAGATGTGGGGAGCGCCTCTGCCCCGCCGCCCCCTCTGGGACGTGAGGAGCGCCTCTGCCCGGCCGAGACCCCGTCTGGGAGGTGAGGAGCGTCTCTGCCCGGCCGCCCCATCTGAGAAGTGAGGAGACCCTCTGCCTGGCAACCACCCCGTCTGAGAAGTGAGGAGCCTCTCCGCCCGGCAGCTGCCCCGTCTGAGAAGTGAGGAGCCTCTCCGCCCGGCAGCCACCCCATCTGGGAAGTGAGGAGCGTCTCCGCCCGGCAGCCACCCCGTCCGGGAGGGAGGTGGGGGGGGTCAGCCCCCCCGCCCGGCCAGCCATGCCATCCGGGAGGGAGGTGGGGGGTTCAGCCCCCCGCCTGGCCAGCCGTGCCGTCCGGGAGGGAGGTGGGGGGGTCAGCCCCCGCCCGGCCAGCCGCCCCGTCCGGGAGGTGAGGGGCGCCTCTGCCCGGCCGCCCCTACTGGGAAGTGAGGAGCCCCTCAGCCCGGCCAGCCACCCCGTCCGGGAGGGAGATGGGGGGTCAGCCCCCCCACCCGGCCAGCCGCCCCGTCCGGGAGGGAGGTGGGGGGGTCAGCCCCCCGCCTGGCCAGCCGCCCCGTCTGGGAGGGAGGTGGGGGGGTCAGCCTCCGCCCGGCCAGCCGCCCCGTCTGGGAGGTGAGGGGCGCCTCTGCCCGGCCGCCCCTACTGGGAAGTGAGGAGCCCCTCTGCCCGGCCAGCCGCCCCGTCCGGGAGGGAGGTGGGGGGGGTCAGCCCCCCTGCCCGGCCAGCCACCCCGTCCGGGAGGTGAGGGGCGCCTCTGCCCGGCCGCCCCTACTAGGAAGTGAGGAGCCCCTCTGCCCGGCCAGCCGCCCGGTCCGGGAGGGAGGTGGGGGGGTCAGCGCCCCGCCCGGCCAGCCGCCCCGTCCGGGAGGGAGGTGGGGGGGGTCAGCCCCCCGCCCGGCCAGCCGCCCCGTCCGGGAGGGAGGTGGGGGGGGTCAGCCCCCCTGCCCAGCCAGCCGCCCCGTCCGGGAGGTGAGGGGCGCCTCTGCCCGGCCGCCCCTACTGGGAAGTGAGGAGCCCCTCTGCCCGGCCAGCCGCCCCGTCCGGGAGGGAGGTGGGGGGGTCAGCCCCCCGCCCGGCCAGCCGCCCCATCCGGGAGGGAGGTGGGGGGGGTCAGCCCCCCGCCCGGCCAGCCGCCTGGTCCGCGAGGTGAGGGGCGCCTCTGCCCGGCCGCCCCTACTGGGAAGTGAGGAGCCCCTCTGCCCGGCCACCACCCCGTCTGGGAGGTGTGCCCAACAGCTCATTGAGAACGGGCCAGGATGACAATGGCGGCTTTGTGGAATAGAAAGGCGGGAAAGGTGGGGAAAAGATTGAGAAATCGGATGGTTGCCGTGTCTGTGTAGAAAGAAGTAGACATGGGAGACTTTTCATTTTGTTCTGCACTAAGAAAAATTCTTCTGCCTTGGGATCCTGTTGATCTGTGACCTTACCCCCAACCCTGTGCTCTCTGAAACATGTGCTGTGTCCACTCAGGGTTAAATGGATTAAGGGCAGTGCAAGATGTGCTTTGTTAAACAGATGCTTGAAGGCAGCATGCTCCTTAAGAGTCATCACCAATCCCTAATCTCAAGTAATCAGGGACACAAACACTGCGGAAGGCCGCAGGGTCCTCTGCCTAGGAAAACCAGAGACCTTTGTTCACTTGTTTATCTGCTGACCTTCCCTCCACTATTGTCCCATGACCCTGCCAAATCCCCCTCTGTGAGAAACACCCAAGAATTATCAATAAAAAAATAAATTTAAAAAAAAAATAAATAAAGTAGAAAATAAGATGATTGGAAAATTGCCATATATAAAAGACAAAATTATATAAATTCAAGGAATAAGAAAAAAGCAAGGGAAAGTGGAAAACAGACTTGTCACTGAAATATACCATACCCAATTCCATACATACCTTCCTAATACCTGCCCAGTTGGAAGTTACAATTATTTTCTATTATTTGTTCACTAAATATACTGAGTGCCATATTTTTTACTATAAATACACACCCACAAGGCACATCTTTGTTGTCTATCAAGGTATCCTCATATGTCCAAGAGACGTAAGAGCCCTCTCCTTAGGATATTCTTAGTCCAGAATCATCTAGGACATACACCCCTTCCCAAGGGTAGCTAGTTGACCCACTGCCCAGACTAGGTCAAGTCCTGATTTCAGGAACTCTGCCTCTTCTCCTTGAATGTACCATTAAGGCACCTTAACCTATGAGTCAAGAATTTCAACAGATACCCTTCTTAGTTTTCTGAAGTAATTTGTCACTCCCAGAAGTAGGGAAACACTTGTCATTTTTACATGCCCCCAGCTGTGGCACTGCCATTTGCTCCCTGCTTGCCGTCTTGTCTGCCACATCATTCCTTATCTATTCAATCACTTAGTCATCTACATCGCCAATACTTTTTGACCATACCTTCTGTGTTAGTGCCTGGGAAATAACTCCTACCATCAAGCAACTGTCTGTGTTTGATTTCCCAGTTAGAGACTGCCAGGATTGACTAAGAAATAGTTCCAAGTCAGAATATCATTAATTTTTTGATAGGAAAATTATTTACAAAGCACTACTAAAATAGTATGATAGTTATAAAATATTTATAGACAAAAAATAAATAACTAGATATTCATTTAGGAGCCTGGGGGGATGCTAGAGGCCTCTGCAATGTGGAAGACCCTTGAGGAAGATTTGACAGGTGAATGACCATTAAAGCTGAGTCATAAAGAATGAAGAAGCAATCTTCAAGTAGAAATTGGTGAAAGAAGATTCCAGGAAGAGACATCAGCATGGGGAAAGTTAAGGAGATGCGAAAGTTGATGCACATTTAGGGAATAGCCAATAATCCACTATACTTAGAGCACAGAGACTTAGAGTTGGGGTGTAAGACGGGCGGCACAGGGAATAGAAGGAGAAAGCAGGGTAGGGACCCACACAGGGATGGACCTAGCATGCCTTATAGAGTTGTGACCCCAGGTTTCACCCGAACAGGGATTCAGGCTTACATGATATACTGGTGAGTAAGGTCAGGAGAACTCTGTTTGTATCAGGATGGCTTCAGATAATGAAGAAGACAGCCTGATGTCTGTCCCAGATATCGGTTCCCTGCTCTCAGACTGACCTGCCTTGAGAATATGTCCTGTAGGCAGAAGCTGAGGAGCTGGTTTTAAAAGGAAATGTTGGCTGGGCGCGGTGGCTCAAGCCTTTGATCCCAGCACTTTGGGAGGCCGAGGTGGATGCATCACTTGAGGCCAGGAGTTCGAGACCAGCCTGGCCAACATGGTGAAACCCTGTCTCTACTAAAAATACAAAAATTAAGCCAGGCGCAGCGGCTCACGCCCGTAATCCCAGCACTTTGGGAGGCCAAGGCGGGTGGATCACCAGAGATCGAGAGTTTAAGACCAGTCTGACCAACATGGAGAAACCCTGTCTCTACTAAAAATACAAAAAATTAGCCGGGTGTGGTGGTGCATGCCTATAATCCCAGCTACTCGGGAGGCTAAGGCAGGAGAATCGCTTGAACCCGGGAGGCAGAGGTTGCAGCGAGCCGAGATCGCGCCGAGCCGAGATCGCGCCATTGCACTCCAGCCTGGGCAACAAGAGTGAAACTCCGTCTCAAAAAAAGAAAAAATACAAAAATACAAAAATTAGCCAGGTGTGGTGGCATGCACCTGTAGTCCCAGCTACTCTGGAGGCTGAGGCAGGAGAATCGCTTGAACCCAGGAGGCAGAGGTTGCAGTGAGCCAAGATCGTGCCACTGCACTCAAGCCTGGGCAACAGAGTGAGACTCTGTCTCAAAAAAAAAAAAAAAAAAAAGCAAATGTCACTGAGACACAAACAGGGGCCTGGGTCAATGCCTAGGAGATAAGGAACAGCAGGGGAGCGAGGATGGACATTCTCATCACTTCTGCATATAAAAAGCACCTGGCTTTGATAGGCATATCAAGAACTCTAGGGAATGAAGTGATATATTGATACCTTGAGGATTTTCAGCATTAAGAGCCTAAGAAGAGGCTGGGTGCGGTGGCTCACGCCTGTAATCACAGCACTTTAGGAGGCCGAGGCGGACAGATCACGAAGTCAGAAGTTCAAGACCAGCCTGACCAACATAGTGAAACCCTGTCTCTACTAAAAATACAAAAATTAGCCAGGCATGGTGGCTGGCGCCTGTAATCCCAGCTACTCAGGAGGCTGAGGCATGAGAATCGCTTGAACCCAGGAGACGGAGGTTGCAGTGAGCAAAGATCTTGCCACTGCACTCCGGCCTGGGCAACAAGAGCAAAACTCCATCTCAAAGCAAAACAAAACAAAAACAAAACAATTTGCTAGGAGAAGATACTCAACTTCACTGTGATCAGAGAAATGCAAATGGAAACTACAAAGAGATTCAATTTTCCCCTTATACTAATGGTCAAAGATGTCTATAAAAAATTGTAACTTCACAGGTCCTCTGACTATGGAGTTTTGCTCTTAGTTATTATAAAGATATTTTCATAGGTGTGTGAAATGATGTATGTAGAAGGACACTCATTACAGCATTTTTTATTATAGGAAAAGATTGGAAATTACCCAAGTGTTCCTCAGTAAGGAATTGGATAAATAACGGCTCATCTATATAATGGAGTATAATGCAGCTATTTAAAAGAATGAGATGGCTCTATGTGTACTGATATAAAACATTCCCCAAGATATATTAAGTGAAAAAAAGGAGTTATATAATGTACATGCAGTATGCCCTCCTCCCTTCTCTCTCCCTCTCTCTCTCGTGTTTGTGTGTGTTTGTATATATGTGTGTGTGTCTTTTTCTATTTTTTTTTATTTTGTGTATATCTTTTAAATGCTAGAATATCTCTGGAAGGAGTCACATGAAACTGACAATTTTGTTTACTTTCCAGAGAGAGGAATTGGGTGCCTAGGGAGCTTTTTGCCCTTTTGTACTATGTATTTGTATTACATATTCCCCCAAAAAATAAATTTTAAAAAATTGTTGCAGGCTTGTTCCAAATACCTCTTTTCAGGAGATGGTCTTTAACCTTTTCCCCATGGCAAGAATGGCCTGAGAAACAAGAGTCACAATTATACCTAAGATTAAGCAAGCTGAAACCTAGCTTTGCCCTGCAAAAAAGATTCCTGCTTAGGAGATATTACAGTAATTATGAACATGTAAAGGCAAGAAAAAACACACAGATAGACACGGGAAAGATGCCAAAGAGTGACATATCCCAGAGAATAAAAGATTTAGTATGATGAGTGTATAATCACTGTGGCATAGTGAGAAAGACTTGTTAGTGAGGAATGATGAAAACATTTATATGGCAGAAACCAATGGGGCTAACAGAATAGATAAATATGGTATCTGTTAGGGGAATTTGGAGTCCAGATAGAATTAATCAAGACTTATAACATAAGAAGTTTAGGCCAGGCATGGTGGTTTACACTTGTAATCCTAGCACTGTGGGAGGCGGAGGCTGGAGGATCGCTTGAGCCAAGGAGGTCAAGTCCAGCCTGGGCAGCATGGCAAAACCCCATCTCTACCAAAAATACAAAAATTAGCCAGGCATGGTGGCACACACCTGTAATCCCAGCTACTCAGGAGGCTGAGGTAGGAGGATTGCTTGAGCTAGGGAGGCAGAGGTTGCAGTGAGCTGAGACTGAGCCACTGCACTCCAGCCTGGGTGACAGAGCGAGACCTTGTCTCAAAAAAAAAAAAAAAAAAAAAAAAAAATTTAGGGCTGCCACAAGGACCAGTTGAGGCAACACTCCAAATATTGATAATTATGTACATGGAATACATCAAAAAAGAAAAAAGTTTTTTGTTTTGTTTTATTACTTAAGGGGTTTCTTCATAACAAAGATAAGTGATAGAATAGTCACTTACGCTACCATTTGGGTCAAGAACAAGAGATGCTCTAATAAGGGTGTCCAATCTTTCGGCTTCCCTGGGCCACATTGGAAGAAGAAGAATTGTCTTGGACCACATATAAAATACACTAACACCAACAATAGCTGATGAGCTAAAAAAAGAAAACTGCAAAAAATAAATCTCATAATGTTTTAAGAAAGTTTATGGATTTGCGGTGGGCTGCATTCAAAGCTGTCCTTGGCCGCATGCAGCCTGCGGGCAGTGGGTTGGACAAGCTTTCTCTTCTAGCTAGTAAACTCCTGATGCTAAGGCTCAGCTACAGAGGTAAAGGTAGGAAAAGTGTGCCTCCTTGTATGCAGCTTCTACAGACCCCAAAATCCCCATAAAACCCTAATAGTGGGCTGCCGGGCATGCACACCTAATAAAGTAATTATCCATTTAACTTGACCCAATAACCAGACAAAATATCCCAGTCATGAATGGAATTTTGCAGGCATACGTTTCAAGTTCTGTTCGAAGCGCTTGACTTGAAAATTGAGTCATATTTCTTTACAAGCTGCAAAGTCTGTTCTTTTTAGCTGTTGAGTAAGTTGTTAAGCACAACAGTTGATATATAACTTGTTCTGGATATCAAGAATTATAGTCTTTTACATTTTTTAAAGTACTTTTTTTGCCTTTGTTTTCCAAACACAGCTATTTTGTCCTCAAAATAGTTCTGTGATACATGCAGAGGATTATTACCTAATTATTTGTACCTAATTTTAGATGTATAAAATCACTTGTCCAAAAGTTACACTGTTGGCTCATAGCTGGTTTCTGCAACATTTATTTATAGTATTTAAGCAGGCGGTCTTTGAAGTAGAATAGAATATATGAACTAAAATAAACCAAAAACTGAATTAGTTGATGGATTAGTCAGGATTCTTCAGAAAAACAGAACGTGTGTATACACACACACGGAAAGACAGAAGGAGAAAGACAGAGATGGTGAGATTTATTTTAAGGAATTGCCTCATATGATTGCGGGGGCTAAAAAGACCCAAACCCACAGATCAGACTGGAAATTCCAGCAAGAAGTCGACGTCCTGAGTCTGAAGGCAATCTGGAAACATCATTTCTTCTTCTTCAGTGGCCTTCCAGTCTTTTCTCTCAAGGCCTTCAACTAATTGGATGAGGCCCTCCCACATTATGGAGGGTAATCTGTTTACTCAAATCTACTGATTTAAATATCAATCACATCTAAAAAGATAACCTCACAGCAACATCTAGATTGGCATTTGACCAACTGGGCATAACAGCCTAGCCAAGTTGACACATAAAAATAACCCTAACAGTTGGGATTTGGAATGGCTACGTTGGACTCACATCTTACATTAAGGAGTGGCTTATAAACAAGATAGTTCTCAAGTAAGTAGTCAAAGTCAGCAGCCCAGGAATGGCATAGTAACCCTCCAGTCATTAAGAAACAGGCCCATTCCAGTTTGTTGCTCTACTGTCTTCCACACATAGCTTCTGCCTCATGTCCGAATATGACTTCTTAGACTCAACTATCCAATCTCATTCAAATTTTCTGGAAGAGCATCTACCTCACTTTAAAGACACTTCCTGGAAGTTTCACATGTCTTACACACATGGTCTAGAATTTACATAGCCACAGTTTGTTACAAAAGTGGCTGAGAAATGTTGTCTTTATTTTGGTGGTCATTTCTTCAGCTAAAATTCAGGGAATCTGTACTTTAAAATTCAAGGAAGAAAAAAGAATGGATAACTATAGAGAATAGGTCTACCATGCAGAGATTGTTACATTGCACAACTGAAGGGCTGCCATTTATAGCACAGTATATATCATAAATTATTCAGATCTACTCATATGTGAATGTGATTTAGTGATAGTCATATCAAAGTAGACCTAGTCTATGCATGGTTGAGAGGACTACACAAATCAAGGAGGCAGCAATCACACCACAATCTATACTAGGGATCTTCCTAAATTCCTAATTTGCTTAGTGTGGAAGGAAGTGATGACCCCATGGAAGTAGACTTATTCTATATACAGTTGGGTGCACTACACAGCTGTAGGCAGACCTTTCATATTACACTCTATTCCACAGATGTTTCTGGGTTCCTTAATATGCTCAATATGGAGTCAGTGATGATCTCATAAAAATAGATTTAGTTCATGTGTAGGTGGGTACACTCCACAATTTAAGGATTCTATTTATATCACAGTCTATGCCATGAGTCTCTCCGGATTTCTCATATGCTCAATGTGAAAGTTATTGTTGCCCACATGAAATTAGATTGTGTCACGTACTTTGGGTGTGCTGTGTAAAAGGAAAATAAAATCTTGGAAACCCAATTCACTCTGCCAAAGGAAAAAATTAAGCTAAAAGCTGAGTCATGCAAGAAACTGCCTTTCCTTTTGTTTTGAAGCAAATAGCTACACATAAAAGGTTAAATATCTCCGCAGGTAACTACTCTATGTTCAGCTTATCTTATGTAAAGTGCCGATTTACTAAGCGTTAGACAAATACATAATTGACTATTCCCCTACCTGCTCCTATTCTCTAGCAATATGTAAATTCAGTAATGTGACCATGCCCTCCCTCTTTCCCCTCCAGCCTGCTTTTCCCCTTTAAATATTGAAGCCCTCAAAATCAGAAATTTTCCATCTTTTTTTAAAAGAAACCCTACACTCCACTGAAAACATTCGCAATGGTTTTAATCTGAGGCAGAAACAACAACTTGTGAAGCATTTGCCATGTGTTGGGCACAGTACTACACCCTTTATATGTTTTATTTCATTTACTCACTTCCACGACCCTATGAGTTAGTTACTAATCTTATCCCATTTTTATTTTTATTTATTTATTTGGAGACAGAGTCTTGCTCTGTCGCCCAAGCTGGAGTGCAATAACGCTATCTTGGCTCACTGCAGCTTCCGCCTCCCAGGCTCAAATGATTTTCCTGCCTCAGCCTCCCCAGTAGCTGGGATTACAGGCATGCGCCAACACGCCAGGCTTATTTTTGTATTTTTAGTAGAGATGGGATTTCACCCTGTTGGCCAGGCTGGTTTCAAACTCCTGACCTCAGGTGATCTGCCTGCCTCACCCTCCCAAAATGCTGCGATTACAGGCGTGAGCCAGGGCGCCCGGCCTTTACCCATTTTTAAAAACGAGAAAACTGGCCGGGTATGGTGGCTCACGCTTATAAACCCAGCATTTTGGGAGGCTGAGGCAGGCGGATCGCCTGAGGTCAGGAGTTCAAGACCAGCCTAACCAACATGGGGAAACTCTGTCTCTACTAAGAATACGAAAATTAAGCGGGACATGGTGGCAGGCACCTGTAATCCCAGCTACTTGGGAGGCTGAGGCAGGAGAATCACTTGAACCCTGGAGGCAGAGGTTGCAGTGAGCCGAGATTGCACTGCTGCACTCCAGGCTGGGCGACACAGCGAGACTCCTCAAAAAAAAAAAAAAAAAAAAATGAGAGAGAGGAAACCAGGCCAGGCACGGTGGCTCGCACCTATAATCCCAGCAATTTGGGAGGCTGAGGCAGGAGGATCACTTGAGTCTAGGAGTTTGAGACCAGCCTGGGCAACATAGCAAGACCTCATCTCTACAAAAAAAAAAATAAACGAAATTAGCAGGGCATGGTGGTGCGTGCCTGTAGTCCCAGCTGCTCAGGAGGCTGAGTGGGAGGATTGCCTGAGCTCAGGAGGTAGAGGCTGCAGTGAGCGATGATAGCACCACTGTACTCCAGCCTGGGTGACGGAGTGAGACCCTGTCTCCCCAAAAAAAAAGAGGAAACTGAGGCACAGTCCTACAGCTGGTAATTAATAAAACCAATATTTAAATTCAATAAATATTTAAATTCAATCTGAAACCAGAGTGTAAGGTATGCTATCTTGTTAACACCTCTGTAAATTACATTGACATTCTACTAATGGTCTTTTGAGCAGAGAGATTTAGCTGCTCCATAGATAATTAAATTTTGAAAAAAATGGAAAGTGTTTTGAAGGAAAATGTAAGTCAGATCTCAGACTGACATGGGAAACTGTTATGTGTATGAAGTGGTGCATTAATTAATGTACTCCAGTAGCTGAGATTTTATTTTATTCAAAGGAGATGAAATCTTAAATTAGGAGATGAAATTTAAGATTTAAAAAATCATGATTGTAAGGCTGGGTGCAGTGGCTCATGCCTGTAATCCCAGCACTTTGGGAGGCCGAGGTGGGCGGATCACCTGAGGTCAGGAGTTCAAGATCAGCCTGACCAACAGGGCAAAACCCCGTATCTACTAAAAGTACAAAAATTAGCTGGGCTTGGTGGCGGGCACCTGTAATCCCAGCTACAGGAGAATCGCTTGAAACCAGGAGACGGATGTCGAGGTTGCAGTGAGCCGAGATTGCACCATTGCACTCCAGCTTGGGCAACAAGAGCAACACTCCATCTCAAAAAAAAAAAAAATCATGATTGTAGCCTACACTTGGATCTATGCCTAATAAAACAGTCAAGTATGACTGAAGCAAAAACAGTTTACACACACCTTTTGTGATTTATTGGTTACTCAAAGGGAGTCCAGTCCATAGTGTGAAAAGTGAATTGCTGCAGAGATGAAAAGAGGTGTGTCTAGAGGAAGTCCTTGTAGCAGTGTTTTGTTCCTGCTCGGTCTGAGCCTTTGAATAGATCCTGAAACGTTATATCAAATCCTCTCTCAAAGCACCATTATATGAATGAACAAATAATTTATTGAAAACTAAAACTAAACTAAATTAAGATCCCTGGGAAAAGAAAATCAATACTCCAGAACAATGGATCCAAAGCTCAACTAGGCTAACATAATTCTCAAAGTTCTAGCTTTTAGGCCACTTCAATTTGTCTATCAATGCAGCATTGAACTGCTGACAAATTAGGGAGACATAGTCTCCACCCACAAGCTGCTGTTTATAAACACCAGATGTTTCTGGAACTACCACTTCTGCTAAAAAGGTTTAACTTCCCCTCGTAAATTAATAAGAAATAAGAATTGCAAAAATTGGAATATATTCTCAAAGTATTCCTGAACTTGTGGGATAACTAATAACGAGTATACTTATCTTTAAAGTTTTGGCCGGGCGCGGTGGCTCACGCCTGTAATCCCAGCACTTTGGGAGGCCGAGGCGGGGAGATCACGAAGTCAGGAGATCGAGACCATCCTGGCTAACACGGTGAAACCCTGTCTCTACTAAAAATACAAAAACAAAAAATTAGCCGGGCATGGTGGCCGGCACTGCAGTCCCAGCTACTCGGGAGGCTGAGGCGTGAGAGTGGCGTGAACCCGGGAGGCGGAGCCTGCAGTGAGCGGAGATTGCACCACTGCGCTACAGCCCGGGTGACAGAGCGAGACTCTGTCTCAAAAAAATAAATAAATAAAGTTCTGCAGATAAGCAATTCTATGAATATTGAATGTCTTTTTAACCTATAAGAAGATACCACTCTTGATTGATTTTCTTTTTGGGAGTGCCTAGGTTCAATTTAAAGGTTCTCTGCATGAGATACGCCAATTGATGTAAAGGTTGGTTTTTTAAAAAATTTTAATTTCACTGCTTCCTCATTCCTCTGTGTGTGTATACACACTCGCTAGTGATTTCTTTTCTTAGAATAGAAATTATGAATATCATTTTAAAAAGAGCTGTTTCTGCTAACCTTACAAAATATATTTAATTTGCTGTTTAAATGAAATAGCAAACTTTCTCAAACTTACAGATGCCTCTTGAGCCTTGGATTTCCATTTCTATTTGCTGCGTTTCTGAGTCTCTGTTATCACTATTTGGTGTGAAAACATACACGTCATTTTGGCTTATGATTCAGAAAAGACAGTTTTTTTTATCACAGTTTCTCCAGAGTTCACGTTAATAATGCAACATTTGAACTTCTGCTTCTAGTCAAGATGGAGTAACGGGGACCAAATTTACAGGGACAAAACTGTAAAACAGCAGTTTTCAAGACATTGGACATTGGGCAATGGACAATCATCGCTGAGAAACAGGAAACAAACTAAGTGAGCCCTATAATTGCCCCAGGCAATTGAATCCAATTATATATAAAATGGAAAATACATCA
Source organism: Homo sapiens (assembly GCF_000001405.40). Lineage (NCBI taxonomy): Eukaryota > Metazoa > Chordata > Mammalia > Primates > Hominidae > Homo > Homo sapiens. The sequence goes on from NC_000023.11 coordinate 30,614,102, forward strand.
TGAACAAGTGGGGTTCATCCCAGGAATGCAAGATTGGTTTAGCATTCAAAACTTAATCAATAAAACTCAACAGACTAGGAATAGAAGGGAACCTCCTCAACCTAATAAAAGGCATTTATGAAAAAACCTACCGTTAACCTCATTAATGATGAAAGACTGAATGTTTTCTGCCTAAGATCAGGAACAAGGCAAGGATCCACTCTCACCAATTCTATTCAAAATTATACTGGAAGATGCAGCCAGTGAAATAGGGCAAAAATGAAAGGCATTCATATTGTACGGGAAGAATAAAACTGTCTTTATTCACAAATGACATTCCTGTCTATGCAGAAAGTCCTGTGAAATCTACAAGAAAAATACTAGAATAAATGAGTTTAGCAAAGTTGTAGGATACAAGATAAAGAATGAAAAATAAATTGTGTTTTCTATATACTAGCAATGAAAATGGGAAATTTAAATTATAAATTATAACAATATCATTTACAGTGACAACAAAAATATAAAATACTATCATGTCTGTAATCCCAGCATTTTGGGAGGCCAAGGCAGGCAGATCACTTGAGCCCAGGAGTTCGAGACCAGCTTGGGCAACATGGCGAAACCCTATCTCTACAAAATAATCCAATAAAAATTAGCCTAGTGTGGCGGTGTGCACCTGTAGTCCCAGGTACTTGGGAGGCTGAGATGGGAGGGTCACCTGAGCCCAGGTGGTTAAGGCTGTGGTGGGCCATGATCCCACCACTGCACTCCAGCCTGGGCAATAGAGTGAGACCCTATCTCAAGCATATATATATATGCTTTGTTAGGGATAAACCTGACAAAGTGCATGTGATACCTACACACTGAAAACTAAAAAACATTGCTGAGATAAATGAAAGAAGACCTAAATAAATGCAGAAATATACCATGTTCATTGATTGAAAGACTCAATATTGTGAAGACATCTCTTTGAAACAAACCCAATAAGATGTCAGCATGATTGTCTTTAAAGCTTAACAGGATGATTCTAAAATTAATATAGAAATGCAAAGAACCTAGAATGCCTCAAATATCTTTGAAAAGTAGGAAACAAGTTGGAGGACTTATAATACTTATATTACTTGATTTGTAGGAGGACATATTACTTGACTTCAATAGTGACCCCTTATCCATGGTTTTGCTTTCTGTGGTTTTAGTTACCTGCAGTCAACCATGGTCCAAAAATATTAAATGGAAGATTTCAGAAGTAAACGATTCATAAGTTTTAAATTGCACATCATTATGAGAAGCATGATAAAACCTTGTGCCTTCCTGCCAGGGATGTGAATCATTTCTTTTTTCAGTGTATCCACGCTGTATACACTACCCACTTATTAGTCATTTAGTATTCATCTCAGTTATCGGATTGACTGTCATGGTATGGCAGTACTTGTGTTCAAGTAACCTTTATTTTACTTAATAATGGCCCTAAAGTGCAAGAGTAGTGATGCCGGCAATTCAGATATGCCAAAGAAGAAGGATGTATATAGTACAAGAAGATATTTTGAATATACATGTATCAAAATATCACATTGTATCCCACAAATACAATTATTGTGTGTCAATTAAAAATAAAATAAAACTTTTAAAAAGGGATATTTTGAGAGAGACCACATTCACACAGCTTCTATTACAGTATATTGTTGTAATCATTCTACTGTATTATTAGTTATTTTTATGAATCTCTTAATTTGCCTAATTTATAAATTAAACATTATCAAAGTTTTATATGCATAGGAAAAAACATAGTATAGATGAGGTTTGGTAAAATCCATGGTTTCAGGCATCCACTGGGAGTCTTGGAACATATACAATGAGGATAAGAGCAAGTTACTCTATACAGTTGCAGTTGGTATTGGTGTAAAGTTTGATAAATAGGTCAGTTGATCAGAATAGGGAATCCAAAAATAGACCCATATCAGTATAGTCAATTGGCTTTTTACAAAGGTACAATGGCAATTCAGCAGAGAAAAGCTAGTCTATTCAACAAATTGTGCTGGAACAGTTGGATATTCAACCATATTCAAAAAAGAAACTTAAATTCACGCTTTGCAGTATATACAAAATTAACTGAAAATATATCAGAGACCCAAAGGTAAAGTCTATAACTATACAACTTCTAGAAAAAAATAAGAGAAAATCTTTGTTACATTGGGTTTGGCAGTGATTTCTTAGATATAACATCAAAACCGTGATACATAAAATAAAAGAAATGGTAAATTGGACTTCGACCATATTAAGAGCTTTCACTCCCCAAAAAAATACTAAGAGAATTAAAAGATAAACCACAGATTGGGATAATATGTATGCAAATTGCATATCTGTTAAAGAACTAGTATCCAGAATATATAAAGAAAACAACTCAATTAAAAGTGGGTGAAAATTTTGAATAGACATCTCACCTAAGAAGATATATAGATGTCAAATAAGCACATTAACAGATGATTCAACACCATTAGTTAAGGGAAATGCAAATTAAAATCGCAATGAGCAACTGATACGCACCTATTAAAATGTCTAAAATTAAAATGACTGATCATACCAAGTGTCGGTGAGAATGTGGAACAACTGAAACTATTATGAATTTCTGGTGGAAATGTAAAATGGTACAACCACTTCAGAAAACAATTGTGCAGTTTATCAAATAGTTAAACATATACCTAAGTATTTGCCCAGTGAAAGAGAAATCAAAGCATATATACACAAGATTTGTATACAAATGTTCATAGCAGCTTTACTTGTCAATAGCCAAAAACTGGAAACATTGCGAATATCCATCAACAAGTGAATGAATAAAAATTATGTAAGCCAGGCATAGTGGTATGTGCCTCTAATCCCAGTTACTCTGGAGGCTGAGGTGGGAGGATAGCTTGAGCCCAGGAGTTTGAGACCAGTCTGAGCAACACAGAGAGAACCCCATCTCAAAAAAAAAAAATTGTGATGCATCATGCAATGGAATATTACTAAACCATAAAAAAGAATGGGACTTCTTTTTCCAAAATAATGATATAGAAGCAAACTCGCTTCATTCTCCTACCCACAGACAACCAAAAACAAATATACATTGCCAAGATTATCAACAGAAACATCCCAGATCTTATATAGGAAGATGAGACCGTTTCCAGGGCAGCAGAGAAGTGAAAAAACTCTGAGCCGACGGTAAGAGAATCAAACTTCAACATCCACAGTGCAGTGCCCTTGCCCCATTCTGCCTGGCACCAAGTGCATAGAAAATTTTCCCCCAACTGGAGGCCAAAGTGGGTGAGAGCACATGCTGTTGGGAGTTGCTTGGAGGTTGGCGGTGCAGGGCTGAAGGCTAGCAAACCAAGCAATCATGTTGCACAAACAAATTTACTATTCGGACAAATACGACGACGAGGAGTTTGAGTATCGACATGTCATGCTGCCCAAGGACATAGCCAAGCTGGTCCCTGAAACCCATTTGATGTCTGAATCTGAATGGAGGAATCTTGGCATTCAGCAGAGTCAGGGATGGGTCCATTATATGATCCATGAACCAGAACCGCACGTCTTGCTCTTCCGGCGCCCGCTACCCAAGAAGCCAAAGAAATGAAGCTGGCAAGCTACTTTTCAGCCTCGAGCTTTACACAGCTGTCCTTACTTCCTAACATCTTTCTGATAACATTATTATGTTGACTTCTGTTTCTCACTTTGATATTTAAAAGATGTTCAACACACTGTTTGAATGTGCTGGTAGCTGCTTTGCTTCTTGAGTAGAGCCACCACCACCATAGCCCAGCCAGATGAGTGCTCTGTGGACCCACAGCCTCAGCTGAGTGTGACCCCAGAAGCCACGATGTGCTCTGTATGCAGAACACACTTGGCAGATGGAGGAAGCATCTGAGTTTGAGACCATGGCTGTTACAGGGATCATGTAAACTTGCTGTTTTTGTTTTTTCCTGCCGGGTGTTGTATGTATGGTGACTTGTGGATTTATGTTTCAGTGTACTGGAAACTTTCCATTTTATTCAAGAAATCTGTTCATGTTAAAAGCCTTGATTAAAGAGGAAGTTTTTATAATCTAAAAAAAAAAAACAATTTCCCCCAACTCCCTGTTTCTACACTGGAAAAAGTAAGATTGAGGTGCACAATCAACTTCCCCACCATCTTGGGTTCCCAGGCAGGATGTTTCTGCTTTAACCCACTGGAAGCATTGCGAGTGCCTGAAGGGAAAAATATTCCTGAGGACAGGCAGTGACAAAGGCGGGAGGCAGGACTACCATCCCCAGACCTGAAAACTCATAAGCAGGAGACGCCAAATCAGAGTGGCTGCTCAGCAGCATGACGCCAAATCAGAGTGGCTGCTCAGCAGCACCATGCTATAGGAGGTTCATCCTACAGATCCCCTGGGCATGAACCACTAGACAGCCTTCCTAAAATGCTGGGATATCCCCTTTAGGACCTCCCCCATTTGGATTGGGCAGTGCGCCGATTGTTTACTAGAGCAGAGGTGAACTTGAGCTTAAAGCACCACCTAGAGCTAAAAGGAGGCAGTGACCTAGCAGTAAACAACTTCTAAGCAAATATATCCAATTAAAAAAAAAAAAAGCCAGACAGAGAAGACTGGAATAAATAACTCATCCTTCAATGCAAAGACATAGACATATAAACACCGGAAACAACAACAAACAGGGAACTATGACCTCTCCAAATGGACAAAGCAAAGAACCAGTAACTGACCCTAATGAGATGATGATATGTGACCTCTCTGACCAAGAATTCAAAATAGTAGCTTCAAGGAAACTCAGTGATCTCTAAGATAACAGAGAAAAGCAATTCAGAAACTTATCAGGGAAATTTAACAAAGAGATTGAAATAATTTAAAATAAAAATAAATCTTTGAACTGAGAAATACATTTGCTGAACTGAAAAAGGAATGGATTAGCAGTGCATACAACATGGATGGATCTCAAAATAATTTTTCTGTGTGATAAAGGTCAAACAAAAAAGAGTACCTGCTATATGATTCCATTTCCATAAAACTCTAGAATATGCTTACTAATCAATAGCAGCAGAAAACAGATCAGTGGTTGCCTTGGAATGGAAGATGCAGGAGAGGATTACAAACACTCATAAGTAATGAACAGAATGAGGGACATGGTCAAATAGCAGCTGCCTTGTGGGTTAAAAGAATGTGAAAATAACTTCAATCGAGTAAAAAGTTAGTACAGAAAGGGGAAGCAATTTTATAAATAAATGCTAGTCATTCTCAATTTCATAAATTATTTCTAAATGTATTTTGTTAGTAGCCTGTCTTATTTTTTGAAATTTGAGATTGTTTCATTTAAATTTAAAAGACAGGGAAATACACACACAGCCCATCTCAATGAGGAACGAGATTGCAATCATTGTGACCAGACATTACCAGATAATGTATCATGCCTTGTAATGTAAATTATGGCTGAGAGAAGGCAAAATGCTCTTTTTTTTTTTTTTTTTGAGACGAAGTCTCACCCTGTCACCCAGGCTGGAGTGCAATGGCGCTATCTCGGCTCACTGCAACCTCCGCCTCCCGGGTTCAAGTGATTCTCCTGCCTCAGCTTCCCGAATAGTTGGGATTACGGGCGCGCGCCTCCACGCCCAGCTAATTTTTGTATTTTGAATAAAGACAGGGTTTCACCATGTTGGCCAGGCTGGTCTTGAACTCCTGACCTCGTGATCCACCCGCCTCGGCCTCCCAAAGTGCTGGGATTACAGGTATGAGCCACTGCGCATGGCCCAAAATGCTCTTTTAAAGTAATTCAGACAGGATTCTAGCTCCCAATAAATAAAAGGAACAATGGATTTTTCTTATATAACTTGGTCTTCTGCCTCTTGTAGAGAAAGTTTGCAAAGAAAATTAATTTCTGTGAAGGCAGGATGTGTTTGCTCTCAAATTCTCTAGAAGATCAACTAGAGCTCCTCTTCTTTATGCCCCCCTTCCCTATGACCCTCTTTCCATAATACAGACTACAAGGCTCTGCAACTGTCTGCCTTGGAGGAGCGGTAACTGGAAGGAGGAGAAAAAGACATTGAAATTAGGGGTACTTGAAGCTGCAAAATCTCCAAAGCTCCAGAAAAGACTGGTGAGTACTGTGATTTAGTTATTTCTAATGGGAGATTTGGCAAATACTGAGGGCAGGGCCTTGTCTCCTTTCCCAGTGATGTAGTTTGGATGTTTATCCTGGCCCAAATCTCATGCTGAAATGTAATCTTCAGTGTAGGAGGTGGGGCCTGGTGAGAGGTGTTTGGATCATAGGGCAGATCCCTCAAGAATTGCTTGGGCCATCCCCTTGGTGATAAAATGGGCTCTTGCTCTGAGTTTACAGGGGATCTGGTCATTTAAAAGTCTGTGGCACTTTCCCCGGCTCTCTCTCTCTCTCTCGCTCCTGCTTTCACTATGCGAAATGTCTGCTCCTGCTTCACCTTCCAACATGAGTAAAAGCTCCCTGATGCCTCTCTAGAAACCAAGCAGATGCCAGCAGCATGCTTCCTGCAAAGCCTGCAGAACCATGAGCAAATTAAACCTCTTTTCATTATAAATTACTCAGTCTCAGGTATTTGTTTATAGCAATGCAAGAACAACCTAGTACACCACATTAAATCAAAGAGGATAAGATAAAGAAATGGCTTGAGAAGCATATCAGTTTGGGTTCAATCAGGGGAAAAACACACAAAGAAATGTTATAAACAATTATTGGCTGGGCATGGTGGCTCACGCCTGTAATCCCACCACTTCGGGGGGCCGAGGTGGGTGGATCACTTGAGGTCAGGAGTTGGAGACCAGCCTGGCCAACATGGTGAATGAAGCCCTGTCTCTACTAAAAATAAAAAAAAATGTAGCTGGGGGTGGTGGCAGGCACCTGTAATCCCAGCTTCTTGGGAGACTGAGGCACAAGAATCACTTGAACCTGGGAGGCAGAGGTTGCAGTGAAAGGAGATTGCACCACTGCACTCCAGCCTGGGTGACAGAATGAGACTGTCAAAACAGTCAAAACAGTCAAGACTGTCAAAACTGTCAAAACAAAACAAAACAAGACAAAACAAAGCAAAACAAATAAAAAAAACAATTATTAACTATAACAGAGGATTGAAGAAATGAGAGACTGCCTAGTAAAAGGTAAGGAGAACACTACAGAATGTAAGAACAGCAGATATAGAAGTCGACACACCAGGTCCCAAAATAGAGTTGCCAAGGAAGATTACCTCACCCAGGGATGAGATCCAGACCTCGTCAGCAAGTCATGGTTATGACTCACTGACAGAGAAGTTGTGGTGTCTCACCAGCAGAACTTGCTGGTGTTAAATAAAATTTATGGAAGGCAATTGAGTTGGACAGAGCTGCTGTACTATACCCCAATAGACCAGCCCAAAATGGAATCACTCATGCTAAGGTTCCATGTAACCAAACTGAAACCTAAGCTGTTTACTTGTAAGATTTGACCTTCCAAGAAATCAGGAAAGAAATGAGAGCCAAATTCCCAAACAGGCCAGTTTTCTAAAAGAAAAACAGGAGATTCACAGCAACCAACCAAAAGGGGCCAAGGCAACCTGAGCCAGCAGGATAAGAAAATCCCCTTTGCGGCCGGGCGCGGTGGCTCATGCCTGTAATCCCAGCACTTTGGGAGGCCGAGACGGGCGGATCACGAGGTTAGGAGATCGAGACCATCCTGGCTGACACGGTGAAACCCCGTCTCTACTAAAAATACAAAAATTAGCCGGGCATGGTGGCGCGCGCCTGTAGTCCCAGCTACTCGGGAGGCTGAGGCAGGAGAATGGCGTGAACCCGGGAGGCGGAGCTTGCAGTGAGTCGAGATCGCGCCACTGCGCTCCAGCCTGGGCGACAGAGCGAAACTCCGTCTCAAAAAAAAAAAAAAAAAAAAAGAAAATCCCCTTTGCTTTAACTCATACAAGAAAAGTAACCTGTTGTTAACCAATCCACCTTTTGCACTATGCTGCTTCCTTGTTCCTGCCAAAGTTATCTTACAAAAACTGACTGTTCTGCTATGCCCAGTGGAGTTTCTGTCTATTTTGTAGACTGGATGATGCCCAGTTCATAAATTACTAATAAAAGTCAATGCTATTTTTAAAAATCAATTTGTTGAAATTTCATACTTTAATGCTAGAAACCCACCTTCTGTTAACTTGCTAGAAAAAAAAATCCATCATCAAGGATTCCCAGGAAGATGTTTACAGGGAGGTTTCTCATGAGAGGCACTCTGCTACAAAACCACCCAAGGTGGGGGCCAGGTGAAGCTGCTGGACACTACATGCTGCTGGCAGCTGTGCACTGTGGGGACTGGGGACTGGAGAAACTGCCTACACTGGAGAAGCCCAGAGCCCTACAGGAGAGTGCCTGAGCAAGCATACCAGAGCATGAAATGAAATACTTTTCTCCTACAATGTCTCTCCAGCACCTTCTACTGACAAAGATGAACTTTGTGCAGCTGGCAAAAGAAGCATATTTAAAGGGCCCAGACCCATTTTCCCATAGCAGACAAAAAGGGCGAATATGGACCTCAGAGTCAATGAATCAATAACTGGCACAGGAAGTGAGAAAAAAGCAGAGCGGAGTCAGTGAGCAAGATGATGTTCATGGGGAAAACCCTTGGAAGGCCTAAGAAATGCCTACATAGGACACCTCCTGCATACACACAAGGTTCTTATGTATAGAAAGTAGGTGAGTGCTGGTCCTCCTCAGCCCTCCATCCATAAGCATTAGCTACTAGTTCTCTGCAGGTATGAAAAGTTAGTATTTGCTCTGGGTCTTGTGTGCACTGCTTTCAGAAAACTATGGTGGCCCTGGCAGAGAGAAGTATGCCCATCCCCCAGGGTCTTCAACTAGCATTGGCTGTATTTATAAGGTTAGTTACTAAAGGCCAAGGAGCACTTACCCAGAGATGGTGGCTTAAACAGACTAACAGTATACTCACTTCCCCGACTTTCCCTTCTCCAGCAGGGAACCAAAAAGAAAAGTAAGGATAATGTAAGAAACATTTATTAAGTATCCTTTATCACACACTATACTAGACACTTTTATATATATGTATATATTTCATATACATACATTTTACAGAAGAGGTATCTGAAAATTAGTGGACCAAGTAGCAGAACTATGACTTAAACTCTTAACTTCTAACTCAAATTCAGAGTTAATTCCATTAATCCAAGTGGAAGACTGGCTTCCCATATATATCATCAAGACGACTTGTTGATCAGACAAAGTTGACTTTATTCTTATTGAAGTAAAAGAAAGAAACCATGACAGAATCTTGGGCAGGGAACGGAAAGTTAAGATATTTATGAGAGTTTGAAATCTGACTTAAGGCAGGCCTTTCAATTAAGGGTCTTATTATTGGGTAAGAATAATAGTTTAGGATTGGTAGAAAAGGCAAGATGAGGATTTTAAGAAAAGGAATTCAAAATATCTGGGGTATAAATCGTTGTTTGATGCTTTCTATAGAAGAGTCAATATGTCTTTCGAAAATTTCCCAGAATGAGCAACAGTTATTTGCAGTTATGATCTTCTTGGGCAAGAGTCTCTTAGGAGAGTCTCTTTCAGAGTACTGAAAGTCCTAGCTCCAGCAATCAGAGAAGAAAAAGAAATAAAGGGCATCCAATTGGAAAGCAAGGCCAGGAGCGGTGGTTCACACCTGTAATCCCAGCACTTTGGGAGGCCGAGGGGGGCAGATCACCTGAGGTCTGCAGTTCAAGACCAGCCTTGCCAACATGTTGAAACCCTGTCTCTACTAAAAATACAATAATAATAATAATAATAATAATAATAGCTGGGCATGGTGGTGGGTATCTGTAATCCCAGCTACTTGGGACGCTGAGGCACAAGAATCACTTGAACCTGGGAGGTGGAGTTTGCAGTGAGCTGAGATCATGCCACTGCATTCCAGCCTGGGCGACAGAGCAAAATTTCTTAATACCCCACAAGCAAAAATGGACAAATGGGATCACATCAAGTTAAAAAGCTTCTGTGCCGCAAAGGAAACAATCAACAAAGTGAAGAGACAACCCACAGAATGGGAGAAAATATTTGCAAACTACTCATCTGACAAGGGATTAATAACCAGAATATATAAATAGCTCAAACAACTCTATTGGAAAAAATCTAATAATCCAATTTTAAAATGGGCAAAATATTTGAATAGACATTTCTCAAAAAAAGACATACAAATGGCAGACAAGCATATGAAAAGGTGCTCAACATTTGGAGAAATGGAAAAATGCAAATCAAAACTACAATGAGATATCATCTCACCCCAGTTAAAATGTCTTATATCCAAAAGACAGGCAATAACAAATCCTGGCGGGGATGTGGAGAAAAGACAGCCCTTGTACACTGTTGATGGGAATAAGGCCGGGCGCGGTGGCTCAAGCCTGTAATCCCAGCACTTTGGGAGGCCAAGGCAGGAGGATCACGAGGTCAGGAGATTGAGACCATCCTGGCTAACACGGTGAAACCCCGTCTCTACTAAAAATACAAAAAAATTAGCCGGGCGCGGTGGCAGGTGCCTGTAGTCCCAGCTATTCGGGAGACTGAGGTAGGAGAATGGCGTGAACCTGGGAGGCGGAGCTTGCAGTGAGCCGAGATCACGCCACTGCACTCCAGCCTGGGCAACAGAGCGAGACTCCGTCTCAAAAAAAAAAAAAAAAAAAAAACACTGTTGATGGGAATAAATTAGTACAATCACTATGGAGAACAGTTTGCAGGTTCCTCAAAAAAGTAAAAATAGAGCTACCATATGATCCAGCAATTCCACTGGATATACTGTATTTACTCACAAGAAAGGAAATCAGAGTATTGAAGCGATATCTGCATTCCCATGTTTCTTGCAGCACTGTTCACAATGGCTAGAATTTGGAAGCAACCTAAGTGTCCATCAACAGAGGAATGAATCAAGAAAGTATGGTACTTATACACAATGGAGTACTATTCAGCAATAAAAAAGAATGAGATCCTGTCATTTGCAACAACATGGATGGAACTGGAGGTCATTCTGCTAAGTGAAATAAACCCAGCAAAGAAAGATAAACATTGCAGGTTCTCACTTATTTGTAGGATCTCAATATCAAAACAATAAAATGTACGGACATAGAGAATGGAAGGATGGTTACCAGAGGCTGGAGAGGATAGTGGTGGGTGGTGGGGGCAAGTTACCAATGGTTAATGAGTACACAGAAAATAGAAACAGCGAATAAAACCTAGTATTTGATAGCACAACAAGGTGCCTGTAGTCAATAATAATTTAATTGTACATTTTAAAATCACTAAAAGAGTCCAATTGGATTGTTTGTAACACAAGGAATAAATAAATGCTTGAATGGATGGATACCTCATTTTCCATGATGTGATTATTATGCATTGCATGCCTGTAACAAAATATCTCATGTACCTCATAAATATATATATATATCTATATATACCTACTATGTACCCACCAAAATTCAAATAAAATATTTTTAAAAAATAAAAAATTTAAAAACATTTTAAAATTTTAAAAATAAAGACAATGAGGCTGAGTGCGGTGGCTCACGCCTGTAATGCCAGCATTTTGGGAGGCCGAGGCCGGTGGATCACGAGGTCAGGAGATCAAGACCATCCTGGCTAACACAGTGAAACCCCGTCTCTACTAAAAATACAAAAAAATTAACCAGGTGTGGTGGCAGGCGCCTGTGGTCCCAGCTACTCGGGAGGCTGAGGCAAGAGAATGGCGTGAACCCGGGAGGCGGAGCTTGCAGTGAGCCAAGATCATGCCACTGCACTCCAGCCTGGGCCACAGAGCGAGACTCTGTCTCAAAAAAATAAAATAAAATAAAATAAAATAAAGAGTGGAGGATGGAGTAGTAAAGTTACATTAATGATTGTAAATAGTGAGCTCTGTGGGCGTAGATGGTTTTGGTTGTCATCCATAAGGCCTTTTTCTTCTTGATGATCATAAAAATTCAAGCATCGTATGTGGCAAAGTATTCTGTACGTGAAATGATCATTAACCGATTTCAATATTAAGACCACTGTAAGCATACTAACTCCTATATGGAAGTAGTAGAACTTCCTATGTGCTCTACATATACCAGCTCATTTAACCATCATACAACTCTATGTGGTAGGTACTATTTTCATCCACATTTTATAGATAGTGAATTTACACATGGAAAGGTTGAGTAACTTGCTCTAGGTAAAATGCAGTAGGCAACCGAGCTGGAATTTGAATCCAGGCAGTCTGATTCCAGAGTGCTTGCTCAGGACCAATATACTAATTGTTCCATGTTAGGGTTTTTCAGCTACCTTTTCCTCAATTCAAGTGCAATTCCAATAATTCAGTTCAGCAAGGTGATTTGCCCAAGGTCATTCAGTTAATAAGTTATGGCCTTAGAACTAAGTTTTCAGGCTACTTCACCTAAGTAATGTTTTCCCTGCCCTTCTCTCGGTCTTCCATAACTAACTCTTCAATTTCCAAAGAACTATTAGCAAGTCCATTAAATATTGCCCAACAAAGACAAAATACACACAAAAAACTAGTTCTTTATTAACCTAAGCTGGAGGTCTCTGCAAGTTAGAGCACTGACTGAACTTTGATTCCTGCTATAAAATACGAAGTGAGAAAGATGCAAAATTTTCATGTTCTCACAGTTTTGAAGTGGCTTTGCTAAACAACCTTCATTAGGAAGCAACTAAGAGTAATAATCCCTTACTTAAAACAAATGTTTAACTCTTATAATAGAAATGTAAACACAGCAATGATTTGTGATTTCTCAATATGTTCTTCTTCACTAAAGGGCATTTGATCTGTAGTCAGGATAAATGTACTACAAACTTAAAACTTCCAAAAATAAGGACACAGAGCAGAGAAGAAAGATAAGCTATGAAATAAACCTTATTTGGATAAGAGAAAATAAAGCATGGCACCATTAAATTTCTAATACTAAAGTTTTCTTTCCATTAACTCAGGAAATACAGCTTTATAAAGGTCATTGGGATTGGCCTTCTTTGGATTTTAAAAGAATAATAACACCTGTCTTTCAGTTGCTGTGCCCATTTTTGTGAATTCTGAAGTTGATGGGCAAGTTGGTTTTCAACTCTGAGCAAAGGAAAAGATAGGTGTTGTAGGGTCTCAGAAAATGATACCCCAAAATGAAGGTCTCAGAAGCAGTTATTTCTGACTTTCTCCTGCCCTCTTATCGCTGGCCTCTCATTCTCCCCCAGGGCTAGCTACAGAAACTAGAATCCCTCTTCCCCAAAATAAGTCAGAAGCCAGAACCCCTTTCTCCCAAAGCCAGCCATAAAACCTAAAATTATTACTCTAACTTTCTCCCTGCCTTTCTGTGTAGAAACTGGCCATGAAGACAAACGATCTAATCTACCTTGTTTCACTGTCATGAGACCCCCCCACTCCAGACAGGGACCTGCCCCATACCCAGAAGGAAGGAGTGCATGCTCAGAGGCCAAGAAGAATTTAGACAGACAGGCCTTACTTGGTTTCCCCACATTTTTTGTCCGATCATATTTCTACACAGCTATCTGTGCTTTGTTGAACCTTAGCAGGAAAATGGACAGTTTCTCCTATATCTTTGAGTTTTCATTGTGAATGCTCTCACGTTTGTGTAAAATTATGATCAAATAAATTTGTGTCTGTCTTTTGTCGGTGATTTTCAGCAAACCTTCAGAGGGTGAAGGGAATGTTTTCCCTTGGTCCCTACAGTGTGCAACTTATAGACAATTGCCAATGAAGATATTGCCTTTCTTTGTTGTGCATTTCACAACCAGATTATGTAACTTTTTCACGGTATGTCATCATCAGCAGCAACGTATTTAAATAACATGCTAAGTACACAAGGATACTTGGCTTTTTACTTAGTGTGATTTGAAGTGGACTTTGTTGCTTCCTGTCTTTCCTCTTAGTGGGTAGAATGAAAGGAGAAGAGAGAAAGAGGTAGGGGGTGACAGGAATGTTCTTATAGGCCTGCTTGGAGAAAGGCATGAACGTGCTCCCTATTCATCCCCCCAACCCAACACCCACGCCCACATTACATAAGCAGCTCCATTCAGATGAAAGAAGCTCATTATATTGCCTTGAAAATGACACAATAATTGTGTGTCTCTCAGCTGCCTTTCCCTGTATTTACATCCCCAAAGCCGTGCAAAGTTTCCACTCCTAATCCAACCCCAAACCCTCCTCACCCTGCACTCATTCTTTTGATACCATTTCCTTAAGAACCAACCATTGTGGAGGTTGTCACCTAGGTCGAAACCAGGTTAAAAAAATATTATACTGAAGAAAAAACACTTCTCAAGCAGCAAGCAAATATTTGCTGAGAGCCTATTATGAGGCCATACCTTTACTTAATGCCAGGTAGACCAAATACAGGAAGTGCCCTCCTAAACAAGAGACTAACCCTGCCCTTTGACAACGAGGGATTCTCCTACGTGAACAGCCACCTCAGCCTTAAGTTTTGACCATCCCTCCAAGATACAACAAGCCAGAATTTTGTCTCTACCTTAAAGAGTAAAATTTCTGGACTTAGAAGTTCGAAGATTTGCACTTAAGTTCGGGCTCAGTTCCCTAATAACACATATCAACTCTCTATGTAGGTCACTCTTGTTCATTAGTAATCTCCTTCATTTTGATTCATATTAGCTTCACTTCGGATGATAATTTTTTTTCTGATGTTCTCAAATTCTGGGTTGGATACTACTAATGCCATGAAATCAGGAGGGAAGATTAAGTTTAGGAGACAAATATATAATTGGTCATGAAAATGCGCATTTGAGACCTTAGAAAAGAATTGATATTCCTGAACAGTATGATTTTATGTAATTATAGAAGCAATTCTTCTATTATCCTCAAATTAGCTTCTATTACTAAATTTTGCATAGGGTTTCTATGCAAATTGAATTATAAATTATAAGCCAAATTGTATTCTCGTTTCTTTTTCCATGTAAACTGCCAGAGTCAGTTTTGTGTGTGTGTATCTGTGTGACATGCACACAGTAAGTATTGCTAACTCAAACTTTTTGTCAATGAAGAGTTGATGAGGAGAAATGTGTTATAGCAGGGGATCTGAGGGATGGTAAAACTTTCTCAGGAGGCGTGCCAAGAACAGAGTACTTGGTCTGCATCAGAAGAAGACCCCTCTCTATCTGCAAAGGCTATAGTTGTATCAGTAAATGAAGGACTCTGTAAAAGAGCAAAAGCACTGGCCGGGAGTGGTGGCTCATGCCTGTAATGTCAGCACTTTGGGATGCCAAGGGGGTGGATCACCTGAGGTCAGGAGTTTGAGACCAGTCTGGCCAACATGGTGAAACCCTGTCTCTACTAGAAATACAAAAACTAGCCGGGCGTGGTGGTGGGCGCCTGTAATCCCAGCTACTCCGGAGGCTGAGGCAGGAGAATCGCTTGAACCTGGGACGCAGAGGTTGCAGTGAGCCGAGATCACGCACCACTGCACTCCAGCCTGGGCGACAGAGCAAAACTCCGTCTCAAAAAATTAAAAACAAACAAACAAAACAAAAGGAAAAAAGAGCAAAAGCACTGATGCAGAAGCAGGGGCAGCAGACACACCTCAAAATAAAGAAGGGAAAGACGTAAAGGAATTAAGCAGTTAGGAATCTTATTGCTTCTCAGGTTTAATTCAGGTACTAAACTAACATAGCAAGTTTTCCTTCAGGTTGCAGTAAACTGAAGTACTGTCAAGGGGGTATTATAAAGAAGCCACATCTGTCCTCTCCAGATAAATTACTAGCATTCCAGCTCCTCTGGAATTGGGAACATCCCTGTATAGTCCCAGAAGTGGCCACTGTTCTCAGGTCCTGGGATAGGCAAAATAGTGATACCCCCAAAATGTCCATGCTCGAATCCCTGGAATCTGTGAATATGTATCCTTCCATGGCAACAGGGAATTAAGGCTGCAAGTTGAGTTAAGGTTGCTAATCAGATGACCTTACGATAGGAAAATTATCCTGAATTGCTGCTCGGCGGTCCCACGGGTCTGTCTCTTGCTTCAACAGTGTTTGGACGGAACAGTTCCGGGGACTCTTTCTTCCAGCTTCCGACCGCCCTCCTATTTCCTCTCCACTTGCAACCTCCAGGACCATCTTCTTGGCCATCTCCTGCTTCTGGGACCTGCCAGCACCGTTTTTGTGGTTAGCTCCTTCTTGCCGACCAACCATGAGCTCCCAGATTCGTCAGAATTATTCCACTGACGTGGACGCAGCCGTCAACAGCCTGGTCAATTTGTACCTGCAGGCCTCCTACACCTACCTCTCTCTGGGCTTCTATTTCGACGGCGATCATGTGGCTCTGGAAGGCGTGAGCCACTTCTTCCGCGAATTGGCTGAGGAAAAGTGCAAGGGCTACGAGCGTCTCCTGAAGATGCAAAACCAGCGTGGCAGCCGTGCTCTCTTCCAGGACATCAAGAAGCCAGCTGAAGATGAGTGGGGTAAGACCCCGGACACCATGAAAGCCGCCATGGCCCCGGAGAGAAAACTGAATCAGGCTCTTTTGGATCTTCATGCCCTGGGTTCTGCTCGCACGGACCCCCATCTCTGTGACTTCCTGGAGAGTCACTTCCTAGATGAGTAAGTGAAGTTCATCAAGAAGATGGGTGACCACCTGACCACCCTCCACAGGCTGGCCGGCCCGGAGGCTGGGCTGGGCGAGTAACTCTTCGAAAGACACTCTCTCAAGCAGGACTAAGAGCCTTCTGAGCCCAGCGACTTCTGAAGGGCCCCTTGCAAAGTAACAGGGCCTCTGCCTAAGCCTCTCCCTCCAGCCACTAGGCAGCTTTCTTAACTACCCTAACAAGCCTTGGATCAAATGGAAATAAAGCTTTTTGATGCAAAAAAATAATAATAATAAATAAAAAAGGAAAATTATCCTGAATTACCTTGTGGGCCCAATGTAATTACAAGGTCCTCCTCAAAAGTGCAAGAAGGAGAGTGTCAGAATGATATCATGTGAAAAAGACTAGACTATCCATTATTGACTTTGAAAATGGCCTGAACCAAGGAATGAATGCAGATACCTCTTCAGAAGAGGAAGAGGCAAGAAAACGAATTATCCCTTAGAGCTTCCAGAAAGGAATGCAGCCTTGCCAACACCTTGATTTTAGCTCAGTGAGATCCATTTTGGACTTCTGACCTCAGACCTGTAAGATAATAAATGCGTGTTGTGTTAATCCACTAAATTGGTGGCAACTTGTTACAGCAGCTATAGGAAACTAAACAGGCCTTATATGACCTCTTAGTGATATTTTAATTTTTTTTTACTTCATTAGATTTTTGTAAGTTGCTCATTATGCATAAAGGAAATGTAGTTTTCTGTTCTTCCTCATCTGAAGTTATAACAGTTATTCTTCCCCAGGTTGTTTTTAATGAAAAATTTTACTTTGCAACTTGCTTTCTTCACTTACTATTCCACAGACATTTTCCAGGTCAATTCACAAGGATATAACTCAATATAAAAGTTAAAATACTTATTCTTTTTAGCAAAGAAATACAAAGAAGAAGATATACAGAGAAGTCTGAAGTTGAACGCAGAAACAAAGGGAAAACAAAAAACAAAAACAAACAATTGGCCCATGAGTCCACAGCCCACATAAACTCTGTTGGCAATTTTTAAATATCAGTAATACATATTACTGGGCAGAAAATCCATACTGTACATATTGATACAAAATTTTAAGTAGAAGCTTTCCTCTTTTCCTTCCTCCACATTCCTCTCTCCAACGATAACTGTTCAAAGTTATTTATGTTTCCTTCTAGAATTCTTACACACACACACACACACACACACACAGATGTGCGATGGTTTGAACGTTTGTCTCTCCAAAGCTCATGTTGAAATTTTATTGCCATTGTAATGATATTAAGAGATGGGTTCTTTAAGAAGTGATTAGGCCATGAGGGCTCTACCTTCATGGGTGGGATTGATGTCATTATAAAGATTGAGTTCAGGCTGCGCTCAGTGGCTCATACCTGTAATCTCATCACTTTGGGAGGCCGAGGCGGGTGGATCACTTGAGGTCAGGAGTTCGAGAACAGACTGGACAACATGGTAAAACTCCGTCTCTACTACAAATACAAAAATTAGCCAGGCGTCCTGGCACATGGCCTTACCATGGACATTTTTATTACTTTAGTTATCAAGAAATTATCTCACTTCCAAAAATGATCTAAGATCGATGATTCCATTTTTTTCTAGCTTTGTTTTTAGATGGCTTTTTAAATAGTTAACACTTTAACTAACTTGAAATACATTTTGGATGTAATAAAAATATTGTTGTAAATTTATTTTTCTCCATATTCATATCTATGTTCCTTAATACATTTATTAGTGATTCATTTTTATTACTTAATGTCTGATTTGCCATATACTGATATATCTTAAAATGTTTTTAGAGCACTTTTTGTACCTATTCGACTTCATCATTCTATTTTCTCTACTTAGGATAGTACCAAAAAATCATGAGGATTTTTAAAAAGTTTGGCAGAGTAAATCTTTTCTTTTTTCTTTTCTTTTTTTTTTTTTTTTGAGATGGGGTCTCGCTCTGTCACCCAGTCTGGAGTGCAGTGGCGTGATCTCGGCTCACTGCAAGCTCCACCTCCCGGGTTCACGCCATTCTCCTGCTTCAGCCTCCCGAGTAGCTGAGACTACAGGAGCCTGCCACCATGCCCAGCTAATTTTTTGTATTTTTTAGTAGAGACAGGGTTTCACCGTGTTAGCCAGGATGGTCTCGATCTCCTGACCTCGTGATCTGCCCGCCTCAGCCTCCCAAAGTGCTGGGATTACAGGCGTGAGCCACCACGCCCGGCCTTGGCAGAGTAAATCTTACACTATCTTTTTTTCTAAAGATATAGCTTGGAATTATAATTTTTCTTAGAAAGTTTACTACAGATACTCAAGTGCTGTGAAGTACTTGAGAATTTAATTGGTAATGTATTGAATCTATAAATTAACTTGTGAAATATCTCTTTATCATATTGTCTTCCCAAAGAAGAACACGTGTGTTA
Organism: Homo sapiens; assembly: GCF_000001405.40. Taxonomy (NCBI): domain Eukaryota; kingdom Metazoa; phylum Chordata; class Mammalia; order Primates; family Hominidae; genus Homo; species Homo sapiens. The sequence continues at coordinate 30,633,141 of NC_000023.11, forward strand.
CTTCTTGTGTTTAGAGTTATTTCTGCTCTTACAGTTGCCGAATCCTTCTTTACAAGTCATAGATGTCTCTCATTAGATTAGTACCTAAATAGGTAATGTTTTCATTTTATTATTATTATTGAGACATGGTCTTGCTCTGTCACCCAGGCTGCAGTGCAGTGGTGCAATCTCAGCTTACTGCAACCTCCGCTTCCCCAGCTCAAGAGATCCTCCCACCTCAGCCTCCTGAGTAGCTGGGACCACAGGTGTATGCCACCATGCCTGGCTAATTTTTTGTATTTTTGGTAGAGATGAGGTTTCACCATGTTGCCCGGGCTGGTCTCAAACTCCTGAGCTCAAGTGATCCACCCGCCTCAGCCTCCGAAAGTATTGGGATCACAGGCATGAGCCACCATGCCCGGCCTAATGTTTTTATTATCTCCTACATTTCCAAAGCATAATGGGTCCAGAATTTGCTTTGACCATATCATGACCTAACATTTTATTTTTTACACAGCACCTTCCCAACCACTGTCTCATTTGAGACCACCCTGTGAGAAAAGTTAAGCTCCAGGCATGTGACTTCAGAGATAAAAACATGTAAAAAGTTAGCCCAAGGTCACTCAGCCAATGACTGCTGGAAATGAGTCTCAAGTCCCTAACCTAGAACCCTTTCCACTTTCTTTAATGGGTTGCACAAGAAAACATTGATTTGCAGTTCTCGAATAATCAGTGATGTTGAGCTTTTTTTCATATGTTTGTTGGCCACATATTGGTGATTGTTAAAAAGTAAAGAAACAACAGATGCTGGCGAGGCTGTGGAGAAATAGAAACACTTTTAAACTGTTGGTGGGACTGTGTAAATTCCCACCAACAGTTTAAAAGACTGTGGAAGACAGTGTGGTGATTCCTCAAAGACCTAGAACTAGAAATACCATTTGACCCAGCAATCCCATTGCTGGGTACATATCCAAAGGAATATAAATTATTCTATTATAAAGATACATGCATGCGTATTTCACTGCAGCCCTATTCACAATAGCAAAGACATGGAATCAACCCAAGTGCCTATCAATAAATAGACTGGGTAAAGAAAATGTGGTACATATACACCATGGAATACTATGCAGCCATGAAAAGGAACAAGATCACGTCCTTTGCAGGGACATGGATGGAGCTGGAAGCCGTTATCCTCAGCAAACTAACGCAGGAATAGAAAACCAAATACCGCATGTTCTCACTCATAAGTGGGAGTTGAACAATGAGAACACATGGACACAGGGAGGGGAGCAACACACACTGGTGCCTATCGGGGCTGGGGGGTGTGTATGGGGAGGGAAAGCATCAGGAAAAAATAGCTAATTCATGCTAGGCTTAATATCTAGGTGATGGGTTGATAGGTACAGAAACCACCTTGGCACATGTTTACCTATGTAACAAACCTGCACATCCTGCACTCACATTATGGAACTTAAAATAAAACAAAATTTTTTAAAAAAAGAAAACATTGAAATGTCAAGTTTTTTCTTTGTTATTATATTTTCTTACTATCAGTTCCTTCAGATCAATAAAAGTTCATAGTCACATGATACAGGAGAAAGCCCAAAATCCTGGCATAGGTTATTTATTACTCTTGTGCTAATGAACAAGGCTTAAACTTTCTGAGCTTTATTTTTCTTTTTTCTTTTTTTTGAGACGGAGTTTCACTCTTGTTGCCCAGGCTGGAGTGCAGTGGTGTGATCTTGGCTCACTGCAACCTCTACCTCCCGGGTTCAAGTGATTCTCCTGCCTTAGCCTTCCAAGTAGCTAGGATTACAGGCATGCGCCACACTCAGCTAATTTTGTATTTTTAGTAGGGATGGGGTTCCACTATGTTGGCCAGGCTGGTCTCGAACTCCTGACCTCAGGTGATCCACCCACCTTGGCCTCCCAAAGTGCTGGGATTACAGGCGTGAGCCACCACGCCAGGCCTGAGCTTTAGTTTTCTTATGTGCAAAACCAGAATACCACCTGTCATGTCTACTTTGCAAGGTTTCAAAGATAAAACGACATCAGGTATATGGAAATCCCCAAAAAACGTTACTGAGAAAAGTCGCCAAATTTCTCTTAGTCTTTTTTTTTCCTTTTTTTAATACAGACGGGGGTCTCACTATGTTACCCAAGCTGGCCTTGAATTCCTAGTGATCCTCCAGACTCAGTCTCCCAAGTAGCTGGAACTACAGATGCGCACCACCAGCTACTTAGTCTATTTTTTTTTTTTTTTTTGAGACGGAGTCTCGCTCTGTCGCTCAGGCTGGAGTGTGCGGTGGCACCATCTCGGCTCACTGCAAGCTCTGCCTCCCGGGTTCACGCCATTCTCCTGCCTCAGCCTCCTGAGTAGCTGGGACTACAGGCGCCTGCCACCACACCCGGCTAATTTTTTGTATTTTTAGTAGAGACCGGGTTTCACCGTGTTAGCCAGGATGGTCTCGATCTCCTGACCTCGTGATCCGCCCGCCTTGGCCTCCCAAAGTGCTGGGATTATAGGCATGAGCCTCCGCACCCAGCCTAGTCTATTTTTTAATGTAGAAAATGAGGAGTTATCTCTAAGGGTTCTTCCAACACAATTAGTCTATCAAGGCTGCTAATTACGGGAGCTATTTTCATTTAATTTAAAAATATAATATTCTTACTTGATAATTGCAATTTCCACCTCTTACTGAGGGTGGCAGTGCTGGTCTCTACAGAGATCAGGATTACTGGCGTTACAACCTTATTATTTGTTACATTTTACAAAACCCTTATTACCGTTCTTAAATATTTTGTGTGGTATGTGTATATTTTTTTAAGTATAAATGAAATGAAACTTTGTTTTGTATTAGAGTGTGGTACTATTCTTTTTTTTTTTTTTTTTTTTTTCCAGATACAGTCTCAAGGTGATGCCCAGGCTGGAGTGCAATGGCACGATCTCGGCTCACTGCAACCTCCGTCTTCTGGGTTCAAGCGATTCTCCTGCCTCAGCCTCCCGAGTAGCTGGGATTACAGGCACGCGCCATAATGCCTGGCTCATTTGTTTTGCATTTTTAGTAGAGATGGGGTTTCACCATGTTGGCCAGGCTGGTCTCTAACTCCTGACCTCAGGTTGTCCGCGTGTCTGGGCCTCCCAAAGTGCTGGGATTACAGGCGTGAGCCACGGTGCCTGGCCGACATGCCTTTTAAAAAAAAATAGGCTGGGCGCGGTGGCTCACTCCTGTAATCCCAGCACTTTGGGAGGCTGAGGCGTGGATCACGAGGTCAGGAGATCGAGACCATCCCGGCTAACATGGTGAAACCCTGTCTCTACTAAAAATGCAAAAAATTAGCCGGGCGTGGTGGCGGGCGCCTGTAGTCCCAGCTACTCAGGAGGCTGAGGCAGGAGAATGGCCTGAACCCTGGAGGCGGAGCTTGCAGTGAGCCGAGATCGCGCCACTGCACTCCAGCCTGGGCAACTGAGCGAGACTCCGTCTCAAAAAAAAAAAAAAAAAAAAAGGCATGTCATTGGGGTGGCAATGGTACTGAGGTTAGAATTTCAATCAGGTGATTTGTGCAACTCCAGTTCTTTGTATTTACTTGCTATGTTATGACATTTTTGTTGGTTACCATCACTGCATCCACATTAGTTCTTTAAGTAGGTTAGACGTCATCCTGAACCTCCCCACCTTGATTACCTATGTGAATGACAGTGTCGACCATTGAAAGCAGAGAAGAGTTCATAGGAAGGTATCGAGGCACTCTGATCTAACTACTAAACATTGGATTCTGCATACTTTATTAAGTAGAGTTTGCCTTTGGGTAAAAACTGTAAAGGTCATATCATTTTTCCTCTGGCTCCTAACTTTTCTCCTGCAGCCTCTGCTTGACCTTTTGCCCAGTTCTCTCCTATTAGGGGGAACCAGATCTGAGAGGCAGAATGTAGAGAAAAGGGCACTGCTTTGGCATTAGAAAACCTATGTTGTCATCTTTACTCTGCCACCCTGATTTTGATTTACTCCAACTTAATCATTTAAACTTTGAGCCTTGGTTTCCTCATTTATAAATTGGGGTCAATGATGGTTAATTGAAGGTTGCTGAAAGACATAAACAGGAAAGTATTTATATAATTTATACATTTAGATTATTCATTTATCGAGATTTAAGCATAATATTTAATGTATTGCTCCTTACAGCAGTTTGTAAGTAACTCCAGGGCCCTTGCATGTGCTGCTGGTTGTGCTGGAATGACTTCTGTCCTTTACCTTTAGGATTCTGACTCTAAAAGACTGGTTAGAGTTTCCTCCTTCGTGATTCCCATAGCACTTATGCTTCCTTCTGTTTGGTCTTTACCACATGTTACAATTCCTATTTACCTGTCTACATCTCCCTCTAGAGCAACTGGAGTCTTCAAGAGCAGAAACTAGCCTGGCATGGTGGCTCGTGCCTGTAATCTTAGCACTTCGAGAGGCCTAGGTGGAAGGATTGCTTGAGCCCAGGAGTTCGTGACCAGCCTGGGCAACATAGTAAGACCCCCGTCTCTACAAAAATACAAAAATTAGCTGGATCTGGTGGCTCATGCCTGTAGGCCCAGCTACACAAGGGGCTAAAGTGGAAGGATTGCTTGAGCCTAGGAGGTCTGCATTGAGCCGCGATCATGCCATTGCACTCCAGTCTGGGTGACAGAGTGAGAGCCTGTCTCCAAAAGCAAAAAACAAAAAAGAGCCAGAACATGCATCTTAATAGGTTTAGATAAAATACAGGATGTCCAATAGATATCTAATACAGAAGGAAGTTAGGGGGAAAGGATGGAGAAAATAAGTCCAGGTAAAATGATAATACAAGACTGACTATGAAATGTGCTGTGGGAGTTAAAATAGGAACAGGTCATATTTGCTTGGGAAATCTACTTCATAGAAGTGGAGGCCAGGCGTGGTGGCTCACGCCTGTAACCACAGCACTTTGGGAGGTCAAGGCGGGCAGATCACCTGAGGTCAGGAGTTCAAGATCAGCTTGACCAACATGGTGAAACCCCTTCTCTACTAAAAATACAAAAAAGTTAGCCAAGCGTGGTGGTGCATGCCTGTAGTCCCAGCTACTCTTCAGGAGGCTGAGACAGGAGAATTGCTTGAACCGGGAGGCAGAAGTTGCAGTGAGCTGAGATTGTGCCACTGCACTCCATCCTGGGCAAAAGAGTGAGACTCCATCTCAAATAATAAATAAATAAATAAATAAATAAATAAATAAATAAATAAATAAGAAGTGGAAGTGGAGATAGGCCTTGAAGAATGAGAATAGTTTGATAGGCAGAAATTGGAAAGGCAGCATCCCAGATGAAGGGAACAACACAGTAAAAGGCACAGAATAGGGAAACAGCAGGATGTCTTTGGAAAATGGAAACCACTCTTAATGGCAGTGGGTAAAGTACAGATGGGGAAGTTGTGGGAGATGAGGCTGGAAAAGTAAACAGGAGCTTACTCTGAATTCAGAAATGAGGAAGTTTAAACAGTTCACAAGCTGCTTGGCCTATGTGGACTTCTCCTAAATGCTCGGACAGAGCTCCTCTCCTGTTTCTCCTAATACAGTCAGGCTACGGCTTCCTTTCCCCCATCAGTAACTTGCTTGCATCAGGAGCCTTTCCCGGAAGGAGAGTAAACCCCTGCACATGACTTACTTTTATTACCTCTTCCTTCTACCATCAGTTTACACTTATTGGGTCTTCTGACTTTGTAACCCTGATTTCTTAAATAATCAAGATCAAACAAAGAGGCATGGGCCTGATCTGAATTTTATTAAAAAATAGTTACAATATATTTCACATGATCCACACATGACAAATTAAAGGAACAGATAAGGTGTAACATAATGAATTGACAACCAAGTCATTTAGATAATAACATGGTAGGGTGGGATGGGGCAAGGGATGGCAAATTTACAGAAAAAGACGGAAAAGCACTGTGATGTAGCAGGATCAGTCCCATTTTTCTGGCAGGCCCTGAGGACCTTCAATAACCTTGTGTCTCTGGCCTTACTCAAGCCTGACCAAAGCGCATCTTCTGGATTCTGAAGTGGTCTTGCTCTCTTAGTCTTGGACCAGTGCTCGCTGTCGTGCTCACACCTTGCCGTGACCTCTGCTATTTTGGTCTGATCTATAACCCTGTAGCTGTGTTGCTTTCCTGATGTGCACAGCAGTTTTCTCATTCCAGGGGGTACAGCTTTGTCCTGAGTTACTTGTCAGGCTAGCTCTCCACTGTGGGCCATGTTATGCCTAGCAATTTCAGCTATGATACCATATTGGAACTCCTGGAATAATAGTATTGATCCAGAGCAAGCCCTTTAAATTCTGTAGTTTTGACTGCTAACAACCTTGAAAGCCATTCTTACAGACAAATTAGTGCCTCTATCCCCTGGACCCATTTATTCTAGCTCTTTACCATTAGCTACTGCCACTACCATCTCTGCTGGTCCAAAGATGAGCATTCAAGACTGCTGAGACCAGCTCAGTCATGGATACCCTAACCCAGCGGTGCTAGAGGAATTAAAGACACACACACACAGAAATATAGCGTGTGGACTGGGAAATCAGGGGTCTCATAGCCTTCAGAGGTGAGAGCCTCGAACAGAGATTTACCCACATATTTATTGACAGCAAGCCAGTGATAAGCATTGTTTCTATAGATTATAGATTAACTAAAAGTATTCCTTATGGGAAACAAAGGGATGGGCCTAAATAAAGGGATGGGCTCTTGCTAGTTACCTGCAGCAGGAACATGCCCTTAAGGCACAGATTGCTTATGCTATTGTTTGTGGCTTAAGAACACTTTAAGTGGTTTTCCGCCCTGGGTGGGCCAGGCGTTCCTTGCCCTTATTCCGGTAAACCCACAGCCTTCAGCATGGGCGTCATGGCCATCATGAGCCTGCCACAGTGCTGCAGAGATTTTGTTTATGGCCAGTTTTGGGGCCAGTTTATGGCCAGATTTGGGGGCCTGTTCCCAACACAAGACCTGAAAAGAAGGTGTGCTAGGTTGCATTATTGGCCCTAATTCTTCAGCCCTACCTTCATGCAGACACTGCCATGGTCTCATCATGGATTAAGAGTGCTTCCTTGCCCCTTGTCTTTGGGCCTAGCCATGTAATTTGCTTTAGAGAATGATATCTGAAGGGAGTGTCAGTGTGACAATTTCGAGCCTAGGCCTTTTTTTTTTTTTTTGAGATGGAGTCTCGCTCTGTCGCCCAGGCTGGAGCACAGTGGCGCAATCTCGGCTCACTGCAAGCTCCGCCTCCAGGGTTCATGTCATTCTCCTGCCTCAGCCTCCCGAGTAGCTGGGACTACAGGTGCCCGCCACCACGCCCGGCTAATTTTTTGTATTTTTTAGTGGAGACAGGGTTTCACTGTGTTAGCCGGGATGGTCTCGATCTCCTGACCTCGTGATCCACCCACCTTGGCCTCCCAAAGTGCTGAGATTACAGGCGTGAGCCACGGCGCCTGGCCAAGCCTAGGCCTTAATAGGCTTACATGTTTCTACTTGTTCTCTTGCACTTTTGCCATCACCATGAGAAGAACATACCCCAAAACAAGGTATCTCACTGGTCCAAAGAAGAAAACATCACAGAGGAAGCCACTCTACCCAATATGCAACCCACAGTGAGAAAAAAGGCCATCATAGCTAGCATAGCCTGAAGCAGCAATACCCATCTGAGCCCAGCCTATATCTGCAGAACTCCAATCAACCAACAGATGTATAAAATCTTCTTGCCCACCCCATCTGTCCCATGTCACCACTTCTCACTAGGTCAGGGGTGGCTACTTGACTAAAGGTAGTAGGCAAATGAGTTGAGCCAGTCAGATCTTCTTGAGGGTTTGTATTTGGAAACAGATTATAATCAATAAAGGATGGAGTCTTCTAGACTTGGAGACTGAGGTGTCATTTGGAACCCTGTACAGCCTGATGAATAAATAGAGAAAGCCAATCTTCAGAGTGAAGTAGGAAAACAGAATGGATGCTGAAAAAGTTTCAAAAGAGTCCCAGAGGGAATGAAGAATAGAAATTGTGGAGAGTAGACTCAGTCCTCAGGGGCTTCCCAGCGCCTGCAAACATGAAGCCTGGCAGAGCTGCTGATCTTGTGTCTAAAAAGTTCTCTGTTCTAGGCCAGGCTCAGTGGCTCATGCCTGTAATCCCAGCACTTTGGGAGGCCAAGGCGGGTGGATCACCCTAGGTCAGGAGTTCGAGACCATCCAGCCTGATCAACATGGTGAAACCCCTTCCCTACTAAAAATACAAAAATTAGCCAGGCGTGGTGGTGCATGCCTGTAATCCCAGCTACTTGGAAGGCTGAGGCAGGAGAATCGCTTGAACCTGGGAGGTGGAGGTTGCAGTGAGCCGAGATCGCATCATTGCACTCCAGCCTGGGCAACAAGAGCAAAACTCAGTCTTAAAAAAGAAAAAAAAGTTCTCTGTTTTACTATCAAAACCATCTCTTACTTCCCACTCAGCACATGCCTCTGTGCTCGTGTGCATGCAATCACACACATACACACACACAGAGTTTGGTTTTTAACTAACTTACATGAATATTTTTTTCCCTTGCAACTGAAGAATTGACTAAGATACTTTCCATAATGGAAGAAGAGAAAAGATGGGCAACCAGGTATGTAATTGATATTCCCTCACATAGTGGAAAATGGAACTCACTGTGCACGTGGGACATGTGCCACTTAGCTTTTCCTGACTGGTGTATACCCAAAAGAATATAAATCATTCTATTATAAAGATACAGGCAAGAGTATTTTCATTGCAGCCCTATTCACAATAGCAAAGACATGGAATCAACCCAAATGCCAATCAATAATTGACTGGATAAAGAAAATGTGGTATATATATACCATGGAACACTATGCAGCCATAAAAAGGAATGAGATCATGTCCTTTGCAGGGACATGGATGGAGCTGGAGGTCATTATTCTCATGCAGGAACTAATGCAGGAACAGAAAACCAAACACTGCATGATCTCATTTATAAGTGGGAGCTGAACAGTGAGAACACATGGACACAGGGAGGGAAACAACACACGCTGGGGCCTTTTGGTCAGGGAGGTGAGGGGAAGGAGAGCATCAGGAAAAATAGCTAATGCATGCTGGGTTTCACACCCAGATGATGGGTTGATATGTTTACCTATGTAACAAACCTGCACATCCTGCACACATGTACCCTGGAACTTAAAATACAAACAAAAAAAATCTTGAAATTTAGGGGCTTAGAACAACAGAATATTTTATTTAGATCACAATTTTGTGGATTGTCTTGTGATAGATGGGATATTTGTGATGTTTGTGATGGCTCTTCTAGTCTAGGCTGGCTGAGCTGAGACTCCATGTTCTAGAATGGCCTCACTCACATGTCTGGTGATTGTCAAGCTGGTTTTTCTAGTAGGGCCTCAGTGGCAATGACTTGTCTCTGCTCCATGGGGTCTCTCATTCTCCAACAGGCTAGCCCAAGCTTCTTCACATGGTGGTTTGAGGATTCCCAAAAGAACTACAAAGGAGCCTTAGCTCTACTGAAGAAGCTCATTTTAACCCTCTGCTCATGTCATATTTACTACTGCCCCCTTAGCCAAAGCGAGTCACCTGGTCAAGCGTAGACTCAGAGTGGATGGGGACTAAGCAAGGACTTGGATACAGGGAGGAGTGAGCACATTGGGAGCCATTACTGTGACAATATAATGTACAGAGAGGGGAAAAGTACTGCTAAAGAATGTCCTGTGAGTAAAGGCCAAAGGCCAAGGTAATGGTGTTTTTACAGGAGCGAGTCTATGAAAACCTCCAGTTTGTTATAAATTGACCTTACATATCTTTGGAGGTGTATAAGATTTTAACTTGGGGACTCATGATTCTACAGCCATAAAAACACTAGTCTAAATAGTTATAAAACATACAATAATTACCTACAGGATTTCCACTCTCATTGGAATACATAATCTGCCTTTCCTCCTTTAGAAAAATATAATTTCAGTAGAATTAACAGGAGAAATATCAAGAGAATGAAAATAAACTCTTTCCTGAATACAATCCACTTAACAAGCTCTCTTAGACTTGATAGCAGAGAAGGATCCCAAATAATAAAACACAGCTATGGAGTGAAGAACTATTTTGCTGCAAAACACTTCACCAGGGGATGCCACAGAAAGCACAAAACCCTTCCATGAAATGGAGCTTGTTCCTTTAAACTTTGGAACCACATATCTGTGAATCATAAGTTAAAAGTGTTCACTCTGTTCCCTATTCCTGAACACATATGCCAGTCTGAGTGCCCATATCAGTGTGAAATTGGCAGACTGGAGATCTCCAATGGTCAAAGCAATATGAGCTCTGTCTCCTGTAGAATATGCAAGTCCCAAAGTATCTAACATAGGCACTACATCAAAGCAAGTCGTCTTCAAAGCAAGAGACATCACCCCATTTAGGAGAAGAGAGAGTCATAAGAGGAGAATTATACAAACATATGGTTTCCACATTGCACAAATACAAATTTACAAACAGAAGTTATTTCCTCTTTAACCAGGTTCCTCTTGCTATGTTGCCTAACTTCAAACCAACAGTCATGAGATCATCATTTCCAGGCAGTCAGACACAAACTACGAAAGAGAAAAGTTCCATTTGTGTACTGTAATGTCTTTAACCAGCAATCATGGGAAGGGATATGCAGGGGTGGGGGTAGAGAAGTTAAGGTACATTTGAAAATGTAAATAGAAAATGTACTTGAAATTGTCCTGAATTGCACAGATTTGGCGGTCAACTGTTTTTAAAAGAAGAAAAAAATTATTCTACTTAAGTCAGTGATTTCATGTTGTGCCAATAGCTTACAAAATACTTAAAATAGCCTTAGCTTTTAAAAATTAGTAAATTAGGCCAGGCGCGGTGGCTCACGCCTGTAATCCCAGCACTTTGGGAGGCCGAGGCAGGCGGATCACCTGAGGTCGGGAGTTCGAGACCAGCCTGGCCAACATGGAGAAACGCTGTCTCTACTAAAAAATACAAAATTAGCCAGGCATGGTGGTGTATGTCTGTAATCCCAGCTACTCGGGGGGCTGAGGCAGGAGATCGCTTGAACCCGGGAGGCAGAGGTTGCAGTGAGCCAAAATCATGCCATTGCACTCCAGCCTGGGCAAAAAGAATGAAACTCCATCTCAAAAAAAAAAAAAAAAAAAAAAAATGGCCATGTCTTTTCATGGCTTGATAGTTAATTTATTTTTAGCATTGAATAACATTCCATTGTCTGTGTGTACCAGTTTGTTTATCCATTCACCCCATGAAGAACATCTTAGTTGCTTCCAAGTTTTGAAATTTATGAATAAAGCTGCTTATAAACATCATGTGCTGGTTTGTGCGTGAACACAAATTTTAAACTCATTTAGGTAAATACCAAGGAGTGTAATTGCTAGATCATATGTAAGAGGATTTTTCATTTTGTAATAAACTGCCAAACTATCTTCCAAAATAACTGTAACATTTTGCAACCCCACCAGCTATGAATGAGTTCTTATCGCTCCACATCCTTTCCAGCATTTGATGTTTCTCTACAGTACTTAATCCCTCAGTCTCTACCATACACAGATTGATGACAGAGATGAAGACTTGGGTTTTGTATACAGTGGTGAGGAATGGAGCTCTGGGAAAATAAAGTATAGAAAGCATGATAGAAAAACTCCCTGAAAAAGGCTGCAGATTTTATCAATGATGGCTCAATTATTTACACATATAGTGTTTATATGTTTACAGTAACTTGGGGGAAAATAGTACTGTTGATTGATTATAGGTTGGCTTATACTCTGAGTTCATTTTTCATGAATAATAGTAAATTCATAAAACACATGTGCATCTCACCACTGGGTGAACAATATCATGCATTAGAATGACCTTGGACAACTTACCCTGATTCTTGCCCTCATTTTCTTCATCTCTAATAAGTGCTATGCAATCCTGAAAGTTCTTTTCAATCCTTTAATTAATAAAAATTAAATCTAGGCCAGGCACGGTGGCTCACGCCTGTAATCCCAGCACTTTGGGAGGCCGAGGTGGGTGGATCACAAGGTCAGGAGTTCGAGACCAGCCTGATCAACATGGTGAAACCCGTCTCTACTGAAAATACAAAAATTAGCCGGGCATGGTGGCACGAGCCTGTAGTCCCAGCTACTTGGGAAGATGAGGCAGGAGAATCGCTTCAACCCGGGAGGCGGAAAAAAAAATCTATATATGTCTTCACAAAGAAATATCCCCAAAGACAAGTGTGACCTCAGTGGAATATTTCAAAAAGAAGTTGAGTTTCCCATTTAAAAGACAAAGAATAGATTTCAATTAAGATCATCATTCCTCTTTCTTCCCATGCCATTATTGAGTGATAAATGATACATTTTCTTCCTACTCAAGTTTAAATACACCGGGTGCGGTGGCTCACGCCTGTAATCCCAGCACTTTGGGAGGCTGAGGCCAGTGGATCACGAGGTCAGGAGATCGAGACCATCCTGGCTAACATGTCTCTACTAAAAATGCAAAAAATTAGCCGGGTGTGATTGCGGGCGCCTGTAGTCCCAGCTACTCAGGAGGCTGAGGCAGGAGAATGGCATGAAACCAGGAGGCGGAGCTTGCAATGAGCCGAGATCGCACCACTGCACTCCAGCCTGAGCAACAGAGCGAGACTCCGTCTCAAAAAAAATAAAAATAAATTTAAAAAAAAGTTTAAATACAAGGCCTAAACAAATAAAATGTAGTTACCTTTTCTTTTCAATAGCATATTTGTTTTAAGTCAGCAAATGAATGATTGTAACTTCATTGACATTAGTGAATTACCTACATCCATTCAACATATATTTTGTGCCTACTATGTGACTTGCCAAAGGAAGCATTAAATATTATTTTCTTTGTATGATTTGAATGTGTGAATGGAGCACTTGAAAAGTCAGTGTCCCACGATTATAAATGTAATATAAATGTAGTACATGAACTAAATTGTGGTTCCTAAGGCTACATTTTTTTATCAGTATGCATATTTTTTAATGTGTACATATAGTGGCAAAAGGCAGAAAATAAAAAAGAACATACATCTTCAGGCCGGGCACGGTGGCTCACACCTGTAATCCCAGCACTTTGGGAGTGTAGAGGTGGGAGGATTGCTTGAGTCCAGGGATTCAAGACCAGCCTGGGCAACATAATGAAGTCTTGTCTCTACGAAAACATCAAGAAATTAGCTGGAAGTGGTGGCTTGTGCCTGTAATCCCACTTACTTGATCCTTGGGAGGTTGAGGTGGGAGGATCTCTTAAGCCTGGGAGCTCGAGGCTGCAGTGAGCCACGATGGTGCCACTGCACTCCAGCCTGGGCAACAGAGTGAGACGCTGTCTTGAAAAAATAAATAAATAAGTAAGTAAAATAACATACATTTTTGTCTTTCTTCTATTAGCCACTGGAGGCTTAGAGGTGGACATAGAAAAATGAAAGATAAACAAGCACACAAAAGAGAAAGCATGAGGAAAATGAGACAAATGTGAAACTGGAAGACCAAAGGGATGTGGAAGAAGGAAATAAAACAGCCAAAGTTACCAATGGTCCCACTTTGCCCTTAACAGATCCAACCATGACCTCAAGGGCATTCCAAGTATGATCTTTACCCCAGACCCTTAGAAACAACAGGTTTTCAAATTGAAAACTGCTCGGGCCAGGTGGCTCATGCCTGTAATCTCAGCACTTTGGGAGGCTGAGGCAGAGGATCACTTGAGCCCAGGAGTTCAAGACCACCCTGCGCAACAGAATAAGACCCTCATCTCTACCCAAAAAAAAAAATTAGCCAGGTATGATGGCGCAACCTTGACCTCCTGGATTCCAGCTACTCTGGAGGCTGAAGTGGGAGAATCCCTTGAATCCAGGAAGTCAAGGTTGCAATGAGATACGTTCATGCCACTGCACTCCAGCCTGGGAGACAGAGCAGGACCCTGTCTCAAAAAAGAAAGAAAATAAAAGAAAAGAAAACTTCTCAATTTGCACCAGTAGCAAGTTTTTCAAACATGTTTGGAAAATGAGAAAACTTCTGGATACTCATATTTTTATTTTTCCAAAAGGCCCAATGCCTTGGTTATAACCAGATATGACCAAGAATTAGATTGTGAGGAATGGAGATCACACCAAAATGTACCAATTGCATCATTTATCCATTGCTGCATTTAAAAAATGACTCCAAAACTGGGTGGCTAAAAACAACAACCATTTGTTATTTCTCATGATTCTGTGGACTAGTTGGGCTCGGCTGTGGTTTTTTTGTTGTCATTGTTGTTGTCGTTTTCCATTCTTGGTGCTATTGGCTGAGGTCATTCATTCAACTGGGTCATTCATTCAGCAGCTGCAATCCGCCGGGACCTCGGACAGGGCTTACATATGCAAGATGGTTTCATTCACATATCTGGAAGTTGGTGATGGTCAGCGGGGGGGCCTTAGTTCTCTTTCCCATGGCTTCTCATCTGCTAGCAGTTTAAATTATCTTTCTTACAGCATGGCAACTGAGTTCCAAGAGGGAAAGGCCCATTTCTCCACAAGCACTTATCAAGTCTCTGCTTGCATTATGTTTGCTAACATCGTATTGCCCATGCAAGTCACGTGGCCCAAGCTCAGGGTCAATATGGGAGGGCACAACACAAGGACATTATTATTAGAAGGCATTAGTCATTAGCAGCAGCCTATGTAGCAGTCTACAATATTCATTCATTCAACCATCACTTATAGGACTCCCAGATCCTAGGGATATAATGATTATCAGGGCAAAATCCCTGGCATCAAGTAGCCTAGCTCATTGCATTTAGGGGGAGGTCAGGGTAGGGCGAGTGTGGAAGGAATGAATATGCATCCTTAACAAGTACCCCAGGTGATTCTGACATAAGCTAATGTTTGAGAACCTCTGCCTTAAGCTTTACCTACCAATATTCTTTTCTTTTTCTTTGAGACGGAGTCTCACTCTGACATCCAAGCTGGAGTGCAGTGGCGAGATCTCAGCTCACTGAACCTCTGCCTCCCAGGTTCAAATGATTCTCCTGCCTCAGCCTCCCGAGTAGCTGGGACTACAGGCATGCACCACCACACCCAGCTAATTTTTTTGTATTTTTAGTAGAGACGGAGTTTCGCCATGTTGGACAAGCTGGTCTTGAACTCCTGACCTCTGGTGATCCACCCACCCTGGCCTCCCAAAGTATTCCCTGGGAATACAGGCATGAGCCACGGCACCCAGCGTTATCTACCAATATTCTAAGTGGATTGTTTGATTGTTAGCAGAGACCTAGGATATAAGAGAAAAGGGCAGTAACAACTCATGAAACAGAGTTCTCGCACCTAATGGTTTTGCCACAATTTTGTCAAACTAGAAAATTAAAGGTTCCAGCATATGCGTAGCCCAGTGGTTCTCAAAGTGTGGTCCCTGTATGTGCAGTATTGGCATCACCTGAGAACTATTAAAAATAAAAACTTAAAAAATCTGGGGTGTTTGCAGCCTGGCAACCTGGATTTTAACAAGTCCACTAGGTAGTTCTGAAGTAGGTAAAGTTTTTTGTTATTGTTATTGTTGTTTTGAGATGGATTGTTGCCCAGCCTGGAGTGCAATGGCACGATCTCAGCTCACCGCAACCTCCTCCTCCCGGGTTCAAGTGATTCTCCTGCCTCAGCCTCCCAGGTAGCTGGGATTACAGGCATGCACCACCACGCCTGGCTAATTTGTATTTTTAGTAGAGATGGGGTTTCTCCACGTTGGTCAGGCTGGTCTTGAACTCCCAACCTCAGGTGATCCGCCCGTCTCAACCTCCCAAAGTACTAGGATTACAGGCGTAAGCCACCATGCCTGGCTTGAAGTAGGTAAAGTTTGAGAAAAACTATCAAACCCTAACTCGATTACAACTGCAATGCTGCATAAAACGAAACATTATTTTAGGTAGTTACAACTTAGATTATTAACATGCATGTGAGTGGGTGCTTCAATTTATAGAGGGTGGGGGTAGGCTCCCAATTTGCCTATTTTTATCAAGCGGGTTTAAATTCCGAATCTGTGGGCCGGGCGCGGTGGCTCACACCTGTAATCCTAGCACTTCTGGAGGCTGAGGAGGGTGGATGGTCTGAGGTCAGGAGTTCGAGACCAGCCTGGCCAACGTGGTGAAACCCCGTCTCTACTAAAAATACAAAAATTAGCGGGGCATGGTCGCACACACCTGTAATCCCAGCTACTTGGGAGGCTGAGGCAGGAGAATCACTTGAACTGGTGGTTCAAGGTTGGTGGTGGGCTGAGGTTGCAGCGAGCCAAGTTCAGGCCACTTCACTCCAGCCTGGGAGACAGAGAGACTCCATCTCAAAAAAAAAACAAAAAAAAAAAAAAAACAAAAAAACTGAATCCCGAATCTGTCTTTAACTCCCTCTGCTACCTTGGGCAAAACACTTTGTATATCTGCTTAAATCATCCCAATCCCATAAAATAACAATGTGCCTGTGCTCTTTACTATAGTCCTTTCCAGCACTAACTCCACGTTGTACTTCCAATATTCATATTAATCCATATCCAAGTAATCATTAAACTAGCAAGGAGGGGTTAAGGAAAGGGTAGCTTTCCAAACAGACTAAACTTGAAAACATAAGTGTTACTTCTCAGGCAAATAAGTGAAGACCAAGAAGCACTTCTGGGGGAAAAGGGGGTGCAGAGATTCTCGAGGGAAGTGTAGGCTTTCTGCTTACATAAATTCTGTGTAAATCAACAAAAAACAGGAAAAACCAGAGGAAGAATAAGTGAAACACCTAGGGACTCTCCAAGAGGGAGGTTACCATTGATTTCCTGCTTTACCAGTCAGAAATCATCACAGTGAGCTTTAGGTGACTCAAGCTACTTAATTTGCATGAAGGACCTTGATCTTCACCTCTGGGTTTCTTTGATGGAGATAGGACAGTGAGACTGCCTCTTGCCTTTCATGATTAACCGTTCTGCTTGTACAGTGCTTTAGCAGGCATTACATCATTTAAGTCTCACATTGACCCATCTACGTCAGTGACATTTTCCCTATTTTACAAACAAGTAACAAGAAGCCATGGAAATAAATGAGTTATTACTCAAGCCCATGATGATTAAGTGTTGAATGGCAGGGCCAAGATCAAACCAATGTCCTTCTCTTCCCAGTCCAGTGTTTTCTCTATTGCTTTGCCTTCATATCTGGGGTGGGTGGTGAGAAGAAGGTGAACCAGCATCCTGTCTTTTTTCCTTTTTGTTTGGTTTCCTACCTAACTTCCTTCAGCTTCCCTTCCCTCAGACTCTGGTAAAAGGGCACTAGGTTTGATGTCAGGAGACTGAAATTCTGGTTCTGATTCTACCACAGGAGGCTGGCTAGTCTTAAGATGTATGTCACTTATGCGCTCTTGGCCTCAGAGGCCCCATTGTTATTAATACTTCCAACTCTGTCTCAATTATAGTAAGAAAAATGGAATCAGAGTGTCTATTGGTTGATTTTTACAATTATATAAAGGTTTTGGACAATAGCTGGGGCTTGAGGGAGTGAGAAAAGTCAAGCAAAAGGGGATTTGTCCCTCTGGGGATTAATTCCAGGACGACCCCACCCCCGCCGCCCTCACCACACACACTCACCCTCCCTACCCCGAGGATACAAAAATCCGAGAATGCTCAAATGCCTTATATAAAATGGCATAGTATTTGCATGTAACCTATGCACATCCTCCAGTAAATTTAAATCATCTTTAGATTAACTATAACACCTAATACAATGTAAATGCTATGAAAATAGTTGTTACATGGTATTGTTTTTATTTGTATTGTTTGTTATTGTTGTATTGACATTTTTTCAAATATTTTTGATCTGCGGTTGGCTGAATCCTTGGATAAGAGACCCTCACATATGGAAGGCTGACTGTAATTCTAAAAAAATAAGACAAAGTGGACTTATAAGAATTCACAGTAGGCCGGTCGCAGTGGCTCACGCCTGTAATCCCAGCACTTTGAGAGTCCAAGGCGGGCGGATCACGAGGTCAGGAGTTCGAGACCAGCCTGCCCAGCATGGTGAAACCCCATCTCTACTAAAAATACAACAAATTAGCCGGGCATGGTGGCGCGGGCCTGTAGTCCCAGCTACTTGGGAGGCTGACGCAGGGGAATTGCTTGAACCAGGCAGGTGGAGGTTGCAGTGAGCCAAGATTGCACCACTGCACTCCAGCCTGGGCGAAAGAGCAAGACTCCAACTCAAAAAAAAAAAAAAAAAAAAAAAAAAAGTTCACAGTAAATATTTAAGATAGGCTGAGCTCAACTCTTCCATCTAACACCTTTCCCCTTATCTTTACCTCATCTCTAACAGGGTGCTGAGATGTGACGCCTGAAAGGCCAATATTTTGGCTTTTCAGTTTTGTTTTGGTGAAAGGAATGAGGATGTGGAATACACATTGTTGTAGGAACCATAGGATCAACAAATTTAAGAATCCCCCATGTACATCTAGCCCAACTTATTCTGAAATGTCTGAATTCTGATCCCATTGTGCTGCCAAACAAATAATTTGCTGTCCTGTTGGAATCTGAGAGTCAAAAGTATGTGAAAGTTCAAACGTGGTCAGGGATTTTTTTTTTTTAATGGATCGATGTGGTAGGTTTGGTGGCTTTGTTTTTACTGCCTTCTAGAACCAAGAAAATCCTTTTCTATATCATTCACTCAACTAATGCCTTTCACTGTTTTTAGAGGCAAGTTGGCCTGGTTCCTTGCTTATATGCCTGTCTCCCTCTTTTCCTCTTCCAGGAAATTCAGAGATACTGACTCATCTTCACTCTTATATTAAAGCAAGCCAGTTTATCGATAGTTATTAAATCTAGTATGTCCATAAGCAGGCTTCATCTGGAACATTAGAATGTGAGGTCTAGACGGTGTTTAGGAAAATTTGCTTTCAGATCATGTGTGGTAAAACTATACAAACAGAGATGGACAAGTGACGTGGTGTAGAGCAAGGTAAGAAAGGAAAAAAAAAAAAAAGGAAAAGAAATGATGTTCCAGAACACAGAGATTTGGGAAAGGGATGGAAAGAAATGACAGTGGGTATAGCGGAGTGCTTTTAAAATTGATAGAGAGCATGGTGGGTTACAAAAGCAATTTAGTGATTTTCAATCAGCATTAAAAAAAAATGATATGCCATAGAATAAAAATACAGAATGCATACTGTGGAAGGACAAATATTGTTTTGGAAAGTTTTTCTATACATACATAAATGTATATTAGATGTATATAACATGTATTTACATGTGTAACAATTGTAACTACAAATGTGCTCCCCGCCCACACACACTGGAGCCTGGGTTTGTTTTGTAAACTGTTTCACAGTGTGGGTCTTGGTTCCAAGTTTGAAAGCCCTTAGAACACAGGATCCAGAAGGATCCGGGCAAGGTAAATTCAAGGTCAAGGGAGAGTCCCTTTTCTGTCCCCTGCCATCCAAAGCAGTTAATGGAGGGAGAGGAAATGGCGTGTGGGGGAGGGGACCGCAGAGTGAGGCCAAACGAGGAGCAAGGGCGCGTCAGGACGGAGTGGTGCCGGGCGCCTTCTGCCTGAATGGTCGATAGAGGAACTTGGGGAGGTTGATTTTGGGTGCTTTCCTTAAATGCTAAACCGAAAGAACTTCCGCGTTTCTTGTCCCTGAAAAGCTTGCAACGGTGAAGGATTCGCGTTGCTCCTTGAGGTGACCCTATATGGGGTCAATCCCAGCCAAAGGAATGATTACGATTACCAGGGGCCAGATGCAGGGAGGTGGGCGGGGCGTGGGAAACGCGGGAAGGCCGGGCCGGGTAGGTCCACACAGCGACTCACGTCGCTGCACGACTCTGCACAGCCCACTGGAGGGAACAAGCAGTTCTACACACTTTGAGACCCCTATGGAGGCGAGCCCCAGGACACTAGTGGAAGTGCGCTCTTTTCGCCGGCCAGGAGCGCTGCCTGCCAAAGGGCAGTACTCGTCTCCGCCCCATGCCATGCAGCTGGATGGCTCTGCTGTCCGCTCGCCGGGCCCCCACGTGACCTACTGCGCGGGCCGCCGCCTCCACCGCGCCCAGGCCCCGCCCCCGTGACGTCTCATCGCCCTCTGCCTGTCCGAGCGTTCGGCTCTTTTGCGTTTGCTGATTGGCCAGCCCAGGTGACAGCGCCCACCCCCACCCCCCCTGACACGCCCCTGGAGCCTTGGGGGTACGCGGTGGGGGGCGGGGCCTGGGCCGGAGGGGCGGGGTGAGAAGGCTGCGCGCGGGTAAAGGGGCCGCCTCGAGCGCGGTCCGAGCGTTCAGCGGACGCGCGCGGCCTCGATCTCTGGACTCGTCACCTGCCCCTCCCCCTCCCGCCGCCGTCACCCAGGAAACCGGCCGCAATCGCCGGCCGACCTGAAGCTGGTTTCATGGCAGCCTCAAAGAAGGCAGTTTTGGGGCCATTGGTGGGGGCGGTGGACCAGGGCACCAGTTCGACGCGCTTTTTGGTGAGCCCGGGGTGACATGTGAAGAGGCGCTGAGCCGGGGCGGGAGTCGGGGGACGGAGGGGGTGGCTGTTGTGTCCCCATCCCGCATCTCTCCGGCCCGGTGCCCCGGCCGCTGGGCAAGGAGGGAGGCCGGAACGGGACCTGCCACACTGGGGATGCCCCAGCCAGGCCTGGGGGACCTCGGCCTCTCATGACCCCCATGGCCGAGTTGAACAGTCGCAGTTTTGGTGGCGGAGCTGGGTCACCTACTAATGGGGTGACTCTTCCCCCAAAGGGAGCAGGGACTCTCCGAGCATCCGCGCAGAGCGGCCCGCTTGCAGTAGGGGACAGGTGGCCACATTGACGGCTACCGCGGTCTTCCCCAGGAACATTTGGCCTGCGAGACACAGGACGTCCTTGGATGGGGGGAAAGCTGTGTCACGGCTGTGGTAGCTAACACAGCGTCCTTTCCAGCAGTAGAACGAATAAAGTATTGGAGTGATGATGCGTTGTCATCCTCTCCCATAAAAATTGCAGAGGGTTGAATACTGGGGAGGGTGGCAGAACAAATTAGGAAACAGTCACACTACACTGGTTTTGCCATAATCTTTATTTAATTCCGAAGACTCGCAAATTTCAGTTCTGAGACTTTGCCCATTACAAACAAATGATTGTCCTTACTGTGCTTCACAGCATAATGCGACACGGAAATTCTGTTTCTCTTTTTATTTACCATGTGTGACAGCACAGTTTTACCACAAAAGATTGCTATTTAAGTGACTGCTGATTAATTTTTGTGCAATTAGTAAACTTGCTCTTAAAGTGACCTAGCACAGAGTTCAGTAAGATAATTTAAAAGTAATTGAGGCCGGGCGCGGTGGCTTACACGTGTAATCCCAACAGTTTGGGAGGCTGAGGCGGGTGGATTACCTAAGGTCAGGAGTTCGAGACCAGCCTGGCCAACCTGGCATAACAAAAATTAGCTGGGCGTGGTGGCGGGCGCCTGTAATCCTACTTACCCGGGAGGCTGAGGCAGGAGAATCACTTGGACCCGGGAGGCGGAGGTTGCAGTGAGCAGAGATCACACCACTGCACTCCAGCCTGGGCAATCCAGCCTAGCCAACAGAGCGAGACTCTGTCTCAAAAAAATAAAAATAAATAAAAAATAAATAAAAGTAATTGAAATGAATGCCTGCTGATAAAAGCCCATGCTTTCAATGGATATTTGACTAACTTGGCAAGTTGATGTAAATATTTAATGATTATTTAGCTCTTCACTTTACCGCAAATCATGTTTTCCTGTGTTATTTAGTATGTATATATCTGTACATATATACACATATGTGTATATTTATACATAGGCATTATACATACAATGTATATATTTTTTCAAAGTTCTGTCAGAGCTGGCACTTGACTAAAAACTGCATTTGTGCTTTGATCCTGACATATCTTTTTTTGTCTAAAGTGAGAAGCTTTCAGTCTAATTTTGGTTTGAATCTTATTTAATGACTTACCCTGGTTTGAGCTGCCAAGCATAGTTCCACTGTCTCTTGCACTGTTTATCTTTTGATCACCCAGGGCAGGTTTCACTTTGTCTTATATTCATAGAAATGTTTATAGAGTAATCCTGAATCATAAGAAAGTTTGCTTAACTGGATTTGATTAATACATAATATACACGATCATCATCTTCCCAACTTAAGAAAGACCATTAAGACATGTGCCAACTAACTGTGGGTTGATGTTTAAAGCCATATTCAAGAATTGCCCACACAAATGCCTGCAGGGACCAGGCAGGTAGAAGGGGGAAGGCAGACTAGAGAGATATCCAGGTCAAGGGGACAGCTAGTAGCTGCCAAGCAGGAACACAAGCCCAGTGCTGCCAGATCGTCAGATTAAAAGCAGGTAGTCTAGAGTTTTCAATGAAATCTTTCAATTCTTAAATGTTGGCAATTAGTTTATAAAGCACTGTGGGGGCCAAACCAAGCATGGCAGATGTTCTCAAGTTTATACAGCCTTTGCTCAATATGAAAATGGGTAAAATATTTCATAACTTTGTAGGCTTCCTTTAGGAGTCAGCTTGAACTGTCCATGCCTTCTTTTTGACTGTTCATTATTGCTGTCCATGTAGCCCAGCAATCTTCTTTATTCACTACAGGTTGTTCTTGGTCCCTCAGGTTTTGTTGCCTAAAAGACATCTTTCTACATCAATGAAGAAGAACTTGATCAACTTCATATTACCACAATTAATTGTTCAGTCTGTAACATGAACAACATGAGCCTTCAAAAATTGGCTCCTGTTTACTGGGTTCTGTGAGGCCTCGTCTCATTGCATGTAAGCTAAGATGCAAATTCAGAAGATTCTTATCCTGCTTAGAGAATGATTTTATAAAAGTTGATCAGTAAAATTGTCCTCTCCTTGAGAAACAACTATGAAAGCATGCTCTAGAGGCAAATAAAAAAACCGTAGAGATCCTGTGTGAAGTAGTGAAAAACTTAGGAATGGTTTAGCAAGGTGTTTTTTCCTTTGTTTATAAGGAGAGAGATTGCTAAACCACTCCCTGCAAAATGCAGATAAAAGATTTGCTGAATAAGTGCTTCAATCACAAGATGATTCCCGGGAGTTATTCCAGTCATATTACTCCACGTTGTAATTATGACTGAAAAATAATTGCTTACCTCTCAGGAAAGAATACAGTGGATAAGAACTGTCATAAGGAAGCTTATAAAATTAAAGATATTTAAGTAATTTCCTATTATTCATTAAATTTGCATATTTAACTTGACTTTCCTGAGACCAATAATCTCTGCAAGCTTTCTTCTTCTTTTTTCTCTGTTAGCAATATTAGCTTTCTCCCATAAGGAGAAAAGGCTTTATCTGTGCTCTTTCATCCCAGGGAAATGCCTCCACCTCTATCCCACATATCCGCTTCTCTACCTCTAAATAGTGGCTCAACTGCCACCTTTTAGTGTAAGTCTTCCTCAAACCGTTATTCAGAATTCCCCCCCCTTCCTACAGCACTTTTAAAAATACTTCTATTAATAGCTCTTATTACCTTCCCCCTTGTATTATAATCGTATACCTGCTGTACTTGGGAGCAGGGTCCTCCTTTTAAGCTATTTGTCATGTTGACCAAGATGTTTTATGAAATACAAAGATGAACAGCACTTAAAGACTGTTCAGAGAGTGTTTTATACATGTTTATTGAGTAGATTTTTATTTCTCTTTAATAAGTTAACTGAATTATTTTTTATTTTATTTTATTTTTTTGAGACAGAATCTCGCTCTGTAGCCCAGGCTGGAGTGCAGTGGCATGATCTCGGCTCACTGCAGCCTCTGCCTCCCAGGCTCAAGTGATTCTTCTGCCTCAGCCTCCTGAGTAGCTGGGATTACAGGCATGCGCCACCACGCCCGGCTAATTTTTACATTTTTAGTAGAGACGGGGTTTCACCATGTTGGTCAGGCTGGTCTCGAACTCCTGACGTCGTGATCCACCCACGTTGGCCTCCCAAAGTGCTGGTATTACAGGCGTCAGCCACCGTGCCCAGCCAAGTTAACTGAATTTTAATTCTGGTTTTCTTTCTTACCTCTTAAAACATTCTTGGGTACGTTTGGTTACTTAATTTCTTCTTACATTTTAGTAGTAGACATACAATAGAACATGTTCATTTCCTCATCAAATTGTCAAAGAATTAATCTTGGGACCCCATGCATATGCTTTGTACAAGCGGAAAATTTCCAACTTATCTGATAGGAAAGTGAATTGGGGTTGGCACATGGTAACTCAGATTGCAGAGTAGGAACTTCTTGGAAAGAGAATTAGTGTAACAGGTTTTAAGGAGGGGCCATTTCTTTGTAAGACAAAAGTTTCAGCTTAAACAATCAACTTCCTTCTTTAATTTGGTAACTTAATTTTTTCCCCACTATGATGATTTTTTAAAAGACTTGTAATGTGTTGTGGCTTGAAATGTGTCAGGTACTATGTTGAAGACTTTTCCAGCATTATCTCATTTAATCCTCATAACTCTGTGATGTAGATCGTATTAGTAAGCTTCTTTACACAGGTGATTAGACTGTGGCTGAGGATTGTGCCCAAGGTCACAGAGTAACTGGTGGAGCTAGGATTCAAGTCCAGGTCTGTTATACTCTGAAACCAGTCCTCCTGACTACTGCCTTGGGTTCCCCAGCTGTGTAGAGTACTGTGAAGGGGAAATGAGAGAAGGGGGAGGCCACCTTCTCACCTATTAATCAAGTGTCAGTTCTGATTATCATCACGAATGAATCTTCACCAAGAAAAACATACTTATAAATTGGTTTTGCAATCTATAAAAAATATTGCCTTTGAATGAGTACTGTGGGTTATGATCATCTTGTGACTCAAATTCAGTGGGTCCTAGGCAGGGCTCAGGTGTGTCACTGTGGATAATGGTTGCATCATCATTTTGTTTCAACCGACAATACATATAAAGAATGACTAGAATTGTAGCTCAGTGCTTGTTTTGGCAGGAAGCATTCCCTTGGCCCCAGCTGTCCCATCATACTTAGAGATCTCATAAGGCTTACAGATGGATTTCCTCTTTCCTTCATTTATGTATTCAACACATTTATTAAGCACCCATTATGGGCCAGGGACTAATGAACAATAAATTTTGGTAAAACTGATTTGGCTCACAGTTGGAATGAGGCCACTCTTGTGATAAGTAGAGTTGTGATTCTTTTTGTTTTTTTTTTTTCTGAGACGGAGTCTCACTGTGTTACCCAAGCTGGAGTGCAGTGGCACGATCTCAGCTCACTGCACCCTCCGCCTCCCAGGTTCAAGCAATTCTCCTGCCTCAGCCTACTGAGTAGCTAGGATTACAGGTGTGCGCCACCATGCCCAGCTAATTTTTTTGTATTTTTAGTAGAGACGGGGTTTCACCATGTTGGCCAGGCTGGTCTTGAAATCCTGACCTCATGATCCGCCTGCCTTGGCCTCCCAAAGTGCTGGGATTACAGGCGTGAGCCACCACGCCCGGCCAAGTTGTGGTTCTTTTGTTGTTTCTTTCTTTCTCCACTACATTTGCTTGTTTCCTTGCCCATCACATTACACAAGTACCAGGAACACATTCTCAACAGAGAGCTGCCACCCACTCTTGTCTTGTCTGTCACAAGACTAAGTGGTAAGAGCTTTCAATTTTGAGCTTCTTGAGGGATAGAACCATGTCCTTTTTCTTCCCCAAAGCCTGACACAGCATCTGGCATGTGGTAGACACATGTTACATGAACCAACATTAGCAGCAAGGGACCTGCAAGGACTCAAGTGTGTTGACTGGAACACTTGGATTAGAATAGACCGATAAAACTTGAGGCATCTTGGAAAAAGTCAAAATCAGAAACTATAGCTCTATTTGATGTATGTATATGCCATTTACTACAATTTCTTTCTTTCTTTCTTTCTTTTCCTTTTTGAGACAGAGTTTCACTCTTCTTGTTGCCCAGGCTGGAGTGCAATGGCGTGATCTCAGCTCACGGCAACCTCCGCCTCCTGGGTTCAAGCGATTCCCCTGCCTAGCCTCCCCGAGTAGCTGGGATTACAGGAATGTGCCACCACATCTGGCTAATTTTTTGTATTTTTAGTAGAGATGGGGTTTCTCCATGTTGGTCAGGCTGGTCTCAAACTCCCTACCTCAGGTGATCTACCCGCCTCGGCCTCCCAAAGTGCTGGGATTACAGGCGTGAGCCACCGTGCTCGGCCAATTTCATTTTTAAGAAAAACATAATTTCATTTGCTATGTTTTCTTTACTTCTGTGGCTTGTTGGAAGATGCCTTTTCTAGTCAAATTTGGCATGGAACATATTTGTGGCTAATATTTTTATTTTCAGTCACTCACATTTACGTAGTATCATGGTGTTCTCAAGAGGAAGTTTACATTTCTGAATAATGTCTTATCACATGGTAAAGTTTAGTGTGTCATAAAAGAGTAGACTAGTGGGGAAATCACATGGGGAGGGAAATGAATGTGCACATTTATGATAGGACAGATGAATTAGTCATAGGATGAGTGAGGCAAGCCTACAGGACAGTTACTTAGTAAAGAGAGCATTTCAGCTCCCCAGAAGTCTCATTCTTATAAGGCAGAGAATACATGTGTTGTTTCAGAAGCTAATTTTTAAATATTTTTTGTTTTTGAGACGGAGTCTTGCTCTGTTGCCCAGGTTGGAGTGCAGTGGTGTGATCTCAGCTTACTGCAACCTCCACCTCCTGAGTTCAAGTGATTCTCCCACCTCAGCCTCCCCAGTAGCTGGGATTATAGGTGTGCACCACCACACCCAGCTAATTTTTGTATTTTTAGTGGAGATGGGGTTTTACCATGTTGGCCAGGCTGGTCTTGAACTCCTGACCTCAGGTGATCCACCCACCTCGGCCTTCCAAAGTGCTGGGATTACAGGCGTGAGCCACCGGGCCTGGCCAAACACTTTTTTATAAAAACAATTTTCCTTGTTTTTTCAGTTTTTAATTACTCTCCTCCTCCAAATCTGGAATTGAGTCATAGTTTGCGCATAGAGCTGAATATAGACCTGGTGACTTCCAACTGTAATACTATCACTTATAGGTAATAGTAATAATAATAATAATAATAATAACATAGCAGTAGTAGCAGCAGTGACAGTAGTGGTTACATCTTTTGGGTATATACTGTGTCTGCACGGAGCTAAATTCTCATTCTATGTTCACTTTCCTTGTTTCTTCCTTTTTAAATTGCCCTTCACCCAAAACAAAATCTGGAATTGAGACATGATTTGGGTTTAGAGATGAATATAGGACTGGCTTCCTATATTCATTATTCAGAATGAGTGATTTCTAATCCTTATTCTGTCATCTATTAGTGGTGGTGGGAGTAGTAATTGTAATAAAAGTAATTATAAAATTAGTAGCAGTAGTAGCAACAATGATAGTGTTGACACCTTTTGGATGTATACTCTGTGCCTATTCTATGCTAAATACTCTTCATAAATTACTTTATTATCCTTTTACAAATGAAAAACATAGAGGCTCAGAAAAAAGTGTCAAATAGCTGATGTGGGCAGGGCTGGAGCTCGATGTGCCCCAGCTCTCTGTGCTTCCGGGGTCTGTGTGTGCTCTTTGCCTCTACATCACACCAAGCATGACGTTGTCAACTACCTTTCTGGCCCACACAAAAGTCTGAGAACAGATTTTTTTTTTTTCTTTCTTCTTTTTTTTTTTTTTTTTCCGAGACGGAGTCTCGCTCTGTTACCAGGCTGGAGTGCAGTGGCGTGATCTCGGCTCACTGCACCCTCCGCCTCCTGGGTTCAATCGATTCTCCTGCCTCAGCCTCCTGAGTAGCTGGGATTACAGGTGCGTGCCACCATGCCTGGCAAATTTTTTGTGTTTTTAGTAGGGACGGGGTTTCACTAGGTTGGTCAGGATGGTCTTGATCTCTTGACCTCGTGATCCGCCCACCTCGGCCTCCCAAAGTGCTGGGATTATAGGCATGAGCCACAGTGCCCAGCCTGGATCTTTTTCTTTAAGCTTATGACCTAAAATAGAAGCAACTGATGACTGGATATCTCCACTTCTGTGCCCAAGCAACATCTCAAACACACATTATCTAAAACAAAATTTGCAATCTCCTATGCGTTCCTGTCCGGAAGCTACTGCTCCTACCCTATCCCTTGTCTGGTAAACACTGCCTACTCAGTTGCACTGACCTGTAACTTGTCATCCCTGGGTGTTGCTCTTTTTCCTGCTTGTACCTCCTGAATTAAGAATCTCTCTGCACTTGCACTTCACTTCTGTCAATCCCATCGCAGCGGCCCTCCTAGTGGAGGCCTCTGTATGTTTCACCTGGACTGCAGACACATTGCAACTGCTCTTCCTGTCCCAGTCTTGCCTCCCTCTAATCCTTTCTCATCAACAAGTACTGTGCACCCTCGCCCACCTGAACACCCTGCAGTCCTATGCCCACTGTCCCGCATGGACTCCCTTCTGTTCAACCTGAAGTCTTAGTTTAGAAGTTACCACTTCTGAGAGCCCTTCTCAGACCCTCATAATTCTGGGTTACATGTCCTTTCTCCTCTTCATAGCCCTGACAGCCCTATGTGAGGCAGAAGTTGCAGTGAGCTGAGATTGTGCCACTGCACTCCAGCCTGGGTGGCAGAGCCAGACCCTGTCTCAGACAAACACCCCAGCAAAAAACCAAATGACCAGGCTAGACATTGTATAAAGCAAGTGATACAGCCACTGCTATCTTTAATTGACAATGATTTCTGAAATGTACTTGAAAAAATCAGACTAGCATTCTTGCCTCTGGGTACTGTGTTTTAATGTGGAGTTAATTATCCTCTACCATAGAGTCTTGTGGAAACATCATTAGCCTTCTTTGTACATTTGGCCATCTGCAGACAAATCAATGGCCAGAAGGCTTCATGTGAACCTAGATATATGAGGAAAAAAGTACTCTAGAACTTCATGTCCAGTACAATAGCCACTGGCCACATGTGGCTACTGATTACTTTAAATATGGCTAGTCTGAATTGAGTAGACTGTAAGTGTAAAATATATACCAAAGACTTAGTAAAAACAAATCATTAATATTTTATATCTATCACATGTCAAAACAATAGTTTATAGATATATTGGCTTAAATGTGTTATTAAAATTAATTTCATATGTTTCTTTTTATTTTTTAATGACACAATTTAAAATTAGTATGTGGCTTGCGTTTTTGGTTTGGGTTATATTTCTATTGGACAGGCTACATACACTAAGGTGGTGTCAGTCTCCTAAGTTTCAGAGCTTTGATGAAGT
The DNA here is from genome assembly GCF_000001405.40 of Homo sapiens. NCBI lineage: Eukaryota > Metazoa > Chordata > Mammalia > Primates > Hominidae > Homo > Homo sapiens. The sequence goes on from NC_000023.11 coordinate 30,662,408, forward strand.
AGGGAGGTCTAGGCTCCATCCTGGTACATCCAAATGTTGTTTGATTGGATGGCTTCATGGTCTAATACAGCAAATAGAATTTACCAAAATCCTTCTGTTTTCTGTGTCTCTTCCAAAGATCCATGAATTCATTTTTAGCATAAGGGCCCTGACGTTGCCCTAGTTAAAACTAGGAGGTGATGGAAGAGGGGTCTCATTCCATTCAGAGCCCCATAGGTCTGCTATTGAGGTTTTTATGAATTCAGCCAGCAAAAAGGGACACCTTGTTTCTTTCTTTCTTTCTTTCTCTCTCTCTTTCTCTTTTTCTTTCTTTCTTTCTTTCTTTCTTTCCTTCTTTCTTTCCTTCCTTCCTTCCTTCCTTCTCTCTCTCTCTCTCTCTCTTTCTTTCCTTCCTTCCTTCCTTCTCTCTCTCTCTCTCTCTCTCTCTTTCTTTCTTTCTTTCTTTCTTTCTTTCTTTCTTTCTCTTTCTTTCTTTCTTTCTTTCTTTTCTTTCTTTCGTAGTTTCGCTCTTGTGTCCCAGGCTGGAGTGCAATGGCGTGATCTCAGCTCACTGCAACCTCCACCTCCTTGGTTCAAGTGATTCTCCTGCCTCAGCCTCCTGAGTAGCTGGGATTACAGGCATGCGCCACCACGCCCAACAGATTTTTGTATTTTTAGTAGAGACGGGGTTTTGCCATGTTGGCCAGGGTGGTCTCAAACTCCAGACCTCAGGTGATCCACCTGCTTCAGTCTCCCAAAGTGCCGGGCGTCAGCCACCGCGCCCGGCCAATACTTTGTTTTCTTAACCTAGAGTCCTTTAGGGATTTGAGAGTAGCAGGGAGCAGCTGTAATATGAATAACAGTAACACAGCTGGAATTTCCTATTGTAGTGAAGTTTTTCTGCACATAAGTGTTTCTCATTTTATCTGATAATTTTTGTCCTAATAAGTACATGTAATACATCATGTTTTTTGGACATTCAACAAATACTTATTGAGCACCAACTTTGTGCCTGGCACTATTCTAGTTCCTAGGGATACTTCAGTGAATAAAACAGGGCAAATGGAACTGGCTTCCTAGAGACACACCCTAATGCTAATGGAGTTGGTATCCTAGAGACATACCCTAATGCTACCTTGTAAATCACAGGGCTATCACATGGTGTATGATGTATCAAGTTAACCTTTGACTTGTAAGATATTTTATCTTCTCAAAGGACTTCAGAATTTGCCCTCTTGCTTTCATTATGTTTATTATTTCCTCCAGAAAAGAGGAAAGGGGGCGTGTGTGATATAGAAGGAGGAAGGCAACATTCAACGCTTTTTATTTTCTTAGTCTGCATTGAACAGGTAATTTTCTCCCACAGGAAACCTAGGCATGGAAACACTTTACTAATTGGAAGTGACTTCGCTGCTGTAATTAGAGTAATTTTGGAAGTTAATTTTAATCAAAATATGCATCTTACTCTGTAAGAGTAAGTACTTTGGTACTCAAATATAGATACTATAACATGGAAACAATATATATGAAAAACTTGCTCTCTCTCTCTCTGTATATATATAGATATCTATATATTATATATATATTTTATATATATCTATATATATTTTATAGATATATATTTTATATATATCTATATATATTTTATAGATATATATTTTATATATATCTATATATATTTTATAGATATATATTTTATATATATCTATATATATTTTATAGATATATATTTTATATAGATCTATATATATTTTATAGATATATATTTTATATAGATATATAGATATATATATATCTTATATATATATATAGATTTTTTTTTTTTTGAGACAGTTTCACTCTTGTTGCCCAGGCTGGAGTGCAATAGCGTGATCTCGGCTCACCGCAACCTCCGCCTCCTGGGTTCCGGTTCAAGCAGTTCTCCTGCCTCAGCCTTCTGAGTAGCTGGGATTACAGGCATGCGCCACCACACCTAGCTAATTTTTGTATTTTTAGTAGAGACGGGGTTTCACCATGTTGGCTAGGCTGGTCTCAAACTCCTGACCTCGTGATCCGCCTGCCTCGGCCTCCCAAAGTGCTGGGGTTATAGGCATGAGCCACCACGCCCGGCAAAACTTGCTATATTTTAAAAAGTGTTGTTTTTAGTAGTGCTAAAATTGTAGAGGATCGTATTACACTTCTTTGTTAGTTTTCATCCATTGGTTTTAATGTTTTATATCAAGGGTCAGCAATTTATGACAAGCATGTCACAGAGAGTACTCAGCTGGATGGGGCCAAGTATATACTTATCCCTTTACTAACAAGGACTCTATTGCCTTTTTTTTTTTTTTTTTTTTTTGAGACGGAGTTTTCCTCTTGTCGCTCAGGGTGGAGCTCAATCTCAGCTCACTGCAATCTCCATCTCCTGGGTGGGTTCAAGGGATTCTCCTGTCTCAGCCTCCTGAGTAGCTGGGATTACAGGCTCCCACCACCACGCCTGGCTAATTTTTTGTGTTTTTAGTAGAGATGGGGTTTCACCATGTTGGCCAGTCTGGTCTCAAACTCCTGACCTTAAGTGATCTGCCTGCCTTGGCCTCCCAAAGTGCTGGGATTAAAGATGTAAGCCACCGTGTCTGGTCTTCTATTTCTCTTTTATAAGAGCTAGATGCGTAGCCACACTTCCCTTCAAAGGAATCTACACAGTACGTGTCTATGTGCCTGAGTATCTGTGACCCTTTCTGTTTCCACGTCCAAGATAAATGGAGTGGAAACTTACACCATTGCTATTAGTATTGTATCAGCTCTCTTTTATTATTCTTGGTTTTCCTATTCTGTAAAATAAATCCATATTATTAATTAATGTGTTAAATTTCCGAGAACCATTTTGGTTTTTTAAGGAGTAGGGAATTGCTTCTTAATTTACCTTTATCTTCAATAGGTTTCTTTTTACCTAAAGAGAAGTTATTTCTGATGCTGCCTTATATCTTTTATGAATCCATATGAAAAGAAAGTGGAACATCTTATATGGCATTTCATCTAATTGGACTTTTTCTACCAGTGAACAAGAACTTCAGTTACTGAATAACTTTAAACATCCTTGATATCTGCCTGCATTTTTACATTAATATTACAATATCTTTTTCAGGTTTTCAATTCAAAAACAGCTGAACTACTTAGTCATCATCAAGTAGAAATAAAACAAGAGTTCCCAAGAGAAGGGTATGTTTCCTAATTTAATATGTAAAGACACATTATGTTTGTTAGTCCATCTCACCCAACTTGCCCTGTGGATTTGTAAAGTAAACTTGGTCAGACATCCTCCTGAAAACATTTGAAAGGTTGTTATTAGTCAAGAAAATATGCAATAACTTGGTATGTCTTACATGTGAGGAATTGATGGCTTAGGAATTCAGTTAAAGATAAGGAATGAATAATAAAGTAATAAAGCAAAAGAGTATTAAATATCAGAAATTTCACATTAACTTTGAAGTCATTTAGTTTTGTGTTCCTATTATTGCAAAAATGCTGCTTTGCTGATTTGAGTGTCAGGTTTGTTTTATAATAAAGGTATCTTTTTAAAAAAGTATTCACATATCTTAACATCTAATACTAAAATCACATTTTTGGGAATAGTATTCATAAGTAGTAATTGTGATTAAATATGATGTTAAGTATATTATTTAAAATTTAATGATTTTTATGATATAACCACTTTGAAAAACTGTGTTGCAGGTTATTGCAAAGCTAACCATACACCTGCAGCATTTCACTCTTAGGAATTTACCCAAGAGGAATAAAAGCATATGCCCATCGAAAGACTTGCACATGAATGTTTATAGCTACTTTATTAAAAGTCGCCCCAAACTGGAAACCACCCAAATGTCTGTCATCAGTAAGATGGATAACAATGGAATGCCATTTAGTAATTTTAAAAAAGTGGACAGATACTTGCACCAACACAAGGGAATGTCACTGGAAATATGGAAAATGAAAAAGTTGGATACAAAAGAGTATATACTGCATGACTCCATTTATCTGAAATTTTATAATAGTCTAAACTAATCTAGGATGATAGGAATCAGAAAAGTGGTTGTCTGTGAGGTGTGTGATTCACTTGAAAGGAGCATGAAAGAACTTTCTGGGTTGCTGGAAATATTTTGTATCTTGACTGGGGTGTTGGTTAGATGGGTATTTCCACTTGTCAAAACTCAGCAAATTGTGTGCTTTCGATTTGTGCATTTCACTGTAAAGTTTACTTCAATTTAAGAAAGAGAGAAAAAAATTGATGTGTTTCTAAATTGTATTGTCTTCTTCACATGAAAAAATGTTCTAATTTTTTAGAGTTCCTTTGTTTAATAATAAAAGTTATTGATATGTTAGAGGCATTAGCATGACTGTCCACAAGCCTGAACCCAGTGCAATTTGTAAAGAAGATACCTGAGTCTTGGCTAGATGAAAATTATAAATACACAGAAGGAGACTGGGTTTTTAAAAATAAATTAGAGACGACTTGGCGCGGTGGCTCACGCCTGTAATCCCAGCACTTTGGGAGGCCGAGGCAGGCGGATCATGAGGTCAGGAGATCGAGACCATCCTGGCTAACATGGTGAAACCTCGTCTCTACTAAAAATACAAAAAATTAGCCGGGCGTGGTGGCGGGCGCCTATAGTCCCAGCTACTCGGGAGGCTGAGGCAGGAGAATGGCGTGAACCCGAGAGGCGGAGCTTGCAGTGAGCCGAGATTGCGCCACTGCACTCCAGCCTGGACGACAGAGCGAGACTCCATCTCAAAAAAAATAAAAATTAAAAAATTAAAAAAAAATTAGTTAGAGACAGAATTCAAAGCCCAGGAAAGGGAAGCATTTAGTTAGGCCTGAGAAAGGCAGAGAAGAAAGGCAGTTGGAATTCCCTTGCTACTTCTGGATCCTATGGTAGAATCATTTTAGTTTGTATCATTTCTACTTTTGGACTTCCTCAAATTACCATATTTCTCCTAGGCTTCTCACCCTTCTCATTTACTATTAGCCTTTCATCCTTCTGAGGCCCTGGTACTTTACCAAAATTATACTGAGATTGGGTCTGAGAACTTGGACCAATCACTTATCTACATGAAATAGTTAAAAGGAGTTTTAAATTTCTCCCTAAATTCCAACAAAACATTTTGGGAAAAAAGTAGCAAAAAAGACTAGTATACTTATTTGACTTTTCAGAATTCCTTTTGCTTCCCAAATATATCATTCTCAATAATAATAAATATATTTCCATCTACTTAGAAATAATCAGCGATTAGTGAAACATGCAGATAATTTATCAAAATTAATTAAATCTGCAGGATATAAAGAAGGGGAACTAATTTCTTATTAGACTTGGAAAAATAATTTTAAAATAGGTAGATATTTGCTGTTTGTGGCCTGCCATTAGTGGCCTCCTTGAAAATGATTAATTACTATGTGGAGAATAATAAAATTGTAAGGAAATAGGCTTTTCTTGAAATCATTTCTTTAAAATGTGGAATGTAATTTGCTTTGCTTAATCTGGTTTTCTTTAATGTATGCACCAGCCACACCCTCATAAGTTAACATTTCTATAGAAAAAAGTTATATTTGTGTTGCTTTCTTACTAACCAAATGCCTTCTTTTGTTCAAAGATGGGTGGAACAGGACCCTAAGGAAATTCTACATTCTGTCTATGAGTGTATAGAGAAAACATGTGAGAAACTTGGACAGCTCAATATTGATATTTCCAACATAAAAGGTATTTTAGTAGAATATTTTACCCACATAATAAGACTCTCTCAATCAAATTCATTAATTTATTCTTTCAGCTTATAATTGAGTGCCTATGCAGTGCCAAGCATTTCTATGAGAACTTGAGGATACAACACTAAAGAGGAAGATTTAAGTTCTTGTCCTCATGGAGCTTTTATTTGGATGGGGGCGAGATAATAAGAGCAGAAAAATATAATTTCAAATACTAAAAAGTTCCATTCCAAAAAATAAAAACCAAGTGGTATGGTGGGTTTTGCCTAGAAGGGCTTGCTTTAGATTAGGTGGCCAGGAAAAGCCTTTCTAAGGATGTGACACTTTTGCTGAGCTCTCAGAGGGCAAAAGGGGTCAGCCATGCCAGTGTCTAGAAGAGTGTTTGAGGAAAAGGATGCAGCACGTACAAAGGCCCTGAAGTGGGAATAAGCCTGGGACATTTCCGGGTCAGAAAGAAGGCCAGTGTGTCAAAAGAAGACTAAAAATGTTGAGCAGTGAGACTGGGTAGGGGGTTTCAGTAGGCGATCAAATTGTGGAAGTGGGTCGGGCTTCATCAGCCATATTTAGGATTTTGGATGTTATTCTTAGTATCATAGGGAGCCATGAGAAAGTTTAAGCAAGGCGGCAAGGGATGACTTGCAGTTTCAAGGCAACTTTCTGACTGCTGTGTGGAGAGTAGATGGTAAAGGCAAAAGTGTGGACACAGGGAGACTAGTGCGGAGGCTGCTATGGAAGTCCTGAGAGAGGATGGTGGCTTGACCAATAATGGTAGCAGTGGAGGTGGAGAGAAAGGGCCAGAATTTGCTGATAGACTGGATGTTGGGGTAACAGAGAGAGTAGTGGGGTTGAGGGAAGAGATTGGTCAAAGGTGATGCTTTGGTTTTTGCCAGAGCTCCTGGATAGATGAGGATGCCTTTTGCTAAGGAGAGAAAGACTAGAGGAATGAGTAGGTTGTGGGGAAGGGGTATTTGGAATCCAAACTCTTCACTTCTAAAATTTCCCTGAAATAATTGCTTGAGGGTGTTAGATTGTTATGGATTTCTCTGAGAAGTCCTAGTAGTTTTTTTTTTTTTTTTGAGATGGAGTCTCGATCTTGTCCCCAAGGCTGGAGTGCAGTGGCATGATCTCGGCTCACTGCAACTTCCACCTCCCAGGTTCAAGCAATTCTCCTGCCTCAGCCTCCCAGGTAGCTAGGATTACAGGCACACACCACCATGCCCGGCTAATTTTTTGTATTTTTTGTAGAGACGGGGTTTCACCATGCTGGCCAGGCTGGTCTCGAACTCCTGACCTCGTGACCCGCCCGCCTCGGCCTCCCAAAGTGTTGGGATTACAGGCATGAGCCACCGCGCCCAGCGAAGTCCTAGTAGTTTTAATTGAATATCTATGTTTGGCTTTTCATCATTCATATAGGGAAAAAAAATCCAGCCACCCAAGATTGATATAATAGCATAAAAGGTGGAAGCATAGTGTGGAAGTTTGCTGTCTACTTTATAGCCTAAAATTTTCAAGTTTACCATTCAAGGGCTCTTTTTTTCCTCCTTAGGTAGTTTGACTATAGATAGAGAGAACATCAATTGGTGGTGGTGGCTTGATTGCCATCATCTTGGCTTTGATACTTACCATCGCTCCTGAGCCTTTCCCCTATTTGTATAAATTAAAACTCACTTAAAAAAAAAGACTACAAATCTATAGAGTGCCTACTATGTGCCAGATGTGCTAAGGATACAATGGAGGTAATGCTTAAGTGCAGAAAACATGTTAATCTGATAATCACAAATAAATGGAAATGCATAAAATAATAGAGTTATTTCTGTTATTGCAGATTTTTTAAAAGTATAATTTGATATTTTATTAACAACTTTTAATACTATGCACATATTAATCCTATCCTCCCTTTATCCCTACATCTAAGTGGAAGGGCTTCAAACTTCTCTTAGGGTTGTAGTCCTGAACTTTAGATGAGTTGTGCATTAGTGATTGTTGTTGATCATTTCCTTGAGCTGTTCTTGCACTTCTCACAGTCTAAACAGTGCAAACAAATAATAGGCAATCAGTAGCACACTCTTGTCAAAATTACCAAAGACGTAAGTAATCCAGGCAGCTTAAAGCCATGTTTAGAATGTAGAGTCCAGGGTGATTGACCATGGCTTTGACATCATTCTACCTCCCTTACAGGTAAGGTAGGTTGTGATGTGTTGGCTTTCTGGACCCACTTGGATGCTATTCCTTTCTCCCTTGTTTTTACGGTTATGTGAAGATGACACACAACTCCTGCCCAAGTGATTTGTCTTCCGTTTGCACTACCTGGTCTAAGAATTGAACAGGCAGCTTCTCTATACTCCTCTGTGTCTGGCCAGTGTGAAGTCCACATCTGAGCCAAACTGACCCAGCACTTCCATCTGTACAACTACCATCCTCTGGCCACAGAAGAGAACATCCCACAAGCTCCTCCATACCAGGCCAGTTGTACTATTTTTTTTTTTCCCAGAAAATTTATCCAATTGGCATTGCCAAGGACCAAGCTTTTGCTTGCCTGCATAGAACTCTATATCACAAACTGTTAAAGCTGTAAAGGAGGCTGGGTGCAGTGGCTCACACCTGTAATCCCAGCACTTTGGGAGGCTGAGGTGGGTGGATCACGAGGTCAGGAGTTCGAGACCAGCCTGGCCAACATGGTGAAACCCTGTTTCTACTGAAAATACAAAAATTAGCCAGGCGTGGTCGTGGGCACCTGTAATCCCAGCTACTTGGGAGGTTGAGGCAGGAGAATCGCTTGAACCCAGGAGGCAGAGGTTGTGGTGAGCCGAGATTGCCCCACTGTACTCCAGCCTGGGCAACAGAACAAGACTTTGTTTCAAAAAAACAAAACCAACAAAAAAGGCTGGGCGCACAGTGGCTCACGCGTGTAATCCCAGCACTTTGGGAGGTCGAGGCAGGCAGATCACCTGAGGTCAGGAGTTCGAGACCAGCCTGGCCAACATGGTGAAACCCTGTCTCTACTAAAAATACAAAAAATTAGCTGGGCGTGGTGGCGCACACCTGTAATCCCAGCTACTTAGGAGGCTGAGGCAGGAGAATCTCTTGAACCTGGGAGGCAGAAGTTGCAGTGAGCCGAGATGGCGCCATTGCACTCCAGCTTGGGCAACAAGAGCGAAACTCCATCTCAAAAAAAAAAAAAAAAAAAAAAAACAACACTGTAAAGGATCTTCAGTCAACTAGACCAGCTCCCTCTATCTGCAAATTAGGGAAGAGGACTTAACTGCAGGTTATGTAGCTTTTTAGTGGTAGATTAACATTAAAGCACAGCTCCCCTGACTCCTAGACCAGAGTTCTTTTTCCTGAGCCACACTGATGGTAATCTCACAAACCACTTCTGTTTTTATTTCTTGTGTGGCAAGTAAATTAACTTTGCCAACTGAAGAGTGATATCATTTATAGTCCTACCTGACAGTCATTAAGAGTTCTTCATGTCTGGTATTTCCTTGGCAAATTTCAATTTCATTGGTTTTGTTATGCTTATCTGACAGAAGGTTTGTTGATTTCAAGTCACTAGGAACAGTGCCTCCAAAATTAAAATTCACTCTCCAACTGAGCAGCACACACTAGCTCAAGGCAATTAAATAGACTGCTTCTTTCCTTCTAGCGGTAGAGTCAGCTCTGTTTGCCTGTCACTGGGCTCAAGGAATTACAAAGTATAAAGAGTTACAGTAGCAATTCCAAAATACAAAGAGTTACGGCTGGGCATGGTGGCTCACACCTGTAATCCCAGTACTTTGGGAGGCCGAGGCGGGTGGATCCCCTGAGGTTGGGAGTTCGAGACCAGCCTGACCAACTTGGAGAAACCCCATCTCTACTAAAAATACAACATTAGCTGAGCATGGTGGCTCATGCCTGTAATCCCAGCTACTCAGGAGGCTGAAGCAGGAAAAACGCTTGAACCCAGGAGGCAGAGGTAGCAGTGAGCCAAGATCACGCCGAGCCGAGATCATGCCATTGTACTCCAGCCTGGGCAACAAGAGCAAAACTCCATCTCAAAAAAAAAAAAAAAAAAAAAAAAAGAGTTACATATTCATTCATGTGATAGAACGAAAACACAACATAAACTCTTTCAAAATTGAGAGCATAAAATTCTCAGAGATTAGATTATCTTGTATCTAAAACAATTATTTCCCTGTTAGAGAAAAGGGAAACCCACATATCCATTCCTCCACTGCCTTGCCCTACCCAACATATTCACACACATTTCTACCACCTCTTAGACTCATACTGTCAGGGGCCTCTCAGGGGTTTCAGGAAGGCACCTCGTTCTCCAAAATGTTTCCAGCAGCAGCCACATCTCATTTGCAATTTTTCTAACCCACCTCAAGTACACATCTTCCAGAGCCTGTTTTAAAAAGTTTTATCAGGCCGGGCGCAGTGGCTCACGCCTGTAATCCCAGCACTTTGGGAGACTGAGGCGGGCGGATCACCTGAGGTCTGGAGTTCGAGACCAGCCTGACCAACATGGAGAAACCCCATCTCTACTAAAAATACAAAAATTAGCTGGGCATGGTGGCGCATGCCTGTAATCCCAGCTACTCGGGAGGCTGAGGCAGGAGAATCACTTGAACCAGGGAGGCAGAGGTTGCGGTGAGCCGAGATCGCGCCACTGCACTCCAGCCTGGGCAACAACATCGAAACTCTGTCTCAAAAAAAAAATGAAAATAAAAAGCTTTATCTCTCTTCCCACATGGTATTCCTTTTTGTAGCCAGAGAACCTTCCTCTGAAGCTCTTATTATTTTGTTCTGTGTGTTTTTAGTTTTCTCCTAAAAAATGTGTTATAATTATATGTTATGATTTTAATTTTAAAAAAGGATGCATCTCATCCATAATTCTACCAAGACAACAATTATTAACATCCTGGAGTATTTTCAAAGGCTCTTTTTTCTAAGGTATATTTTCTTAACTGTGATTATAACTTCACGGAAAATTTTAAGAAAAATTAACCAGGGATTTTGAGTGTAGCTTTTAACTAGTTTAATTTTACTACTGACATTCAGTGTAGAGAAAAGTGCCCCCAAAGAGAATATGTGGGTAAAGTATGAAGCTGGTAAATGCAAGAGCAATACGATATATGATAATGGTTATGATGTCCGTAAATGAAAGACTTTGAGGCCAGGAAATACATGTTTTATGCATGTGACTTTCATATTATCTTAAACAGTGCACATGAGGAGGAGTGGAGAATTATAAAACCTGAATGTGTTATTCCAAGAAAGAAGGAATTAAAATTAGGAACCATTAGGAATGGCACATGTGCTGAGATTAGCAGTTGGCAACGTTTTCTTTAAAAAACATAGAGGATTTTAGGGTAGGAATGACAAGACACTGGAACATTGAAAAAGTTCAGAGATAAGTTCACACATAAGACTTGTGTGCCCTGGGGAGAAATAGGTAGTAAAGACATGTTTGTGGCTGGCAGAGAATCCTGGGAAGCTGTTTCACTGGACTTTGCCTGCAAGCAAAGCAATTTTACTTGGCATGAAGGAATCCAATTAAGATAGAAGAGAAAAAAGGAATGCCCAGGGAGGAACCCGTGACTGAAGAATCAGATTGAAATAGCTCTAAATTAGATTCTGAAGAAAAGTTAAAATGACCTGGTAAAGATAGGTAGCATGAGAGGCATAGAATAGTGACTCAAGGATTGTGAGTAAGAAAGTAGCCAGCTTATTGATGGTAAAATTAACATAGTGAGGAGGAATAGGAGATTTTAGTTGACTATAAGTTCATTGTGATCCCATGTTGTAAAGTTGTCACACGCACAAAAAAATTACATTCACAATATGTACCCATAGAGCTGCTGCAGAATTCCTTTATTTGCCCTCCTTAGCTCAGTCCCATTCTCTGAAACTGTTACTCTACTCTCTTCTCAATAATAATGACCATGGCAGCAGCAGTAGGTAACATTTATTGAGTGCTTACTGTGTACCAGGCATGTGTTTTAATATACATTGACTCCTCACTGTAACCCTGTAAAGTTGGAACTATTATTCTCTCCATTTTACAAGACACAAAACTGAGACCCAGAGTCACACTGCTAGGAAGCACAGGAATTGGAATTTGAATCCCAGCTATCTGGCCTCAGAGCCTGAGCTCTACTGAATGGTGCCCCAAACTCTTGCCCTGTTTTGGCAGATAACCCTACCTCCTGCTTCATGGAGAAAGTTGAGGGTCTGCGGCCTTAAATCCTCACCTTCCTGTTGCTGTGCTTAATATCTGGATCTCCTGCCAACTTTCCTTCATCACAAGGGCAGCAATAGCCTTCTGCCCCACTTGGAGCTCCTCCCTCCACTTGTGCTGGTAATCCATCCTCTCCTGTCACTACATCAGTCAGAACCAAGTCCCCATTGATTCCCAGCCCCATCCATCCCCTCATTCTCCTTTCTCTTCTTTATTTACTTTTATAAACATTTTTGTCTTACCCAGAATCTCTTCCTTATACCCTATGCCTCTAAATTTCTTTGGAGTAGAATCTCAATCATCTTTGTATCTCTAGAAAATATTTTTTAAAAAATATATATATATATAAACTTTTAGATACAGAGGGTACATGTGCAGGTTTGTTATGTAGGTATATTGCATGATGTTGAGGTTTGGGGTACAGACCCGTCACCCAGTTAGTGAGCATACCACCCAATAGGTAGTTTTAGAAAAGATGTTGAATAAAGTAAGTCAATCTGCATTGGATAAATAGTATTAGAACAAGGGAGCTGATGTTCCCCCTCAGCTCTGTGCTGGTCAGAACATTCCTAGAGTATTGTGTTTTATTCTGGACGTACAGTTTGAGTGATATGGACATACACTTGCATGTTCCTAGGCGTGGTGATAAAGGGACTTTAAACCATGCCATGTTTAGGTGGGGTCAGTTGAAGGAAATTGGATTGTTTAGGCTACACAGCAGAAGAGAAGACTTGAGGTACAAAAGAGCTGCTTCAAGTTTTGAAAGACTGGCATGTAGAAGGATTACCCTTATTCTATATATCTCCAAAGAATATGACTAAGATCGGGAGGTGGAAGCTACACAAAAAATGATTTTTTTTTTTTTTTGAGACAGAGTCTTGCTCTGTCACCCAGGCAGGAGTGCAGTGGCCCGATTTCGGCTCACTGCAAGCTCCGCCTCCCAGGTTCATGCCATTCTCCTGCCTCAGCCTCCCGAGTAGCTGGGACTACAGGCGCCCACCACCACACCCGGCTAATTTTTTTTGTATTTTTAGTAGAGATGGGGTTTCACCGTGTTAGCCAGGATGGTCTTGATCTCCTGACCTCAGGATCCACCCACCTCGGCCTCCCAAAGTGCTGGGATTACAGACGTGAGCCACCGCACCCGGCCACAGAAAATGATTTTTATTCTTCTTTTTTTTTTTTTTTTTGAGACAGGATCTAACTATGTTGCCCAGTCTGGAGTGCAGTGGCACCATCAGAGCTCACTGCAACCCCAAACTCCTGGGCTCAAGCAATCCTCCTGGGTAGCTGGGACTACAGGCGTGCACCACCATACCCCCCTAATTTTTAAAATTTTTTTTTAGAAACAAGGTCCAACTATGTTGCCCAGGCTGGTCTTGAACTCCTGGGCTTAAGGAATCCTCCTGAGTAGCTGGGACTAAAGGAACACACCACCACACCTGGCTAATTTTTTTTTTTGAGATACAGTCTCCCTCTGTCGCCTAGGCTGGAGGGCAATGGCGCAATCTCGGCTCACTGCAACCTCCGCCTCCTGGGTTCAAGGGATTCTCCTGCCTCAGCCTCCTGAGTAGCTGGGATTACAGGCACATGCCACCATGCCTGGCTAATTTTTTGTATTTTTAGTAGAGACAGGGTTTTGCCATGTTGGCCAGGCTGATCTTGAGCTCCTGACCTCAGATGATCCACCTGCCTCGGCCTCCCGGAGTGCTGGGATTACAGGTGCAAGCCACCACGCCAGGCCATCTGGCTAATTTTTAAAAATTTTTTTATAGAGACTGGGTTTTGCTACATTGCCGAGGGTGGTCTTGAACCCCTGGGCTCAAGCCATCCTCCTGCCTCAGCCCCGAGTGGCTAGGACTACAGTTGTGTACTGCTGCATCTGGCTAATTATTTTATTTTTTTGTAGAGGTGAGGTCTTGCTACATTTTCCAGTCTGGTGGATTTACAAAAAGAAAAAAAGCACCAAAGTTGTCCAATGGAGATTGCTCTGCCTTGAGAGATGTAGTGAATATCTTGTCACTAGAAGTGCTATCTGGATGGTCATATGACAGGAGATTCTAGAGAAGATTTGAGCTTGAGAAGTATTTTTGCTTATACAGCCTTTAAGGTCTGTCCTAATCTTAAATTCTGGAAGAGCTGGATCCTTTGGCCAAGTGTGTTCTATCCAGGATGCACATTAGAATCACCTGGGGAAGTTTTAGGAACCCATACCAATGCTCACATCCCATCCCAGGTCAGTTACATTGGAATGTTTTGACCAGGGCTTGGTCATTGGTATTTTTTAAGAGCTCCTCAGTTGATTCTAAAGTACAATCAAGTCTGAAAACCTCCAATTTAGCTCAACCAAGCTGAATTGAATAAGATAGTGTGGGTTAGTGTTTTTTTACACTAAATATAGTACTTGTTTTATGTAGGTCAATATAATGTAAATGCCATTATATATTATATTTATGCCTGATTCAAATTCTTATGTATTGTGACATATTAAAAATACAGGAATAAAACTGAATTTCTAACAAACCATAATATAAGGATGCTCAGCATGAAGGATTTTGTCCATAGCTATTTTCTTAAAATGTAGGCATGTACATGTGCACACACACACACACACACAAATGCACACACATAGGGAGGAAAATTTCTTGTAGCAATTGGTAAACAAATGAATGAGTTGATTATTGGTCTGCTCAGAATAATAAATTGGGTATTATAAATTTGTGAAGTTATTGCATTCCTTAAAGCAACCAGTGTGCCTTTTATTTGGGTATTGATCTGGGTCCATCATTGTGTGCTAGTAGTAAAGCTGGAAGGAGTATGTAGAAATGAAAAGAAACACTTGGCATTGGGTATTGACTTTTTCTGGAGCCACTCAAAGAAAATAAACTAATATCACTACAAATGTTTCAAGTATTTTTTTGATTTGCTATGTTTAGTTGTGTCTCTAGTAAGATGAGAGCTGTTTTCCTGAAGTAGTTTCCTACTTGTTAAATTTTTGACTTCCTTCTGTTTAACTTTCTCTTTAAAGCTATTGGTGTCAGCAACCAGAGGGAAACCACTGTAGTCTGGGACAAGATAACTGGAGAGCCTCTCTACAATGCTGTGGGTAAGCTGTCATGCATGGATGTCAAATGTAGGGCCTTTCTTCACATTGCAAATGTGGTCATATTAAAATATCTTGCTAAAAAAGCATGCAGTCGCCAGGCATGGTGGCTCACGCCTGTAATCCCAGCACTTCGGGAGACTGAGGTGGGTGGATCACGAGGTCAGGAGTTCAAGACCAGCCTGGTCAACATGGTGAAACCCCATCTCTACTAAAAATACAAAAATTAGCCAGGTGTGGTGGCACACACCTATAGTCCCAGCTACTCGGGAGGCTGAAGCAGGAGAATTGATTGAACCTGGGAGGCAGAGGTTGCAGTGAGCCAAGACCTTGCCATTGCACTCCAGCCTGGGCAAGAGAGTGAGACTCCATCTCAAAAAAAAAAAAAGAAAGAAAAAAAAAAACACATGCAGTCATGGTACCTATAATCTTGATGGGATGGGCAGAAGAGTCTGCTAAGAAATTAACTGTTGTATATTTACCATTTTTGGATCATACATATTCACATAGTGAATTAACTCTCCCATGCTCTCTCCTCTTGCAGATTGTCTTACAAATGAGTGAATGTTTGCCAAATTGTTTTATAACCCCTGCTGTTTGTGACATCTAAAAGAGATCTTACCTCCTTACCCTCAAAAAATTAAAATTACGTGTGTTCACAGTCATTTTTCTATAAAGTACTTGTGTGTTTGTCTTTCCATCTAGGAATTTGAATTATTCTTCTAAGGTTATAAAAATAGAATATTCGAATTTTAGCTGCTTCTTCTACAAATGTGGCTATTTGAGCAGGGATTTAAAAAACCCCAAATCTCAAATATACCACTTTTAGGTATCACAACTTATTAGGTGTAAATGATCCTGAGTATATTTTAGCATCATTATTAGCATGACAGTTGTTGAACACCGAATGATACTACCACTTCCTAAAAGGAAAATTTTGTTCTAAATTACAATCACTAAAAGACTTCATTGTGTCAGAAAGCAAAGCACAATTTTTTATCAATTAAATACTAAGTTGTGGGATGGGGAATGGAATCAGAAATTATCAGAGAGGGGATAATTTTGGGGGAATAATCTTTATTAAAAGTTAAAGTATTTAATGTTATTGTATTATAAGAAAGTATTTAGTATGTTTTCTGTATTTATGATAAAAAATTAAATTCTCAAAAAATTTGAAAGAATTACAACTAAAGATCCTTTTAGTACATCTTTTTCTGTGGTGTTTTTTTTTTTTTTCTTTCCTCTGTTTTTTTTTTTTTGAGACAGTCTTGCTGTTGCCCAGGCTGGGGTGCAATGACACAATCTCGGCTCACTGCAACCTCCACCTCCTGGGTTCAAGCGATTCTCCTGCCTCAGCCTCCCCAGTAGATGGGATCACAGGCGCCCACCACCATGCCCAGCTATTTTTTTTTTTTTTTTTTTGTATTTTTAGTAGAGATGGGGTTTCACCACGTTGGCCAGGCTGGTCTTGAACTCCTGACCTCAAGTGATCCACCCATCTCAGCCTCCCAAAGTGCTGGGATTACAGGTGTGAGCCACCACACCCAGCCAGAAGTACATGTTTTAAATGTTTATTTTGTTCTCATTCTCATGAGTAATTCATTTTGAATATAAGACAGACTATTTAATGACTAGTATTTAGGAGAGTATCCTTTGATAGATCAATGTTAGCTAACTTCCTGAACTAGTTAAGGTTTTACTTTCTTTTGTTTTCTTAATGAAAGGAAGAGCCTACTCAGGCAAACCAGAAAGTTCCAGTTAAATTCTGAGCTTTTTTTTTTTTTTTCTTTTTTTGAGACAGAGTCTTCTCTTTCACTCAGGCAGGAGTGCAGTGGTGCAATCTCGGCTCGCTCTATCTCCCAGGTTCAAGTGATTTTCGTGCCTCGGCCTCCCAAGTAGCTGGGATTATAGGTGTGCACCATTATGCCCGGCTAATTTTTGTATTTTCAGTAGAGACAGGGTTTCACCATGTTGGCCGGACTGGTCTCAAACTCCCGACCTCAGGTGATCTGCCCACCTTGGCACGCCCGGCTAGTTCCAGTTATATTCTAAACATTGAATTGTAAAAATGGAACTTTGGACTTTGGATTGTTATTTTTCAAATAATGCAACTAGGTAAGCTGAAGTTATGCTTACAGTAAAGATTTAAGTAAATGTTTTACTAGAAAATCTTTCTGTGATGTTCTTATTTACTTATTTCCTTCTCTTCTGCCTGTGTCCCTCTGCACCCCTCCCCCATTCTACGTGCTTTGCAGTATTAATTCAAATGTTCATAGGATATGAGGAACTCTTTTCTTCTATCCTGAGCCACATACATGTTTTGAGAACCTCTTACATGTTTGATGTTATCTTGGGTACTATAAAGGATACAAATTATATTGGCTGTTTTTTTAAGCACTTTATAATCTAGTTTTGGAAAGAGAAAACTAGATTAGGGAACAATCCATAAAACAAAATTAGGGAATAGTTGATAAATCATGTGTTGATAGGTTGAAAAGGACTTAGAGCAAGTACATATCAGTATGGATTTTGAAATTTTAGCATACTTTTCACAGTGGAGGTTGAACTTCACTTGGGCCTTGAAGCGTATATTGGATTGCGTTAGGAAAAGAGAAAATTGAGGAATAATGTGAACAAGCTATGAAGGTGAAAATGTGTACACATATTTTGCCAGAGTAAAGAAATGGATGAGTTTCATGCATAGGTTGACTCATTTTTTTTTATTTTTAGTAGAACTAGCAGCGATAATAATACTCAGTAAGTGCTAACTGCTATTACTTTGGGATTGTGCTAAGTATTTTACCCATATTATTTAATCTCACTGACCCTGTGAAACAGATTTTACTACCCCTATTTTATAAATTAATTGTGGAAAAGCTCTATAACTTGTCCAATGGCATGTAGCTATAAGTAGAGTAAAGCCACAGTTTAAACATGAACACTCTCCAACCTTAAAGCTTGTGTTCTAATTTGGGTAGACAGGGGTTGGTGAGGATATAGAGGGGGCTGAAAGCCATGCAGTGTAGTGTAGACTTAAAACACGGGGCAGCTTGAGGCAAAACAGATGATAAAGGAGAGTTTAGCCATCCCATGATGGTGGAATGGGTTGTTTCAAACACACCAGTATGCGGAGAACAACCAGAAAAGCTGGATGAAAATGAAATAAAATTCTGAAGAACTGGAAGGCTACCAAGGCAGTGAGGACAGAAGGAAAGCCCAGAGACATAAGCCTAGCATTTGGCATTGCTTATCTCCTGGAGATATCGGTAGGTTCTGAAAGGAGTATCTGACAGGCTAAGCCACACTTCTGCAGGTCCATAAAGATAAGGAGGCAAAAGGTGAAGTCAAGGGCTGCCAAGGGTGGGGATGAGTGTTGGTAAAATCCCAGACTTTGGACTGGGACTGTGAAAGGTCAAATCCTGGAAGTGAGGTAAACTGAAAATAAACCAACCCTCACAGGAATTGAAGCCCAGATTCAAATGATCTTTAACACTAATTGGATTAAGATGATCTGAGATTGCTAATGCTAGTGGCCTAACTTCCTTTCAGAAATAAGAGTAAATCCTTTCTGGAGGAAGACAACATCATCTAGAGCCTCAAATAATCTCTAGAATTTTTCATACGCATTATCTAGTTTTCTATTTAAAAAAACCATGCATACAAAACAAAACGTGACTGAAAAGCAACAGAAACAAGTGACATTAGAAACAGACTCAAGAAATTCAGATATTAGAGTTTTTAGAGTTTAAAATAGCCATAATTAATATGTTCAAGGAATTAATTGACAAGATTGAGATTGATAATCTTGGCAAAGAATTGGAAGTCCAGTTTAAATGGACATTCTAAAACTGTATTAAGAACTCAATTGATGGGGTTTTACCATCAGAGGAGACATAGCTGAAGATGAATTTGTGAGCTGGAAGATAAATCAGAACTGGGAGAGAGAGTAAAATATTTAGACTGAAGCACAGAGAAACAAAAGTTTAGAAAAGGCACAAAAGAATCTAAGAGAAATATGGGAAAAGGTGAAGAAGTTTAATATATTTGTAATTGGACTTCCAGAAGGAAAGGAATGAGAAAAAACGAGGCAGAAATAACATTAGACAGATAATGGGAGAAAGTTTTTCAAAACTGATGAAAGATAGCAAGCTGTAGATTCAATAAGCACTATAATCCCTAGGCAAGATAAATATACAGAAGACCATACTTATGCTGGGATATGAAGATATAAAGTTTTGAAGTAGCTGAGGAAAAAAGATATATAACCTTCAAAAGAGTGACCCTAAGACTTTCAGCTAAGTTATCAGTGGAAACAAAGGAAGTCAGAATGCGATGGAATGAAACCTTTAAAGTACTCAAAGAAAGTAACTTCCACATACAGTTCTATATCCAGTGAAAAAATTATTAAGAAATGAAAGTGAAATATACTAGGAGTTGGTGAGGATATAGAGGTCACCAAAAGCTATGCAGAGTAGTGTAGACTTGATACACTAGGCAGCTAACCCATTCTCTTAGTCCATTCTGGTTACTATAACAAAATACCCTAGATTGGATAATTTATAAACAACAAAAATTTTATTGTTTATACATTGGATAGGGCATAAGGAGGAGGGAGAAAATAAAGCAGGCCTGTGAGATTTTCAGCCTGAGAGAACAGAAAGAAATTAAATAATATTTAGGGGGTACCAACCTGAGAGAAAAAATGGCCTTGTTTTCGACAAAGTGAGTGTTGAACTTGTAATAGAAGCTAATTCTGGGCAATGAGAAATTAGATGGTTCCAAATGTAGACTTGAAAATTGATAACATAGATGTGATAATCTCAATTTATTATGGATGAACTCACTATAGTAATTAATATAAAATTAATTCAATGAAAGAATAGGTGCCTTTCTGTGTTCTAGGTTTTGTGATAACCCTTGGCATATAGTGACAAACCAGGAAGACCTTGTACTTGACTTTCTGCTACAGAAACTAAGGATAGAAGTTTGGAAGCTAGAAGGAGAAAGGGAAATAGGAAAGGAGGAGAGCCACTAAGAAATGACAAGGATAGATTCTGCCTTCAGTTTTATTTCATCCAGGAAAACTCTAAAGTGTCATATCTCCATGTAGGTCTTCAGTTGAAAATATCAACATAATATTAAATCTTTAGCAGTTTTATTCTAAAGCAACACAAGGTAGGATGGATGGAAACAATGAGATTTTCACGTATATTTGTCTTTGAACTTCTTTTGCTTTGTTTATATCACAGTCTGCAGGTTTTATACTTTTTTCTCTGTCTCGGTTCAGGCTGCTTTAACAAAAATATCATAGACTGGGTGGCTTATAGATTAGAAATTTATTTCTCACATTTCTGGAAGCTAGAAGTTCAAGATCAAGGTGCTTACCCATCTGGTGTCTAGTGAGGACCTTCTTCCTGGTTTGCAGATGACTGTCTTCTCATCCTCATATGGCAGACAGTGATAAAAAGAAAGTAAGCTCTCTCTTTTTATGAGGGTACTGATCTCAATGAGGGCTCCACCCTCATGGCCTAATTTATCTCTCAAAGGTCCCATCTCTAATACCATCATATTAGGGGTTAAGATTTTAACATACGAATTTGGAAGAGACACATACATTCAGTCCATAGCATTCTCTTTGTATGTTTTCTTCCTTCGTTGTCTATTTCTCTTGTAAATCTCTGTAACTCTATGCCTGTCCTTCTCCTCTTTATTTCTGTCTTACTAAATTATACAACAGATGATATATGCATATATATATACAGCTGTATATAAATATATATATTTTAAATACAGATAGGGTCTCGCTGTGTTGAGTAGGCTGGTCTTGAACTCCTGGCCTCAAGTGATCCTCCCATCTCGGCCTCCCAAAGTGCTGGGATTACAGGTGTGAGCCACCATACCCGGCCAGATGAGCAATATTTATTACAAACAAGCATATGAGAGGAGCACATTATGTTTCCCTTTTTAAAAACTTCTATGTGGCCTCCTTTGTTTATGGCTCAGGGACACTTGATAAGCAATAATTCACTCACCCCCACTACGGTAACAGAAAAACCAAGATAGGAGAACTTCAGGATATCATTGGTGGCCACGGCATAGGCTTGATGAAGGTAAAGACTGAGAAGGGCTATTTGTTTTTGCTTGCAATAAAGGTGTGTTTGTTTATTGACATCTTTTCTATCAGATACAATTATAAACAGAAAAAAATTTAAATGGGTCCATTGAGGAAGAGATGGCCTAATTTACAAGTTCTATGTATTTTTAGAATTTATCTGTTAATTATGTGATTAATAAGGTAAACATTAATGTGATATCTAAAATGGGAAAGTGTTACTTTGCATCACTGCTTTCCAGCCACTGTGCCATGATGCAGGCATTTACAATAATGACCTCATTGGTGGATCAGCAAGAGCTTTGTGGCCCTGGAACCAAAGCAGGCCTTGGGCTTCTCTTGCCTCTCTTCAGTTGCCCTAGTCTTCCTGGTACTTCTCTCTTTCCCTTTTAGCATTATCTTCAATATTCCCTTCCACGGGGTTTCCTCTACCCACCCATTTTTCTAAGCCTTTTCCTTCCAAAAGCAGCTTTTATTAATGGTCTACATAACTGGTTGTCTTCTATTATTGAAAAAGTAAATAAGCCACAGACTAAACTGACCAAGAAGCACAAAACTACCCAAGTAGTTAAAATGTGAAGCGGGAGAAGGCTTGAATCAGTGATGTTTAGTATGTTTACACACACATTTTACTGATGCTACCAGGGAAATGTTCTGTCCAAACTAGAATGGCCTAGCTGTATTTCCCCCTAATTGGCCAAGTTTGCTCACTCACCACTGCAGTTGATTGGTATGTATGGTAAGTATAGAGCAATATGACCCTCACTCTGGTAGCTTTCTGTAGAGCACAATTCTTGATTTAATATAAAAATACCATTCATAGGCCAGGCGTGGTGGCTCACGCCTATAATCCCAACACTTTGGGAGGCCCAGGTGGGCGGATCACCTGAGGTCGGGAGTTTGAGACCAGCCTGACCAACATGGAGAAACCCCGTCTCTACTAAAAATACAAAAATTAGCTGGGCGTGGTAGCGCGTGCCTGTAATCCCAGCTACTAGGGAGGCTGAGGCGGGAGAATCGCTTGAACCCGGGAGGCGGAGGTTGCAGTGAGCTGAGATCGCGCCATTGCACTCCAGCCTGGGCAACAAGAGCAAAACTCCATCTCAAAAAAAAAAAAAAAAAAAAAAAAAAAAGCATTCACAGTAGGGACTAATCCAGCAAGGCAAGAGTCCCTGGCTTAACACTTTTAGGATATTAAAGAAAACCACCCACAAAAAATATTTCGTTGTCCCTGAAACATTTTTCTATATTTAAATGGTAGTGCAAACATTTTTTTCTAAGATGTTATATTTAAAGTTCCCAATGGCACACATAACTCTTTATGGAGAGTGTTGCAATTTTAAAGATTGGTTATCGTTTTTACATTTTTTTAACATACTGGTTAATACTGGGCCAATTATTAAACCTATGTGATCATGAGTTGAGATCTGAACCTTGAGCTCAATCCTTTTATCTTTTCTGGAACTGGCTTATGTTTCAAAGAATCAGCAGAAAAGAAAACCATAGATGACAAACCACCTAAAACGCCTAAGCACACTTAACTTTAAACAATAAAGTATTTTTTTTCTTTTTTTTTTTCTTTTTTTTTGAGACGGAGTCTCGCACTGTCGCCCAGGCTAGAGTGCAGTGGCGCGATCTCGGCTCACCGCAAGCTCCGCCTCCCGGGTTCACGCCATTCTCCTGCCTCAGCCTCCCGAATAGCTGGGACTACAGGCGCCTGCCACCGCTCCCGGCTAATTTTTTTTGTATTTTTAGAAGAGACGGGGTTTCACCGTGTTAGCCAGGATGGTCTCGATCTCCTGACCTCGTGATCCGCCGGCCTCGGCCTCCCAAAGTGCTGGGATTGCAGGCTTGAACCACCGCGCCTGGCTAAAAGTATTTTTTTTCAATTAGTTCTTTGTGGGAGAAGGTTTTTCACTTTTGTAAAATCTAGAATTTTCAGCTTTATTAAGATCCACTTATTTTCCGTTAAAAAAATTCCATTATTACAGGATTCTTTGAAAACCTTACATCTCCCTCAATCCTGGGTAAAGAAATACTGCTGTATTTATTTTGCAGTGATTGAATTATTCAAATCTGGCCAAATAAAAAGAAACTGACTTAGTTTTCAACTTTGAGTTCTCCAATCTTTAATAATTATTTTTATCCCGTTAAGACTGTGACGTCATCATGGCTATACCTACCTAGAGGTTTAATTCTAGATTCAGGTTCTGGGTTCAGATCCTAGCTTTTCCACTTCCTACCATTCTGTGCCTGTTACCTTGACAGTTAAACTGGGGAGATGAAAAGTGTAGACCTCATAGACTTGAGGTGTAGATCAGTGAGTTAATCCATGTAGGATACTTAAGCCAGGGCCTGACGGACTATAAGGCTTCAGTAATTGTTAGCTAGGGCCACTGTTCTGAATTGGCTGATAGCCTTTTTCATCCAGTAATGCCAGATGAAATGATTGGTTTATACATGATAGGTGTTCCTAGGGGAAATGCAGAGCCTACCTAGGATCACCCACACTCAAGTCAGTCATTGATATTTTGGCATTTTATACCCAAGAGCTGAAATTGGCTTCAGCCCCCGCCTTTTGGCATATATGTAAATCAATCTTTCCTTCCCAACTCTGTTTTACTTTTGGCCCCACCTGTTTCTGAGAATGTCATCAGGTGAGGGGCAGCCATCAATATAGTCTCTTCCACCTTGCAAATGACCACTTACCCAGCTTAATTAATAGCTTAGCTTTTGACAAATAGTAAAATGCCATAACTAAATCTGTTTTACTATCATGTCTCTTGTGGGAGAAACAACCCAATAACACTTTGTATAACTGTCAGCAGTCTGTGCTTAGGATGTGTTCCATAACCTGGAGCCTCACCTTCACCTCACTTCCTATCACCCTAGCAGCTCATGACAGACCATCTCAGAGAAGATTTATTATTTGCCTGTTTCTAGTCAAATGGAAATCAGCTAGATGATTTTAGTGGGGTTTTTTTTTACTTTATTTTGTTTTTCCTTCTATTGTCATGACTAACGAAAAACTGGAAAGTTATGAGGTTTTATTATTCTAAATATTTAAAAAATAATTTATTCCTCTGTACTGTTTGTTACTATGTCACTAACTCTAGCCCATGGGGATTGAGGCAACTACATTTATCTTCACTCTTCAAACTTTTTTTTTCCAGAACAAACTAAATCTACCAGACAGATTGGATGTGACTTTATTTAATACAAATAAGTTCAGATCATCCAAGTTATTTTTATTAACTTACTTATTTGATGGGCTTGACCATTTACTTCTGCTTTACTTGGTGTAGATAAGGGGAGGGACATACCTTCTAGAAGTGGGCTGTCTAGTGTTCTGGACTCCCTAGCATCAATTTTCCTTCTATTTTTTTCCTAATTACTTTGGAAGTTAGCAATCCCCTGTTCCCTCTAGACACGTTGCTCCCTTCTGTGAAGGTGCCCTTTACTCCCAGCTATCTTACCAGGAAAGTGCTTTCTTGGGGACCTGCCTTCCCAAAGCAGCCCTTTCATGTCTTAATGTAGATGGCCACAACACAGACTGTAGCATGCTCCTTGCCATTCCTTTCTAACATCCTCTAGGATTGTGCTCCCTCAGTACATCATCCATCATTTCAATTTAGTGGTTGAATGAGTAGTCAGTTACCACCTGAGCCACTTTTCTAATTAGGATGCATATATGTTGCCAGATAGAGAAGAGTCATCCTAAACAAGAAGCAGGTATTTACCTGGTCTTCATCCAAATGGAAATATTATTGAATCAGAGATTCATACTGGACTTCCTTTGTTCCCTTTCTGCTCCCTGCCTCTTCCTTTTCTTTTTCTACACCAATGTGTAGAAAAAGTGTTCATTCTGATAAACTTGCCCAAGTGATCTACCATTTCCTAAATGGTCAACAAGAGACCTTGAACCTGGCCATCTCTAGCGTGAATTGCCCTTATTTCTTCTAATGCTCCAGCTGCTCCAGTTTCTCCTGGCCCTTCAGTTCCAGTTGCCGTTGTTCCCTCTGGCTCTTCAGTTCCAGCTCCTGGTACTTCCTCAGGTATTGGTGCTCTGGCTATTGCTCACTTCCCAGCCTCCCAAGTCCTATATGTTGGGGGAAATTGACTTCTGCTGCCAGATCTGGATCTGTCATTCCTTTTGATTGTTCTCAGAGATTACCTACACAAGGGGCTTAGTCCTCCAGCTTGGGAGTCTTCTCTTTGGCTTTTGGTCTCTCTGCAAATCTAATTCTGCCATCTTAGCTTCTTTAATAAGTTTTCTAATTTTTTTGTTCTTAATTCAATTAATTTTGAGCATTTGTGAATTGCTTGGTAGTGTACCAACCACTGATATTTTTCTCTTTGGCAGTTTTACTAATGCATTCCATGTATTCTAACTGCCTTAATGTCTGTCTATAAAAACACAGTAATTATTATGACAGGTTTCTATGATCATGGAACAATGGAAGGAGAAAGACTTTAGAGACCATCTAGTCCAGCCTCCTTATTTTATATTTAGAGAATCCAGACCAAGAAGGGTAAAATGAGTTGCCTAAATCACATAGCTTATTGGTGGCAAAGCCAAACATTGAATTTTGGTCTCCCTGATTTCACATCCAGTGTTTTGATTCTTTGTGGTAAGGATTTAACTCTGTGTTTACCACTATTGTCAGTCACAGCTGCAAACTTTCAAGTGAGGAATAAAGTGCCTAAGTGGTCCTTGCCAAGGAGCAATAGAATCACAGGGCCACTGGGACTTGGAGAACCATCTGATTATCGGGGGGGTTCTTTAGATTTTTTTAAACATATAATTGGAACACACCTAGTATTTTAAAGAATATGCTCTTGAAAAGATGAAAAGAGTTTCTCCCGGGAGGCGGAGGCTGCAGTGAGCCGCGATCGCATCACTGCACTCCAGACTGGGTGACAGAAAGAGACTCTGTCTCAAAAAAAAAAAAAAAAAAAAAGGGAGAGAGAGAGAAAGAAAACAGGTCCTCATGTTTTAGTATTATACTGAATTACTTGAGACACTTTTAACAAAAGTACAGAGGCTCAGAGCTCAGGCCTTGCCTAGACCTGCAACCAGAATCATGCAAGGTAGGGCCTGAATTTTAAGGTTTTCCAGGTAGTCCTGGTATGCTTTATAGGAAAGAACCACTGCCGTGAAGTCTAGCAGTGTTTCTCAAAATGGGGCACCTATTTAAAAGTCAGATTTCTGGGCCTCATTCCCAGAACTACTGTCCTAGAATTTATGGGGATGGAGCCCATCTTTAAGCTCCCTTGTGAATGTTATGTCCATTAAAATATGAAAAAACACGGTCTAGAATATTTTAAGTCATTAACCAAAAAAGCCTGGGGCAGTGGCTTTCAAATGTATTTGTTCATGCCCCTTGGTAAGAATTACATTTTACATAATGATCCAGCAAATCCACATAACTAAAACAAAAGTTTCACAAATCAATATTTATCTTACCCAGTGCACTGAACTCTGATATTTTCCATTCTAATTCATCCTATTTCAATTTTTAAAGTAGGTAATCAAAACTCACTAAATTCATTTTTAAACTCATAGCTCACTGTATTTTGAAACACTGAGTATTGAGATGTGCTTGTTAATTTTACCTATCATAGATTTAAAACTTTTCTAATTCTTCTACTTTTTCTAGTTATTTCTGTGAGCCAATAACACCTGCTAGGATTGCTTACCTGTAAGGAAGGTCCACATTTGTCACAGTCATACAGTACTGCCACTGTGTAAAAGTAGACTGCCCTTGTTCCCTGGGCATGGGAGATCTTGCCACCTCCATGATGATGTCACTAATGGCTTGTATCAATCACAGTGTAAATAATAGAAAATTCTATTTCAACTAAATGAAGTTTAAAGCAGGGGGCAGTTCTTTTGCTCTTGGAAGCAGCAGTGCAAGGGTAGCTAAGTTCAGGTGCTGTTTGATTCCAGACTCAGACAGTATCACCTGCATCCCCCTCAAGCCTGCCTTTTCTGGGATGGCTCCTGATGTGGCATATTCAACTCCCACTTCATGAGGGCAGCAGGCCCAAGCCACACACTGCCAAGGTCAGCTGAGAAGAGGGACTCTTGCAGACTGAGCACAAATCTCTTTGACCACATGTTTCCTGATCCAGTCACTGGGGCCCAGACCCATTCCTGGAGCTGGGAGTAAGATCAAATCTCAGGTACACTACATGGCTGAGGGTGAGGGTGGAACGATTTCCTAAAAAGAATTCGAAATACCTCTCCCCAACAGATGCAGGAGGAGTAGATACTGGGCAGCAAATGCAGATGTTATCTATTATAGGCCATCTATTTTCATGGTCTTTCTCTTTTCCCTCCTGTTTTCTTGGTTGTGGTGAGTCTTTTCTTGCTGCTTTTCCCACCTACAGAAACCCGTATCTTGTCCTGAAGTCCCCAGTTTAAGTCTTGTGGAAAGTAGCCACTGTCAAAATGAAGTGCAGGGCCCTCCAGGGAAATGACAGCATAAGTAATTAGAAAGAATTGATTAAAATTTACTACAGGAAATAACTGCTTTTTAGTGAAGAGAATGGAGTAATATAGAAGAGTTAACCAAACTGCACAATGATTGCTAGCATTCAAATATGTGGTAGTGGGCAAGCTTGTATAGTCTTCCCTGGAGTCCTTTAAATAGACTATGAAACTGAGTCTTTTCAGGAGGTATCTGAGCAGTCAGTGTCCTAAAAATATCAAATGACCACAAATAGATTAAAAGTTATCGAAGTTTAAGTACAAAACTTAAATCTGGCAAATAAAGCTTAGCTGATTCTATTGGCTGCCTTTCACAATTACTTTATGTACTATTTAGTGTTTCCTCTTCCTCAAGCCTACTAACATGAAGTAAAACAGAAATCGTTTCCACCAGGGGGTTAGAAAGTAGATAATAGCTACTTAGTAAAGATAATGTTGATCCATTAAAATGGAGATTTTTTTTTTTTATACTCCAGCAGAGAGAAAGAATGGTGCCTTTAAAAGGATTCTAATGATTCCGGGTCTAGCATACTTGGAAAGATTTCAATGTAAATAAGCATTTCATACATAACAGACGGAATCTTTTGTTTCCTGAATAACAGAATCAAGTTATCTACTTTGTCTTAGTCACAAATTGCTCCCTAGTTTGTTAAGATGCACACTTTATATATGGTATGATGATCCTGGGTTTTGCATTTTGTGCTACCAACTAGCCTGCCTAGCTTTTAGATATTCTCTGGCCTCATGTATACTTAGAAAATCTATATTCCAAATATTTTTTGTAGTTTTGTTCTATAAAAATAATACAAAATAAGCACTCTAAGGTTTGTATTATTCTCCTAACTTGGTCTGTAATTTTGCATAAAAGCTTTAAATCCTCTCATAAATTTATTTTTATCTAACAATATGCCCATTCATTTCTAATTTTCTAATTTCTATCTCTTAAAAGCTATAGAATTTTAATTCCTTATAGAAACTAATCAGTCTTTTATCCTTGATAGTGATTTCAGTAAGTTCTTATTTTTTAAATGAAGTTTTTCATGTATATTATTTTATTTTGGTCTATAGTGTGGCTTGATCTAAGAACCCAGTCTACCGTTGAGAGTCTTAGTAAAAGAATTCCAGGAAATAATAACTTTGTCAAGGTAAGAATTTCTTCAGAAGTATACTATAAGAATGTTTCTTTTTTTAAAAAAAGTTTGCAGATTTCACTAGAAAGAAGCATCTTATGGTACAATAGTTATTTGATACAATTTATAGAATCTTTTTCCCGGATAATTGAGGCCAACTCAAGTCTTTACCTTCCCGTCTTTCTTGCTCTGTGGTGGATTGGAACAATAATAACACAAAATTGACAGGCTGGAAGAGATTATAATGCGTCCCAGTGGCTTAAGTCACACTTCCCAAGGGGTGCTTTTTTTTTTTTTTTTTTTTTGAGACGGAGTTTTATGCTTGTTGCCCAGGCTGGAGTGCAATGGTGTGATCTCGGCTCACCGCAGCCTCTGCCTCCTGGGTTCAAGCAATTCTCCTGCCTCAGCCTCCCGAGTAGCTGGGACTACAGGCACGTGCCACCATGCCCGGCTAATTTTTTGTATTTTTAGTAGAGATGGGGTTTCACTGTGTTAGCCAGGATGGTCTCGATCTCCTGACCTCATGATCCGCCCACTTCGGCCTCCCAAAGTGCTGGTGGGAGGGGTGCTTTCTATAATTGAACTATGTTTTCCAAATCTATCCCTATTTTTTCTACTGCCCATCAAAGAATGTTCTGGCTGCTTTTGAGTTTTTAAGCATCTGGATTCAGGGAGAGAGAAAGTAAAAGACACTCTAGCCCTTTATTGAACCCCTCTTCCACTTTGTTCATATGAAGAAGGCTAATAAAACTGCCTAATTTTCAGTCCTTGTATAGATCCCTCTTCACATAAAGGAAGGGAGAGTGAATTTTTAAAATAGGTGAGGAATTTTTTTTAGCAAGGTCAAGGCCAAGTTCTTCTAGCGTCTAAAAGGAAGTTCCCTTTTTCTGTTTTTGTTTTTTGTGTTTTGTTGTTGTTTATCCCGTTTTTATTTGTCAGTGGGATGCTTGTATCATTTTCTTCTAAAACTATTGTTGAAATCCCATTAATTGCAGTAATCTGACCATTCCGTCCCCCCACAATAACTTCAGACTTGTCCTGAATAAATCATTTTCTATTCCGTTCCCTTCATCACCCTGCCCAATCCTCATCCTCACCTCCAGCTGCACTCTGCTTCGAGGGATGCATGCTTTTCTCTCCGATGTCATTTTAGGCAACTTTTACACTTTCTACCCCCATGATGAAAATAAGATATTATGTACTACCTCGCTATTGACTTTGTGAGATCTTCCCAGGTCATCTTTTGGGATGACCCTTGTTCCTTCAAATTAAATAATATTTCCATAAAATATCTCCTTCCATTTTTTTTTTCGAGACAGGGTCTCACTCTGTTGCCCAGGCTGGAGTGCAGTGGCACAATCTCTGCTCACTGCAACCTCTGCCTCCTGGGTTCAAATGATTCTCCTGCCTCAGCCTCCCCAGTGGCTGAGATTACAGGCAAGCACCACCAAGCCCGGCTAATTTTTATTCTATTTTTAGTGGCCAGGCTGGCCTCAAACTCCTGATCTCAGGTGATCTGCCCGCCTCAGCCTCCCAAAATGCTGGGTTTACAGACGTGAGCCACCGCGCCCGGCCTCCTTCCATTATTTTTGTGCATTGATTTTTTTTTTTTAAAGAAAGCTAGAAAACCTTGAGTTAAGATTTTTAATTTACAGGTTGCATTAAAGTATTAAATCCTTTGGTTTGAGTTTTCTTACAAAACCATACTCATATGAGATAGGAGGGAAAAAGTTATCACTTTCTGTAGTTAGGTGATAAATAAGAATACAGATGGGGAGGGGAATCATAGTTGCATTATTTTTGTGTATGTATTTTCTTTTTCTTTTCTTTTTTTTTTTTTTTTTTTTTTTGAGACGGAGTCTCGCTCTGTCACCCAGGCTGGAGTGCAGTGGCGTCATCTTGGCTCACTGCAAGCTCCGCCTCCCGGGTTCATGCCATTCTCCTGCCTCAGCCTCCTGTGTAGCTGGGACTACAGGTGCCCGCCACCATGCCTGGCTAATTTTTTGTATTTTTAGTAGAGACGGGGTTTCACCATGTTAGCCAGGATGGTCTCCATCTCCTGACCTCATGATCCGCCCACCTCAGCCTCCCAAAGTGCTGGGATTACAGGCATGAGCCACCACGCCTGGCGTATTTTCTTAACTAGTTAACTTTAATCAGCCTTTATATACATTTAGTGTTTAATATACTAACCACAAATGAGTTGGGTTTGACCCATTCTCAAGGAAGATTGGTAAGCACATATGTGTTTCATTTTTGCCCATTAATCTTTCTTCAGTTCACATTCCCTCTGTTTAATATATTTGCTAAATTTAGGCAACTGCTGTTTTAGATAGAGTAATTCTGTGTTGCTTTATTTATTTTTTATTTTTTATTTTTTTTGAGACAGAGTCTCGCTCTGTCATCCAGGCTGGAGTGCAGTGGTGCAATCTCAGCTCACTGCAACCTCTGCCTCCCAGGTTCAAGCGATTCTCTTGTCTCAGCTTCCCAAGTAGCTGAGATTGCAGGTGTGTGCTACTATGCCCAGCTAATTTTTATATTTTTAGTAGAGACGGGGTTTCACCATGTTGGCCAGGTTGGTTTCGAGCTCCTAACCTCAAGTGATCCACCTGCTTCAGCCTCCCAAAGTGTTGGGATTACAGGCATGAGCCACCACACCTGGCCCTGTGTTGCTTTAATTTGGCATGTCTTTGAGCTCTACTTTAGTGTCTACTAATTTCATGTTATGTTATTTGAACTTGTGTGTGTATATATGTAAAATATATTATTAAGTCTTATTGTTTTAAAAGTTTTCTGGTTATGATCATTAGTTTATGATTTGGTATACTCTCTGGTTTTTAATAGTTTAAATGTCATTTTTATGGAATATAAAATAAACAGCATAGTTTTGGGCTAGGTTCTACATACAATACTAATTTATTGCAAAAATCAACATCTACATTGTCACTATCTAATTACAGGATGTTGTGTCATTTAATTTTCTCTTTACCTTGCTACGTGGATGCCCTTTGAACTGTAAACATGTCACCCTAATCTTTGTTCATGAACATGCTTTCCTGTGCCATGAGACAGGAAAAGTATTTTTATTCATAATACTATGGGATTGCCTTCAGGGTCTTTGAATATTTTGTGATTTGTTGAGTTCTTTTGTTTGGTGGTTTTGTTTTAAACTGTTACACTTTTCATTTGCTAACTGAACTTCACAACTGTTTTAGTCCAAGACAGGCCTTCCACTTAGCACTTACTTCAGTGCAGTGAAACTTCGTTGGCTCCTTGACAATGTGAGAAAAGTTCAAAAGGCCGTTGAAGAAAAACGAGCTCTTTTTGGGACTATTGATTCATGGCTTATTTGGGTATGTTTAAATATAATGGATATATGGAGAATTTTTTCAGAAATTTTTTCTAGACTGCCTTGCCTATTGTTTCTACTAGCAGGTCAGACTTTTTAATTAGCAGCATTATGAAGAAAAACCACTCAAAAAGCAACAGGAGAAGTTTTCAGCTTCCATTCGAGAAGCATTTTTGCCTACTTCCTCTTTATTTTTTCTTGTCTTACTTCAGTGAAAATGAAGGATAATTACCAAAACTGTATCTAATATCTATTATCTTTAGGATGAGTAATTTAGATACCCTTTCCCTATTGTCTGTTATATACTCCTTTCCCACTAGCCATGTCTTAGACGAAATAACTATTTAGCAGGATAAAATACCTAGAGTACTTTTATCTTTTGCTTTCAACATTACATAACTGTCTCTTGTATAATCAAGCCATAATATGAAACTAAATCATAGTGGAAATTTCTATTTAGAATCTTTTTGCCTAAGCTGAATACACAGCAATCATCAACCTATGGCCAATCTTATTTCTACTATACTCACATATTCTTTCTCCCCACAGATAATTTTAAAACAAATGCCAGACATTTCATTTTATTTGTAAATATTTCAGTAAGTATGTAATGATCTTTTTTAACATTCAAGGGAATGTCAAGGAAATATTGTCCCCACTCTCACTTGACAGATCCACAGAGCAGGTCTTTCAGAACCCATATCAGAAAGAGGCACCTTCTTCACCTCTCCATGTGCTTGGCCAGGGCAGAATGTGCTTTGTGTTCATGGCCAGCCATTTTCACGTGTGTCAGTCACAGTTGAATGAGTACCTTTGACAATTGCATCGAACCAGAGTAAGGCAAGATGTGGAAACTGTGAGCTGCAGGAGACTCAAGGGAGCACATTTTGGCTATATCCCACTGGATGCTGTTTATTGACCTTTGTTCCTTTCCTACCTCTTATTGCTTCCATGTAAAGGAAAGCAGCAGTGCCTTCAGTTCAGGCATGTGGGTACACCTGAGAAAGAAAGTTTAAAACTCTCCTTTCAGGATATATGCTTAGGTGAGTGTAGATAGCATAATGCGAATTGTTATTTAAACAACAACAGCAACAACAAAAAAAACCAAAGAGATAACAACAACACACAATTCTCTAATAATCCTTATGAGGCAGATATTTCCATTTATTTCATCTCGCCGAATTTAATAAGACTCTGAGTTTTCTCAACATAATAGGATGAAAACAAAACCGATTTTTTATTTATCCATCAAGTAACTGGAATTGTGCTGATAAGGTGGCCACTAGCCACATTTGGCTATTGAGCACTTGAAACATGATCAAATTGAGGTTTGCTGTAAGCATGGAATATACACCAGATTTCAAAGACTTAGTACAGAAAAAAGAAGGTAAAAAAATGTAATGTTCCGTTCTTTTGCTTTATGTGCTCTGCTGATTATGACCCTTAACAATATGTAAATTAAATTGCCAATAAGTACAAATTTAACCTGATTTTTTTACTCTGCCTAGAGTTTGACAGGAGGAGTCAATGGAGGTGTCCACTGTACAGATGTAACAAATGCAAGTAGGACTATGCTTTTCAACATTCATTCTTTGGAATGGGATAAACAACTCTGCGAGTAAGTTCTGTTTTGCTCTAAATATAGTTTTCCCAATACACTACCTATTTATAACCGAAATCTTAATATTTTCAGATGTCAGTGGAGCACCAAAATTTAACTGTTGATATTTCAACTACAATATGCAAATCTATGTTATGTGTTTTTTAAAGAGAGACTATTATTGCATTTATAATAAACAGGCCAAATTAATTATTCTTCACGGAAGTTTAGGTTCCTTTATAAAAGTACTTTGGTTTCTGTGTGCTTTCTAATTTTTATTGATTGGCTTGCATAAAGTTAGAATGTTAAATATCTAAGAATACAGCTATGTTCTGTTGGCTTACGTATTTATTGCTATCTAACTCCATGCTCAAAAACATCCATTTCTAATTGTTATTTATGCTTTTTGCATTTAAATACATATAAATGTTTCTAGATGTCTATTTAAAACAGTGTTAAATACCCAATCTTCTTGTTTTTCAGATTTTTTGGAATTCCAATGGAAATTCTTCCAAATGTCCGGAGTTCTTCTGAGATCTATGGCCTAATGGTAAAAAACAAACAAACAAACAAAAAACACACCAAAAAACCAAAAAACAAACAAAAAAAAACCTAATAATTAAAGTTTTTTTATTACAAAACAAGTTTACTATTCATAATTCAAAAGTCAACTGTGTTATGTTTTGTGACTTAAAAACTTTACAGTCCTTTTTACAATGGATTTGCATTTATAAACTTTAATTGGTTTTTCTTTGAGTATTATTATTTTTAAAGAATTGATGGGATACTCTAACTTTAGATGTTGGCATGAGCCAATTTATTCTTTGAATCCAAATAACTGTTTAGTGGTTGTGATGTCTGCTTTTAATTTAGCGGAGAGACTCTGCATATTTAGTAGTGTTCTTTTTCCCGTTGAATCTTTTTTATGGCCAAGCTATGTTATATATTAGATTCTTTGCCTGAGCAAAATTTAGCAAAGAAACTGAAAGCAAAGAGTCTGTTTCTGATTTGGGATTGCTAATTAAACTAGTTTCTGTAATGGACATTTTTACTTTTGATTTCACTGAAATCCAGTAAAGACATAGCTTCAGCAAAAGTGTGCCTAGCATCATTAAGAGTCTGTGGTTAAACATCAGGAATGAAAACCTCTAGGAGGATTTGCACTGGTGTTTGAGCACAAAAATCTGGAATTTATGATAAGACTCAGGAATAAGTCTGATAAATTACAAAAAGTATTGCTTAGACATTTCATGAAAGATATGAGAAACTTCACTTACAAAGTTAATAATAATATAGATGAACACTAAGTGCTCTGGATAAAGCTTGAGCAAGAATTTTTAACTGTTTTATTTATAATAAAGCTTTTTAAGGCAACATAGAATTTCTTAAGGAAGCCATAGTCACTGCTTATCTACAGTAAAAGTGCTTTGATCATTTCATAGCTGTCTGCAAACTGACTTGGGTCAAGGAAAAAGAAACGATGCTTGAGAAATAGTTTCACAGGATGGTTAGAAAAAAAAACGTGGAACTGGCCTAGTTTTCTCTTGTATTTAAAATATTATGCTTCTATCCTTCTCTCTCCCCCTTGCTGACTATAGAAAATCTCTCATAGCGTGGTGAGTAGGTTGCCCGCCAATTATGTACCCATTCATTTGGAAAAGATACAGTGCACTTCCATTTATTTTTAGACAAGCAGAAGTCCATTTACTAAACATATATATCTAGAATTTCCGTGACCTTCCAAATTATTATAAGCTCTAGTCAGATTTTAATTTTTACAAAAACTTAATCTTGTTTGTTTTTAAAGAGTAATGTTCTAAAATAAAAGACTAAGGTAGTTTCCTGGAATGAGAGATTCTGATATTCTCATAAAGTACAACTGTGATGTGCTTTGGGCTTTACCATAATAGGGCAATTAGATAGATACAGTTTGAAATGTCTATTTTAAATGATATATTGACCACCTTTCCAGACCAGTTAGTTGGAAATGCACTGTTACTTTTTCTGCATGCTTCATCAAGGATGCTCCAGGAGGAGCATCAGAGGTCCCTCCCTCTGAAGAAAAAAGAGCACTTTACATGCCTGAACACACATAGTAGATCCTGTTGATAGTTTGTTAATTTTGAAAGTATAAGCAAAGACTTCTTGTAATACTTAAATATATCAAGATATATAGCCTCTAGGTTTCCTATAGATTCACTTTAAGCCTTTTATGAAATTTACCCTTTACTTAATATCCAGGTTCAGATTTTCAAAGAATATATACAGTAAATGAAAATAGCAGGTTTTGCTGGGCACGGTGGCTCACGCCTGTAATCCCAGCACTTTGGGAGGCCGAGGCGGGCGGATCACGAGGTCAGGAGATCGAGACCATCCTGGCTAACATGGTGAAACCCCGTCTCTACTAAAAATACAAAAAAATTAGCCGGGCATGGTAGCGGGTGCCTGTAATCCCAGCTACTTGGGAGGCCGAGGCAGGAGAATGGCGTGAACCTGGGAGGCGGAGCTTGCAGTGAGCCGAGATCGCGCCACTGCACTCCAGCCTGGGCGAGAGGGAGACTCCGTCTCAAAAAAAAAAAAAAATTAGCCGGGTGTGCTGGCACATGCCTGTATTCCCAGCTACTCGGGAGGCTGAGGCAGGAGAATCACTTGAACCCAGGAGGCGGAGGTTGTGGTGAGCCGAGATGGTGCCATTGCATGCCAGCCTGGGCAACAAGAGTGAAACTCCATCTCAAAAAAAAAAAAAAAAAAGAAAAGAAAATAGCAGGTTTTGAATTAACCAGAAAACAAGAAAGAAATAAAATGATACCAGCTATCTAGAGGACATTTTCTATTTTGTAAAGGGTTTCTACATTTATGCTATTATTTCTTCATTATCATAGCTATGTGAGGTGAATTCTATTCTTGCCCTCACTTTAACAGACGGGATATCTAAAGCTCCCAGAGCCTGGGAGACTTGCTCATACATGGCAGACCAAGGAGTCAGGTCCAAAGCTTTAGTTTGGTGCTCATCCTAGTACATCACCCCTACTTCAGGGATTTTATATATATATATATGTTTTATATATATGTTATATATATACATGTTATATATACATGTTATGTATAACATGTTATATATACATGTTATGTATAACATGTATATATACAACATGTTATACATAACATGTATATATATAACATGTTATATATATATATACACACATACGTTTTATATATATATATACACACACACTTTTTTTTTTTTTTTGAGACGGAGGCTCACTCTGTCACCCAGGCTGGAGTGCAATGGCATGATCTTGGCTCACTGCAACCCCGCCTCCTGAGTTCAAGTGATTCTTCCACCTCAGCCTCCTGAGTAGCTGGGATTACAGGTACCCGCCATCATGCCCGGCTAATTTTGGTATTTTTGTGGAGATGGGGTTTCACCATGTTGGCCAGGCTGGTCTTCAAGTCCTGACCTCAGGTGATCCTCCCACCTCGGCCTCCCAAAGTGCTGGGATTACAGGCAGGAGGCACAGTGCCCGGCTGGGGATCCTATTTCTTAGTTCTCCTAATTCCTTAATATCATTAAATATTGCCTTGAGTTAATGTGTCTTTTTTTAAAATTAAGGTTGTCAAGTCTACAATCAGCCACTTAAATCTCATTTTTCTTCCTAGAATGCTGGCCATCATGATCAAAATAAAAACCAGTATTTATGACATAAATTAACTGTTGCTTATCTAAATTTGAAGAAAGATGTTTGCTATGAACAAATAATATACAATACCTGAACACTCTTGTGTTTAGAGCAGCTTGAGTAGAAAGAAAAGTTGCTAAAATATGGCCTTGCAAAATAAATGTGTTTCATACTGGTTTGATAGCTATTGGAAGAATATATTAGTCATTTCTTAATAATGGCAATAATAGCAAAGTACTAATGAACTTGAGCAATCACGTAGCCCAATCTCCATTTTGTAGAGAAATAATGTGATGTATTGAGAGGTTTCAACAGCCTGCTAGTAGATTAATACTAACTAACTAACCAAGAGTAGAGCCCTCATTTACTGGCTCCCAGTCTAACGTTTTATGTTCATTCTCCAGTGCCACATCTCTTCCTGTCATTCTAGGAATACTTGTAGTATCTGTCTCTTTATCATTCATTTAGTTGAAATGCTTTCTTTGTCTTGTCTGCCCACATCCTCTGGCACATTGCTACTTGTGTTCACTCTTGTTGCAGCTATGTTAGTAGAGCCAAAATTTTGTGACTATTCATAATCCTTTTTTTAAATTTTATTAGAAAGCTGGGGCCTTGGAAGGTGTGCCAATATCTGGGGTAAGTTTCATCACCAAGTGTCTCCCCATCCCCACCCTTCCCCATGTTATGGCTTTCCTCCTCTTAGTTCATCAGTGTGCCTCTTTTTAAACTAGGGAAAACAAGTAAAAGTTGCAAAATTGGCTAATTCTTGTTCTTACATGTCATACTGTGGGCCATTGAGAATCTTTTGAATAAATTAATTTTAACTCTCCCTTCCCATACCTATTATCTTACATATTAACAAATGGTATTAACAAATGGGGAAAATGGCCAAATGGAGAAAATGCAAGGAAATAGACAGTTCATTCTTTGATAAATAAAAAATGAAAAATCCTATGGCTCTTCTAAAAAGAAAGTTAATACTATTGTATTAGTCAGTGTTCTTTATTGTCATTTATACTTTCAGTGTTTAGGGGACCAGTCTGCTGCATTGGTGGGACAAATGTGCTTCCAGATTGGACAAGCCAAAAATACGTGAGTTTAAGAAACAGACTTAAAAACCAATGCTGTTTTGTTTTTTCTACTTGGTGCTTTGAATAAGGAAAAGCTTTTGAAGTTCATCCAGGATGAAAATCAATAGCTTAATAGCTCCAATATGCATATATACACTTTTTACCATTTTTTTATATCTTTAAATAAAATACAAAATGCCATATATATGCACACTGATGAAGCTTATAAAGACCTAAATTTGTAGGCTGGGCGCGGTGGCTCACGCCTGTAATCCCAGCACTTTGAGTGGCCGAGACAGGTGGATCACCTGAGGCCGGGAGTTAGAGACCAGCCTGACCAACATGGAGAAACCCCATCTCTACTAAAAGTACAAAATTAGCCGGGCGTGTTGGTGCATGCCTGTAATCCCAGCTACTCGGGAAGCTGAGGCAGGAGAATCGCTTGAACCCGGGAGGTGGAGGTTGCGGTGAGCCGAGATCACGCCATTGTATGCCAGCCTGGGCAACAAGAGTGAAGCTCTGTCTCAAAAACAAACAAATAAACAAAACCTTAATTTGTAAAATTCATTACCTTTTATATCCTAAAAACTAAATTTTGGTTCAAAGTATTCTTGCCTTTTTGGGGAGATTGGTGGGGTGGTGAGAGGGGTGGGAAGAAGTGAGGAAGAGCTGTAATATATAGTTTTTGGCATATTAAGTCTTTCTCACTAACTGTAAAGTTATATTTTTGTGGGATTTTCAAGGTTATTTTCCTGGCATTGTGCTTTCTCTCCATTATCTGAAGTTTCGCCTTTCCTGGCATTGTGCTTTCTCTCCATTATCTGAAGTTTCTCCTTTGACAAGAAGCAGAAAGAATGATAGAAGTAGAGATTTGGTATATTTTTCTCTCAATCTCATCTTCTTACTACTCACACATGCAGAATCTGGAACAAGCCCCATATCTAAGAGTAATAAGAAGATGACTCCCACTTTAGGATAAGAAAATGGATACTCAAGGAGCTTGCCTAAGGTCATAGCCTTGACACAAAAGCAGAACCAGATCTCAAGGCCATGCCTTCTGAGTCTGAATCTGGCACTCTTTCTTTCTGTTCCCACCAATCACTATATTTATTTGAAGGTAATCTTTTTATTTATTTATTTATTTTTACTTTTTATTTTTATTTATTTTTTTTTTTTGAGATGGAGTTTCGTTCTTCTTGCCCAGGCTGGAGTGCAATGGCGCGATCTCGGCTCACTGCAACCTCCGCCTCCCAAGTTCAAGCTATTCTCCTGCCTTAGCCTCCCGAGTAGCTGGGATTATAGGCATGCGCCACCACGCCCAGCTAATTTTGTATTTTTAGTAGAGACGGAGTTTCTCCATGTTGGTCAGGCTGGTCTCAAACTCCTGACCTCAGGTGATCTGCCCGCCTTGGCCTCCCAAAGTGCTGGGATTACAGGCGTGAGCCACCACTCCTGGCCAAGGTAATCTTTTAAATATTAAAAAATCTACCTGCCAATTATACGTATTCATGAACAAAATTAAATATGCCTCAAAAGCTGAATTAATACTAACAATTATAACACAAGCTTAGCCAATGGCTATTGTGTTACCTATAATGTTTCATGTGCTTTAAACACATGATATCATTTAATCCACATATAGATCCTATTATTCCCATTTTATAGATCAAGAAACTGAGAATTAAAGAAAAAAATTTATGCAACAGCACACAACTAGTAAGTGGGAGATGCAATATTTGCACCCAGATCCATGTCATTCCTTAGCCAGGGTTCTTAACCTGTGTACTGTACTACCTCCTGTATGGAAAAGATTTCCATATAACTGGCAAGAGGCTACATTTAATTGCTATTTTCTTGAGGATTTCCTAATTATCTCATCGATTTTAACTTCAGTGGTTAAGTTCTTCCTTTGTGAATAATGGAATGTGTAACATTTCTAGATTAAACGTTCTTGTAGTCTAGCAGGGTCAGTGGCTCTCATGCAAGAGTGTGACATTATTTGTGTGAGAGTTTTTTGAGGAGGAGGGATGTGGGAATTCTTTGCAGGTCATGGTAATCTGAGGTTACATGACCAAGAGCATCTGAGTCAGCCTGAGTCTGGAAACATTCTTGGAATCTGGGTTCCAGGCAGCTGGAATCAAGTGCCATGAGAAACTTTGAAGCAAAGCTGTTGGGTTTCAATGGGAGGATAGAAAAGTCACAAAAGATTATCTTAGTAATGAGATGCTTTGAAAAATGAGCAGTATTGGAGGGTACAGGGAACATTGAACAAAGATACGTATGGGGAAATAGAAGACTTTGTTTAGAGAATGTAGAGAACA
This sequence comes from Homo sapiens, assembly GCF_000001405.40. Taxonomy (NCBI): domain Eukaryota; kingdom Metazoa; phylum Chordata; class Mammalia; order Primates; family Hominidae; genus Homo; species Homo sapiens. The sequence goes on from NC_000023.11 coordinate 30,703,205, forward strand.
TTAGAGTAGGGAAGTGACAAAAAATATAAAGCTAGGATCATGTTGTGAAGCCCTATATTTCAGGCTAAGGAGCTTTTCTTGATAGGCAATAGGAAACTTTTGAAGGTTTATAAGCTGGTGTTCAGAGATGACTGGAGTTGTCAGTAGCAGTCTTGGGTGAAAGTGAGGAAAGACTAGAGGCCAAGATGCCATGGAGGAAGCCACCATAGTGTCCCGGTAATGAGCACATGGGCTCAGAAGGATGGAGACAGAGAGGGAGGCCATGAGTGAATGTGCATGGCACTGCAGAGGAGAAAGGGAGGGGAAGTAGGTATGTCATCTAGGTACCTGGACCCTGTGGTTAGGCTTAGCCAAAGTAAGGAAAGGGTCTGAGTGGAAGAATTTCTGTTCAGAGCGTGTTTGTGGTGCTGGCAGGCTGTATGTTGCACACATTTGGAAATGTGGAATAAGTTCAGTATAAAAATAGAAATTTTTGGCCAGGCACAGTGGCTCATACCTGTAATGCCAGCACTTTGGGAGGCCAAGGCAGGTGGATCACTTGAAGTCAGGAGTTTGAGACCAGTCTGGCCATCATGGCAGAACCCTGTCTCTACTACAAACACAAAAATTAGCTGGGTGTGGTGGTGAGTGCTTGTAATCCCAGCTACTCAGAAGGCTGAGGCATGAAAATTGCTTGAACCTGGGAGGTGGAGGCTGCAGTGAGCCGAGATTGCATCACTGCACTCCAACCTGGGTGACAGAGAGACTGCCTCAAAAAAAAAAAAGATGGAAATTTTAGAATTTCCCTAGATAGAGGGGATTTTGAAGCAACAGAAGTAGATGAAATTACCAAGAAAAAATATACAAGTAGAGGAGATATTTACACAAGTAGAAGTAGCAGGCACGGGGATGGAGAAGTCAGAAAAACAATGCAGTTATTCATTTTATATATATATATATATATATGAGATAGGGTCTTGCTCTGTCACTTAGGCTGGAGTGCAGTAGTGAGATCCCAGCATACTGCAACCTTGACCTCCTGGGCTCAAGTGATCCTCCCCTCTCAGCCTCCTGAGTAGCTGATACTACAGGTGCATGCCACCACACTCAGCTAATTTTTAAATTTTTTGTAGAGATAGGGTCTTACTATATTGCCCAGGCTGTGTCAACTTCCTGGGCTCAAGCAATCCTCCTGCCTCAGCCTCCCAAACTACTGGGATTATAGGCATGAGCCACTGCACCTAGCCTGAAATTATTCATTAGTGTGGAAATCCAGGGTAGACATATTTATGAGGGAGGCATGGTCAGTAGCGCAAAACATTACTAAGAGGTCATGGAGGCTGAGTACCAAGAATGGACCATTATACATAGAAATTAGGTCTTCGTTTGGTGACTTTTTTTTTTTTTGAGATGGAGTCTCGCTCTGTCACCAGGCTGGAGTGCAGTGGCATGATCTCAACTCACTGCAACCTCTGCCTCCCAGGTTCAAGCAGTTCTCCTGCCTCAGCCCCCCGAGTAGCTGGGACTACAGGCGCCCGCCACCACACCCAGCTAATTTTTGTATTTTTAGTAGAGACGGGGTTTCACCATGTTGGCCAGGATGGTCTCGATCTCTTGACCTCATGATCTGCCCACCTCAGCCTCCCAAAGTGCTGGGATTACAGGCGTGAGCCACCGCGCCCAGCCGTTTTGTGACTTTCAAGAGTGAAGTTGTACTAGAATGCTCAAGATAGAAGCCTGGTTGCAAATGGTCAAAAGAGATGTAAGCAGGTAGGAAATCGAAGACATGTGCTTTGCAAAAATACAACCATCCAGGAATGGTGAGAGAAGGACATAGTTTGTGAGGTTAACAGGATTATGTAACATTTTGGGAATTTTGTTTGATTTTGTTTGTAAGTTATGGTAAGACCAGAGAATGTTTCTTTGGAGTCTGAGCGGAGAACAGATGAAAGTTGTAAAATAAATGGGGGATAAGTGATGGACAAGACCAAGTAAGAGGTTAGAGAGATTGGGATTGAAAATTTAGTTAATTTCTCCCAACCTCAGCAGGGAGAAAATGACAGTCAGCTCAGAATTCAATGAAAAGCCCATCTCTGTTTCAGAGTGGGGGAAGAAATTATGGATGATTCTAATTTTTCTTTCAGCTTAGCTGTATTTTCCAATTTTTCTAGAATGTAAAAATTATTTGAACATTAAATTTTATTTTTCTGAAAGAGCACATGAGATAGCTGTCTCATTTGTCCAGTAGTGCTGACTGGGTGTGACAGAGTTTTTTACCTCCCTCACAGCTTCCTCTGGGGTCAACCCCCCTGCCCCTATGCGCCATCTTCGTCACACCTCTCTGGGCTGCTCAGTCCTGATCTGATAGTCATGAAGGAGAGCAAGCAACGTTTACCTTTGTAGAAGTTAGAAAAGTGAGACATCTTTCTGCTATGTTTGAACACAGTACAGTGTTCTGTGAGTACAATGTACAATGAGGAAGGCGAGGTAGATCATGTAAATGCTGAAAGCTCCATATGTGCTTGATGACTGGGAAGAAAGAACAATAAAATTTAAGAGGAAAATACTTGCCTGTGTACTGCTTTAAAAGCTGTGGCCTAAGTATAGCAAAGAAGTCTCTTCATATTTGCTAATACTCATTAATTGCTTATTAAGTATACTCACTTAAGAATTCACTTTTATTAAGTACCTTCAGTCTTCTCATCAGTTTTGCACTAAGACGCGTACGCTACTGTTCAGTATAGTGTTTATATGGATGCTAAATTGGTACAGATTTCTCCTTTAAAAAGCATGAAATAGATAATTAACTTCCATTTTTATGAATATTTATCACAGTAGATTAACTTGAAACATGTAGCTTTTTCAGTGTGCGGCAATAAAACGGTATAGTGATTTTGTGTTTTAGTTTGTAAATGTATTACCTGTACCTAGTGTTATTTGACAAGTATCTTTACAAAATTAGATATTAGTCCCATGCTCCTTGAATTTGTCACCTGCTCATCAAGCAGGCCAAGAATATATTTGGGTGAGAAGAGATAGACTATCCTAGGCTAATCCTTATGGTAACAATGGTACCTGGAAAAATGTCGGAAAACAATTTCCCTTGGTTTTGTGTTTGTTGCACAATCAAAATGCAGCTGATGGGATCTGTTGAGTTAGTGCTGACTGGTGGTAGCTTCTTCTGGGATCCTTCTGCCAGCTCCTGGACTGAGCACTGTCCCATCTTTCAGTTGCTGGAATGTCACCAGCACAGTTAGAACCCTGGTGGTGCAGGGCACAGCAGCAAGGCCCACGGGGAAGGAATGCCCAGCTTGGGCAGAGCCAAGCAAGGGTGACTGTAGCAACCTTGTTACCCCAAGCTTAACTGTTCCTCTGTGACCCTTACTGGTATCACTTTGGGCCACTTATCTGCCTGGCACATGTCAAAACTACCTATTAATGTCCAAGGGCCAGACTTGCTGCAGAATCCAAAGTTTATATTGATAAGGCTGCCACAAAATAAATTCAGTTCTTCTGTATCAGCCATGTTACATTCTGGCTCTGATTATCAAAGGTAGACCTTAAATTGCCTTCCGTTCCATGCCACTCTTGTCCTAGCTTTCCAACTACACCCTCCCACACTCTGTATCCAGCCTCCCCACCCTGCCAGAAGGTAGTGGTGTTTCTCATTTTATGACTGTATTAATGATAGAGCTAAGCTGGCTGTCAGTCATGATGCTTCACTCCACATGGATTAGTAGTAACATAACTATGACAGAACTTAGAATTTGTTGTAATTCAGTGGTATTTTATAAACACAGCCCTGGCCTAGGACTGACTAAACACTAAATACTATATCTGCATTTTTCTATTAAGATTGCAATGGCCAGGCACAGTGGCTTAAACGTCTGTAATCCCAGCACTTTGGGAGGCTGAGGTGGGTGGATCACGAAGTCAGGAGATCAAGGCCATCCTGACTAACACGGTGAAACCCCGTCTCTACTAAAAATAGAAAAAATTAGCTGGGCGTGGTGGCACATGCCTGTAGTCCCAGCTACTTGGGAGGCTGAGGCAGGAGAATCGCTTGAACTCGGGAGGCGGAGGTTGCAATGAGCCAAGATCGCGCCACTGCACTCCAGCCTGGTGACAGAGCAAGACTCCATCTCAAAAAAAAAAAAAAAAAGATTGCACTAAGTACATTTTCTTCTAGGCTGATTTCTAAAACATTATTCCAGGAAGATATATGATTTTTGTTAACTTTAGGAACTTTTATAAAACTATAATGACTTTTTTGGACTAAATTATATGTCAGTTTTGATCATTTGTGTTATTAATGTTTCATTATTTGCTTTCAATAAAATTGTCTTACTATTCATTCTCCCTTCAACCATAGGTATGGAACAGGATGTTTCTTACTATGTAATACAGGCCATAAGGTTGGTTTTTTAAATTAAAAAATTGATTTAAAAGTCTAAGTTCATCTAAATAATGCTTGAACATAATTTACTATTAAACAACTTTTAGTCTTTAGCTTTTACTTAATCTTTATCAGGGTTTAATTTAGAGCTCAATACAAAATTTGAATCGTTCTAATAAGAACCATTTTAGACTCTTTGAATTTTATATGTGTGTTTTTAATTGTGCTGGTGGGAAATCTAGACTGAGACCTCATCAAATTCTTAATGCAAATCTAATTTGAAACAAGGAATAAACTTTTTATACAGCTTAAATGTGTTCTTAATTCTGATCGTTTTGACTGTAAGGATTTATTTTAAAAATTGGTTTATTGATTGCATTATTTTGTACCTATGTTATTTTAACTTTAAAAAAAAGTTCTCATGTTATCTTTTCATTTTCCACTACTGAAATCTTTTTTTTTTCTTTCTTACAGTGTGTATTTTCTGATCATGGCCTTCTCACCACAGTGGCTTACAAACTTGGCAGAGACAAACCAGTATATTATGCTTTGGAAGTAAGTTCTTTTTAATCAATATGGATAATATGACAAACATTCAAAGCTAATAAAAATTACAGTGTTTTCTAACACTTTTCTGGTAAATCTTAATACAGAGGACTCAAAAAGTTCTGCTTTCTTGGCATTTGATTGAGTTGAAGGAACCTGAAACTGATCTGGGTGTCAGGACTCACAGGAGACCTTGATTAGATTGGTTCCTCAGTTCTTATGCCAATTAATCATGTCACCTTAGGCATATTACTTGAGAGCTCTACAATGTAAGGTTTTTTTTTTTTTTATCTCTAAAGTTTAATCGGATTAACGTGCTCTCTAACATTTCTTTCATCTTGAAAATTCTTTGATTTTATAAATAAAATGCTCCAGTGTTCCAAAGAGAACCCTGGGCACAAATAGGCAGAACAACTCTCTTCACTTGTCTCCTCATAAAAATAAATTTTGTGTAACATTTTGATATAGAAAAGAAAGTGAGGAGATTTATGCCACTTATCACTGGAAACATTTGTTTCAAACATTTTTGTATGTTATAGTAGGAATATGCCAGCCTAAGCCTATAGGATATGGTAAGTTAGTGTTAGAAATATTTATTTATAAAGTCAAAGAAATAATATTCTTTTTGTAAAATTAGATACATTTCTTATAAGCATTTCTATATAATTAATTTTGAAATGGCTACCTTATAATGCACAAGTATACACTTGATCTGCAGACTCATTGAGGCTCATTTTTTGGAGTGCCTGATAATAATTTGGTCACAAGTTAAAGACTTCTAGTTAGAGTTAAAACATTTTATTAGTCATTATGCCTAGCACATGAGGAATATTAGTTTATTTCTATTTTTCTCCCTTCCCCACCCCATAAACACTATAATATTTCTCCCCAGCTCCTTTTCTATGGATGGAAGCATTTGTGAAAACTTAGTCTGTATATTAAATGTATCTTAACACTTCTCAGAACTTAAAATCCTACAAGCCCTCTCCCTCTCTACTTTCCCTCTGTGGAGAGTGCATAGCACAACACTAGGCACATAGAATATGCACTTGATAAGTGTTACCTATAATATAATAAGAATATGATTCTGCTTTTTTTCTTCTTGCATGGGAAACAATCAGTGCTTTAGAATACAGGTGCCTTAGACCTGGGACAGGCCTCAGGGACAGGGGTCACTCGGTCTTAACTCCCCTCCCAATGTGAAAAACCTTCTCCTGTCTCCTTTACCAGTAGCCATCCAACTTCTATCTGAAGACAGCACCCAAAGTTGCTTCTTAATAACACCTCTAGCATTGGACCTGCATTGGTTGTCAAAAGTGTTCCAACATTAGAGGCTGCGGTCAGTTTCTCTGGGTCTTCCTCCTCCAGGGTAAACTGACCCAATGCCTTGATCTCACATGGTTTCTGGATGCTTTATAGTTCTGAGCTCCCTTCATTGGGTGCATTGCAATTCATGTCGTCCAGAATGGAATATAACATTCTACATCTAATCTGACCTGTACTCAATCAATAGGATGATTTGTGCCTCTCCTACCATAAGCACTACTTTTGCTCCTCTAGCCTGAGAGTTCATTAATTTAGACTAATATTTATTAAATTAATATTTATTAATTAAAATAATTAATATTAATTTAGACTTCATATTATTGGCCCTGGGAGCATATGCTAAAAAACCTAGCTCGTTTTCAAATGAATCATTGTCAAACCAAGTCTGCTCTGTTCTGTATTTGTGTAGTTTTTTTGTTAAATCTAAATTCAGGTCTTTGTTTCTTCCTGTTTAATTTCATAATAGTGATTTTAGCCTATTCCTATATAGTCTGAATTCGTTTTCACTCTTTACTGTTACTCTTTCAGTTTTGTCTCATCTAGAGATTTAACAAGTATATGCTTTATGATTTTGTTTCAATTTATGTAATGCTTTTAGATGCTTAGAATTGTAAAAGCTCAGAGAGACGCTAGATCATATGACAATATACCCTCCTATCCCCTTGTTTTACACGTGAGGAAACCGAGATTAGAAAAGTGAAATTGGAGTCCCTTGGCCAAGTAACTTTTGACAACAGTAAGTAGCAGATCCAGATGCTTGGACATCAAAGCCTTGATGCCTAGGCCACCCTGCTGTACCATTTCCTTCCTTGTAAGTCTGAAAGTTCTGGGCTCCAGTCTCCCAAGTCCAGTGTTGTTGTCACTGCATCTAGCTTATGTCCCTTCCTTCATCTGCTAACCTAGCGGTCTCAGCAACAACAACAACACACATACGCATACTAATATGTTAACGGTGTAGTTAGAATTTTTTTCTTTGTTTTCTTAATTTTTTTTTACAATTAACAAACATTTAAAAAAAATTAAATTAAACCAAACCAAAAAACAAGGGTGGGGAATAATGCTAGACTGGTAAAACTTTTTATCAGTAAACACATGCTAATTTCACTTGGTCATACTAATTCCTTTTTTTGTAAATGCTTACAAAGTATATATTTAATAATATTGTCTTTCATTTGATCAATTGTTGTTAGGCTTAGAAGTTGGAGATAGGAAAATTTTAGTCTTTATGCTCTTTAAAACCTAAAACTATAGCTACCCATCTTCAGTCTTTTAGTCTTTTTCCATTCTTCCTCTGCTGATTTGGGAACAATAAGATACATTTCTATGTTTTTATTTTGGTGATTTTTTTTCTTTTGCGTATACCCTCAGATTTTTAAGATATTGTTTAACCATATATTTTTCTAAGAGTGTATGTCATTTTTTGGTATTTTTAATCTCCCGACCATGATAAGGAACTCTAATATTTTATTCTACCGCCTCCATCACCAATTGTGTTATTTTGTTTAAAGCTTTCATTTCCCCCATTTTGTTCAACATGTAATAATTACTGTTGTTTTCTTTGCAGTCCACAGTAAATCATATTTATTGACTTATTTTTCTTAGTTTGTGTCCAGTATCATTTCTTTGGTCTCACACCTTTTTTATTCCCACCTACTTTTTTCCTTTTTTTCTTCTTCTTTTTTTTTTTGCTGAGGGGCATCCTTCTATAGTTCTTTTAGTTTTAGTGTGGGATAGTAAGCCTATTCTTTTTAGGTTTGTCTTTGTTTTGCCCTCACTCTGAGGATGAGTATAAAAGCCTATATTAACAATTGTTTTTCCCACATCCCTTCTGGCCATTTTCGATGTTGATGAGACCTCTGCTGTCAATATGTGGTTCATTTGTAGATAATCTGGTTTATTGTCTGGGAGTTTCTAACATTATCTCTTTATCATTGATGTTCTGTAGTTTTACTATGATATGCCTGTGTTTGGATTTATTTTTATTTATCCTGTTAGGTACTTGGATCCAAGTCTGTCTTCAGATCTGGAAAGTTCTCAGCAATTATCTCTTCAAATATTGCTCCTCTACCATTACCTCCATCCTCTTCTGGAATTGCTATTGGATGAATATTGGAACCTTTCAACCCATCATCCATGTCTCTTAACTGCCCTTTTATATTTTTTTAATCTCTTTGTTTCTCTGTGCTGCGTCCCTGGTGAGTTTCTCAGTATCTACCTTCCATTTCCAAATCCTCTCTTTAAAACAAACAAGACAAATCATAAAAGCCTTTTTTGTATTGTGAAATATAAGACACATAGAGAAAAATGCATTAAATATCAATGTACAACTTGAAAAATTATTATAAAGGCTCATGTAACTTGTTCATAGAACGCCGCCAATCCCAAGAACCTCTATTTGCCCCACGATCACAACTTCCTCCCTCTCCCTGAGATAAACATCAGCCTGACTTTTATCATAATCACTTCCTTACTTTTCTTTGTAGTTCTAACACTTAAATGTGCAGCCCTGAACACCAGAGTTTAGTTTTGCATGTGTTTAATATTTGATATATTAAAAATATAAAAGAAAAGAGAGAGAGAGCATGTGCATGCATATCTGAGTCACTTAGTATGTATTTTTTTGTATTTTTTGATCTGGCTTCTTTCACTCAACATTATGTTTGTGAGATTCATCCACAGTATTATACATAGCTGTTTTTTTCATTGCTTCTTATTGCTATATGAAATTATTGAAGTTTAGTATTTATTCAGCTGTTGATGACATTCGAGTTGTTTTCAGTATTTGGCTATTATGAAAAATGCTGCTATGAACATTTTTGTATATGCCTCCTGATGTAAATGTATTCACCTTTCTGTAGGAGTAGAATTTCTAGGCCATAGATTATGTGTATCTTCACTTTGAGTAGATAGTGCAAACCATTTTTCACAGTAGATGTGTCAAGTTACACTCCTACCAGCAATATGGGGGAATGCTAGTTTACTCATCCTCTCTATCTAGTCTAGAGTTTACCCCATCTAGTACATTTTTCATCTTATTTAATATTTTCATTTCTATAGTTTTTATTTGGTTATTTTTCACATCCACCTGATTTTGTTTCAGTTCTCTTTTTTTTTTATTCTTAGTTTCATGTTTGTTTGTTTTTAAAATGGAAGTCATTTCCTAATTTATCTCCGAATACTTAAAACATATGTATTTTAAAATCTGTGTTAGGCCGGAATGAACTCTAGTCCAGCTATTAAGTTTGTTGGATTTCTTTTTTCTTTTCTTTTTTTTTTTTTTTTTTTTTTTTTGAGATGGAGTCTCGCTCTGTCGCCCAGGCTGGAATTCAGTGGCCTGATCTCGGCTCACTGCAAGCTCTGTCTCCCAGGTTCACGCCATTCTCCTGCCTCAGCCTCCCGAGTAGCTGGGACTACAGATGCCCACCACCATGCCCGGCTAATTTTTTGTATTTTTAGTAAAGACTGGAAATAACGAAGTTTCACCGTGTTAGCCAGGATGGTCTCGATCTCCTGACCTGGTGATCCGCCCGCCTCGGCCTCCCAAAGTGCTGGAATTACAGGCGTGAGCCACCGCGCCCGGCCTTGTTGGATTTCTTAATACAAGATTTCTTCGTATAGTTTAGAATTGTCACTTCCAGCCTTGTCTTCCATTAAGCCATATAGCCTCAGTCAGCAAATACACAGTTGCTTGTTTTTCTAGCATCCCTACACAAGTAAGAGAGCGCCACCTAGCTCCTGGCTTCAAGCATTGAGCCTGATTCTATTCCCTGTCTTGCGCAAAACATTTTGGACCCCTTTCTTCTGGAGGAACCAGTTCCCAGCCACCACTCCTACTCCCTGACACATATAGAAAAATAAATCAGAAGCCATCATGCTTGTGGCTTCAGTCCTGTTTGGTTATGTGTTTCCGTGTCTGTCCACATAGATGTTATTCTGTATTTGAGTCAGCATGTTGTTTCAGTTTTCTCTTTTATATCGTGTCTGTTATCCTCTGTGGTTAGAACAAAGGGGATTTTTGAAGTACAAACTCATTATTTCTGCTCATGTAAGCATCTGCATCTTCTTTTTCATCACCAAGAGAACTCTTTTTCTCTCCCTGAAGCCCCTGGCAGGTGATAGTAAGGCCTGACATTTTAATACCTCTAAATTCTCATTTTCATTATTTGTAAAAAGAAATAGGTGTTCATGATCCTTAAGTTGTTCTGTGACATTAAACTCATATTAAACTGGTTAAATTTGTCCCACCCTTTCTAGTTGGAAAATATTTCTCAGTAGTGGAAGAGACTGGAGCAAAATAGAGCCATTGAGTGGTTCTGCCTTCCCTCTGGCATCCTTGTTCCTCTTCTTTTTCCAAATACTGTTTCACAAAACAAAAATCCTTTTGGGAACTTTTAATATGAGTATGAACCTGAGCTTACTTATGACTTGAGACTTCCATGTTCCGTGTTTTGTCACTAGAATATAGATTTCCTGAGGCCAGGGTACTTGTCTATCTTGTTTACCACTCTGTCCCAGCAGGCTGGCAGATAATACATACCCATTAAATATTGTTCAAATACCGAATCCTATGTTAGGCCATTTTTTTCTTTTTAAATATGAGCTTCAAAGAGGGTTCCCTATATTGCCTCCCTGGTTTCTTTAAATATCTCTTCCCCTATCTTTTCTTTGTTATGGTTTAACGATTATAGCGTTAAGATTTCCTTTTTAGAGTTTTTCATCCTTCTTGAGCTAAATCCCTATTTTAGGTATAAACCTATGTAATAGATTATCTATTGCTGTGTAACAAGATTACCACAAACTTAAGTGGCTTAAAACAACACATTTATTGTTTCTCAGTTCCCATGGGTTCAGAATCCAGGCACAGCTTAGCTGGGTACCCTGCTCAGAGTCTCACAGGGCTGCAGTCAAGATGTTGACTGAGGCTCTGCTGTCATCTGAGGTTTAATCTGCTTCCAGGTTCATTCAGGTTATTGGCAAAATTCAGTTCCTTGTGGTTGTGGAACTGAGGACTTCAGTTTCTTGCTACCTGTCAGATGGAGGCCACCCTCAGCTCCTAGGGCTACCTGCAGTTCCCTGCTATCTGAGGGACCCCCAGTGGTTCTCTGCTTCCTTAAAGTCAGGAAGGGAGGGAATATCTCCAGCAAGACAGGCACAGTAAATCATGTAATGGAAGCACGTACACATCACCACACATATCCCATCACTTTTGACATGTACTGTTGGGTAGAAGAAAGTCACAGATATCACCACGCTCAAGAGGCGAGGATTATGCAAGGGTATGCACATCAGGAGGCAGGGATCATGGGAGCCACCTTAATTAAAAGTCTATCTGCCACAAGCATATAAACATTGTTTATGAACTTTTATAATGTTCTTTCTTGAAAAGTATACTTTCTGAGCAATAAATGCTTTTAATTTTAGTTCCCCAACTTGTTACTGAAGTATTAATGAAATCTGTTACATTTCAAAAATAATGTTGCTCCAATTCAACTCTTCCCTTTCTCTATGCAATTAAAAATGCTATAGAGTTAGACACTGCATTTGTAATCTAATATATACAAATTAACTACATTATAAATCATATACGTACAGATACATAGCACTGTAGTATACACAAAACTGTGTTTGCTATGCCTGATGAATGATTGTAAGCAATTTAGGGTAATCTTTACTTTACCTGATTTTTCTCCATACTCACCAATTTTCACCCTAATTGCCTTGTAAGCTACAATTCTACTGCATCCTGAAATATCCTGCTTTATTTTTATACTGTTTGTGGCAGTGGCATTCATGTCAAGGAGCTTTTGAAGAAAAATGTATTTGCCTGCTATGACATTACATCAGATCTACTTGATTATTTTTAATTCAATCTTCCTATAGCCTGTTTATTAGCCTTTCACTTTCCAGGCTACATGTCTAGTTTTAAAATAATTTATTCCTCTTGCCCTGTTATAATTTAATTTATTATTCTTTACACCCTCTCACTTTCATTGCATCTCCCTTAGTGTACAACTATTAAGCTTGCATGCATCTTTTCCAGGGAATCATAACCTAGAACAAGGGCTGATTCAAATTTGTAGATGATATACTAAAGTATTGGATCTTTATACTTAGGGTGTAATTTATGGTAACTTAACTGATAACAAGTAGACAGTCACCTTCTTTTATCATTTTAGGTTTTGGCTGCTATACTCTTTTCCTGTCCAGCTTTGAAACATTATTACCATCTTCCATTTTATTTCCTGCCTCTGAATTCAGAAGACCACATGTCTTTTGTGAATTAGAGATGTCTCTCATTTTTATTTCTTTAAAAGCTAAATCATACCATGTATTATATCCTGACAGCAAAATTATTTACTTTTTTCAGATAAGTGTTTTTATCTACCTTTTATTGTGTTATATTGAATCTAGTTTTTCAATCACAACAAAACACTTCTGTGTATTCCTGATGACAGAATTTAAAACAGTTATCTCCTGGAGCCTTAACAGTGACTATGTATTTTTTTTCTTTTGTTTTAATCTAAATAATACTCTGATTCTCAACTAATTACCTCTAATCAAAACCTTGATTTTCCTTTTGCTAAAATCATATTGCTTTCTCTTAAAAATATGGTGTAAGCATGTAACATCCTATCTTTTTCAATGGAAATGAGGTATATCAGCACGTGGTTTCCTAGAGTATAAAGTCCCACCAGCTGTGCCACAAAATCACTTTACTAGACTCCTAGCACAGTGGCTTCTAAAAATTCGCAGTTTAACTGTACTTGCCTAAAACAATTATGTATGCATTTCTTGGTTAGATGCTATTTAAGGACAGTGTCTTTGAGAGTATAAGGAGGAGGGACACCTGTTTTTGTTTTTCTTTTTCAATTAGGTCTAGAATTATACTGCCCATGGCAGCCATGGCCACATGCAGCTATTGAGCACTGGAAATGTGGCTAGTCTGAATTGAGATGTGCTGTAAGTGTAAAGTATATACCAGATTTCAAAGATAGTACAAAAAAAAATCTCAATAATTTAATATTGATTTCATGTTGAAATTTTTTTTAATACATTGGGTTAAATAAAATATTAATTTTACCTTCCTTTTACCTTTTTAATGTGGCAAAAATATAAATTACATATGTGACTCACTTTATATTTCTGTTGGACAGCACTGGTCTAGAAACTCTTACATATTTACTAGTATTTGGCAGCTGCTATCTCTGAATTGTCTGTTTCCAAAGGAAATTTGAATCTTAAATCTCTTTAAACCAAAATTTTACTTAGTTCTCTTGAATGATCCCACTAAGTACCTAAATATGTAAATGTGTCAAACTTAATACAACAACTTATTTTAGGCAGGGAATGAGCTGTGTTAGAGTCCCTTGTAAGGTATTTCTTGAATTGTTTTTGTCCCATTTTTAAAGCCTTGTCATATTTGCACAGCTATGCCAGATCTGTTCCTCAAATACTTCCTGTGGTTAAAAAGCCATTTTATATATGTAATGATACAGAGTACTGTATGTATGTCTACATATATAAAAATGTATAAACAGAACAATTGTGGCATTCTGTAGCTTTGCAGTAACATAGTAACTTCTCATAGAAGCTATGAATGATGGAATATACCAGCATATTCATTCTCTAGTTTACTTACATTTTGACAACTGACAACAAGAAGGCATGACCATTTGTAATTCAGTTAATAGAACTGAGGACAGGTCCCTACATTTAATATTACCTGACGTTTGGTTTGGAGTGACTCTGTGGAAGTAATTTACATTAATAATCTATATGAATGAACTATCAGAGCTAAAAAAAATTTCTTGGTATTCCTAATGGTTCGTGCTGATACTTCTTTTTTTTTTTGCCTTCAGGATCTTTTTATAATAGCTTTATTGAGATATAGTTCATATTCCACACAATTTACCCTTTTCAAATATACAGTTCAATGGTTTATAGTAATACTATATTTACAGATTTTTACAACCATCACCACAATCTAACTTTAGAACATTGTCACCACCCCAAAAAGAAACCCCATAACCACCCCCTATCCCCCAGCCCAGGCAACCACTAATCTACTTTCTGTCTCTATGGATTTGTCTGTTCTGGACATTTCATATGAATGGGATCGTACAATATATCGTCTTCTGTGCCTGGCTTCTTTCACTTTGCATAATGTTTTCAATGCTCATCCATGTTGTAGCATGTATTAAGACATCATTCCTTTTCATAGTCCAATAATACTCCATTGTGTAGACATACTGCGTTTTATCTATTCATCAGTCAGTGATATTTGGCTGATACTTTTTTAACATTAAAGAAATTAATGAAGTCAATATTTACATTTAGTAAGAACCTTCACATATATTCTCATATTGAGCCTCACAGTAATTTGTTTAGGTAAGTGTTGTCATAGTCATCATTTTATAGGTGAAGAAATGGAGGCTCAGAAAGCCTAAGTAACTTAGGCAAGTTACTTAGATGAACTTGCTAAGATTAACTTACTAAGTTACTTAGATTAGTTACTAAGATTACACAGCAATTAAGTACTAGAACTGGGACTCAAAGCCAGTTTATCCAACTCTGAAATATGTTTTTATTGTTATTGCCACAGCTCTAGGTGATTTTGTTTTAAAGAAAAATTACTTACTAGCTAGCTTCTTTGCTTTTTGTTTTCTTGATTTACTATACTGTTAGATATGGGAAACAGACTTGAAAAAACTTTTAATGTGGCCTCTCCCAATAATTTTATGAACAATATGGCAATATATTTCTAAGTGATAACATACCTCAGTAGCTTAGCAACAGACAGAAAATTGTTCAAGAAGCAAACTGATCAAAGATCAATGTCCACCTATGGGGACAAATCCAAGGGTGTGCTGGAAAGCTCACTTCTTTTCCTCATCCCGTGAAAAACTTTTATTAGTGACTTAGATAAAACTATGTTTGTATTAGAAGACCTAGTTTACATATTTGTCGGAGTCTCAAAATGGAAACTGAATTCTGTCCATCTGATTGTGTCATACACAGAATATGCTCAATAAAAACCTTGGATAGTGATAAAATATATTCTGTCTTGAATTCCTTTTTTTCTTTAGGGTTCTGTAGCTATAGCTGGTGCTGTTATTCGCTGGCTAAGAGACAATCTTGGAATTATAAAGACCTCAGAAGAAATTGGTGAGTGTGTTCTAACAAAAGGTTAGAAAATCTGAAAAATGACACATTTCAGTATTTTATCTCTGCAAAGTAAATACTTATGCTTTGCCCCAAATGTGATCCATAAATTATATGGATCCCTATTATGAGTTTGACTTATGCAAAAGACTATCTTGTGAAGATTTATAAAACAAGGAATTGACATAATTAGTGGTGGTTGTTAATAAACTGGCAATGTAGGGCATAAAAATTACCCAAGTGTAAAATTGAACACTGGAGATTGCCAGAACCTGCAGATAGAGAAGTTGAGTTAAATTTATCTGATGAGAAAGAGCTTTAACTCTTAGATTAGAGTGAGCATTAAAACTCTGGTACCTATAATTTAAGTATTAATACGGCTGTTTTCAGTCTATAGATAATTAGTTTGAACTTACCTACTCACTCTTTCATCCACTTGCTTAACTTTGCCTGAAGGTGAGACAATCAGAAATACATTTCTGATTAGGGACACACTAGAGGCCACTTTTTCATCTCCTAGTCAGCAACCTTAAAAATAGTGGAAATGAGCTAAAATACCTTAAATAAATGAATCTGGTTCCTTGATTTCTTGAGCTAGGCTACATTTTAGTGGGGGGTATTTAATGTGAGAGAAACTCATTTCTGTTGATCCTAGCATACTACTGTAGTTAGCAACATTTTGCTCTACCAATGAATTGGAAACCAAAACCCCTGTCCTAATTTTTCTAATTTTTAAAATAGGTATGCTTATATAATAATACACAATATTTGTGTGATTTTTGTTTTGTTTTGTTTTTAATGTTAGAAAAACTTGCTAAAGAAGTAGGTACTTCTTATGGCTGCTACTTCGTCCCAGCATTTTCGGGGTTATATGCACCTTATTGGGAGCCCAGCGCAAGAGGGTAAGTATTGAAAATATGGAGTGCTTTTGGGGATCTTGATTTATTTACCAAAGTCGTTAATAACTTATTAGTTTCTTATCTATTTTCAAATAATTATAATGTGTTGAGAAAACCTTTTCTTTTTGGAGAATATAATTTCAGAAACTTTAAGCTCCAAGAAGTTATGAATCAGCTGACAATAACCCCTGCCATATCCGTATTCATGTTATCTTTTATCTTCATGATGTCTGTAAGTTGTATAGTGAAGGGACATCATCATAATGAATACTGATTCAGTTTTATGATGCCATCATCTTTTCAAATGTGTCATGAATTTTTTCATACATGAATGCAGAATTGTGAAATATAAGGACTTTCTGAGTTACTTAATGATTATGTCCAATTTTCTCTTCCTGGACATTTCTGTCTACCAAATTTGACCTTTTCATATTTGAGATATTTCAAATTGATTGGTTTATATCATTCTAATCTGAAAATCTTTGTGCGTATTTTTAGGATAATCTGTGGACTCACTCAGTTCACCAATAAATGCCATATTGCTTTTGCTGCATTAGAAGCTGTTTGTTTCCAAACTCGAGAGGTAACAAATATGGGCCTGTTTTCTTGTACTTAGTTCACTTTTATCACTCTTAAGTTATATGTTAACACCCGAGATTTATTCAGTACTGAAAATGTAGTTAATCAAATATTAAGGCTGCCTAAATACTAATCTAAATATAAGCAGGGTTTTCCCCCTTTTTCCAGCTGTCATTACCTTCTAAGTTCCTGTTCCCTGTCAGGCACTGGGAATTTTATGGTTGTGGGGAGGCTGAGTGGCACACATTAGGCAAAGGAAACAGCACAAACATAGGCATCAAGGCAGAAAAACAGGGTGCAAAATAGAGTTGTATAGCTTAGCTGAATATCAAGGTGAATGCAGAGGTGTAGTGAGAGAAAAGGTTGGCTGTGACCAGATCAAAGAGGGCTTAGAAGACCAGAATAAGAAGTCTCAATTTATTCCATAGGCTCTTGGAAGCTCTTGAGAGTTTCTGAGTGGAGGATTGCCATTTTCAGAGATGTTACTATGAAATAGATTTATAACATTAATTGCACTGGTTTATTTAAGATTTTGGATGCCATGAATCGAGACTGTGGAATTCCACTCAGTCATTTGCAGGTAGATGGAGGAATGACCAGCAACAAAATTCTTATGCAGCTACAAGCAGACATTCTGTATATACCAGTAGGTTAGTAAGTCTTCATTCCTTTAAACTCCCAGAGTAATGTTTCTTGTGGAATAACTAGTTCTTTGGGCATATGTAACCACAAAGATATTGATGGAACTCTCTCTCCTCAGTGAAGCCCTCAATGCCCGAAACCACTGCACTGGGTGCGGCTATGGCGGCAGGGGCTGCAGAAGGAGTCGGCGTATGGAGTCTCGAACCCGAGGATTTGTCTGCCGTCACGATGGAGCGGTTTGAACCTCAGATTAATGCGGAGGGTACATTTAAAGAATGAAATGTTCAGTGATATACTGTGAAAACGACCTTAGTGCACGGGAGTTTTGTTTTTCTGTTTAGTTAAAAGTTAAGGAACCAAGTAAAATAGTAAATGTTATCATTGCAGATTCGGCTGCCAAGCATATTGGGCTTTACTGAATAAATGTGAATGAGAGAAATCGTTGCTTATCAAAAGAACTTCTAAAATCACTTTTTAAAAATCATTTGCTTTTACTGTTTATGGTCCTTTAGTGTAGGATAATAATACTGCCACACTGTCAGGTATAGCTAGTTAGAATAGCCTTTTTTTTTTTTTGAGACGGAGTCTCACTTTGTTGCCCAGGCTGGAGTGCAGTGGCACAATCTCGGCTCACTGCAAGCTCCGCCTCCCGGGTTCATGCCATTCTCCCGCCTCAGCCTCCCGAGTAGCTGGGACAACAGGTGCCCACCACTACGCCCGCCTAATTTTTTTTTTTTTTTTTTTGTATTTTTAGTAGAGACAGCATTTCACCGCGTTAGCCAGGATGGTCTCGATCTCCTGACTTCGTGATCCGCCCGCCTTGGCTTCCCAAAGTGCTGGGATTACAGGCGTGAGCCACCGCGCCCGGCCATAGCCTTTTTTAAAGTGAGAAGGAAGATATATCAGCCACTCATCCCTAATGTCTACACCAGATCATCTTTGGTGCCAGTGGCCCAGTTTTAGGACATAATTAGCTGGGTTAAGAGACACTCTGGTAACTTTTAAGCACAGCAGGACTAACCTGATGAAGGCAGCAACAATTTAAGTAAGTGAACATTAGATATCTGATTCACTGTGCTAACTAAGCTAAGCCACAAGCTGTGATCAGCACTTTTACTAAAATGTAGTGATGCGGTTCTTAAATTTAAATAAATGTAGAAAAATAAGGTTTTATATATTAGAATTGGTTTTATAACTTTTTAGAAACCTATGCATAAAATAGCATCAGCTGGGAATGGTAATTTGTGCCTATAGCCCCAGCTACCCAGGAGGATCTCTTGGCTTGGGCCCAGGAGTTCGAGTCCAGCCTAGGCAACATAATGAGACCCCTGTCTCTAAAAAAACAAAAGGAAAAAAAAAGCATCAAAGTGGATTTTGAGGTATTGGGAATAAGCTTTCAAATGCATTTTTGTTTGGTTTTCTGGGAGAATATACCAGTGTTTCTCAATTTTATTCATTCTTTTAACATATAAGAAAATGAATTATAATACTAGTAATTTTATAGTCAGATTATACCATGTACCTTGATTTAGAAATGTATTTCACCATCTGATATTCTGTCATTTTTAACTTTTGCAATACTGGATAAAATATGAAGTTCAAAAAATTTTTCTACTTTTCAAAAAAAATCAACTTTATAATATGCAAATAATGTCCAGAGCGGGTATATGGCCTCTAAATGCCAATCTCACTCTTAAAGCAAGGAAGTTCTGTGCCAAGAGAGCCATCTCCATTCTTAGGGGAGCCATCTTTGCTGGTGTTGAAGGCCTTAGCCTGGGGTTGATCAGTCATGCCCTATTGTCCTCCCTCTCACCAGCCCTCACTCCTCCCCATAAACGAATGGGCACCTAGGCATAGATAGTACATTTTGCCAGCAAACAGTTGTTTATAGCCAACCACAGGCCAGAGACTGTACTGATGTGGGGATATAGAGATGAATAAGGCCTTATCTTCTTATCTTCTTTTGCCCTTCAGAAGATTAGAGTATATTGGGAGCAGAAGACAAAACCATAAAAATTTGGTAGCTGACATCCTGGGGTGTGTGTGAAGAGAGAGGGGGGGATAGAAATGGGGCACTGGAAAGCTTTCTGAAGTGAGTGATTCTTGAGCCTTCTCTCCTGGGTGTTGCAGGCCTCAGGTGCTATGGAAAGTCTGGGAGGCTTGAGAGAAAGGTAGCCCCACATGGGGTTCAGCACCCTTAGAAGTGTACAACATCAAGCTCATTTTTGTTTAGACTTTCTATTGTGGATTTCCACCTTTAAAAAATCTTGCTTTAAGATGCTGGGGTTGGGGGGCATGGGGCTGTCTCAGAGGAATGCAATTCA
Organism: Homo sapiens; assembly: GCF_000001405.40. Classification (NCBI taxonomy): domain Eukaryota; kingdom Metazoa; phylum Chordata; class Mammalia; order Primates; family Hominidae; genus Homo; species Homo sapiens. The sequence continues at coordinate 30,723,058 of NC_000023.11, forward strand.
AATCTTATGAGAAATCAGTATTTGTTAAATCCTGTGACTGAAATAAAAACGTCTCCTGCGGGGCGTGGTGGCTCACGCCTGTAATCCCAGCACTTTGGGAAGCCGAGGCGGGCGGATCACGAGGTCAGGAGATCAAGACCATCCTGGCTAGCACGGTGAAACCCCATCTCTACTAGAAATACAAAAAATTAGCTGGGCGTGGTGGTGGGCGCCTGTAGTCCCAGCTACCGGGGAGGCTGAGGCAGGAGAATGGCGTGAACCCGGGAGGCAGAGCTTGCAGTGAGCCGAGATGGCACCACTGCACTCCAGCCTGGGCGACAGAGCGAGACTCAGTCTCAAAAAAAAAAAAGAAATAAAAATGTCTCCTTCTAGTCTTCCCACATTACAGCATACCCTTTTCCTCGTACCCTTTCCCCCCAAAAAGAAGAGAAAACAGATCAAATGGGATTCCCCTTTCTAATTCATTACCACTTGTTTGTGAGTGGCCCAGTCTGCATAGCAGGCAGTCTGTCTGCCAATCTCCCTTTACCCTGCTGAATTTCCCCTATCCTGTTTTTGTTTGTTTGTTTGTTTGTTTGTTTTTGGGACCGAGTCTTGCTCTGTCACCCAGGCTAGAGTGCAGTGGTGTGATCTTGGCTCACTGCAACCTCCACCTCCCAGGCTCAAATGATCCTCCTGCTTCAGCCTCCCAGGTAGCTGGTACTACAGGCAGGGTTTTACCACATTGCTCAAGCTGGTCTCAAACTCCTGAGGTCAAGCCATCCTCCCTCCTCACCCTCCCAAAATGCTGGGATTACAGGCATGAGCCACTACACCCAGCCTCCCTGTGTCCTGTTTCACTCCAACTTCCAAGCAAGCATGTCTTCCAGTCACTGGCAGTCATCAGCAACCATGTGCTTTCAAATCTGAGTCCTGCTAAAGCCCTACTGCAGTTTAATGTGTGCAATAATTTGTCAAGAATGTTGAGTGATCATAAGTATGGTACTAAGAACATCTCAGCAAACTACCTTTCGTTATGTGTTTTTTCTACCTTCTAATTCTAGAAAGTGAAATTCGTTATTCTACATGGAAGAAAGCTGTGATGAAGTCAATGGGTTGGGTTACAACTCAATCTCCAGAAAGTGGTAAAAATGTTTTTGTTTATTATTGTCACATTTTCTTAGTATATTAAATAGTTATTTAAGTATCTAGGCATTTACACATAGCCAGGCTGCTCTGAAGAAAAGCATTATCATATGTCCAGAGATTCTGACATTTTGAAAACACTTTAAAGTTCTAAACACAAAATGTAAATTATCAGGTTGATATACATACTTTAACTTTATCCTGCCATATCTTTCCTTATTAGTTTATTCTTGGTACTTCAATTGACAACTTAGTCTTCCAAGAGTAAAATTATTTCTAGTTTCTTCTTAATGAAAAAAAAAAATCAACTAGAGTCTTCATTTTTTTCCCCTCTCCTCTTACTTTACCTTTTTGGGGGGCTGTCTTTATGACCTGAACCAACTGAAAGCTGTATTAATTTCAGAATATATTCTGCTACTTCCTAGGCTGATTCCAAGTACATAATGGGAATTCCTTTGGAATCAGAGAAAGAAATATACCAAACATAGTAAATTCGAACTCTTATAAATAGATTGGGAAGTGCTCTTAGCAGAAAAAATAGTGGACTATTCTACCTTTCAGTCACTTAGGAAGGTCAAGAGCTTAAGTAAACCATTTAGATTTAAACAGCCTTAAGATGCATAGTATTATTATTTTTTGCTAAATGCAAGATGTGGAGCATAATGAATGGAACAATGGCAGATAATTTATTGAAGCATATACTTTTTTTTTTTTTTGAGACAGAGTCTCGCTCCGTCACCCAGGCTAGAGTGCAGTGGCACAATCTTGGCCCACTGCAACCTCCGCCTCCTGGGTTTAAATGATTTTCGTGCCTCAGCCTCCCAAGTAGCTGGGATTACAGGCGCCCACCACCATGCCCAGCTAATTTTTTTGTATTTTTAGGAGAGACGGGGTTTCACCATGTTGGCCAGGCTGGTCTGGAACTCCTGACCTCAAGTGATCCGCCCGCCTTGGCTTCCCAAAGTGCCAGGATTACAGGTGTGAGCCACTGCACCTGGCTTGAGCATATACTTTAATGGGGAAGAGTTGACAAATGAAATAATACCTGCCTTCCAACCCCAAAGTTAATGTATCTGTTTTTTAGGAGAAGCTTCCAGAACTATCTACTGCCACAGATAACTGTGGTCTGTATTTTCAGTCCCGGATGTTCCTATTTGAAGCTTTTGTTTTTCTCCTAAATAAGCTTAATATCTTTTGTTGTGAGACTCAGCTTCATTTTCCAAGATGGTGGCAACGTTTTTCTTGCTAAGACTGTAATTTTGAGAGACCCTTTACAACTAAACTTCTCAATCATAAGTACTTTTCTAGCACAGTGCTAGTTGCTGTGTGAGATATAACAGACGTAAGCCTTGACTTCTTTTCTAGTTGCCCTTAATTATTGCTTATAGGAAATTGAGTTACATTATTTCTTTAACTAGCTGGATGTTTTAAAATGGCACTTTAAATGGCATGTTTAAAATGACATTTTGTTTTGTTTTTTGTTTTTTGAGATGGAGTCTCACTCTGTTGCCCAGGCTGGAGTGCAGTGGTGGGATCTGTGCTCACTGCAACCTCTGCCCTCCGAGTTCAAGCGATTCTCCTGCCTCAGCCTCCTGAGTAGCTGGGATTACAGGTGCCTGCCACCGTGCCCGGCTAATTTTTTTGTATTTTTAGTAGAGACGGGGGTTTCACCATCTTGGCCAGGCTGGTCTTGAACTCCTGACCTCATGATCCACCCGCCTCAGCCTCCCAAAGTGCTGGGATTACAGACATGAGCCACCGCGCCTGGCCTTAAAATGGCATTTTAATCCTCCTGTCTCCCTCCCTCCAACCCCATGCCTTACACACAGATACACAGTTCTCCTCACTAGCGGTTGAGGATGTAATTTTAACTGCAAAATTCCCACAAAATCAACTGATCATTTTTCCCTTGTTTGTGTACTTTACTATCAATGAATTTAAAATACTAAGAAAAAGTTGATAAAACAAACAAAAAAAGATATCATTGCTCCAATTTCTGCTATCAGCATTAATGATAAAAGTAATTTGATCTTTTGAGAGTTTTATATTTTAAAGAACTTTGTTTTTGTTTCAGTTAGGCTGCAGTGGATTTAAGCCAGTTTGATTTTTTTTTTTTTTTTTTGAGATGGAGTTTCGCTCTTGTTGCCCAGGCTGGAGTGCAATGGCACGATCTCTGCTCACCGCAACCTCCACCTCCCGGGTTCAAGCAATTCTCCTGCCTCAGCCTCCCGAGTAGCTGGGATTACAGGCATGCGCCACCATGCCCGGCTAATTTTGTATTTTTAGTAGAGATGGGGTTTCTCCGTGTTGGTCAGGCTGGTCTCGAACTCCCAACCTCAGGTGATCCGCCCACCTCAGCCTCCCAAAGTGCTGGGATTACAGGCGTGAGCCACTGCACCCGGCCTGAAAATGTTTTTTGAATAGATTTATGAAAAACACTCTAATATTTAATATTTTGGGGGTCTCTAAGCTGTATAATAAGCTTGGAATAGTAATAAAATGCTAGTTGTATTCCTTTAAGCAATCTAAGCTATATAACTATATAAGTTATATGATAATAGCAATATAGATAGAATCCTATTTTGATAAACTTGAGAGGATATTAGAATTGCTACCTGTATCTTAACCTATGGGAAGAATATCAGGCTTGCTTAAGTTTCAAAGCAATTTGCCAATTTTGAAGCAATCATAATTATTTTCTTGTTTGTGACTATATTTGAATGCTTTGTAAACAATTTTTAACATACTTTTCATATGTGTTTAAAATGTATTGTCAGGTGCATTTTGTTACGCACCAAATTCTATTAAAAAAATAAAACTGAACTAATATTTTAGCAAACATAGGGTTTTAAATTCATCTTAGGACACTAATATAACTCTTCTCTCATGGCCAAAAGAGAACTATAATTTGAACTTAGGTGGAATTAAATAGATCATTTAATATATTTGGGGGAAGAATCAAGAAAGCTAAAATTAACAGCCTCCCAAAAAGTTATCCATAGGCTCACTCTGGCTTTGCCAGTGGAAGGCTAATGTTAGTCTATATGTATTATGTTCTTGGCTGTGTGGCATGCTATCTGTATTGTTTGTTAACTGTCATAAACCTTCAATATTGATTATATTTTTGATTTGAAGTAATAACTCTTTGCTAGCTTTTATGAATATACTATTTTTATAGCTTATTTTGTTTTGCTATCTTGTGATTCTTAACACAAATATTGTAATTATGTGTCTCTCTTTTGGTTTGCTTGACTGGAATTCTCTTCTGCTTGGATGACCACAGGTGACCCTAGTATCTTCTGTAGTCTGCCCTTGGGCTTTTTTATAGTGAGTAGCATGGTAATGTTAATCGGAGCAAGGTACATCTCAGGTTAGTTACTCTTTAAATTAGACAACTCTATTAGTTAGCTTTAATGTTTTCGTGTATAACTTAGCAGAAATTTTTCAGTGTTTTTCATTCTTTCTGTGTCTAGGAAGCTGGAAAATCAATAAAAGGTCTAATTAGTTAGACCAATTAATCTTTGGGGGCAGTTAGAAGTAAGAACTGTGACTCTGCTTACCCTTTTTAAATTTTTAATGTGATGACTTCTTTAAGAGGGACTACATTCTGCTGTCAGCTGCAGCAATAAGCAAAAGTGAAAATACTAATATTTAAATGAAAGGACTTTCAGACTGACTGCTGAAAGTTAAAGTATACTTTTGACATTAATTAAATTGTCTTTCAAATGTATATAAATTATTTTTCATAATCCTGAAAATTTGCTAAGCAAGTCTTAACTTTTCAATTCTGGCAAGTTTCAGCCAGAGCATGTCCACAGAGTTCCTGTAAAACCCTAAAACCAGGGAAGATTTATAGTTACTCTTATTTTAGTTAAAAGAATATCTTTTATGAACTGAAGTTTTAAAAATGATTCCTTAAATGAAGGGGTTGAAATGAAAACAGAATTATTTTTCCACATTAATTTATACTGAATAATCTTTTTTTAATAAAAGTAAAATGGCTCAGCATGTTATGGAATATATTGCATAATCTTATTAATTTATAATAGCCATTTGTGGAAGCTGCTCCTGGTGATAGCTCAATTTTTCTTAAAATTACTGGCTTAAATGGAAATGATGCTTCTTATTCTGTATGTTCCCATGAAAGTGAAACTTAAAAAAAAAATTCATGATTAGGGTTTCATGAAAAGGCCTTGTTTCTATGAAAATTGAGACAGGTTGCATCTCTCTAAGCTAAAAGATGGGCTATGTGTCTAGAGTCTTAGACTTCTAAAATGCATGTGGTCACTATATGTAGGTTATCTCTTCGGTGACATACACTGCAATTTGAGAGGGCTGGAAATTGTTTGCCTTGGTAAACGATTAGCAACAGTGGCAATATTTGTTAATTTTGGAATTGGCCCTGTTTGTTGCATTTTAATTGTGAGGCATGATTTAGAAATCATATGGACTTTCTAGCTTAATAAATGATTGAATCATCTGCATTGCTTTAACTCCTGAATTGTATGCATGTATTATTGACATATATGGTTTTTGTTCCCCATTTCAGGTATTCCATAAAACCTACCAACTCATGGATTCCCAAGATGTGAGCTTTTTACATAATGAAAGAACCCAGCAATTCTGTCTCTTAATGCAATGACACTATTCATAGACTTTGATTTTATTTATAAGCCACTTGCTGCATGACCCTCCAAGTAGACCTGTGGCTTAAAATAAAGAAAATGCAGCAAAAAGAATGCTATAGAAATATTTGGTGGTTTTTTTTTTTTTTAAACATCCACAGTTAAGGTTGGGCCAGCTACCTTTGGGGCTGACCCCCTCCATTGCCATAACATCCTGCTCCATTCCCTCTAAGATGTAGGAAGAATTCGGATCCTTACCATTGGAATCTTCCATCGAACATACTCAAACACTTTTGGACCAGGATTTGAGTCTCTGCATGACATATACTTGATTAAAAGGTTATTACTAACCTGTTAAAAATCAGCAGCTCTTTGCTTTTAACAGACACCCTAAAAGTCTTCTTTTCTACATAGTTGAAGACAGCAACATCTTCACTGAATGTTTGAATAGAAACCTCTACTAAATTATTAAAATAGACATTTAGTGTTCTCACAGCTTGGATATTTTTCTGAAAAGTTATTTGCCAAAACTGAAATCCTTCAGATGTTTTCCATGGTCCCACTAATTATAATGACTTTCTGTCTGGATCTTATAGGAAAAGATACTTTCTTTTTTCTTCCATCTTTCCTTTTTATATTTTTTACTTTGTATGTATAACATACATGCCTATATATTTTATACACTGAGGGTAGCCCATTTATAAATTAAGAGCACATTATATTCAGAAGGTTCTAACAGGGCTGGTCTTAAGTGAACCACTGTGTATATAAATATGTTGGAAAACAGCTGTATACATTTTTGGGCAACGGTTATGCATAATATTTACCAGGAGAATTTTTTTCTTAACAAGCCAACATTTAAAATTTATGTTTTATGTCAATAAAAGAAAATATACTTTATTGTGACTTCAACTATATTTCTTATCCCTTACATTTTTATTTAATTGTCTTAGCTTAAAAAAAGAAGAAACTGTGGAATACTACAGTAAATATTGTTTTCAAACACAAGCAATAATTCAAATAGTTATTTTTCTTTTGAATTAATTTTAGACATATTTTGGATCCTATTGAGGGGATAAGAGGATGTCAAAAAAGTTAAATACCTAAGTAGAAAAAAATATAGAAATAAAGCCAAGAATCTCTTTCAGTTCAAATGTTATCAATTGTTAATAAGAAATTGCTATCTGGGATGACAGAATTACCTCTGCTTAGTATCTCATTATAACTGAAAGAAGGTTTATCATTACAAATACCTTCCAATGAAACCAAGAATTTCTCAAAATATTTAATGTCACATATTATAAGAAGTTACCTAATCCTGCTTCTTAACATCAATTTTTAAAAATATCTTAAAATTACTTTGTTTTGTAGTAAACAGTGAAGAAAAGATTGCCTCCTAATTATTTTTTTCAATGAGTGCTGAATGGGAAAACATTTATATCTTACTATAAAAGGTTCTGTTTTGTTTGGAATCAATGGTAGCTTTATTGACTGTTCTGATTGTGCTGTTTCTAATTTATTGAATCTGCTAGGTTTTATTGATGCAGCCACCACTTAAGTGACATAAATATTATAGAAAGGTACTGTGAAATGATCACTTTGTGGCAGGGGTACTTTTAAACATAAATGTTTCTACAAAAGTAGGTTGAGTTCATTGTAAATAATTGTGAAAGCCACTGTTCAAATAATTTTAAGATTACATTAATTTTTCTATAAATTGGAAGATTTATAAATGTTTGAAATTGTACACATTGATATTTAATGACAAATTTACTTAAAATAAATTGACCCCTTGTTCTTACTTGCATTTCTCATTTACAGACTAGAACTTAGTTGAAAGTTAAATTAAGAAAGATGTTTCAGAGGCCGGGCACGGTGGCTGACGCCTGTAATCCCAGCACTTTGGGAGGCCGAGGTGGGCAGATCACCTGAGGTCAGGAGTTCGGGACTAGCCTAACCGACATGGAGAAACCCTATCTCTACTAAAAAAAAAAAAAGATGTTTCAGGACATGTGAAACTTGGCTGTTAGCGCTTGATAGGGCACACTCTGAAGAGTTAACCAACAGCCAAAGAAGTAATTTCTGTAATGATGAACACTTTAATCATTCTATTAGAAGAAACTACACTGTCCCATCTCAGCATTTGCAAAAAATAATGTTGGTAAGGTCAGCAGCCATTATCAACAGGGCCTTGCATGGCTAACTTTGACCACCATTTTTCTCTCAACCTGATAGGCAACACCTCAATCCTTTGTTCTCCAACTAATCAGTAAAATAAGTAATGCATCTCTGCTTCTGTAATGATATCTTAGAATTTTTAGTATGTTTCTTTTGAAGTGCCCAAAGCCCAATTCTTTGGGATATCTTTTGGGTATCTGGTATCATGTGGGAGTGAAGAAAGAAAGTTTTTGGAGAAACCAACAAATGAAAGCTGTGATAGCACAGAAGCTAATGGCATTGACAGTGGAGTAGGTAGTATTTAATCTGTAGTGTTTACAACATAGTAGATAGAAGTACAAAAATTTTTTTAACTATAACTCTTTAATAGCTTGTTTTATCTAGTAATATTTAAATAATGAAGTTTCCTTGATCCTTTGCTTTTGCAACCTAACAACTTTAATAATAAGTTCACACAATAAACAAATTAGTAGAAAACTGAGTGAATTTGTAAATCAATCTGATTTCTACTTTGTGTATACTTTATAGGTACATATCTTAATTCTGGCCTTATAATTAAATATAACCTGTGCCAAATATCGTAGACAAAAAAAACTCTCACAGGTATTTCCTGAGATTTCCCTGTCATCAAATTTAATGAAAATGACCCATTAAATTAAATTTGAGGACCATAAAGATAAATATTCTGAGAAGGAGAAGTTAGGTTAAAAACAAGTTTCTCAACTAGGCCAATACCTTTAATTGCCAGTTTTCATTCTATTTCAAATAACTAGTTCTACCTGACAGCATAACAGTTGAGAGGATGACAATATTTTATTTTAAAAAGCAGCTTCAGCCTCTTTCAATTTTCCTGTTTAGTATTAAAATTTAGTTTCTTTTATTCCTTATTATTGAACTTGATAATATCTATCTCATAGGTTTCTTATTATTGTATGACTAGTTTACAAGTGGATTTCATAAATATGAAATCATTTAAGTAATCACCACAATATCCAACAAAGAGAAACTTGTTAAATAAATTCTGGTACAGCCATACAATGAAAATGTGTAGCTTTAGAAAAGAATGAGGACACTGTCTAGAAAGATATGGTATTTGGGATAAGTGAAAAAGCAAGGTGCGGAGTAGCATGTAAGTGTGCTACCCTTCTATTAGAGAGAGAGACAGAAACTAGAATGTTTGCCTATGCTGGAAGGACAGAAAAGCTGTTAATAGTGCTTATCCACTGGGACAGAAAGGGTTGATAATTAGGCATTTGGGAGAAAGGGGTGGGAAAAAATTTCACTATACATATGTGTGTGTGTGTGTGTATGTATATGTGTGTGTGTATGTGTGTATATGTGTGTGTGTGTATATATATATATATATATATATATATATTTTTTTTTTTTTTTTTTTTTGAAATGGAGTCCCATTCTTGCCCAGGCTGGAGTGCAGTAGCGTGATCTGGGCTCACTGCAACCTCCACCTCCCAGGTTCAAGCAATTCTCCTGCCTCAGCCTCCCGAGTAGCTGAGACTACAGGTGTACGCCACCACACCCAGCTAATTTTTGTATTTTTAGTAGAGACGGGGGTCTCACCATGTTGGCCAGGTGGGTCTTGAACTCCTGACCTTGTGATCCGCCTCCCGTCCCCCCCCCTTGTCCTTCCAAAGTGCTGAGATGACAGGCGTGAGCTGCCGTGCCCAGTCTGTCCACTTCATTTCTTTGATAAAACTGCTTGGAAATGAGAATATTACTCCTCTTATAAAAATGGGAAAAAGAAAGAGATTAGAAAGAAGAAAGTCACCCATAGTCCTAAAATGATCCCTGTGGTTATTTTGATTTTTCCCCAGACTTTAAGGGAATATTTCATAGAACTTGAGTGTTCATAAACTATATAAAAATTTCAACATGCAAACTAGTCAGGGCTGTCATGTATGTAGACACAAGTGAACTGAAAGTATAAAATAGGCATAGAGATGATAAATACCAAGTTTAGTGGTGGTTACCTCTGAAAGAGGAGGATGGGGTCAGGGAAAGGGACTTTGCTGAAACCTGGAAAGTTGTGTTTCTAAAAAAATTAAGAGTTAAAACAAATGTAGCAATACCTTAAGATTTGGCACTGCTTAGCGGTGGGTACACATGTCTTTATTCTATCCTCTACATTTCTGTATGCTCCATATATTTCATAATAAAAATATAAGGTGTGTTGCTCCTGATTGTGTGTATCTGAATTCGTTAGTCACTGTCTGTCTATCAGTGTAGTTTTGTTAGTACTGACAGCCTTCCCAATTAAAAGGGTTGAAATTTTATTGATCTTCTGGCAGAATTATTTCAAGCACCTCCTACAAAGCATCAATATACAGAAGAAATAATGTGTGTATTAGAAATTACATCCTGGCCAGGCGCAGTGGCTCACGCCTGTAACCCCAGCACTTTGGGAGGCTAAGGTGGGCGGATCACTTGAGATCAGGAGTTTGAAACCAGCCTGGCCAACATGGTGAAACCCCATCTCTACTAAAAATACAAAAATTGGCTGGGCATGGTGGCACACGCCTGTAATCCCAGCTACTTGGGAGGCTGAGGCAGGAGAATCGCTTGAACCCGGGAGGTGGAGGTTGTGGTGAGCCAAGATGGCGCCACTGCACTCCAGCCTGGGTGACAGGGTGAGACTCCATCTCTAACAACAACAACAACAACAAAACACACAAACAAAAAAGAAATTACATCCTTCCTTAGCCATTCACTTGTTATGAACAGAATTTAGAAGACTCAAAAAAGAAATGCCCATGTGTTTTCTATATAGTACCTTCCATGAATTTTAATAGATAACTGCATAGCTGTAAGACCACCATATTTGTAATTATGTGTTAAGGCTAGAAAGTTTCTAGACAGAAAAGTCTTGACTCTACATTTAACTGTAATGTCCAAGGGAAAATAATTGTGATCATCAAATTAGATTTTAAGTTACGCAGAAGACCTGTTTTATTGTATTCCGGGTTCTAATTCATTACAGTCCAAAGAAAGTACTAAATAATAAAATGGAATGACATTTGTTTCCTTTATAATATGTGTTTAAAATACCACAAAAACGTGGTTAAAACGGTAGGGTGATGAGGTGATTAAAACCTGCTATTGAAGGAAAACTTGACTCTAAAATGGAACAATTCTCTAATTTCACCTATGCTGGGTTTTTCCCCCATTATGGTTTGATACTTTAATTCTCCTTGCCCACACTCAGGGAGACGTTACTGCTAGTTAGTTGCATTATCTAATCGATTTTAAAGGAAGAGACATAACTAATGAATAAAACTAAGTTATTAGGATTCTTCCGTGACTTTTCAATGTTTTCTATGTCTCCATCCCACAGGTTCAGTTAATTCTCTAACTCTATATGTTAAATAGATGTGTATCCTGCAAGGATATACACTCACCCCCAACACAGACACACACACACAGAGAGACAGTACATTTTTTTTCCTTTTGAGACGTAGTCTCACTCTGTCGCCCAGGCTGGAGTGCAGTGTCGCGATCTCAGCTCACTGCACTCCACCTCCCGGGTTCAAACGATTCTCCTGCCTCAGCCTCCGGAGTAGCTGGGACTACAGGTGCACGCAGCCATGCCTGGTATTTTTGTAGTTTTAGTAGAGACGGGGTTTCACTATCTTGGCCAGGCTTGTCTCGACCTCCTGACTTCGTGATCCATCCGCCCCAGCCTCCCAAAATGCTGGGATTACAGGTATGAGCTACTGTGTCCGGCCAGAGTACATATTTTTGTTCAGGATAATCAGAAATGAGTATAAGAGAGATTCTTAATGTTTTCTATTAAGCAGGCTCATTTAGAATAAACAAAACCAGAGCTATTATCTTCTATGGATTAAGACTGGAATAATAAAAATTATTGGAAGGAGATTTTTTGTCAGGTCTCCCATATATACAGGTGTTCATCAGAGACACCATGTTCCCCTTCTCTCCCTCTCAGAGAGAGACACCCATGGATGGCAGGCGTGGGCAGGGCCGTGCCTGTCGTACACAGGGCTTTGTATATGCTGAAGCCTGCAGCTGTTTATTATTGACTCCTAATTAGCTCCAACAACTGTGTTTGGCTAATTGAATTGCACTCCCTGCTAGCCACCTGAGCCTTCCCAAAAGAAGATTGCCCTTCAAAACTAAGGAAAGAAAATATTCACACCATTATCCAGCCCCAGATTCTTGGCTTGAGCCAAGCACCTATGTAGCTCAAGCCAAGGATTTCTGTGCCCAGCTCGAAGAACTGGTGAAGCTACAAGTGTTAACATAGGTGTCTTACATTTAGATCATAGTGGACAGGACTTCAATGGTTGTGTTTTTTTATTATTATTATTATTAGGTTGTATTTTAGACACCATAATGCCAATTTTAAGTGATTTTAATGTGGAGAGATGCTGAACCATTTCTGCTGAAATGTCTCAGATATCCAATCAACATTTATTAAGGAATTGTACCATACAAGATTCCCCTATTTTTCAACCAGAGAATCAGAAGCTTAGGGAAAAAAAAAATTCCCTTGTTTTCCAACTCCATCACTTGTAGTCTAAACTATTTTAAGTTTTATTTATTTTCTTGAGATGGGGTGTTGCTCTGTTGCCCAGCCTAGAGTGTAGTGGCACAATCACGGTTCACTGCAGTCTCGACCTCCCAGACTCAAGCCATCCTCCAGGATTAGCCTCCTCAGTAGCTGGGACCACAGGCACGTGCCACCACACCCAGCTAATTTTTAAAAAAAATTTTGTGGAGATCGGGGAGGGCTCACGATATTGCCAAGGCTGGCCTTGTACTCCTGGGCTCAAGAGATCCTCCCACCTCGGCCTCCCAAAATGCTGGGACTACAGGTGTGAGCCACCACACTCAGCCTAAACTCTTTTATCAGCTTGCTAAAGGCCATGTAAATAGAATAGGCTCTAGTGACCCAGTTATCTTTTGAAAAGCTGGTCTCCTGTAAGAAACAAATTCGGCCGCTAGGTGACGCTACTTTCCACAGTCGGGCTTCTCTGTCTTAGACATTTCTTCCTATCAGCAGAAGTTGCTACTGTACTGGTTTTTGGTAATCATAGTAAAGTGAAAGCATTGTAGTGACTGTGGGAGATGTACAGAATGCTTTCATGATAAGATCGTAAAAACCAGAGGCTTAACTGAATCCAACAATCTGTTTACGCTCTTGCATCTTTGATTTTCCTTAGACTTTTAGCTCATCATAAAAGTCAGGTTTATAGACATTTCTCTATAATTTAACACTTAATACTTCAAATATCTCTGCTAATTACACATATACTCTGCTAAATTTATTCAATCATAAATATATTCTTAGTTATAGCCTATTCTATTAAAAAAGCGTTTTTTTAAAAAAAAAACTTCTGTTTATACTTGAGTCTTGGAATGACATACTAGAATCAACCAATTCCAAGGCAAAATTCTTCCTCCATTATTTTCTCAATATGAACCAAATTTTTTTTACTCTTATTTTTTTGCTTTTGCCTTTCACCGAATGATTCTAGAAAGGTATACAGAAAAAAAATCTTTTTATATAACAATCTATAAACATGACCAAATCAAGACAAAATCGTGTTAAATTGTCCCTTATGTTGATAGCATCATTATCATGTCAATACCAGGCAAATCTTTAACTCTATTATCATTGTCATTAGCTTTTTACATGTTGAGATTTACAAAGTTATTAAGAAAGTATTCTTTATTACTACAATCCATCAGCATTTTGATCATACGTTGTAAGTGCCATAGCATCCAAGTATAATAAAACTGCCAGGCACAGTGGCTCACACTTGTAAACTCAGCACTTTGGAGGCCAAGGTGGGAGGATCACTTGAGGCCAGGAGTTTGAGACCAGCCTGGACAACACAGTGAGACCTCATCTCTACACAAAAATAATTTTAAAAAGAAAAATTGGCCAGGCATGGTGGTACATGCCGGTGGTCCTAGCCGACATTCCACATACAGTTTTAAGACACAAAGTATATACTTCTAAAAAAACCCACAATAGATTCCTATCAACAATAATAAGCTACATACAGGATTAAATTTATTTAATCATATAATCTATAAGCCAGTAATTTTTTTTTTTTTTTTTGACAGGGTCTTATTCTGTCACCCAGGCTGGAGAGCAGTGGCGTGATCATGGCTCACTGCAGCCTCTACCTTCCTGGGCTCAGGTGATCCTCCTAGCTCCCGAGTACGAGTACCTGGGACTCATACTTGCACCTGCACCCAGCTAATTTTTGTATTTTTTGTAGAGACAGGGTTTTGCCATGTTTCCCAAGCTGGTCTCAAACTCCTGGGCTCAAGAGACCCACCCACCTTGGCCTACCAAAGTGTTGGGATTACAGGCGTGATCCACCATCCCCGGCCTAAACCAACAATTTTAACACCATAATCCCGTGGGCATCTTTTGGATAAGGTTTATTTCAAATGGAATTGTTTTATTTAAAATAAGAAATTTTAAAAAATTTAATATGTTACTCTAAAAAAACAAACTATTTTGGAACTGAGTAATCCAAATCTAAAAGAAGTAAAGGCATTTTGCTTTGCATTGTACTATTAGTGAAAAATTTAGTTGTAGATTTATAGATGCTATAATTACACAACAATGAAAGTACAGGCAAGGAAAGTAGGCAAATAAATTGTCTTGCTCACAAAACTATTTTTGGAGCTAACTCTCTTATAGAAAATCATCAAAAAGGGTTTTATCCAAAATGTTTCAGTAGGATGTTAACTTGAAATAAAGTGAATGGCCTTAGGGTTATGCTATTCCTTCTTCTCCTCTCAGGTTTCTAGGTTAAGAAATAATGAATTTTGTTTCTAAATGTTGCTTTAGCAGAGCTAATTGTAGCCCCTTGGGTGAAGGGATTGGAGAAAGGAAAATTCAGTTTTTTTACCCTGCTTCAGTAATCAGTTGACTTTGGTATACCCAAGTGGACTTGGCCATTTTAACTGTGTATGCTTAAAGATTTTTCTGAAGTCAAAAGGAAAAAAAATACAATTCTGCCATCAAATATTTGATGACTACAGCAAAATATATTTACATTGTTAACACATTTTTCATAAATATCTTCTCCTCAAAATAACAAATAACAAGAATTATAGTAATGTTTTAGGCATTAAAATTTCAGTTTAAGGTATTTGTGGGGTTTTTTTTTTTTTTTTTTTTGAGACGGAGTCTCGCTCTGCTGCCCAGGCTGGAGTGCAGTGGTGCAATCTCGGCTCACTGCAAGCTCCGCCTCCCGGGTTCATGCCATTCTCCTGCCTCAGCCTCCCGAGTAGCTGGGACTACAGGCACCCGCCACCATGCCTGGCTACTTTTTTTGTATTTTTAGTAGAGACAGGGTTTCACCGTGTTAGCCAGGATGGTATCAATTTCCTGACCTCGTGATCTGCCCGCCTCAGCCTCCCAAACTGCTGGGATTACAGGCGTGAGCCACCACACCCAGCCGGTATTTGTGGTTTTTAATAAATAGTGAGCTGGGTGTATCAGTTATCTATTGCTATGTAAGAGACCACCTCACAACTTAGTGGCTTGAAACAACAACCATTTTATTGGTCACTATTCTGTAGAGCATCGATTTGATCTGTTCTACTGAGGGCAGTTCTGTTGGTCTTGCTTAGATTATTCCTGGACAAGTAATCCAAGTCAAATGGCACATTGGTTGGAGGCTGGATGGCCTTGGTTGACCTCACTCATACATCTGGGAGTCAGCTGGGGCTATCAGCCAGAACCCCTCAGTTTTCCACATTGATTATCCAGCAGGATAGCTCAGACATCTTCCCATGGTGGCTGGATTCCAAGAGGGCAAGAGTGGAAGTTGTAAGGCCTCGTGAGGCCTTGGCTTGGAAAGTCCCGCAATGTCACTTCCGCTGCTTTTTTTTTTTTTGAGACAGGGTCTCACTCTGTCACCCAGGATAGATGCAGTGGCATGATCACAGCAGTGGCACATTGCAGCCTCTACCTCCTGGGCTCAGGCAATCCTCCCATCTCAGCCTCCCGAGTAGCTGGGGTCACAGGCATGTGCCTCCATGTTCGGCTAACTTTTGTATTTTTTGTAGAGATGGGGTTTTGCCATGTTGCTCAGGTTGGTCCTGAACTCCTGGACTCAAGCAATCTGCCTGCCTCAGCCTCCCAAAGTGCTGGGACTACAGGCATGAGCCACCACAGCAAGCCTACTTCCACGGCTTTCTATATTGGTCAAAGCAAATCATAAGACTGCCTAGATTCAAGGGAAGGGAAAACAGACCCCCCCAACTTTTTTTTTTTTTTTTTTTTTTTTTTTTGAGATGGAGTCTTGCTCTGTCACCCAGGCTGGAGTGCAGTGGCATGATCTCGGCTCACTGCAGCCTCTGCCTCCCAGGTTTCAGCAATTATCCTGCCTCAGCTTCCCAGGTAGCTGGGATTACAGGCATGTAGCCACTACGCCCGGCTAATTTTTGTATTTTTAGTAGAGATGGGATTTCACCATGTTGGCCAGGCTAGTCTCGAACTCCTGACCTCAGGTGATCCACCCACCTCGGCCTCCCAAAGTGCTAGGATTACAGGCGTGAGCCACTGCGCCTGGCTGAGACCTCTTGATAGGAAGAGCTGCAGATAGTTTGTGGCTATATTTATCTCTCACAGTAGGTTATTCAGATCAACCTTCCATTGAAAATGTCAAAATAATATCTTGAAAGTATTGAAGTGGCCTGGTGTGGTGGCTAACGCCTGTCATCTCAACACTTTGGGAGGCCGAGGCAGGCGGATCACTGGAGGTCAGGAGTTCGAGACCAGTCTGGCCAACATGGCAAAACCCCATCTCGACTAAAAATACAAAAATTAGCCAGGCTTGGTGGCACATGCCTGTAATCCCAGCTACTTGGGAGGCTGAGGCAAGATAATTGCTTGAACCCAGGGGGCGGAGGTTGCAGTGAGCCAAGATTGCACCACTGCACTCCAGCCTGGGTGACAAAGCGAGACTCCATCTCAAAAAAATAGAATTGTATTGAAGAGCTGAAAAGATAGTAGTGAACTCCTAGGGCAAGTTTTAATTTTGGGGTGATAGCCTGTAATCAGAGAGATAAGCTTCTGAGCACCAAAGATGAACAGGCTTCACACTTGAGATCCAGATCCAGAAGTCCAGGACCAAGATGCATTCAAAATATAGGGACTCTTATAGAAGTTTCTCCAGCATTACAGAAGGATCCAAAAAGACTACAACTCCAGTATAAGGACTGGATCTATTCCCTAACTCCCCTGTCCCTGGGGACTACAGAGATGGTTGCCTTGGCTATGAGCAGAGCTAGAGAAGAAAAAAATAAAGGGAAACGTATCCCTCAGAAGTTGTTGCCACATACCTGCCCTTATGCAAGTTTGTACCCCAGGGACCCATAGCCCCAATGAACAGGGTCCATCAAGCCCTGAACTTGGTTGTTGCAATCTGGATTGGAAGTGCTCCCAAGTGGCTGACTGAATCAAATCACAAAGTCTCTTTAACCTAGGCCTTTGGAGGCCACCAAAAATAATTGTCCAAAGGCAATGAAAGGCATGGGGTCAGAGACAGTACTGATATAGGAGTTAAGAAGAAAGTACTTAGGTGGATAGTGAGGGTATGGTAATGGGAGTCCTCAGTAAGGTATTCCTTTTAATGAAAAGCAGCCCCCAAATCATTTTATTTTCTAACAAAGAGCAGCCTGTAAAATCGAGCTGCAGATAGAGACAAGCAAGCCTGAATTTTGCACGGGTGAATGCCGGTAGTTGTGACAATAGGAAAAGGCATGATCAAGATGGCAGCTCCACCTTCCCTTCTTTTTGCCAGCCATGTAAGGAGCAGACAAGATGGTGCCGGCCAAGTGGCAAGCCCATTTGCATAATAAGATGAGGTGGGGCGACTGGCTTTCCCCACGCACAATGTAAATGTCACACCTGGTCCAACCAATCTGTGGGCCCTATGTAAATCAGACACTGCCTACTCAAGCCTGCCTATAAAATCTGCTGCAGTCCACTGCAGGCCGGCTTTTCACTTTCAGACGCCTCTCTCTCGCAAGAGAGAGCTGCTCTCCTCTCTCCTTTCTTCTGCCTATTAGACTTTCTGCTCCTTAACCTACCCACATGTGTCTGTGTCCTTAATCTTCTTGGCGCAAGATGACGAACCCCGGGTATTTACCCTAGACAATGATGCTGCTTCAGTACTAGAAAGCAAGGCATCATGAATGTGAACCAGCTGATACAACAGCAGAAGGAGATTTTAACAATTTCAGATATTATCGGACAAGTTTCCAGAAATAAATGGCAAACTTGAAAACATTCACAAGACAGAAAGCTAGAAAATTGACATGGCAGGTTTGAAAAAGAAATGAACCGAACTTCTAGAGATGGAAAACTCAATAACCAAACTTAAGAACGCAGTGGATATTGTGAACCCTAAATATCTGAGACAGGTCACAACCAATTTAGAAAGTTTATTTTGTCAAAGTTAAGGAAGTGCCCGTGATACAGCCTCGGGAGGCCGTGACAACATGTGCCCAAAGTGGTTGGAGCACAGCTTGGTTTTATACATTTTACAGAGACATGAGACATCAATCAATATATGTAAGATGTACATTGATTTGGTCTGGAAAGGCGGGACAACTCAGGCCAGGGGGAGGGCTTCCTGGTCATAAGTAGCTAAGAGACAAACAGTTGCATTCTTTTGAGTTTCTGATTAGCCTTTCATTGAATGGACAATTTACATGTGAGGGGAGGGTAGAGGAACGGTCACTAATGCCTTAGTCTGGCTTAGTGAAATAATAGGGCAGAGGAAGGGGATCTCAGGAGCCTCAGAGGGATCCCATCTGTCCTTTGTCTACAAGGAATTTCCTTGTGGGTGAATTGTGAGGGAGGTCTGTAGCTTTTTTTTTTTTTTTTTTCATCTTTGTAGCTATGTTATTTAGAAATAAAATGGGAGGCAGGTTTGCCTGACGCAGTTCCCAGCTTGAGTTTTCCCTTGGTTTAGCGATTTGGGGGTACTGAAATTTATTTTCCTTTCACAATATATTGAACAGATTGGACACATCTTATTAATCTCCCAGTTTAATTAGTAAACAGTTTTTGTTTTGTTTTTTTAAGGTGGAGTCTCACTCTGTCGCCCAGGCTGGAGTGCAGTGGTGCAATCTCCGCTCACTGCAGCCTCCAACTCCTGGGTTCAAGTGATTCTCATGCCTCAGCCTCCCGAGTAGGTGGGCCTGTGGGCGCACACCACCAAGCCCAACAAATTTTTGTATTTTTAGTAGAGATGGGGTTTCACCATGTTGGCCAGGCCGGTCGTGAACTCCTGACTTCCGACTTCAAGTGATCCACCAGCCTCGGCCTCCCAAAGTGCTGGGATTACAGGCATGAGCCACCGCTCCCGGCCATTAATTAGCAAACTGGAAAGCAGATCGGGACAAATTACCCAGCATTGAGCAAAGAAAGAAAAGAAGGGGAAAAAAATCTCTGCCAGCCCAACTGGGAGTTCTGGAGTGGAGATTGCCAGTTAAAGAGGTCCCACACTGGGCAGAAGTGGCCAGGCCCAAGTTTCACTGAGCAGTCTTTGAAAGTGCTGGATGTTTGATAAACGTCTACAACTTTTATTTAAAGATAAGGATGGAAGGTGATCCTTCCTCTGTGAATAATAATTAAAAACCAGACAAGAAAATAATCTCTTTATATACTTGGGGTAAAGGGGGCACAGTGAGTGATACATTTGATAACTCAGTTTAATGAACAAACTTTTTAGCCACCTGTCCTGGCAATATACACATGTAGAAATAATAGATAAATTAAAAGGTTTGTATATGTTTTATAAATAAAATAAAGGAGAAGGCATCTCAGATAAATTTAACCATCATTTAGGGAAAAAATTGGAAATAAAAGGTCAAATAAATCATCTTCTGCGCCTTAAAACTTTTTAAAACCACATTTTAAATGTGAGGTGGGGGAGGGAGAGGAGGGGGAACAGGGGAAGATAGGAGAAAGAGGAGAGAGGGAGAAAGAAGCAAATTAAAAAACAAATGGCCAGGCATGGTGGATGCTAGCACTTTGGGAAGCCAAGGCAAGAGGATTGCTTGAGCCCAGGAGTTCAAAACCAGCCTACGTAATATAGTGAGACCTCATCTCTACAAAAAATTAAAAAATTAGCTGGGCATGGTGGTGTACACCTGTGGTCCCAGCTACTTGGGAGGCTGAGGCTGGAGGATCACTTGAGCCCAGAAGGTTGAGGCTTCAGTGAGATGTGATCATGCCATTGCACTCCAGCCTGGGCAACAGAGTGAGACCCCATATCGAAAAAAGAAAAAGAAAACAAGCAAACCAACCAACCCAGGAACTCAGTGTGGCCAGTAGATTGAAAAGACAAGTCATTATTGAAAAAACCCTTATTAGCTCACTGTCAAAGTCAATATGATAAATTATTGTGCAAAAATACTCCATCCCTCTCCTCTACTTCTGTGGAAGGACTCTATTTCACCACATCTTAACTTCAAACTTGGCTACATGTTGGGCCAGTGGAATGTTAACAGATGTGCCACAAGCAGAGGCTTCAAAAATGCCTGTGCAGTTGAGTGTGTCTTCTGGTGCCCCTGCATCATCACGAGAAGTGCCTTGCCTAACCCTCTGAATCAAGGATGATGAGAGACACATGGAGCTAATGAAAATCCAGCTTAAACCATCAGACCCCCCAGCTGACCCACAGACACGTAAGCAAAATCAATGTTTATTGCTGTATACCATAGAAACGTTGCATTTTGTCATTACTTACCAATAGCTGACTGATACAATAATTATATCTGTTCTAAATGTTCTAAAGAAAGGACATTTTTTAAAAATGAAAAGCTTACATAAGCAAATGTATAGTGGTCCATGAAATACTTTGAATCAAGTAGAAGACATTGGACAGACCAAAATACAATTCAAAGTTTTTTCTCATTAGAATCACAAAAGCCACAAGAAGTGATACTGCAGTGGCTGGAGAACCTGCTAGGGAATCAATGCATCAAAGCCATGGAATGACTGAGCATCAGTCAATTCTATGCTTTGGTCTTGACTACTGAGAACACAAATAATGTTAACATAGCTAGACACCAGGTCAAGAACACTAGGTCAAATCATTGTTGGGCATATGCTAATGTATTGACTACATAAATGTCAATAAATCACTGGGATTGTAGAAAATCCTCCTACAAGTTTTGAAGTCATTCACTGTTAAAACAATAAAAACATATGTGGCAGATTGTTTCAGTAATTATCTCAAATTTGGTCACAGCTTTCTATATCCGTGTCCTTAAGTAGTCCACTTGTACAATGATTGTGGGCTTCACTATGTGACTTTTGCCCAATGGAACAACAGTAAATGAGATGCAAATGAAAGCAGGGAAACTGACAGCACTCTGGGGCTAACTAGTCTTTGGAGCTCTGATACCATCATGTAAAAGAGAGCAGGTGTATTAGTCTGTTCTCATGCTGCTAATAGAGACATATCCAAAACAGGGTAATTTATAAAGGTAAGAGGTTTAATGGATTCACATTTCCACATGGCTGGGTGGGGGGGCCTCACAATCATGGTGGAAGGCAAAGGAGAAGCAAAGGCATGTCTTACATGGCAGCAGGCAGAAGAGAGCATGTGTAAGGAAACTGCCCTTTGTAAAACTATCAGATCTCATGAGACTTACTCACTACCATGAGAACAGCATGGGGGAAACTGGCCTCATGATTCAATTATCTTCACCTGGCCCCACCCTTGACATGTGGGAATTATTACAATTCTAGGTGAGATTTGGGTGGGGACACAGCCAAACCATATCAGCAGGCTAGCCTACTGGAAGATGAGCAGATCGTGTGGAGCAGACTACCCATCTGAGCACAGCCCAAACTGGCAAGCCTCAGAATTGTGAGCAAATAGATTATTGTTGTTTTAAACCATTACATCTTGGGGGGTGATTATACAGTAAAAGCTACCTGATACACTGTGTGAGTGACCTCATGTGAATGCCTTTGCAATTCTTATCCAAAAGAAAGTGCAGCTTGTTTTTACCTTTAAGAAGTTGGTAGAAACCTTAATAAAGATAATATTGAAATCTGGGGATTGAAATCTGTGATTGAAATCTGGTGATTGCAAAATGTGATTGAAATCTGGGGAGATATGTGAGTCAACTTTGACACCTTCCTCAGCCTGCATCTACCCATCACCAAAGTCTGTTGTTCTTATCTCCTATACATCTGAACTCCTTCTCTCCATGTCCACTGGCACCATCCTAGTCCAGGCTCTCAGCTGGAGTAGTAACCAGGGATTCCTCTTAACCCATCTCCCTGCAGCCACCCTGGCCCCACTTTGAAGATCTGTTCTCCATGCAACAGTCAGAACAATCATTTTAAAAGCAAATCTGACCATGCCGTCTCCCCCAACTTAAGATCCTTCATTCACTCTCATTTATCTTAGGATAAAAACCGCTCTATTTCCTGGGACCTACAGCCCTTCCCAGGATATGCTGCTCCCCATCTCCAGCCTCCAGCCCTTCCTTCAGTTCTGCTGAAGGGTGGTGGCTCCTCCTGCCACAGAGCCTTTTTGTGTGCTGTTGCTTTTGCCTTGGATTCTGCACCTCTTGCTCCCCACTCTCCTTCCCACCTTCTCATCTCATCTCAGGCATCACTTACTCAGGGAAGCCTTTTCTGGCCCCCAGGTCCAGGTTATATTCTTCTCCTTTATTTGTACTTTTATCTCATTTTTTTTGATTGGATATACTTACGTTTGTATAATCATAAGATTGATGTCTGTATTCCCAACTACAGTATAAACTCTAGAAAGCAAAGAATGCTGAATTTTGCTCACCCGTAGAGTTCTAATATCAGGCATTGTACCTGTCAAGCCTAGTGCCTGACACATAACTGACACTCAGTATGTATTTGTTGATGGAATGGATGGTTTGATATGCGAGTTGCAATTGTAGTACTTGGCATACAAAACATACTCAATAGATATTTGCTGAATGAATACGGAATGAATGAATAAGCCTGGAATGAGGAGGGGCTGGAAAATAAGAAACCATATCTTACATGACATGTAGCATTGCTTCTTGCACATAGTAAGCCAAATAAGTATTTTCAGAATGAACAACTAACTAGGAAATTTTGAAGGGATAAATAGGAATATGGACAGCAAGAGAACAAGAATTTGTTTCCTTTATACTTGAAATAATCCTGAATTAAGTGGCCTCCTTTGTGTAGATACGAAACTAATCTGCAAACAAAAAGTAAATTTAAATGGGTACCTCTCTGGATGTAGAGCTGGAAACAGTGGTGAGTTTCTATAGGACAATACCTTGGGATCATAATTACCTAACATTTCTATACAGTCTACAGGATGAATTTTCTAGGTTTGTACGACACTAACATCTTCCCAGTAGAGAAATGAGCACAAACTATAGTCAACTTTTCCTAAACATAAATAAAAATCAAAATAGAACATACATATTAGCCTGTCCCCCTAATTGCCCCCCTTATTAACCTTGTTTAAAGCCTCATCAGCTCTCAAATGTACACAGATGTTTAAAAAGTCACCCAAGCTGCAGAAAATCTGCCCACAAAGTTTGAAGTAACCCACAGGTGATACAATGAAACCCTCTGCTATAGATTGCTGCAATGATGGGCCCCAATTTTGTCAGACCTCTCTGTATCCATGCCTTTGATTGGTTTCCACGTGCACAAGTGCACTGAATCAGGGCTTGACCATGTGATTTGCTTTGCCCACAGAATCATGAGCAACAAAATGATTGTTTTTTTTAAGGCTTTATGTTTGGGGTTCATTTTGCTACTCAGCAAAAACTAACTGCCCCAATGTTGCCACTGTAGCAGAGTTTTCTACACATGAATCTGATATGTCATTCCATTACTTAAAAGCCTTCAAGAACCATCATCTCTTAGGAACCAGGGACTAGCCAAGGAGGTCTCTCTCAGAAGAAAAGTCAAGATTCATTCAGGAATTTGGTAAGGGGTGTGTATGTGTGTGTGTGTGTGTGCGCGTGCGCACGTCCACGCGTGCATGTGTTTGGGGCAGAGAATGGCTCAGTGTCCATTAAATTACATATGTTTCTGTAGAATCTAATCTAGTGGCAAGTTTTAACCTTATTTTGAAAACTCAAAGACTTTTGGGGATTTTTCTTTTCTTTTTGCCATACACGACATTGACAGAGTTCTAAGTCTTAGGGAAAGATAAATGTTTGTAGTCATTCTCTCCTTGAATTTTGTTTTTTTTGATGCATACTTAGCATCTTAGTGCAATACTCTGTTTAGGAAGCAACCCCCTTCACATTGTTAAATAGTGATAAATAGGTCCAGATGTTTTACTTTAAAAGGACATTTTAGTTAATGTTCCTTGAGGAGAAGCAATAGTAACCAATGTTGCCCATTTGTCTGGTCATTTTGGGCTCCAGATGGCTGCATCAATGCTTCAGGAAATAGGAATGTTTTATTGAGCTGGGAGATTAAATATATGTGGAGCCACTTGTACCACTTTGGGAGGAGTTTTCAGTTTAAGCCTACAGCATTTCTGGTAAAACTCACATGAAGTGTGACAAAGTAATCAGAACCGCTTGCTATTGCAACAGGGAACTGTTATTGTCTTTTCCACAGCTGAGAATTTATAGAACTGTCCCTCAGCCTACTAGCAGAAAAGCACTTTGGAGTATTACCAACTGGATTTGCAAAGGATGTAGTTTCAGGACAAAGAAGAAATATATACAATGTGTGTCTCCGAGATCATTAATTAAATATCCTATCCAAAGTCCTTAAAAATGGGATTACCCAGCTGAAATGCCAGTAGGATGCCAGTAGGGGATTGCTTTGAAGTTACTGTTGGTTTAAAGACTTGAAATAGATGTCTCGTAAAATTTGCCTGATTAGTTGTAAGTGATTGCTGTGGCAATGATATATGATTGTAAACATCACTCCACACTAACACCTTAACAGGTTGGTTTTTTTTTTTTTTTTTTTTTTTTTTTTTTTTTTTTGAGACGGAGTTTCGCTCTTTCACCAAGGCTGGAGTGCAGTAGTGTGATCTCGGCTCACTGCAACCTCTGCCTCCCAGGTTCAAGCAATTCTCCTGCCTCAGCCTCCCGTGTAGCTGGGACTACAGGCACTGGCCACCACGCGCGGCTAATTTTTGTATTTTTGGTAGAGACGGGGTTTCACCATATTGGCCAGGTTGGTCTCGAACTCCTGACCTGGTGATCCGCCCACCTCGGCCTTCCAAAGTGCTGGGATTACAGGCCTGTGCCACCGCGCCTGGCCCACTTCAACCATTTTTAAATAGCTTCTATCAGTAGTTGATCAAGTGACAGAAATCCAAATTGAACTAGCTATAGTAGATTGCAAACTATCAAAATTCTTTTCCTCCCTTCCCAAGGTGTAGTCTATTTCTCCAACCTTTGCACCTGGATTGACCATGTGGCTGGCTTTGGCCAATGGGACACTAAAAAATGTGATGCAATCAGAAGCTTGAAAAGTGCTTGCACATTGAGGCTTGCCCTCTCTAGCAGCAAACAGAATCCTGCAATTGCCGCGGGGAGAAGGCGAACTGGCCTACTGAAAACAAGAAATAACGTGGCTCCCCCACCTCCACAGCACCCCAGCCAATAGACAACCACCTGTCGGCCCATAAGTGAGGTCATCCTCTGGACAACCCAGCTGCCAGCTGACCACAAATGCATGAGTTAGCGCAGGTGAGATCAACTAAGGCAGCCCAGCGCAGAGTCCTCTAGCTGACCCACATTATCAGGAGATAATAAATGCTGGTTTTACGCCACTGTCGTAAAGGAGGGAGTGACGCAGTAAAAGCTACCTACTTAGCTGCTTTTTTTTTTTAAAAGCTTAAAACAAAGAAAATTTGTTGCACGACCCTGTGTGTTCTGAGACTGAGCTAAGTAGAAGAAAGATTGGATGTACTTGGGCCTCAGGAACAACCAGAACTAAGTATATGGATGTCAGCACAAAATAAAAGATGAAGATATTTTAAAGGCTCATATCTGGTAAGCAATTAAAAAGTCAAATGTTGACCAAAACAGGAGTTCAAATCCACTGTTTTTTTTTTTTTTTTTTTTTTTACCCTTTGAAGTGCTTCCTCCCACTTTTTTTCCCCATGCTCCCCGCTGCCGCCATTTTACCCTCCGTTTCTTTCTTTCTTTCTTTTTTTTTTTTTTTGAGACAGAGCCTTGCTGGAGCGCAGTGGCGCGATCTCGGCTCACCACAACCTCTGCCTCCCTGGTTCAAGCGATTCCCCTGCCTCAAGCGATTCCCCTGCCTCAGCCTCCAGAGTAGCTGGGATTACAGGCGCCGGTCACCACGCCCGGCCAATTTTTTGTAGTTTTAGTAGAGACGGGGTTTCACCATGTTGGCCAGGCTGGTCTTGAATCCTGGCCTCAAGTGATTCTCCCGCCTTGGCCTCCCAAAGTGCTGGGATTACAGGCGTGAGCCACCCCGCGCCCGGCCTACCCTCTGTTTCTATGTATTGAATTTTTTTTTTTTAATTCCACACATAAATAAGATCATGCAGTATATATATATATTTTTTTTTCTATGTCTGGTTTATTTCATTTATCATAATGTTCTCCAGGTTCATCCATGTTGTCACAAATGGTAGGATTTCCTTCTTTTTAAAGGCTGAACCATATTGTACCAAAATACTCCTTTATATCACAATTTCATTATCCATTCATCTATCAACAGACATTTGTTTTCATATTTGGCTGTTGTGAATAGTGCTGCAATGAACATGAGATTGCAGCTGTCCCTTCGCCATATTGGTTTCAATTCCTTTTGATATATACCCAGGAGTGCAGAAGTGGGATTCCTGGGTTATATGTTACTTCTTTTTTTGTTTGTTTGTTTTGAGACAGGGTCTTGCTCTGTCGCCCACATTGTAGGGCAGTGGCACAATCACGGCTCACTGTGGCCTTGACCTTCTGGGCTCAAGTGGTCCTCAGCCTCACAAGAGTAGCTGGGACCGCAGGTGCGCCCCACCATGCCTGGCTAACTTTTTAACTTTTTTTAGAGATGGAGTCTCCCGCCGGGTGCAGTGGCTCACGCCTGTAATCCCAGCACTTTGGGAGGTCAAGGTGGGAAGATCACTTGAGGTAAGGAGTTAAAGACCAGCCTGGCCAACATGTTGAAACCCTGTCTCTACTAAAAATACAAAAAAAAAAAAAAAAAAAAAAATTCGCTGGGCGTGGTGGCAGGCCCCTGTAATCCCAAGTACTCAGGAGGCTGAGACAGGAGAATCGATTGAACCCGGGAGGCAGAGGTTGCAGTGAGCAGAGATTGTACTTAAGCCTGGGTGACAAGAGTGAAAACTCTGTCTCAAAAAAAAAAAAAAAAAAAAAAAGAGAGAGAGAGATGGAGTCTCCCTGTGTTGCCCAGGCTGGTCTCGAATTCCTGGCCACAAGAGATCCTCTCACCTCAGCCTTCGAAAGTGCTGTCATTACAAGTGTGAGCCACCGTGCCTTGGCCAGTTCTACTTTTAATTTATTTAGAAACCTCCCTATTGTTTTCCACAGTGGCTGCACTAATCTACCTTCCCATCAACAGTGTATTAGTGTTCCCTTTTCTCTGTACCCTTGTTAACATTTGTAATTTCTTGTGTTTTTTTTTTGATAAAATCCATCCTAACAGATGTGAGATGATCTCATAATTTTGGTTTACATTTCCCTGATAATTAGCATACTGGCTATTTTTATGTCCTCTTGGACAAATGTTTACTGAGGTCCTTTGCCCATTTTTAAACCAGTTTATCTTTTTTTTTTTTTTTTTTTTGCTATTGAGTTAGGTGAGCTCTTTATATATTTTGGTTGATAACCCCTTATTATATGTAGCTTGCAAATATTTTCTCCCAACCTATAAATTGCCTTCTCATTTTGTTAACTGTTTCCTTTGCTGTTCAGAAGCCTTTTTTGTTTGATGTGATCCCACTTCTTTAGTTTTTTTGTTGCCTGTGCTTTTGATGTCATAACCAAAAAAATCATTGCTATGACCCATGTCAAACTCTTTTCCTGTGTGTTGAGTTTTATGGTTTCAGGTTTTATGTTTGGGTTTTTAATACATTTTGGGTTGGGTGGGTTTTTTCATGCGTGTATGGCATAAGGGTCCAGTTTCATTCTTTTACACGTGGATATCCAGTTTTCCTTGTGTTACTTAATGAAAAGACTATTGTTTCCCCATGGTGTCATCTTTGTGCCCTTATCAAAAGTTAGTTGACCATATATTCTGGGTTTACTGCTGGGTGTTTCTATTCTGTTCCATTGATCTATGTGTCTGTTTATGCCAGTGCTATAATGTTTTGGTTACAATAGCTTTGTGTAGTAGATTTTGAAATCAGGTAGTGTGATACCTCCAGCATTGTTCTTTTTGCTCAGGGTTGCTTTGGCTGTTTGGGGTCTTCATGGTTCCCTATGAATTTTATAATTTCTATTTTTGTGAAAAAGACATTGGAATTTTGATAGGAATACAAATTAAAAGCTCAACTCCTTCTATCTAATTCAACGCAAATTGCATTGAATCTATAGATTGTTTTGGGTAGTACAGACATCTTAACTATTTTTCCAATCTGAAAAATATTCTATTTATTTGTGTCTTCAATTTTTTTTCTTTTTGAGGCAGAGTCTTGCTCTGTTTCCCAGGCTGGAAGGTAGTGACACAATCATGACTCACTGAAGCCACCAACTCCTGGGTTTAAGCATTTAAGCAGGTGTGACTACAGGCACGCACCATCACACCTGGCTAGTGGTTTTTATTTAATTTTTTTTTTTTAGAAACAGGTCTTACTATGTTTCCCAGGCTGGTCTCAAACTTCTGGCTTCAAGTGATCCTCCCACGTCAGCCTCCAAAAGTGGTGGGATTACAGGCATGAGCCACCATGCCTGGCCTCTTTCAATGTTTTATAGTTCTCTCTGTACAGACCTTTGACCTTTGGTTTAATATATTCCCAACTATTTTTTAATGCTATTGTAAGTGGGATTGTCTTCTTGATTTCTTTTACAGATAGTTCATTGTTAGTGTATAGAGAATCACTGCTGATTTTTCTTTGTTGTTGAGTTTTTCTTTTTCTTTTTTTTCTTTTTCTTTTTTTTTTTTTTGAGACGACGTCTTGCTCTGTCGCCCAGGCTGGAGTGCAGTGGCACAATCTCAGCTCACTGCAGCCTCCCCTCCCAGGTTCAAGTGATTCTCTTGCCTCAGCTTCCTGAGTAGCTGGGATTACAGGCACACGCCACCACACCTGGCTAATTTTTGTATTTTTAGTAGAGACGGGGTTTCACCATGTTGGTCAGGCTGGTCTCGAACTCTTGACCTCATGATCTGCCCGCCTCTGCCCCCCAAAGTGCTGGGATTACAGGCATGAGCCACCATGCCCAGCCTGTTATTGAGTTTTTAAAAATAAGTACTCTGCAACTTTACCAAACTCATTTATTGGTTCTAACCATTCTTTAGAGTCTTTGGGGTTTTCTATATATAAAATGATGTTGTCTTCAAACAGGGACAATTTAACTTCCTTTCCAATTTGAATGCCTTTTATTTCTTGACTAGGACTTCCAGTCAAGAAAAGTAGAACAGAAGTGACAAGAATGGGCATCATTGTCTTGTTCCTGATTTATTTATTTATTTTACAGAAAAAGCTTTCAACTTTTCCACATTCAGTATGCTAGCTATGGACTTCTCATATATGGTCTTTGTTATGTTGAGGTACATTCCTTCTTTTATATATTGGCAAATTATAGTTGTATATATTTATAGAGTACAAACTGATGGTATGATTTAAAAAAAAATACAATGTGGAATAATTAAGTCAAGCTAACCTACCCATCACCTCAAATTTTTGACGTTTTTTGTGATGAGAACATTTGAGATTTACTCTTAGTGTCAGTGAAATGTTCAGTACTCAGTTGTTAGCTATAATCACCACACTGTGCAGTAGCTCTCAAAAAAAATCAAACTTATTTCTCCTACCTGATTGAGGCTTTTTACCCTTTGACCTCATCTCCCCATTCCGCCAGCCCCCAGCCTCTGGTAACCTGTCCCTCCCCTCCTAGTTCAAAAATTGTCTTCTTGGCTAAATATGTTTAAGTCATTGCCCAGCATATTGTAAAAGTACTAATTATGTATATTCATATATTTAAAATATTCTTGTAAGCATATTTATGCTTACAAACAGGAAAGCACTACTTTCTTTCCAAATAACATTTTAGAAAATTATAATGATGAGGATAGCTATTGGCTAATATACTACCTTCTGTGGTCAAAATTCCAGAGCACTATTTAAAGTACTTCACAAATATTTATCCTGTTTTCTGGTGAGAACATTTAAATCCTCTTTTTTTTTTTAATTTTTATTTATTTTTTATTGATCATTCTTGGGTATTTCTTGCAGAGGGGGATTTGGCAGGGTCATAGGACAATAGTGGAGGGAAGGTCAGCAGATAAACAAGTGAACAAAGGTCTCTGGTTTTCCTAGGCAGAGGACCCTGCGGCCTTCCGCAGTGTTTGTGTCCCTGGGTACTTGAGATTAGGGAGTGGTGATGACTCTTAACGAGCCTGCTGCCTTCAAGCATCTGTTTAACAAAGCACATCTTGCACCGCCCTTAATCCATTTAACCCTGAGTGGACACAGCACATGTTTCAGAGAGCACAGGGTTGGGGGTAAGGTCATAGATCAACAGGATCCCAAGGCAGAAGAATTTTTCTTAGTACAGAACAAAATGAAAAGTCTCCCATGTCTACCTCTTTCTACACAGACATGGCAACCATCCGATTTCTCAATCTTTTCCCCACCTTTCCCCCCTTTCTATTCCACAAAACTGCCATTGTCATCATGGCCCGTTCTCAATGAGCTGTTGAGTACACCTCCCAGACGGGGTGGTGGCCGGGCAGAGGGGCTCCTCACTTCCCAGTAGGGGCGGCCGGGCAGAGGCGCCCCTCACCTCCCGGACGGGGCGGCTGGCTGGGCAGGGGGCTGACCCCCCCCCACCTCCCTCCCGGACGGGGCAGCTGCTGGGTGGAGGGGCTCCTCACTTCTCAGACGGGGCGGCCGGGCAGAGACGCTCCTCACCTCCCAGACGGGGTCGCAGCCGGGCAGAGACGCTCCTCACTTCCTAGATGGGATGGCGGCCGGGCAGAGACGCTCCTCACTTTCCAGACTGGGCAGCCGGGCAGAGGGGCTCCTCACATCCCAGACGATGGGCGGCCAGGCAGAGATGCTCCTCACTTCCTAGACAGGATGGCGGCCGGGCAGAGACGCTCCTCACTTTCCAGACTGGGCAGCCAGGCAGAGGGGCTCCTCACATCCGAGACGATGGGCGGCCAGGCAGAGACGCTCCTCACTTCCCAGACGGGGTGGTGGCTGGGCAGAGGCTGCAATCTCGGCACTTTGGGAGGCCAAGGCAGGCGGCTGGGAGGTGGAGGTTGTAGCGAGCCGAGATCACACCACTGCACCCCAGCCTGGGCACCATTGAGCACTGAGTGAACGAGACTCCGTCTGCAATCCCGGCACCTCGGGAGGCCGAGGCTGGCGGATCACTCGCGGTTAGGAGCTGGAGACCAGCCCAGCCAACACAGCGAAACCCTGTTTCCACTAAAAAAATACGAAAAACAGGCGTGGCGGCGCGCGCCTGCAATCGCAGGCACTCGGCAGACTGAGGCAGGAGAATCAGGCAGGGAGGTTGCAGTGAGCCGAGATGGCAGCAGTACAGTCCAGCTTTGGCTCGGCATCAGAGGGAGACTGTGGAAAGAGAGGGAGAGGGAGAGCTAAATCCTCTTAAAAACATGTTATTTAGGGTATTGCAAAGGATAGATCAAACCACCTTAAAGGGGGAGAAATGTGGAGCAGAAGTTTCTCATGTAACCTATCAGCTTTAGAGCTAGATTCATGGCCACAGAGGCATCAGTGATCTTTCTCACAGCAGACGGAATCGGAGAGAATCCTCCCCAGAAAATGGTATCTGACCTGAAAACTCTGGGTGCCCATCTCTACTGTGTTCTGGCCAATGAAGAAGGAAGACTTCCTTTCCAACTGCAATCCAGAAAGGTCTGGGGAAGAACTTTGGCCCAACCGGAGCCATGTGCCCACCCCTCAGACTTAGTGTGACAATGGGATGAAGAGACTACAGTTAGCAGTTCCAGAAGCACATGGATGAAGTGAGGTAGGAGCAGCCTCCTAAAGATCATTTTGTTAAGATAGATAGCAAATATTCTCCGATTAAAGCCTATAATCCAGTTGTGAGCCAAGCTATCTAAACACAGCAGAATACAATGCAAAGCCTTACCAAAGACTCCTTTTTAAATGGCCATTGTAAGTTCCAGTTTTCTAAGAAGTTATAACAAACTCTTATGTACTTAATAACAGACCCCCAATATATAGAGCAAAAATTGACAGAAATATGAGGATAGACAAACCCATAATTACAGTGGGAGGTACTAACCTACTTGCACAGTTTACTGTATCAAGAAAATAAGAAGATGGCTGGCTAAACACAGCCAGGTAGAACAGCTGCCACCAAGGGACCAGGACAACTGGTATACTCCTAGCTGATCTTCAGAGAGAAAGCACTGAGACTGGAAGGAGGGAAGATACAGAAGCTGGGCTGAAGTGGGAGGAAGCTGGAGCTACTGCACACTGGGATTCATACCTGGCCCCCAACGACTCTGGAGAAATGGGTGAGTTGAACAGGCAAGGAGAAACCTGATCTCGCCCTGGGCCTCTGGAATCCCGGCAGGAGGAGGCCACTCGACCACCACGGAAACTTGAGTTGGCCGGGAAATCTGCTTAGAGAAGTAGTAGGGGCAGCACTTCAGCTGGTGTGGAGCCCAGAGGGTTTGGCAGGGGAGCATCTGTAGTGGAGCATGGCCAGTGAAGTCCATCCTCCTAGGCTCAACTTGATTCTGTAGGAGACTTTAGCCCTAGGAGAACTGTCAGATCTCAACTCTGTAGGATGGTCTTGCTTATCAGATGGGGCTGGTCCTACCTGAGTACCACTTGGTGCAGGCCTCATGTGCACTGGGGGCCCACATCATAGCTCCTGCACTGGCAGACTATGCTTGACCAGTAGGGAGGGCGTCAGGGCCATGCACCAGCCCAGCCAACCCCACATTGCTTTGCCAGTGCAGTTCCTGTGTGCAGGGGCAGATCTTGCCTTCCCTGCCCCACCAGCATGTGTGTGCACATGCACCCTGCCCTGCCACTGCTGATGGAGTGAGTGCACTCCAATCCTTTCCTCCTACTGTATCACCATTGCAGTGGGAGCCTTGATGGGCACAGAGCCCACCAGTGCCGTCCCCCGCCAGCACCCAACCCCTGCACTGACACTGCCACCCGCTTGAAACTAGGCACAGAGAACAGTGGACCCTCCCCAACCTTGAGCGGCTACCTCTGCCTGTGTGAACATGCACAGAGAAAGCACATAGTCCTGCACGTGCCAGTACCCCAACACCATGCTAACACCACCACTATCTCAACCTGTGCACATGGTTGCCAGCGGGGGTTCTTCCACCCGCTGGAGCCATGTTAGTTCCACTGCAGCTGCAAATGCCCACACAGAGGCTGGTAGTCTGGCACCTGCTAGCACCCTGCTGCAGCTAACAAGTGTGCACACAGCTCCGCTGCTGCTGGCATGTATGAACGGGAATGGATCCCACTGCCACCACCCTATGAAACGCTTTGGTTGGCACCATCCATCAGAGTGTTGTGACAGTGGTCTGGGAGTACCTCAGCCCCACAACCCAGAACAGTGGGTTCCTAACTTCGAGGTGCCAGAGAACAAAGTTGGGGCCCAAAACCAGTACCCCAGAGTTAGAGCATGCAGTCTAGGAGTTGGGAGCTGAACCTATGGCCCCTAAAATCTTCTAGAAATGAAGCCAGTTGACTGAATTCACCTTATACCACAATCAAACCGTCAGGGTTATCAAGAGCTATACCACCTCTCCAGCAAGGGTTCTTAACCAGACTGAGATGGCTGAAATGACAGAAATAGAATTCAAAATATGGATAAGAACAAAGATCATTGAGATGCAGGAGTACATGGGAACCCAGTCCAAGAATCACAGTAAAACAGTACAGGAGCTGACAGAGAACATGGCCAGAACATAAAAGTACATAACCTAATAGAGCTGAAAAACACAAAAATTTTATAATGCAATTGCAAGTATTTTTTTTTTCTTCTTCTTGAGACGGTCTTGCTCTGTC
Organism: Homo sapiens; assembly: GCF_000001405.40. Lineage (NCBI taxonomy): Eukaryota > Metazoa > Chordata > Mammalia > Primates > Hominidae > Homo > Homo sapiens. The sequence goes on from NC_000023.11 coordinate 30,757,211, forward strand.
ATCCAGGCTGGAGTGCAGCGGGGTGATCTTGGCTAATTGCAACCTCTGCCTCCCAGGCTCAAGCGATTCTTGTGCCTCAGCCTCCTGAGTAGCTGTGATTACAGGTATGCACCACCACGCCCAGCTAACTTTTGTGTTAGAGATGGGGTTTCACCATGTTGACCAGGTTGTTCTTGAACTCCTGGCCTCAAGTAATCCACCTGTCTGGCCGTCCCAAAGTGCTGGGATTACAAGCATGAGCCACCACGCCCGGCCAACACAATTGCAAGTATTAACAGCAGAATAGACCAAGTGAAGGAAAGAATCTCAGAGCTTAAAGACTGGCTTTCTGAAATAAGACAGTCAAGAATAGAGAAGAGAATGACAAGGAACAAACAAAACCTCTGAAAATATGGGATTATAAAAAGAGACCAAATGTACCACGCGTTTGTGTCTCTGAAAGAGAGGGGGAGAGTGTAAGCACCTTGGAAAACATATTTCAGGATATCATCCATGATGACTTCCCAGTCCAGCTAGAGAGACCAGCATTCAAATTCAGGAAATACAGAGAGCTCCAGTAAGATACTTCACAAGATCATCCCCAAGACACATAATTATCAGATTCTCCAAGGTCATAATAAAAGAAAAAATGTTCAAGGCAGCTAGAAAGAAAAGCCAAGTCACCCATCAGACTAACAGCAGACCTCTCAGAAACCCTACAAGCCAGAGAGATTGGGGGCCAATATTCAAAACTTTTTTTTTGAGACAGTGTCTCACTTCTGTTGCCCAGGCTGCAGTTCAGTGGCACAATCTCAACTCACTGCAGTCTCAAACTCCTGGGCTCAGGTGATCTTCCCACCTCAGCCTCCTGAGTAGGTGGGACTACAGGTGTATGCTACCATGCCCAGCTAATTTTTGTATTTTTAGTAGAGACGGGTCTCGCCATGTTGTCCAGGCTGGTCTCGAACTCCTGGACTTCAGTGATCTGCCTATCTCGGCCTCCCAAAGTATTGGGATCACAGGTGTGGGCCTGGCCTATATTCAACATTCTTGAAGAAAAATACTAACCAAGGGCTAGGTATGGCTGCTCATGCCTGTAATCCCAGCATTTTGAGAGGCCAAGGCAGATGGATCACTTGAGGCCAGGAGTTTGAGACCAGCCTGGGCAACATTGTGAAACCCCGTCTCTATTAAAAATACAAAAAGTAGCCGGGGCATGGCGGCGCATTCCAGTAGTCCCAGCTACTTGGGTGGCTGAGGCACGAGAATCACTTGAACCTGGGAGGCAGAGGCTGCAGTGAGCCAAGATCATGCCACTGCACTCTAGCCTGGGTGACAGAGCAATACTCTGTCTCAAAAATAAGCGGTGGGGGGAGGAGGTAATTACCACTGACTCCACAGAAACACAAATAACCATCAGAGAATATTATGAACACCTTTATGCATACAAACTAGGAAACCTGGAAGAAATGGATAAATTCCTGGACATATACATCCCCCCAAGACTGAACCAGGAAGAAATGGAATCCCTGAACAGACCAATAATAAGCTCCTAAATTGAATCAGTAATAACTTACCAACCAAAAAAGGCCTAGGACCAGATAGATTCACAGCTGGATTCTACCAGATGTACAAAGAAGAGCTGGTACCATTCCTACTGAAATTACTCCTAAAAATTGAGGAGGAGGGACTCCTCCCTAACTAATTCTGTGAGGCCAGCATCATCATGATACTAAGATCTGGAAGTGACACAAGAAAAAAAGAAAACCTCAGGCCAGTATCCTTTATGAACATCAATGGAAAAGTCTTCAACAAAATATTAGCAAACTGAATCCAGGAGTACATCAAAAAGCTTATTCACGATCAAGTGGGCTTTATCTCTGGGACGCAAGGTTGGTTCAACATACACAAGTCAATAGATGTGATTCTTCACATAAAACTAAACACAAAAATCACATGATTATCTTAATAGATGCAGAAAAGGCTTTTGTTAAAATTCAACACCCTTTCATGTTAAAAACTCTCAGTAAACTAGGTATTGAAGGAACACACCTCAAAATAATAAGAGCCCAGCTATGACACTGAATGGGCAAAAGTTTGAAACATTCCCCTTGAAAACTGGCATAAGAAAAGGATGCCCTCTCGCACCATTCCCGTTCAACATAGTATTGGCAGTCCTGGCCAATGACTGAGACAAGAGAAAAAGGTAAAGGGTGGCCGGCGTGGCGGCTCACGCTTGTAATCCCAGCACTTTGGGAGGTCGAGGCGGGTGGATCACGAGGTCAGGAGCTCGAGACCAACCTGGCTAACATGGTGAAACTCCATCTCTACTAAAAATACAAAAAATTAGCCGGGTGTGGTGGCATGCGCCTGTAGTCCCAGCTACTTGGGAGGCTGAGGCAGGAGAATTGCTTGAACCTGGGAGGTGGATGTTGCAGTGAGCTGAGATTGTGCCACTGTACTCCAGCCTGGGCAACAGAGTGAGACTCAGTCTCAAAAAAAAAAAAAAAAAAAAATGGCATCCAAATCGGTAAAGAGAAAGTCAAGTATCTCTGTTTGCAGACGTGATTCTATATCTAGAAAACCCCATAGTCTCAGCCTGAAAGCTCTTTAAGCTGATAAGCAACTTCAGCAAAGTCTCGGGATACAAAGTCAATGTACAAAAATCACTAGCATTCCTGTACACCAACAGCAGTCAAGCTGAAAGCCAAATCAAGTATGCAATCCTGTTCACAACTGCCACAAATAGAATACCTAGGAATACAGCTAACCGGGGAGGTGAAAGATCTCTATAAGGAGAACTATAAAACACTGTTCAATGAAATCAAAGATGACACAAACAAATGGAAAATCATTCCATGCCCATAGATAAGAAGAATCAATATCATTAATATGGCTATACTGCCCAAAGCAATTTATAGATTCATTGCTATTTTCAAACTACCAATGGCATTCTTCACAGAACTAGATAAAAACCCTATTTTAAAATTTATATGGAACCAAAAAAGAACCCAAATAGCCAAGGCAACCCTACGCAAAAAGAACAAAGCTGGAGGCATCACACTACCCAACTTCAGACTATATTACAGGGCTATAGTAACCAAAACTGAATGGTACTGGTACAAAAACAGACACATTGAGCAATGGAACAGAATAGAGAAGTCAGATAAGGCCATACATCTACAACCATCTGATCACTGACAAAGCTGACAAAAACAAGCAATGGGGAAAGGACTCCCTGTTTAATAAATGGTGCTGGGATAACTGCGAAAGATTGAAACTGGACCCCCTCCTTATACCATATACAAAAACCAACTCAAGATGGATTAAAGACTTAAAACCCAAACTATAAAAACCCTGGAAGACAACCTAGGAACTACCATCTGGACACAGGAACTGGCAAAGATTTCATGATGAAGACGTCAAGAGCAATTGCAACAAAAGCAAAAACTCACAAATGGTATCTAATTAAAGCAAAGAGCTTCTGCACAGCAAAAGACACAGCAGAGTAAACAAACAGCCTATAGAATGAGAGAAAATATTTGCGAACTATGCATCTGACAAAGGTCTAACATCCAGCATTTATAAGGAACTTAAACAAATTTACAAGAGAAAAACCCCATTATAAAGTGGGCAAAGGACATGAACAGACACTTTTCAGAAGAAGACATACATGTGGCCAACAAGCATATGAAAGAAAGCTCAATATCACTGATCATTAGAGAAATGCAAATTAAAACTACAATGAGATACCATCTCATGCCTATCAGAGTGGCTATTATTAAAAAGTCAAGGCTGGGTGCGGTGGCTCACGCCTATAATCCCAGCACTTTAGGAGGCCAAGGCAGGTGGATCATGAGGTCAGGAGTTCGAGACCAGCCTGGCCAACATGGTGAAACCCCGTCTCTACTAAAAATACAAAAATTAGCTGGGCATGGTGGTGTGTGCCTGTAATCCCAGCTACTCCAGAGGCTGAGGCAGGAGAATCACTTGAACCCGGGAGGTGGAGGTTGCAGTGAGCTGAGATTGTGCCACTGCACTCCAGCCTGGGGGACTGAGCAAGACTCCTTCTCAGGGGGTGGGGGAAAAGTAAAAAAATAACAGATACTTGTGAGGTTGCAGAGAAAAAGGATTGTTTATATGCTGCTGGTGAGTGTATTAGCCTGTTCTTGCATTGCAATAAGGACCTACCTGAGACTAGGTAATTTATGAAGAAGAGAGGTTTAATTGACTCACAGTTCCACGGGCTGTACAGAAAGCATGGCTGGGGAGGCCTACGGAAATTTACAATCATGGCAGAAAGCGAAGGGGAAGCAGGCACATCTTCACATGGTGGAGAAGGAGAGAGTGAGTGAATGGGAAGTGTGACATACTTTTAAACAACCAGATCTTGTAAGAACTCGATCACATGAACAGTAAGGGGGACGTCCACCCCATGATCTAATCACCTCCCAGCATGCCACTCCTCCAACACGTGGCGATTACAACTCAACATGAGATTTGGGCAGGGATACAAATCCAAACCGTATCAGTGGGAGTGTAAATTAGTTCAACCATTGTGGAAAGCAGTGTGGTGATTCCTCAAAGCCCTAAAAAACAGAACTATCATTTGACCCTGCAATCCCATTACACAGAATAGAAATCTGTCATAAAGACACATGCACACATATGTTCACTGCAGCACTATTCACAATAGCAAAGACATGGAATCTAAATGCCTGTGAATGGTAGACTGGATAAAGAAAATGTGGTACATAAACACCATGGAATACTATGCAGCCATAGAAAGGAATGAGATCATGTCCTTTGCAGGAACATAGATGGAGCTGGAGGCTGTTATCTTTAGCAAACTAACGCAGGAACAGAAAACCAAATACCACATGTTCTCACCTTTAAATGGGGCTAAATTATGAGAACACATGGACACATAGAGGGGAAAAACTGACACTGAGGGCCTGAGGGTGGAGGCTGGGAGGAGGGAGAGCAGCAGAAAAAATAACTAATAGGTACTAGACTTAATACCTGGGTGATGAAATAGGCAGTACACCAAACCCCTGTGACACGAGTCTATCTAAATAACAAATCTGCACATGTACCCCAAACCTAAAAAATAAAATCATTGAGGATATAGACAATCTGAACCATGCAATTACGTTTGATTTAATAGAAATAAGCAGCCAAGAACCCATTCCGTCGTGACTGATACTGAAACAGTAGTCTTAGCTCACTGGGTTACCTTCCAAAATTCATTCCAAGAAGATTTACATAGACATTGACATTATAGAAAGATGGCCTAAACTATCACATAGGGAAGTTAGAATTCACTTACTACTTCCGTCTCTCATCCTTTTTTTCCTCCTCCTCTTCCAATGAGTTAGAAACTCGATGCCTCTGAAGTCATCCCGTTAGATTAATAGCAGATCTGTAACTAGGGTAATGTTCTTTCTATTTGTCCATATTATTATTAATTTTTTTTTACCATGTGTATAGTCTCAGTAATGAAGTAGAAATCTGGTAAATGGAGACAAACTACATTTATGTGTCTCATGTATATCTGTAACAATTTTGGTGAGAAAGACCCCATGGAAAAACCAATATACTTGCTAAAATTCCTACTAGAAAGTCATTTGGAAATTGATCAGGGCAGCCACGAGCTGAATAAGGAGCACATGAAAAATTAGAATCTGCTGGAAGAATAAAATATAGTCTGTTCAAAACCCAAAACCTCTTCAAAAAGGTGGAGGCCCTGGGGCATCTGCTGCTCATTCTTGCATAGAGGAAGTACTCTTGTCAAAAGGCAAGTAATGTAATGAGTCAAGTAAAGGAAATGTTTATTATATGGATTCTTAAAAAAAGTAAATGGGAACTATTTATTACTTGTCGGTAATTGTGAGTTTTATGGCTGTGACTTCTTATTTGCTGCCAAACAAGCAAGTAAGTGCTGTATCTCCTAGCGACTCCCTCCATCACCATTCCTGGTACTCTGTTGTCAAATGGCCTGTCAGTTGGTTTTTATTCTAGCATATGTTTTTAGTAAGTTTTCAAAGTGGGGAATAGTTAAATCTATTTCTCCTTTTCAGAAGTCTTAACTTTGCTTGGAAGCTATTAACAAGATTGAAATCCATAGAAAAAAAAAGATTGAAGAGGAATTTGCTGCAATGTTAACAGTAGTTATCTCTTAGCAATGAAACTTTAGTTAATTTTCCTTTCCTCTTTGAACTTATTTTTCTACTGTGAACATAAATTGCAAAATCAGAAGGAAAAAAGACACTAAAATAGAAAGCATTTATGGCAAAGGTCATTTAAAGTTATTCCATTTCTCAAGGCAATCATTTAATCTATAAAAGCAGAAGATATTTACTGCCATCATTTATCCTTGTATCCTCCATAGCTCCTAGTTTTAAAAAAAAAACAGCCAGGTGTAGTGATTCACACCTGTAATCCTAGCACTTTGGGAGGCCGAGGCGGGTGGATCACTAAGCCCAGGAGTTCGAGACCAGCTTGGGCAACATGGCAAAACCCTGTGTCTACAAAACATACAAAATTAGCCGGGCATGGTGGCATGTGCCTGTAGCCCCAGCTACTTGGGAGGCTGAGGTGGAAGAATCACCTGAACCCAAGGAGGTCAAGGCTGTAGTGAGCTGTGATTGAGCCACTGCACTCCAGCCTGGGCAACAGAAAGAGACCCTGTCTCAAAGACAAAACAAACAAAAACCACACATAATAAAGGTTTGAAGTGTAAGGCACAATGCTAAGCATTGCAAGAGATAAGGAATTATCATAAACACATGTAAAGACTTTAAAATTACTCATCTTTATAAGGAACTTTGTGATATAAATGGTTTCTGTATTTTACAGATAAAGTATCAGAGAGGCAAATGACTTGCTCAATGTTACATAGTGAGTGGCTGGGCTAGATTGGTTAGTAATGACCCTTTAAAAAGCAAATCTTATGTGGTTTGCTGTGTCCAATGAGAAATTAGCAAATAGGACATGAGCAGAGGCTTGAAAAGGTCTCGAACATTGGAGCTTGTCCTCTTGCTGTTGTTTGTTTTTTGTTTGTTTTTGAGATGGAGTCTCGCTCTGTCGCCCAGGCTGGAGTACAGTGGCACGATCTCAGCTCAGTGCAACCTCCGCCTCCTGGATTCAAGCGATTCTCCTGCCTCAGCCTCCTGAGTAGGTGGGATTACAGGTGCCTGCCACCACGCCCGGCTAATTTTTGTATTTTTACTAGAGACGGGGTTTCTCCATGTTGACCAGGCTGGTCTCAAACTCCTGACCTTAAGTGATCTGCCCGCCTTGGCCTCCCAAAGTGTTGGGATTACAGGCATTAGGCACCACGTCTGGGCTTCTTACTGTTCTTTGTAACCCTGAGTCGACCATGTGAAGAAGCCAGGGCTAGCCTATTGGAAGATAAGACACCATGTGGAACAGAAATAAGCCCTCACAGCTGAGGCACATGAGACATACTAGCCTCACCACTGCCACACACCTAAGGCCATACTAAATATCCAGTCTCAACAGAGGCTCCAAATGATTTCAGGAGTCAAATGAGCTAGCTGGGACCAGAACTGCCCAGCAGACCCACAGAATTGTGAGAAATGATAAATGCTTATTGTTTTAAGCCACTAAGTTTTAGAGTCTATTATGCAGAAAAGTTATGTTACACAGTGACCAAACCTGAATTTGATCTTTCTCTGTTGGAAACTCTGATCTTTCCTGTTGTATGCCACTGACTACCCATTCCTGCCAGCTTTCGAACAGATGAAAGGGATAATGACCCAAATAACTGGACATAAAGGGGCCATGTCATACACATGTGTAACTTATATTCCACTAGATATAATTGGCAAAAAGGGAAGTCAACTTATGAGGCGAAATTATGTAGAGTCAAAATTACCTTTGGAAACACCTTAGGTCCAGGCAGAGAAAACAGCAAGTATAAAGGCCCAGAGGGAAGTAGAAGATGGGCTTAAGAGAGGTAGCAGGGCCCTGCAGCCCAAGATTGAAAAGCCTTGATCAACAAACACAACAAACTGAGTGGGATTTTAATAGATTTAACAAAACACAGCAGATGCAGGTTTCTGAGCAAAACTGTAGTAAGATGGCTCAGAAAGCAAGCAGTTAGAGGAAGGAAGAAGAGATGGGGAATAATTGCAGCCATTCAGGGAAGAAACAAGGGAATGGCCATGTTGATGGAAGGGATGCGCTGGAATCAAAGCCTGCTGCAGAAGTTAAATCATGGCAGTTATTGACTAAGTAGATGTGGAGTGCAAAATCCAAGAAAAGAACATGAGTGATTAACATTTCGAAAAGTGTATAGGTTGAACGCAGTGGCTCATGCCTGTAATCCCAGCACTTTGAGAGGCTGAAGCGGGGAGATTGCTTGGGTTCAGGAACCAGCCTGGGCAGCATAGGGAAATCCTGTCTTTACAAACATTTTAAAAAGTTAACTGGGCATGGTGATGCATGCCTGTAGTATCTTGGCTACTTGGGAGGCTGAGGTGGGAGGATCACTTGAGCCTGGGAGGACAGAGCAAGACCCTGTCTCATATCTCAAAAAAAAAAAAAAAAAGTTTAGAAGAAATCTTTATTTTCGAGACAGGGTCTCACTCTGTTGCCCAGGCTAGAGTATAGTGATATGATAGTGGCTCACTGTAGCCTCAACTTCCAGGATTCAAGTGAGCCTTTCTCCTTTAGTAGCTGGGATTACAGGTATATACCACTATGCCCTGCTAATTATTATTATTTTTAAACTTTTCGTAGAGATGGGGTCTTTATGTTGCCCAGGCTGGTCTCCAGCTCCTGACCTCAAGCTTTCCTCCAGCTGCGGCCTCCCAAAGTGCTGGAACTACAGGTGTGAACCACTGGGCCTGGCCAGAAGAAAGTTTTTTTTTTTTCTTTTTTGAGACAAGGTCTCACTCTGTCACCTAGGCTAGAGTGCAGTGGGGTGATCTTGACCCACTGCAACCTCCACCTGCTGGGCTCAAGCGATCCTCCCACCTCAGCCTCATGAGTAGCTGGGACCACAGGTGTGCACCACCACACCCGGCTACTTTTTTTTTTTTTTTTGTATTTTTAGTAGAGCCAGGGTCTTGCCATGTTGCCCAACCTGGTCTCGAACTCCTGGACTCAAACAATCCACGCACCTCAGCCTCCCAAAGTGCTGGGATTATAGATATGAGCCACCACGCCCGGCCCAGAAGAAATTTTTTATACCTACTGTCTGCCGAGCACTTTATACTCAGTGTCTCCTTTAATTTTTACACCAATCCTTAATGAGATAATTGTTGTTCTCCACATTGCGCAAAAGAGAAAACTGAAGCTTGAGACAGTTTGAAAAATACGCCAAACTTAAAGGGGCGGCAAAGTCACAACTTGAACCCAAGTGTGTATGACCTCTAGTTGGGTGGGGAGGGTGGCTAGTGGCATCACAAACAAACGAACAAACCTGGGACAAGTCTGGAGGAAGAGTTAAGTTGAGCGTGAAGCCTGCTGCATGTGAGGCACTGGAAAGTACTCAAAAACACTCAGGTATGGATGTTCAGTCACCAGGGTAACAGGGACTAACCAAGGGTCTCAGGAGAGGCAAGGAAGCAGATTTGGGTCAGCTGTATTTGCCTTGCCTCATATATATACGCTGATATATTCTTATGAAACAAATTAAGTTTTTTTTTTTTTTTTTCAGTAAAACTGTGCATATCAATTTGTATTCTAGAGAAGTTATCCAAAAATTTCATCTAAGCCAACCAGGCCAAATTTTTATCTTCTTGAATAGGGTGAGTTAATTCTCTCTGAACCTCAAAATACCTCACTGTTAGTTAAAACATTTTGAGACAGGATCTCTCTCTCTCTTGCCCAGCTAGAGTGCAGTGGCACGATCTTGGCTCACTGCAGCCTCTACCTCCTGGGTTCAAGTGATTCTCCTGCCTCAGCCACTGAGTAGCTGGGGTTACAGGCGTGCCGCCACCACACCCGGCTAATTTTTGTATTTTTGGTAGAGACCAGGTTTCACCATGTTGGCCAGGCTGGTCTCAAACTCCTGAGCTCAAGTGATCCACTTGCCTTGGCCTCCCAAAGTGCCGGGATTACAGGCATGAGCCACCACACCCAGCCAGTGAAAACATTCTTTTAATGTTTTCAAGGCAACAGTGGCACAAGTAATCAAGGTCTTATATTACTGATGTCAACTTACTGTCTGCTGAACTTGCAGGAAGCAAAAAACCAGTGAGTCAAATTTAGTAACCCATCTTTATGTTATATAAGCTTTCTTCTTTCCCACCCCCTTAGTTAAGGGGCTGACAAACTGTTTTTGTAAAGGACCAGAGAGTATGTATTTTAGACTTTGCAGGCTATATGCCTTCCATCACAACTACTCAGCTATGTTGCAACTATTCAACTCTACCATTGTAGCAAGAAAGAAGCTATAGACAATATGTAAACAAATGGGCATGGCTGTGTTCCAATAAAACTTTATTTACAAGAACAGGCCATGGGCTGGATTTATCCCACAGGCTATAGTTTATTAATCTCTGCCTTAGATAATTATATGAGCTATGAGTAATATTTTCTGATCTACATTCTTTTTTTATTATACTTTAAGTTTTAGGGTACATGTGCACAACGTGCAGGTTTGTTACATATGTATACATGTGCCATGTTCGTGTGCTGCACCCATTAACTCGTCATTTAACATTAGGTATATCTCCTAATGCTATCCCTCCCCGCCCCGAGTCCCACAACAGGCCCCGGTGTGTGATGTTCCCCTTCCTGTGTTCATGTGTTCTCATTGTTCAATTCCCACCTATGAGTGAGAACATGCGGTGTTTGGTTTTTTGTCCTTGTGATAGTTTGCTGAGAATGATGGTTTCCAGCTTCATCCATGTCCCTACAAAGGACATGAACTCATCCTTTTTTATGGCTGCATAGTATTCCAAGGTGTATATGTGCCAAATTTTCTTAATCCAGTCTATCATTGTTGGACATTTGGGTTGATTCCAAGTCTTTGCTATTGTGAATAGTGCTGCAATAAACATACGTGTGCATGTGTCTTTATAGCAGCATGATTTATAATCCTTTGGGTATATACCCAGTAATGGAATGGCTGAGTCAAATGGTATTTCTAGTTCTAGATCCCTGAGGAATCACCACACTGACTTCCACAATGGTTGAACTAGTTTACAGACCCACCAACAGTGTAAAAGTGTTCCTATTTCTCCACATCCTCTCCAGCACCTGTTGTTTCCTGACTTTTGAATGATTGCCATTCTAACTGGTGTGAGATGGTATCTCGTTGTGGTTTTGATTTGCATTTCTGTGATGGCCAGTGATGATGAGCATTTTTTCATGTGCCTTTTGGCTGCATAAATGTCTTCTTTTGACATTTGACATCTCCTTCGCCCACTCATTGATGGGGTTGTTTGTTTTTTTCTTGTAAATTTGTTTGAGTTCTTTGTAGATTCTGGATATTAGCCCTTTGTCAGATGAGTAGATTGCAAAAATCTTCTCCCATTCTGTAGGTTGCCTGTTCACTCTGATGGTAGTTTCTTTTGCTGTGCAGAAGCTCTTTAGTTTCATTAGATCCCATCTGTCAATTTTGGCTTTTGTTGCCATTGCTTTTGTTGTTTTCATCATGAAGTTCTTGCCCATGCCTATGTCCTGAATGGTATTGCCTAGGTTTTCTTCTAGGGTTTTTATGGTTTTAGGTCTAACATTTAAGTCTTTAATCCATCTTGAGTTAATTTTTGTATAAGGTATAAGGAAGGGATCCAGTTTCAGCTTTCTACATATGGCTAGCCAGTTTTCCCAGCACCATTTATTAAATAGGGAATCCTTTCCCCATTTCTTGTTTTTGTCAGGTTTGTCAAAGATCAGATAGTTGTAGATATGTGGCATTATTTCTGAGGGCTCTGTTCTGTTCCATTGGTCTATATCTCTGTTTTGGTACCAGTACCATGCTGTTTTGGTTACTGTAGCCTTGTAGTATAGTTTGAAGTCAGGTAGTGTGATGCCGCCAGCTTTGTTCTTTTGGCTTAGGATTGACTTGGCAATGTGGGCTCTTTTTTGGTTCCATATGAACTTTAAAGTGGCTTTTTTCCAATTCTGTGAAGAAAGTCATTGGTAGCTTTATGGGGATGGCATTGAATCTATAAATTTCCTTGGGCAGTATGGCCATTTTCACAATATTGATTCTTCCTACCCATGAGCATGGAATGTTCTTCCATTTGTTTATGTCCTCTTTTATTTCGTTGAGCAGTGGTTTGTAGTTCTCCTTGAAGAGGTCCTTCACATCCCTTGTAAGTTGGATTCCTAGATATTTTATTCTCTTTGAAGCAATTGAGAATGGGAGTTCACTCATGATTTGGCTCTCTGTTTGTCTGTTATTGGTGTGTAAGAATGCTTGTGATTTTTGCACATTGATTTTGTATCCTGAGACTTTGCTGAATTTGCCTATCAGCTTAAGGAGATTTGGGGCTGAGACAATGGGGTTTTCTAGATATACAATCATGTCATCTGCAAACAGGGACAATTTGACTTCCTCTTTTCCTAATTGAATACCCTTTATTTCCTTCTCCTGCCTGATTGCCCTGGCCAGAACTTCCAACACTATGTTGAATAGGAGTGGTGAGAGAGGGCATCCCTGTCTTGTGCCAGTTTTTAAAGGGAATGCTTCCAGTTTTTGCCCATGCAGTATGATATTGGCTGTGTGTTTGTCATAGATAGCTCTTATTATTTTGAGATACATCCCATCAGTATCTAATTTATTGAGAGTTTTTAGCATGAAGGGTTGTTGAATTTTGTCAAAGGCCTTTTCTGCATCTATTGAGATAATCATGTGGTTTTTGTTGTTGGTTCTGTTTATATGCTGGATTACGTTTATTGATTTGCATATGTTGAACCAGCCTTGCATCCCAGGGATGAAGCCCACTTGATCATGGTGGATAAGCTTTTTGATGTGCTGCTGGATTCGGTTTGCCAGTATTTTATTGAGGATTTTTGCATAGATGTTCATCAGGGATATTGGTCTAAAATTCTCTTTTTTTGTTGTGTCTCTGCCAGGCTTTGGTATTAGGATGATGCTGGCCTCATAAAATGAGTTAGGGAGGATTCCCTCTTTTTCTATTGATTGGAATAGTTTCAGAAGGAATGGTACCAGTTCCTGCTTGTACCTCTGGTAGAATTCGGCTGTGAATCCATCTGGTCCTGGACTCTTTTTGGTTGGTAAGCTATTGATTATTGCCACAATTTCGGATCCTGTTATTGGTCTATTCAGAGATTCAACTTCTTCCTGGTTTAGTCTTGGGAGAGTGTATGTGTCGAGGAATTTATCCATTTCTTCTAGATTTTCTAGTTTATTTGCATAGAGGTGTTTGTAGTATTCTCTGATGGTAGTTTGTATTTCTGTGGGATCGGTGGTGATATCCCCTTTATCATTTTTTGTTGTGTCTATTTGATTCCTCTCTCTTTTTTTCTTTATTAGTCTTGCTAGCGGTCTATCAATTTTGTTGATCCTTTCAAAAAACCAGCTCCTGGATTCATTAATTTTTTGAAGGGTTTTTTGTGTCTCTATTTCCTTCAGTTCTGCTCTGATTTTAGTTATTTCTTGCCTTCTGCTAGCTTTTGAATGTGTTTGCTCTTGCTTTTCTAGTTCTTTTAATTGTGATGTTAGGGTGTCAATTTTGGATCTTTCCTGCTTTCTCTTGTGGGCATTTAGTGCTATAAATTTCCCTCCACACACTGCTTTGAATGTGTCCCAGAGATTCTGGTATGTTGTGTCTTTGTTCTCATTGGTTTCAAAGAACATCTTTATTTCTGCCTTCATTTCGTTATGTACCCAGTAGTCATTCAGGAGCAGGTTGTTCAGTTTCCATGTAGTTGAGCAGTTTTGAGTGAGATTCTTAATCCTGAGTTCTAGTTTGATTGCACTGTGGTCTGAGAGATAGTTTGTTATAATTTCTGTTCTTTTACATTTGCTGAGGAGAGCTTTACTTCCAAGTATGTGGCAGTTTTGGAATAGGTGTGGTGTGGTGCTGAAAAGAATGTATATTCTGTTGATTTGGGGTGGAGAGTTCTGTAGATGTCTATTAGGTCCGCTTGGTGCAGAGCTGAGTTCAATTCCTGGGTATCCTTGTTGACTTTCTGTCTCGTTGATCTGTCTAATGTTGACAGTGGGGTGTTAAAGTCTCCCATTATTAATGTGTGGGAGTCTAAGTCTCTTTGTAGGTCACTCAGGACTTGCTTTATGAATCTGGGTGCTCCTGTATTGGGTGCATATATATTTAGGATAGTTAGCTCTTCTTGTTGAATTGATCCCTTTACCATTATGTAATGGCCTTCTTTGTCTCTTTTGATCTTTCTTGGTTTAAAGTCTGTTTTATCAGAGACTAGGATTGCAACCCCTGCCTTCTTTTGTTTTCCATTTGCTTGGTAGATCTTCCTCCATCCTTTTATTTTGAGCCTATGTGTGTCTGTGCACGTGAGATGGGTTTCCTGAATACAGCACACTGATGGGTCTTGACTCTTTATCCAATTTGCCAGTCTGTGTCTTTTAATTGGAGCATTTAGTCCATTTACGTTTAAAGTTAAAATTGTTATGTGTGAATTTGATCCTGTCATTATGATGTTAGCTGGTTATTTTGCTCGTTAGTTGATGCAGTTTCTTCCTAGTCTCGATGGTCTTTACATTTTGGCATGATTTTGCAGTGGCTGGTACCGGTTGTTCCTTTCCATATTTAGCGCTTCCTTCAGGAGCTCTTTTAGGGCAGGCCTGGTGGTGACAAAATCTCTCAGCATTTGCTTGTCTGTAAAGTATTTTATTTCCCCTTTGCTTATGAAGCTTAGTTTGGCTGGATATGAAATTCTGGGTTGCAAATTCTTTTCTTTAAGAATGTTGAATATTGGCCCCCACTCTCTTCTGGCTTGTAGGGTTTCTGCCGAGAGATCCGCTGTTAGTCTGATGGGCTTCCCTTTGAGGGTAACCCGACCTTTCTCTCTGGCTGCCCTTAACATTTTTTCCTTCATTTCAACTTTGGTGAATCTGACAATTATGTGTCTTGGAGTTGCTCTTTTTGAGGAGTATCTTTGTGGCGTTCTCTGTATTTCCTGAATCTGAACGTTGGCCTGCCTTGCTAGATTGGGGAAGTTCTCCTGGATAATATCCTGCAGAGTGTTTTCCAACTTGGTTCCATTCTCCCCATCACTTTCAGGTACACCAATGAGACGTAGCTTTGGTCTTTTCACATAGTCCCATATTTCTTGGAGGCTTTGCTCATTTCTTTTTATTCTTTTTTCTCTAAACTTCCCTTCTCGCTTCATTTCATTCATTTCATCTTCCATTGCTGATACCCTTTCTTCCAGTTGATCGCATCGGCTCCTGAGGCTTCTGCATTCTTCACGTACTTCTCGAGCCTTGGTTTTCAGCTCCATCAGCTCCTTTAAGCACTAAAAATGCTGAGCGTAATCTGACCATCAGCCAGAAGTTAGCAGATTTAAAATGAGAAATACACCATATTGAAAAAAGCAAAAACAAGAAAACAAAACAATTTTTGCACCAGTAATAATGGCAGTAATAGCTACTGGCTTTTGAATATTTATTGCATGCCAGGCTGTGTTCTTTTTTTTTTTAATACTTTAAGTTTTAGGGTACATGTGCACAACGTGCAGGTGGGAACTGAACAGTGAGAACACATGGACACAGGAAGGGGAACATCACACACCAGGGCCTGTTGTGGGGTGGGGGGAGGGGGGAGGGATAGCATTAGGAGATATACCTAATGTAAATGATGAGTTAATGGGTGCAGCACGCCAGGCTGTGTTCTAATGAAAGTATTTAACCCTCATATAACCCTATGATATAGGTATATTTATTGTCTCCTCTTTACAGATGGGGATAATAATGCACAGACATCCTAAGGAACTTGCCCCATGATACATAAGATGGGATGAAATTTGTATCTTTCCTGGCTTGTTTCCATCCAAGAGTAAGAAGTATATTTTGAGAAATGTATGTAGTTCACATGGATGGATTTGTGTAGTTCATAGACTTACCCTAGGATGCAATTTGAAACCTCTTCATTCTGTGATCATTTATTTATTCTTATCGTACAAACACTGACCTACCATAAGCTTTGTTTATTTTAATTCAGAGAGTAGTTCTTTTCTTCTATCTAAGACATTCAATCTAATGCCCTGTTTGATTTTATTGAGGTACAGTTTCTAAACAAAAGCTTTGTATTTAACTGTCACTATGGCTCATCCAATTACACCCTGTTTTACCTATAGCCCCCTCCTCTTTACCCCATTGTAGATCAGAACAAAAGCTTGAAAAGTTTGAGGCTACCATTACAGTTTGAAAAATTTGTCGGAAGCAGACTCACCCTAGGATGCAATTTGAAATCTCTTCCTACATTCTGTGGTCATTTATTTGTTTTTTCTTCTTTTCTTTTCTTTTTTTTCTTTTTGATATGGAGTCTTACTCTGTTGCCCAGACTAGAGTGCAGTGGCGCAATCTCGGCTCACTGCAATCTCTGCCTCCCGGGTTCAAGTGATTCTCGTGCCTCAGCCTCCTGAATAGCTGGGATTATAGGTACGCACCATCATGCCTGGCTAATTTTTCTATTTTTTGTAGAGATGGGGTTTTGCCATGCTGGCCAGGCTGGTCTCGAACTCCTTACCTCAGGTGATCCGCCCACATCGGCCTCCCAAAGTACTGGGATTACAGGCATGAGCCACCACGCCCGGCCCATTTATTTATTCTTATTGCACAAACACTGACCTACCATAAGCTTTGCTGGTGATTCACAGATACTATGAGTCTACTCTTCTAGTTATCTGTTGCTTCATAGCAAGTTATCCCATACTTAATACCTTAAAACTAAAGCCATTCATTATATTTCATGATTTTTTGAATATGAATTTGGATGAGTCTCGACTGGCTGATTCTTTTACTCCATATGGCATTGACTTTTAGTAAGGGAGAGTGGGTACATGGTAGACCCATTAAATGAAGCCGTGGGATTCAGGAGGATAAGTCACCATAGTATTTGCAGAAAAAGTAAAGATTCAGGAGGGTGGGGAAGGCATACGTTTTTCTTGAATTTGTTTCTTGAGGTAGAATTCACATACCATAAATTTACCTAAAGTATACATTTCAGTGGTTTTAGCATATTCACAGTTGTACAATTGCTACCACTATCTAAGTTTAGAACATTTTCTTCACCCCAAAAAGAAACCCCTTACTCATCAGTAGTCACTTTTCATACCCGCTCCAACCACAGTCAACCACTAATCTTTTTTCTGTTTCTATAAATTTACCTGTTATAAAATTTTCATATAAATGGAATCATGCAATATGTGGCCTTTGTGTCTGGTCTCTTTCAGTTAGCATAGTGTTTTAAAGGTTCATCTGTGTTATGGTACATATCAGAACTTTATTCCTTTTTTTTTTTTTTTTTTTGAGACAGAGTTTTGCTCTTGTTGCCCAAGCTGGAGTGCAGTGGCGCAATCTCAGCTCACCACAACCTCTGCCTCCTGGATTGAAGCAATTCTCCTGCCTCAGCCTCCCGAGTAGCTGGGATTACAGACATGCACCACCATGCCTGGCTAATTTTGTATTTTTAGTAGAGGCAGGGTTTCTCCATGTTGGTCAGGCTGGTCTCAAACTCCCAACCTCAGGTGATCCGCCCGCCTCAGCCTCCCAAAGTGCGGGGATTACAGGCGTGAGCCACCATGCCCAGCTAGAACTTTATTCCTTTTTATGACTGAATAATATTCCATTGTAGAGCTATGTCACATTTGTTTAGCCATTTATCAGTTGACTAACATTGGGTGGCTTCTACTTTTTGGCTATTATGAATAATGCTGCTATGAACATTCATATATGAGCTTTTCTGTGAACATATGTTTTCATTTTTCTTGGGTGGAGTGGAATTTCTGGGACTTACTGTAACTCTGTTTATAGTATGAGAAAGTTTACAATTTACATTTTGAGGAAAAGCCAAACTGTTTTCTAAAGTACCTGACCATTTTATATTCCCATCAAAAACGTGTAAGATTACTGGGCACAGTGGATCACAGCCGTAATCCCACCACTTTGGGAGGCTGAGGCAGGTGGATCTCTGGAGCCCAGGAGTTCAAGATGAGCCTGGGCAACATGGTGAAACCCCGTGTCTACAAAAAATACAAAAATTAGCTGAGCGTGGTGGTGCGCACCTGAGGCCCCAGCTACTTGGGAGGCTGAGGTAGGAGGATTGCTTGAGCCCAGGAGGCAGAGGTTGCAGTGAGCTGAGATAGAGCCACTGCACTCCAACCCAGGCAACAGAATGAGACCCTGTCCCCACCCCCCCCCCCCCCAAAAAAGAGAGATTTCTAATTTTTTCACATTCTCACCAACACGTATTATCTTTCCGATTTAGCCATTCTAGTGGGTGTGAAATGGTATTTCATTGTGGTTTTGATTGGGATTTCCCTAATGTGTAATAATGTTGAGCCTCTTTTAATGTGTTTGTTAGCCATGTGTGTATCTTCTTTATAGAAATGTCTATTCATCTCCTTTCCCTATTTTTAAATTGGATTATTTGCCTTTTTATTGAGTTGTGAAGGTACTTTTTATATTCTGGATACCAGTAGCTTATCTGATATCTGATATATGCCTTGTAAATATTTTCTCCCATTCTGTGGGCTGTCTTTTCACTTTCTTTTTTTTGTTTTGTTTTGTTTTATTTTTGAGACGGAGTCTCGCTCTGTCACCAGGCTGGAGTGCAGTGGCGTGATCTCGGCTCATTGCAACCTCTGCCTCCCAGGTTCAAGCAATTCTCCTGCCTCAGCCTCCCGAGTAGCTGGGATTACAGGCACGCATCACCACACCTGGCTAATTTTTGTATTTTTAGTAGAGATGGGGTTTCACCATGTTGGCCAGGATGGTCTCAATTTCTTGACCTCGTGATCCTCCTGCCTCGGCCTCCCAAATTGCTGGGATTACAGGCATGAGTCACCGTGCCTGGCCTCTTTTTTTTTTTGAGACGGAGTTTCACTCTTGTTGCCTAGGCCAGAGTGCAGTGGCGTGATCTTGGCTCACTGCCGCCTCTGCCTCCCAGGTTCAAGCGATTCTCCTGCCTCAGCCTCCCGAGTAGCTGGGATTGTGCCACCACGCCCAGCTAATTTTTGTATTTTTAGTAGAGATGGGGTTTCACCATGTTGGCCAGGCTTGTCTCGAACTCCTGACCTCAGATGATTAGTCCGCTTCGGCTCCAGAGTGCTGGGAATACAGGCGTGAGCCACTGCGCCTGGCCTTCACTTTCTTAATGGTATCATTTGAACAAAAGTTTTAAATTTTTATGTAATCCAATTTACCTATATTTTATTACTTATGTTTTTAATGCCATGTCTAGAAACTGTGGTCTAATCTAAAGTCATGAAGACTTACGTGTTTTCTTCTAAGAATTTTATAGTTGGAACTCCTACAATTTGGTCCTACTTCTTTTTCATGTGAATATTCAGTGGTCCCACCACCATTTATTGAAACACCATTCGTCCCCCCATTGAATTATCTTGACAACCTTGTTGAAAATCAATTAACCATAAACATAAGAATTAATTTCTGGAGTCTCAATTCTTTTCCATTGATATACATGTCCATCCTCATGCCAGTATCATGCTGTTTTGACTACTGTAGCTTTGAAGTAAGTTTTGAAATTGGAAAGTGTGACTCCTCTAACTTTATTTTTGAAGACTGTGTTGGCATCTGGCTCCTTGTGTTTCCTTATGAAATGGAGAATCAGCTTGTCAATTTATTCAAAGAAATCAACTAGCATTCTGATAAGTACTGCATCAAATCTGTACATCAGTTTGGGGAATATTATCATTTTAACAATGTTAAATCTTCTGATCTATCCCCATGGATGACTTTCTACATATTTAGATCTTCTCCAATTTCTTTCAACCACATTTTTTAGTTTTCAGTGTACAAATCTTATGTTGCTTTTGTTAATTTTATTCCTAAGAGTTTTAATCCCTTTGGTGCTGTTATAAATGGAATTTTCTTATTTTAATTTTCAGACTGTTCATTGCTAGTGTATAGAAATGCAGTTGATTTTGTGTATTGATCTTGTATCCTGCAACTTTGCTGAACTTATTTATTCTAATAATTTTTAGTGGATTTCTTAGGATTTTCTATATACAAGATTATGTCATCTGCAAATATAGTTTTACTTCCTCCTTTCCAATTTGGATGTGTTTTATTTCTTTTTCTAGCCTAACTACCATGGGCTAGAACCTCAGTACAACATTGAATGGAAATGGTGAGAGTGAACATCCTTATCTTGTTCGTGATGTATCCAGTCTTTCACCAATTAAGTATGATGTTACCTGTTACTTATTATTATTGAGATCATGTGATTTTTGTTCTTTATTAATATGGTATATTACTGATATGGTTTGGATTTGTGTCCTCTTGCAAATCTCATGTTCAGTTGCAGCCTCATTGTTGGAGGTGGGGCCTGGTGATTGGATCATGGGTGTGGTTTCCCATGAATGGTTTAGCACCATCCCCTCAGTGGTATTCTTGTGAGAGTGAGTGAGTGAGTGATTTATCATGACATCTGGTTGTTTAAAAGTGTATACCACTTCCCCCATCTCTCTCTTGGTCTTGCTCCTGCCATGTAAGATGAATAAAAACTCCCTGTGGCCTCCCCAGCAGCAGATGCTGGCATTATGCTTTCTGAACAGCCTGTGGAACCATGAGCCAATTAAACCTTTCTTCTTGATAAATTACCCAGTCTCAGGTATTTATTTATAGCAGTGCAAGAATGGACTAATACAATTACATTGCTTTTTTTTCCCTAGATGTTAAGTCAGTGTTGTATTCTTAGAACAAAACCTACTTGGTCATGGTATATAATCACTCTTACATATGTCTGGATTTAATTTGCTAGTGTTTTGTTGATGGCTTTTGCATAAATATCTGTAAAGGATATTATGATGGTTAATTGTGTGTGTCAGCTTGATTGGGTAAGGGATGCCTGGATAGTTAGTGAAACATAATTTTTTGATGTGTCTGTGAGGGAGTCTCTGGAAGAGATAAGCATTTGAATTGGTAGATTGGATAAAGAAGATCCATCCTCACCCATGTGGGTGGACATCATCCAGCCCATCAAGGGCCTGAATAGAACAATAAAGTGGAGGAAGGGAGAATTTACTCTTTGTAGGAAGTTTCTAAATTATTAATTTAATCACCTGTCTCAGGTTTATTAAGATTTTCTATTTCTTTGAGTCAGTTTCAGGAGTTTGTGTTTCTCTAGAAATTTTTCCGTTTTATCTAAGTTATCTAATGTGTTGGCATATAGTTGTTCCTAATATTTTCTTAAAGTCACTGTTATTTCTGTAATATCAGTAGTGATGTCCTTTCATTCCTGAGTTGAGTAATTTGTTTCTTCTTTTATTTTCTGTTCAGTCTAGCTAAAGGTTTTCAATTTTGCTGATCTTCTCAACCAATCTTTCATTGACTTTTTCTATTTTTCTATTCTCTATTTTAATTGTGCTCTAGTCTTATTTCTTCTGTTTGCTTTGCATTTAGTTCACTATTTTTGTAGTGTCTTAAGATGGAAGATTAGGTTGATTTGAGATATTTTTATGTTATAGGCATTTATAGCTATAAATTTCCCTCTAAGCCATGCTTTAGCTATATCCCATAAGTTCCGGTATTTTTTGTCTTTTAATGTGCTGTGTTTGAATTATCTGTCGAATTTTTAGGTGGAGCAGTCTAAGTAGGAAGTTCAAAATGTACCTAAAATTTGGAAGTTCAAGAATAGACATAAATGAAGATAGGAGTCATTATCATTCTAGTGATATTGATAGCAACAGGAGGCAGCCAAATGCCTAAGCAGATAGGGGTAGGTACCTGGTGAAACCCCACCTCTAAGCCGAAGACAGTTTAAAGCCTGAAAGCCAAGCTACAAGTTAAATCTTCGGACTGGATTGCAAACTTGTCTTCCTGTTTGTCATGCTTTCTTCTGATTGATCCACACCCTTCACCTATTTTACATCTACCTACCCTTTCCTAATTGGTTTTCTACACTGTTGTGCCCATGTTTGAGTAGTGTCTTTGCTTTAACCTTTTTTGCATAGTCACAAACCAGTTGGCACACACTCCCCATCCTGTGCCTATAAAGACCCCAGACTCAGTTGGTAGAGGAGGAGACAGCCTGACTTTGGAGAAGATGACCTGCTCTTCCCATTCCCTCTCCAGCTCCCCTCTCTGCTGAGAGTCGTTTTCATCGCTCAGTAAAATTCTCCACCTTCACCATCCTTCAACTGTCCATGTGACCTCGTTCTACTTGGACATCAGACAAGAGCTTGGGACCCACCAAGTGTGGGTATGCAGAAAGGCTGTCACACTGGCCCTTTGCCCTCGCTGGCAGAGGGAAGCAGCCCCATGTGATGAGGCAAGGGGCTAACTGAGCTGCTAACACACCACCATCGGTGGATGGTGGAATTACAGGAGCACTGTAACAGCTCATCTGGGGCCTCAGGGTCACGGGCACCCTCAACTGGGCACCGCCATGTTCCCCTCCAGGCAATACGCCTTATGTGGCTGAGGACCCTGCATTGAGCTTGCTTCTGTGTCGGCGCCCAGAGTAGCCGGCTGCATCCCATACTGGCTCGCTTGTGCCTGGTCTGGCCACAGGCCCCACATGGAACTTGTTCCTGTGTTGGCACCCGGGGCAGCTGGCTGGATCCCACACTCGCTCATATGCTCCCTCCCACAAGCGGTCGAGCGCAGTGGGCCAAGTAGAGGGGGCACCCCCGAGTCCAGGGAAAGGGCCGAGAAAACTCCTGCATCAGTATCTGAGGGCAGTGGTTGGGTGACTAAGGAAAGGACACGAGGTGAAAAAAAAGGTTTCAAGAATGAAATGCCATGTCAACAACATGAATATGGTGAGCAGGGGAGGAGGTATCCAAGGAGGAGGCTGGAAAGTCATCAAGGGTAGAGGAAACCTAAAAGGTCCTGAGATCTTAAAGCCCAAGGTGAGAGAGAACAACAAGAAGCAGTTAATATCACAAAGTCAAGTGAGATAAAGCCTGAAACCATGACATTCTCAAGTTAAAAACCACTTTCAGCAGGCAATTTGGCAGAGTCCAATCTATAGCAGAGGAATCAGCAGCAGTAGAGAGAGTATAAAGCTAGGATAAAATAATAAATGTGTCTGCGAAATAGATTTGGGAGATAACAAAGTAGAATTAGTGTTTGGGGACTTTCAAAGTACATTTTTAACAAATTAAACTCATTTGTGCACATGGTTTAGATGACACAGAAGGACTGCTATTAAAAAGTAACCATCTTCTACATAGAGGTAAATACTGACAAAGACTCTCTCCCTTAACCTAAGTGTAGTCAGGTTCCTCTAAACTCATCTCAGCCAGGCCCGATTTTTGGGCTTCTATATTCATTTCTGCTTATTCCAGTTTTAGCAAGAATCTTATTGGGTCAGTTTAGTGAAAATCCCCCACCATTGATATCTGACCAAATTTCTCATTCCCCACCCTGGATACCTTATCACCTTGGCCTGGCTTCAGCAATAATCCTATCAAGTAGGTTTAGCCAGAGTGCTCCTTATCCTTGATGTTTTCTCTTAGTAAATTTCCATCAACTCACCCCACCCTGCTCCTTGGCTATACATTCCAATTTTTCCTTGTATTTGGAGTTGAGCCAGATCTCTCTCCTCTATCACTGTGGTCCTGAATAAAGACTGCCTTACTGTCTTTCACAATTGTCATGAATAGTTTTTTCTTTAACAACATTGATCATTGTTTCCCTGCCAAATGTTGTATCTCTAAATATGCTCATACAAATTCTTGCTTTATCAACTTTAGATAATACAGCTGGGGCTCAGAAAGTGATACTCCAAGGACTGGCACGTTGACATGTTCAGAGGCCTTAGAAGCTGCCTCAGAATCTGGATACCACTATTGGTCCTCCCCCTCGAGGGCAGGGGTACACCATCTGGAAATTTAAATGACCAACAAAGTTTCTTCTTAAAAGAAACAATTACCTTCCATCTTCTCCCTGACATCTCATTATCTCAGGAAAAAAGACAACTGCACCTGGGAGAACTTTTTCACAAGATAATGCCTGTCTCTTGGGCTCATTCAGTTTCTAAAGAGAATCATTTACAAGTTAATTTTTATCTGCTAGGTCCATTCATTCTCTGTACAATCATTTGCTGCCCCTCAAAAGAATTGTCTGCCTTCCCCATGATGCCTCTCCCCCATGAGAAAGGATATATAAGCTTCTGGACCTCATTAGGTTATTGGGTAATTATTCTCCTGGGATTCTTCTATAATATACACATTAAAATAAAATTTTGTATACCTTTTCTCCTATTAATCTGCCTTTTGTCAGTTGATTTTTCAACAAACTTTCAGAGGGCGAAGGGGAAGTTTTCCTTTGCCCTACAATACCTAGTGGCTTTCTGCTTTCTTTTTTTTCCCCATCAAGTTCTGGGGTACATGTGCATGATGTACAGGTTTGTTACATAGGTAAACATGTGCCATGGTTGTTTGCTGCACAGATCAACCCATCACCTAGGTATTAAGCCCAGTACCCAATAGCTATTCTTTCTGATGCTCTTCCTTCCCCAACTCCCCATCCCCTGCAGGCCCCAGTGTGTGTTGTTCCCCACCATGTGGCCATGAATCAACCCAAATGTCCATCAGTGATGTCCATCAATGACTGGCTTTCTGCTTTCATAGAGGATTTGACTCATTCACACCTATGCCTATCTCCTCTTTTCCTCCCAATATCATCATTACCCTGTTCTATTTTTGGTTGCCTTTGAAACTTTGAATAATGTACTTAAAGTTCAATTTCTTATCTCAAATATGGCTGGGGTCCTTTGTCTCAATGTTATGAGGTTGGGACATCAACACAAGTATTCTCT
This sequence comes from Homo sapiens, assembly GCF_000001405.40. Lineage (NCBI taxonomy): Eukaryota > Metazoa > Chordata > Mammalia > Primates > Hominidae > Homo > Homo sapiens. Next base: position 30,782,125 of record NC_000023.11, read on the forward strand.
ATTTCTGTGGTCACCATTCCCAACTCCCTGCTTCTGTCATGTGTACTTTCACATTGACTAGATTTATAGCATTTATACTCTAACCACAATTTAGTCATTCTGGCTTTGTCTTCAGGTTGATTCTAAAAGCTAAACGTCAGTAGTATTCCTATTGCTATGACTTGGCTTAGTACCAAATTGAGTATTAATGTGTTATTTCCTGGAGTATCAAAGAAGATAGAACACTTCCCTTCTGGAGCTTTCTGTCCACCTGTTGCAATCTGAACTGATTGCCTCTGTACAGCTGTCATTCAGAGACTGCTTTTCATTGCTCTCCTAAAATGTACCATCTATTTCCTAAAGTGACCATTTCTCCTCTTCCTCGTCCTCCTTACCCTTGGTTACCCCCTCATTTTGCCATAGCCTATCTTCCAGAAATTTATCCAAAAGAATATAGAAAAGGTAAACTGCTGAGTACTTGCTTTGTCTAAAAACTCTTTTATTCTGTCCTCATACTTGACTGAGATGTCCTTAAATGTCCTACATAATTTTGAAACCGCCTTTGCAAAAATCTGTTTTTTTTGTTTTGTTTTGTTTTGTTTTGTTTTTTTTGAGATGGAGTCTCACTCTGTCACCCAGGCTGGAGTGCAGTGGCGTGATCCGGCTCACTGTAAGCTCCACCTTCCGGGTTCACGCCATTCTCCTGCCTCAGCTTCCCAAGTAGCTGGGACTACAGGCGCCCGCCACTGTGCCCAGCTAATTTTTTGTATTTTTAGTAGAGACAGGGTTTCCTCATGGTCTCGATCTCCTGACTTCGTGATCTGCCTGCCTTGGCCTCCCAAAGTGCTGGGATTACAGGTGTGAGCCACCGCGCCCGGCCCACAAAAATCTTAACTGAGGAAATTATGGCAGTGAAAGAGATCAGACCTAACCGACCCCATCTTGTTTCTAACCTGGGAAGAAATTTAGCTTATATTTTAAACTCTGAAACCAAATTGATAATAGCCCTATCCTGAAAAAAACCCTTCTTTCCTGGGCTGCAAAGAGTCTGAACCTCCCCAAATTGCTCCTGGGAATAACATTACTGTTGCAAAATCTAAGATCAGTGCTTGAGATATTTTGCAGACCTTGTATTCTGATGCAGCACCCAGACTGATAATCTGGCTCAACCAGTCCTGCAATCCCATCCAGGAACAGAAGTCAGCAAGAAGAACTCACTTCAGTCCTCTATTATTTCATCTCCAACCCGACCAATCAACACTCCCGACTTCCTGAGCACATACCCGCCAAATTATCCTTAAAAACTGGTCCGCGAATGCTCCAGGAGACTGATTTGAGTAATAATAAAACTCCCATCTCCTGCACATCTGGCTCTGCATGAATAACTCTTTCGCCATTGCAATTCACTGGTCTTAATAAATTGGCTATGTCTAGGCAGTGGGCAAGGTGAACACATTGGGTGGTTACAATTTCAGTTTGAAAATCACTTTTACTTAATACATAGGATGAAAATACACTATTAATGTTGAGAATTCCAATACCTGGCAGGTTGTTATTCCTATTTATTTTCTTGAGATGGAGTTTCACTCTTGTCACCCAGTCCTGAGCGCAGTGGTGGCGATCCTGGCTCACTGCAACCTCCGCCTCCCAGGTTCAAGCGATTCTCCTGCCTCAGCCTCCCAGGTAGCTGGGATTACAGGCATGCGCCACCATGCCTGGCTAATTTTATATTTTTAGTAGACATGGGGTTTCACCATGTTGGCCAGGCTGGTCTAGAACTCCTGACCTCAAGTGATCTGCCCTCCTTGGCCTCCCAAAGTGCTGGGATTATAGGCATGAGCCACTGCACCTAGCCTATTCCTTTTTAGATAACATGTCTATTCTTACTGGAAGCTTTTAGGGTCCTTTCTTTCTTAAGTTCACTGTGAGGTATGTGTATTCTTTGCTATTTATCTTTAATATCACATAGTATACCCTAGTATGTTCCTTAATCTCTAGGAATTTTCTTGTGTCGCCTCTTTAGTAAGTTTCTGTTTTTCTCTATTTTCTTTCCAGAATTCAGTGTTTGGAGATTTAACTTCTTGGGTTGAACCTCTATAGCTCTTCATTTTTCTCCTATTTTTCGTGTCCTTGTGTTTTGCTATACGTTTGGGAGATTTCCTCAACTTCCAAGTTTCTATAGATGTTTACTGTTTTAGTAGTTATATTTTTAAATTCTAAGAGCTTTTTTCTATAATCCAATTATTTTTGTTATGGTGTCATGTTCTAGCTTACTAAATGCAATTTCTCCTCATTTTTTAAAAGAAATAATTAGATTTTTTTTCGTTTTTTATTCTTTTGAGACAGGGTCTCAATCTATTGCCCAGGCTAGAGTGCAATGGAGTGATCATGACTCACTGCAGCCTCGACCTCCTGAGCTCAAGTGATCCTCCCACCTCAGCCTCCCAAGTAGCTGGAACCACAGGCACTCTACCCCTCCCAGCTAATTTTTAAATTTTTTTAGAAATGGGGTCTCACCATGTTGCCCAGGCTGGTTTCAAACCCCTGGGCTCAAGCAAACCTCCCTTCTCGGCTTCCCAAAGTGCTGGGATTACAAGTGTGAGCCACAACACCTGGCCTAGATTTCTTAAGTTCACCTCTGATCCCTGAGTTATTTTTATTTTCTCTTGAGTTAATTGAGTGTTTCTCTTAATTGCTTTTAAGTTGCAGGCTTTACTCAATGTCTGGTGATCTTGATTATTGGTTATTTTAAAAGGCTGACTGGGGCACAGGGCTTACCATCCGGCAGAGTGAGTTGGCAGAAAGCTGCCAATATTCTCAGTTTGTTCCATTTCTTTAGAGAAATAGCCTGATTTGTTGTTTTTGTTTTGCTGAATGATTAAACACATGGTTTCACAAGCAGTTTTTTGAGCTGGAGTTTGAAACAGAATGCAGGGATTTGGTGGTTTTCCATCTCACTTCTCTCTCTTGTTCTCCATAGGACCTACAGACTCTGAACCTAAGACCTCTTCAGGACCTTGCAGTAACATTGGCTGCCTCCTCAGCTGTAAGTTCTTTCATGCATGTTCTAGGTTCCAGAATCCTCCTATCTGCATTCATCAGTCCACTCTTGCTGCCTAATTTGACATGATCTCTTGTCCCTCACTGGCCCCCATTCTGTTCTATTCAAAGTTATGGGTTTGCACCTTTTTAATTTTTTTATTATTTTAATGAGATCTTGATGGGGAGAAGATAAATATGTATGCTCATTCTACAACTTTGAATGCAAATGCCGGAGGATTTTTTTGGGGGAAGAATTTTTGTATAGATACAATTTCAAACTTCCAAGATCATTTTTGCTTCATTTGTTTTATACACACACACACACACACACACACACGTATGTGTACATGTTTTTCTAAAAATTTGAAAGTTCATTAAAGACATCCATGACCTAGCATTAAAGACTTTACCCTTAAATGCTTAAAGTATATATTTGCTAAGAATCAGACATTCTCTTATGTAAGACAGTAGAATTTTCTTTTCTTTTTTTGAGACAGGGTCTCTCTCTGTCATGGGACTAAAGTACAGGTGGTGTGATCACAGCTCACTGCAGCCTCCACCTCCTGGGATCAAGTGATTCTCCCACCTCAGCCTTCCGAGTAGCTGGGACTATAGGTGCATGCCACCATGCCCGACTCATTTTTTGCATTTTTTGTAGAGATGGAGTTTCGCCATGTTGCCCGGGCTCAAGCGGTCTGCCCACCTCAGCCTCCCAAAGTGTGGGACTACAGGTGTGAGCCACCATGCCCAGCCAAGACAGTACAATTTTCAAGATCACAAAAATTATTTGATATACTATTATCTAACTCATGGTCCGTCCATATTCAGATTTTATTTTCATAATTTTTTTTTAGGAAATCTTCCTGGTGTAGAAGCAAATTCAGAATTTCACACATTACGTTTAGTTGCCATGTCTCTAAGACAGAAGAGTTCTGCGTTTCTTTGTCTTTCATAACACTAACATTTTTGGCCATTGTTTATAGAAAGTCCATTGATTTTGGGTTTTTCTAATATGATTCAATTCAGTTGTGCATTTTTGATAAGAATATTGCAAGTGATGTTGTTTCCGACTCAGGGCGTCCTATCAGGAGCCAGGGGCTGTTAGTTGGTCACATTACTGGTGATGTTAACTTTGATTACTTGTTAAAGTTGATGTTTGCTGGGTTTCTCCAATATGAAGTTACAGTTTTTTTTCCTTTGGAAAAAATAAGCTATTTGTGAAGAGATCGAGGGATTTAAGGACAGGAAAATTTTGAGCATACTTGAGGAAAAAGGAGCTGGTGGAGAAACAGTTACAGAAGATAATGGAAAGCATGGGATCCTGGGAGTGAGAAAAGTGGTGCCATTGTAAGAGTGAATCACTTACATAAAACAGTAGTAATCCCAAGAACAGGCATGCATCAATCTATTCATCAAAGACTGTAGATCTGATTCACAGATGATTCACATTACTTTATTTCAGTGCCTTTGAAATCTAGTGTTCCTTCCAAAGCTGATCATGAGGGTGTCAGTGGGGAGACCTAGACAGAGGAGGAACAGGGGAGGTAGGACAATTTTCCTACTATGTTTTTGTGTAGCATTTGGATGATGAATCTTTTGGTTCCATGACCTAGTATAAACTATAAACTGAAAGTCTTCCTGATTATTCTGAAAAATACTTGAGAATTTCTTCTCTTCACAAGTTCAGTTTGGCCAATACAATCAATATTAATGATTCAGAGATATCAAATCTTACATCTCTTGCGTTATCAATATTTCCTTTGAGCCCAGCAACTATTTTTCCCGTTTTTTAAGCTTTTTATCTTTACTCTTTTTAACTAAATTTTTTGAGACAATTATAGTTGTAAGGAATGATAGATCCTGTATAGCCTTTACCTTGTTTCTTCCCAATGAAACCATCTTGCAAAATTATAGTACAATGATGAAACAGGAGAGTTCCCTGATCCCCCTTGCAGGACATGCAACAGGGGTGTGGCTCGCCTGTTTGGTAGCTGTCGCTGCTCCTCAAACCCCTTGCAGGAGAGGAGAGCATGCAGACGGGCAGGTGCAGAGGACAGGGTGAGCGCTTTGGGCTCCAGCCCCGTGGTTGTGTCTAGGGGTAGGTGCCTGCAAGCCCAGTGTTACAATGCTCTCTTAGCCTTGCCATCTGCAGACAGCTTTTAAGTGTTAACCAGCTCGATGGACCGTCTGCCTTTTCTCAAGGGCAGAGGGCCAGTGTGACAGCTTCCTGTACCCCGAGCTCTTGCCCAGCATCCCAGAAGAATCGGGTCACACACAGTATTGAAGGATGAATGTGAGGTTTTATTGAGTGGTGGAGGTGGCTCTCAGTGGGATGGATGGGAGCTGAAATGGGGGGATGGAGTGAGAAGATGATCTTCCCCTGCAGTTGGGCCATCCAGTGGCCGAAATCGTCTCTGACCACCCCCAGCCAAACTCCTCTCAGTGTTCAAATGTTCCTCCTCTTCTTCTTTCTCTGCCATGTCATTCCACCGTTCATCTGCTTGTCTCATCTCCTGGTCTCTTCTGGAGCCTGGGGTTTGGGGTTTATATGGGTACAGCATAGGAGGCATGACAGGCAAAAAGGCAACATTTTGGGACAAAAACAGGAATGCCTGTTCTCACTTAGGGCCTCGGATATCCAGGCTTGAGGGTGGGGCCTTTGCTAGGGAACCACCCTCTTCTATCTAGTGTTTCCCTGTCTCCTGTCCATATCAATATGATAATTGTATCATATTGCTACAGTCAAGCTTTAGAACATTTCCATCACGTCAAGGATCCTTCATGTTGCCCTTTTATAACCATACCAATTTTCCTCCCACCCTCACCTCTCCTTAACTCCTGTGAGCACAGTTATTCAAAATGTATTAATATAAATGTCATAGAGTAATGTTTTTAGATGTGAACTGGTTAGTGAGTCCAATTCTGCCTAATAAAGTCATGTAAATGGTAAACATCAATGAACTTCTCCAGCAAAGGCTAGTGGGGCTTACCGTTTTTTTAACTTTTTATTTTGGAAAAATTCTAGATTTACACAAAAGTTTACAGAGAGTTCCCATATATCTTTCACTCAACTTCCCTTAATAGTAATATCTTTATATATACCATGACAATTTCTCAAAACTAAGCCATGACTATTGGTATATTTATGAGATTAGAGACTTTGTTTGGATTACACCAGTTTTTCCACTAAAGTTCTTTTTCTGTTCTAGGATCCAGTTCAAGATACCACAGCATATTTAATTGTGGCATTATTTTAATTACTCATGTATTGCATAATGACATTTTGATCAATGATGGAATGCATATACAATGGTGGTCCCATGAGATTACAGTATCATATTTTTACTACACCATGCCTTGCCTTATGCCTTGCTGGGCCTTGCCTTGTGCCTCACCTAGCCTTGACAAGCCTTTCCTTCCCTTGCCTTGCCATGCCTTGCATTGTGCCTTGCCTTGCCTTTTGCCTTGCCTTGCCTTGACTTGTGCCTTGCCTTGTGCTGCCTTGCCTTGTGCCTTGCGCCTTGCCTTACTTTGTGCCTTGTCTTGCGCCTTGCCTTATTTTTGCCTTGTGCCTGGCCTTGCCTTACTTTGCCTTGCCACGCCTTGTGCCTTGCCTTGCCTTGCCTTGTTTTGCCTTGTGCCTTGGCTTGTGTTGCTTGGTGCCTTGCCTTATGCCTTGCCTTGCCTTGTGCCTTGCCTTGCTTTGCCCATGCCTCGTGCCTTGCCATGCCTCGTGCCTTGCCATGCCTCGTGCCTTGCCTTGCCTTGCGCCTTGCCTTGTGTTTTGCCTTGCTTTGTGCTTTGCCTTGCCTTGCTTTGCCTTGCCTTGTCTCGCCTTGACTTGTGCTTTACATTGTCTTGCCTTGTGCCTTGCCTTGCCTTGCTCTGTGCCTAGCCTTGTCTTGTGCCTTGCCTTGCTTTGTGCCTTGTGCCTTGCCTTGCCTTGCCTTGCCTTGCCATGCCTTGTGCCTTGCCTTGCTTTGCCTTGTCATGCTTTGTGCCTTGCTTTGCCTTGTGACTTGCGTTGCCTTGCCTTGTGCCTTCCCTTGCCTTGACTTGTGTGTTGATTTGCCTTGCCTTGTTACTTGACATCCCTTGGGTTGTGCCTTGCCTTGTGCCTTGCATTGCTTTGCCTTGCATTGTGCCTTGCTTGTGCCTTCCCTTGCCTTGTCTTGTGCCTTGCTTTGTCTTGGCTTGTGTCTTGCCTTGTAACTTGCCTTGCCTTATGCCTTGCCTTGCCATACCATGTCTTGCCTTGCCTTTTCTTACCTTTCCTTACCTTGCCTTGTGCCTTACGTTGCCTTGGCTTGCTTGTGCCTTAACTTGCCTTATGCCTTGCCTTGCCTTGTTCCTTGCCTTGTTCTGTGCCTTACCTTGCCTTGCCTTATGCCTTGCTTTGGCTTGCCTTGACTTGGGCCTTGCCTTGCTGTGCCTCACTTTCTGCCTTGCCTTGCCTTGCTTTTTGCTTTGCCTTGCCATTCCCTTGTGCCTTGCCTTGACTTGCTTTGCACCTTGCCTTGCCTTTTGCCTTCATTTGCCATGCTTTGTGCCTTGCCTTGCCTTGCTGGTCCCTTGACTTGCCTTGTGCCTTGCTTTCTCTTTGCTTGCCTTTTGCTTGCCTTGCCTTGCCTTGTGCCATGCCTTGGCCTTCCTTTGCCTCGCTTTCCCTTGCCTTGCCTTGACTTGTGACTCGCCTTGCCTTGCCGTGTGCCTTGCCTTCGCTTGTAACTTGCCTTATACCTTGCCTTGCGATGCCTTGCCTTGACTTGTGACTTGCCTTGCCTTGCTTTGTGCCTTGCCTTCACTTGCAACTTGCCTTATACCTTGCTTTGCGATGCCTTGTCTTGCTTTCCCTTGCCTTGCCTTGTGCCTTGGCTTTCCTTGCCTTGCATTTTACATTGCTTTGCCTTACCTTGTGCCTTGCCTTGTGCCTTGCCTTGCCTTTGTGCCATGCCTTGCCTTCTGCCTTGCCTTGCCTTGTGCCTTGCCTTGCCTTCTGCCTTGCATTTCTTTGCCTTGCCTTGTCTTGTGCCTTGCCTTGCATTGCATTGGCTTGCCTTGACTTGACTTGTGCATTGATTTGCCTTGCCTTGTTACTTGCCTTCCCTTGGCTTGTGCCTTGCTTGTGCCTTGATTTGCCTTGCCTTGTGCCTTGCATTGTGTTGCCTTGTGCCTTGATTTGCCTTGCCTTGCCTTGGCTAGTGCCTTGCCTTGCAAATTGCCTTGCCTTGCCTTGCCTCTCCTCGCCTCCTAAATTGCCTTCCCTTGCCTTGTAAATTGCCTTGCCTTATAAATTGCCTTTCCTTGTAAATTGCCTTGCCTTGTAACTTGCCTTCCCTTGTGCGTTGCCTTGCCATGCCTTGTCTTTCCTTGCCTTGTGCCTTGCCTTGCCTTGCTTGTGCCTTGCCTTGCCTTGTGCCTTGCTTTGCCTTGCGTTGTGCCTTGTTTGGTTTGCCTTGACTAGGGCCTTGCCTTGTTGTGCCTTGCTTTCTGCTTTGCTTTGACTTGCCTTGCCTTGTGCCTTGCCTTGCCTTGCCTTGCTTTACTTTTTGCTTTGCCTCACTATTCCCTTGTGCCTTGCCTTGACTTGCCTTGCACCTTGCCTTGCCTTGCCTTTTGCCTTCACTTCCCTTGCTTTGTGCCTTGCCTTGCCTTGCTTTGCCTGGTGCCTTGACTTGCCTTGTGCCTTGCCTTCCCTTTGCTTGCCTTGTGCCTTGCCTTCCCTTCACTTGCCTTGTGCCTTGCCTTCCCTTCGCTTTGCCTTGTGCCTTGCCTTGCTTTGTGCCTTGCCTTGCCCTGTGCCTTGCCTTGCCTTGCCTTGTGCCTTGCCTTGCCTTGCCTTGTGCCTTTCCTTGTGCCTTGATTTTCCTTGCCTTGTTCCTTGCCTTGCCTTGATTTGTGCCTTGTCTTGCCTTGCCTTGTGCCTTGGCTTGCCTTGTGTTTGCATTGCCTTGTCTTGCTTTGTCCCTTGCCTTGCCTTGTGCCTTGCCTTACCTTGCCTTGTGCCTTGCCTTGCCTTGTGCCTTGCCTTGCCTTGTGCCTTGCCTTGCTTGTGCCTTGCCTTGCATTGCTTTCCCTTGCCTTGTGCCTTGCCTTACCTCGCCTTGTGCCTTGCCTTGCCTTGTGGCTTGCCTTGCATTGCTTTCCCTTGCCTTGTGCCTTGCATTGACTTGCATTGTGCCTTGCCTTGCCTTGACTTGTGCATTGATTTGCTTTGTCTTATTACTTGCCTTCCTTTGGCTTGTTTCTTGCCTTGTGCCTTGCCTTGCTTTGTGCCTTGTGCCTTGCCTTGTGCCTTGGTTTGCCTTGCCTTGTGCCTTGCCTTGTCTTCCCTTGCCTTGCGCCTTGCACTGCCTGGCCTTGTGGCTTGCCCTATGCCTTCCCTTGCCTTGCTTTGTGCCTTGCCTTGGCTTGGCTTGTGCCTTGCCCTGCCTTGCCTAGCCTTGTAAACAGCCTTGCCTTGTAAATTGCCTTGCCTTGCCATGCCTTGTCTTGCCTTGTGCCTTGCCTTGCCTTGTCCCTTGCCTTGCTTTGTTCCTTGCCTTGTTCTGTGCCTTATCTTACCTTGCCTTGTGCCTTGCTTTGGCTTGCCTTGTCTTGGGACTTGCCTGGCTGTGCCTTGCTTTCTGACTTGCCTTGACTTGCCTTGCCTTGCATTTTGCTTTGCCTTGCCATTCTCCTGTGCCTTGCCTTGCCTTTTGCCTTTACTTGCCTTGCTTTGTTCCTTGCTTTGTCTTGCATTGCCCGGTGCCTTGACTTGCCTTGTGCCTTGCCTTCCCTTTGCTTGCCTTTTGCTTGCCTTGCCTTGTGCCTTGCCTTTCCTTGGCCTTGCCTGGTCTTGCTTTGCCTTGCCTTGCCTTGCACCTTGCCTTGTGCCTTGGCTTGCCTTGCCTTACCTTGCACCTTGCCTTGCGCCTTGGCTTGCCTTGCCTTACCTTGCCTTGCGCTTTGCATTGCCTTACCTTTCGCCTTGCCTTGTGCCTTGTGTTGCCTTGCTTGTGCCTTGTGTTGCCTTGCGTGTGCCTTGCCTTGTCTTGTGCCTTGCCTTGTGCCTTGCATTGCCTTTCTCCTTGCCTTGCGTTGACTTGTGCGTTGATTTGCCTTGCCTTCCCTTGGCTTGTGCCTTGCCTTGCCTTGTGCCTTGCCTTGCTTTGCCTCCCTTGTGACTTGCTTGTGCCTTGGTTTGCCTTGCCTTGCATTGCCTTGCCTTGTGCCTTCCCTTGCCTTGCCTTGTGCCTCGATTTGCCTTGGCTTGTGCCCTGTCTTGTCTTGGCTTGTGCCGTGCCTTGCCTTATAAATTGCCTTGCGTTGTGCCTTGCCTTGCCATGGCTTGACTTTCCATGCCTTGCCTTGTGCCTTGGCTTGCCTTCCCTTGCGCCTTGCCTTGCCTTGCCTTGCCTTGTGCCTTGACTTGCCTTGCCTTGTGCCTTGACTTGCCTTGCCTTGTGCCTTGACTTGCCTTGCCTTGTGCCTTGTGCCTTGTGTTGTTCTGTGCCTTACCTTGCCTTGCCGCTTGCCTTGCTTTGCCTTGCCTTGACTAGGGCCTTGCCTTGCCTATTGCCTTGACTTGCCTAGCTTTGTGCCTTGCCTTGCCTGGTGCCTTGACTTGCCTTGTGCCTTGCCTTCCCATCGCTTGCCTTTTGCTTGCCTTGCCTTGCCTTGTGCCTTCCCTTGCCTTGCCTTGCCTTGTGCCTTGATTTGCCTTGCCTTGGCTTGTGCCTTGCCTTGCTTTGCCTTGTACTTGCCTTGCCTTGTGCCTTGCCTTGTCTTGCTTATGCCATGCCTTGCTTATGCCTTGCCTTGCCTTGTGCCTTGCCTTGTGCCCTCCCTTTCCTTGTGCCTTGCGTTTTTCTGTGCCTTACCTTGCCTTGCCTCCTGCCTTGCTTTGGCTTGCCATGACTAGGGCCTTGCCTTGTGCCTTGCCTTGCCTTGCGTCCTCTCTTGCCTTGTGCCTTGCATTGTTCTGTGCGTTACCTTGCCTTGCCTCCTGCCTTGCTTTGGCTTGCCATGACTAGGGCCTTGCCTTGTTGTGCCTTGCTTTCTGCCTTGCCTTGACTTGACTTGCCTTGCCTTGCTTTTTGCTTTGCCTTGCCATTCCTTTGTGCCTTGCCTTGACTTGCCTTATGCCTTGCCTTTTGCCTTCACTTGCCTTGCTTTGTGCCTCTCCTTGCCTGGTGCCTTGCCTTGCTCTGCCTTGCCTTGCTTTGCCTTGTGCCTTGCCTTGCATTGCTTTGCCTTGCCTTGTGCCTAGCATTGCCTTGCATTTTGCTTGCCTTTCCTTGACTTGTGTGTCAATTTGCCTTGCCTTGTTACTTGTCTTCCCTTGGCTTGTGCCTTGCCTTGTGCCTTGCCTTACCTTGCCTTGTGTCTTGATTTGCCTTGCCTTGTGCCTTGCCTTGCCTTGCCTTGCCTTGCCTTGTGTTTTTTCTTGCCTTGTTCCATGCTTTACCTTGCCTTGCCTCACCTCGTGCCTTGCTTTGGCTTGCCTTGACTTGGACCTTGCCTTGCTGTGCCTTACTTTCTGCCTAGCCTAGCCTAGGCTTGCTTTTTGCTTTGCCTTGCCATTCCCTTGTGCTTTGCCTTGACTTGCCTTGCACCTTGCCTTGCCTTGCCTTGCCTTTTGCCTTCACTTGTTTTGCTTTGTGCATTGCATTGCCTTGCCTTGCCTGGTCTCTTGACTTGCCTTGTGCCTTGCCTTCCCTTTGCTTGCCTTTTGCTTGCCTTGCCTTGCCTTGTGCCTGGCCTTGGCCTTGCCTTGCTTGGCTTTGCCTTGCCTTGTGCCTTGCCTTTTGCCTTGCCTTCTGCCTTGTGCCTTGCACCTTGTCTTGCCTTGCTTGTGCCTTGCCTTGCCTTGTGTTTTACCTTGCGTTGTCTTGCCTTGGCCTTGTCTTGCCTAGCTGTGCCTTGCCTTGTGCCTTGTTTTGCCTTGTGCCTTGCCTTGTGCCTTGTTTTGCCTTGTGCCTTGCCTTGTGCCTTGTTTTGCCTTGTGCCTTGCCTTGCTTTGGCCTTGCCTTGTCTGGCTTTGCCTTGATTTGTGCCTTGACTTGTCGTGCCTTGCCTTGTACCTTGCCTTGTGCTTTCCCTTGCTTTGCCTTGTGCCTTGATTTGCCTTGTGTTGTGCCTTGCCTTGCCATCCCTTGTGCCTTGCCTTGCTTTGCCTTGCCTTGTAACTTGCCTTGCCTTGCCTTATACCTTGCCTTACTTTGCCTTGCCATGCTTTCTGCCTTGCCTTGTCTTGTCTTGTGCCTTGCCTTGTATTGCTTATCCTTGGCTTATGCCTTGCATTGCCTTGCCTTGTATTGCTTATCCTTGGCTTATGCCTTGCATTGCCTTGCCTTGTGACTTACCTTGCCTTGCCCTGTGTGTTGATTTTTTTGCCTTGCCTTGTTACTTGCCTTCCCTTGGCTTGTGCCTTACCTTGCCTTGTTTGCGCCTTGCCTTGCCTGTGCCTTGCCTTGCCTTGCCTTGTGCCTTGCCTTGATTTGGCCTTGCTTTGCCTGGCTTTGCCTTGCCTTGTGCCTTGCCTTGCCTTGCCTTTGCTTTGCCTTGGTTTGCCTTGCCTTGTGCCTTGCATTGCCTTGCCTTACGCCTTGCATTGCCTTGCCTTTTGCCTTGCCTTGCCTTGTAACTTGCCTTGCCTTGCCATGCCTTGCCTTGCCATTCCTTGTCTTTCCTTGTGTTTCCTTGCCTTGTGCCTTGCCTTGTTTTGTGCTTTGCCTTGCCTTGCTTGTGCCTTGAATTGCCTTGTGCCTTGACTTGCCTTGCCTTGCCTTGTGCCTTGTCTTGACTTCTTCTGTGCCTTACCTTGCCTTACCTTGTGCCTCATTTGGCTTGCCTTGCCTTGGGCTCTGCCTTTCTGTGTCTTGCTCTTTGCTTTGTTTTGACGTGCCTTGCCTTGTGCCTTGCCTTGCCTTGCTCTTTGCTTTGCCTTGCCATTCCCTTGCTCCGTGCCTTGCCTTTTGCCTTCACTTGCCTTGCTTTGTGCCTTGCGTTGCCTTGCCTTGCTTGGTGCCTTGACTTGCCTTGTGTCTTGAGTTCCCTTGGCTTGCCTTTTGTTTGCCTTGCCTTGTCCTTGCCTTGCCTGGCTTTGGCTTGCCTTGTGCCTTGCCTTGCCTTCCCTTTTGCTTTGACTTGCCTTGCCTTGAGCCTTGCCTTGCCTTGCCTTGCCTTGCGCCTTGCCTTGCTTGCCTTGTGCCTTGCCTTGCCTTGCCTGGTGCCTTGCTTTGTGCCTTGTCTTGCCTGATGCCTTTACTTGCCTTGTGCCTTGCGTTGCCTTGTGCCTTGGCTTGCCTTGCCTTGCTTTACCCTGCACTTTGCATTGCCTTGCTTTGCCTTGTGCCTTGCCTTGCTTTGCCTTGTGCCTTGCCTTGCCTTGCTTTGTGCCTTGCCTTGCCTTGCTTTGCTTTGTGCCTTGCCTTGCCTTGTGCCTTGCCTTGCCTTGTGCCATGCCTTGCCTTGTGCCGTGTCTTGCCTTGCTTTCTGCCTTGCCTTGCCTTGCCTTGCCTTCTGCCTTTTTTTGCTTTTCCTTGCTTTTCCTTGCCATGCCTTGTGCCTTGCCTTGCCTTGCTTTGCCTTGCCTTGTGCCTTGCCTTGCCTTGACTTGTGCGTTGATTTGCCTTGCCTTGTTACTTGCCTTCCCTTGGCTTGTGGCTTGTCTTGCCTTGCCTTGTGCCTTGCTTGTGCCTTGGTCTCCCTTACCTTGTGCCTTATCTTGTCTTGCCTTGTCTTGCCTTGCCTTGTATCTTGCATTGCCTTGCCTTGTGCCTTACCTTGTGCCTTCCCTTCCCTTGCCTTGCCTTGTGCCTTCCCTTGGCTTGCCTTGTAACTTGCCTTGCCTTATGCCTTGCCTTGCCTTATTCCTTGTCTTGCCATGCCTTGCCTTGCTTTGCCTTTTGCCTTGCCTTGCCTTGCATTGTGCCTTGCCTTGCCTTGCCTTGCCTTGTGCCTTGCCTTGCCTTGCCTTGCCTCGTGCCTTGCTTTGGCTTGCCTTGACTTGGGTCTTGCCTTGCCTTGCCTTGATTTTTGCTTTGCCTTGCCATTTCCTTGCAGCTTGCCTGGACTTGCCTTGTCCCTTGTCCCTTGCCTTGCCTTTTGCCTTCACTTGCCTTGCTTTGTGCTTTGCTTTGCCTGGTGCCTTGACTTGACTTGTGCCTTGCCTTCCCTTCACTTGCCTTTTGCTTGCGTTGCCTTGTGCCTTGCCTTGCCTTGGCCTTGCCTTGCCTGGCTTTGCCTTGCCTTGTGGCTTGCCTTGTCTTGCCTTGCCTTGTGCCTTGCCATGTGCTTTCCCTTGCCTTGCCTTGCCATGTGCCTTGCGTTACCTTTGCTTGTGCCTTGCCTTGCCTTCTGCCTTGCCTTGCCATGCTTTGTCTTGCCTTTTCTAGTCTTGCCTTGTGCCTTGCTTTGCCTTGCTTTGTAGCTTTCCTTGTGCCTTGGCTTGCCTTGTGCTTTGCATTGCCTTGCCTTACCCTGTGCCTTGCCTTTTGCCTTGCCTTGCCTTGTGTTGCTTTGTGCCCTGCCTTGTGTTGCTTTGTGCCTGCCTTGCCTTACCTTGTGCCTTCCCTTGCCTTGCTTTGTGCTTTGCCTTGCCTTTTGCCTTGCTTTGTGCCTTGGCTTGCCTTCTGCCTTGCCTTGCGCCTTGCCTTGCGCCTTGCTTTGCTTTGCCTTGTCATGCCTTGTGCCTTGCCTTCCCTTCTGCCTTGTCTTGCATTGCTTTGCCTTGCCTTGTACTTTGCTTTGTGCCTTGCCTTGCCTTGCCTTGCCTTGACTTGCACGTTGATTTTCCTTACCTTGTTACTTGACTTCCCTTGGCTTGTGCCTTGCCTTCCCTTGTGCCTTGCCTTGCCGTGTGCCTTGGTTTGCTTTCCCTTGTGCCTTGCCTTGGCCTTGTTTTCCTTGGCTTTTCTTTGCCTTGTGCCTTGCCTTGCCTTGCCTTGCACCTTGCCTGTGGCTTGCATTGCCTTGCCTTTTGCCTTGCTTTGCCTTGTTTTGTGCCTTGATTTGCCTTGCCTTGCCTTGGCTTGTGCCTTGCCTTGTAACTTGCCTTGTGCCTTCCCTTGTTATGTGTTGTCTCTCCTTTCCTTTCCTGGCCTTGTTTTGCCTTGTGCCTTGCCTTGCCTTGCCTTGCTTGTGCCTTGCCTTGTGCCTTGTCTTGCCTTGCCTTGTGCCTTGTGTCTTGCCATGCCTTGTCCTGCCTTCCCTTGACTTGCCTTGCCTTGCTTTGCCTTGCACTTTGCATTGCCTTGCCTTGCCTTGCCTTGTGCCTTGCCTTGCCTTGCCTTGCACTTTGCATTGCCTTGCCTTGCCTTGCCTTGTGCCTTGCCTTGCCTTGCTTCCTGCCTTGCTTTGTCTTGTGCCTTACTTTGCTTTGTGCCTTGCCTTGCTGTGCCTCGCTTTCTGCATTGCCTTGACTTGCCTTGCCTTGTGCCTTGCCTTGCCTTGCTTTTTGCTTTGCCTTGCCATTCCCTTGTGCTTTGCCTTGACTTGCACCTTGCCTTGCCTTTTGCCTTCACTTGCCTTGCTTTGTGCCTTGCCTGCCTTGTGTTGCCTGGTGCCTTAACTTGCTTTGTGCCTTGCCTTCCCTTCCCTTCATTTGTCTTTTGCTTGCCTTGTCTTTCCTTTTGCCTAGCCTTGCCTTGCCTGGCTTTGCCTAGCCTTTTGCCTTGCCTTGACTTGACTTGTGTCTTGCCTTGTCTTGCCTTGCGCCTTGCATTGCCTTGCATTATGCCTTGCCTTGCTTCCTGTCTTGCTTTGCCTTGTGCTTTACCTTGCTTTGTGCCTTGCCTTTTCTTGTGCCTTACCTTGCTTCCTGCCTTGCTTTGCCTTGTGCCTTACCTTGCTTTGTGCCTCGCCTTTCCTTCTGCCTTGCCTTGTGCCTTGCCTTGCTGTGCCTCACTTTCTGCCTTGCCTTGACTTGTGCCTTGCCTTGCCTTGCTTTTTGCTTTGCCTTGCCATTCCCTTGTGCCTTGACTTGACTAGACTTGCACCTTGCCTTGCCTTGCCTTGCCTTGTGCCTTGCCTTGCCTTTTGCCTTCGCTTGGCTTGCCTTGCCTTGCCTTCCGTTGCCTGGTGCCTTAACTTGCCTTGTGCCTTGCTTTCCCCTCACTTGTCTTTTGCTTGCCTTGCCTTTCCTTGTGCCTAGCCTTGCTTGGCCTTGCCTTGCCTGGCTTGGCTTTGCCTTGCCTTGTCTCGCCTTGCCTTACGCTTTGCATTGCCTTGCCTTGTGCCTTGCCTTCTGCTTTTCCTTGCCTTGCCCTGTGCCTTCATTTGCCTTGCCTTGTTCTTTGCCTTGGCTTGTGCCTTGCCTTGCCTTATGCCTTGCCTTGTTTTCTGTCTTGGTTTGCCTTGTGCCTTGCCTTGCCTTGCTTTGCCTTGTGTCTTGCCTTGTTTTGCCTTGTGCTTTGCCTTGCCTTGCCTTGCCTTGCCTTGCTTGTGCATTGCCTTGCCTTGCTTGTGCGTTGCCTTGCCTTGCCTTTCTTGTGCCTTGCCTTGCCTTGTTCCTTGTCTTGTTCTGTGCCTTACCTTGCTGTGCCTTTTGCCTTGCTTTGGCTTGCCTTGATTTGGGCCTTGCCTTGGTATGCCTTGCTTTCTGCCTTGTCTTGACTTACCTTGCCTTGTGCCTTGCCTTGCCTTGTCTGTGCTTTGCCTTGCCTTGCCTTGCCTTGCCTTCCTTTGTGCCTAGCCTTGCCTTGCCTTGTGCCTTGCCTTGCCTAGCCTTGCCTTGCTCCTTATGTTGCCTTGCATAGAGCCTCACTTTGCCTTGCCTTGTGCCTTACCTTATGCCTTACCGTGTTCCTTGCCTTGCCTTGCCTCGGCTTGTCCTTGCCTTGCCTTGCCTTGGCTTGTTCCTTGTCTTGACTTGCCTTCTGAATTGTAATGCCTTGTGCCTTGCCTTGCCTTGTTCTTTGCCTTACCTTGCTTTGTGCCTTACCTTGCCTTGCCTTGCCTTGTCTTGAGCCTTGCCTTGCCTTGTCCCTTCCCTTGCCTTGTCCCTTCCCTTGCCTTGTGCTATGCGTTGCCTTTCCTGGCCTTGGCTTGTGCTTTGCCTTGTCTTATAGTGCTTTGCCTTGCCTTGCCTTCTGAATTGT
Organism: Homo sapiens; assembly: GCF_000001405.40. NCBI lineage: Eukaryota > Metazoa > Chordata > Mammalia > Primates > Hominidae > Homo > Homo sapiens. The sequence goes on from NC_000023.11 coordinate 30,799,230, forward strand.
GATGCCTTCCTTTGTGCCTTGCCTTGCCTTGCCTTCTGAATTGTGATGCCTTCCTTTGTGCCTTGCCTTGCCTTGTACCTTTTCTTGCCTTGCATTGCCTCCTGCCTTGCCTTGTCTTGTTTCTTGCCTTGCCTTGCTTTCTCTCTTGCCTTGACTTGCCTTGCCTTGTGCCTTGCCTTGTTTTTCCTTGCTTTGTATATTGCTTTGCATTGGCTTTGCCTTGCCTTTTGCCTTGCCTTGCCTTTTGCGTTGCCTTGCCTTGCCTTGCCCTGCCTCCCCTTACCTTGCCCTGCCTCGCCTTGCCTTGCATTTCCTTGCCTTGTGTCTGGTGCCTTGTTTGCCTGGCTTTGTGCCTTGCCTTCCCTTGTGTCTTGCCTTCCCTGGTGTCTTGCCTTGACTTGCCTTGTTTTGCTTTGCCTGGCTTTGTCTTGCCTTGCCTTGTGCCTTGTTTTGCCTTGCTTTGTGCCTTGTTTTGCCTTGCTTTGTGCCTTGTTTTGCCTTGTGCCTTGCCTTGGCCTGACTTTCCTTGTGCCCTGCCTTGACTTGCCTTGCTTTGCCTTGCCATGTTCTGTGCTTGGCCTTGCCCTTTGCCTTGCTTTCCCTTGCCTTGCCATGCCTTGCACCTTGCCATTCCTTGCAATGCCTTGTCTTACCTTGACTTGCCTTGTGCCTTACCTTGTGCCTTGTCTTGCTGTGCCTTTTTTTTTTTTTTTTTTTGAGGCAGAGTCTCGCTCTTTCGCCCAGGCTGGAGTGCAGTGGCGTGATCTTGGCTCTCTTTAAGCTCCGCCTGCCGGGTTCATACCATTCTCCTGCCTCAGCCTCCCAAGTAGCTGGGACTACAGGTGCCCGCCACCACGCCCAGCTAATTTTTTTGCATTTTTTAGTAGAGATGGGGTTTCACCGTGTTAGCCAGGATGGCCATGCCTTTTTAGTGTCTTGCCTTTCTTGCCTTGCTTTCTCTTGCCTTATGCCTTGAATTGACTTGCCTTGCCTTGCCTTATGCCTAGCCTTTTCTTGCCCTGTGACTTGCCTTGCCTTGTCTTGCATTGTGCCTTGCTGTGCCTTGCCATGCCTTATGTCTAGACCTGCCTTGCCTTGTGCCTTTCCTTGCCTTGTGTCTTCCCTTGCCTTGCCTTGTGTCTTCCCTTGCCTTGCACCTTGCCTTGCCATGCCTTGTGCCTTGTTTTGCCTTGTGCCTTGTCTTCTGCCTTGCCTTACCTTGCCTTTTGCCTTCCTTGCAATGCCTTCTGCCTTGTCTTGCCTTGAGTGTTGCCTTGCCTTTCCTTGCCTTGTGCCTTCCCTAGACTTTCTTTGTGCCTTGACTTGTACCTTGTTTTTCATTGCCATGCCTTGAGCCTTCCCTAGACTTTCTTTGTGCCTTGACTTTTACCTTGTTTTTCATTGCCATGCCTTGCCGTACCTTGCCTTGTGCCTTGCCATGACTTGCCTTGTGCCTTGCCATGACTTGTCTTGCCTTTGCTTTGCATTGCCTTGCCTTTGCTTTGCATTGCCTTGCCTTGTGCCTTGCCTTGCCTTTCTTTGTGCCCATTCTTGCCTTGCCTTCTGCCTTGCCTTGTGTTTTGCCTTGCCTTGTGCCTTGCCTTGCTTATGCCTTACCTTGCTTTGTGCCTAACCTTGCCTTCCCTTTTCTAGTGTCTTGCCTTGTGCCTTGCCATGCCTCATCTTGCCCTGCCTTGTTCCTTGCCTTGCCTCGTTCCTTGCCTTGCCTTGCATTGCCTTGCTTGGGCATTGCCTTGCTTTGCCTTGCTTTGCCTTTTGCCTTGCCTTTTGCCTTGCCTTTCATTGCCTTATTTTGTGCTTTGCCTTGCCTTGCCTTGCCTTTTGTCTTGTCTTACCTTGCCTTGTGCCTTGCCTGGACTTGCCTTTTGCCTTGCCTTGCCTTGTGCCTTGCCTTGCCTTGGTCTTACCTTGCCTTGCCTTGTGCCTTGTCTTGCTTTGCCTTGTGCCTTGCCTTGCCTTGCTTTGCCTTGCCTTGTGCCTTACCTTTCCTTTCCTTGCCTTGTTTGTGCCTTGCCTTGCCTTTTGTGTTTGCCTTGCCTTGTCTTGTGCCTTGCCTTGCTTTGTTTTGCCTTTTGCCTTGCCTTGCTTGACTTGCCTTGCGCCTTGACTTGCCCTGCCTTGGTTTGTGCTTTTCCTTGCCTTGCCTTGTGCCTTACCTTGCCTTGCAGCTTGCCTCGCCTTGCCTTGTGCCTTGCCTCGCCTTGCCTTGTGCCTTTCCATGCCTTGCCTTGTTTCCCTCCTTGCTTTGCCTTTTGTTTTGCCTTGCCTTATACCTTGCCTAGCCTTCTGCCTTGCCTTGTCTTGTTTTCTGCCTTCCTTGCCTTGCCTTTTCTTATGCCTTTCCTACATTTGCCTTGTGCCTTGGCTTGACTTGCCTTCCCTTCCCTTGTGCCTTGCCTTACCTTGCCTCGCCTTGTGCCTTTTCATACCTTGCCCTGTGCCTTGCCTTGCCTTTTGCCTTGCCTCACCTTGCCTTGCCTTACCATGCCTTACCTTGCCTCACCTTGTGTTTTGCCCTACATTGCCTTGTGCCTTGCTTTGTGCCCAGGCTTGCCTTGCCTTTTGCCTTGCCTTGCCTTATGTTTTGCTTTGCCTTGCCTTGTGTTTTGCCTTGCCTTGCCTTGTGCCTTGCCTTGCGTTGCCTTGCTTGGGCATTGCCTTGCTTTGCCTTTTGCCTTGCTTTTCATTCCCTTATTTTGTGCTTTGCCTTGCCTTGCTTTTTTTCTTGTCTTGCCTTGCCTTGTGCCTTGCCTCGACTTGCATTGTGCCTTGCTTTGTGTTGCCTTGCATTGTGTCTTGCCTTGAATTGCCTTGTGCCTTTTCTGACCTTGCCTTGTGCCTTTCCTTGCCTTGTGCCTTGCCTCGCCTTGACTTATGCCTTGGCTTGCCTTGCCTTGCATTCGCTTGTGATTTGCGTTTCCTTCCCTTATGCTTTCCTGGCCTTACCTTGTGCCTTGCCTTGCTTTGCCATGCCTTACTCCTTGCCTTGGCTTGTGCCTTGCCGTGCCTTATGCCTTGCCTTGCCTTGTGATTTGCCTTGTGCCTTCCTTGCCTTGCCTTCTGCCTGGCCTTGCCTTGCCTTGTGCCTTCCCTTGTTTTGCCTTGTGCCTTTTCTCACTTTGCCTTGTGCCTTTTGTTTCCCGGCCTTCCGCCTTGCCAGGCCTTACCTTGAATTATGCTTTGCCTTGCCTTGCCTTGTGCCTTTCCTTGCTATGACCTTGCCTTACCTGGCCTTGCCTGGCCTCGCCTTGCCTCGTGCCTTGCCTTGTCTTGGCTTGCCTTGTGCCTTGTCTTGCCTTGTCTTGTGCCTTGACTTGTCTTGCCTACCCTTGTGACTTTCTTGCCTTGCCTTGTGCCTTGCCTTGTGTTTCCTTGCCTGTGTCTTGACTTGTGTTGGCCTTGCCTTGCCTGACTTTGCCTTGCCTTGTGCCTTCCCTTGCATTGCCTTGTTTTGTGCCTTTCCCTGCCTTGCCTTATGCCTTGGCTTGCCTTGTCTGGCCTTGCCTCTTGACTTGGTTTGCCTTGCCTAGTGCCTTGCCTTGCCTTGCCTTGTACTTTGCCTTGCCTTGTCTTGCCTTGTGACTAGCCTGACCTTCTTTGTACTTTACCTTGCCCTGTCTTGCCTTGTGACTTGCCTGGCCTTGCTTGTGCCTTGCCATGTGTTGCCTTGCCTTATGCCTGACCTTGCCTTGTGCCTTGCCTTGCCTTTTCTTGCCTTGTGTCTTGCCTTGTGCCTTGCCTTGCCTTGAATTGCCTTGTGTTTTGCCTTGCCTTTTCTTGTCTTGTGCCTTGTCTTACCTTCCCTCATGACTTTTTTGCCTTGCCTTGCCTTCCCTCATGACTTTTTTGCCTTGCCTTGTGCCTTCCCTGCGATACCTTGCTTTGTGTCATCCTTGTGTTCACTTTGCCTCACTTTGCCTTGCTTTGTGTTTTGCCTTTCCTCGACTTTCCTTTTGCCTTTCCTGGCCTTGACTTGTGCCTTGCCTTTCCATGCCTTGTGCCCTGCCTTGCTTTCGCTTGTGCCTTGCCTTGACTTGCTTCGTGCCTTCTTATGACTTGCCTTGTGCCTTGCCTTGCCTTGCCTTGCCTTGCGCCTTGCCTTGTGCCTTACCTAGCTTTGCCTTGTGCCTTACCTAGCCGTGCCTTGTGCCTTGCCTTGCCTTGCTTTGTTCTTGGCCTTGTCTTGCCACGTGTCCTGCCTTGGTTTGATTTTTGCCCTGCCTTGCCTTGCCTTGCCTTGCCTTTCCTTGTGCCTAGCCTTGCCTTGCCTTCTGTTTTGCCGTGCCTTTTTTGCCTTGCCTTGTGCCTTGACATGCCTTGCCTTGTGTCTTACTTGCCTTGCTTTGAGCCTTGCCTTGCCTTGTGTGTTTCCTTCCCTTGGCTTGCCTTTTGTTTTGCCTTGCCTTGCCTTGTGCCTTGCCTTGCCTTGCCTTGTGCCTTGACATGCCTTGCCTTTTCTTGCCTTTCATTTTGCCTTGCTTTGCATTGCCTTGTGCCCTGCCTTGCCTTCCATTGCCTTGTGCCTCTCCTTGCCTTGGCCTTGCATTGCCTGGCTTTGCCTTGCCTTGTGCCTTGCCTTGCCTATTTCCTTTTTTTGCTTTGCCTTGCCTTGCCTTGTGCTTTGACTTGCTTTGCCTTGTGTATTGCGTTGCACTGCTTTGCCTTGTGGCTTGCCTTGACTTCTGCCTTGCCTTGCCTTGCATTGTCTTGCCTTGTGCCTTGTCTTGCCTTGTCTTGCACGTTTCCTGGAGTTACCCTGCCTTGTGCCTTACATTGCCTTGCCTTGTGCCTTGCCTTTCCTTGCCTTACCTTGTGTCTTGCCTTTGTTTGTCTTGTGCCTTGGCTTGCTTTTTCTTGCCTTGTGCCTTGCCTTGCTTGTGCCTTTTCTTAGGTCGCATTGCCTTGTGCTTTGGCTTGCCTTGCCTTGTCACTTTCCTTGCCTTTTTTTGCTTGTACTTTGCATTGCCTTGCCTTGCACCTTGCCTTGTGTTGCCTTGCATTGTGCCTTGCCTTGCCTTGTGCCTTGCTTTGCCTTGCTTTGTGCCTTGCCTCGTCTTGTACTTTGCCTTGCCTTCCCTTGAGTTTTGCCTTGGCTTGCCTTTCCTTGCGCCTTGCCTTGACTTCCCTTGCTTCATTTTGTCATGTGCCTTGCCTTGTTTTTTCCCTTGCCTCACCCTGCCTGGACTTACCTTTATTGCCTTGCCTTGTTCCTTGCCTTGCTTTTTACCTTGTCTTCCCTTGTACCTTGCCTTGCCTTGTGATGCCTTGCCTTGTGCCTTGTCTTGCCTTACCTTTCCCTGAGCCTTGCCGTTCTTGCCTTGCCTTATGCCTTGTGCCTTGGCTTGCCTTTGCTTGTTTCTTGCCTCTCTTGCCTTGCCTTGCATTTTACTTTTCATTGCCTTGCCTTGTGGTTAGCCTTTCCTAGCCTTGTAACTTGCCTTGTCTTGCCTTGCATTGTGTTTTGCCTTGCCTTGCCTTGTGCCTTTCCTTGTCTTGTGCCTTTCCTTGCCTTGTGCCTTGACTTGTCTTGTGCCTTTCCTTGCCTTGAGCCTTGCCTTGCCTTGCCTGGTGCCTCGCCTTGTGCCTTTCCTTGCCTTGTGCCTTGCCTTGCCCTGTGCCTTGCCTTGCCATGTGCTTTGCCTTGCGTTGCCTTGTGCCTAGGCTTTCCTTACCTTGTGACTTGCCTTGCCTTATGTTGCACTGTGCCTTGCCTTGCCTTGCCTTGCCTTGCCTTCTGCCTTCTCCCTTGCCTTGACTTGCCTTACCTTGTGCCTTGCCTTGCCTTGTACCTTGCCTTTTTTTGCCTTGTACCTTGCCTTTCCTTGCCTTGTGCCTTGCCTTGCTGTGCCTTGCCTTGTGCCTTGCATTGACTTGCCATGCCTTGTGTCTTGCCTTGCCTTGTGCCTTGCCTTTCTTTTCCTTGTGCCTTATCTTGCCTTGCCTTGTGCCTTGCTTACCTTTCCTCGTGCCTTCCCTTGACTTGCTTGTGCCTTGCCTTCCCTTGCCTTGCCTTGCCTTGTGCCTCGTCTTGTGTCTTTCCTTGCCTTGTCTTGTGCCTCGTCTTGTGTCTTTCCTTGCCTTGTCTTGTGCCTTGCCTTGCCTTGCGCCTTGTATTGACTCAGCTTGTGCCTTGCTTTGCCTTACCTTTTGTTTTACCTTTCCTTTCCCTGCCTTCTACCTTGCCTTGCCTTGTGCCTTGCCTTGCTTTGTACCTTGCCTTTCCCTGCCTTCTACCTTGCTTTGCCTTGTGCCTTGCCTTGCCTTGCCTTGCCTTGCTTTGTACCTGGCTCTGCCTTGCCTTGTTTTGTCTTGCACCTTGCCTGACTTGCCTTGTGCCTTGCTTTGTGTTGCCTTGCCTTATCTTGCCTTGGCTTGCCTTGTGCCCTTAAATCTCCTTGCCTTGCCTGGAATTGCCTTGTTTGGAGCCTTGCCTTATGCCTTGCCTTGCCTTGTGTCATGCCTTGTTTTTTGCCTTGCCGTGCCTTCTGCCTTGCCTTGCCTTGCCTTGCCTTGTGCCTTGGCTTGCCTTACCTTGTCCCTTGCCTTGCATTGCTTTGCCTTGTGCCTTGCCTTGATCTGCCTCGTGCCTTGCCTTGCCTCGCCTTCCCTTCCCTTGTGCCTCACTTTGCCTTGCTTTGATTTGCCTAGTGTTTTGTCATGCCTTGCCATGTGCCTTGCCTTGCCATGTGCCTTGCCTTGCCATGTGCCTTGTGTTGCCTTGCACCTTGCCTTGTGTTGCCTTGCCATGTGTTTTGCCTTGCTTTGTTTTGTTCCTTGATTTGCCTGGCCTGCCTTCTGCCTTGACTTGCATTGCCTTGGCCTTGCCTCGCATTGACTTTCCTTCTGCCTTGCCTTTCCTTGCCTTGCCTACCTTGTCCCATTCCTTGCCTTGCCTTGTGCCTTGCTGTCTCTTGCCTTGCTTTGTGCCTTGCCTTGCCTTGCCTTGCCTTGCCTTGGTGCTTGCCCTGCCTTGCCTTGCCCTGTGTCTTGCCTTACCTTGCCTGGTGTCTTGCCTTGCATTGCCTTACCTTGTGCTTTGCCTTGCCTTGCCTTGTGTCATGGTTTGCCTGGCCTCGCCTTGTTTTGTACTTTGCCTTGCATTGCCTTTGGACTTGCCTTGCCTTGCCTTTTCTTGTGCTTTGCCTTCTGCCTTGCCTTGCCTTTCCTTGTGCCTTGCATTGCCTTGCCTAGTTTTTCTTTATGCCTTGCCTTGCATTGTACCTTGCCTTGCCTTGCCTAACCTTGCATTGTGCCTCGCGTTGGGACGTGCCTTGCATTGCCTTCCTTTGTGCCTTGCCTTGCCTTGCCTTGCCTTGCCTTGCCTTATGCCTTACCTCGCCTCGTGTCTTGCCCTGCCTTGCCTTGCGTTGTGCCTTGCATTGCCTGGTTCTGCCTTTGCCCTTGCCCTTGCCCTTGCCTTTGCCTTTGCCTTTCCCTTGCCCTTGCCTTGCATCTCATTCTGTCACCCAGGCTGGAGTGCCTGGGTGGTGTCATCATGGCTCACTGCGGCTGAGCCTCTGGAACCCAAGCAATTCCCCCACCTCAGCCTCTTAAGTAGCCGGGGCTACAGTTGCGTGCCACCACACCTAGCGAATTTTAAAATTTTTTATAGAGACAGGGTCCCACTATGTTTCCAAGGCTAGTCTCAAACTCCTAGACTCAAGTGATTCTTGTGCCTTGGCCACCCAAAGTTCTGAGAGTACATGTGTAAGCCACCGCATTTGGCTTCCCTGTTGTTAATTAATTCATGACTGCTAAGAATTTATCTGGTGCTGCTTAGAGAAAAAAAATTGTAGAACAATTCTATTTTTTATCTAAGATACTTGCATGTTGAGATGCCATCCACATTTAGCCATTTAATACATAATATTGGTTTAACATTTTATCGAGGAAAGCCTGCCCTAGCACCAATAGGAAAAAATCAAACAACAAATGGATGGGCTGTTAGATCTTTCAAAACTGTTTATGGGCCAGGTGCGGTGGCTCAGGCCTATAATCCCAGCACTTTGGGAGGCTGAGGCAGGAGGATTGCTTGAGCCAGGAGTTCCAGACCAGCCTGGGCAACATAGCGAGATCTGTCTCTGCAAAAATAAAAAATTAACAACAGAAAACACTAGCTGGCCATGGTGGTGTGCACCTATAATTCTACCTGCTTGGGAGGCTGAGGTGGGAGGATTGTTTGAGCCCAGGAGTTTGAGGCTACAGTGAGCTATGATTGCACAGCTGCATTCCAGCCTGGGCAACAGAGCCAGACCTAGACCCTGTCTCAAAAAAAAAAAAAATGCTTAGGGAATAGTGCTCATATTGTTTTATCATTATTTGCTTGAGAGAGAATTAAAACTGGGATATTTTTGAAGAGAAATGTTGAAGGTTCACAAAAACAAGTACTATTATTCTTCAATTTATTACTACTTTCTGGGTGGTAGAAAAATAATCTGATAAATATTTCAGAAATTTTCCTTCAAACTTATTCATTATTCATTTAATTCAACATTCTTTCAGTAGATATTTATTGAATGCTTAGAATATGCCAAGCACTGTTTTAAACTCTTGGGACTCATCAGTGCAGGGTGGACATCCTGATTGTAAAAGGCTCTCAGCCTCCCCTCACACACCGCAGCAACTGTCTTTTAATTACTCTAGATTTTATTGTTCCTTTTGCCTCTGCATAAAGATCCATGTGACACTAAAATGGTAAACATCTACTGTCCCTAATGAGACTCCAATATCCAAGACTAAATCCTCCTTTTTAAAAAAGCAGAGCGTTTTCCTTTAGCTGCTGTGAGAAGGATTTTATAGCTCACCCTGGCGTTTTTGGTAGGAAGAGAGCACTTCTAGAATGATTATGACTTGGAACGCATCTTCCTTATACTCTATGATTTTTTTTTCCTGAATCCCACCATCAAATATTCTCTGAGCTACGGCAATCTTAGTTAAAATTTTTCCTCTTCACCAAAAAACACAAACTGTATATCAAGTTCAAAGTGAGCAAAACTGATTGGTGATAAAGCAATGGTTACCCTTTCTGGAGAACTAACTCAGATGGGTAACAAAAGAGCCTTCTGAGATGCCTGAAATATCCCATATCTTGATCTGGTTGAGTATATGGGTGTCTATATATGTAAAAATTTTCACGCTGTACATTGAAGATGTGTGTACTTTTATATATCAGTAACTTAAATGAGAAAATAGATTCTTATCCTCTCTCATTAAAATAAGTCATCTGTTGCACTCTCTCCAGTTTTTCCATTTAATTTTTTCATTTTAATTTACATGTTTATTTTCAAATATCTCTTGAATATTAAACTCTTTAGTTTTGCAGCATAAATTATTAGTAATTAAAGTCCCTGGCATGAGAAAATGGTAGGGATTCTGGTCTAAGTTGTAATTATGTGGAGAGTAAAATAACAGAAACTCACATATAGATCACAAACAGAAGCCATACTCTTATGTTCCGTGAACTAGAACTCAGAGGTTTCTAGTACTAAAAGGAAGATATGGAAAATGAATCCTGAAGGACAATTAAGGGCTATACTAGACCAAGTATTTCTGGGAATTCTCAAGATCCTTTACCTGGGTCCACAGTTCTGGTGGATAAAGGGCTACCATGGCCAGATAAGCTGGGATCCCACTGCTGAACCTCTCTGTCCCCCAAGCTGAAGTTCGCAGCTGTGCCTTCATGTCCATCTGCGATGATTTCAAAGTTTCTTCACCATTTACACACACCCCTTTAAAAATAAGAGAGCACTAGGCACTCCCTCCGTCTTTCTCAGTAGTATTAATAGAGTGATCCTAGAATGGGGTACTTGGGCCTGGGAAGACTGCAGAATGGGGTTCCTGCATGCAGGCTTCGCCCTGAGGGCATAGCACACTTCCTTAGTGGCCCGGGCCAGGGCTGCTCTGGCACTGTTGGACAACCTGTGCTGTCCTCATACTGGGGTCAGAACCATCACTGCGTCTCAATCCTCCACTGAGACTGGCTGGCTGTATTAAGCTTCTCTTTCCTTTGTGACAAAATATCTCAGTGGCACTACCATTCATTCATGAAATATGACTATTGTCAGCTCCCCATCCCCACCCCCAACAATCTTCTTGACTTATTGACCCAAGTATACCAGACATTCTTTCAATCGAGTCTTTTTTTTTTTTTTTTCTTTTGAGACAAGGTCTGGCTCTGTCACCCAGGCTGGAATGCAGTGGCACAATCTCGGTTCACTGCAACGTCTGCCTCCTGGGCTCAAGCCATCCTCTCATCTCAGCCTACCACGTAGCTGAGACCACAGGTGTATACCACCATGCCCGGCTAAATTTTGTAGACATAGGGTTTCGCTATGTTGCCCAGGCTGGTCTCAAATTCGTGAGCTCAAGTTATCTACCTGCCTCGTCCTCCCAAACTGCTGGGATTACAGGTGTGAGCCACTGCACCCAGCCTCAATCAAGTCTTTATGAAGCTCCCATTATTTGCCAGGCAGTATGTACGACTGTATATGTGTATAGAAAAAAACCTCATTTGGAGACATGAGTTTTTCTTTTGTCTTAAATTGCTCCTCAGCAGTGTGTAAAACAAGGGCTAGCATTAGGCAGAAAGATGTGGCTTAAATCTACTTACCAGAATATTCAAGTCCCAGCTCCATGTCAGCAAAAAAAATGCTCAACCACTTTTTTTTTTTTTTGAGATGGAGTCTCGCTCTTGTTGCCCAGGCTAGAGTGCAGTGGCGCAATCTCGGCTCACTGCAACCTCACCCTCCTGGGTTCAAGCTCAGCCACTTAATTTTTATGAGAGATAAACCTAGAATGTGCCAAGTGGAAAGCCTATCCGTTGACCAAAGGTAATGTGTTTATACTAGTCCAAATAACTGGTTATGAAAAAGCCAGAGTTCTAAAGTTAAGATGGAAAAGTGAGCCTGTGTATGTGAATTTTTTTTTTTTTTTTTTCAGATGGAGTCTCACTCTGTCGCCCAGGCTGGAGTGCATTGGCGCGATCTCAGCTCACTGCAGGCTCCGCCCCCTGGGGTTCACGCCATTCTCCTGCCTCAGCCTCCCGAGTAGCTGGGACTACAGGCGCCCGCCACCTCGCCCGGCTAATTTTTTGTATTTTTAGTAGAGACGGGGTTTCACTGTGTTAGCCAGGATGGTCTCGATCTCCTGACCTTGTGATCCGCCTGCCTCGGCCTCCCAGAGTGCTGGGATTACAGGCGTGAGCTACCGCGCCCGGCCGTGAATTTTTTTTCATTTGATCTCTTGTGTCAAAAGCACAAACAGCACAAAAGCTATCAAAATTTAAAGGGTTAATGATGTAAGAGTACTTTAAGCCAAGTATATTTTGATGACCATGTGACTCAACCAAATCTACGACTCACTTTCAATGCAGATACATTTAAAAATCTCAAAAAGAGCCCCACTTTAGCGAAGTCAAATTTTCATGACAATTGCTTCACATCCATAGGCTCTCAGGTATTTCACCAAAGTAGATGGTGTATGGCTGGTCATGGTGGCTCATGCCTGTAATCCCAGCACTTTGGAAGGCCGAGGCAGAGGGATCTTTTGAGCCCAGGAGTTTGAGACCAGCCTGGGCAACATGGCGAAACCCTGTCTCTACCAAAAATACAAAAAATTAGTTAGGTCTGGTGGTGCGTGCCTGTGGTCCCAGCTACTCAGGAGGCTGAGATGGGAGGATCCCTTGAGCCCGGGAGGCGGAGGTTTCAGTGAGCCGAGATTGCACCACTGCACTCCAGCCTGGGTGACAGAGTGAGACCCCCCTATCATAAATAAATAAATAAATAAATAAATAAATAAATAAATAATAAAGTAGGTGGTGTTATCAGGAGGTCAAAATCCTAGTCCTCAGACATTTTAAAGTAAAAACTTTTGCTACTCTAGTCCAGTGGTTCTAATTCCTGGCTGGAGATAGAATTATTAGGGAGTTTTTAAAACATTGATTCCTGGGTCCCAACAGCTATTAACTTCTGAGTTAGGCGGCCTAGGGTGAGGTCTGAACAAGATCTAGTCATGTAAAGCGTGACTGTACCTTAGATTGGGGAAAAAAATCTGCAGCTCACGTTGGCTTAAAGATAATACAGGACATAAAACAACAATCCATCCATCAACTGAAATTGTATAACTCTAGCAATTTTAGGGGGCCCAATCATCAGGCAAACATCCTTCAAGATCAAACTAAAGACAAAGGGCACCTGCTCAAAATGGGTATAAAATCTCAAGTTTCTGTGGCAGAGATAGGCATCTTCCATTCCATTGCTGGAGATATGTGGGGCTCCCTCAGAGAAGACTTAGAGACCAGAAATGAAATCAGTATGTCCTTTTGTCAGAATACCCATTTGTAAGAGTTGCGTAGAGCTCAGGAGCATAAAAAAGCACTACAGGGTGGGCCCAGTGGCTCACACCTGTAATTTCAGCCCCTTGGGAGGCCGAGACAGGCAGATCACTTGAGCTCAGGAGTTCAAAACCAGCCTGGGCAACATAGTGAGACCTTGTCCTTACAAAAAATTTAAAAATTAGCTGAATGTGATAGCATGCGCCTGTAGTCCCAGCTACTCAGGAGGCTGAGGTGCCTGACTTCATAGTTATGAAACTCACCTGCTGCCAAAACCTGCCTCATCCTTCTTTTATAAACAATCATAATCATTTTTAGTGTGGTTTTAAAACCATGGACTTCTTCCATAGTTTAAAATTCTAAACCTATGTTTTTGGTGAAACAGCTCAAAAGACCCTAAAAATCTGACACATTTTAATTAGTATTTCATTACTTCCTTCTGAATCGTAAGAGTTTTTCAAAACTGTGGCATTAAAACCGGGGTATGGTGGCTTCTGCCTATAATCCCAGCTACTCAGGAGGCTGGGGTAGGAAGATTGCTTGAGCCCAGGAAGTTGAAGTTGCAGTGAGCTGAGATGGCAGCACTGCACTCCAGCCTGAAGGACAGAGTGAGACCCCATCTCTTAAAAGAAAAAACTAAAAACAAAGTGATGGAGTTCAAGTTTATGGTTAAACTTCACCAGCATGGCCAACATGGTGAAACCCCATCTCTACTAAAAATACAAAAATTAGCTGGGCATGGTAGCAGGCGCCTGTAATCCCAGCTACTTGTGAGGCTGAGGAACAAGAATCTCTTGAACCTGGGAGGCAGAGGTTGTAATGAGCTGAGACCACACCACTGTACTACAGCCTGTACAACAGAGTAAGATTCCATCTCAAAAAAAAAAAAATCTGCCCTGTTAACAAATGTTAAGTATATAATACAGCATTGTTAGCACTATGCTCTATAGACCTCCAAAACTTAGTTTGCATAACTGAAACTTTGTACCCTTTAACCATCACTTCCCCATTTCCTTGTTCCCCTAGCCCCTGGCAACTGCTATTCTACTCTGTGCTCTATGAGTTGACTTAGATTCTGCATGTAAATGAAATCATATAGTATTTGTCTTTCTGTGCCTGGCTTATTTCTCTTAACCTAATACCCTCCAGGTTCATCTATATTGTTGCAAACGGCAGGATTTCCTTTGTTTTTAAAGTAGAATAATATTCTGTTGCATGTACATGCCATAATTTCTTTGTAACATTAGAAAGCTACATTTCTTAATAGCATTTGCTATATGTGTGTCTATACACACAGTTTTACATCTTCAATATACATTGCTTCATTCATTTGAGCTCCCTGGGAGAGGGTATGTAGAAGAATTAATTTCCAGTTGGGGAAGTGAGGCATTGTCTATAAGAATTTTTATCAGGGCACACGTAATTCTGGGAAAAGTGGAAGTCTTAGCAGACAGGGTCCATCTGCCTTGTGCTCTATGTTTCTCTAAGAATGAGCAAAGATTCATATTCCTAACAGCACAAATACATGCAAACTTGAACTCCATCGTTTTATTTTTAGTTTTTTTTTTTTTTAGAGATGGGGTCTCACTCTGTCGCTCAGGCTGGAGTGCAGTGGTGCAATCTCAGCTCACTGCAGGTTCAACCTCCTGGGCTCAAGCAATCCTCCCACCTCAGCCTCCCGCGTAGCTGGGATTCTAGGCAGAAGCCACCATACCCAGGTTTTAATGCCATAGTTTTTAAAAACTCCTATGATTTAGAAAGGAGTAATGAAAGAGTTACTTTTGATATGATGTTGAGGAAATCTCTATAATTGGGTTTAGAAATCAAAGTGGAAATTAGATTATGATTCCATTGTATTAACATAAGTTTCACTTAGGTCTAATTTAGATTGTTGAGAGTCAGCATTACAGAGCGTGTATATATATATAAAGGTTTGTAGCAGCAACATTGTGAAAACTAGAAGGCCTAGTCTGGATGCAACATTCAACATACCACTTTTGAGAACAGGGTTAATGGTTTGGGCTAAGATAACTTGATGTCCTTACAAACTTTTGATATTTAAGCTTTCCTTTTAAAATAATTGTAGATTCACAGAATGTAGCAAACATAGTACATAGAGTCCCATGAACCCTTCTCCCAGTGGTAACATCTTTTATAACTTTAGCATAACACCATGATACTTGATATTAAAAATGGTTTCAGTTCATTCGAGGTTTGTAGCAAAGGAAACAAACAGGCCAAGTAATTTCATCTGAGATGTAATTTTATCTAGCCTCCACTGTGGAAGATTGCATAGAAAAAGAATAGTGGTATGCTCTTTTGAGATAAATAACCCTTAGTCATGTAAAAGGTGGTAATTCGTGTATGCAAGAGAACTATTCATTAGTTAGAATATGGTTTAAGGCTCATCTGCCTGACATTTAACAAAGCGCATAATGGTTAGCTGATCAATCTGGAGTCCCCACAACTTCATATATCCTCAATTTTAATTGAAAGTCTTCTATATTCAGTTGCCTATAATTAATGTGACAATGCTTAAGTCACATAATATATTCAATTCTATAGAATAAATTGCACTATTCTAAGAGATTATGTGGCAGTTTAAAATCTAATGAGACTCTCACGCATTAATATTTCAATATAAATAATCATTAGATTCACTATTTGATATCTGCTTAATTGAAATGCATATGAATATTTTGACAAAGCAGCTTATCTGTATGCATGGATTTAAAAGAGCTAAGATTTCCAGCATCTTTTTTTTTGACCACTTTATTAAGGTATGATTGACATCTAAAAAGCTACACATATTTAATCTTGATGA
Organism: Homo sapiens; assembly: GCF_000001405.40. Lineage (NCBI taxonomy): Eukaryota > Metazoa > Chordata > Mammalia > Primates > Hominidae > Homo > Homo sapiens. The sequence goes on from NC_000023.11 coordinate 30,814,406, forward strand.
GTTTGGGGATAAATATATACCTGTGAAAGCATCACTGTCAAGGTCATCAATATATCCAAAAGTTTCTTCGTGTGCGTGTGTGTGTGTGTGTGTGTGTGTGTGAGTGTATGTATGTTTTATGAGATGCCGCGTAGGCCGGAGTGCAGTGGCGCAAACCATAGTTCACTGCAACCTCAAACTCCCTGGGCTCAAGCAATTCTCCCGCCTCACCCTTCTGAGTCCCTGGGACTACAGGCACACACTACCACACCTAGCTAGTTTAAATTTTTTTTTGTAGAGACAGGATCTTATTATGTTGCCCAGGCTGGTCTTGAACTTCTAGCCTCAAGCTATTCTCCTGCCTCAGCCTCCCAAAGTGCTGGGATTACAGGTGTGAGCCACCATTTCTGGTTGTTTGTTTTGTGGTAAGAACAAAACATAAGATCTGTGTTACAGATCACTTGAAGTCAGGAGTTTGAGACCAGCCTGGCCAAGATGGTGAAACCCCCTCTCTACTAAAAATACAAAAATTAGCTGGGCATGGTGGCAGGCGCCTGTAATCGCAGCTACTTGGGAGGCTGAGGCATGAGCATCTCCTGAACGTGGGAGGCAGAGGTTGTAATGAGCTGAGATCGTGCCACTGTACTCCAGCCTGCGGGACACAGTGAGACTCCATCTCAAAAAGAAAAAAAATAAAAAACTGCCGTTAACAAATGTTAAATATGCAATACAGTAGCACTATGCTCTATAGATTTCCGAAACTTGGTTTTGTATAAGTGAAACTTTGTACCCTTTAACCATCACTTCCCTATTTCCTTGTTCCCCTAGCCCCTGGCAACTACTGATCTACTCTCTGTTTCTATGAGCTTGACTCTTTTAGATTCCACATATAAATGAAATCATATAGTATTTGTCTTTCTGTATCTGGCTTATTTCTCTTAACGTAATACCCTCCAGGTCCATCTACATTGTTGCGAAGAGCAGGGTTTTTGTTTTTGTTTTTGTTTTTTCTTTTTTTCTTGAGACAGAGTTTCACTCTTGTCACCCAGGCTAGAGCAATATGGCAGGATCTCGGCTCGCTGCAACCTCCGCCTCCCAGGTTCAAGTTATCCTCCTGCCTCAGCCTCCTGAGTAGCTGGGATTACAGGCGCCCACCACCATGCCTATTTTTTGTATTTTTAGTAGAGACAGGGTTTCACCATGTTGGCCAGGCAGGTCTCAAAGTCCTGACCTCAGGTGATCCTCCCACCTTGGCCTCCCAAAGTGCTGGGATTACAGGCATGAGCCACTGCGCCTGGCCCCAGATGTGGATATGCTGGTTTCCAATAGTAAACATGAATTGCTTTCAGGATTCACATTTAGGTACAAAGAAAAAATATTTACCTTCTGAATGGGCACAATGAATGAAACATTATATTAACTCCTCCATTTGTGTTAAGCTCATTTTTTAAAAACACCCATATTTCTGCAAGGATAAGCATACACATATGCTACATCTTTTTATGCCATATGAATTCCTATGATGGTGTTTTATTTTTGTTTTAGGGTATAGCCTGGACTATTAATGGTTAAGGATTCTATCTATGAAATCCTTGTTCCACCTACCACCTACTTGCTTTGTCATCTTCTACAAATTGCTTTATTTCTCTCAAATTCAGGCACCTCATTTTAAAAATGTAAATGATAATAGCACTCTGCCTCATTGAGTTGTTGTGAAAATTAAATGAGTTATTACAGTCAAGGCACAAAGAACAGTGCCTAGCATGTTCTAACTGCTAAAAAGCTGTTAGCTATTATTATCATTATGCTATAATTACTATTTTAAAACTATCATTATTACAAAACATATGATGCAAACTGACAGAATTGATGGGCGAAATAGACAGTTACGCAATAATAGTTGGAAGCTTCAGTACAGCACTTTAAATCTTGGATAAAACATCTAGACAAAAGACCAATAAAGAAATAGAGGCCTGAAACATTAAACCATCTAAGCCTAACAGACATATATAGAACATTCCATTCAACAACAGCAGAAGGCACATTCTTATCCATTGCACGTGGAATATTCTTCAGGCTAGACCATATATCAGGCTTTACAAGTCTCAGTAGATTTAAAAAGAGTGAAATGATACAAAGTATCTTCTCTGACCATAATAGAATAAAATTAGAAATCAATAAAAGAAGGAAAACTGGAAAATTCCCAAATATGTGGAAATCAAACAACAAGAACCACCAATGGGTCAAAAAAGAAATCAAAAGAAAAATTAGAAAATACTTAGAGATGAATGAAAAGTAAATCACAACATATCGAAACTTATGGGATGCAGTGAAGGCACCCTCAGAGGGAAATTTATAGCTGTAAATGCCACTACTTGGCCTGGTGTAGTTGCTCATGCCTGTAATCCCAGCACTTTGGGAGGCCAAGGTGGGTGGATCACTTGAGGTCAGGAGTTCAAGACCAGCCTGGCCAACATGATGAAACCCCGTCTCTACTAAAAATACAAAACTTAGCCAGATGTGGTGGTGCATGTCTGTAATCCCAGCTGCTCAAGAGGCAGAGGCATGAGAATCGCTTGAACCCAGGAGGCAGAGGTTGCAGTGAGAGCCAACATGGTGCCACTGCACTCTAGCCCAGGAGACAGTGAGATTCTGTCTCAAGAAACAATAACAAAAACAAAAACAACAACAACAACAAAACAAAAAACAAAAAAAAACCACATAAGAAAATCTTAATAGCCTAACTTTACACCTTGAGGAACTAGAAAAAATAGTGAATTAAACCAAAAGCTGGCAGAAGGAAGGAAATAATAATGGTTAGAGCAGAGATAACTAAAATAGAGTTTAGAAAAACAAGAGAGAGACAATGAAAACAAAAGTTGGTTCTTTGATAAGGAAAAGAAAATGGACAAACCTTAAGCTAGACTGACAACGAAAAGAGATAATATCTAAAATCAGAAATGGAGACATTATTACTAATATTACAGAAATAAAAAAGATTGTGAGAGAATACTATGGACAATTGCACACCAAGAAATTAGGTAACCTAAATGAAATGGACAAATTCCTAGAAACACACAGGTTACCTAAGGGACTCAAGAAGAAATGTAATTTCTTAGACTTACAACAGATTGAATGAATAATCAAAAACCTTCCAAAAAGGAAACATCCAGGACTACATGGCTTTAGTGGTCAATTCTACCAAACATTTAAAGACGAATTAACACCAACTCTTCTCAAATTCTTCCAAAAAATAGAAGTGAAGGGAACACTTCCTGTCTTATTCTGTTAGGCTAGCATTACCTTGATACCAAACCAGACAAAGACATCACGAGGAAATTACCAGTATCCTTACGAATATAGATGCAAGAATCCTCAACAAAATACTAGCAAATTGAGTCCAAGAGTGTATTTAAAATATTGTACACCATGACCAAGTGGGATTTATCCCAGGAATGTAAGGGTGGTTCGACATAAGAAAAGTCAACAATGTAATACATCACATTAACAGAACAAAAGAAAAAAATCATCTCAATTGATGCAGAAATAACATTTGAGAAAATCTAATACCCTTTCGTGATTTAAAAAAAAAAAACACTCAAAACTATGCATAGAAGGAAACTTCCTCAACATGGTAAAGGGCATTAATAAAAATTTCACAGCTAACATCATATCCAAATCTCATGCTTAGTTGTAATCCCCAATGTTGTGGGTGGGTTGGGGGTGGGGTGGGAGATAATTTGATCATGGGGGCAGATTTCCCCCTTGGTACTTTGGTACTGTTGTCATTATAGTGAGTGAGTGTGTTATCGTGAGATGTGGTTGTTTACAAGTTATGTAGCACCACCTCCCCCTCTCTCTAACTCCTGTTCCAGCCATGTGAAGTGCTGGCTTTCCCCTTTGCCTTCCACCATGAGTAAAAGCTTCCTGAGGCATCCCCAGAAACGGATGCTGCCATGCCTGTACAGCCTACCGAACTGTGAGCCAATTAAACATCTTTTCTTTATGAATTACCCAGTCTCAGGTATTTCTCTTTTTTTTTTCTTTTCCTAAGTTGGGGGACTTATTCACTAGAATCTCTCTCTCACTCTCTCTCTCTCTCTCTCCCTCTCTCTCTCTCTCTCTCTCTCTCTGTGTGTGTGTGTGTGTGTATGTTTTAAATTTTTATTTCAATAGGTTTTGGGGGAACAGGTAGTATTTAGTTACATAGATAAGTTCTTTAGTGGTGATTTCTGAGATTTTGGTGCACCCATCACGTGAGCAGTGTACACTGTACCCAGTGTGTAGTCACCCCTCACAGCCTTTCCCCTGAGTCCCCAAAGTCCATTGTTTCATTCTTATGCCTTTGCATCCTCATAGCTTAGCTCCCACTTATGAGTGAGAACATACGGAGTTTGGTTTTCCATTCCTGAGTTACTTCATTTAGGATAATGGTCTCTCCAATTCCATCCAGGTTGCTGTGAATACCATTATTTTGTTCCTTTTTTTGGCTGAGTAGTATTCCATGGTGTGTGTGTGTGTGTGTGTGTGTGTGTGTATCACAGTTTCTTTATCCACTCATTGATTGATGGGCATTTGGGCTGGTTCCATATTTTTGCAATTGCAAATTGTGCTGCTATAAACATGCGTGTGCAAGTATCTTTTTCATATAATGACTTCTTTTCCTCTAGGTAGATACCCACTAGTTGGATTGCTGAGTCAAATGGTAGATCTATTTTTAGTTCTTTAAGGAATCTACACATTGTTTTCCATCGTGGTTATACTAGTTGACACTCCCACCGGCAGTGTAAAAGTGTTCCCTTTTCACCACATCCACACTTGCATCTATTATTTGATTTTTAAAATTGTGGTCATTCTTGCAGGAGTAGAGTGGTATTGCATTGTGGTTTTGATTTGCATTTCCCTGTTAGTGATGTTGAGCATTTTTTCATGTTTGTTGGCCATTTGCTTGTCTTCTTTTGAGAACTGTCTATTCATGTCCTTATCCCACTTTTTGATGTGATTGTTTTTTTCTTGCTGTTTTGTTTCAGTTCCTTGTAGGTTCTGGATATTAGTCCTTTGTTGGGTGCATAGTTTGTGAAGATTTTCTCCCACTATGTGGGTTGTCTGTTTACTCTGCTGATTATTTCTTCTGCTGTGCAGAAGCTTTTTAGTTTAAGTCCCATCTATTTTTCTTTGTTTTGTTGCATTTGCTTTTGGGTTCTTGGTCATGAAATCTTTGCCTAGGCCAATGTATAGAAGGGTTTTTCTGATGTTATCTTCTAGAATTTTTATGGTTTCAGGTCTTAGATTTAAGTATTTGATCCATCTTGGGTTGATTTTTGTATAAGGTGAGAGATGATGATCCAGTTTCATTCTACTACATGTGACTTGCCAATTATCCCAGCACCATTTGTTGAATAGCATGTCCTTTCTCAGGTATTTCTTTATAGCAATGTGAGAACGGGCTAACACTAGGCCAGTTGAACAAAGAGCCCAGAAATAAATCCTCATATTTACAGTCAATTGCTTTTTGACAAAGGTGCCAAGGACATATGGGGAAAGGGCAGTTTCTTCAATAAATGGTGGCGGGAAAACTGAATATCCACATACAGAAGAATGAAATTAGCTCATTATCTCACTCTATATAAAAATCAACTCAATGAATTAAAGATTTAAACATAAAATCTGAAAATGTGAAACTACCAGAAGAAAATATAGGGAAAAAGCTCCATGACATTGGTCTGGGCAATGATTTGTTTTGAATATCTTCCCCTAAACACAGGCAACAGAAGTGAAAATAGACCAAGGGATTATATCTAATTAAAAACCTTCTGCATAGCCCAGGAGACAATCAGAATGAAGAGATAACCTATGGATGGGAGAAAATATTTTCAAACCATACATCTGATCAGGGGTTAATATTCAAAATACATAAGGAATTCAGGCAACTCAATAGCAAGAAAACAACCCAATTAAAAATGGGCAAAGGAACTGAATAGACCTTTCTTTCTCTTTTTTTTTTCTTTTGAGACAGAGTCTCACTCTGTTGCCCAGGCTGGAGTTGGAGTGCAGTGGCGTGATCTCAGCTCACTGCAACCTCAAGCGATTCTCCTGCCTCAGCCTCCCAAGTATTTGGGATTACATGCATGTGCCACCACACCCGGCTGATTTTTGTAGTTTTTAGTAGAGACAGGGTTTTGCCATGTTGTCCAGGCTGGTCTCGAGCTCCTGGGCTCAAGTGATCCACCTGCCTCGGCCTCCCAAAGTGCTGGGATTACAGGCATGAGCCACCGCACTCGTCCTCAAAAAGATGAAAGATAAATGTTGGTAAAGATGTGAAGAAAAGGGAACCCTTGTACACCATTTGTGGAAATGTAAATTGGTACAGCCACTATGGAAAACAGCATGAAGGTTCCTTAAAGAATCAAATATAGAACTACCTTGTGATCCAGCAATACTACTATTGGTTATATCTGAAAATATGAAATCAGTATGTCAAAGAGATATCTGCACTCCCATGTTAATTGCAGCACTATTTACAGTAGCCGAGATATGGAATCAACCTAAGTCTCCATCAATGGATAAATGAATAAAGAAAATGTGCTATATATACACAATGGAATACTATTTAACCTTAAAAAATAAGGAAATCCTGTCATTTGTGACGTGGATGAACCTGGAGGATATTATGTTAGGTGAAATAAGCCAGGCACAGAAAGACAAATACCACATAATCTCCCTCATATGTAGAAGCTAAAAAGGCAAATTCACAGAAGCAAAGAGAAGAACGTTGGTTACCAGAAGCTGGGGAGTGGGAAGATTGGGGAGATGTTGGTCAAAGGATGCAAAATTTCAGTTAGGAGAAATAAGTTCAAGAGATGTATTGCACCACCTGGTGACCATAGTTAACAATATATTGTATTCTTGGCCAGGCCCAGTGGCTCATGGCTGTAATCCCAGCACTTTGGGAGGCAGAGGTGGGAGGATCACTTGAGGCCAAGAGTTCAAGACCAGCCTGGTCAGCCTAGTGAGACCCCCCCCCCAGTCTCAAAACAAAACAAAGCAATATATTGTGTTCTTGAAAAATGCTGGGAGAGTGGATGTAAAGTGTTCTCACCATAAAAATGGTAACTATGTGAGGTAATGCATATGTTAATTAGCTCAATTTAGCCATTCCACAATGTATACATATTTCCAGGCATCATGTACATAAGACAATTTTTATCAATTTAATAATAAATTAAGGGAAATAGGATGTGGTATGAGGTGCTTTTACTTCGGTGAATGAAATTTTTACAAGAGATATTTATGTCTACTAACAGATATTTTAGTCATTTCATACTCCTCATAAAGTCAGTATAAGTTGTTGTAAAAAAAAAATCATCTCTAGTTCCCAGCTAGTCACAAGAAGGATCTGTTGTAAAAGCCTGATTATTGATAACAGGTCCTTAGTCCCAAGAGGGAGAGTCAGTGTTAAAGCCATTTCAGAAACTTTCAAATCCATAGTTTCTGATCAGGACTTTTCTGTATGGAATCTCATTCACTCCAAGCATGATGTGATCCTCTGTACTGAAGTCTAGAGTTTTGTCTGTTCCAGAATGAACTTTTGTTTTGTTTTTTACATTTTTTAATATCTTTGTAAGAATTTTTGCATCATCAATGGTCTGTCTTATTGATGGGATTCAAAGTGTTTGACTTCTGAAGAAATAGAAGTTTTCCCACAAATGCTTTGTATAGTTTTTCACCTGTTTGTTTCAAGTATGCTTGAAAAGAGGATTAGGGGCAGTAAATACCATCTTCTGGGTGTGACACACGTAAGGCTTCCTTTAATATGCATGCAAATCTGACAGGTCAGTTTGCTGCTGGATTAGGCAAATCTCTGTCCACTCCTCTTTCTTAGACATATGGCTTCTCTCCACTAGGTGTCTGTATCAGTCTGTTTTCACACTGCTATGAAGAACTACCTCAGACTGGGTAATTTATGAAGGAAAGGGGTTTAATTGACTCACAGTTCCACAGGCTTAACAGGAAGCATGGCTGGAAGGCCTCAGGAAACTTACAATCATGGCAGAAGGCAAAGGGAAAGCAAGCACCTTCTTGGTGGCAGGAGAGAGAAGAGAGTAAATGGGGAAGTGCTACACACTTTTGAAACTCACATCAGATCTCTAAGAACTCGCTATCATGAGAACAGCAAGGGGGAAATCCGCCCTCATGATCTAATCACCTCCCACCAGGCCCCTCCTTCAACACATGGGGATTACAGTTTGACATGAGATTTGGATGGGGATATAGAGCCAAACCATATCAGTGTGCTCGCGTGAGTATTGAGACTGCTAGAAGTTGCAAATTGTAAATCACATATATCACATTTACAGGTTTTTTTTTTCCTTACCGTGATACATGTGACTATGGGTGATTACCTGGCATGTTTGAGCTAAGCCTTTATCACATAATTCACATTTGTAAGGCTCCTCACCCATATGAGTTCTTACATGAGTTTTCAGCTGGTTACAATGGGTACATACTTTTCCACAGACGTGGCCGATACAGAGTTTGACTCCTTTATGTATACTCACATGCATTTTAAAGCTGCTGGCTTCTAAGAACACTTTCTCACACATGTTACACATCAGCTTGGCCTTGGAATACTTCTGATCCAACTCTTTCCCCAGAGCTCTCCAGCTCATAAGGATTCTTGACACTGGCCATATTAGACAGAGTATTCTCTCAGACTATAGCTGGGCTACAAATTTTGACATTTCCATTTCACTGTTAGAGTTTGCATAGAGACATCTTGTGTTGGAAACGTTATTTCCCACAAGTGACGTCGACTACAGTTCTGAATTATTTCTTTGTGCAACATCTTCTATTATGAGTGTGGACAATTCATTTACATCTAGAAATAATTCAACATTTGCACAGTATAAAACATTACTGGGATATGGCACTATTTTCTCCTGTTCTTTGGGAGCTGAAAATCTTTTTAGTTTGAGATAATGTCTTTGCCACAGGCTCTTGTTGAGGAGTCACCTGAACTAAATCTGACATTGTTTTTTATTCCATTTTTTAATTATTTAGAAGAGCTTTTTCTTTTAATTTTCAGGTGGCTTGATTTTAGTTATTTTTAGATTTGATGCCTTACAATCAGAAAAGTGTGGCCTGTTTAATTCTGTTTTAGAAATTGAGGTTTTCTCGATTTTTTGGGGGGTAAATGTTTGGACATTTGAAAGAACAGTTGGTTATTGGGAGGTATAAAGTTTTATTATAGTAGATTTAACCAAACTGATAATATTCACTATTTGTCTATTTTGCATGTGAAAATCAGACAGTTGTGTTCCTTTATTTGACCTTCATAGGTAAGATTTTTTCAGTCGTCCTGTCCCATGTTTCTTATATCTTCGTTGCTTCTCTCCTATCTGCTGTGTTTGTTTTTTCTGGTATTCCTTATTGCATCTCCTGAGTCTAGATTCACATTTATTTCTTCTATATGTCAGCTCTTCATCTCAATATCCCTTTCCTCTGAATTCTACAATCTCTGTTGACTCAGTTCTCTGAACTTCACTACCTGTATTTGTATTTTAGAGTTTTAGTAAAAAATTAGTTTTCCTTTGAAGGAAACCTTTTTTGATCTGATTGTTCCTTTTTGAGAGATACAACATTGTTATAAATTTTGTTTGGAATTCAATTTAGAAATTAAGGTTTTCTCTTTCCCTTCTGTATTATGAGATTCTTTTTTCAGAATGCTACATCTTCATGTACATTTGATTTTTAAACAATTTTAAATACCATGTGGGTCACATTGTTTAAATCTTTTAATATCTTAAGCAAAAATTGTTCTACTTCTGTAGTCTTATTTTTCTTGGTTGGAAATTACTAAAAATATTAGAAAGATCGGGAAGTTCAGTGCTTTGCTAAGCATTTCTTTTCAGCCAGTCAGTAACAGGCATCAATGGGTGCTGTTTTAAATATTTATTGTGGGGTTGAAAACTGCTCCCTGGAATTCTCAGCTGGGCCAAGCAAGCTTTTCCTCTATGTTCATTGTGGCAGCTTGAAGTTACTTGGTGCCTTATGCCGCTTAACTAGGTGGCCAAACCACTCCCATTAAATGCTTTCTGTAGTGAACTGTGGTGCCAAGTGAGCCAGAAGGCAAGTGCTGTCATCTACATGCTTCCTGTCCAGCACATATTATCCCTTCCCATTTGCCCACGGCTCAGAGTTTGGGGGTCTTCCTGGGTTCTTTTGAGGAGTCCCATAGACTTGGTTTGCAGGTTGACTTTCACTGATGGCTGGAATTGTGTGCTGGCCGACACTGGTTGCTACTGCCCTCCATACATCCCCATCTGCTTCCTGTAATTTCTGACCCTGAGAGCCTATTCTCCAGTCCTTAAAAATGTTTTTGTTAGTTACACCAGTGGAATTTGGGAAGAGAAACTCAAATCGTAATCTTACAATCAGAGTCTTCCTGCCACATGTGACCATTTGATTCATTGTCAAAGTGTATAGAGAATGCAAGCTATTTCCATATGCTAACCCAATTTTCTCCTCCCCCAACCCCAAATACCTTCCATAAATCTTTTTTTGAATCTTGCACACCCAAATCAGACCAAATGATTTGAAAGAAAACAGAATTGGGGGATAGCATTTAGAAATCGCTGTAAATGTTAGCAGTTCTTGATCAAGGGAATGGAATTACCTGAAAACTACCTCAGTCCCCAGGAATAAATGCACAAATAAGTCAAAAGAAAACAAATTAATGTAGAATGTAGTAACTGGCATTTTGTTCCCACCACAGTGCAAAACTCTAGAAAGCTAGGCGGCACCACTTTTCTTGCACGATATATTATCACTGTGATGTCATGAAAGGGTGGTCAAAAGCACACCCGCCAATGTTCAAGAGGCAGGACAAGTGAGATGGTTTGACTGCTCTAAGAATAAGGAACTTGCAAAACAAAATCTCACTCACATATTCTATTAATATCTTTGAAATCTCCATCATAAAACATTACCTGGTCAACATTCTAGAAAAAAGGTCAAGAGGACAAAGTCAAGTCAGGAAGTCTTTGGAGGAATGCAGGTGGGAGACACACTGTGCATCTCCTACACAACAGTCCTCCAGTCTTCTGTGTGGAAAACTGAGCTGGGTAATACCTGAAATCATTATACTGATAGTGGGATTAAAGACTAATTATGGGCCAGGTGCAGTGACCTATAATCCCAGCACTTTGGGAGGCTGAGGCGAGCAGATGGCTTGAGCTCATGAGTTCGAGACCAGCCTGGGCAATATGGCAAACCCCTCTGTCTACTAAAAATACAAAAGTTAACCGGGCATGGTGCCGCACGTGTGTAATCCCAGCTACTTGGGAGGCTGAGGTGGGAGGATCATTTGAGCTTTGGAGTTTGAGGCTGCAGTGAGCCAAGATCGTGCCACTCACTGCACTCTAGCCTAGGTGACAGAGTAAAACCCTGTCTCAAAAAAAAAAAAAAAAAAATTCAGGTATGTCTCTGAAAATGAGCACCACAGTGAACCATTGTTGTGGTAACCAAACAGATTTTAAAAGAGACAACCCAGGATGTGGGAAACAAGGGGAAGGGAAAAAAATACTGCACATGCTATTTAAAAAGTTGTCTTAAAAATTATCTTTGACATTCTATGCATAATTGAACTATAAGATATGGTGGAGGACAACTCAATAGTAGATGAGGGAATTCCCCTATAAAAATATTCCAAGACTGGGCAACATAGCAAGGCCCCATCTCTACAAAAAAAATAAGCTGGGCATGGTGGTGTGTGCCTGTGGTCCCAGCTACTGAGGAGGCTGAGGCAGGAGGATCACTTGAGCCAAGGAGTTGGAGGCTGCAGTGAGCTGTGATCATGCCACTGCACTCCAGCCTGGGTGACACAGTGAGATCTTGTCTCAAAAAATCAGTTAATACATGACTGGGTTTCTGACAGAGACTATGAGAATGCATATAAAGACTTAAGAGACATAATCAATTTCATGTACTCTATTTAGACCCTAATTTGGATAAGCTTGTTAAAAAATCCATGAAACTATTAGAGAAACTTGCCACTGGATATTCAATGTTTAAATTATTGATTTTGATAAGTGTACTTTGCTTATGTTGAAAGTTTATTTACCAGTGAATTGATATGTCTGGGATTTGTTTCAACATAATCTAGGGGGAGGTGGGATGAAAATACAGACGAAATAAGAATGCTTATACATAGATAATTTTGGAAGCTGGGTAATAAATGGGGGATCATTATATCTCTACTTGCGTATGCTTGCAATTTTTCATGTATTAAAACAATGTAGTGGAAACGACTTTTTTTTTTTTTTTTTTTTTGAGACAGTTTCGCTCTGTTGCCCAGGCTGAAGTGCAGTGGCACAACCATGGCTTACTGTGACCTTGACCTCCTGGGCTCAAGGAATCCTCCCACCTCAGCCTTCCGAGTAGCTGGGACTACAGGCCTACGCCACCATGACCAGCTAATTTGTGTATTTTTGAACAGACGAGAGTCTCACTATGTTGCCCAGACTGGTCTTGAACTCTGGGCTTAAGCCTTCCTCCCACCTCGACCTCCCAAAGTGTTGGGATTACAAGCATAAGCCACCGTGCCCAGCCTGGAAATGATTTTGAATTTAAATGTGCTTAATCACTGAAAATGTTACCTACTATAATTCATTTGTGGTAATTTCTGTGTAAAAGCTGTAAAGGTTTACTACAGACCCTAACAAAGTATCAGAACATTATTTGCCTCTGAAATGACAAAGATTTTTTAAAAAAGAAAACTATGTATTCTTTTGTAAATAACATTCTAAAGTGGGATGAAAAGAAGTTCCTAACATATTCCAACAACTTTTATGTAAAACCTGCTTATGTATAATTTTACTAAATTTTCCAATTGGAGTAATGTGCACTTAATACCCCAAATCTAACATTACGTGTTCTAATAAAGGAAGACAAATGTGATGATTACGTTTGAGACAGCATATTTCAGTCCAGAAATATGAGTGCTGACACTAGAACTAATTTGATACTGTAAATTTCTACGCAGAAAAGATGCAGAATGTAGTGTTTGCTTTTAGTTTATTTATTTTGCAGGAATCTTTGACTTTCCGAATATGTACTGTTTGGAGGTACGATGCATGCAGAGCCTTTTAAAATGCCTTTGTACAATTTCATCTCAAAATGATTTCATTCACAGCATACACAGAAATCTAAAAGAGACATGGTATTTACAAGATTTAATAAGTTTTTGCTGCTTTAATGAAGAAACTGATCAATTCTTTTACAGTAGGGAAAGAAACATGGACATTGGGTATCATAAATAATTCAGAATTGTTCAGTCTCAAAGTAACTTTTCATGGCTTTAGAATTAAAATTGAGTCATCATTCTATTAATCTCTGAATGCCCAAGCCATGCAGAATCTACTTGTATTAAATATTTGGGGATGCAAATAATACAGGAAAAAAAGTCTGGTGAATGTGAAAACGTCATCAGAATTAACCTTTACAATAGGCAAATACTGTTAATTCTTTCGAAAAGATACAGTAGTGGTGCAACACAGACAGTGCCCAATTTATTCTGATTTTTAAAAGTAACATTTCAGTTGTCATTTTTCTTTCTCTACAGATAGATATACAGACACACACGGTAACATGGACTCATTCAAGGTCTAACAATGGTACAATATTAAAATAATTCAATTTTTAACTATAAAGGGACATCTTCACATTCCAGGATACATCATTGATATTTTTAGAGGACAATTCTTCTATGCCTTATATTCTTTTTGTTTATACTGTCAGAAATACATTACAATTACCTCTTAAAAGACTATATAAAATTGAATTGCCACAGAAGGTTGGATATGAACCCTAGACAACTGTGACAAAGCAATGACAAAATTTAAGGAAACATTGATTTATTTGCATAATTAAAAAGTACTAAAATTGAGACCAGCTCCTTAAAAATTAAACTGCTTATCACACTTCCCATTTCTTCCAGGGAAATAAACAAATTAGCAACACTTTCCCCACCATCATTATTAATTTGCTCTAAAACTACATTTTTACAATGCATTTCTTTGTTTCTTTAAAGCCCCCTGCCTCTACTCTCTTCCAAACAAAGTCAATATCAATTCAAAACATTTTACAATGCTTAAAAAGTTTCTGGCTCCTCTATTACCATTTTAAACTTTTAAAAACTACTCCAAAATTTAAGGGGCAATGTACTTTAACAAAATGGCAAACGTGCTTTCTAAAATCCCAGTTTACAAAATAGCGAAATAATGTAAAATGTATAGTCAGGCCTATATGTTACCAGATACATCAAACTAGTCATTTTAAAGAAACCTCTTACAAGAAACAAGAAGTGCACCAGCTGATCCAGCTGGCACCTCAGCAGCCAGGCGTCATCCGATTTATATCCTACCACTTCCATGCCAATTGTCTGTACATACCAACTGACTACAAGATCCTTTTGAAAAGGCATCTTGAAAGTTGGGTGAATTCTTGTTCAAACTGGTCATAGGCAAAAAGCAGTCTACATATGGGACACAGTTAAACATACCAGATTTATCAGTGTCAAGTCATTTTGCCTATTTTAAAACTGAATACAGCCTATGTTGGCATATGAAACTTGTGCACAATTAAAAATTAACATGTACAAAACTTCCTTAAAATCAATCTGATACCGCATACCCCACCCTTTACACCTATCCAATAGACTGTTTTCTCTCTTTTCCTGGCAGGTGAAAACAATGATTGACTAGATAATATCACCAAAGGATTGAAACCATGCATCTACTGTATAACAGCTTATTAACCTTGATGTATTTTCATGCAATAGTTTTAAAGTCATCTACATGGTTTTATAAAGCATCAGACTGTTTTCAGACATGCTACTTTCATTCTCAACTGACAACTGCCAAGTTAATTGCCTCCACTTCAGCATATCACTATGAATACTGGTAAACCTTTTAGCTAGGACACCAAGCAGTATATATATATATATTTCCCCTAAATTGTAACTTAAAACCAAGTGGGGTTGACCATCACTAAAGAGATATGAAACCATACAAAGGCAAAGGCATATTACAGAACAGTAGGACGGCTAGACTGTTATTGGAGACAGAGACCAGTGTTACAAAAACCTTTGAAGAACGTTGTTTTGGGGACCATGCTTTTAAGCCCATCTGCTTTCTCACCGTTATTTTCACAGTTTTGCCACAGTTGTTGTGTGAGAGATGTTTTTATCAGTGTTAATTACCATGCTTCCTTTGGGAGACTAGTGGATATATTTTGGGGAGTTTTTCACATATGAAAAAATGTTTTCAAAGCTGTAGGCAGAGTGTGAAATGATTCTGATGGAAAACTATGATGAGTTATTACGCCTTTGGTTTCATTATGCTATTAAGAGCAGCTTGTTTTTCCAGGTCTGCCAGAGATTACTGCTAAATTAGAAGTGGGGGGGCGGTGTAGGGGGGTTGGGGGAGAAACCTGATGGGAGCGTCTATGGATATTCCTAAGACGATATCCTCAGGTAAAATCCTTTAGGATGGGAGAACCTACTAACTTTATTGCTGTTTATACTCACCAAAATGAGGGGAAGATTCCAAAACTCCAATTCTGAGCTAAGAAGGAACTCCAACAATGGCAGAGACCTTAATGAAATGTGCTATTAAGTTTCCAGCGATGCACCCTAGTGAGTCACATGACTTTATATCTCTTATCCGCACCCTGAAGTTCTATTTCATAAATAAGGAGTGCTTTAAAATGATCTGAACTGCCTGTAGAGACTCAATTGACCTCTAGATACAGTTATGTTAAATTTTAAAAGTTGTTTCAAAGTCCTCTATATTCACCTTTCTCTTAATAATTTTTGACAATCCCTCCTTTCCTAAATAATGCAGTGTGCAACTTTGTCGTTGGCCAACTGTAATTCCCCTCACACTGGTTTGTTAACATATGCAAGTAAGTTTTTATTGAACAGTTAATATTGATTTCAGCTAAATTAGGATTATGGCACAAAGTTTTATCTGTGCTGTAAACATCATGAATTTATCACAAAATTGGAAGGAAAAAAAAAAGGCCCTATGGACTGCAAAAGTTTAAGAACCACAGCTGAGCTCAAGATTTCCAAATGGATTTTGGAATGGACTTGCATTTGGCATACATTCACTGTGCTACTGGCAAAGCGCAGTTTTACGAGAATATCATTTATAAAATCATACTTTGTAAGGACTTGTTATTTTGAAAACCAATGGCCTTAATAAAAACATGCAGTAACTTAAAAAAATGCATCTCTTATGTGGCATAAGTAGGTCTTAGTTACCAGTGTTGATAGAGCTCGATGAATCACACTGTACAAGCCAAAGGCATCTTACCACCTCTGATTGTACTTTTAAACAAAGGCATGATATGCCTAGTTCCTGACTGCTACAAATCACATTTTAAAACATTTTGTTTGTGTGCATGTATGTGTGTTGGAAATTACCCCTGAAAAAAGCAGCAATTACAAATACCCTTAATTAATTTGCCCCCCCCCCCCAAATATTCTAGGTGCTTTTTCCTGTTGTCCTCTTTAGTAGGAAGCAATGGGAAGAAGCACGGGGAGCCTTGGTTTTCCAGAGAGCGGTGACCAGGTAAGTCTGCTCTGGGAATTCACAGTTTGCATAAACTGTAGCATTTCATACTATGATTCAAAGTACTACTTTAAAAAATAAGGGCCACTCAGCAGTAACTTTAACAATTGGGATTCCACCACAGAAGAGCTCTTGACTTCTGTGTGTACATTCTTTCACAGAGTGAATCCTTTCCCAGTTTCAAGTATCCCTTTCTATCTCTCACTCTGTAGTGAGTTAAGAAAGGAGAAAAAAAAGACCTCCCCATTTTTCCTTTCGTGAGCACAACGACGACCACAAAGCCATTCCTCCTCCCCGCTGTGCAATCGAAAATGAAAAGGCTGGGTGGATGAATAGAGTCCCGAGGTTTCCTTTTCTTCTGGTAGTGCTCAAAGTTTCACTTTCAACCTGGCGCAGACTTTTCTGAATTCAGGTGTACCGTGGCATCTCGCACTGCTCACAGCGATTTAGTGCTGGGTGGTTAAGAAAGGTGCAGCTATCACAATTCCATGGAGCCCCTTCGTAGTCTTCATCTCGAGGTTGTGTCCGAGGACTTTGTGTGGAGCCAGTTCGATGCTCTGAGGGAGGTTAGGATTAAGGGGGAGGGGGAAGGTAAATAGATTAACCTTTTTCCAAGTATAATCCAAACTGAAAAGAAAAATACCACAAAAATCAAGGGAGGTAATTGCCTACTTTAATATGTAAGCCAATTAGTAAATATATCTACTGGAAATGCATAGTTGAACAGAAAGTTGATCTTTTACTTTGTTCTAATTACTTTTTTTCTGCTATAAGAAGATGGATATATGTCCAGAATAGATTGCCTTCCTAGGTCATTACCTGTAAATAGCGGAGAGTTATGCTTTATTCCAGCCAAATGAAGAAAAAGAGAAATGTTTTATAGCATGTTAAATTCTGTCGCCTCTGTAAGTTTTCCCTGACTTCAGCCCACCTTGACTTTTCCTCTCTATAGTATAATACTATCCACACTATATTAAACATCTGACTAAATGTGTGCCTTCTTCCATGACAACTTAAGCTCTACAATATGCATATGTTTTATATTAATGGTTCATAAATAGCAGTGGCAGTTCATACCAAAGTTTTCCTCAGAATAGTGAAAAGAGGAAGATTCTACAGTTCATTTTTCATAAAGCTAAATTCATTCAGTATAAAAGACTTTTATTCTCATATTCTTTCCTACATTTTTGGCATTAAAAATCCTTCATATATCAGTTTTTAAAAATGCCCATACCTGGCAACCTTATGTTGGTCCCCAGGATTTGAAAAAGATATCCAAACTTACATTCCTCTTAGGTCCTCATTCCCTCTGGCTTTGTGCTCAAAAAAGCTCTTTGCATCTAGAGTTAACCTGTAATTTCTGTCTTTTAGGTCTCTATTGAGACTGAGGTCAATAAATAGGAGACTAAAGATCTCCAGATGGAATTCACCCTGGAATCTGGGGTAACTGGAAATGAGATTAAGATCTGAGGTAAGCAACACCTTTTTAAATAGGTAACAAAAGAAACAGATCTAGGGAAGCTTTGTCAGTTACTATTTTGGGCTAGGCATATCTTCCACTGGAAATTAACAAGCTGACTTCTAGTTTATCAATTTGCCTTATATGACAAATGTTATAACATTCCCCAAGAGATAAGGAGAACTGAATTTTAGACCCTGAACCTTACCCCAAGGTATGATAATGCTCAGCCTCAAACAGGAAGGTGATCTTAGCCTTAGGATATAACAGAAAATTACTGGGTTTTTCAGCTGCTTCCTATGACTATAAATAGGAGATGGGCTTGTTTCTCTTGCTTCAACTATTGCTTTTTAACTGCCATTATCACCCACCTTGTGTCTTTTGGCTCATGACTCCAAAACATGTAGATTTAATACAGTTTTCTTTTTTGTCTCATATGGAGGAATAAAGCCTTCGGTTGGAGGAAAAATGTTTACTATGCCATTTTCTTTCTTTCTTTTTTTTTTTTTTTGAGACGGAGTCTTGCTCTGTTGCCCAGGCTGGAGTGCAGTGGCGTGATCTCGGCTCACTGCAAGCTCCGCCTCCTGGGTTCACGCCATTCTCCTGCCTCAGCCTCCTGTGTAGCTGGGACTACAGGCGCCTGCCACCGCACCCGGCTAATTTTTTGTGTTTTTAGTAGAGACAGGGTTTCACCGTGTTAGCCAGGATGGTTCGATCTCCTGACCTCGTGATCCGCCTGCCTCGGCCTCCCAAAGTGCTGGGATTACAGGTGTGAGCCACCGCACCCGGCCTACTATGCCATTTTCAGAAAAGGACCTCTTTTGTCTTTACCTTTTAAAAGAACAATATGCCCAAAAACGTAACACTTAAAAAAAAATTCGTATCTTACTGTTGCTGGTTTTTAATAGACATGCTCTAAAAACTCAATGTTGCTATAAGTGTAAAATATACACCACATTTCAAAGACTTAGTATAAAAAGGATGTAAAACATCTCACTGATAATTTTATATTGATTTCATATTGAAATAATATTTTGTATATACTGAATTATATAAAAATATATTAAAATTTGGCCAGGCACGGTGGCTCACGCCTGTAATCCCAGCACTTTGGGAGGCTGAGGCGGGTGGATCACGAGGTCAGGAGATCGATACCATCCTGGCTAACACAGTGAAACCCCGTCTCTACTAAAAACACAAAAAATTAGCCGGGCGTGGTGGCAGGCACCTGTAGTCCCAGCTACACAGGAGGCTGAGGCAGGAGAATGGTGTGAACCCAGGAGGCGGAGCTTGCAGTGAGCCGGGATAGCGCCACTGCACTCCAGCCTGGCCTAAAGAGCGAGACTCCGTCTCAAAAAAAAAAAAAAAAAAAAAAATTAATTTCATCTTTGCTACTAGAAAATTTTAAATTGTATATGTGGCTTGCATTATATTTCTACTGGACAGCACAGCCTTAGAAACTCGGTAATGTTTTTAAAGCAAAAAATAAAGGTATGGTTTTACTTATAATTCTACATGGATTAACATGTGTCTTTGGACATTCTGCACAAACTCTGGACACACAAGTACAAACCATCTGCAGCTGCTGCCTGGGTGTCATGGATGTCTGCCTGTACTTTGGAGGTCACGCTAATTCTTCGGGCTTTTCTCTCAATTGTGCAGGGGTCTGAGGAGTCTGCATAAAAATAAACAACGCCAGAAAGAAGTGATCCAGTCTTTCAACTGCAAGAGTGAACAGGCTCACAAGATCTTTCAAGCAACCCACACAGCTGAGTGCATTTACCCTACCTATTACTTCATGTTACCTTTAGCAAGGGCAGGCACCATATTTAATACTGCTTTTACAACCTATACAGAGCAGTGGTTCTTACAACTTTTTTCCATCTTCTCCAGTTACATCTTCTCCCATTACTTAGAACAAATGCCCTATTTCACTGTTTTCTACTTTTTAATGGATTAGGGGTACAAACTCAGTGATAGCAAATAAATGTCGATGTGAAAGCAAAATTTGGGAAATTTTACTTTAGCAATTATCTGATTAAGCAATAATTATTTAAAAATTATTTTAAAATTATGGGCACTATCCATACAGTAAGGCTATTACAATGATGAAATGTGATGAAAATGACAGGATTTTTTTTGTTTTGTTTTTGTTTTTTTTGAGACAGGGTCTTGTTCTGCTGTCCAGGCTGGAGTACAGTGGCACAATAATGGCTCACTGCAGCCTTGATCTCCTGGGCTCAAGTGATCCTCCTGCCTCAGCCTCCCAAGTATCCAAGACTACAGGTGCATGCCACTACCACGCCCAGCTAATTTTTTAAATTTTATTTTTTGTAGAGACAGGGTCTCTCGCTATGTTGCCCAGGCTGGTCTCAAACTCCTGGCCTCAAGTGATCCTCCCACCTCAGCCTCCCAAAGTGTTGGTATTACAGGCAGGAGCCACTGTGTCTGGTGGATTTTTTAAAAATAGCAGTACTTGAAAAATCAGAACCAACTCGATATAATAGTATATACTGACAACCACGTGCTCCCAAATCATTTCCTGAATTCCAATTACCTATGTGTGCAGAAGCCCAGCAGACACTTTGCAACACAGACAAGAACTGTAGGCATCCTAATATCTTGCTAGAAAATTGTTTCTATAAATTTATAGTTTATTAGTAAGCAACCCTTTGGATTAAAAATGAAAAATGGCAGCCTTTATATTATTTGCCCTTAGGAACCAAAGAAAGATCTTGCATTTTCTAATGAATTCTGAGCCCACAGTACAACTCATCTTTGGAAATCACTGCTCCAGAATCCAAAGCATGGTGCTCAGGTACTTAAATACTCCATTGTCTGAGTAAACAAAAGCAGAGTGAATGTCTCCTTAAGGCTCCAAAGAATAAGGTAAAGTTCTGTTTCTTAGATTTGCAAAGTACTTCTGTCGAGTCACATACCTTATCTCACTAACTCTTACAACCTTTGGAGTATTTGGCTGGATTGTCCCTCTATGGTGCTCAGATTGAGTTTGAACAAGGTCAGGTGGCCAAGATGACCAGGACCAGTGCTCAGATCGTGGGACACCAAGGTCAGTGTGCTTGCTTGCTTACTGATGAAGGTTGGGGAAGCTGTCTAAGCCCACTGAAGAGCACACATACACACTGTATTGTTTAACTACAAAGTCCAATCTACCACTGTTATGAGTTACTAATAAGGGTTGGGAGACATTCTAAGCCCGCTGAAGAGCACGTACACACTGTATTGCTTAACTACAAAGTCCAATCCAAAAAAGGTTTGTTTCTCTGTCTCTTTCTCTCTCTTTCCTTCTGTCTCCCTCACATTCTTTAATTATCACACTTAGAATTCAGATAAACTATATTAATTACACTTGGATTTCTGGTATATATCTGTAATAACTCCAAGACATTTATTTATTCGAACCAATAAACCTATTCTACCAGTAATTTGTGTTTTACTGGTTTATCTTTTTTCTTTTTGTATTTGAGTGGCCTGCAATAGCAGGCCAATCTGTGCTAAACTATATGTACTTTTAGAAAACGCCGATTTAGTTTCAAATACAATATGAGAATCTGCAAGTGCTTAATGGAAAACAAACTTGATTTTATGGAGAAAACTGAATAGCTTTTATAAATTTGTGATGAAAGGCTTACCAAAAAATTATAGAATTTAATCAAGTTCTACTGTTTCTAAGTTTTAACAGAAGAAGATAAAAAACGGGTTAAAGACAATTTGGCATATAATAGAACCATTTATACTTTCACCAATAATATATATTATTATAGAATTACAACTACTAAATTTCTAAAATAGAAATTCATTTATAGTGAAGATGACTGAGATGGCTTCCTAGTCTCTTTTTTATTAGAAGTGTACATATGTAGAATATTAAACTGCTTGGGGTAGGAGTCATGTTTTCCCTGTGTAACAGCAAGCATCTATCTACATAATTGAGCTACGCATTGAGCATTCAATACATATTTAAGAAATTTTAACCGAAATCCCATTATAACTAACTCTAAGGGACTATCAGTTTTTGCAAATTGTGTTTGAGTTAAATGAGTCATAGAAAAGAGTCTTTCAGACCAGGAACAGTGACTTATGCCTGTAATCGCAGCACTTTGGGAGGCCAAGGCAGCAGGATCGCTTCAGCCCAGGAGTTTGAGACCAGCCCGGGCAACATGGCGAAACCCTGTCTCCACAAAAAATACACAAATTAGCCGGGCGTGGTGGTGTGCGTCTGTAGTCCCAGCTACTCAGGTGGCTGAGGCAGGAGGATGGCTTGAGCCTGGGAGGTCGAGGCTGCAATGAGCTATGATCATGCCACTGCACTCCAGCCTGGGCGACAGAGCGGGACCCTGTCTCAAAACAAAAACAAACAAACAAAGTCTTTTTAGTGTAAAGGTACTTGTAGAGCGCTAGATGAAGCTTGATATTAATGGGACCACATCATGGAATATTAATGCAAGCCTTATTCAATGCCCAGCCAAGGAGGATACCAAACAGGAACCTCCCACCTCGAATACATGGTGTTGGTCCCAAAGACAGAAGGCAAAATGACATCTTTTTTTTTTTTTTTTTTTTTTTTGGAGACAGCATCTTGCTCTGTCACCCACGTTGGAGTGCAGTGGTGCGATCTCGGCTCACTGCAACCTCCACCTCCCAGGTTCAAGTGATTCTTCTGCCGCAGCCTCCCAAGTAGCTAGGATTACAGGTCCACGCCACCATGCCCAGCTAATTTTGGTATCTTTAGTAGACACGGAGTTTCACCCTGTTGGACAGGCTGGTCTCAAACTCCAGACCTCAAGTGATCCTCCCTCCCTCCCAGGCCTCCCAAAGTGCTGAGATTATAAGCATGAGCCACAAGGCTGGCCTCAGAATGACATATTAACACGAACATCACCATTGCTAGAAAACCACAATCTGACTATACAGGATCCTGGCAGCAGATCCATCTGATTACCCCAGGAAAATTCCTTGATATTTCTTTTTTCATGGTCTTTCATATATATATTCCTTTGTCAAGTGTCTGTTCAAGTGTTTTACCCTTTTTTATTGAGTTGTCTTTTTATTACTGTGTTGTAGAAATTCTTTATATACTCTGGATACCATCCTTCATCAGATACATATTTTACAAATATTTTCTCCTGGTCTGTGGTTTGCCTTTTCATTTTCTTAATAGTGTCACTTGATGAGCAGAAGTGTAAAACTTTAATGAAGACTAATTTATCAATTGTTTTTCTTTTTATTGCTTCCTGTGACCTGTCCAAAAACTTTTATACCTAAATTGCAAAGATATTCTGTTCTGGAAGCTTTATAGTTTAACTTTTATACTTAGGTGTATGAGCTATCTCAAATTTTTGTGTATGATGTGAGGTAGGTAGAGATCAGACTGTGTGTTTCTTCCACATGGATATCCAGTTCTTCCAGCTCTGCCTGTTGAAAAAAATGTTCCTTTGTCTATTGGTTGCTTTGGTGCTTTTGTCAAATATCAAATGACAGTGTGACTGGGGGGTATAAACCTGGGCTCCCTATTCTGTTCCAGTGATCTATTTGTTTATTCCTATACCAATATCACACTGTGGTTATTGTAGCTTTATAGTAAGTCCTGAAGTTGGTTAGTCTAAGACTTTTTTTTCCTTTTTGGAGACAGCCTGTCACCCAGGCTGGAGTATAGTGCTGCAATCACGGCTCACTGCAGCCTCAACCTCCTGGGCTCCAGCAATCCTACCGCCTCAGCCACCAGAATAGCTGGGACTATAGGTGAGGCTGCAATGAGCTATTTTTAAATTAGCTCTACACTAACACACTTTTCATACACTTTTAATTACACCATGTCTGGCTAATTTTTAAATTTTTTTTTGTAGATGAGGTCTATGTTGCCCAGGCTAGTCTCGAACTCCTGAGCTCAAGTGATCCTCCTGCCTTGGTCTCCCAAAATGCTAGGTTTACAGGTGTGAGCCATTGCACTGAGCCAGTCTAAGACTTCTGGATGCTCTTTTTCAAGATTGTTTTGGATGTTCTAGGACTTTCTGTATTTCCATATGAATTTTATAATCAGTTTGTTAATTAAAAATGCACTACCACCTAATGGGGTTATAATTGGTATTACACTGTATCTATATATCAACCTTGTAAGAACAGGTATCTCAAAAATATTGATTCAGTCAGTTAATGAACATGGTATATCACTCCATTTACTTAGGTCTTCTTAAATATCTTTTGACAATGTTTTATAGTTTTCAATGTATACATCTCTGGATAAATTTATTCCTAAGTGTTACATGGTTTTTGATGGTATTGTAAATGAAATTCTCTTGAATTTTATTTTCCAAGTGTTTACTGATATTGTAAAAACATGTTTATATATTGACTTTGCATCCTGAGGCCTTGTTAAATTCACTTATTAGTTCTAATAGTTAGTTGTTTTCCAGTATCCTTAGGATTTTAAAAATAATTATGTCATCTGTAGTATATATAGTTTTATTTCTTCTTTTCCAATATTTATGCTTTTTTTTTTTCTCTCTTACTGCATGGGCTAGGAACTCCAGGTACAACGTTGAATAAAGGTGGTGAGAATAGACATCCTTGCCTTGTTCCCAATGTTGGTAAGTTCAGAATTGCATTATTCAGTAATAATGGCAGCTAAAGGTTTTTGAAAGATGCCCTTTATGAGACTGAAAGAGTTCTTTTCTATTCTTAATTTGTTTAAAGTTTTTGTCTGTCAGGAATGGCTGTTGAATTTTGTCAAATGTTTTTCCTGTATCTGGTGAAACGATCACATGCTTTTCCTCCCTTTGTTTAATATGGTAAATTACACTGGTTGGTTTTTTAATGCCTATACCAAGATTATATTCCTAAGCTAAACTCAACTTGGTCATAATGTATTATCTTTTTTTATATAGTGACTATAAGTCAATGAGATAGAAAACAGAATTATGGATTTTTTGTTTCTATGTTCATGAAGTTTATTGATCTGAAATTTTGTTTTCTTTTTGTGAGGGGCAGATACATAATGTCTTTACCAGGTTTTAGAATCAGAGTTCTGCTAGCGCCATAAAAAAAGATGGGGTACAACACCAACAGTGAACCCTAATGTAAACTATGGACTCTGAGTGATTATGAGGTCTCAATATAAGTTCATCAATTGTTACAAACGTACCACTCTGGTGTAGGATGCTGATAATGGGGCAGGAGGTATATGGAAAATCTCCGCAACTTCCTCTCAGTAACATGAAAAGGAAATGAAATGAAAAAACAAAAAAGAAATACGGGAAGCGTTCCCTCCTGTATTTTCTCAAAGAGTTTAAGATTGGTATTTTTACTTTCTTAAATATTTGGTGGAATTTACCCACCAGTGAATCTATCTGGATCTGGAGTTTTCTTTGTGGGGGAAAATTTTGATAGTGGATTCAGTTTCTTTATACATATATATATTATATATATATATATATATATATATATATAATATATATTAAAAAAACACACACTTACTAATATTTACTGTTTTGTCTTGTTTTCAGTTTGGGTAGATTATATTGTTCAGGAAATCTGTCCACTTTATCTAAGGTGTCAAGCTTACTGCATAAAGATGTCCATCACTTTCCCTTATTATCATTATCATTGTAATAGATAACCCATCTTTCACTTTTGATTGTGGTAATTTGTGTTCTCTTTTTTTACAGATCAGTCTACCTTGAAGTTTATTGATTTTGTTTATCTTTTCAAAGATCAAACTTGCTTTGTTAACTTTTTCTGTTTTCTATCTCATTGACTTTCCTTTCTTCTACTTTGTTTTTACTTTGTTCTTGTCTTGTTTCTTAAGGTAGAATTTTAGATATTCCTGTCTTACATGAGCATTTAAAGCTATAAATTTCCTTCTAAGCACTGCTTTAACTATCGCATGGGAAAGAATTTTGCCTTGCCCAAACAGAGGTCTGGCTTTGTCCCTGGCTCAAAACCTTGAAATTTCCTGAGTAACGGCAGTGTCTTTGTTATTTATGGTGGGTCCCTCAGACCGCATGATATGGTTTGTCTGTGTTCCCACCCAAATCTCATCTTGAATTCCCACATATTGTGGGAGGGGCCTGGTGGGAGGTAATTGAATCATGGGGGCAGGTCTTGTGATAGTAAGTCTCACGAGATCTGATGGTTATTATAAGGGAGAGTTTTCCTGCACAAGCTCTCTTTAAGATGTGACCTGCTCCTCCTTGCCTTCTGTGATGATTGTGAGGCCCGCCCAGTCTTGGGTATGTCTTTATCAGCAGCGTGAAAACAGACTAATACACCACACCTATAGGGAGTTTATGCTGAGGGATGGCTCATGATGCACGTGTTTTCCACCATTTCTAATCAACTTGGTCCTGTTTCCAGGGTAAAAACTTTCCAATGCACTCCCTTAGACAGGGCAATTGCTCTAAGACAGCTCTTTGAATCAATGAACTAAAGTTTGTCTGGCGATACTTCTTTAGTAGACATTCAGGCAAAATCGAGTTTAAAGACTGATTTTATGAACCCAAAAGACTAAATTGATCAATGCTAACTATACACCTCAGTGACTTTCGGCAAGAAACTGCATATGATGCTGCCAAAGTGCCAAATCTGGCACTCGGCAGTCATCCACTAAGATGATTCTTTGTGCCATTTTTAGAAATCAATAGACTATTTTTTGGCCAGGTGCGGTAGCTCATGCCTGTAATCCCAGCACTTTGGGAGGCTGAGTCACTTGAGGTCAAGAGTTCAAGACCAGCCTCGCCACCATGGTGAAACGCCGTCTCTACTAAAAATACAAAAATTAGCCGGGCATGGTGGTGGGTAATCCCAGCTACTTGGGAGGCTGAGACAGGAGAATCACTTGAACCTGGGAGGTGGAGGTTGCAGTGAGCTGAGATAGTGCCACTGCATTCCAGCCTGGGTGACAGAGAGAGTCTCCATCTCAAAAAAAAAAAAGAAATCAATAGGCTGTTTTTAAATGTAGATCAGATGAAACATCGATGGTAATATTAAACAATAAAAAGAAGAACAGATACTATGTTGCAACTTATAAATAAAAAAAAAAACACTCTGTAATGAGCTTAATATACGTAGAAAACTATTCAACCAAAATTTAAGTAATTAGGTCAGGTAGTATTATTTAGATAGAATTTATACATTCTTTTAATTAAGTCTGATGAGATGTTAAATGTTATACTCTCTGGTAATTTTTTTCAAAAATAAGGCATTCTCCACTGTTCTATGTGTCTTCATGATCAATCTACCTTGAGTTGCTTAAGGCAAAAAGGATTAAAATATTAAGAATGAGGCAGAAAGTTAATCTACATTCAATGACTACTTATTTATGAATGAATGAATAAATGACAGGGTCTCTGTCGCCTAGGCTGGAGTACAGTGGCGCGATCTCGGCTCACTGCAACCTCCACCTCCTGGGTTCAAGTGATTCTCATGCCTTAGCCACCTGAGTAGCTGGGATTACAGGCGCGCGCCATCAGGCCTGGCTAATTTTTGTATTTTTAGTAGAGACGGGGTTTTGCCATGTTGGCCAGGCTAGTCTCGAACTCCTGGCCTCATGTGATCCATCCGTCTGGCTTAAATGACTGCACGTGTAAATTCAATTAAAATTAATTTTTTAAGATACAGAAATGCCAATTAAACATTTGCTACATAAAAATAAGAACATGTTTGATATCTTTAATTTTAAATCATTTTTATGTAACAACTATCCAAAAATGATTCCTTCAAACCTTGGTTATATAGGATTTCTTTTGTTCTTGATGGGAAAATACCTAGTCGCTACCAATTGCTATGCTCCCCTTTTGAGTACACAAGTATTCTTTTGTTGTCTGAAAAATAATCTTAAGTCTATTGCAAATCTAACTTTCTATTCTCACATTAGACCTTTAAAATCCTCATTATTTTATGAGAATTATCTTTTAGGGTTATAGTTTTTACAATGCTAAGTAAATTTATAATGTTAACTATGTAATATAGTGTTTCAGCTTCTGTTTGTAAAAAATTATATAGTCCATCAAATTACCTCTGACAGTAATTCTAAGAGTTACTAATTTCAGTACTTTTTAAAAACTAAAGTTTGGGGACATTTCATTATTGCCACATTATAACACCAATATGGTAAATTTGTTGAGACCAGTGAGCAACATGGTGAGATCCCATCTCTACAAAAAATAAAAAAAAATTAGCTGGGCATGGTGGTGTGTGCCTACCATGCCACACACCAGCTACTTGGGAGGCTGAGGCAGAAAGATCGCTGGAGCCCAGAAGGTCGAGGCTGCAATGAGCCATGATCACACCACTGCACTCTAGCTGGGGCAGCAGAATGAGACCCTGTCTCAAAAAAATAAAAATAATAAAAATATGGTAACTTTATGCTGAACAACTTAACCTCTAGTGGAAATTTCTTCAGATAAATGTGAAATCCCAAATTATTTTGACATTTATTTCTATCGTATTTGTGACATTTTTCATACTCACCTTTTTTAGATGGCTTGGGTGGTACAACTGGGCCAGGTTCTATGTTGTCATAAAAATTATTCATGGCTTTTGGATCAAAGTTTCCTATAAAGAAAGTAAATTCATCAGGCATTTAAGAACTCTTTTTTCCTGTTATTTGATTTTTTTTTAAAGAAAATATGTAAATAAAACACATAAGAAGGGAAAAATGTTTTCCAGGATTTCAAAATTCATTACATAATTCTGTCCTCCCAATGAAATTGTGTTTTCATCGCTGTGAGAAAAGACCCAAGAAAACCACTACACAGATGTATGTCTACAATGTATTACACTTAAAGGAATATTTTTCTAATTGTAAGGCTAGTCTCCTTAGGCAGGATTAGGCATGTGGGGCATTTGGGGAGATAAATGAAGAAGAGAAATGAAAGGATGGTTGAACTGTTTTCTCTTTCTGCTTGTTTTGATTTTTAATGAACAAACTGTGAGAAAGAACACTTAAATAATGAAAGCTTACTTTCATATTTATCATAATTTACCTTAAAAATTCATTATAAATTGAACTACAGAAAAAGCCAAATATAAACATTTACAAGGATTAATCAAGTTATATTTTGAGACTACTAAGCAACCTCAATAAATGTGAAATAACATCAGCAGTTTATGTATTCTTATTTTCAAGAAAAGGAGAATCTTACACTAAGTGTTAAATGTTTCCTACAGATTTATCAATGATAAAAGGTGCCAATTTCAGAATAGATAGAACAATACCTGAGAATTTTGTCTTGCCACAAAATTTTCACCTGTCTGTCTTCAAATGTTCATTCCCTGGTCTAGTGTCTGTATTTCAGCCACATCTCCTGCTGTGTCTCCTCCAAGGTTGGTTTTGGGTCCTGCCTTCACTTCTGTGAACCTATCACTGTGCTCTGCTTGTTCTAAACGATTACAGTTAACTGTAGCCATACTTATTTATAGAAGATGCTGTATGGTACTAATACTGATAGTTTAAATATATTAAATCTCTTCATTTCCAGATCTACTTTTTTTTTTCCCAACAAGTTTTCCTTACCAAAAATCACAAAAAAGCTGGTTTTCATCAAGTCATGCACTGATTTGCATCTATTCTAAATGCTTATTCCCCTGCCTCCCCCCGTCACCACCGAAAAAGGTTTAGATTCCTTCCCTAGCTTAAAAGTTTAGATTGGAAACTCAGTATAAAAAGTTTTCTGCAGTGTGGAAGAGTAGAATTTAGTATAAAATGGATACATTTAGATTCGTTATGAAAAGAGATTTAGAAATGCCTAAGTATCCCAAAGAGCTCATTGTCCAATGCAGACAAAAAACACAGCTCTTTGCTTATAAAACCTTAATAGTGGTTTCCCTTGCAGGCCCTTTCACAAATGTTTTATCCACTTGAATATGCTGTTTTAAGATAATTTTCTGAAAATAATTGCTGTGATAGCTCATAAAAGCCACAGTGCTATTTGATGTATTAATTGAATCTTTTTATGCTTTAAGAAGCTGCATATGTATTTCTTCAATTACTTGTTACAGCTCATGTTCTAATTTCTAGATCACAAAAGGCTTACTATAAGTATCCTAACCAAATGTTTTACTGTTTGTTTTGCTCCAAAGACCACACAAGTAAAAGAAATTGATGCAATCTTCTAAAATATAGTAGCAATAGTTTATGTAACCCCTACATCATGCATAGTAATTCTTTGATTGCTTCAAGTTAGTGGGCTATAGAGTGACTAGGCTTCTGAAAATGACTTTAAGGGTACCTGACTAGATTGCTCAATTCTCACATTCAAATTTGCTTCTGTCTGTTGTTCAGATAATGCCGTGTCTTTTGGGTTCACCTGCCACTAATCTTTAA
The DNA here is from genome assembly GCF_000001405.40 of Homo sapiens. Classification (NCBI taxonomy): domain Eukaryota; kingdom Metazoa; phylum Chordata; class Mammalia; order Primates; family Hominidae; genus Homo; species Homo sapiens. The sequence goes on from NC_000023.11 coordinate 30,844,821, forward strand.
TCTCTCGCTCTTTGTTTTTTAGACCGAGTCTCCTTCTGTTGCCTAGGCTAGAGTGCAGCGGTGTGATCACGGCTCACTGCAGCCTTGACCTCCTGGGCTCAGGTGATCCTCCTGCCTTAGCCTCCCACGTAGCTGGGATCACAGGCACACACCACCACACCTAGCTAATTTTTAAAAAATTATTTGTAGGGATGGGGTCTCCCTATGTTGCCCAGGCTGGTCTCTAACTCTTAGGCTCAAGTGATCCTCTCACCTTGGCCTCCCAAACTGCTGGGAATACAGGCATGAGCCATTGTGCCCAGCCTACTGTTTGTTTAATCTTGCCTAAAAATGGCAGTGAGATATTTTATTATATACTCTTAAAACACTGTAGAAAGTCTTAGCTGCCATAATCAAGAAAAGTTAAGTGTGGGGGATGGGGGGCAGGAAAGCTGATTAATACACAGAATTAAGAAAAATTACACGTCAACTTTAACGTAACAAAACACTTGTATATAGCTATATTTTAAAGTTAGTTAGATAAAGACCTAATTTTTACGTGTCTGTTGGCTGGGGTTCCATATTGTATTTCTTACATAAACCACACCCATGATGACCTACAGCAGAGGTTGGCAAACCTTTTCTGTCAAGGGCCAGATAATATTTTAGACTTTGTGGACCTGTGATAGAGTCTCTGTTGCAAGTAGTCAACTGTGCTGTTGAAGCACAAAGGCAACCATAGGCAATATGTAAACAAATGGGCATGGCTATCGCTCCACTAAAACTTTTATTCACAGAAACAGGCAACAGGCCCTAGTTTGCTGAACCCTCATCTATAATTTTGATTGCTTTAGAATGGAGCAAGAAAGATATTAAGAACACTTATAATGCAATTTGAGTACAGAATCCTTTTAGACTTTTTTCAGTTGTTTTCACCCATATCTAATTCACAATCCCTATTTTTTGAGTGATTTGCCTTTGGCTTTCATAGAAAGAGCGGCTTTCTCCTTCATGTCAGTTTATGAAACATTAAATTGCAGAAATACAATAACTGGCATAAACAGGTTTGGGGACAGAATCAACTCTTGGTAAGCAGACAATTCAACCGATGGGAGCAATATTCATGGGCCTACCAGAATGCAGCCTACTAGTCAAAAGTATGCAGCAGCTGTGGACATCAGTCAGTATATTTTCCACAGAAAATGAAGACCATCTCTAATCTGGTGAGTTGGGTAAATGAAAGTTTAAGAGAGCTTCTGCTGTAGTATACTTCTGTAAAAAAATCCAAAAAACTAAAACTATGATTATAGTTGAATGTTTTCACATAACATAACATGAAAAATAACATATATAGAGTTTATTTTAAAACTGAGAAATCTGATACTCTGATTTGGGATCCCTTTTTACAGATATTTTAGATGTCTATCACATAATATGAACTCTACTAAGTTTTAGAATTAAAACCCATCAATTTATAAAATATTCACAGTAAATGACAAAAAGAGGATAAATGCAAAGTAACAACATAGAACAGTCTAAATGATAAGAACTTGATGAAACTGCCGAAGTAAAACTATTTTTTCATCCCCAAATCTGATCCATGACCATGGGACAGGGGGATCTCTTTCCCAGGATTGTAATCTTACGGATAAAAACTGTCTCTTAAATCTACAAAACCAAAGTTATTGCTATTTAAGCAGCTTAAAATACCACACTATTACTTATGGTTTACCAAATAATCAAGTCTATACCTCTAGATTGAAGGAGGTCAACTTCTTTCAGTGTACAGTCAACATTTATCTGGAGTTGTCTGTTCATGCTTCTCAATCTTGTCATTTCCTCAGGCTAGTAAGAAAGGACCCAAAATAGCAATTGTGGGAAAGTCATTATCAAGCCCAACATTTAAGAACTGCGTTTCATGTTAATTGTAATGATTGGGTATTACCAAGAATACGGCCTTAGTCCATAAGAGGGCATGTTTAAGAAGTCCTATGTATATGTTTTTAAAGGAATAGTCGGGTAAAATGGGGACATCAAAATGGCCACATATAAACAAAATCTGCATATAAAGTGGCGAGCTGCAGTAGTGGACTGTGTTCTACCATACAAGATACTACCGTTTTAATCATAGAGCACTGAGAATATTTTGTGTCTATGTTTTCATGGTAAGGGAAACTGTAAGAATCAACCTGTTAAACGAGTCATGTCCATGATCTTAGTCTTGTCCAGCCTGGTAAAAATTACAACAGTACGGTGTTTACCAGAATTCTCTCATTCCTTCTTCTTAACAATCCTTTAAGGTAGGTACTAATATTGTGCCCAGTTTATAGATGAGGAAACTGAGGCACAGAGAGGTTATATAATTTTCTTAAAGTTATAAAGCTAGTAATTGGTAGAGCCAGGATTTATATAAAAGACTCCTATATAAATTCATATATAAATATTTTTGTCATATTTTTTCTAGATTGAAGGAGGCAGTTACTCTAGCACATGAAAACTTCAGAAACAAATGAATTCCATTTGTTCCCCAACTTTGTTTTCTTCTGCCTCTACCTCTTCAGGCCAGCCCACTCCTTAGGCCTTTCAGGGGCACATATGAGGCACTGAAATGTGAAGAGAGTCCTAATCTTCTATTCAGTAAAGCTTTTTGGAAGCCTTTACTTCCCATGTCATCCTTAATTTCTTTATTTTTATATATATGTATATATATAAATATACATATATATGTATAGTAAAAAAGTCAAAGTTTAGAATCTAGAGGCTGAAATACTGAAGCTTTCAGCACGGCCCAGGTATTAAATACTAGGGTGATTTTAACTATAACATATAAAGTGAAAAATTAAATATCTGCTACTATAGGAAGACAGAACAAAATCCTATTCTGTTAAAAACATGTACTTTGCTAAACGCTAAATATGTTAATATGCCAGTGAAAGAAAAATGAGCAGAAAGGATATCTTAATTCATATGGTGTTAGGAGCTATTATCAGAGTAACTGAGAATGCCCATTAAATAAGCAGGTATCAAAGTTTAAAATAAGTGATAAAAGGCAGAATAGCTACAATTCCACAGAATGCTAGAGGAACAAAAAAAGTCGTTTAGAAATATTTATTATGGACTGCCTTTTCTAATTCCTATGGGCTAAAACTATGTGACATTAATGTGTAAAATGCTTTGCGCCTTGCCTATCAAGCAATATTCAAATAGTTTAAAATATATACTTGAACATTTAAATTAAAGATAATGTAAGGGCTCCAAACAGTGATGCTATCTTCCTAGGAACACATGGAAGAACCTGTCGGGAAAGTCAAGCACCTGAAAAGGATTATCTATTCCATAGGTTTTAGGGAGTTGGGGGCAAGAGAGATGTTTCAGCCACAGTGGCCCAAAACAGTGAAGCAGCCACCACACAGTTGCTCGTAACGAAAACATACTTTCATCAGGCCGGGTGCAGTGGCTCACTCCTGTAATCCCGGCACTTTGGGGGGCCAAGGCAGGTGGATCACTTGAGGTCAGGAGTTTGAGATCAGCCTGGCCAACATGGCAAAACCGTCTCTATTTAAAATACAAAAATTAGCTGGGCGTGGTGGTGCGTGCCTGTAGTCCCAGCTACTCGAGAGGCTGAGGCACGAGAATTGCTTGAACTGGGGAGGTGGAGGTTGCAGTGAGCCCAGATTGCACCACTGCACTCCAGCCTGAGCAACAGAGTGAGACTCTGTCTCAGAAACAACAAACATACTCTCATCAACAGGCTCATTTCCAAAGATAGTAGAACCACTCGATCTTACTAAGGGTTTATCAGTAAGATTCCTATGTCCTTTTTCATATGGCTTCTGATTAAACTGAGGGGGGAAAAAAAGCAGTTTCTGAGAAATTACTGCCATTTGTCAAAAGTAGTTTTCGTGCAGGAGGAATTTCAAAATTGGGTATGTATAATTCAAAGTTGTCTGTAAGAAAACAGGATGTTTGTAGCCAACATTTCAAAATAAAAAATGGTAAGCTTTTTTTCCAAAGCTGGCATAGACCAGCGTCAAAGACCACTGATGTTCTTTGGTGGCTGGGACTCAGTTATGCCTCTGGGACTCAAAGCTGTGGGATAGTCCAAAAATGTAATTAGAACAGGAAGAATGGGGGGGAATAACTTGAGGGAGGGGGTAATTGGCAGCTTTCTGCATATTAAAATCTTATCCTTCAAGGTAAAACTTAAATTTCCCCCTCCTCCTTGAAACTGTTCCATCTATAAACTCTATAGGTAAAAAGCTAACATTTCTATCTCAAAACTCTGAAAGTACTTATATTGTTACCATTTAGCTGGTCAACACTTCTGATTTACTGCCTTATATTTTCTCTCTCACACAAATACATATAGACTCACAGATATACCTATCTCATTTCACATACAGATCTAAGAGATGACATCTTTGTCAGCATTTAATATAATGCTTTGCAAATAACAGATTAAGGGAAATGACACCATCATGCATCTTATATCTTGCACTTCTGCTCTCCTTAGAAAAAGATTATTTCACTGTTATTCTAAGTTTCTACAACCTCCCTCCCCCACATAGCTGGTCACAAATGTGCACTGCAGTATCATTAGGCAAGCAACTTTCTAATCAATTTTGTATATACTGCCTGATAAGCAGTTTGTTTGAAAACTTGAAGGTAGCAATGTGTGCTTTAGTAGCAAAAATGTCAATTCTCCACTGGGTATTCCTATACACAAGTGGGACAATGATAAGGCTAGCCATCTACTGTTCACATACTTCATGCCAGGCTTATTACATACACTGTCTCTTTATCTTGACAATTATTATAATGTACTTGCTATAATTCTCTTTTACAGCTAGGGAAAATCAGATGCAGAGAAATCAGATATAGCCAGTGAGCGCCTGAGCAATTCTGACTCCCAAGCCTATGTGGGCTCTCTTTCCACTATATCATGGTTCCTCAAATGAGCCTTGATGAGCAAAATGGGAAATCTGACTAAATGATTTATTTCTTGATTAATTTCCTACATAAGTATAATCTTATATATGTTCAAGTTCAAAGGAAGTCAAAGTATAAAATGCTTCAGATTTATGTGTCTAAACCTCAAGCAAAGTTGTCTAGTATTTTGCAACCAACACATATTTTATAAGAACACTTACTATTTGTTGGGCATTGTGTAAACTGCTTCACATATATTACCTCATATAATCCTAAGAAAAATCCCGTAAGATGAGTACTATACCACACATTTTATAGATAAGAAAACAAGCATAGAGAAAGTTACTTATCCAAGGATACATGAGTGACAAATAGAAGTAGGATTCAAACTGGCACCTGACTTGAGAGCCTACTCACGGTCTCAACCACCACGTACTGTCCCTCTGCTGTGTACTACAATTGTCCTCCATTTTACACTAGGCTTGGCAATGGAAACACATGGGAAACACTTAAATGTCTTATCTCTCAGATGTTAGCACCCACATGAACTACCAATTTCTCAATCTGGGGGATGGCTACATGGGGGTTCATTATACTATTTTATGTATCTTTGAAATTATAATAAAAGTTAAAACTAAATTACAGCCCAGGGCAGCAGTTTCACCAACTTCTCTTTTTCCTTTCTCAAGAAGATAGATCGGGGGCCAGGTGCGGTGGCTCATGCCTGGAATCCCAGCACTTTGGGAGGCCGAGGCGGGCAGATCACAAGGTCAGGAGTTCGAGACTAGCCTGGCCAACATGGTGAAACCCCGTCTCTACTAAAGATACAAAAAATTAGCCAGGCGTGGTGGCACACTCCTGTAATCGCAGCTACTCGGGAGGCTGAGGCAGGAGACTCGCTTGAACCTGGGAGGCGGAGGTTGCCGTGAGCCGAGATCACGCCATTGCACTCCAGCCTGGGTGACAGGGTGAGACTCTCCATCTCAAAAAAAAAAAAAGAAAGAAAGAAAAAAGATACATCAATAAGAGCTCTGATATAAAATCTGGGGCTTTTTTCTTTTTTTTTTTTTTAGTACTAACCTATGCTACATTAGACAGTTCTCCACTTCCAATGAAAAACAAAAAAAAACCAATATTTTATTTAGCAGGGATTATCACACAGCAAGTAGTTGCTAAATAAAATGTATATGATTAAAGAAAATTACTATGCTAAGAAAATTTGTTTATGCTCTACAGGTACCTAAAGGTTTCCAAAGTACCCAACTACTACGGGTGGATTCCCATATGGGTTATGTCCTTCAATATCTTCCGCAATCAGAGGATTCAATTAAGATTTCAAATGGAGAAAATGAGGCAGAAATTTGATTTATATTAACATCACCTTTCCATTAAAGATAACTTTGTTATTTTCCAGTGCTTTAAGTAGTTAAAATCTTCCTCCTCACTTCTAATATTGACTATACACGATATTACAAAAAAGTCACTAAATTAGTGAATATGCCAATTTCTCAAGACTCTCTCTCTCAAAAACTCCCACTTGTTCCCTGTTACCAGGAGAATAAAGTTCAAGCACCTTGACCTAGCATTCAAGGTCAAAGCCCCAGTTAACCTCTGTTAACTCTTCAGAAATCTCATGCTTATGCCAGGGAACTGTAGTTACTGTCTCCTAAAAGTCACTCTCCATCTTGACTTCAAGCCTTCATTACCTTATTGTTCTTTTCTCTTCTAAAATGCCTTCCCCTTTTCTCTCTGCCTATTGTTTAAGGCAATGGTTCCTCACTCCTTTTTTCCTCCAATGTAATAATCTTATGAAAATCTGATGAAAGCTATAGACCCACTTCCCATATTAAACACACTTATGAAACTCTGCATATAATTTCAGAGAATTCACAGATCCCCTTTGAAGCCAAGAACCTCAAGTAGAAACTTCTCTATGAGGGAGTGGCTGCAGACATGCTGACTGCAAGAGGCCTGACATATGCCCACTTCTCTAAACCTGTAAACTCAGAGATTGCCCTTAGCTTAGAGAGGGTAGGAAAATGAGGAAAGGCTTCATGGAAAAAGTAGAGGTTAAGTTGAGCCTTGAAGAACAGAACAGACAAGATTTACACGTGCAGAGCTTTTTAGAAGGGCATTCCAGCAGGAGGATTAATGTAAGAGCAGAGAAGTGCAATGAATCTGCACAGAAACGAGTTGATGTATAAATTCTCTCATTACCCGTGAACATATACAGCACTTACCACACTGTATTATAATTATCTGTTGATGTATCTATTTTTCCCACTGGTAGGTATGTACTAAGCATCTAGCATAGTACCACATTGCATAAACTATACGCACAAAACTGCTAAATGTTGAAAGGTGAAATGATAGGTTGGATCATCGCTTGTGAAGTCACAAGATTTTAAACATGCTTCAAAATTCTCAGTTGTTTGGGATCGTTAGAACTCATATATATTAACCAACATGTTAAAACTATATTATCTGAATCTTTTCATTAGAGCAGTTCCCTTTAAGACTGCTATCAATCAATACTGTTATCTCAGTTTCTACAATTATTTATACTTAACAAAACTGCTCTGCCTTAAAATATTCTACAGTTAACACTTCTCCAAAATTCATATTGATCTAACTCATCTGAATTAATGTACTTACAAAAATAATTAATTTTAAATGTTTAAAAAATATATATATCATATGCTTAGAAGAATAAATGAATACACAAAGAATAAATTCATCAAATTTTTGGTCAGGGTGCACTTTTCATTTCTATTTTGACAGCAATTTACAAATAAATGAGATGCTATACCTTGATTATAATCGTCAGTGTTTGAAAATACTGATGAGCCTATGGAATCTGCATACATGAATTATTTTGATGAGAACTACTAAAGGCAAAAGTCCTTCATCTGTTGTTTTTAAAAAAAGCAACAATAACAACAACAACAAAAAACCGGAACTCTGCCAGGAATAAAGCCTAAAGAAAAATAAATGACCTGACAGCCAATATCCCGACCCTCCTATTAACACATCCTAACAGATCACTTACCGTAGGGATCGCAGTGGTGCAGCTGACTCTTCTGAGCCGTCTCTGCATCAGGTCATGCTCCATACCATTAACTTCAGACTTCAACCGCTCTAGCTCCTCTTTCTCAAGTTTCAGTTGCTTTGCTAACCTCTCCATCCTTGCTCGTTGATGTAACAGCAAGGCTACAGCATTATAGATAATGTCATTGCAGAGAACAACATTGAACAAGCGACTGGAAAATTTCGATATGCACTGCTAATGTATAAAAGACTCATTCAACTTGGGGGTTGGCATTTACTCTCATGTCTTTCTAATGCTATGCTGCCTCCACATCTGCTTCAATTTAGCCCTCTGAATGCAACCAAAGTGACATCACCTGAACATCCCTCTTGTTCTATTGTCCTAAGATTCTCTTTATACTTATGTGTGTTTTGAACAGGCTGACTACCAGGCATACTGAATAATTACTTCCCTTCTTATATACTGAAAGAAAACTAAATTCTCCGGTTATCTTGAAACAATCTGAATAGACTTTTTAAAAACTCTGTATCTAATTTAGGTCTACTATTAGCTAATCCAATAATCTACTATTAGCTAATCCAGTAATTCCACTTTTATATATTATTACTTTTTAGCTAATCCAATAATTCCACTTCTTATATATTATTTATATGTAAATATCATTATGCCCTCTGGGCCATCCTCTTTAGAAAAGATTCAAATTCTTTCGTTTGATGAACTTTAGTCCATTCTCCATGAATCTCTTTTTTCCTACTCTGTAGTTTGTACTTTTGACAATTTCCATGTCACTTGTATTTTTCGCTCTATGAATATTCTTTCTAAACTAAGCCTTATTAGGCCTACATTTTCATGTTTTAAAACAAAGTCTATACATGACTCTGAAGCACTAACTTTATTCTTTTTGTTTGTTTGTTTTGGACACAGTCTCCCTCTGTTGCCCAGGCTGGAGTGCAGTGGCGTGATCTCAGCTCACTGCAACCTCTGCCTCCTGGATTCAAGCTATTCTCCTGCCTTAGCCTCCCGAGTAGCTGGGATTGCAGGCATGCGCCACCACACCCAGCTAAGTTTTGTATTTTTAGCAGAGGTGGGGTTTCTCCATGTTGGCCAGGCTGGTCTCAAACTCCTGACCTCAGGTGATCCACCTGCCTCAGCCTCCCAAAGTGCTGGGATTACAGGCGTGAGCCACCGCACCCGGCCACTAACTTTATTCTTAATAGCAATGCTACTGCCCAACATTTAATACTAAACATTTAATTAAAACTAAACAGCTAATATATTTGAATGGGAGACTGCTGCCTCACCACAGAAATTAAATTTCATAAAAGGGTTAAAATTTACCTTGTGTGTAGGCATAGTCATCTGATCCAGAACTAGAACTTCTCTGATATTTATGGCTTCCCTTTTCTCCCCCAGAGCCTGGTATCACTGAAATGGGCTGAATAGGTTCTGGTGCTGCAGAGCGCTCTTCTTGGTCCACTAAATTTAAAAGATTTTCAGTCGTTGCTCGGCCTACGGTAATTTTAAAAACTGTAGTTGGGTTTGGTATCACTCGAGGAGATGGTGATGGAGTACAAGAAGGTCCAGTTGGCTGTGTATATGTAATATACACAGGATTAACACTAAATGGAGGTTTTGGTTGACTAGATATCCCTCTTGAAGGAGAACTTGAAGGTGGCGTGGTGGCTGTGTACAGTGAGTGTTGATTCCGTGGAGATGGTTGATTACTGATGGGTGAAGGACTCCTATTAATTGCTGTCCCAGGTCTTTGAGAAGGTTCAACTGTAATTTCTATCTTCTTCATGGAACCTTTGGATAAACTAGATGCTGTGTATGGAAGATAGGCTACTGAATGGCTTCCCTGTTTCTGATAGCTAGGAGGTCCTTGTTGATATGGATGGGGTGGAGTAGTTGAAGGACTAGGTGGCATAAAGATGTGGCCCAACTGGGAAGGTTGCACTTGATGCTGTGGAGAGCTGAAGGGTGAAGGACATTGAGAAGGAGGTGGTGAATGGTAAGCAGACTGAGGGATCTGCTGCTGTTTGGGAGAATACTGAGAAGGCTGATAGTTCTGTTGGTGTGGATAAACAGGTAAAGGACGCTGGCTATAGTGAGGCACTGGGCCCTGTGGTGAGGACTGCCACGGCGTACTCTGAGGAGTTTGTCTTCCTGATGAACTCTGAGATGTCTGTCTAATATAAATAGAACCAGGAGACCCATAGAGATTGCTTGGAATTTGTGGAAGAATTTGTAAAGCTCTTGGTACAGTCTGTCCAGAAGGGAGGTTCTGGGATACTGTAACAGTAATTGGATTTGTACTATACCGAGGTATGTGCATGTATGAAGGAGGTGGCGGTGGTGGTGAAGGCCCTTGCATAGCAGACGGATTCATTCCTGTTTGCATGGAAGATGGCTGTTGAGGTGGTTGTGAAGGAGGAGTAGCTGCACTTCTGTTCTGTTCGTTCATAAAAAATGGATTGTAGTTGGGAGTAGCAGCAACAACAGCTGGAGCTGAGTGTGGTTCTTGAACTAAACATATCAGCTGTTTACCTGCTGCATGCTGAGGATCAATATGTCCATCACTTGAGCTATGTACCAGTGTTCGACCACCATTAAGTTGGGCTCCATCTCCTGGGTGATAGCTACTAGGAGAATGGATACCCAGGTTAATATGTAAAAGGCGATTTCTATTCATCCTATTGTCATCTGGACTATGGTATTCCATATATAAGTATTTGCTACTCTCCTGGGAAAGGGCTCGGCAACAGGCTTCAAGATTGTTGTTATTCTAGGGGAGAAAAATGGTAAAAGTAACATTGGCAACATTAACAAATTCTAATAGTGGAAGTCAGGCTTTGCCAGAGAGTTATGCAAATACTACTGTCACAGAATAAATAGAGAGCAGTATTTTAACCACAAAAAACTTCATGGTCATCTATCCTGAAAAGGAGACCCAAACGATTCATATTATTTTACAAACATTTAGCTCACATTACTAGTACTACCACTACTGCTACTGCTACAGAAATGTAAAGTACCTACTAATGAACACTGTGACTCAACCCCAAGTTTTCTGACTCCAAATCCAGGACTCATTTTATACTTGTTGCATCTCAACAAATTAAAATGTTGGGCTTATCTCGGATTCACCACAATTGCTGCAATATAAGTATAAGTAATATCCATTATTAATATTTAAATTGATAAAAAACATAAAAATAACCATGCTTTAGTTTTTAAAAGGCACTAAAACCACAAAAGGAGAAAAAGAATTACAATAAAATTCCTCAAGAGTTAAAACAATAAAAATTCTAAAGCAGCCCTCATTTTTCTTTTACCTAAATTTATCCTTGAATAACTTCAACTGTCTGAACCATTACGTAAGATTTAAGCAAAACGAATCAGTATAAAAAAAGTCCATAACTTGAACTACGGCTCCATGACTTTGCCCGAGTTAGGGTAATTTAATTAAAAACCTGGTGTCGACTGCCTTAATTAAATTCATTCATACTCTCACAGTCTCAAAAGTTTTTACCCGCTGAAAGGTGTCTTGGTATACTTTCAAAATCACTGAAAGATTTGAATTGTTTAATTCTACACTCACAAAGGAGGTAATAGCAAACTGACACTTTTGAAGTTCCAACTGACAGTAATCAGACTAATAAAAGGTTCCCTCTTTGTAAAATGTTAATTTATCATAAAGCAGTTCTCTAAGGAAATACAGAATTCCAAACTATTTTACTAGTGTAAAGCACATATTATCCACTACTTTTGAAGTAATCCATAAAAGTTTCCCAATTATTGTGACCTTCTCTGTAGTTCATAAATATACACACAGATATGTACATGCATAGATATTACTATATATTTATTTTAGGAAAAGTACATTTTATATAAAAATGAAAGGAAATAATTCATTTCTGCTGAGAACCAAATGAAGTTAAACCTAAAACAGGACCCATAATGTTGTAATTTTAGAGTTGGGAGAACTCCTATTAGAGTTCATCTGCTCCAATTCAACGCACATTTACAGATGAGGAAAAAGATGCCTGGGAAGTTACATGGCTTGACAATAGGCACTTAACTAGTTAACAGAAAAGCCAATTCTAGATTCTTATTCTCCTGAGTCCCAGTGCTCTTTCCACATGATAATTTCAAGGGAAAGGATGTCTGGCCAAAAGGACATTATTAAACTGGAGCTTTAGGAAGTTTAAAAAAAAGTCCAGCAAATCTTTACAAAATGAATTCTTAGAAATTTAATGAATTGGCTGTATTAAAACTCTATAGATCATTTTAACCTTTTCTTTATATAAAGTTTTTGATACTAAAATTCAAATACTTTAAAAAATGAGATCATGCGTGTAAAACATTAACATTCTACCCAGATGATAGTGACAAATGGCAATTATAATCAATATAGAAAATTTAAAATTCAAATACTTCAAAAAATACTTTGAGTGACGGAAAGATGTATTAATTGAAGAAAACCATTACAACTCAAAGATTTGAATTATTTTTACCTTGCTTGAAAATCGTATTGAGCAAGGAAGGGAAGATATTAAAAACAAATTTGGAGCCAAAGGATTCAAACTGATTGCCAACTAGAATGTGTCACTGACAGACATCTGAAGGAAAAAAATATGGAAGGTGAAATAAAGTATTCTTTTTTTTTTTATAGACCTATGGATTAGGGGAAAACAAAAACTAGAGAGTTTCGTTTGAAACATAAGGTAGTCATGGATACTTTAACATCTGATATTTTTATTAATAACCCTGAAATTCCATGTTCTCTACACTGAGTTAGCCTACTTAGTATTGTCACAAAAAGGACCCAAATTCAAAATGATATAAAGTTGGAATTGTCAGCATATCTATAGTGACAAGTTGAGTAAATTTTCCTATGAAGAAAAATTTAAAAAACCACAAAACCAAGATATTAAAGTATTATTTTTACAGAAGTACTGTACAAAGAAAACTACCAGAATAGATTCTAATGTCACATTTGACTGTTAAATGTCTTTAAAGAAAAATAAGGATAAAAAATGTATCAAACAGTAAACATGAGGAAGAAATCAAAATCATTTCAGAGGTAAGAATTTTTAAGACATATAATGAACACTTTTGAAAGGAATGAGGCAAAAAAGCATCATATTCCTAAAAAGTGATCCTAAATTGAGGATGATACACCCCAGAGTGAGGCTCTAAGGCTTGCACATTAAATGCAAACTGCTGAGCTTCGTACATTTTAATGTGAATAAAGCAGTTTTCCAGAGCCAGTAGGTGGTAAATCTCCATACCAATATATTTTATTAATCCCAAAGGAAGAAAAAAGTGAAAGACTTAGGACAGTGTAATTATCAACAAATGTTCACTGAGCTGAATTTGAAGTTCTATTTCTTCAGTTTAGTTAAATGGTAATGAAAAATGCAGGTAATAAAGGGCTAAGTGAAATAAAACAAGGTCAGGGCTAGGTTGGGCCCTAAGATAGGTGAGGAAGGTGATTGCTAGGAAGTGGTTTAAACTAAAAGCTTCATCCTTATTTGGTTTCACTCCGGTGGGAAGTGTCTTTGCTCTACCAGAAACCAAAATGGGGCCAAAGTAAAGAGCTGAGATTCAGGCTAGGAATGTGTGTGAGAAAAAGCAAAGGCAAGCTGTAACACAAAAACCATAAGCCCAAAGCTCTAGACTAGTAAAGGGCTTGCAAACAAAGGAAGCACCTCTGTTACCATCATTGTTCTCTGAGTCTCTATTTTTAATTAACCACACCTGTATATAGGTTTAGGTTATGTCCTGAGCTGCTCACACTGCCATAAGGTAGAGTTTGAACATGAGTACTGACTGTGTGTGAGGAAGACCAGTGAGCATGGTAGAAGTACTGCTGCCCAAAGTTAAGCAAATAGGTAAGTGCCATAACCCAAAACACTAAGATCCTGTGAAGGATTATATAAAACATAACAAGGGGACAGTGGGACAGGGAGATGGGGTACAGGGAAAGTGGTAGGCCAACTTCTCTGTTTGTTGTCCCCTGAGTGGGAAAGACACATTCTGTCTTCGAGATGAGATTTAATTCAATGTAAGACACACAGCAAAACAAAGGTAAGGTGAGTGAAAATGGGCTTACATTTAAAATTAGATATCGGTAAGGATTTAGCATTAGAAAAACAGGGAGTGGATTATCTAAAGACTTTTAAAAAAAGACTCAAAAGTGTGTAGTCTAAGAAGTTAAAATGATACATTTAAGATTCAAAATTCAACTCTAAGGACTTAGGGACTGATAGTACAACCCAAAAACTTCAAAAAGTGAAACATAAGGAGAATCTGTTTTTCTTGTTGCTACATGCTTTTATTTTCTTCTCCAATCTGTGGTTCTCAATGGTGGGAGATTTTGCCTCCCATGAGACATCTGGCAATGTCTAAAGACATTTTCAGTTGTCACAACTGCGGGGATGCTATTGTTATTTACTGGGTAGAGGCCTCGGATGCCTAGAACGTTTAGTAATTCTACAATGCACAAGGCCGACTCCCACAACAGAGAATTATCCAGGCTAGACTGTCAACAGTGCCAAGGTTGAGGGAAATCCTGCTCCACACACACACACACACACACACACACACACAAGAAAACATACCTGGGTTCTAATTACATCACACATCACCAGCTCTAATAGGAAAAACTAGAACTTAATATCACTATCACTGGTAGGTAACTTACCTGTAACATGCACTGAGACACCACGCCCTCTGGAATTTCAGGGAAACGTTGTCGAAGATCATGGAGAACCTGAATATCAAGCTGTGGGCTGCTTTGCGCCATGCCAGAGCAAATGGTGGCCAAGTTTCTCTTAGGAAATGGATGTTAACCGGCTTTCCAAAAGTAATGATCTTCTAGCACCACAGTCATTTTCTATTTAAAAAAAAAAAAAAAGTATGGTTAAGTCTAGTTACATATTTTACTTTATTCCTATTGATCCTATACATCTCAGTAGTGGTGGCATCTCCTCTAAGGAGGCTTCCACTGACACTCCTTCTTAGTCCTGCTGCCTTGCCTCTCCCCTCCACAATGCTGCCAAAGCAGGCTGTGCTTACCCTCACAGAAACACTAAACACGCTATACTGAAACCATCTATGCACCTAAAGGTCTCACCTATTTAAAAAAAAAAAACAAAAAACAAAAACCTGAAGCCCCACCTGGAATATAGCTCATTATTAAAGACAGTGAGGAAGTACTCAAGAAGTGATGGGAACATATAAGGACCTGGAAGTCAACTTGAAGAGGTGCACTCACTGGCCACATTTGCAACAATTTGAATACCAAAATAATAAAAGACAGTAATGAGTTATAAACCTGTAGAAAAGAGGGAGCCGTGTGTCCGTATCAATGAAGATAGCTAAATACATACCTACAAAAATAGGGGAGAAGGGAAGTCCCTGCTTACAGTAAAATCCAATTGGTAAACATGCAGGAGTGCTGGAGCTGGAAGAAAAATCATTTTGCAGCCATCATAGTATAGACTACTTCAAGCAAGTATCATCAATGGATGCTAAATCTAGGGGAAAATCTGGATGAAGAGTAGGAAATACACACAGTTTTAAAAGTGTGTACCCAAAGCTTATTAGTTGCAAAGGGGAAAAATTTAATTATACAGTGGACAAATTGAACAACATCTTGACTGGGTGATCAAAATGATGAACATCACCAATGAGGGCCAGATGGACTGCACAGGCCTCCAGATGTGACACCATGAGAAAAACACATCATTTTATAGTATTACAGTCAGAAATGCATAACCTGAAACTAATCATGAGGAAATAGAACATTTCTCATTTTGGGCTTTTCTATTAAAAAGCGAAGGGGAAAGGAAATGTCATTTTAAGACAAAGGTTTGAAAAATGTCCCAGGTTAAAAAAGAGAGAGCCATGACAACTAAATCTTTTACCTGATCCTGATCCTATACTAAAAGGGAAAACTGTTAATAAAATAAATGAGTGGATCCACTGACCAAAGTGAAATGTTGATGGTAGATTAGAAGTATTCTATCAATGTTAAATGTATTGAATTTCCTGTTTTCTGAATTGATAACTGTGCTGTGGTTACATAAGAGAATATTCCTATTTTTCGGTATTAGACAATGAAGCATTCAGTGGTAAAGGGCATGCAACTTACTCTCAAACAGTTCAGAAAAAAATATATGTACATGTGTACATACAAACATGTGTACATGCACACATGCATGTGTGCACAGACAACTATAAAGCAAATAGGAAAATGTTAATAGGTAAATTTAGGTAAAGGGTATGCGGTGTTCTTTCTCCTATTTTTAGTCAGTTTAAAATTATTTCCAAATAAAAAGTAAAAATGACAACAAAAACCAGCTAACCAAACAAAAGCCTGTAGCTCTACTCAAGATCTGTGCCTTGTTCACCACTGTATTTACAGAGCCCAACTACTCAAGTATCTGTTAAATGATGAATCAATTTCACTATACTAAACCAGTCTACCTAATAAGATAGATTTGGATAAAACACTATTCATATTCAAAGAAAAATATATAGACAAGCCTTTTAGATGACTCTTGTCCCCCCATCTCCTGCCATCCCCCCACCCAGCAAATGTCAGGGGAGTGGAGTCACCTATATAGGGCAATTTGTGAACACATAGGGAAAAAAATTGGTTTACGCTTCTAAATCAATGGGTATATTTTTCCAGTTTGTCCCTTTTGAAAACTCCAAATCTGAAATACTAAGAGATGCTACCAGATTAACAATCCAGGATTTAATTTAAAATGTAAATTATTTCAAAGTCCTTAGTGTTAATTTAACTTTTTTCTGAATGGGGTTTGAATTATCTATCTTCCATTTTCACAGTAAAGCAATTTATAATTTCCACTGGCCAAAGGAGTCCTAGCTAGATGTATAATCCTACCAAGTCACTGAAGCTCTAAGGCAGCATTGTCCAGTAAAAAATATGTGAGTCATATGTATAATTTTAAATGTTCTAGTGGCCAACTTAAAAAGAAATAGGTGAAATTAATTGTAACATTTAACCCATGTCAAAAGTATTGTTTTAAATGTAATCTACATAAAATCAGTTATTTTATATATATTTTTCAAATGATATCTTTGAAATCCAGTGTATATTTTATACTTACAGCACATCTTAATTCACACTGGTCCCATTTCCAGTGCTCAGTAGCCACCTGTAGTTAGTGGCTACTTTACTGGACAGTGCAGCTCTAAGGCTTTAGGATCTTCATTTAAATAATAGGCGACTACCTACAACTCTTAGATTCCTTAATTCAACATCTCCTTTGAGGGTATACAATCGAGTAGGCACATGGCCTAGCACAGGCTAGCTGTTCAATAAATATTTATTAGGAGAAATGGGGAGAAAAAAGGAATTCACTGAATTTAATGGTAGGGATGACCTTAACTAATCAAATCGGCTTGTATTTACAGAAATAACAGTTTTCCTAACAGGAAGTGATCCCAGTATTTTAGGTGCTAAACCACATTCAGAACACTTCATGGCTATTTAATCAAACCTTCAATAAAGAGCTTCTGAAGCAGCCAAAGGCCTAACTCCAGCTTTCCCAATGGCTCCCAAAAACGGTTTTATTCATTTTCCAACCTTAATTACAAGCCTTTAAAATACAAGGGCAATACCATTGTCTTTTTTATGAGCTAGAAGAAAAGGCAAGAAGAATCAAAACACGGACAGACAGGCTTCAGGTGTCAAAAGCATAGGCTCCATATACTTCAGAGATCTTGAGAGCGGCCAGCTCTCACCTAGCTTTGTCAGAGCCTTCAGAAACCTCAGATGCTACTGAATCCAAGGTTACCATTATTTTTATCACTATAATTAGCTACCATTTACTGGTAGCTAATAATATGCCCTCAAAGGTAGTTATGATTATCTCCATTTTACAAATAAGAAAATGAACTCAAAGAATGAACATATGGCAGAATCATGACTCAAATCCACGCCTGCCTGCTCCAAAGTCTGTGTTCTTTCCACTGTGTCACTAGTAGGTATCAGAGACATTTCTAATGATGAGTGCCTTTCTTTGACTGGCTAAGGAGCAAACCCTCATTAAGTTTATCATTCACATAGGGAGCTAAAGGTGTGTGGTGAGGTGGAAGACTGAGAGGGAAGGAAAAAATAATTCTTGTACAAATAAGTTAGCTGTTTAAACACACAAGAAGAAAATGCCTTTTTAAAAAATGGTTATAAATACTTTCCTTTGAAGAAACATGTTAAAGCATCTTTCAAATGGAAGCCAACAGCTTACAAAAATGGCTACCATCTGAAAAGATGATTAATAGTAGACTGACTTTTCACAACAAATAGGAATCTAAACTGGTAAACACATATCCTTCTTAAGGGATTATGTATGTAATCTTAATAGTGGTTAGCACTCTGCCCTGTACAAACATTCACTCACATCAGCGCTAACTGACATGAATAATCATTTAGTATTTCACAGTAATATATAACACTCTCAAACTTAATTTTTTGATAACTATATCATGTTAAAATACTTTAAAAAAGCAACTTCCATTTTGTTCACTGGGAGGCTTTCTGTTTACAAACAGAAAATATTCCAGCCAATAAATTAAGTCAATGATACAGTTTGGATGTTTGTCCCCTCCAAATCTCATGTTGAAATGTGATTCCCAATGTTGGAGTTGGGGCCTGATGGGAGGTGACTGGATGATAGGGGCAGAGCCCTTGTAAATGGTTAAGCACCATCCTAGGTGAGTCCTTGTTCCATTCACTCAAGATCTGATTGTTTAAAACTCTAGGACCTCTCCCTCACCCGCCTTGCTCCCGCTTTTGCCATATTACATGCCTGCTCTTGCTTCACCATCTGCCATGATTGTAAGCTTCCTGAGGCTCTCACCAGAAGCTGGGCAGATATTGGTGCCATGCTTATGCAGCCTGTAGAATCCTGAGCCAATTAAACCTCTTTTCTTTATAAATTACCCTGCCTCAGGTGTTTCTTTACAGTGACATAAGAATGGCCTAATATAGTCAGTTTCCTTTAAAAACACAAAGTTTTACAGTAAAGTATTATGCTGTACTTTTGTATTTAATCCAATAGAAACAAAATGAAAACACTGTCATATAGTGTCATATTATAGATGTGGCTACCATGCAGATCAAAGCATATAATCTATTCTTGTCCAAATATATCAATGTAGGCAACAACTACTAAGCAAAATACACATTGAGTTTGTTTCTTAACATTATAATGGGCTATTTTTTATACAATAAGTGCTGAATGATGATTTGTCACTTTAAAGCCAGACAGAGGACTCAAGCAGTATCTAAGCTGTACAGGCTAGGCTCAGGCATGACCAAACTCCTGGGACACCCTTGAAACACCCCCACTAAAGTCCAGATGGCCACAGCTGTGGATTGTGGAGCTGTGTAGGCGGTAACCCTAGATCAAGAAAGAAGAAACACTAAAGACATAAACCCTATGATCATCACACAGTTCAGGGGCCACATGAACCAAGAGATTCTGCAGAGTTTTAAGCCTTTATTGCATGTCAGCTTTGTGAGGATTCTTTTCTTAAAGGCAAGACAGACTATGGGGCCCAGATGCTATGCTTAGCAGTGGAATCAGAGGCTTCCTTCAGTGGTGCAGCCACCTCCCTAATTCAAGACTGCTGGTAACACAAGGCACAGTGGTTTCTGTTCCTGAAAAATCAATTGCTAGGATGTCTCCCAACAGAATTGCTCCTCCCAATCAGAGAGGAAGCTCCCCCAGAGCTCTGCTCTAATGCCACAATTCCCCACACTCTAGAAAATGATGTCGACATCTAGTGCTTTGTTTCCACAGTTTTTCCTGAGCTCAGCAAATAAACAGGGTGGTGCCATTATGGCCCAGAGTGTTTTACCTCTGTCAGAATTTTAGGTCACTTCCTGAAACAGTTATATCAGAGGTTGCAAACCAATGGTCTGTGGAATGAATTCAGCCCACAGATCTGCCTGGTTTGGCCATCACAGTGTGTGTGTGTGTGTGTTTTTTTTTTAAAGTTGAGCTACATTTAAAACTGGGAGACATCACATAAAAATGTACATATCTAGCTTTTCTCTGAAAAATCACGTGATCTAGCAACTGCAGGCAACAACTGGCTGAAACTAAGGCACCACTCCCCTTTTAGGAAGGACAGTTTGCCTAGTTCCTATACTCCGTAGCTGATTCCAAACACTGCAGCCTGGCCTTGCTTCACTCATCTAGATACCTGCTGGGTTTGTGACACCTGAAATGTGTTCTGCAGAAAGGTTTAAAGATACAATGGTAAGTATCAGTGTACTCTAGTGTGTCTCAACGGCATACTATTGATGCAATAATTTTGGAGCACAAGAATTCCTCGTCATGCAAGACTATCCCAGGCAATGAAAGGTATTTAGCATTCTGGCCCCGCCCATAAAATCTCAGTAGCACCCCCAAGTGGCCTCTAGAGAGGCAATACTTTCTTGGGCTGACAGCCACTGCTAGCATATTAAGGTAATGAGGTGAGTGAGCATTTCCCAGGTTTGAAGAAAAGTTAGCCTTGTCTTGAGAGAACTTTTAGGATTGCAAAATAAAAGAATCATTAATTTTTCTGGTTGGTCTGGTCCAGTAATAATTGTTGAACAAAACACAGTATGTATATGAGTATAAAGCTTTCAAACTTTCATCTATTTTTTTGCTGCTTTGGAGGTTTTGATTTTAGATCATATTTACTGAGCCGTATCTGAGTATCAAGTACTGTGCTAAGTGCTTTACCTCATTTAATCCCTAAAATACTTCCATGAGAGAGGTAATATTATCATCCACGTTTTACAAATAAGGAAACTTGAAGTTCAGAGAGGGCAAATAAATTGCCTGTGGTTACACAGTCAACCAGTAGCAAAGCTAGGATACAAATTTAAGGTTATGCTCTTAACCATTATTCTTCTGTACTACTGGCTACCTGGTAAGACTCTGATGATGTCATAACTCTTAACAACAGTTTAAAGCAAACCTTGCTTTTAAAACAGAAGAGTTTTTGTACTACAGTGTGAATTCTTCAAGTTAAACAGTAACAAAAAGTGGCTGATATTGAGGCATAACAAATGGTCTTTTACTGGCAGAGATAAGAGTTCCATTTTCAGGATTTTTCATGCATATATGTAAAGGTGCTACCAAATAACAAGGGGGAGAGGAATACGATAGTTATTATTTCCCCTAAATAAGCCTTCTAAATAATTTATGAAACAGTCATCCTATAGGATTTTTATTACAGTAGAGACCATTTTGAAATAGTCACATATTCACTGCATCTATCTCATATTCTGTAAGTCTCAAGAGATATACTATGAGACTGAAATAATATTAAAATAATCCACAAAAACATTTTCAATTTAAATATGGCCTCCAGAAACGATAGATTCATATTTAATTTAAACTTAACACCCCCCACAAAGAATATGTTAGCTGCCACATTAAAATTATACATAAAAATATTTATAAATATGCATAAATATATAGACTATATACACGGAAATTTCAGCTGAGAGGACATAGAGGCAACAATACCCCAGTAGCAATGAGCACACCCAGCACCCAGTTCTTGATTTCTAATTGCATTCTCTCTTTAATAAAGGGAACCAAGGCCCTGTGGAGAAATGGATGATTCTAAAACTGGGGCAGGGAATATATAGGATGAGCCTGGAGCATCTTGTAGTACCAGAAAGTAAGGAAGTACTAAAAAATCAAAATCCCATGATGATGAGGGCATGTCGAAATGACACAGGAGCCAACTGAAGGAGCTCCCAATGGTCAAAGCTGGAAAAATTTGAACACCAAAATAAATAAAGTAGTATTATATTATGATCCAACGTATAAAATAAATAGCCATGAGCCCATACTGAGATAAAGAAATGACTGAATAAATGAATGAATGATAAATGAGGGGTGGGGGGAGCCTCCCATGCAGAAAATCCCAAACAATTTACATAGATAATTCACCTCAAGGAGGTGGAGCATAACCTCCCACCTCTTAAGTGTGGAATGCACATGGTGACTGCTTTCCAAAGAGCACAATACAGGAAAGGGGTGTTTAAAAAAAAAAAAAAAAAAAAAGATTACAGTGAAGAAACCTGACAAACACGTTCTCAGCCAGGTGATCAAGGTCAACATCAACAGTGATAAGTCACGTTGATAGTATGGACTGTTTGTATGATGTGATGAGAATGTGAGAATGGCACTTTACCTTTGTGGTCTTCCTCCTTAAAACCCATAACCCCATTCTACCCATGAGAAAACCATCTGACACATCCCAATTGAGTGATAGTCTACAAAATACCTGATCAGTACTCCTCAAGAACAAAAGTCTGAGAAACTGTCACAGCCAAGAGGAGTCTAAGGAGACATAACAACCAACTGTGATGGGGTTTCCTGGATGGAATCCTGAAAGAGGAAAAAAAACATGTTCAGTAAAAGTTAAGGAAATCTGAATATAGACTTCAGTTAATAATCATGTTTCAATATTGGTTCACTAATTGTAACAAACGTACCATGCTAATGTAAGCTGTTAATAATAGGGGAAACTGAGTGCAGGGTATATGGGGACTCCCTGTACCATCTTCTCAATTTTTCTGTAAAACTAAAACTGTTTTAAAAAATAGAGTTATTTAAAATTAGAAAAAAAAATACCTCAAGATGGTTTATCAACCCTGGCACAGAAATTTTATTCACATCTCCAGCTCTGAAAGCAACTTCTTTTCAGTAGTCTAGAAATCTGAGAAAACGAAAAGATGGTTATCTTTTTGCTAACTTCCCAACTCAATATGGAAAATAACAAAAAACTAGTAGACTTCTGGTGCCTCAAAGTAACAGCAGACAGGATGCTAGACCACACTTTCAGGGCAGGTTGGCTCTTTCCCAAGTATCCTTACAAACTGAATCTTCTTTTCTTTTAGGTCAGAAATATCTTCTACAGCAACTAAATTCTACATTATCCCACAGAAGAGAGCAGAAGTTCAAAAAGAAAAACAAGTCCACTGCTTATTTTCTTAAGTCAACACCTGGTTCTGACTTAGCATCCTGAGCCTCCATTCTATTTAGAAAAGAGAGGATTAAGCCCAGGCCTATGAAGCATGCATATAATTTTTTTTTTTTTTTTTGAGACAGGCTAGAGTATAGTGGCAAACTCACGGCTCACTGCAGCCTCAACCTCCCAGGCTCAAGTGATCCTCCCATCTCAGCTGCCCAAGTAGCTGGGACTATAGGTGTGCACCACCATACCTGGCTAATTTTTTTATTTTTCATAGAGACGGGGTTTCACCATATTGCCCAAGCTGGTCTCAAACTCCTGGGCTCAAGTGATCCACCCACCTGGGCCTCCCAAAGTGTTGGGATTACAGGTGTGAGCCACCACACCTGGCCTATATGATTTTTAATTGCATAGCACAAAGTGTGTATAACTTTTTGAAAAATGCTACCTCTATTATAAACCCTGTTTTCTGTTTAGTTCTGTTTAGTGAAAAGCTATATATATATATAGCTTATATATATATATATATAAGCTTTTATATATATAGCTTATATATATATATATAGCTTATATATATATAGCTTATATATATATATATAGCTTATATATATATAGCTTATATATATATATAGCTTATATATATAGCTTATATATATATATAGCTTATATATATAGCTTATATATATATATAGCTTATATATATATATATAGCTTATATATATATATATATAGCTTATATATATATATATATATATATATAGCTTATATATATATATATATATAGAGAGAGAGAGAGAGAGAGAGAGAGAGAGAGCGCGTGGGGGGGAGAGACAGAGAGAGAGAGAATTGTAACCTTATTCACTTATTTTGACAGATGAGCACTCTCTCTCCCCATTTAGAGATTATCCGCATTCTCAGTAAACCTAGTAATTCAATGTTAATATTATCATTTTAGGGCATATATTGGCTTTTATCAGAGCTATCATACATACAAGTTTCTAATTGATCTCCTGAGTCAACTTCATTTTACAACCACAGTAGAGCTAAAATAACATACCCTGTGTTTATATCATACATTTAATTTTGCAGTTTACCAAACTTTCTTATTTTTTAATTTCTCAGTTACTTTGATTATCCAAAAAAAAAAAAACTAACTTCAAGTATGAGCAAGAAGCACTGTGCACTGACATAAATGCTGTTTCTACCATGTGTAATACTTTTTTCTACTTTCTGATACAACAATGCGAAATCCACCCCACATTTTTTTTTTTTTTGAGATGGAGTTTTGCTCTGTCACCCAGGCTGGAGTGCAATGGCACGATCTCAGCTTACTGCAACCTCCGCCTCCTGGGTTCAAGCGATTCTCCTGCCTCAGCCTCCTGAGTGGCTGGGATTACAGGCACCCTCCATCATGCCTGGCTAATTTTTGTATTTTTGTAGAGATGGGGTTTCACCATTTTGGCCAGGCTGGTCTTAAACTCCTGACCTCAGGAGATCTGCCCACCTTGGCCTCCCAAAGTGCTGGGATTACAGGTGTGAGCCACTGCGCCCAGCCTTTTGTTTGTTTTTTGCCATCCCACATTTATGTTAACCCCCTCCTAAATGCCTACAAAGTTTTCTCCCTTTCATAAATGCCTATAAAAGTCACTGTGTGTTGATTATCACTTTCAGCACTTAGTATATTAACTTTTTATTCTCCTCTAGGATTTTTCACTATAAATCTTGAGAACAAGAATCAAACATGCTCTTTTGGCTACAGTGCCTTGTACACACTAAATATTCCATATAAATGACAAAACATAGGCCTTGAAAATAACTGGAAATCTAATTTGCTCTGGTCAAGGTGTTTTAAGGTCTTGGTTGCATCAATTCCTAAATGACGTTATTTTAAAAGAAAGATAGAACAACCTATTGGTGACATATGCCAGAAGCAGATCATCTGCACATTTTATTACTTAAAGAGATTACTTAGAACAGTGTTTTTCAAATGGTGGGTTTTGATTTATTAATGTATTGTATAACAAATGTACTACGTGATGACTATAAGGGGAAAAGAAAAAGAAATAACAGAAAATATCGAAGTGTTTCACACACAGTAATGGCAAATACTCATTCAAAAAACTTGTTTCAGGTATGTGCGTATGTACTAGATCACGATTAAAATGTATTTCTTACTGTGGGTTTGAGAAATAGTGACTTCAAATATGGTGATATATTTTAAGTTATACAAGGAAAAATATTACTACTTTCCTTGTTACCTTCTTCTAAATAGATGGAAGCTTGCTGATTAAGAAGCAAAATGGAAGTACTGGAGAAACCCTCTGGATATGACAGTTGAAATGACTTAACTCTTCACGTTATGAATTTCTGTGTGATTTCTCTCAAGTGCAGCCTAGATGTGTTCATGTAGCATCCTCACGTACCTATAGGAGGCTCCTGCCTTCTAATATATTTAAAAGATTTTTTTAAAAAATGAATAATCAGTCTCATTAACCCTGAAATCCAAGATCACAACTATGGGAATTTCCTAGTGGAAGAGTTTGAAAGATTAACAGAAATGCTATTTATAATCATTAACTAAACAATTTCTAACCCATTGCCCACTCATTTAATAAAATCTAAGCTTGGCGATACAGAAGACCCATGTCCTCGTAGTGAGAGAAACACTGGCAGTTATAATAGAGTGGGGTTGAGTTCTATAATAAGTAGTCAGAAAAAGAAACAATGAAGGTAGAACAAAGAGAAGGAGAGCTGAGGAAAGCTTCAGGGAAGAGATGACATTTAAGCTGGATTACAAAAAATAGGTTTTTTGTTTAAAATAAAAACAATAGAATTATAAAGCTGGAAGAAACTCCACATCATCTAACCCAGTAGTTCCCAACCAGGGGTGACTTTTCCCTGCAAGGGACATTTGGCAACGTCTGAAGATATTTTTGGTTGTCATACTGAGGAAAGGTGCCACTGACATCTGACAGGCAGAGTCCAGAGATGCTGCTAAACATCCTACACTGCACAGGACAGCCCCTGACAACAGAAAATTATCCAGCCCAAGATGCCAATAGTGCCAAATCTGCGAAACCCTGAACTCAACCCAAATACAAACATTTCACACAAGAAGATAACTGAAGGCTGGAGGGATTTTAAAACTTGTTAAAAGCCAAGATTATTAAACGGGTGTCACAACATCTTGCCTAAGTATTTAATTCACAGCACATACCCATGCTGGATACTAGGAAACAGATGTTATAAAAAGTGGGAACATTTTCATAAGGTAGAAAGATAAACTATGTAGAAATCACGGCTGATATTGTTATGTAGTCTTTCCTGATACAGATCTACCAATGGTTCAAAGCAAGAATTATGGTTACAATACCACTAACAAAATTATACCCTTATTTGTTCATAATACTGTATTTACCATCTGCTTAATTCAGTTATTTAACATGGATTTGAGAATAAGAAAAATTACAAAAACTAGGAAGTTGGAAGATTCGTATATCCCACACACATCTAGTTATTTCTTGGGGGCAGATCTTTCAATCTCCACCAGCTCCAGTGCTGGGGATCTGGCACCTGAGTAGGATTAGCCCCTTTTATTCAAAATAAACTGCTAAATTACCCTTCTATTTTCTGGTGAGGTTTCTAATAGCAAATGAATTGTCCAAAGAACTTGTAACTCCCACTAGCAGTAGTAGTAGTACTAGTACTAGTAGTAGCAGTAGCAGCTGCTGCTCTTAGGGCCTAAATCTAAACACATGAAATCACTTGGACATCTTTTATTTTGTCATCCTTGCTCTTAAGTGCACAAAGGACACAGAATATAAATGGAGGGGAGGGTGTAAACATGTTAACAGTAATATAGATTCATTTTCAAAAAAGAAATATACTCCTTACCTCCAATTTTTCAACTGGTGAAAATTCAACTAAGATAATTCATCCAGTTTGACACAACACAATCCACGGTCAAAAACTTGAAGAAAAGGCTGAAGACAGTGTCCTGAAAAATAAAAGGCTAATGAGGTAAGATTCAAACTGTGAAAGCTTTAAATACAACAGTATGAGCAAGTGATATAGTGTATGAATAAAAGGTCATGAAAAAGCAGGCAGCCATTTTACTACATGAAATTTCAGTGAATGAAACTTATGTTTAATTGATACTAAGAGAAAGTTTTCCTGACTGCCTGAGCCAGCCTGCTCCTCTCTCATCACCTCGAGTGCCTAAGGTAGAGCTTTACAACAGCAGAGGGGACAAATGAAGCTTTCCTGAGATTTTAGCTTCGGAGAAAGCTAGCAAGAGGAGCTTTAGCTGCATCCCTGGAAAACCATCAGGAGTCCCTGCAGCTTCCCAAGATGTACTAGTCATTAAAATTTAATGAACTTGATTGCAAAACTGTGCTGAGGCCCTTTTAGGGCCATAGGTCTTTAAAATTTAAAGGACTCCGTGGTGAGTCTGATGTAGTCTCTGGTAAAGTAGAGGAACTTTTTAAAATTCCCATACCCCAAGTAAGCACCACACCCGCACTGCAAGCCCACAATAATGAAGAGAGTATACAATCTTTTCTTCTGTTTTTTTGTTTGTTTTTCCCTGCCACCCTACCTTTTCTCAATAGGATTAGAACTGTTCGCTCAGGATTGGAAGACCTTCCCCATGACCCAACCCACAAAAATTACTAATCTAACATTCAGGAATAGCTTTAACTTCTTCAAGAATCACTTTATCATAAGCCTTAGTAAAATAATAGAGTTATACATTTAACAATTCAATAAATGACTACATATTTCAGGTTAACCAAATAGCTCTTGTGAATGAGAAAGCAGTTTGTCCATATATAAATATTTCAGCTAATAATAGCAGAAGTGACCAAATTGAACAATCACAATTTTGCAACCTTTAATTACATAACTAATTCATGCACCAGTAATCAATGGATGCTAACAGCATTAAGTAAAAGGTTGGGCTTCACAAAGGGATCAAGCTGTCACCACTTGAACCCTCTGATGAATCTTCACAACACTTAAGGTGAAATGACCAGATGATATGTGCCTCCAGATGTGATGTAATATGAAGTGACCACAAGCACTCTTGCCCACCCCTCCAAGAAAATATATTATGAACCTAATTAAGCATATAGATCTAATTTCCGGTCCATATGAAGTAAGAGGATAAAGAAACAAGTTAAACAATATCTCACCAGAATGGCATAGTCTGAGGATGAAAAAAAGCAGAGAGGATTGTTATACATTATAAGAGAATTAAGAGACTTAAGGGGTATAACCAAATACAATGAGTAGATCCTGTTGCAAACAAACCAACTATCAAAAAACGAATTTTTTTTAGACAATTAGGGAAATTTAAGGATGGACTAAGTACAGGTGACCCTTGAACAGCACAGGTTTGAATTATGTGGGTCTACTTATATGTGGATTTTTTTCAATAAAATAAAAAGTTACGGCCGGGCGCGGTGGCTCACGCCTGTAATCCCAGCACTTTGGGAGGCCGAGGCGGGCGGATCACGAGGTCAGGAGATCGAGACCACGGTGAAACCCCGTCTCTACTAAAAATACAAAAAATTAGCCGGGCGCAGTGGCGGGCGCCTGTAGTCCCAGCTACTCGGGAGGCTGAGGCAGGAGAATGGCGTGAACCCGGGAGGCGGAGCTTGCAGTGAGCGGAGATCGCGCCACAGCACTCCCGCCTGGGCGACAGAACGAGACTCCGTCTCAAAAAAAAAAAAAAAAAAAGTTACATCAAGTGTGCCTGCCTCTCCTTCCACCTCCTCCCCTTTTTCTGCCTCTGCCATGCCTGAGACAGCAAGACCAACCCCACCTCTTCCTCCACCTCCTCAGCCTCTTCAACATGAAGATGACAACGATGAAGACCTTTATGATGATCTACTTCCACTTAATGAGTAGTAAATATATTTTTCTATGATTTTAACATTTTCTTTTCTCTAGCTTACTTTATTGTAAGAATACAGTAATATATGTAACATACAAAATATGTGTTAATTGTTTATATTACTGATAAGGCTTCTGTTCAACAGTAGGCTATTACTAGTTAAGTTCTGGGGGAGTCAAAAGTGGCACATTGGCTGGGCACAGTAGCTCACGCCTGTAATCCTAGTACTTTGGGAAGGCAAGGCGGGAGGATCCCTTGATCCCAGGAGTTCAAGACTGGCCTGGGCAACATGAGGAGACCCTATCTCCACAAAACAATATAAAAAAGTAGGTGTGGTGGTGCATGCTCATGGTCCCAGCTACTCAGGAAGCTGAGGTGGAAGGATCACTTGAGCCCAGGGGATTGAGGCTGCAGTGAACCATGATCATGCCACTGCACTCTAGCCTGGGGGACAGAGTGAGACCCTGTCTCAAAACAACAATAACAACAACAACAACAAAAGTTCAGGTGGATTTTTGACTCTGCAGGCAGTCAGCACTCCTAACTTCGGCTTTGTTCATGGGTCAACTGTATTATATGTGCTATTAAGAACTGTATTGTATGTGCTGTATAAGATAATAACATTGTAGCTATGTAAGAAAATGTGTTGTTTTAGAGATGTTAAATTATTGGGGAGTGAAATTATGTCTTGGCTATGCCTTAATTCTTGGAAAAAAGAGGAGTAAGGAGATGAAACTAGTATGGTAAAACGTATGTAACTGTAGCATCAGAGGTTCATTGGACCTTTCATTTGTGTACATTTAGAAATGTTCAAATAAAACGTTCAAATGTCAAGTACCTACAAATAAACAAGGGTATTTGACATTCACAGGCCTAACGTAAAATAATTGTTCAAGGCTATCATTACAAGTGAGTAGCAAGGATGTTGCTGGATGCTGAAAACAATGATTTGAAAATGAGATATGAGGGCGGTTCAGAAGCAGAATCACTAGAAGTATAGGAGCATTGACTCTATTGCTGGAAAAGAAGTACAAGGCAGATAAGCTTTTTGCCCTTCTTAAGATTCAGAAGGATAAGGCAAACAAGACTGGCTAGGATTTCATCAAGAGTGACTGGAGAAGCAACAAAGGAAGCCCTGAGTGCCAAGAAAGACGGTAAATGAACTGGAAAGCAAAGACGCATCTCTTTTAGAACTGGAAAAATTGAGACATGTCTAAAAAGAGAGAAAGGGACTGTATGTGTAGGGATGAGAAAGGACTAGTGACACAGCAAGCTTTCTAACAGGGCAGAGAGGTTGGCAAATTCCAGAGCTGGTGGTACCATGTTCTAGAAATGGGGTGGGAGGCGGTGAGGATGAGATATGAAGGAGTAATCTCCCAATTGTCTCAATCTTCAGGACATGAGTCATGGGGTCAGGATATTATATGACTTACAGAAAGAAGAAAGCATAATATGATAAAACTGGGAAGTCAGTGAGCATATGCAGGCAAGAGTTACCTGGCCATTATAGCTGAAACACAATGCTGTAATATTAACAGACAAAGAACATATGCCATTCACCAGGTGTGGGACGACAGACGAGTTACTTAACCTCTTAGGCCCAGTTTCCTAATCCTTTGCTTAATATCACACCTATCATATACTTACCTCACAAGGCTGCTGTGGGTTATTAATTTACATAGAAGGAAAAAAGTTTGTAAAGCACAATGTTCATTGATTAGGTTGTTTGAGGGTTCTCATATGGCAGAAATCTAGGAATCTCAGCAGAACTGCCTTTTTTTTTTTTCCTATTTCACAAGGGCAGATATATATTATACCTACATATAAGTATGCTAAGACAGAAGATGTGATTGCAAAAGTGTAACTAGGAAAGTATTCTCTTCCATGAGAGGAAAAAATTTTAGTTGATATTATGCATCCTAATTTCAATAGCAATTAAGAGGGATTTCATCTTTTGAGTCATTCCAGACGTAGCTGAAATTTAAATAAACCTGTCCATTGTCAAGGTCTAGCAATTGACCAAGGTTGAAGAGACTTAAAATATTGCTGAGTGTTCAGGAAACAATTTACTTATATTTACGCACATACAATGTAACCTTTCAATTAAAAATGTATATAATTATACAAGTGAGTACAGCTATATAAAACAAAGCTTAAACAGAACTAGGGCTGAGTCTGAAGTCTTAGAGAAAATGACAGTCTTTGCCACTTCTAAGAAAATCCTGCCCATAAAGAGCGAACAAAGCACCTCCCTATCTGAAGGCAAGGAATAGGGTTGGTCAAAATATAAGAAATGCCTTTCTTAAAAGTGTCAAAGAGCCAAAACAGAAGGACAAAAGGGAAAATCCTCTTCACCCACTTTCGGGTTGGGACCCTGAAGGGCTGCAACTTAGAAATAAGGGTGAATCGCAATGAATCAGTTCACACACTGAATGTGATGTGGCCTTGAGTCATCTGGTTGGCCCAGGAAGGTCTCTAAAGCTGAGATTTGATTAAGCAACTCTGGATTTTCTGGATTCCCTTAAGCAGATGTACACACACACACATACACTCCTTTCTGAAAAACTATCATCCTTGGTTTCAAATGATTTTTCAAATAATTTTTCAAATACAATGCCCAGCATGCAATTAAAGACAATCAGGCACACGAGGAAACATAATAAGATGACCAGAAGAGACTCAGAAGGACTCCAAGTATTGGAATTATCAGACATGGATTTTAAATTATGCTTGCTATGTTCAAGGAGATGAAAGCCAAACTTAAAAATCTCAGCAATGACCTAGAAATCATAAAATGTGACACAGCAGAATTTGGGTGTTTTTGAGACCGGGTCTCGCTCTGTCACCCAGGCTGGAATGCGGTGGCGTGATCACGGCTCACTGCAGCCTTGACCTCTGGGGCTCAGGTGATCTTCCCACCTCAGTCTCCTGAGTAGCTGAGACTATAGGCATGCACCAGCATGCCCAGCTAATTTCTGTATTTTTTTTTTGTAGAGATGGGGTTTTGCCATGTTGTCCGGGCTACACAGCAGATTTTTAAAAGAAGCAAAGAATAATTTTATTACTGAGAAATGCAAAAACCGAAACTAAGAATTCAATAAACAGGTCTAACAGCCAATAGACACCGTTGAGACAGTGAACCAAAAGATAGGTCGGGGGAAAATAAAACGCTCAGAATGAAGAGAGGGTAAGAAACATGGAAGATACAGTGAGAAAGGTCTAATATCCAAGAGTTAATCAGAATCCCAGAAGGAAAAGAGACAGAATGGGGCAGAGGCAATATTTGAATAAATGTTCCAAAAATGATGAAACCTGTCAAACCACATGTGTAACAATCTCAATGAATTCCTACCAGACAAAGGAAAGTTTTAAAGCATCCTGATGGAGGGGCAGCAGGGGCAGAGGTGGGGAGATTACTTTCAAAGAAGCAACAGTTAGATTGATAGCTTAATTTTCAACAACAAAAATGGCAGCTAAAAGACTGTGTATCTCCAAGAAGCATGAAGAAAACAACTGCCAACCTAGTATTCCACTGAGGAGAAAATATCCTTCAAGAAAAAAATTAAAATACAGGCTCAGACAAATAAAAACAGAGTTCATCTCCAGCAAACCCTCACTAAGAATGAAGCAAAAGAAAACTGCCTCAAGATGGAAGGTCACAGATAGAGAAAGGAATGAAGACCCATGAAGTTCAAATAAGCACGTGAAATCTAAAGGAATATTGACTGTATAAAATAATGTCTTGTAAGGTTTAAAATACATACAGAAAATTAAATTACAGGACAACAATATGTATGTCACAAGGTAGGTAAATGGAACTAAGGTGCTTTAATATTCTTGCTTCAACTAGGAGGAAGGTAGAAGTATCAATTAACACTAGACTTTGATAAGTGAAGAATACATGCTATAAATGCTAGGGTAATCACAAAAAGAATAAAAATGAATAAGTGATGTCTGAAGTAATAAAGGAAAAATGATATAAAAATAGTCAAATAAAAGAAAAAGACAAGGGGAAAAAGAAATACAGAGCTAGTAGAATAAAAATGCAATGCTGTACTTAACCCCAAAATGTCAATAATTATATTAAGTATAAATGAATCAAATGTTTCAAAAAAGAATGATTATCAGATTGGGTTAAAAAAAATCTACAACTATATGTTGCTTTCAAGAGCCCCATCTAAAACATAAGAATACAGAAAGGTTAAAAGTAAAAGGATAAACACATATCATGCAAACATTAGCTAAAATAAAGATGGTATTGCTCTATTAAAGATGGTATTGCTGTATTAATTTCAGACAAAATAGAATCAAAGAAAAAGGATCACTAGAGTTAAAAAGAGTCCCTTCATAGTCATAAAATGCTTAATTCACCAGAACAATATAACGAACTAAATTTGTATGCAGTTGATAACATGGACTCAAATTATATATAAAGCAAAGGTTGACAAAACTTCTAGGAGAATGAGACATGCATTAGTATCTCAGGGGCAAATATTAAGACACCTCTTGGCTGGGTGTGGTGGCTCATGCCTGTAATCCCAGCACTTTGGGAGGCCGAGGCAGGTGAATCACTTGAGGTCAGGAGTTCGAGACCAGTCTGGTCAACATGGTGAAACCCCGTCTCTACTAAAAATACAAAAATTACAAAAATTAGCCAGGTGTGGTGGCACGTGCCTGTAGCCCCAGTTACATGGGAGGCTGAGGCAGGAGAATTGCTTGAATCTGGGAGGCAGGGGTTGCAATGAGCTGAGATCGCACCACTGCACACTCCAGCCTGGGCAACAGGGCAAGACTCCATCTCAAAAAAAAAAAAAAAAAAGAAAGAAAGAAAGATATCTCTCTCAGTAGTTAAAAGAATAAGCAGACCAAAAAAGTTGGTAGGGACAGAGATACGATACAATTACCAAACTTGATCAATGGACATATATAGAATGCTGTGTCCAGTAACTGCAGAATATATGCTTTTCAAGTGCTTACATATTTGCAAAAACTGACCACATGCTAAGCCATAAAGTAAGTCTCAGGGCATTTTAAAAGATTGAAATCACTCAAAGTTCTCTAAGGAAAATGTGTTAAAGCCAGAAACAAAATACAAAAAATACACAGTTAGAAAATTCTCATATTACTGGAAATTAAGAAATATACTTTTAAAAAACCCATGGATCAAAAAAGAAATTACAGTGGGAATTTTAAAATATTGTGAAATAATGAAAATATTACATCTCAAAAATGATGGGATGCAGGTAAAGCAATACTTGAAAATGAAATGTATAGCTTTAAATATGTATGTCAGGAAGGAAACAAGGGTATAAACACCTACCTACCCATCTCAAGAAGTTAGAAAGAAAAAGAGCAAAATAATTCCTAAAAAGGTATATAAAATATACTGAATATAAAAGCAGATATTAACAAAATAGAAACACTTGAAGAATACTATTAGTATTTTTAAAACTGCATCTGTAATTAAAAGCTTTCCCACAAAGAAAATTCTAGGCCTAAATGGCTTCACTGCTAAAATCTATCATGCATTTAAAGAAAAAATAAAACCAAACTTAACCTAAACTCTTCCAGAGAATCAAAAAGCAGGTATCTTCCTTAGCTCATTTTACAAGGCTACTAAAGCCTGACAAGGACAGTACAAGAAAAACAAAATTTCAGGCCAATCCCACTCACGAACAAAGATCTAAAATTCCAAAGTAAAATTAGAGGAAAATGTGATGTTGACCATGCTAGGTTTATTTCTGGAATGCAGTTTATTTAGCATTAGGAAATCAATCAATATAATTTGACTTGAGGAATATCCTATGGTTATATTAACAATAGGAAAAACATTTGATAAAATCCAGTATCTATTCATGATGTAAGCTCCTAATAAACTAAGGACAGAATGAAACTTCCTTAATCTGATGATAGCTAGAAAAAAATTAAAGTAAACATCATATTTAATGGAGAAATGTTCAAAGTTTTCCTTTCAAGAAAGGAAAAAAGACAATAGCGCCACTATTACTACTTCTATTCTGCATTATAATCGAAATACTAGCCAGTACAGTAAGATAAGAAACAAAAGTATAACATTTCGAAAGGAAGAAACAAGACTTTATTTGCAGATAAGAAGACTGAATACATAGTAAAAGATCAAATACATACTCTAAAGATATATGACTAAAAGTTGAGCAAAATTATTAGATACAAGGTCAATATAAAGATATAAACAAACAAAATAATGGCTATAAACATTTACAATATCAAAAAATATCAAATATCTACAAATAAAACTCTCAAAAGTTGTGAACAATCTTCCGGAGAAAATCACAACCATTACTGAAAGAAATTAAAGACCTAAATAAATGGCGTAGTGTATCATGTTCATGAATTAGAAAATGATAAAGATGTCAATTCTTCCCAAATTGCTCTCTAGATGCCATGCAGTTCCAATCAGAGTAGCAACAGGTTTTGTGGGTGTGTGTGGAAAATGACAAGATGATATTAAAATCAAAGAAATGTGCAAAGGGCCAAGAATAGCGAAGATGCTTTCGAAGGACAATGTGGAAGAACTTGTTCTACTAGATATCAAGTTTTATGATAAAACTATAATAAACAAGACAATGTGGCATCAGTACAAGTAGAGACAAACAGACCAAAGGAACAGAACAGAAAGCACAGAAACAGAACCACAGATATATGGACACTTGATTCCTGACAATAGCAGGGAAATGGTGTGCTGGGAAAATTAGCTATCCATATAGGAAAAGACGGTATTATCCCCTACCTCACACAAAATACAAAAATCAATTTCAGGTATATGCTAGATCTATATGTGAAAGCCAAAACAACAAAGCTTCTAGAAGATGAGAGAATACCTTGGAGGTAATCTTATGAGAATACCATGAAATAGAAAAAGCATGCCACACAGTGGGAGAAGATATTTACAACCAGCAAGGGCTCATTTCCAGCATATAGTAAAAAACTCCTACAAATCGGCAAGTCAAAAAGACAAAGAAGTACATGACACATTTTTGAAGAAATTCCTCCCAAAATAGTCATGAAAGCACAAACCTGTTACCTGGAAGATTTAGTTAAAAATATTAACATTCTCCCCGAGATTTAGAGAATATCAAGTTTTAACTACATATTAACATTTAAAAAAATTTAACTGCTCATATTTCAATAAACCAGTTCTCCCATTCCTTATCCAATCTAAACTGTAAAATAATTACTCCTGAAAAGTCCTGCTGAAGAAATCTTTGCCTACTCCAAGGTCACAAAGACATTCTCCACAAACTGAGATCTACGTACATATCCCTCAACAATAATATATAATGATCTATTCATACAGTGGAATAGTATACAGTAATGAGAATGAACAGTCTACAACTACATACGATATAAATACATCTCAAATTCACGATGTTGCATAAAAGAAGTCAGAGACAAAAGAGTCCATTTAGATAAAGTACAAAAGTAGGCAAAATTAATCTGTGGTGTTAGAAGTTAGGACAATATGCAGGGATGGGGGTGGAGGGGGGTAAGGTAGTAAGAATTTCTTGATCTGGGTGCTAGTACACAAGTGTGCTCAGTTGGTGAAAATTCACTGAGTTGTTCACTACCGTACTTTCTGTGTACTTTCTGCATATTAAACTTCAGTAAGAGGTTTTTTGTTTTTTTTTTAAGTGTAAAGGAGTACATTTTTCAAAATTGTTTAGGGAATATGAGAAAAAAGTTTGAAGGTCATTGCTTCAGGGTAAAGCACAAAAATCAGATAACAAAATTTTAAAAAGCAATATACTAATTACCAAAAATATACAAGAGGTGTCAAACCAACTAGTGACTCTCAAACTTACAGTAATATTGGTTTGAAACTATTTGAACCCAATTGATAAACTGACTTATATCTAGACTTAGTGACTAGTGTTGATTCATAAAGATTTCAGATAAGCAACTTGATCTTGTAGGTTTTTGTTAAACAAGAGGGTTTTTACATCTTAGAAGTTAACTAACAACTAGATTTACACATCTAGTCAAACTCCCTAATTTTACAAATGAAGAAACCGAGGTCTTTTGAAGTTGGGTGATTTCTTCAAGGTCATAAGAAGCTCTGAATATGTCTAAACAATTCAAGTTATTTAATTAAGTTCACCTCCTCCCAATTTTCTGTAACTTCTAGGGGATTTCCACCTACCAAGAGAGTTTGTTTACTGGCAGTGTCTCTCAATACACACTACAGTCAACTGAAACATTTTTATCCAAACAACTCAAAATTAATTTCTTTGCCATCCATGACTAATAGCCAAATGCTATTTCTGTGGCATAAAAGATAAGACTTTCTAAAAGTAAAGTTCATGATGTGCAGCCTAACAGATAACTTGCTGTTTACACTAAATGATGACTTTGACATCAAACTGAAGGCATGTGTGAAAAGTTAGAGTAACAATGGCACCTGTTACATATGGTATCCCTGAAAAAAACAAAAAGACTGGATTGTTGCCACAAATCGAAACCAAGGATTTTCTAAAAGCGCATATAAACAAATGTTCTAAATTACTGAAATTATACTAACTTAATTTATTAAATCAATCATAACTATGATGAGTACTAAAAAATTAAATTCTCCAATTCATTTCAATTAGCTTCTATATCCAAGAAGTATGCTTAACACTTTTTTAATAGGAAGAATGACTTGTCATTTTGAAATCAAATCCATCAAAAGTGAATAGTGCATAAAATAACTCATTTAGTCCCATGAAAACACAGTTTTAAATTATAAAAATGCTTTAGCCTACACTCCATCACCATAGTGTTCTTTCCACAGTAATAGGACTCTCTCCTTTTATTTCAACCTATAAAGTTCAGTGCCAAGATAAATCCCTGGACTTGCCATCCCTAGAGGAAACACCTAGCCTTCGAGTATGTGCAGAAAACTTAAAACTAAAACAGAAAATGGCTTTACAACCACAGAAATCTATTCACTAAAGAACTGGAGGGCTCCATGATATAAAAACAAATAATTAAAAATGACTTAACAACTCAGTGCAACATGGTATCCTGGAACAGCAAAAGGACATTAGTGAGATTCTGGTAAAATCGAGTAAAATCTACAGTCTCACTAACAATAATGTACCAATGTTAATGTCTTCGTTTAGACAAAGGTACCAGGGTTATATATACTTGGATGAAGAGTATATAGGAATTCTGTACAATCTTTGCAACTTCATTGTAAGTCTAAAATTATTCCAAAATAAAAAGCTTATTTAAAAAGAAATGACTTAGCAAAAACTACTAAAAGTTGAGAAATTTGCACCTCAATTCTGACTCAATTAAATGCCCATAGTCAATATCTTTCTTCAAATGATGATCTCCATCAACACAAGGCCTAAATGGGGAAATGGAGTGGGTTCACAGAAGAATGCTATTTCTCCAACATTAAAAAATAAAATAAACCCCCCTAAACCCCTTAAAAAATACTTCAGGCAGGAATGAAGAGTCTGAAACCATTCCTCAGTAGAAAGGAAAGAGAAGAATCCTATTTAGTGCAAAAGATGTGGGCAGTGGACAGCCAAGCAGACAAAAGTATTCTAGAGATCCTAGACCAGTCAAGCTGAATAATTAAAAAATACATAACACTTCTTATGCACTCACTCATGGGTCAGATGCTATTTTAAGCACTACACACGTATTAACACATTAATCCTCTCAAGAACCCCATAAGGGAGGCACTACTTTTACCTACATTTTACAGATGGGAAGTTCTGTAAGTAATAGAACAGAGATTTGAAGATAAGCACTCTGAGTGGACAGTCCATGCGCTTAACCACTATACTATACAGCCTTTTAAGGAGCCAAGCCAGAAAAAAGCTACTGCCTTCTAGAGACCAGTCTCCACTACTTACCCTCGGCCTCTACCAGAGGAGAGAGTTCTCTTCCCAAGGCTTGACGGTCCTTGCTAGGACTGCAAAGGAAGATAGCCCTACTGCCATATCTGCAAGATTGTGTTCATAATCTTTCAGTACTTGATGTACTCAGTGCATGTTCCTGCTGAGACACTGTTACACATAAAAGTTAGTTTTTATAATACTATCAGTATTCAAATTCAGATATGTTGGGCTGGCTTGGGAATCTGAACACTATTATGTGACATTTTTCTGTGGGAAAATGGTGCTGCTTAAAAAAAAGTCTTACCAATGGATCATTTAGAAATTGAGGCTCCCCCTGCACAGACTCTAGCCTTTAGATACCAAGATAACTGTATTTTAATAAAGACGTTGCAATTACTCAAATAATCTAGTTTTGCTCAAACATCAAAAAGGCATAGTTCTTTATACCTAACAAAAGGAATGGTGTTACTGAAAAAAATAAGCTTAATATTCTATGAATTTCCTGCACTATGGCCAATTGTGGATATATCCAGCAGTTAACATACTGCTCTCTCCCTGAACCTCTCAAATAAACTCTGCATTAAAAAATTGCTACCAGGTAAACAAATATATCTTTCATGCCCACACCCCAGAACAGAAGGCGTATCATCTTCGAAAGTAGCTAAAGTAATAACAATAATAGTAGTAATGATGACGACAACGTAATAATAAGAACTAACTCTTTTTGAGTATTCACCATTGCTAGGCATGTTTTAAATATGATACATCCTCTGGCTCATTTAATCCTTGTATGAGGTAGGTACCACATTATCCCTTCAAAAATGAGGGAACAGGTCAGAGATTAAGTAATTTGCCCACGAACACAGAGCTAGTTAGTGTCAGATCTGAACATCTGGGCATTTTACCCCGAGATCATATTTTTAACCTCTGCACTCGCTGTGTAATTAAATAACTTGGTAAACTCTTAAAATGAACACAGCGTGCT
Source organism: Homo sapiens (assembly GCF_000001405.40). Taxonomy (NCBI): domain Eukaryota; kingdom Metazoa; phylum Chordata; class Mammalia; order Primates; family Hominidae; genus Homo; species Homo sapiens. The sequence goes on from NC_000023.11 coordinate 30,884,558, forward strand.
TACTGAAAGTCATTTTTCAAACGAAAGAGTGGTTTGGAAACCAAAAAAAAAAAAAAACCATCTTGCCTTTTATTAGGAGTATTTCCTTCAACCAATATAAGACTGAACACATTTATGGAAAACAAATTTAAAATGTACTTAGCTTTGTTTTTATTACCTTCATATCCCTCACTTAATTGTCTGAACATCACAAACAGTGGTAACAGTATGTAACCTCAACACGCTAACACTTTATTTTAAAATCTTGAAGTAAAACAAACACACTGTCCCATGTTTACACTAAATAAATGAGGGTAAAATAACTGCAAGAGGTCCAATACCTTTGAAAAGTTTCAAATCATCAGTAATTCATGGTGGGAACAAGATATTCCTTTTATGAAAAACCAAAACTATGCTCTTTCAACAAAACTGCAAGATCTGTCCGCTTTAATGACAATATTAGGCTGAGATGGACTAACTTAAATTTTATTTCAAAACATGTGCCTAAATTTAGAAATTCTTCATTGACAATCTAAAAAGCCTATCAGTTTATCTCCCACAAGAGCCATCTGATCCACATAAATCTAATTCTGGACAGCTAAAGGTGTACTATTAATACCTACCATTTCAGTGAATAATTAACAAAAAGCAGGCAACCCTCAACAATTTCTGGAGCACAAGCTGATTTTTAAAATCATCTATTTGAAACTCAGACTTTGCCTTTCCAGGAGACAATGATCAATATGCTAGGTTTCCAAGCCCGCTCACAAAAGCCTAAATGTCCAAAAGGTTACAGAAGTATAACAAAACACAGAACCTGTGTGGGCAATGTTTCTACAGGAAAATCAATTTAGCATTCCAACTTAGGATAACAGCAACTACTCCTGACCCATTTAGCCCTGGAGGTAGAAAAAGGAAATCTTCCCTCCCATAACTGGAAGTCTGAGCTTCCCTAGGACCACAGACCTCGGCTTCCACTATGAAGGAGGGCAAAAAGGCAGAGCTGGGGTGGGAGGAGATCCAGGGATGAGGAAGGCAAGACCAACTGGGAAAGAAGGATGGAGCGGGGGATGGCAGCTGAAAGGAGTGAGGAAACAGTGCGAAGATGGCGGCCTGCTGAAGAGGATGAGTGTACAGTGCCTGTTCCTGCAGCACGTGGGCTTTTACCAACTTTCCTCCTTGGTGTTTAAGGAGAGGGAAGAAGAGGAGAAACCATTGGAGGGTCTTGACAGTGCCTCCCTCACTCTTGGCTATTCTCATCCTCCTTTTCAAGAAAGAACAGGGTGGGGTAAGAGATCTTATCCGCATCCCTCTTGACCTCCTAGAGCACGGGATGGTGGAGAAGGGACTTGGAGGAGTTTTGGTGCCTTCCTTGTTAGCATCCACCCTATCAAAGACTTCAGTGTCAATGGAAAACTAAGGGTGCCAGGTAAATGGTAGGAACAGCATCAGAAGGAGAGGATGGAAAGTAGAGAAATTTGAAGCAGGGAGGGAAGTAGGATGTTAGAGTTGGACAAATAGAACTGTCCATGAATTAAACTATAATAAATGTTCTTATTTAGGATTAATTCAGTTTGATAGTTCCAAATATTTCATCAAGTCCATTTCACTTTTAGAGAAATAAATATTTGTGGCCATGGTAATAATTTGAGGTTTACCATATAGAAGGTATGAAAATAAACTTATAAGTAGATATGAGGCAATTTCCTGGTGTTTTATCTTTATACGGTGGCAATATAAATCATTTCAGAAAGGCTTTATTTACTTGGTAAGCATTCAGTTACATTATCATTTGTTGATTTTTTTTTTTGCCCTAATAAATAGCCCAAATACCATGAGTAATTACTTTCACAAGTAAGGAAGTATATTTTATTTAACGCTTTCTTGGGAGTATAACTATATTTAAAAACTTATTCAGACCACAGATTGCCCATCAAGATGCCAAGGGATTACTTAAAACAGTCTCTAAAGCTACATAATACACACACATACTGATGTGTACTGAGGAACACAAGACTCCTTTTTCTGTTTCCATGAAGACAGGACTACTTAACTGAAGGCCCCCAAACAATGTACTTCTTAAAAGATGAAGCAGCAAACCCCAAATTTCAAAACTTTTCTAGAACTTTCAGCCAGAGATAATTAACTAGGCAGCTAAACCTGACTAAGTGACTTGGTGGAGGATGACTACCAGACATTTAGTATCTTTTTCTCTTTTTTTCTGATTTCTGTGGCTGTTCCACTTCAACTCTATTCAGATGTGGAGCCCTTCTCTTGAGCAGGCTCTGCAGCACATAAGAAATGCAACAGCAAAGACCAGTGGGAGATAAAAGTGACCACTGGCAAGATGTTCCTGCTGTTTCATCAACACCTCAGATACTGCCTGGGAACCTGTTAAGGTCTTTCATTCCCTTGCCCCATAGCAGATTATGGTGGATCCCAGAAGAGCTGCCGTCTTTTCTGCAAATCATGAATAGGGTCCAAAACCTTTGTATCAAATTATTAAAGAGAAGAAAAACAGGGTCAGCTGTCAAGTACTCCACTTGCTGGAGAAGGCAGGGATGTGTATGTGTACCTCCAAGCTGATAAAGCAAATTCAAACCCCTATAGATAGTTGCCATGTAATAATGTAATTTGAAATACTATTCAGGACTAGAATAAACAAAATATTTGTTCTTTGAAGTATCTTGGGCATGCTGACACAAGAGGCAAAGTAACTGAAAATATCTGAATTTCAGATAGGTCACTACCAGCTATCAGGAATCTCTTTACAGATCAGCAGACTTCTAGCTCAAATGTTACCTCTGGCTAGAAAATGGACGCATCTGAAAAGAAAAAAAAACCTTGAGATTATCTGGAGCCAAGGACACTGAAAGCTTTCAAGATTACCAACAGAACTGAAAGGTTTCTTTGTAACACAAATTTCCATTTTCATAAAATTTGTATCAGTCA